>NC_000001.11:89553835-90803835 GCF_000001405.40 Homo sapiens | reverse complement strand
CAGAATAGAGAGCCCAGAAATAGACCCATAGAAATATAGTCAACTGATCTTTGACAACTGATCTTTGACAAAGGCAATACAATGGATAAAAGATGGCCTTTTCGGGAACTACTAAACATCCACATGCAAAAAAAAAAGAATCTAGACACAGACCTTACACCCTTCACAAAAATCAGCTCACAGACCCAAACATAAAACACAAAACTATAAAACTCTTAGAATGTCATAAATTTGTTAAACATAGTTGCTGCATTGGCTTCAATATTTGGGGCCTGACATAAGTTCTTTGAAACCCAGTTGTACCCTGTCACCTTTGGCCTCATTAAAACTTTTTCTGTGTGGTTATTTTTAATATAGCCCACTTGTTCCTCATCTCATTAACCCAAAACCCAACACATTCCATAGCTGCTGATTATGATGTCAATATCTAATTGTCAACACCAGAATTATGTGAAAAAATCCCCTACTTTGCATTTTTGTTTGTTTTTGAGACAGGGTCTCACTGTATCACCCAGGCTGGAGTGCAGTGGTGTGACTATGGCTCACTGCAGCCTCAACCTCCTAGGCTCAAGCAATACTCCCACCTCAGCCTCCTGAGTAGCTGGGACCACAGGAGCACACCCCTATGCCTGGCTAATTTTTGTATTTTTTTTGTTGAGACAGGGCTTTGCCAATTTTGCCTAGGTGGCCAAACTCCTGAGTTTGAGCAATCCACCCACCTTGGCCTCCCAAAGTGCTGGGATTACAGGCATGAGCCACCACACACAGCCTGGCTATGTTTTCTTTAAAGTAGCCAATTCACAGCTCCCATGGGAAAACCTAAGGACTAGCGCCCTTGATAAGGGCAAAGTCCCACAGGTCTTCTTTCTCTCCCACTCTCCACCTGATGGTTGAGCTCCCTGCTGCCTCCAGATTTCCTGATGACTTCCTATCAGCACCCCTAATCTCTCTGGTACCTGTAAGTAATACATTTCTTCTGTTTTAGGCATTCTGGTTTCAATTCCTCATTCCTCATTGTGCTTCACCTGACACAAGCACTTGAACCTAACTTTCCTCCTGGTCAGCCCTCTCCTAGAGGGTGGCTATCTTGGCTTATTGCTGCTCTCAAGAGAGAGAGCTCAGGATCAGATTAGAAAAAAATCACAATGTAGAAGATAACATGGGACAAAATATAGATTGCCTTGGGTTTAGCAATGACTTTTTACATATAATACCAAAGGCGTGATACATGCAAGAGATAATAAGCTAGACTTTATTAAAACTAAAAATGTCAGCCGGGTGCGGTGGCTCATGCCTGTAATCCCAGCACTTTGGGAGGCCGAGGTGGGCGGATCACGAGGTCAAGAGATCGAGACCATCCTGGCCAACGTGGTGAAACCCAGTCTCTACTAAAAATACAAAAATTAGCTGGGCGTGGTGGTGCTTGCCTGTAGTCCCAGCTACTCAGGAGGCTGAGGCAGGAGAATCGCTTGAACCCAGGAGGCAGAGGCTGCAGTGAGCTGAGATCATGCCACTGCACCCAGCCTGGTGACAGAGCGAGCCTCTGTATCACAAAAAAAAAAAAAAAAAAAAAAAAAAAAAAAAAGAGAGAGAGAGAAAATGAACAACTTAATTTAAAAATGGACAAAACACTTGAACAGACACCTTGCCAAAGAAGATACACAGATGGCAGATAGGCAAAATAAAAGATGCTCCACATCACATGTCATTGAGGAAATGCAAATTTAAACAACAATGAGATACCACTACATGCCTATTAGAATGGCCAAAATCCAGAACACTGACAACACCAAATGTTGGCAAGGATATAGAACAATGGGAATTCTCATTCATTGCAGGTGGGGATGCAAAATGATACAGCCGTTTGGAAGACAGCCTGTTTTTTGTTGTTGTTGTTTTGTTTTGTTTTTTTTTACAAAACTAAACATACTTCTACCGTATGATCCAGCCATTGAGTTCCTTGGTGTTTTCTAAAAGAAATGGAAATCACCTTTACACAAAAATCTGCACATAGATATTTATAGTAGCTTTATTCATAATTGCCAAAACATGGAAGCAATAAGTTGTCCCTCAGTAGGTGAATGGATAAATAAACCGTGGTACATCCAGACAATGGAATATTATTCAGCATTAAAAAGAAATGACTATCAAGCCATGAAATGACATGGAGGTACCTTAAACGAATATTACCAAATGAAAGAAGTAAATCTGAAAGGTTACATATTGCATAATTCCAGCTATATGACATTCTGAAAAAGGCAAAACTATGGATACAGTATAGAGGTCTCAGTGGTTGCCAGGAGTTGGAGAGAGGTAGGAATGAATAGGGGAAGCATGGAGGGTCTTCAGGGCTGTGAAACTATTCTGTATGATATTATAATGGTGGATGCATATCATTGTACATTTGTCCAAATCCGTAGAATGTACAACATCAAGAGTGAACCCTAATGCAAACTATGGACTTTGGATGATAATGATGTGTCCGTGGAAGTTCATCAGTTGTAACCAATGTACCACCCAGGTGTGGGATGTTGAGAATGGGGGAGGCTGGCTGTGTGTATGTGAGGTCAGGGAGCATATGGGAACTCTCTATACTTTCTACCTCAATTTTGCTGTGACCTTAAAACTGCTTTACAAAATAAAGTTTATTTAAAAGGGGGGGAGGGGAAACAAATAAAACAAATCACCAACAACAACAACAACAACAAGAACAAGATTAAGTACAGATCCTGAGCCTTGACAGAGCAGCCCCAGAAACCTTTGTTTTCTCAAGGTCCCATCACAAACCTCTGCTCTAGCCTAAGCAGCCTATTTAAGGTGCCCCAAATATCCCTTTTCCTTTCCCAGCATCTTCCCAGCTCACAATGTCCTCTTCCCCCACTCCTACCCTGTCACTCAACCACATTCTTCAGTGTTCAGTGCTGGTTCTACCCCTCTGGGAGAACTTCTTAACTTATCCTCACTAGAAGGGATGTCTCCGGCCTCTGCACTCCCCTGCACCTGGGCCAGTCATCTGGCTCTTAACGTTGGCTACCCTGTGGAGTTAGATAGAGCGCATGGTTTTTATGGATGTGTAGTAGTTCTCTAGTGTGCAAATTCTTTCAGAACATGTATTTTGCTGTATGATTTGTGTCATTGCCCTCAGACTTGTTTGTATTTAATTCAAGGATTAAATCAAAATATCAAAACTTACATTAAAATTTCAAAGCAATAAGTGGCCACAAAGCTTCCACACTGGAAGATGCATCTCACAGTCCCTCAGTGTTATAGTGTCACTGGTGGGAATGACTCTGAAGCAGCATGCAGAGCCACCTTCTGGGCTCCAAGGTGATGAGCCCCTGGGAGTTACTATTCCTGCCTCCTTAGTGAAGACCTCGGGCTCTTCAGGATTTTCTAGGGGGTCGCTTTAGTCTGTAAAACCTTACATGGCTTACTACCAGAGGGGTCACCCCTCTGTATGCTCACCCTGGGAAGAGTGAGATGAATTCACTTCCAAGACTAATGATCTGAGAGCCTTTTCCTGGGGCAGCAGGCTCTCCGATCTGGCAGCTGTCCTCTTCCCCTGTTGCTCTGCTGCACTGATTTGCAACTAGGCAGATTTGACGGTGGGGGTGGGAGAGAGCATGCAGAAGCGCCCCCACTGACCTCATGTGCCCTTCCCCACCTAGCCTCAATCACACCCATACTGACTGAGAACCATGGCTCCAACAGTTAAGCCTTTAACGTGAGGGAACACTGTTTTCTCAACTAGGCATATTCTGCTAGAAATATCAGATCCTTTTCAGTGTACCTTAATTTTACAAATATTTCAGATGAAAGTTACTTTGCCCTTGCCCCAAATTACCTGAGCCATGATCTCAATCTGATCATTTTATTTTAATAGTCCCAACCTTAAAATGTTCAAATCCACCTTATTCTGTAGAGAAGTCCATGTGTCTGCAGAAACACCATGTTTCTTTGTCTGTCCTTGTGAGTCTGAATAATTAAACAGGATTTTGATGGCGTGTGTGCCATGTGTATTTATTGTGCACACAGGTAGATACATGCATAACATATTAATTGAATTATTTTAAAAGCATAAATATTTTGCTGGGTTACAGAAACACACACTAAATATCTAAATCTACAAACTGCTGACAAACAGCACCTTTTCTAACAAAAGAGAGCAGTTTAATAACAGTGTTAGAAAGCTGGCAATATGTTTGCTAAAATCTTTAATTAGGGACAGGCTTTCCCAGAGGCTTCTGAAGGCAAAAGGTGTAAATGGAGAAACTGTCCCAGCCTGCATGCTCCGCGGTGGCTGTGTTCCGAGCACAGATGGGCTGGTGAGGAAACTGTGAATGGACAAATGATAACAGACTACTCTGTAATTCCAACATCAGCTCATTAGCAATCTGTCAGAGATTTTAATATTTATACTGGTAAAAATGCAGAAATCACACGATCGTTACGCGACAGTGTGTGTGTCTCACTGAAAAGGCCATTATCAACGGATTGGCATAATGGCTATTAATAAAACAAAAATGTCGCGGGAAGCACAGGCATTTGGATGCTTTGTGCTCGTTAGAAAATGATGATTTTGTGTGCTTTTAGGCCATAACAGGAAGCTGAGATAACAATGGTTTCATGATGGAAATCATTAATAAATAAACAACCAGGCCAGCATGGTGGAAAATGTGAAGGACATGAAGCCATACCAGTTTCCAAAAGATGAACGGTGACATTTCTCAGTTCTGAAAAATCCTCTGTGTCAGCAACTTTAAATTCCCTTGGATCACAAACCTGGTTTCCAAATGATTTTAAACTTGCTAGTCAGTGGGTTCAAATAGTTGCCATTGAAAACATATCTATTTAGAATGCATGTACACAATGAGCTGAAACTGATGAAGAATCAGGGTTTAGTCTCTGAAGGGAGAAAGAGAATGAACATTTATGAGGTATCTATTGTATGCCAAGTAGTTTATATTTGGAATCTTGTTTAATTTTCACAACATTCGAGTGAGATATTTCTCCCATTTCACAGGTGTAGAAGTAGCTGAGCCCCAGAGAGATTATGTGACTTCATGAAGATAGTACGGCTGGTTAAGTGGAGACAATTTTATTTGAACTTGGTTCTTTACGGTTGCAAAGCTAATCTTTTTTTCCATTGCATTATACTGCCTTTCAAGTTGTCTATCATGTACACTGGGGAGTAGCCTTTTAGGATCCTCATTACCTTACTATGGACAGGCACAAGGGCCCCAGAGACTCAGGGATCAACTTATATGAAGGCATCCTTTTTTTATTTTATTTTTTTTTGAGATATGGTTTTGCTCTGTCTCCCAGGCTAGACTGCAGTGGTGTGATAACAGCTCACTGTGGTCTCAACCTCCCAGGCCTCAGCCTCCCAAGTAGCTGGTCTGACAAAGCCATCCAATTTTAATGGCACAAATGGACACTGACTTATTTGAAGTATATACTTTAAAATTTCTTTTTGGGGAATAGTTCTGCTTCAATATTGAGAAATGTCTGCACCTGATACAAAGAGTTAAGCTAATGATCTGTGAAATCTAGTCAAAAAATTTTTGAAAGAAAAGAGTTCTTATATTATGATTCTATAAAGCTTAAAAATAAGTCAGGACAATGAAAACGGTTAGAAATCAGGATGATGATTTCCCCTGGAGAGAACAGTGACTGCAAGCAGGCACCGGGGGACTTCTGGGATCAGGGTATTGCTCTATTTCTTTTCTTTTTCTTTTTCTTTTTTTTTTTTTTTGAGATGGAGTCTTGCTCTGTTGCCCATGCTGGAGTGCAGTGGCATGATCTTGGCTCACTGCAAACTCTGCCTCTCAGGTTCAAGCAATTCTCCTGCCTCAGCCTACTGAGTAGCTGGGATTACAGGCATCTTCCACCATGCCTGGCTAATTTTTGTATTTTTAGTAGAGACAGGGTTTCACCATGTTGGCCAGGCTGTTCTCGAACTCCTGACCTTGTAATCTGCCCGCCTCGGCCTCCCAAAGTGCTGAGATTACAGGCATGAGCCACTGAGCCTGGCCTTGCTCTATTTCCTGATCTAAATGCTGGTTACACCACTGTGTTAACTTTGTGAAATTTTGTTGAGTTTGTAAATTTAGGATTTGAACACATTCCTGCATGCATATCCTACTTCCGTAACATTTACCAGAAAAAATAGAGGACAAATTTTTTTTCCTAACATGATTTAAATTGGAGTCTTGCCTGTTCAATTTTCGTATTTTGTGGCCATGGGCAAAATTATTCTTTTATGTGAAGCTTGTAATTGGAAGTCCTCCTTCTGGAGTTTGGAGACTATAAGCTGGGGAATATGTCTCCCTTGTCCATGTGGGTGAGTATGTGTATGCTCATTTAAATGTGCTCATATCCTAGAAATGGAGAAATACCTGTGTTCTTTTACTGCCATCTTTCAAATTCCTGAGAAACCTAAAATGGGAATGGAATGTTACTCAAGTGCAAATTTTATACAAGTGAGCTTGGGGATGGAGCTGTCTTATTTGGTGACCCCTTATTGGTAGCAATTTCCAGTGCAAATGGCAAGGGCAGGCACCCTCTCCTCTCAGGAACCAACATCTCCAGCCAGCATGTTGAACTCACTCTCACCTTGTGTCTTCGCCCCATCCCTGCTCAGTTCTTATTGCCAGGCTCTGCTGGAAGAGCCAAGGCAGGAGGATGTCTGCATCCCACAGACATCTGAAGGGCTGATTCTGAGGGCTCTTGAACAGACTCAACCTATTCATTTGTGCCTCAAACATATTTCCTACCTTACAGTACATGCCTATCTTAATGATCTAAACTTTTTTTAATCACCAAGATAACTACAAACAAGGTAGATTGTTGAAATGCTGCACTGCATTCACTAGGTCACTTCTGGAACTTTATCTTAAGGAAATCATTAGACAAGTTTGCAAAGATATTTCTCAACGTGTGTTTTGAGGACTACCAGTATCCATATCGCCTGTAGTGCTTGATAAAATGCAGCTTCCTGGGTCTTATGCCTCTCTTATTGAAGATGTGAGGCTCATGCATCTATATTTTAAAAGAGCCTCAGATAATTCTTAATCACATTTAAGCTTGAGGATCACTAATGTACAGGGATGTTATTGCAATATTGTTTAAAAGAGGAACAAAAAGGAGCAGGGAGCCTAAATGTTCATCAGAGGAGGATTAGTTAAAATAATGATGATACAATGACATTCTGCAGCTTTAAATATGTAATATAGATCCATATTTATTGACATGGAAAAATGTTCACAGTATATTGCTGGATGCAAAAAAGGACATGTTGTCTGATAATATTTTTGTTTCTAAATATGCATTTGGGTGAGGCCAGAATATCAACAGTGCTTATCTCTGGATGATACTTTTATTTTTCATTGTTTTCTCCTATGTTTTTTGTTTTTTTTTTGTTTTGCAGTAAGCATTTGTTACTTTTATAATCAAATAACTCCAATAAAGCTATTATAAAAACCAGAAAAAGAAAACTATTTGATTTCCTAAGCAAGTACTTCCAGTGTACTATTCCAGTGAAATTTGTGTATGGTTAATTCAGAAGATCGCAATAGCTGTCTGATCCTCTTAACATATGAAATATCTAAAAGACATGTCTGTGTTGGTCCATGAGATCAGTCAATATTGCCAATGGAGTAAAACCTTCTGAACCCAAGAGTGACTTTATAGCTGATGTTTATATCACAGATATTTTTACTCATTAGAACTAGTGCTTTTTGCAGGGGATAAGAATGGTGAAGAGGGCTGGGAAATGCATACTGTGATTTGGGGAAGTGTATCTGGTGCATAAAGACTGTCCAACTCTTGTATTTAGAAGATTTGCAGCAGTGGAAGAGTCCTGAAGAAATCGAAGGGTCAGTGAACTTCAGTTGTATCCTGCTTTTTATGCTTGCTTTCAATCCTTTACCCTTAAAAGTGTTTTGTTCTTCTTCTTCAGCTTTGTCTTATAATGAAAAAGATAGGGAATGAGATCCACTGAAAATTCCAGGATTTTGCCTCTCAGAACACAATCTTGAGAGTACATTTTTCCTAATCCAATCTGTTTTAAATGTTGTCAGGAAGTACCATAATTGGTTGTGGTAAATGACACTGGAACCACATTGCTACTCACTCTGGAAATGATATGAGCTCAGCGTGCTGCTGATCAAATGCGTTTCTGCATTAAAACTATTACAGGCAGAATGCCTCAATGGGATTCTTTCCTCCTAATAGTTTTCCAGGGTTTGTGCTGAAAGGGTTCTGTCAATCAAGCCTGAAAATCAGCTTAACACTCTGACTTGGGTTAATAAAATGCAGCTGCCAGGATCTCAGCTCAGAGGCCACTGTTCCCTGGTTCCAACATTATCAAGCCCCACTAAAAATGCCTCATTATAATTGATACTCACTGATAATACACTTTTTTTTATTGCAAAGAATGCCTCCAGAAAGACTTTGCCTTACATAAAGCCTGCTAGAAGAGAGACCCCATATCAAAGACAGATAGCTAAGAGGAAGTAGTACAGGCTAAATGTATTTTCACAAGTACCCTGGGGACAGACTTGGTGCAGATTCTGACTTTCCTGGGTGGCTTGGATAATGCACCAAGAATTGATACTGAAATAAGGATATGGCCCAGATTATATGGTTGTGAAAGAGGCTCTGATAGCACTGTCACCAATTAATGGGAAGATGAGATTCCAAATGAAAAGACTTATTTTACTAAGGAAAACAAGATGTCATAATGCAGAAAGCCCATGACAACTGACATGCCAGTGAGAAGAGAAAATGTCCCTTGAATCACTAAGTCACTGCTTTGCTGGAGAGTCCATATCACTGTCTCTTAGTTCTTCTAAGATTCAGACTTCTGGGCCAATTGATTCTAACTCTCTTCAAATAGAAATATTTCTCCTCTAGTTTCATGGACAGAGGCACTCACACAAAAAAAACCCACATTAAAAGGACATTAGGGCCATCAAAGTGCTGGAGGGAAGCATGATGGCTTTCAAAGTAATTCTACTTTCTAGAAAGTTTCTGCTGGCTGTCTCTGAGGAAGGAGAAAATGAAATAAACACAGCCCTGGTGTGGGGGGTGGTATTTCCACCCAGTGAATTCTCATCATGGTAGAATACCACAAAGGTGGACAACCAAGTAGGAAACTGAGAAAGGAACATTGTTAATTATACTCCCGTGTTGTTTATTTGAGAGTTTCTGTTCAGAGACAACTGGAGTGACTTTCCAGGAAGGGAGAAGGAAACGGTTTTTCGTGGCTGGTAGAGCTATTGTTAGGAAAGCTTTAAGGAGGTACTTTGGGCACGGTCTTCTTTACACAACCAAAATGGCTCTGGGGGCTGCAGGATCACATGACATTATGAGGGAACGCTTGACTCCATTACATTTGCTTCACATTCCCTTTCAAACATTAATTGCCTGAATTTCCCTGGTCAAGTGAAAAAAAAAATAAGCATACACACATTTATCATGTTATTGTTTTATTACTTTGGCTGTACTTCTTCCAAATGTGTTTTTATTCAGGTTATATATTCTAGCACACACTGCCCCCATGTGCAGTGAGGAGCAGACCCCTTACACTCTCCTTAGGATGATTTATGACTGATACATATTGAGGACTTGTGTGCTGCAGCCTGTACTGAGCTCTTCACAAACGTTCTCTCCACCTGATCCCCATATGACTGTGTGAAGTTGATAATGTTCTTTTTAGTCCTAATTTACAGGGAAATTGAGTAAGAGGAAGGTTGAGTAACTTGCTCCAGATTATCCAGCTGGTGAGCAGATCCTGACCTGGTCTATCTACAAAGCACTGCTCCTTCACTGCTATTCTCTACACCTGCTGGCTGATGATGTTCTATACTCGAGCTTCTCCCAGTATGAATTAGTGGCCTATGGTCAGTAGTTTCCACATGTGGCGTTTCTAGGAAAAGGAACTATCCCTATTCCCAGAACAAGCCCTAGGTTACACTTGGATCCAGGCCTACTTTGAGAGATTGTTGCCACTGAAGGGGAGACAGCCTACTAAAGACAGAGCTCTAGCTTCAAAATTGGAGAGATCAGCTTTCCATTTTGGCTTTCATATTTACTAGCTGTGTGATCTAGGTCAAATAATTTAACCTGTCTGAACTTCAGCAACCCAGCACTATATTTAACATGGAGAGAGCTAAAAAGTCATTAGGGACATACGAGCCCTAGATTACACTTAGGCTCTGTGCTTCTAAAAATCCGACTCCTCTGGGGAGTCGGAAGTGAGAGTACGTGTGTTTGGGAGAAAGATATAACAGAGTTGATAAAAAGTGGGCAATAGTGATGCTACCCACCTCTCCTAAGCAGACCTCACCAGTTGATCAGGGCACCATTTTGTGATGAGTCTGGTTTCAGTGTCAGAATTCTTCTCAAGGGTTCCAAGCAGTTCAATGGAGTTGGTGCTCAGAAAGAATCCTATTTATTATCCCATGCATAGGGATATCAAAATAGGATCTGCACATGGGGAGGAGTAAAATAATAAGGTAAAGGATCTGAAAAAGAAAAAAAGAAGTGAAACTGTGAAACCTGAACATTATTTTTATCTCATTTTGTTTATGATTTAAAAAATAATCCTTCTCACATTAATAAAAGTGGATTTCATAGTAGGAGTGGGATCCTCAGTTGGAAACTAACACTGGTGACTACTTTACATAGATTATCACCTGTGAGCAGTAAAACAGCCCAGGAAGGGAAGATTAGTAGCCCCATGATACAACTGAGGAAACTGAGGCTCAGAAAAGTAGAGTAACTTGCCCAATACCACATAATTATCGAGTGGGACCTTCTAGCACCAAATGTGGCCCTCTTTCCACAACACCGTCACAGGACCATGCAACACTGAGTTCTAGGCCTTTTGCAGTTAACTCAAACCCATCTATTTTCCCCTGGCTTCCCTGGGTTCCCAGTAGCTGGGCCCACTGATCTCTCTACCTGCCATGGTAGAGAGGGGTTTGAGACAGAGCCAAGGGGTTTGAGACAGTGTTCCCTGCAAAGTATTGCAGGAAATTTGATACTAGAAAAAGGTCACTTAATGTAATTCCACTTAAAATGGGTTTCCCAAGTTCTACTGTATTAAAAAAAAAGAGGTTGGACTAGGACCTTGTCTTGAAAATGAAATGAAAATTTATGAAAATAGGTGTTCTAGGAATTAAATCTGTGGCAACTGTGTAATTCATGAATGAATGAATAATAAACAATAAGTCTAACTTGAGGACTTCACTTTTTTATTTTTATAGATTTAGAGGGTACATGCACGGTTTTGTTTTGGATATATGTGTAATGGTGAAGTAACTGTAATTTGAGGAAACAAATTACCTCAAGTCTTTGTGGCATAAAATGATGAAGTATTATTATGCTCACAGATTCTGTGGGTCAGGAACTCAGCCTGGGCACGGCACATGACTCTATGACTCTTCACCATCACTTTCATTGATGTCAAGAAATCCTTCTCACCTACTTAGCTTTGTAACTGTAGTAACTCTGATCATGAGTATTTCTCTTAGGAATTTCCCGACTTTAGCTCTGCCTCTTCCCTCCCTGATTGCAGTGCCTTATCCCTATGCACTGCACTTCGGGGTTATTTCTCCTTCCGTAAGCTTAGTTCTGCCCCTTGCCTCTGACTACGCTCTGTGCCTTCAGCTAGCCTTCATTCTGTTTCTGGCATCTGTCTTGACCCCTATGGCCCTGCTTTGTTTAAGGCAGTTCTCCTCCTTGGGGCCTGGACCCTGCCATAGGACCAACCCAATAGGTTGAACCTGTCCCCTATGGAGAGATGGCCCTGGCCCTGTCTGCTAACCTGGGCTCTGAGCCATTCCCTTGTTTTCCTTTTCCTGTTCTCAGCTCACATATTGGGGCACTTTGCTCGAATGAGCTCAAGGAAGGAAAACACCTAGTCCCACGGCTGACTCACAATGGGCACTAAATTAAATGCTAGAATTCCCTTGCTCAGCAAGGCCCCTGACTGGAAATGGCCACATTCCCTGGACACTGGGTCTTGACCACTTATCAGAACCCATTCTATCTATGCTGCCCGTGCCTCCAGCTCCAGTGCGTTGATTTTTGAATCAGCCTTTCCCCTCATAGTGTCTGCATTACTGCTGAGAGGTCTGCTGAACCTAATCACAGATCTTCCTCAGACACCTTGAAACAAATGTCTGAAGAGCCCAGAACAATTTCACACTAAAATTCTCTTTCACTCAACAAAGATATATTGATGATTCAGGCGCTGGGCTTCTGAGGTTCCAGGCCTAGACTAGAAACTGGCGATACTGTGGTGAACGCAGTTCCAGCCTTGCCTCTCCTGTTACCCTTCAACTCTTGCTGGCCAGGCGTGGGGTGGCTCATGCCTGTAATCCTAGCACTTTGAGAGGCCAAGGCTGGTGGATCACTTGAGGTCAGGAGTTTGAGACCAGCCTGGCCAAGGTGAAACCCCGTCTCTACCAAAAATACAAAAAATTAGATTACAGGTGCACGTGTGGTGGTGTGCACCTGTAATCCCAGCTACTCGGGAGGCTGAGGCAGGAGAATTGCTTGAACCTGGGAGGTGAAGGTTGAAGTGAGCTGAGATCGTGCCACTGCACTCCAGCCTGGGCCACAGAGCGAGAGTCCATCTCAAACAACAAACAAACAAACAAAAAAACAAAAAAACCTCTTGCCCCCACCCCCATTCCAGGGAGCCATGCACAGTTCCTACACTCTCTACTCCTATCCTCTGACATCTTCAGGCAGTCCTGCTTTCTACTCTTGTTCTAATTGCTTTTCTGTGTCCTCTATTTGACATCCACACAAGAGAAGAGTGTGTCTTCTCCCCACTCCACTGAATCAGTGCTGGGATGATATTCCTTTAGAACTCGACTGTTCCTTTCCAAAGTTTCTAAAGTCCTCAAGTGAGAGTTGAGTAAGAGACACTGGAGACTTCAAAAGGTGGGAGAGTGGGAAGGAAGTAAGGGATGAGAAATTACTTATTGGGTACTGACATGGTTTGGCTCTGTGTCCCCACACAAATCTCATCTTGAGTTGTAATTCCCATGTGTAATCCTCACATGTCAAGGGAGGGAAGTGATTGGATTAAGGAGGCAGTTTCCCCCATGCTGTTCTCGTGACAGGGAGTCTCACGAGATCTGATGGATTTGCAAGTGGCAGTTTTTCCTGTGCTCACACTTCTCTCTCCTGCTGCTTTGTGAAGAAGGTGTCTGCTTCCCCTTCTGCCATGACTGTAAGTTTCCTGAGGCCTCCCAGCTCCCTGCCATGTGGCACTGTGAGTCAATTAAACCTCCTTTGTTTATAAATTACCCAGTCTCAGGTAGTATCTTCATAGCAGTGTGAAAATGGACGAATACAGGTACAATGTGTACTTCTTGAGTGATGGTTACACTAAAAGCCCAGACTTCACCACTACACATATATCCAGTAACAAAACTGTGCGTGTACCCTCTAAATCTACAAAAATAAAAAGTCCTCAAGTTTGACTTATTGTTTATCATTCATTCATTCATTCACCTATCAAATATATGTTGTGGCTTAAAACAACAACAATTTGTTAACTTACAGTTATGGAGGTCAGAAGTCTAAAGTGGGTCTCACTTGACAAAAGTCAAGATTTTGACAGACCCGTATTCCTTTCTGGAGACTCTAGGGGAATCTCTTTTCTTGCCCTTTCTGGCTTCTAGAACCTGCCTACATTCTTTGGCTAGTGGCCCCCTTCCATCCTCAAAGCCAGCAGTGGCTGGTCAAGTCTTTCTCATGATGTTATCTTTCTGGTTCTGACCCTTCCATCTCCCTCTTCGCCATTACGGACCCTTTTGATAACATTAGGCCCACCTGGATAATCCAGGATAAACTCTTTATTTTAAAATCAGCTGATCAGTCACCTTAATTCCATCTGCAACCTTAATTCCTTTTTGCCATGGAACATAGCATACTCACAGGTCCCAGGGTATAGGACATAGACATCTGGGGGCAAGGGACAAGGTTGTGCCTACCACTCCTACTCTTAGAGTTTTTTTATTTAGTATGTTCATGGAGGGGCCCAGGAATTTGCATTTCTAACAAGTTTTCAGATGATACTGATGCTAATGATCCAGGAACACACTTTGAGAACCACTGGTGATATGGTTTGGATTTGTCCCCACCCAAGCCTCATGTCAAATTGTAATCCCCAATGTTGGAGAAGGGGTCTGGTGGGAGGTGATTGGGTCATGAGGGTGGATTTCCCCCTTGCGGTTCTCATGATAGTGAGTGAGTTCTCACGAGATTTCGTTGTTTAAAAGTGTGTAGCACTTCCCCTTCACTCTCTCTCTCTCCTGCCCCAGCCGTGTGAAGATGTGCCTGCTTCGCCTTCCATCATGACTGAAGTTTCCTGAGGCCTCCCCAGCTATGCTCCCTATACAGCCTGCAGAACGGTGAGCCAATTAAACCTCTTTTCATTATAAATTACCCAGTCTCAGGTATTTTCTTTTTTTTTTTTTTTTTTTGTGATGAAGTCTTGATGTGCTGCCCAAGATAGAGTACAGTGGTGCAATCTTGGCTCACTGCAACCTCCGCCTCCCGGGTTCAAGCAATTCTCCTGCCTCAGCCTCCTGAGTAGCTGGTATTACAGGTGCATGCCACCACATCTGGCTAATTTTTTTTGTGTGTGTGTGTTTTTAGTAGAGATGGGGTTTCGCCATGTTGGCCAGACTAGTCTTGAACTCCTGACCTCGTGATCTACCCACCTTGGCCTCCCAAAGTGTTGGGATTACAGGTGTGAGCCACTGTGCCTGGCCTCAGGTATTTCTTTACAGCAGTGCAAAAATGGATTAATACAACTGATTTAGAAACTCTGTTCACTTAACATTTTAATTCATTCAGTTCTATGTGCCCAACACTATAGCAGATGCTGGGGATGGTGCCTGCCAATTTAAAAAAGCCCATAAATCTAACAAAGGGAGCAAACAATTTCAATTTGGTGTAATATATATTCTAAGAGTGCAAATGGAAAGTGCTAAGTGTGCAAAGTGGTAAGCATTCCTACAAGACAGAGCAACTAACAGGAGCAAGGGAGGCTTCACAGTGTAGGTGACATTGGATATTAAAAAATAAGGAGGACTTTGGGAGGCTGAGGTGGGTGGATCATGAGGTCAAGAGATTGAGACCATCCTGGCCAACATGGTGAAACCCCATCTCTACTAAAAATACAAAAATTAGCTGTGTGTTGTGGCATGAGCCTGTAGTCCCAGCTACCCAGGAGGCTGAGGCAGGAGAATTGCTTGAACCCAGGAGGTGGAGGTTGCAGTGAGCCAAGATCGCGCCACTGCACTCCAGCCTGGTGACAGAGTGAGACTCTGTCTCAAAAAATAAAATAAAATAAAATAAATAAATAAAAAATAAGGAGGAGATTTCTAGAGAGTTGAGGGGGGTAGAATATTGCAGGTATTGGGAATACCATATGAAAAAGAGCATGACGTGTGTAGGGAATGGGGAGTAGCTCTGTGTAGTTGGAGTGGATAGTTCATTGCAGTGTAGAAAACTTGGGAGTTGACACTAGAAAAATAACATATGTCACATTAAGGAATAGAGTGGGCCTGTCTGAGTTGCCTGCCCAGCCCACACTGTCTTCTCTGAGAACATTCTTCTCTACAGCTTCCACTGAAGATGTGGGCCTCCACCGCTGTCATGTTTTGTCCATATAACCTCACCCCTTCATGGTCACAGCCAATTGAGCATTTGGCTCATGCGATAAGCCAATCAGATTTTCTTTCTCAATAATTTGTTCTGAGAGATATGATGGGTAGGTAGGCTTGGATTAAAAATGTGTATAGGGGGCCATGTGCATTGATGAACAAGCAGAGGGAGACAGGGTGGGAAAGTCTTCAGAAGAATGGGGTAAAGTCAAAGAAAGAAGCAGAGATAAGATATTGAAGGCAGTGAGAGAGGAGCCAGCACACGGGGTACTCTGTCCCTGACAACTCCCCTGCTACCTGGCCGTACTTCTTGCTTCATGAGAGTCCCCTATTTCCTGATAATAACACTTCTTTTTATTAAAATGAGAGGGAGTACTTTTTTTTTCCAAAGGGTTTAGATTTTATCTTGGCAGAAGTGAGCCAGTGGAAGCGTATAAGGCAAAGGAATAACAGATTTGCATTTCAGAAGATCTCTGGCTGCAGAAGAGGGTCAGGGGAGCAGACGAAAGGCTCTGCATTGGCCTGGGCAACAGAGGTTGACAGTCTAAACTCAGGCAGTAGCAAGGACTTGAGGAAGGGGTGACTCTGAGAGATACTTGGGGTGTAGAATTGATAGGACTTAATGTTTTGGGTTGTATGAAGTCGAGGTCAGAAGGAGTTAAGGACAGTCCTCTGTTTTCAGCTTGATGAATTGAAATAATTGAAAGGCTGTTAACAAAGAAAGTGAAGACAGAATTACATTTTGGAAGAAAGATATTAAGCTCAGTTGAAGACACATGTTGTGTTTGAGGAGCCTATGGCAATATCCAGTAGGCACTGACACTATACCTGCGGGTTAAAAGGAGGTTAGAATAAAGATGGATATAGGTGGTATTCCCCTAACTAGATTAGATTCTGGAAAGAATTTAACATGAGAAGGAAGAAAAGGGAAGAGACAACAGAAACATTAACATTGACAAGCCAGAGGACAGACACCAGCCAGCCAAGGGACCTGAGGAGGAATGGCCAGAGGAATAGAAGGAGACAGGAGAGAGTGAACACAGGCATTAAGGGAGGAGAGTTTTAAGCAGGAGAAAATAGCCATACAGGTCAAATTGTGCAATGAAGTTAAGTAAGATGACAGCTGAAAGTTCATAGTATTTGATATTTGATCCATTGTTGTCTTTAAAGAGAGTAGTTCCATCAAAAGGGAGATGGCGGAAATAAGATGAGGTCATCTTGGGTGAGGAGTGAGTGGTTGGTAAGGAAGTAGCCAAGGCTAGTGATAACGACCCTTTCTGGAAGTTCGGATGTGAAGGAAAGGAGACACTTAGGCTGAAGCTTAAGGATGAAGAGAGATATTGTAGGATTATTACAAAACTGACCCTAATTCTCCATCCCTCCCTGAATCCACATCCTTTGTGATGTGACTTTGCAGCTCCTCCCATCAAAAAGTAGAGTCTATTTCCTTGCCCCTGGGTTGGACTTGTGACTTGGTTTTGCCAATAAAATGAGGAAGAATTGGTTTTGTGCCAATTCAAGAGGTCTTGTATTTCTGCTTTCTCTCTCTCTCTGCCTCTTGAAATCCTGCCCAGCAACCATGAGAATAAGCCTGAGCTAAATTGCTGGATGATAAGTGATCAGTGTCCCAGCCACCCACTTCACCATAACTAATAACCTGCTTAATTGCCAGGCATGTGAGCGAGCTCGCCCTTGACCAGCCTGCCCTAGCTGACCCCCCAGCTAACTGCACCCTCATGAGGGTGTGTAGTCACTATTTCGGGCCCAGCTGAAGTCAACTGAGCCTGGCCCAGATGACTTATCAACTTGTGAATAAAGTTCTTTCTGTTTGAAACCACTGTTTTGGGGTGCTTTGCTTTTACATCAATAGGTTACTGATTGAAGAGATTGCTGGAAGATATTTATAATTTTGCATTAGCATGGAGGAGATTTGAACATATTTGCACATATGGGAAAAAGACAGATTTAAGATTCAAGAAAGAGGGGTAAGTGATGGGAGAAAGGGATGTGATCAAAAGCTCAGGTGGGAGATTAGCCTGGGAAAAGACAGAGTGCCTCTTTTACTTTCAAGATAAGAGAACAAAGTAGGGATGGGAGTAGACATCCTGGACTGAAATTCAGTGCATCACTAGGGCTGTGGCTCTCAACTGTGAACATGGTGGTAGTTTCTCTAGCTGTATCTTGGGACATGCTCACATGTAATATCCAACTAAAAATTAACTCTCCAAACTCATGCATTTCCACATCTGTCAAAGCTAAAAGGGGCATCTGAGACAGATTTCCTTTTGTTTTCACTGGCGTGTCAAATGCCACAGTGACAGCAAAGGAATAATCTTCAGTTTGTGTATAATGAGGTCTGAAATTTCCGTCGCCACATATTGATCATGAATCTTATTTCACTAGATAAACTGACAGCAGAGTCTCAGTTACTTAAACAAAATTTTGAAGAAAATCAACATTATCACCCACATCTATGGCTTTTTTTTTTCCTACTGTCACTTTCATGGTTCAGTTATTTTGTCTATATGCAGTGATTTCCAGTTTTTTCTGGATTCCTCAATAGTCAAATCTTTCCTCAATCCTACATATATGCTCCTACATCCTTAAAAATATGATTTAATAGAAAGACAACTGGTTTGGCAGGCAGAAAAACTGAGTTCTAATCTTAACTCTGCTGTTAACTAGCAAAATTATCTAGGCTAAGTCTCTTAACCTCAGCTTTCTTATCTGAAAAATTTATTCCTCCAATAGGTATTTATTGAGCAGGCATTATGTGCCAGACACTATTCGAAGTGTTCAGGATATATCAATGAAAACAACGAGGCCTCTGCCCTCAGGGAGCTTACATTCTAGAGGAATCAGACCATGAAAAACATATGCAAAAGACAGGATAATTATATTATATAATTGCAGGTGCAAAGTGTTATGAAAAAATTAAAAATAAACTGGGAGTGGGGACAGGTTGCAGGTCAGGAGAGACCTCTGAGGAGGTGACTAGAAGGAGGTGAAAGGGTTACCATGAGGGTGTCTGGAGGAAGAATATTCCAGAAAAAATTCCTAACAGTGTTTCCTCAGTTTTTTTTTCCCCTTTAGATTCCATTTATGCTTGTTTACCTCAGTGAAGATTTACAATATGTACGACCATTAGGCCAGTCTTGTATATTATTCCATACATTTCTTTGAATAGTCAACAAATGACCAACTATTCCCTCTAGAGCTAGCCCCATGGGTCCTAGGTACAAGAGCCTGTTGCCTTGTATTTACTTTCAGGGACTTCTGTGTGGTATTTTCCACTGGAAAGGTCAGGTTTATATTATATCAAACATCACATGAGGATTGCCTATGCACATTTCTACCTTGCATAGGGTAGCTAAAGCAGGCAAATGTATTTTTAAAAAGACACAGCTCTTGAGAAAGTCACTACTATTTCTGCAAACCTCTAATGTGTCAGATGCTTTACATTCTTTATCTCCCCTGATGGTCACAACACTCCTCCCTCCCTCTAATGCTAATGAGGTTAGCAGTTTTCTAACTTTACAGATGAGAACATGGACATTCAGAGAGTTTCAGAAACTTACCTGTAGTCACATAGCTAGTAAGTTTCAAAGCCAGGATTTGATTCCCAAGTGTACGTTCTTTCCACTATCCCACACTGCTTCTTTTGTTTTTGAAGACTCTTTGATTTAGCTGGGAAGCCAGATGCATATGTATATGAGACAATCAGAGAGTCATTTTAAGGCAAGTAGCACAGTGGTTAGGAGCTTGGGCTCTGCAGTCAGGCAGCCGGGGGTCAAATTCCAGCTCTGCTACATCACTAGGTGATCATAGGTAAGCTCCTTAACTTTTCTGAGCCTCTATTTCTTTATTTATAAATATGGATCATATGAGGATCCATCTGATAAAGTTGTTGGAGGATTCAATGAAATAATACATGTGAAGTGCTTAGCATGGCATCTCTTAAATAATTGCTAATCTATGTTAACAGTAATTCTCATACATTGTTGATGCATTTTTTAAAAGTATATATCCTTATACATATAAAGATATCTCTGGAAGGCTCAGAAGGAGACAAAAGGAGCTGGTCACAGAGTGCCTGTGAGCTGGGAGCTAGGGAGCTGGGACAAAAGCACAAATTACTTTTCACTTTGATTATTTGTACACCCTGTGTACATTTAAATGTTGGGCCACATGATATTACTTATTTAAATTAGCAATTATAAATTTTTTAAGAAGTGCTGTTGTTGTTATCATTGGAAGGAATTTGGAATAAAGAAGCTATTAGTTGGATAGACTCATTTGGAGATTTCCTGAAGGTGATGAATTGGGCAGGGCCTTGAAGCAGGTGCAGAATTTTGGTGACGGAATAAAGACCTGGGAGGTATTTTAAGTGAAACGTTCTAGCAAAGTACAGCATAAAGGTGGAAATGAGTAGCTGGTGAATGCAGTCCATCTGATTGGTGTTGTGGAGACAATGAATCCAGCCAATAGATGAGAGTGAGGGTGCTTTCCAAATACCTATAATAGAAAAGAGAGGATGTAAGTGAGAAATTGGCAGAAACACTCCACCTCAAATACAAAAATTGAGAAAGAACAGTTCTGGAAAAAGATTGCCAGTTGAGGCCAATTCCATGAGCCCTGCTACCCGGATTATTCTGGTTCATCAATCCAAATTGAGCTGGAGGAACCTTTGACATCCCCCTCTCTCTGCCCGCAGGTCGGCTGCCTCCAATCCTGAGGTCATCACTCATCAAGAGGGGATAATCCCAGGGACAGCAGGATCTGCTTCGTTACTTGGATTTAGGAGCCAGAAACCCATCAGGCAACTAAACAGTAACAATGACCCGCCATTAAACACACTGAGAGAAGAGCATGATGAAGAGTTTGTACAAGAAGAAGCCAGGAGCACTTGCTGACAATGCTTACAGAGACGCAGGCTTCTATGAGCTCTGCCTGTTGAACTGCAGTAAAAATAGATCTCCTTCCCCAGAGAGGCTTGGATGTGGGCACAATATCAGTTCAGACGATGGTCAATGCATGTACTTAATAGAGTGAAAAGACTTTGGACTGTGAAGTCAGATTACCTGGGTCTGAATTGTTATTCTTCTACTTCTTTGTAGTATGCTTTCACCACATTAAAAATTGTCTGAGCCTCAATTTTTTTATCTGCAAAATGGAGCTAATACCTACACAGGGGCTTTTAAGAGAATCAAATGCAACAATGTTTGAAAAGCAACATACTCCCCTTTATGGAAAAAGAGCCTGTAAAGGAACCAATACAATGGCTGGGCGTGGTGACTCACACCTGTAATCCTAGCACTTTGGGAGGCCGAGGTGGGTGGATTGCCTGAGCTCAGGAGTTCGAGACCAGCCTGGGCAACATGGTGAAACCCCGACTCTACTAAAATACAAAAGATTATCCTGGCGTGGTGGTGTGCACCTGTTATCTAAGCTACTTGGGAGGTTGAAGCAGGAGAATTGCTGGAACCTGGGAGGCAGAGGTTGCAGTGAGCCAAGATCACACCACTACACTCCAGCCTGAGTGACACAAGACTGTGTCTCAAAAATAAATAAATGAATAAGTAAATAAATACAAAATAAATAAAATAAAGGAACCAATACAACAAAGGCTGCTCTCAACATTTTCCCTGCTCCTAGGCACTCAATATCAGAATATAGGCTTCTTTCTTTTGCTCAGATACCAGGGATAAGAAATGAGAGAGAGAGAGACAGAGTAATGTGGAAAGACAGGAAGCCAGATTCTGGCTCTTAGAGGAAAAAATTCACTCTAAATAATTTTCAGACAATGTTACTCTCCTTTCTCAAACACTGGGGCCACAGGCATTATGCCAAAGGAGTCAGCAGCCTGGCAGATATTTTAAACTGATTCTGAGACTGAACGACAGCCCATTTGCACCATATGCCACTGACACGTTAATCTAGGCAAGGATGCTAGGCACCTGGGGAAATCCATGCTGAAATGCCATTTAGGCAGGACATACCAACTCCAGTGGCAGAAGTTCATCAAAACAAACAGGCAGGGTGGCCAAGAAGATAGAAGTGGAAAGCAGGAGTGAAGGGGACATGCAGTGTCCAAGGCACAAAATGTGTTCTGAGTTGCAGACACTTCATTGTGCTTCTAGGAGAGCTGCAGATTCAGCAAGACATTAAAACTGGGTATTTGCAGTCTGGACAAACGAGTATCTGCTACTTTTGCATCAGTTATTCTACATGGCCTCAAACCCTGTGACCCTTCTATCCATTGGCAAATACTGGGCGATGCTCCAGTTCACCAGAATGGCCTCCTTTATCCCTGCAGTTTCACTGTAAAAAGCCCGAGCAAGCGGCTGCCGAGTGACTCTAGTAGTTGCTCCGGTGTCAGACTTTCCAGGATCCAATTTGGTGGGAGCACTCTGGGCCTTTGGTCTCCCTCTACTCTTTGCCAGGCCCTGTTTCTTGGTTACTCTGAGCAGTAATGAGCTTCTCCACCCCAGCATGAGGACAGGCTCACAGCCAGCACATGAAAAGGGCTGTGCTCATGTGTGGCAAACTACTCTATTTCATGGGCAGCTCACACGTCTGTTTTTTTTTTTCCTTCTTCTGTGATGCAACTACACTAATGATTTTTTAAAGTAGGAATAAGGCAGTACTATGGCTTTCTGGGGGAAAAAAAGTCACACAGCAGGAAAACTGCAGCAGATATCATCAAAGAAGCTCAGAATAAAATGCCCACCCATTCTTGTTATTGGCCCAAATGATTTTCCAGGAGCAAAAGGATCATTCTAACAGGCATCTTAATAAACAAATAGAATCATTACCTTAGTTATTTTCCTCCAGGCAAATGAGGCTTAAAAAATCAGCTCTTCCTGTTAATGTTAGTTATTTTTCATAGTCAGAAGAATCTGAAAGATCATAAAAATAAGATTAGGCCACCAAAGAATGTGGATAAGCAGTTCAGAGATGTTAAGCGCGGGCTCTGGAATCAGCTTTTGGTTCAGATCTGGAGCTCTGTCCCTTACCCTCTGATGACCATTGGCAATTTACTCAACCTCTACCCCCAGTCTCTGTTTCTTCATACAGAAACTTGTATGAATAACTTATACAGAATAACCCCACCTGTACCTTGTAAAGAATAACCTCACCTGCCAGGGTTGTTAAGAGGATTAAAAGAGAAGGTATGTGTGTAGCAAGGAGCACATTTCCTAGCACATGGTCTGGGTACTTATGTTCAAATGATAGGCCTGATCTTGGAAACCACATGTCACTTATGTGTTGTAATGTAGACAGATTGTTTCTATGGATTCTTCGCAAAGACTAAGTAGATGTTCAAATGAGAAAATCACAGGCATTTTCTGCGCATTCACCACTACACACATAGGGCTGTGCTGTGTATTAGGAAAGATTTATAAGAAGTAGAAGAGTTAGTTTTTACTCAGGAGTAGCTTAAAGTCAACCCTGAAGAACAGTAATACCACTCTTAATTCAAGACCTGATGTCCAGCAACCCCATGCCTTTACCCTATGCACCCAGAAACCCATCTGAAATGAGATCTAAACACGCTACCACAGTAGTGGCCTAACTGATCTCCCCGCACCCCTCCTTGACTTCATATAGCCAATCCACAGAGCAGCAGAGGACTCTATATAATGTAAAATAAATCATATCATCTCAGAATCCACTGATGGCTCCCTACCTCACACAAAATGGGACCCAAAGTCCTCATTCTACCTGCAAAGCCCATCATGGTTTGAGCCCCGTTACCTTCCTGATCACTTCTCTTCCTGCTTCCCTCCTTTGCTCGCCCCCTTCCAGCCACACTACCCTCCTCAAACACACCGAGCATGCTCTCACTTCAGAACATCTGGACTGCTACTTTCTCTCTCTGGAATGCTCTTGTCCTATGTACTCATATGGCTTGCTCCTTTACTTCATTTAGGTTTCTGCTCAAATGTCACCTAATCGGAGAAAGCTTCCTTGACCATTCTTTTTAAATAGTCACCCAATCCTGCTATTCTCCGTCTCCCTACTCTGCTTTATTTTTCTTCACAGAGCCTTCAAGACTTCATAAAGGAAGGTTAATGTAATGAGGTCCAGTCCTCACTGCTACAACTGATCTCAATGCCATAATTAATATTTGTCACCTTCATCTTCCACCCCTATTCTAGTTTTGCCTCACCCTTTACCAACACCTCAGCTGGTCTAGGGTGCCTCCCAGCAACCTAGGAGTCATCTAAGAGTGACTCAGACCTTCACCCACAAGGGGACTGGGTTGCGTTAGCCCCTGTGGGCTGAGGTTGCTGCAGTTGCCAATTTACAGTTATCAATGGACTTTGGAGTTATCACCAAGAGATGCCCCATTAAATCGCTGGGTCCTAGACGTACTCCCTTCTGCCCTATTGCCTCCATTGTGTAATAGCAACCCTATTTCCTCATAGGAATCGGGGTCAATTGCTTAACAAATGTTTCACAAGTGGATCATTGAGAATGATGGTGAAAAGAACCAATCTTATTTCCACCAGTTGATTCCTGGACCCATATATTATAGCTAGGAGAAAATCACCACTGTTTGTTCTGTGCATATACTGCATGTTGGAGTATACAGTTCAACCCCATAGGGTATTATGCCCAAGCTAGCACCTTAACTAGGCTCTTCCATTATTCTACTAGGCTGGCTGCCTCTAGGTGAAGAAGTACATTGTAAGATCAATCAATCCCATGATCATGTGCCCATTGTCACAACCCTCTTACCATCAAATGGATCCCTTAGTCTGAGGCACAGTTGTGTGGATTCCCATTTCAGTAAAGAACACATTCCGTAAGTCCTCAGGTAGCAGTGTCAGCAACAGCACTGACATCAGGGAAGGCAAAGCCATATCCAACTAGGTGTCAATTCTTATAATGGAATTAGGTGTGATGTCATCAACTTGCCACCAAGTGCCTGGCTAGTATCTCTGAGGATGGTGCCTTATCTATGCCAGCCTGTCCTCTGGCAGGAAAAATATTCAGCAATGGCAGGAGCTATATCAGCCCTGGTGAGAAGGACTTGATACTGTTGTGTCCATGCCTAGTCTCTACTCCTGTCACCATGGCCATGCCATTAATGAGCCAATTGCAAAAGTACTGGAATGGCCATGGAGAGACACTGACATCCAGAAGACAAAAGTCATCCTGTCTACTTGGTTGTTGATGCTCTATTGATTCACTATGGTGGATGCTCATGGACATTAACATAGGATTTAAAAAATCCTCACCCTTTATGCCTATCCTCATAGGTCCATCCATATGCCTTGGCCCTATACCTCCTTATAGAGAAAGCTGATAAAAGCAGACATTAGAAAGCTAGTCATTATTGTAGGCCTCTGAATGTGACTCAGAGTTTTCTGCCCAAAAGCCAGAAAGGGCAGCTCTACTCACCAGATCCTATCTTTATTAGTCAAGGGTTGCCCCAGGGAATGTTAATTCTCTCAAATGTCTAGATTTGCATTCTAGGTTTGCATATGTGTGAGTGCTCAGGAGATTCTAGCAGACATCTATTCAGCTTAGAAAAACTCAGGCTAGAGAGTGGAACAGATTCACAGTGCAGCTGAGACAAGATCCTTATCTGGTTATACCTGGGCATAGCTGCTTGCTGCAGCAAAAGTTGGAAAAAAAGGTGGGTTGAGAGGATATGAGATGAAGCCTAAGAGGTGTCTGATATACCTTCAAAACCTGGGAAGGCAGATATGACTGTGAGAAAGTGTTAAATTATGTATTTCAGCTAATTAGATAATAGGGTATTTAAAAATATATGCTAATTGTATGGTGCTCTCAACAAACGCAAAAGTTGTTAGCAAAGGAAGAGATCAATTGGGCTAGAATTGGCAGAAAAGGAGCTGGTGTCTTGAGCCATGGCTGGTGGGGAGCTGAGGATTCTGAGTAGAGTCCCTCCATGTTAAGGAAGGTGAATTGACAATGCCCTGGAGAAGAGGTGGAGTCAAGCACAAGACAGACAGACTGCCATCTTTGTTGTGATACAGTGTAGTACATGGCTAAATAAACATGCTTTGGAGTAAGACAGGTCTGTTTTGAATCGTGGCTGTACTGCTTGGGTAAGTTCCTTAAGCTCCTCACACTTTAGTTTCCTCATTTGTCTAATGAAAACAGTGCCTACTTCATAGATTCATAATGAGGGTTCAAATAATTAATTTACATAAAATACTTAAAATAGTGCCTGGTACAACATAAGCCCCAGCAAAGATGAGCTAATACTATTAATAGGGAAAGTACAAACAATGGCTTTTTAAAAGCGAAAGGAAACCTAACTAGAACAAAATTATAAGAACAGGAAACACTGGGCAGTAAAGGGAAAACAGATACATCATATTTTCATACAGCACAAAGTAACTGACTTTAAGGAAAGTTCCACAAAAAGTATTCAGTTATGTCCTGCAAAAAGTACCCAGAGATGTCTGAGGCATCTTGGAGACACTCAGCAGAAATTCCTTTTAGACTCAGTGCAAAGAAAACTAATCAAACAATAATGGCGATGTTGACATTATCAGAAAAAGCAATGGCAAAAAACCTGTTGGTAGCACGTCTTCTTTTGGAATCTATAGGACATATGGGTAGCTTGGGCCTTTCGTCATTTCTCCAGTGTATGGCTGGATTAGCCAGGCAAATGCAATCTGCCTCCACATCAGAAGGAGAATATTTCCAGGCAGAAAGGGCTGCAGCTGTCACCGACGAACTCCAGGCATCCTGGGGATAGAATGGTTTGCTGCAGCCAAGTTTTTTGGGGAAAAATACTTCTCTTCTTACCTGAGCTGCCTACTAGTATTCCTTTGCTCATAATTTGTATGAGCAGAACAACTGTGTTGATGATTCCATGCACTGAACAGGATTGAGACACTATCAAAGCATTTGGGCGTTGGTTTGACAAGTTATCCAAGATATCACGAAGAGTTTCCTTTTTGGTCTTCTGCCTTCAAGGTGCACCCTCTCCAATGCTAAAGTTCTCTGTGAATCTGCCTTCGCAATTAGCATGAAGACATAAATGACCTTTGGCAATCATTAGCTCCTTAATCATCATCTGCCTTCCCTTTATTCTCCAACAGATCCTGACCCACTTCATTTTTGTGTTATAAAAACCTTCCATTATTTTCTGAGTTCAAAGGGCCTTCTTTAAATCTTTTCTTTTATTATAAAAGTAATACTTGCTTATTAGGAAAAAAAATCAGAGAATTTACAAGGTTGCAAAGTGAAAAGTAAAAGATTCACTCCCCACTTGACCAAGAAACACCCCCACCCTACTCCCTACAGGTTCACCATTGACAAGAGTGAGTTGGGTATGCTTCCAGACATTCCCCTTTTTTCGAAGGGGATTGTACCCCCTCCACACAACTCACAAGCATTGCTGCCTTGCAACTTACTTTTTTATTGAACAATATTGGGAATATCTTTTCATGTGTTCATATAGATTCAACTCATTATATTTAATGAGTAAATAGTATTCCATTGTGTGGCTTACCAGGAATTTTCTAACAAGTCCCTGATTAATGGGATACTTAAAGATATTCTCAATCTTTCTCTGTTACAAACCATTCTGATATGAACACACATATATATATAATTGTGTACTTGTGAAAGTGCATGTCTAGAATAAATTCTTACAAGCCTATTTTGCTAAATTTCATGGTGTGTACATTTAACATTTTGACATATATTGCTAAAATTTGAACCAATTTACACTCCCATTAGCAGCATATGAGAGTGTCTGTGATTCCACTCCCTCCCAAGGTTCCTGACAAAGTAGCCTGGGCTTTGAAATCAGGCAGAAAGGTTTCTGAATCCTGGCTCTGTCATTTATTAGCCCTGTGACCACTTTTAAACTAGTAGGCCCTTTGGGGCCTCAGTTTTCTGTCCCGTGAAATGGAAAAAAAAAAAAACCTTCTGTAACTGCTTTAATAGTTAAGTGAAATGATGCAATTGAAGGACCTAGTACATTGCCTGTCAGACGGTAGCCACTCAGCACAAGCCATTTCCCTTAACTTCAATTTCCTAACGTGACATTCTGGTTTATACCTGCTTCTCACTGGGGTGTCTCCTCTTCCTGGTATGCCCTTTTCTTACAGTGAGGTAACAAGAGACACATATGCTGGAGTTTGATAATCACTTTCTTTCTTTTTTTTTTTTTTTTTTTTTGAGACAGGTCACTCTGCCGCCCAGGCTGGAGTGTAGTGGTGCAATCATGGTTCACTGCAGCTTCAAGTTCCTGGGCTCAAGTGATCCTCCCGCCTCAGCCTCCAGAGTAGCTGGCTGGGACTACAGGTGCATGCCACCACCCAAGGCTCATTTTTATTTTATTTTATTATTTTTTGTAAAGAAGGAGTTTCACTTTGTTGCCCAGGCTGGTCATGAACTCCTGGACTCAAGCGATCCTCCCATCTTGGCCTCCGGAAATGCTGGGATTACAGGTGTGAGCCACTGAGCTGGCCAATAATCATTTTCTTCTTTAATTTCATCTGCATTTGCATGTCATTACAGAGGTGATGACACTTCTCTGGGGCATCATTTCTGGGAATTTGAGCATTCTTTGCTAATCAGTTCCAGAACTAATAAGTTAACTACCGATTCCTTTTGTATCATTTTTGTACAAATTCACCAACCCTAAAAGATTATAGAGACTTCAGCAAAGAAGTGACTTTTGTGGGTTGTAGGGTGACTGAAGTTTCTCCTTCAGAAAAAGATTCCTGAAGTCTTCCTCATAGAAGATTATATATAACCCCCACCAGTCCCATGACCTACCCTCTGGTCACAGACAAAAATATCAAAAAATAACTGGCAGCTTCTATTTATTCTCAACCTACGTAAGCTCAAACAGTACAATTCAATCATTGGGTGATGCTTATAGCTACCTTATAGTATGTGCATTCACTGAGTAAGTCCACAGTTTTTTCTGTTTTCTGAGTTTCTGGCCTGAGCCATTGAAGACTAGGGGATTGTAGCTTAGCTGATTCACTTCCCAGCAGCTCAACCCTACTTTTATAATTAGATTTTATTATTATGATCTGGGAGAACTAAAGACAAGACCACCCCAACCAGGTCCATTAACTTATGAGAAAGGATTGTACCCAGTGAAGAAGTGGGGAAAGCAGACACATTCAGACTGTTCTCCATGCAGTGTTTCTTCTTCAGGGATCTTTCCCAATTGCTAGAAAGTAATTCAGCTCACAAAGCTCAGATGGCATCATGTTGTGGGGAATGAGATGTGATGCTCTGTGCAGCAAGGGCACCCTAAAGTTAAGAAGATCTCTGTGAGCATTGACTGCAAGGAGATTTTAGTTTTAGCATGAAAAGCCAATATCAGATCATTTGAATTTATTTTCCACTTCAGTTTGCCCATCTACTCCAGGAAATCTGATTTAAATATATTTTATCAGAAGCTTTCCACAGACACCAAGTTACCTAGCAACTCCAAGTTGCCTTTAGTGAGTTGTTTCCAACATAAAGAGAGTTCAGAACTTGGGGATGATGTGTTTTTAGCCTTCAAAGTTTACGAAGCAAGAATTAAATATTGAAACTGCCATTCTCACTCTGCATGAATGTAGAACCTATTTAAATTACATAGAGTCTTGGGGGCTGTATTTCTAAAGAGAAATTTTTAATTAACCTACATGACCATAAATGTAAATGAAATAGTTCTGTTTAATTTGCAATAACCAATCCAAATGCAGCATTGCTCAGGTTTAATTTAAGATCTTTAACAAAATCTAAATTAGTGCTTTGCATTTTGTGCTTGCTTTGGTAAGTCAAAAAGATTGAGTATTTCTAGACCTTGGCAAATATATCCCCTGGCTCCATTGTAAGGATATGGGCTTAGACCTGTAGATGGTGAGTTGAGCACACGCAGAAACATCACTATTCTCCAAACACATAGGAATGATAGATTCAATATTAAATATATATGTATATATAAATGCATGGCCACAATCTAAAGCATAAAAGGAAAATCTTTATGGATCACAAACTGAAAGGAAAACCCAGTGGTTAGCAAGAACTGAAGCTGCACACAGCGCATGGGGAGCCCAGAGTGAATAAGGCCACCAAGGTTGGAGTCTTAACACCAGCTTAGGGACTGGCAGCTAACACCTGCTGCATGTGGTAGGAAACTGGGACTAGGCTCCCCACATGAAGCAGGAAGCCAAAGCCTCTTTAGCGTGTTTGTGAACAGGAACGAAAATCACTTTGCTCATTACCCAAGGTTGTAACCAGAAATATACTATTTGCAATGCTCAGCCAAATTATTATTTAAGAGTGAGGATGAAGTAATCATATTTTCAGATAGACAAAGACTCTGAAAACTTCCAACCCTCAGATTCTCACAAATCTAATACCCAAATCTAAATGTAAATAGGTAGTACAATAATATTAACTATAATACTATCAATAATTTTTTACATAAAACAAGTTAGAACTAAAATTCTAAACAATTACAAGGATTTTAATTGGGGTGGATAATTTTGGGGACAGACATATTGTTCTGAGGTTTTTATCTTGTTTGGAAAGATAATAGAATCTGCTTCAATTTAGATACTTCAAAAAATATTAATATAACTACCTCTGTAGAATTGTAAAGTATATGAGCTGTGTTTCTGACTGAGGTCTTGAAGTCTAGGATACCAGCTCATATTAAGGAGACAAGAGTGAGGAAACATTGAGCAAAAATCATTTTCCATCAGCAACAAAGCAAAAGTAGGAGACAGAATAGTGACTTCAGATGTATAGAGAAGCTAAGTTACCAGCAACAGAAGAGATTTTGAGCCAACAGGGTGAAAAGGCCTAGGGCAAAGCTTTGGGTTACTGAGGTGACATGCTGCAGCTTGGTCAGCTGGAGTCAAACATACCTTTTAGTAGTCTTTCTAAGGCAGTAGTTCCCAAGCTTTTTCGTCCAAAGACCCCTTTACACTCTTAAAAATTTTAGAATTTTAGCGAGGACTCTAAAGAGCTCTTTGTGGGCGTATTAGTCTGTTCTCATGCTGCTAATAAAGATATAACTGAAACTAGATAGTTTATAAAGGAAACAAGTTTAATGGATTCACAGTTCTGTGGCTGGAAAGGCCTCACAATCAAAGGAAGACAAAGGAAGAGCAAAGGGACATCTTATTTGGCAGCAGGCAAGAAAGTGTGTGCAGGATAGCTGCCTTTTTTAAAAAAAATTATACTCTAAGTTCTAGGGTACATGTGCACAACATGCAGGTTTGTTACATATGTATACATGTGCCATGTTGGTTTGCTGCACCCACTGATTCGTCATTTACATTAGGTATTTCTCCTAATGCTATTCCTCCCTGCTCCCCGCCACCCCACAACAGGTCCTGGTGTGTGATGTTCCCCGCCCTGTGTCCAAGTGTTCTCATTGTTCAATTCCCACCTATGGTGTTTGGTTTTCTGTCCTTTTGATAGTTTGCTCAGAATGATGGTTTCCAGCTTCATCCATGTCCCTAAAAAGGACATGGACTCATCCTTTTTTATGGCTGCACAGTATTCCATGGTGTATATGTGCCATGCTTTCTTAATCCAGTCTATCATTGATGGACATTTGGGTTGTTTCCAAGTCTTTGCTGTTGTGAATAGTGCCGCAATAAACATATGCGTGCATGTGTCTTTATAGTAGCATGATTTATAATCCTTTGGGTATACCCAGTAATGGGATGGCTGGGTCAAATGGTATTTCTAGTTCTAGATCCTTGAGGAATCGCCACACTGTCTTCCACAATGGTTGAAGTAGTTTACACTCCCACCAACAGTGTAAAAGCATTCCTATTTCTCCACATCCTCTCCAGCACTTTTTAATGATCGCCATTCTAACTGGTGTGAGATGGTATCTCATTGTGGTTTTGATTTGCATTTATCTAATGACCAGTGATGATGAGCATTTTTTCATGTATCTGTTGGCTGCATAAATGTCTTCTTTTGAGACGTGTCGGTTCATATCCTTTGCACACTTTTTGATGGGGTTGTTTGATTTTTTCTTGTAAATTTGTGTAAGTTCTTCATAGACTGTGGATATTAGCCCTTTGTCAGATGGGCAGATTGCAAAAATTTTCTCCCATTCTGCAGGTTGCCTGAGAACTGCCCTTTTATAAAACCATCAGATCTCATGAGACTTATTCACTATCAGGAGACCAGCATGGGGAAAAACCCACCCCATGATTCAATTACCTCCCACCTGATCCCTCCCACAACATGTGGGGATAATGGGAGCTACAATTCAAGGTGAGATTTGAGTGGAGACACAGCCAAACCATATCAGTGGGCTAATGTGAGATAGATAGATAGATAGATGATAGATAGATAGATAGATAGATAGATAGATAGATAGATAGATAGATATATTTATCATGTTAGAAGCTAAAACTGGGAACATTTAAAAACTCGATACAAAAGGACACATTTCATGCACTATCAGAATAAGGATGTCATCACATCACCTGACCTCTGAAAAACTCCTCTGTAAACGTATGTCAGAATGAGAGAGAAAAAGATAAATAAAGTCTTGATATGATCTGAAAATAGTTTTGACCTCACAGACCCCTGTGAAATAGGCTGGAATATCCCCAGGGATCCCAGACCTTATTTTGAGTCCCAGTTCTAAGGGATAGAACATACCATATACTTGTTCAATGTCAACCCATAAGGTTGGCCTCCATCTGACTAAGCTCCGGGTGAGGGTTTCTACTCTGGCCCTTTTCTGAACTCACAGAACTCATTGCCAGAAACACATGGGTTGCTTATTTGGACCATCTTTGATAGTCTTGTTTTGTTTTATAATTCAATTTTTAAATAAATGTATGTCTTTTTAATTTGATCAGAATTTCTGGAGGGCAAGACATGAATATTCTAGTTCTTTATTCCCAAAGGAATTAATATGGGATACTATGAAGTTAGTAAGAATTAATGGTGATTATAATGGCTCTGGATTTATTAATTAGTTGTAACTATAATGGCCACTCTTAAAATGATTCAGCAAATTACTTTATCATAGATCAACAAAGCAACAGGAATCAAATTGAATTTGGTCTCTTTCTATTCCAGGTGGTCAATAGCATTAGAGTGCAACCAGTCTCCAAGGTCAGACAGAATGGATTCATGCACAGGTCCTACTTCTCTGTTCCCATCTGATTGGCTGGTAAATTCTGTCATTTTACTGTGGAACTGTCCTCTGGGATGGCCCTTTCCTCCCATTCCTACTGTCACTTCCTCAGTCAAGTTTTCAGCACTTCTTGCCTTGAGTATAGGAGCAGCCTCCTTATTAGAGCTCCTGGCCTGACTCTCATCTCTTCTCATTCCAGTACATGTGCCTCACGGTCACTGCTCATTTTCCTGAAAGCAGGCTTGATCTTTGTATTCTTCTCGTGTAAAAATTACCTGTGACAACAAAGTCTATTTGACTGGATGCCAGGGTATATCAGGTTTTACTTTCCTAATACACTTGGCTAAAGGGTGGTCTTCAGAGTGGGTGCTCTGGTCTCATGTGGCCCTGGGCCAACAGGCAGAATAAGATTACCTAACTACACAGTCAAAAGATAGAGTTTACCTGGGATGTATAGGCTACATGACAGAAAAAAATTCTGGATTTCTTTAAAGTGGAATCTGGAAGAGCAGACTGCCCCCAGCCACTGTAGATTATGCTAAAGTGTTTCTTTTTCCACTCCAACTCACTCTATACTTCTACTTTGCCTCTGGAAGAGTTTCCTAGCATAGAACCTACCACAAGAAGTATACCAGTGATTCTCAATGAGGAGCAATTTTGTCCCCAGGAGACATTTGGCAATGCCTAGAGACATTTTTGGTTGTCACAAATTGGGGGTGAGAGCCACTGGCATCTAGTGAGCATTCAGGGATGCTGCTGAACATGCTACAATGCACTGGCCAGCCCCCCACAACAAAGAATTATCTGGCCCAAAATGTCAATAGTGCTGAGGTTGGGGAATCCTGACAGGCACAATGTAGCTTTAGTAATATATGTAATAATTTCTCTATATAATGTCCCTGAGAAGCTTATAGGGGTATCTCTTCCATGACCATTTGCAACCTGAGATCACTGCCCAGATGGAGTCAGCCTCTCATATGGCTACACAATAAAGCTCAGACTCTCAGACCTGATGTTGGAGCCCCTTCCGGATGTGCTCCTGCTTCCATCAGCTTCATTGTCCTCCCCTTATTGCTGCCTGCCTTATCTTACACTACATTAAACTCCCACTGTCCCCTGAAATGCCACACTCTTCAAATCTTTGTGTGGACTCTTCTCTGATTGGCCTACCCTCTCTTTTAATTTACTTAGCAGATGTCTACTTATCTTTAAAGACTCAGCTCAATTAAAGCCCTCCCTGACACCCTCTCCTGTCTGTGCACACCTATTCCTCAGACTTTCTATTTCTTTTATAGTACTTGTTTATTTGTCTTTCTTACTGCTCTGTGGATTTTTAAAATCTTTTATATTAATTTGATTGACAGCAATTAGCACTGGGCCTGGCACTTGGTAAGTGCTCAAAAATTATCCATCAAGTGTATATATGCGTGTACTTGTATGTGTATACACACATGAGTAAATGCATGCACAAGTGGATGGAAACACACACACACACACACACACACACACACACATACGCCAAAGAAAAAGACTGGCTGAAGAGAGACTTTATCGCCATTGCTGTGCAAGATTTCTTCTCCCAGACACTTGCATAGTGTTCCTGGGGTAGGAATTTAAATCAAGATTCAAATAACCAATATGAAAAATCATCTATGTACACATAGGTGTTCAGATGCTTGCCTATTGTTCAAATGCCAAAATGTTGCCAATGCAACAGGTACATCTCCAGCCAAAGGAGACCTGGTACAACATTCCAGAATTGTATATGGAATAGGATTTCATCAATAGTACAATCAAAGTTGCCTGTGTTTTTCCTAGAGTGTAACCAAGACTGAGAAATCACCCCTGAATCTACTCACCGAGAGCTGAGAATGCTGAGACACAGAGTGTGTGTTCTGTGTGCACATATAAAGGAACAATGCTTGGTGCTAAATCCATTAAAATCTGAATTCTATGCTCATTGGTCATTTTTGTTAATTTGTTTAGTGAATCACTGGATGAACCAGCCACACGTGAATCCTGATTCACAAGCTGGGGAGCTGTGGGGGCAAGGCTCCCTTGGTCTGTCTTTTTCCATCTATAAAATGCTCTTTGGCACCTCATGAGGTCATAGGATAAATGGATCATGTATAGAACCCAATTCTGCCTGAATCCAGAGTTAATCTGGAGCATACATATTATGTATATATCTCACATAATGGATATCTAGCAGATTCAGAAGTATAATGTTACTACAGTGGGTCTTCATTACCTGTGGTTTTCTATAGGCTGGATCTGATTTCTCTCTGCTCCTTTTTTATTTTTTTAATGGAGAAACAAAAGCTTTACATATAAGATGTTCATTAAAGTATTGGTAAGAGGATGGAAAGGAGAATATTGACTAATATTGAGGATTTTTATGAACCTACTACATCCCAGGAAAATTGGAAATGAGCAAATATAATTAGAGTTTTCAAAAGGGGATGAAAGTGGGTTTCCAAGACTATGATGTAGAAGCCAAGGATTTAGTTTGAGAACTTTGGGCCTCAGTTTGTTGAACACATTGATATTGAAAGTTTGTCCCCAGCCATGGAGGGTTCCTAAGTTGGAGGACATTTGATTTTCTACAGCATCAAAATGAATGGTGAGGAGCTAAGTACAGATGATGTACTAACTTAGTACAACTATGTACTATTAATAACCAACCCTGCTAAGGGGTTTCCATGACACTGACAGAGATCAACAGGAAAGGAAGCTTCTGTGACTCAACAGATGAATTGCATACATAACGCTAGATTAAACCAGGAAGAAGTTGAATCCCTGAATAGACCAATAACAAGTTCTGAAATTGAGGCAGTGATAAATAGCTTACCAACCAAAAAAAAAAAAAAAAAAAACCCAGGACCAGACAGATTTACAGCTGAATTCTACCAGAAGTACAAAGAAGAGCTGGTATCATTTCTTCTGAAACTATTCCAAACAATTGAAAAGAGGGGACTTCTCTCCAGCTCATTTTATGAAGCCAGCATCATCCTGATACCAAAACCTGGCAGAGATACAACAACAACAAAAAAGGAAACTGCAAGCCAATATCCCTGATGAACATTGATGCAAAATTTTTCAATAAAATACTGGTAAACCAAATCCAGCAGCACATCAAAAAGCTTATCTACCACGATGAAATCGGCTTCATCCCTGGGATGCAAGCCTGGTTCAACAATATGCAAATCAATAAATATAATTCATCACATAAACAGAACTAAAGACAAAAACCACATGATTATTTCAATAGATGCAGAAAAGGCCTTCAATAAAATTCAACATCACTTCATGTTAAAAACTCTCAATAAACTAGGTATTGATGGAACATATCTCAAAATAGTAAGAGCCATTTATGACCAACCCACAGCTAGTATCATACTAAACAGGCAAAAGCTGGAAGTATTCCCCTTGAAAACTGGCACAAGGCAAGGATGCCCTCTCTCACCACTCCTATTCAACATAGTATTGGAAGTTTTGGCCAGGGCAAACTGGCAAGAGAAACCTGGCAATAAGAAATAAAGAGTATTGAAATAGGAAGAGAGGAAGTCAAACTGTCCCTGTTTGCAGATGACATGATCCTCCATCTAGAAAACCCCATCATCTCAACCCAAAAGCTCCTTATGCTGATAAGCAACTTCAGCAAAGTCTCAGGATGCAAAATCAATGTGCAGAAATCACAAGCATTCCTATACACCAACAACAGACAAGCAGAGAGCCAAATCATGAATGAACTCCCATTGACAATTGTTATGAAGAGAATAAAATACCTAAGAATACAGCTAACAAGGGAAGTGAAGGAACTCTTCAAGGAGACCTACAAACCACTGCTCAAGGAAATAAGAGAGGACACAAACAAATGGAAAAACATTTCATGCTCGTGGATAGGAAGAATCAATATTGTGAAAATGGCCATACTGCCCAAAGTAATTTATAGATTCAATGCTATTTCCATTAAACTACCATTGACATTCTTCACAGATTTAGAAAAAACTACTTTAAAATTCATATGGAACCAAAAAAGAGTCCATATAGCCAAGAAAATCCTAAGCAAGAAGAACAAAGCTGGAGGCATCATGCTACCCAATTTCAAACTATACAAGTCTACAGTAACCAAAACAGCATGGTACTGGTACAAAAACAGGGACATAGGACAATGGAACAGAATAGAGATCTTAGAAATAAGACCACACATCTACAACCATCTGATCTTTGACAAACCTGACAAAAGCAAGCAATGGGGAAAGGCTTCCCTATTTAATAAATGGTGCTGGAAAAACTGGCTAGCCATCTGCAGAAAAGTGAAACTGAATCCCTTTCTCATACCTTATACAAAAATTAACTCAAGATGGATACCTATGTAACAAACCTGCACGTTCTGCACATGTACCCCAGAACTTAAAGTATAATAATAATAAAAATAAAGAGACTTAAATGTAAAACCCAATACTATAAAAACCCTAGAGGAAAATCCAGGCAATGCCATTCAGGACACAGGCGCAGGCAAAGATTTCATGACAAAAACATCGAAAGCAACTGCAACGAAAGCAAAAATTAACAAATGGGATCTAATTAAACTAAAGGGCTTCTGTACAGCAAAAGAAACTATCATCAGAGTAAATAGACAACCTACAGAATGGGAGAAAATTTTTGCAATCTATCCATCTGACAAAGGTCTAATATCCAGAATCTACAAGGAACTTAAACAAATTTACAAGAGAAAAACAATCCCATCAAAAGGTGGGCAAAGGACATGAACAGACACTTTTCAAAAGAAGACATTTATGTAGCCATCAAACATGAAAGCTCAACATCACTGATCATTAGAGAAATGCAAATGAAGACCACAATGAGATACCATTTCATGCCAGTCAGAATGGTGACTATTAAAAGTCAAGAAACAACAGATGCTGGTGAGGCTGTGGAGAAATAGGAAAGCTTTTATGCTGTTAGTGGGAATGTAAATTAGTTCAACCATTGTGGAAGATGGTGTGGTGATTCCTCAAAGATCTAGAACCAGAAATACCATTTGACCCAGCAATCCCATTACTGAGTATATACCCAAAGGAATATAAATCATTCTATTATAAAGATATATGCATGCATATGTTTATTGGAACACTATTCACAATAGGAGAGACATGGAATCAACCCAAAGGCCCATCAATAATAGACTGGATAAAGAAAATGTGCTACATATACACCATGGAATACTATGCAGCCATAAAAAGGAATGACATCATGTCCTTTGCAAGGACATGGATGGAGCTGGAAGCCATTATCCTCAGCAAACTAACACAGGAACAGAAAACCAAATACCACATGTTCTCACTTATATATGGGAGCTGAACAATGAGAACACATGGACACAGGCAGGGGAACAACACACACTGGGCCCTGTTGGAAGGGCAGGGTGAGGGAGAGCATCGTGACAAATAGCTAAGGCATGTGGGGCTTAATACCTAGGTGATGAGTTGATACGTATACCACCATGGCACACATTTACCTGTGTAACAAACCTGCACATCCTCCACATATATCCCAGAACTTAAAATTATATTTTTAAAAAAGAAAAGCATATGTGAAAAAAAAGATAATGCCAGATTATAAATGGAAAAGGAGGCCCAATAGAACTAGCAGTAAAGAAGAGACTACGCTTGGTTGTAAAGCTTTGAAATATCAACTCATATTTCTATTTTGTGAAAATGCATCCAGAGACTGCAAAGAGAAAACCTTCTTTGCCTCTGTGGACTTGGAAACCAAAGGACCCAAGGACAGGTATCAATTTATAACTTGTTGGTAAATAGAGATGTTTCTCTATTGGAAAATATGTGGAGCAGAGAACGTATTATGTAGGTACGTAAAGAGTATAACGAAGATCAAAGACTGGCAATTACAGGAAGTTGGAATTTTGGCTTAGCATAAGAAAATATTTTATAATCACCATCCCTGCTGTAAAAGGAAATGGCTTCCCTTTGTGGGTAGTGAGCAACCTGTCCCTGGAAATGTTTAAGCAGAAGCTGCACAGTGATATAGAGGTGGATTGTGAGCATCTGATGGGCAGATCACTCGACTGATATCCACTGAGGTCGACCAAGTGCCAGGCACTCCTCTGCATTCGTAATTTATTTGGGCCTTGTAGTCTGTTCTAATGATTCCGATTTACATGGAATCTTAGTGATCTTCATCCTCAGCTATTTTGCCCTACATCATCTTTACTGTGGATCATTGGTCATGCCTTCTACATTTTTGAAGGCTTGTGAAGCCACATAATTTTATGTTATGCATATATAAATATTTAAGAGCCAACACTGAGAGAATGCTATTGGGGAGCCGGAAGAAGAGGTGGCAAGCTCTTTGTAGCAATGTGGTATAGTGGTCAAGAATGTGAGCTTTGTATCAGACCTACTCAACTTTCCAGAGGCTCAGTTTCCTCCTCTCTTAAATGAGAATGATAACAATACTTACATCATAGATTATTGTGCCTATAAGGTACCTAATTATCATATGGTAAACCCCTGTTTAACCTCCTTATTGAGACTATTATGAGGCTCTGCACAGGTTTTCAATTAACACAGTGCCTGGTACACAGTAAGTGTTCAATAAATAGTAGCTCTTAGTAGAAATAGTAACAGTAGGAGTAATAGTAGCATTAGTAGTAATAGTACTACTACCAGGGGTAATAGTAGTAGTAATAGATGTTATAGCAGCATCAGGAGCAGCTGAGCTAGTGTCAGAGGCATTCAAATCAGAGCGACTCCATCGTGAATACAGGCTGGGTAAAATGAAGATGAGACCTACTGGGCTGCCTTCCCAAAAGGTCAGGCATTCTTAGTCACAAGATGAGATAGGAGGTTGGCACAAGATACAGATCACAAAGACCCTGCTGATAAAACAGGATGTGGTAAAAAAGCTGGCCAAAACTCACCAAAATCAAGACGGCAATGAAAGTGACTTCTGTTAGCTGGGCGTGGTGGCAAGTGCCTATAATCCCAGTTACTTGGGAGGCTGAGGCAGAAGAATTGCTTGAACCCGGGAGATGGAGGTTGCAGAGAGCCGAGATTGTGCCACTGCACTCCAGCCTGGGCAACAGAGTAAGACCCTGTCTCAAATAAATAAATAATAAATGAATAAATAAAATAATAAAAAAAAAAGAATGTGACTTCTAGTCGTCCTGGCTGATCATTATATGCTAATTATAATGCATTAACATGCTAAGACACTCCCACCAGCACCATGACAATTTACAAATGTCATGGCAATGTCAGGAAGTTACCGTATATGGTCTAAAAGGAGGAGGAATCCTCAGTTCCAGGGAAATCCCCACCCCTTCCTAGAAAACTCATGAGTAGTCCACCCCCTGTTTAGCATATAATCAAGAAATAACTATAAGTATATTCAGTTGAGCAGCCCACATCGCTGCTCTGCCTATGGAGTAGCCATTCTTTTATTCTTTTACTTTCTTAATAAACTTGCCTTCACTTTACTATATGGACTTGCCCCAGATTCTTTCTTGTGCGAGGTCCAAGAACCCTCTCTTGGGGTCTGGATTGCGACCTGTTTTCATAACACTAGGATTTAAATTACACATCCGGACTCCAAATTCAGTCCTTTTTCCAAAACCTGACAATGTGAGTTTTATGCTTGTTCCCATTTTGCTATGTAGTGGTTAGATGTGTGGTTTGAGACTTCAAGTGTTTCTCCCTTTTAAAAGTGAGAAGATCAGACTAATAATAGAAAGTAGATTTGTCCTCTGTGGTTTCTGGACTCTTTACTCTGAAAAGGATATTGTGAGGATGATGTGAAAACAATAGGAAGATGCAGAAATCCCAGTTTCACTAGTACACAATGCAGTTTATGCCAGTTTTAGAGTTAATAATAGTCCCCTTTCACTCTAAAAATTGTCATAGTTTGGGCAGGGCGCAGTGGCTCACACCTGTAATCCCAGCGCTTTGGCAGACCGAAGTGGGTGGATCACTTGAGGTCAGGAATTTGAGACCAGCCTGGCCAACATGGTGAAACCCTGTCTTTACTAAAAATACAAAAATTACCCGGGCGTGATAGTGGGTGCCTGTAATCCCAGCTACTCGGGAGGCTGAGGCAGGAGAATCACTTGAAACCAGGAGATGGAGGTTGCAGTGAGCCAAGATCACACCACTGCACTCCAATCTGGGCAACAGAGTGAGACTCCGTCTCAATAAAATAAAATAAAAAATAAAAAATGTCATAGTTTGGATGATTAACTATATGATTACTCTAAATATAATACACTCTTAATTGTAGTCATTTAAACTTAGACCAAATTGCACTGACTCCAGACAAATTGTAATCAAACTAGTATTTTTTTAAAAGCAACTGTCACTTTTAAGTGAATGAGTGTCACTCTCATGGGCATAGATAAATAGCCTATCAAAATTGTCCAAGCAGGACCACTTGCAAAGAATTTTCCTGTTTCTCGGAGTATCTGGAATGTGAAATTGACATTCTTTCTTGCAGAAATCTGTCTTATGAATAGCGTTTATTGTTTTTCTTTCTGAGAGCTTGGTGAAAAATGAGTGTGTGTTGGGCTGGGGAGGGAGGGGTAGAAGAGCTCAGGTGACTCTGTCTTTGAATACAGGAGATGTAGCATGGAGATATGCCCCAGGCTTTTTCGGTGCAGAAGGAAGGTGAGTGAACGAGCAGCTCCATAGCCAGCCTGCAGTTGGAATGGGGCCGGAGACTCCTACTTTGGCATCAGCTGCTCCACACTCCCTAGATCAAATATCAGCTGCCAGGACCAACTGGTGCCTCCTGGAGGTCTTTAAAAAATGATTTTCCAGCTGTGAAAGGCTGTGCCATTGTTCTGCTGTTTGGCCACCTTCTCTCTGGCCAGCCCACTGGCAGCAGCCATGCAGGGCAGCCAGAATGAGTCAAATCAAAGGGTGGACAATACAGCAGCCACCCAGCCACCGTCCCTCCTCCCTCGGCTGTCTGATGTCAGATCATCAAAGGCCCTGCATATGGCCCTGTGCTTGCTCTTCATTCACCTCACAGGCCTCTAGAATTTTCACAAGTCAGAGGAGGCGCCAGGAGAAAATTTGCGGCCCCTGAGGGTGCCCTAGGGGTGGTTAATAGCCAGGGAGGGTGACAAGAAAGGGGGAAGTTTAGTGTTCTGCGGATCCCAATTGTTTGGCTAACAGCCGGAGGTTGACCTTGAGCTTGCGTCTGCCACATGGCAGAGGCACCAGCCGGGCAGCATGTTCTGAAGGATCAGGAATAATGGAACTTGAAAATGCAAATGGCTTTAATGAATACTTCTCCCCTTCCACCCCCTACGCCAAAGCTCCGTGTGTTCGAAGAAACCTTTCTCAGTTTACAGCGAAAAGTCACTTACCTCTTGCTCTACATCTAAAAGTACAGTTTCAGCACAAAGATATTTCATAAACAGAGACCCATCCTGTCAAGGCCCCTGCTCGCAGCCTGACTTTCCTAGATCCCAGGGAAGCACCATGTGTCGTGACTTGATCCCAGCTCAGGGCAGTGGCCAAAGGGTGACTACAGACAGAGAACGTGTCTTGGCCTTTTATGAGAACCATAATCTGGAACTGAGAAGGTAAAAGCACTACTGTGGACTTATCTGACACTGGCAATGGGTCCATGTAGAACAGACCGGGCAGCTGTGTGTGCTCCTGGGGCTGCCTGCAGCGTTGCTCCCTCAGTCCAGCCAGGACACAGCGCACCAAGCTGGTACGGAAGGGAGTGGCACCTTATAGCAATTCCTGCTGCTCTGCCTCACTCCACTGCCCCAGACACTGGTATCTCCTTCCTTCTAAAATGCAGATTGGGAGAGAATTGAGGGGCTCACCTTGTGCCTCGTCAATGCTGTTGCTGATTAACTTGACTTTACCTCTAATGATCTATCAGATAGTTGGCCAGGTGGGATTCATCCTTGGCCTTAAATTCTGAGCCCCAGCAGCTTTGGGTGGCGTAATCAACTTCTTTTAAAAAAGAAAATTGCTCCCCTTTATTTCCCATACCTAAATTCTGATCCTGGCACTTGTGGCTCACTTTCAACCCTTAAGGGGTTTGCATATAGGTAGGGAAGCTCGATCTATGTAATACAATGTATGAGATAGAGGAGGCCTATGAAATATGAAAGTGAATGTGGGTTGTCATAATTTTCATCTCCGTATCTCTCAGTTATTCAAAGTGTTCTGTAAACTGTAAAGTAATATGCAAATGTAATCTGTTGTTGCTACAGTTATTTTATTTTTAAAAAAGATAAGCAGCAGTTATTATATTATTTTGTAGAATTGGATATATGAGAAAAATCAAGTGAACACAAAAAGCACTAGCTTTGCCCCATGGCAGTTGTTCAAAATCTGTTTCCAAGGGTCACATTTGTGTGGCATTGTTTGCCCTGAGCTCCACTGTAAAGACAAATTAGAAGTATGCATCATCTTAAAAATGGGCTTTGGAAACAAAGCCAGTTTGGAACAAATTTTAAGGGATGTGATACTAACATTTTCAATTGTAAGCTATACAAACTGCATTAATCAATGGAAAACTATTATTAGATGCAGGGTGTTCCACCATACATTACCTGCTGTATCCTCATAAACAAGCTCTATCTAGGGGGGCTTATTTATAGGCTGTAGAGTTTGCATAAAGAAAGAAAAAAAATAAATTGGAGGCTCTTTGAATATGGCATAGTGATGAGATCTCATTTATTATTACTTTTTAAATCTACATGTCTCTTCAAATGCTTAAATTATTTTTATTGAACAGCAAGCTTAGGCAATGAACCTGGATTTATACAGTTGTTCTTGAAAGGGGCTTTGAAAGTGTTGTGAGGTAATTTTTTCAGAAAGGAAAAACTTAGTTACAGAGCCATAGACCATTGTCCTGAAGGAGGAGGAATTAGTCAGTGTTTCTGTAAAGGTGGTTAACCTGCAGGCAGAAACAACTGCTCAGGACATTTTGCAAATTTACATTTACGTTTGCTGATTCCATATTAAACTGAACAACCAGGCACATAGAAGGAAAAACCCTCTTTTAATTAACCCTCTTGGTGTGGGCCCATGTGATTAAATATGATGGAGCTGCTCCTGGGGTTTCTGCTACTGAAAATACTAACAATAATCATTTGTTTTGTTTTTATATTTAAACACATTATTGCATAGCTTGGTGCAGAGATAATTACCAATTTTATCTCCTGTGTTTTTCTAATGTTCATTAATAACAATAAAGGGTTGTAGGTTAAAAACTCATTTAATTGCCTTTATGTTAATGACATTATGAATAGCCCTAGCTACAAGATTCTAATTCTGTCCAGTATCCTCCTTCTCAGTGGAGCCCCAGGAGGGCTGCTCATTTTATCAGCATTACTGATTCAGAGTTTTTCCTTGCAGGTGGGTTTTTGTACATAATCAGAATTAATGCACAACACATTTTGCAGGGAATGGAGTAGAAGCACTCAGAATAAGTAATTAACTAGAGTGCCCAAGGAAATATGCCGGAGCATTTTTTTTAGCATATTCATAAAACATTAAGAACAGTCATAAACACAGTAGAAACAATTTCCTGGTAATGTGCTTTTAGACTATTTTCTGGCTCCTTTTTTTTCTCACATAGGGAATTTTTTTTTTTAAACTGAAAAATCCCAGGGATGCAAATAAAACGCCCAAAGTGTGGTGCTTTGGGATTAGATGTGCTTCTGTGCTGCTGCAACCAAGCTGGCAGGAGTCTGGGTACCATTCCCCTGTCCCCACCTCCATCACATAATTTATCAGATAGGAACAGGACTGAATGCAGCTTGTAACATCCCAGGAGATGTGATTACTGCCATCCCCCCATTCCCAATCTCTAGAATTAACCTCTTTGCATGGGACAGAATGCCCAGGAAGGAGGAGGGGGCAAGAAGCAAGGGACTATTATAGTGAATGCTGTAGTGACCACCCAGTTCCCCTTAGACTGACACACTCATCCCTCTAGTTCTTGATGGCTGATGGCTCTCAGCTAAGTCACTCTCCTTGGGTTATTAAAATCATGCCCCCATCCCCAACCACAAGCATCCTGCAGAAATATGGTCAATAGGAGAGATTAACAGTCTGTGCAGCCTAGGCAACATAGCAAGACCCCGCCTCTACAAAAAAAATTTTTTTAAATTAGCTGGGTGTGGTGGTGTATGTCTGTAGTTCCAGCTACTCAGGAGGCAGAGGTGGGAGGATCACTTGAGCCCAGGAGGTTGAGGCTGCAGTGAGCCATGATCACATCATTGAACTGCAGCGTGGCCAACAGAGCATGATCCTGTCTCAAAAAAAGTCTGCCTCCTCCCTTGCCTCAAGGTGGTATAATTCACAAGGGCCATCCTGGTATCAGAGTGCCCTGTGGGATTGGGTGAGGTGTTTCTCCTGCATCCCTCATTCCTCACAGATATTGTTCCATAGAGCACTTCCTGATGAATCTCTTATGCACAAATCTCAGAGTCTTTTTCCTGGGGAACCCTGACCTACAACAGACAGGTAAGACACAGTGACAAACTAATCCATCTCCATGCTGACCGGTGGGCACTGAAGCAGTAGATACTCGCAGACCTCTTTGACCTTGGTGTCCTCTTAGGGTGTGTTGGGCACAAAGTGGCAGCAGGAGCAGGGTACAGATACTTCTCCTTCACAGGCAGGTAGCATCACATGACCAAGGCATATGAAACTGTTTTTGAAATCACAGACCTTGGAGTTAAGTGGGTGAGTTCAAATATTATCGTCCATGGCTCTTGGCTAAGTTGCGTATCATCATTGAACCTCGGTTTCCTCATCTGGAAAGTGGAGCTGAGGGCACAGGTAATGTTTGTATGGTGTTCAGCCTAGTGCCCAATATGTAATATGCTCAACAGTTTCGATAGCTTGTTTTTTCCCCTTCTCCATCTTCATACTAGTTTTTCACATGGACAGTGTAGCTCTGGATACTACAAATAATCTTCATTCTTAGCCAGATCAGTTTCTTCAAGATTGAGGTTTCAAATAAGCCTGGTTCAGGGTCTCAAAGAGATATGTATACACCCATGTTCCCAGCAGTATTATACACAATAGCTAAAATGTGGGAGCAACTCAAGTGTATTAGTCTGTTCTCACACTGCTAATAAAGACATAACCAAGACTGGGTAATTTATAAAGAAAAAGACGTTTAATGGACTCACAGTTCCACATGGCTGGGGAGGCCTCACAATCGTGGTGGAAGGCAAAGGAGGAGCAAAGGCACCCCTTACATGGCGGCAGGCCAGAGAGCATTTGCAGGGGAGTTGCCCTTTATAAAACCATCAGATCTTGTGAGATTTATTCACTATCACGAGAACAGCATGGGAAAATCCACCTCCATGATTCAAATACCTCCCACCTGGTCCCTCCCATGACACATGGGGATTATGGGAGCTACAGTTAAAGATGAGATTTGGTTGGGGACACAGCCCAAACCATATCACCAAGTGTCCATTGATAGATGAATGGATAAGCAAAATGTGGTTTGTACATGCAATGGAATCTTTTTTTTTTTTTTTTTTTTTTGAGATGGAGTCTCGCTCTGTCTCCCAGGCTGGAGTGCAGAGGTGCGATCTCGGCTCACTGCAAACTCTGCCTCCTGAGTTTAAGGTATTCTCATGCCTCAGCCTTCCAAGTAGCTGGGATTACAGGCACGCGCTATTGCATCCAGCTAATTTTTGTATTTTTAACAGAGACGGGGTTTCACCCTGTTGGCCAGGCTGGTCTTGAACTCCTGACCTCAGGTGATCCTCCCATCTCGGCCTCCCAAAGTGCTGAGATTACAGGCATGAGTCACTGCGCCCAGCCTGCAATGGAATCTTATTCAGCCTTAAAAATGAAGAAAGTTTTGACACGTACTACAACGTGGATGAACTCAGATGACTTTACACTAAGTAAAATAAGCCAGTCACAAAAAGACATATGCTGTATGATTCCAATTATATGAGGTACTTCGAGCAGTGAAAATCAGAGAGATAGAAAGTAAAATGATGGTTGCCAGGTCTGGGGGAGGGAGAAATGAGGAGTTATTGTTAAATGGGTACAGAGTTTCAATTTAACAAGAGGAAAAGAGCTTTGGAGATGGATGGTGGTGATGGTCACATAATATTATGAATGTATTTAATACCACTAACCTGTATGCTTAAAAATGGCTAAAGTGGTAATTTGTTATATGTATTTTACCACATGAGAAACAATTTGGGAAAACACTGCAATCATAATGAATATGAATTATTAAATCTTTATTTTCTTACTAAAAAAAAAGGAATATCCTTGGTTTTTTAAAATATCAGCATGCAATCTAAATGGGAACCCACAGAAGAAGGGGGAATGGGCCCAGGACAGGGCATTTGGCTAAAGGAGGAGCCAGAATGTGTGTAAGATCCCAGTTGACTCAGAAAAAGGCCAGATTTAGTTCTTCCAAACACTGGTAAAGAGAAGTAGGCATTGATATTAGTTTGCTATGTACCTCAGTCCCTTAATGCATTGGTTTATTTAATCTTCATAACATCCTTAATTAGGAAGTGTTATCATGCCCATTTTGCAGTATAGGAAACTTAGAGAGGATAAGTAACTTGCCCTAGGTTATACTGCTGATATGTTGCAAACCAAAACCCTTGCCTATAACCTCACTGAATAACAGAGAAACCCAAGGCTTTAAAATGTATTATTATTATTATTATTATTATTATTATTATTATTATTTTGAGATGCAGTCTCATTCTGTCACCCAGGCTGGAGTGTAGTGGTGCGATCTCGGCTCACTGCAACCTCCGCCTCCTGAGTTCAAGCAATTCTCCTGCCTCAGCCTCCTGAGTAGCTGGGATTACAAACACCCACTACCATGCCCGACCAATTTTTGTATTTTTGGTAGAGATGGGGTTTCACCACGTTGGCCAGGCTGGTCTCTAACTCCTGACCTCAAGTGATCCTCCTGCCTTGGCCTCCCCAAGTGTTAGGATTATAGGTGTGAGCAACCGTGCCCACATTTTTTAATTTACTTTAATGTACTTAAAGTACTTTAAGTACATAATTTTAATGTACTTAAAATTATCCCCAATATCAATATTTCCCAGCCAAATAGATGTCCTAGTCCTTTTTAATAAAAGTATCAAAAAATTCAAGTTCCATCCAAAGACCATTTTATGGTGGTGCCTGGTGCCCATGATGTTTCACAGTGAAGTCAAAATGTGCTGGTGCTTTAACCATAGAAATGTGCTTTTCCTATGGCATTCTAACTTGGAAACACAACTCCCCTGGTCTTAAAGTTAAAGACATTTGCTTTGAAAGTCCGGTTTAAGAGACATGGAAGTGATCACCTCAAAACAATGTAACATCAGATTTTGGTTAAAGATACTGCATGTTTAGCTGATTGCAGTGGCTCACACCTGTAACCCCAGCACTTTGGGAGGCCGAGGCGGGCGGATCACCTGAGGTCAGGAGTTTGAGACCAACCTGGCCAACATGGTGAAACCCCGTCTCTACTAAAGATACAAAAATTAGCCGGGTGTGATGGCGGGCACCTGTAATCCCAGCTGCTCGGGAGGCTGAGGCAGGAGAATCGCCTGAACCCAGGAGGCAGAGGTTGCAATGAGCCAAGATTGCGCCACTGCACTCCATCCTGGGCGACAGAGTGAGACTCTGTCTCAAAAATACATACATAAATAAATAAAAATTAAAAAATGTTGAAAATGTTCAAAAATGCAGAGTGCAATAATATAATTTCCTTGTAATACTATAGATATGTACAGCACATAGAAATTTATCAAATGTTTTTACACTTATTTGGCTTCACAAAAACTTGGCGGCATGATATTAGAGCCCCATTTGCCAGATGGTAAAACTTCACTTTTCTAAGGAAACTGCCCAAATGCAAAACGTTCACTTGGCAGCCAAGATGCCGAGATGAGTCTCGATCTCACTCTCTAGACCCTTTGCTACTCAAGCTGTGGTCTTTGGGGCAGCAACATCAGCATCATGTCACCTGGGAGTGTGTTAGAAATGCAGACTCTAAAATGTAATAGGAAAATAAAAGGCTGTGAAATCTGACATACCAGAAAAAAAAGGAAATCATCCATGTACCGTATTTTCTACTATTCAGCTGTAAAAAAGAATGGAATCCTGTCATTTTCAACAGCAGGGATGGAACTGGAAGACACTATATTAAATGAAATAAACCAGACACACAAAGACAAATATCCCATGTTCTCATTAATATGTGGGAGATTTAAAAAATCGAACTCATGGAGTCAGAGAGTAGAATGATGGTTACCTCTCAGGAACTAGGAAAGGTGGTGGAGAGAGAGGATAAAGAGCAATGGTTAATGAGTACAAAATTACAGTTAGGAAGGAATAAGACCTAGTGTCCAGTAGCATAATAGGGAGACTATAGTTAACAATAGTTTATTGCATAATTTAAAATAACAAAAAAAGTGGAATTGGAAAGTTCCTAACACAAAGAAAGGGTATATGCTTGATGTGATGGATACCCCAATTATGCTAATTTGATCATTACATGTTGTATGCTTGTATTAAATATCACATGTATCATATGTACAACTATTACATATCCATAATAATTAAAAATTAAAACAAGAAGGCCCCACCCAGATCTACTGAATCAGAATCTGTCTTTTAACAAAATCTCCCATAATTTCATATGCACATAAATTTTGAGCACTGTCCAAGAGCCTTGACCCAAGCCTCTCTTCTGTAGTGGTGTCTAGATTGTAAGACTGCAAGCCCCATGAGGGAAGTCCTGCATCTTATCCACCCTTGTATCTATAGCACCTGCCTGATGTCCTGCCCAGAGCAGATGTTCCAGTAGACCACATCAACAACTGTGTCATTGGGTGGTTTGGGTAGCTTGCTCCATCTGCCTGCCAGCCACTTCCTATCTATATCCATTCCTAGAGGAAACAGGGTAATTGCCCATGTTCCTGAAGGTCCATCATTAGCACAAAGGTATCTGTCTTGGTCATTTGAAAAAGGTGGAGTCATGCTTGAAAGATTAACTGAAGCCTGTGGCTTGCAATCCTCTTTCTCAGCCTATAAAACATGTGCCTATAGGGAGTGGGAACATCGCACTTTGTAATGATTTAAATGAAAACAACATAAATGGAGAGGAAAGGGCTGTTTATATCAAGTGCTACTAATTAAATGAGAAATAATGGGTCCTGCTGAGAAAGGATACAGATGGAGAGAGCAAGAAAAACTTCCTGCCAGTAAAGACTAGCAGACAATGGGACAGTTTTCCTAGTGGGATAATTATGACTTCTGGAGTAGATTGTCTGAGGCAAGATAAGATAAGTACCAGGAAAGTATAATGTGCTTCCAGCCCTATTATCAATGACACTTTCAGACACCAGCTCTGGGTCACAGATTTTGAATACACTAAATGCTTAATTCAGTGCTGCCCTTTCACCCAAAAGATCTCAGGGTAACAGAAAAATGTGTGCACCAGTCCAGTGCTCTCTGATTTAACTCTTCACTAAAATACTCTAGGAATAAACCATGGGAGGTGGAAATTATAACCTCCACTTCGCTTTCCCACCTGGAAGGTGATTTCCATTTCAAACAGCTGATAGAGCAACAATGTGGTCATCAAAAAGCTTGTGAAGATGATTCCCTACCTCCTGCCTTATTTTTCTTTGATATCACTCTGAAGAAATATTTTAGAAGCAGGAGATTGGTGGTGTGGAGGTGAAATTCTGCTATTTAGAAAATCAGTGCAGATTGAGGTTTCATAAGATGTTGATTTCTAAGCTGCTGTGTTGAAAACGACTTGCTTTCTCATTAGTTGGAAATAGTTCATGGCTATGATAAAAATAAGACAACTTAAAACATATACTTGCAGAATATGTTTGACTTTCAATTTGTCCTTGAAAGATCTGGGACCTAAGTAAAGATGCATTCACAGAGAAGCCTAAAGCCTGCAAGTCGCAAATGCAACAGAACAACACGCTTAAGAGCTCAGACTCTGGGGCAGAAAGACCAGGGTTTGTTTGAGTCCAGGTGCACGCCACATCTTCATGGCACCCGATCCAAACACTTTACTTCTCTAGGTCTTGTGTTCCTCATTTGTAAGGTGGAGGCAACAATAGTAACTACCTCTATGGTGGCTGGGAGGATTAAATGACATTGTTTTATTCCATAAATGGGATGCACATTGCCTGGCTGACTAGGCTGTAGGTAAATGTTAGCTGCTTTTGCCATGCAAATCAATGGCTTCTGTTTGAAAACCTTCCAATTTTACACGTGTTTACTATGTACCTTTTATAAGACTGAAACAATGAGGACTGAGAAAGATTATCTGGAACCCATTTCTTGCCTTCAATGAGCCTATTTCTTGTCTTCAATTAACTGGGAAAATGATATGGGGACATGAAACTATAAAGAAAAATGAAGAGCAAGCCTGATGAAAGATGGAGCCAGAGGAGGAGCAATGACAAACGAGAGGGCTGGGACAGCATGGAGAGACGAAAGGCAAGAGCAGTGGGAAAAGGCTTCAAGGAGAAATAAACCAGACTGTGGCAGGGCCCTGGGGGACATGTGGATCTTGAGAAGGGTGATGAGCTGCACAGCAATGAAATCATACTAGACATGATCTCGAACTACCTTGGTATCTAACAAGAAATTTTTACTTGGGAATGCCTCTGGTGAGCATGTGTTGGCTTGTCTTTATGGTAACCTACGGATTTCATTCTTGGTGACTCTTGGATAAGATATTCACTCATTCATGTATATTGAGCATATAATCTGGGGATATAGATATGAACAAGACCAACTATGACCTGATCTTTACAGAGCTCATATTCTAGTGATGCAGATATAAAATAAGAATCTAAATGTATGATATGACATCAATAGTGGTGAAACAGGGCAAGAAACAGGGAAAGTTGGTGAGTAGCCATTTTACATAGACTGCCTGGGAAGGTCTGTCTGTGACATATGAACACATGCCTGAAGACTGGAGGAAGAGTTTTCCAGGTAGAGAGAAGAGTAGGTGCAGAGGCTCCAAGGTGTGCGTATATTTCCCACTTGGAAAGAAGGCCTGTGGCGCCAGAGTGGAGCAGGCCAACTTCTTCCGTAGTACATAGTATGTCTGCCCAAATGACACACTAATGAGGAAACCAAAGCTCAGAACCATTGATCTTACTTCCAAAAGTAAGTTAACAAATAGAATTGAAGGGATACTAGCGATGCAACTGGCATTTGCAAGCTGATGAACTCATTTATCTTATGAAGACCAGGCAGATTTAAAATATGTGTGATAGCTTAGGCAGTTTGAATTATTTTCCATCTTTCTGCTTGTGGAAAACCCCAATGCTGTTTATTATGTAGTAAAATTACGTTGTTTAGTAAAAATCCATGAAACAGGTCGATTTCTGGATAAGAATAAATGAGTACACTGTGTACTGGAACCTTCATCTTGGGACTTCCCCTGCATAATACTGCATTATTGTCTAACACCAATAATTCAAGTGACAATGTGTTGTTGCAGGTCTGTTAACCTGAAATCTTGAACTAAATCTGTCAAAAGTTTTATTTTTTTGCAAACTGGCTAAAACGTTTAGTGGCAGGAAAAAAAATGCCATGGAAGAAATGTTAAGAAACCTTTGTTTCAACATGAAGGGTTGTTTTTACTTAATATTTTTTGCCAACAGGCTGGTAACATATTTTACTTTTGATTTACCCATTTTCTTAAACTCCTCTGGTAATATGTAGACACATGCCATAGGCAAATAATAATACTTCACTCTCCTCACTAGAGGAAGAGAATAATTATCGATATGTATGTATAAATGGCGTGTTCTTCTTGATTCTTTAACCTTCCTGTGGAAAAGACCCTTGGGACACTATTGAGGAAAAAGTGGTTTTTCCTTCCAGATGGATTCATTGGCTAGGACAATATTTTTAGTTATGCCAATAAAATGGAAGGGAGACAGAAAACCAGGCAACGGCAGAGTGGTTAGTGTGGGACTATTACCAAGGCAGAAATGAGGCCAAAGAGATGATAAATGTGTGCCTCTTGCCCACTCCATCAGCTGAAGCCTGACCTGGATCCTCTTTTCCATCTGAGCTCCATGCAAGCCACCATTTTTCACAGCAGCACTTAATAGTGGACATTAACTTAGCCCTCCCCGAAAGGGCTGACCTGCAGTCTACCGTCGGTGCTTCTCCAAACTGTAACCACTTGCTCACTCGGTAATTTTATCAAATAGCATGCACCTTTTTCAGCCACTTATTGGCCAATTAAGTCAAGTTCTCACTGAGGGGGTCCAGCTGGCTTCAAGTTATCTTAGATGAATTGATTGAAGACATTCTGCAATCTATGAACCCAGTTTAATGATCTAGGTGATAATACTTGTAATTCTTCTCAGTCAGGGGAATTTGCTGCAGCTGTTGTCGGCAAATCCATGTTCTGATACATTGAAGTACCAGAAAAGCATTAATCCGCCCTCAGAGTTTCATAGCAATGGCTGCATTGTGAAAAGGGAAATTTAAAATTCACCCAGCATTGCCAACTGAAGACAATCTTTCCGTTGATGTGTTTTTATTTTATCCCATTGTAAGTGTTTTTTTTTTTTTTAAGGTGGAATATGGGAAGAACATATTATTGATCATCATTAAGAATGGTGAAACACAATTAAATGCTCATTCAATATTACTGCTGCAAACAGTGCATCAAATGTTTGAGATGCACAAAAGCACTGTTTTAAGGCAAGAACATAATATTTTCTAAAATATTGGGGTGGGGCTTAAAGGACTAAAGTCATTATTTTTTGTATGAAGTGTTACATGGAAGACACAAATAGCAAGAATTTGTGCTCCCACCCCCTGGATTCACTGCTATTGAAGTGATAATGAAGAAGTGTCATACAGTGACATGGGCCTTGAATATATCTCTAAACACTTTTCTCCACAGTGACATATTTTTAAAAAGTAATCATTAAATAATTTGCTTGCTTTCTTTCCTATGTCTGTGTTTGTTCCTTAAACCACTGAAACATTAATTCTCCTCCCTATGAAGCAAATACTATAAATAACACTCTGGAGGTTTTTCTGGGTGTTGCAAATTCAGAATACTTAGGAGCATTCTATCCTACAGTGGGTCTGTGAAGTGTATGTTTACAAACCGAAAAGCTGGTTTTGATTTTCTTATGAAAGTGGCAGCTGTGATATTAATTTACGCAGTGCTGAGGAGCTGCTGTCCCTCTCTTTCCAGAGTGGGTTCTTTTTTGCCGAGAGGTGTGATTGAACCTGGCTTTGGGGATGTGTGACTTGCTGGGAAAGCCTGGTACTTTTGATGAGATTTTAAATTCTTTCCAACGAGGAAGGAAAAACAATGGACTAGGAAGGATGTATTTGCAAGTGGAGTGTAGGCTTTGGTGGAAAAACTTACTTGGATCACAGCTGTACTTTGTATTTAGGGGTCCAAATTCAACCAAGACAAAGAGCCGGAAACAAAGAGTGACATTTTTCTTTAATTTTTCTAACCAGGAAAGGGCAAAGCCAGGCAGAGTTTTGGGGTCTTTTATGAAACAAACTGAGTTTTCTGAGAACAAAACACCTAATTATTCAAAGAACAGTTTTCTGCACTTTTTTTTTTTTAACCTCTGTGTGTGGCCTCTTCCACCCTCTCCCACTTTGTTGATAAATTAATCTAACTTAAAATTTTCTAACTACTGTAAACAAAAAAATCATCCAATTATGATTAATAATAATAGCTAATAACAAACACGTGTCATATGCAGGCCCTATTCTAAGGATGTGACATGGACTAAAACACAGTTAATTCTCACAAGAACCTGATAAGGTCAATGCTATTATTTCCTGTGTTTTACAGATGAGGAAACTGAAGAACAGAGAAGTTAAGTGACTTTCAAATTCACACAGCTTGTACTCCTTAAGAAATGGGAAGGAAAAAAAAAAAATAAAACAAATTCACACAGCTGATAAGTGTCTGAGCCAGGGTTTGAGCCAAGGAGGCTGGGGGTAGTGTCTGTGTGCTTATTGATTGACTACACAATACTACCTCTGATTCCTCATGAGTACAAAGCTTTGAGTTTTCTCTATTTACTTTCCAGCCTGCTTCCCATGTTATCTCTACAGGGAAAGAATTACAGAGGAGCAAAGGGACAATTGGTGTCACAGCAAACAGAAACCTCAACTGTTCCAAGTCCTCATCTTCAGGAGGCCTTCTCTCTGATGTATGATTTAGTGCCTATCTAACCACCAAGGGGCCCAAAGCACTTTACAAACTAACTTTTTAGTTGTCAGTACATTAGCAAAGTGTTAGAAGGGCAGAGATTGTGCTTTAAAAATCATAAAATAAAATAAAACAAATCAACACCAAAAAATGAAATATCAAATCAACCTCGAACTCATCTCTCCTAGGTTTGAGCCTGGTTTCTCCTTCAGGCCCATTTTGTCTCATTGAAACACAGATACACGTGTCCCTTTCCACACATATTCAGATTATTCTTGGGGTCAGTCTATTTTGTCTAGATTCAGCACCGTAAGAGTTATTGGAAAATGCTATACATGTGAAGAACTGGTATGGAGATAGGGAAATAGGAAGAGAAACCTTTATCTCAACTTTACAGGTGAGGAAAGAGGCTAATGTCACATATCAACTTTTATTTTTTACTGCTTAGAGAATCTCTTTCAAGAAATTAAAATGTATTACAATCTGAAATTATTTTCATTAAGCATTTATTCTTTTGTTTTTTTAAAAATACATGATCTCTATTAGAGTTTTATAGGTCAGGGCTTCTCTTTATATACCCACATAGCACTCTATATTTCCTTCTTGTCATTTACCATAATTGCAATTAATTAATTGCATGTGTAATTGCTTATTTAGCTTTGTTTTCCCTAAAGAGAAAGTTCCATGAAAATAAAGAATGTGAGCATGGTGTTTACCACTATGTCCCCGGTGTATTTGGCACATAGTAGTAGGTGCTTATATACTTATTGAATGATGTCAATGAATGAATCAATAAAATATTTACTATTTGCTAAGTAAAAAACAGTGTTTTGTTTTGTTTCAAATTAAACATTATTTTTTAGAGCTGTTTTAGGTTCACAGCGAATTTGAAAATGCTATTTTCAAATAGCATTCCCACACACCCCCATCCTCTTACACACACACATAACCTCCCCCACTATCAACTAAAGCAGTACTTTAAATGAGAGTAAAACAGTTCTGTCTTTGGGTTCCTTGTCTAGTTTATGTCAAGTATAACAGCCGGAGAAAAAGCTGAACTGCTAATAACAAACAGGGCCTCCAGATAGTGACTTAGATAAGATAGAGATTTGTTTTTCTCTCATGGAACAATCTGACTGATTCAGATTAAACGGGTAGCTCTGTCCCATGAAGCCAGGGTGGATCTGCCATCCCCAACATATGGCTTCCAAGGCTGCTCAAGTTGTCACCATTTCCAGCTGGTAGAGAGGGTGATGAGCCAAAATCCAGCACATGGGCCCCTTCTTAAGTTGGAGAGAACACAGAAGTTGCACACATCTCTTTCTCTCATGTCCCATTGGCCCAAACTTTAGGCCCATGGTCATTTCTAGCTGTCAAAGGGCTGGGAGACCTAATTGCTAGCTAGATGGCCATGTGCCCAGAAATATGGAAAAGGTGGGTTTTGAAGGACAACTGGTGGCCTGACATGACCATGGACGAGAAATATTTATTAAGATAGCAATCCAACAAATTTCAAATGAGATGAACCAAAGCCATAAAGTTCTAATCTTAAAATATCTTAGGTTCTTCTCACCAACATGAAGCCACTTAATTGGTAACAGCAGTATTACAAGGAAGAAAAGAATGGTATGATGACAAGAGGAAGCTAGGCAGAAAAAGAACAGAATAATGCAAGGAACTGGTCTGTGGCTTATCAATCATTTGCTGAATCATGCCTTTCTTTTTGCAAGAAAAAAATGCTATAGTAGGCAGCCTCTAAGGCGCAACTCAATGATCTTAGCCTTTGATATTTGTACCCTTGGTAGCCCCCCTTGAGCACTGGGTTGGACTTATTGACTTGCTTCCAACAAATAGAATACAGCAAAGGAGATGGATATCACTTACCAAATTAGGTTACAAAAAGATTGTGGCTTCCATCTTGGGACTCCTTTCTTACACTCTCACTCATTTGCTCTGAGGGAAGCCGGTTGCCACATTGTAAGCTGCTTTATGGAGAGGTCTGTGTGGTGGGGACCTCCAGCCAACAGCCAGTGAGAAACTGAGGCCTCAGTCCAATAGTACGTCAATAACCATATAAGCAAGCTTGGAAGCTGATTCTTTGTAAGTTGGGACTATGCAGTTCTGGTCCGAAGCTTAATGCCACCTCATGAGACATCTTGACCAGCACAGACAGCTAAGTGACACCCGGATTCCTGACCCACAGAAACTGTGAGATAATAAATGTTTATGGCTTTAAGGAATGAACTTTAGGGGTAATTAGATGACTAATGCAGTGAGAGAACGAATACAGCAATTAGATAACTAACACGAATGCCAGTCACAAGAAAATGAATTCCAATTGTCCTATAATTTCCTGCTAGTAATTTTATGTAACAAGCATCTTTAAGTTGTCTTATTAACCAAGACTATAATTTACTTGTTTCCAAAGTCTGGTCTGGAAATCTCTGGGGGTCCCCAAGAGTCTTTCAGGAAATCCATGAGATCAAACTATTTTTTTTTTTATTGAGATGTTACTTACCGATTTCATTCTCATTCTTTCATGAGTATGTGGCGTAGTGTTCCAGAGGCTGCATCTATGGGATGATGTCATTGCCCTGACAGTTTATGAAATGGATGCTTGTATGACCTTGTGTTTTCTACAATTTTCTAAGGTAGATTTAGCATACAAAAATGTGCATTTTCTGAGATTAACTCAGTTATTCTCACTACTTCCTAGGCTGTAAGTAGTTATTGTCAATTATATTTGGTAAAATCTCTGTAACCTCAATGTTGTCCAGTAAATTGTTTTAAAATCCCAATGTTTTCCTTGCAACTATGCAGAGACACGACAAGAAGTACACTTCTGTTGCCTTGTTTTGCAATGATATTTTAGGATTTTCTCAGTTTTTGTTTCTAATGTAGTAAATATTGATAGATATAAACCCTCACAAACAAAATCTCTTTGAAGTTTTAATAATTTTTAAGAGTATAAAGGGAATAACACCAAAAAGTTTAAGAATTATTTGTTTAGGCTGGTGCGGTAGCTCATGCCTATACTTCCAGCACTTTGGGAAGCTGAGGCGGGAGGATTGCTTGAGCACAAGAGTTTGAGACCAGCCTGGGCAACATGGCGAGACCCTGTTTCTACAAAATTAAAAAAGTAGCCGGGCATGGTGGCACACACCTGTGGTCCCAGCTACTCGGGAGGCTGAGGTGGAAGGATCACTTGAGCCTCGGCGGTCCAGGCTGCAGTGAGCTATGATTACACCTCTGCACTCCAGCCTGGGTGACAGAGGGAGAACCTGTCTCAAAAAAAAAAAAAAATTTACTTGTTTAATCCATCAATTGACAAATGTGATTGAGCCCATATATGTGTTCAGCACTGTACTATGTGTGACATAAAAGTGTGAACGAAACCTTTGATCTTAAAATGCTTAAAATCTAATTGTAGAGATGAGACTAATTTAGGGGGTATGAGGGAGTGTTGTCTGAGGTATATACTGCAAAGCTAAATGCTGCAGTAGAGACCTTATGCAATAGAAGGGACATAAATGTACACAAAAGGGAGAGGTTGGAGGTTGGTGGTGGAGGGTAGCGGGAGGAGGTGAGAAGAGTCATTGGGAAGTGAGTAGTGCTAGAAGAAAGGCCTTTCTGCTCTCCTAATGAGAACCTCCGTGAATTTGAGAGAGAAAATATGCAGAGAAGGCATTGGGGAGATGTATCATTGAAGGGCCAGGAAAGGAAAGCACAGTCTTTGGCAACTCTGAGCCACATGTTGCTTGGATTTGGGGGACCTGCATGGGAGCTCTGTCTGTCAAGTGTATCCTGCTTGGATGGCTGACCTGATTGCCATCACCTTCACACAGCAGGCACAATTCTGATCCACATTTCTTATCACTATGAAACCTGGAATTGTGTGAACTGTAAAACTCAACTTCATCATATTAAAATCCACACCTAGACTTTTGAAGATGTTGCCAATGCTATGTGTGTGTTAGGCTCACATAGATGTTTTTCTATTTAGGGGATATGGCAGCATTTGTTTGGGGGAAAAATAAAAGGTTATTTTACTGCTTTGGGCAAAAGATGTCACTGCTTCCACTTGACCAGTAAGAATGAGAAAACTTGGGCTCTAGTCTGCCCTGTACAAATGAGGAACTTCTAGTAGCTTTAGCTATCTGACTCTCAATTTTAGCATCTGTAAAAGAGGGATATTTGCCCAATACAGCTTCAAAGACCCTCCAAATAAAAGACTTGGAGCATACGGAAAGGAAATGAAGAGACCAAACTTGGCCCCTTCAGGCAAGGAAGGTCTAGGGGCACGTGATCTGGTATAAGATACAGATAGTTCCTATGAGCTAGACTTGGTCAGATCTCCACAGAGAAAAGGGAGCTTGCTGGTAGTATTGCCCTTTGGGACTGCACAGATGACAAACACACACGCAAAATATGTACTAAAGACAATTGGCATGGGAGGTCAGTATTGACACAGGGTGACCCACTCTTGTGAGGAACACAGTTCAAGACCCAGAAAAAGGCACATCTCTTCCCCGTTGTCCTCTAAACAGCATCTGAAACCGCAAGGGTTTTTGGCTTGTGCCACCATCTGTGTAAAAGACAGACAGTGTCGTGGGGTGCAGGGAGGATTTGAGTGGTAGAAACACTCAGGTAAGGGAAAAGACAAACTAACTTGTCAAATCCTTCCTCTCAGATAGTGTGAATGCTACAGGTCTTTTCATAATAAAGTATCATTTCCCAATAGCACCAAGTACCCATTTTCTTGCTTCTCTTTGTATTCTAGTTTGGTTCCAAAGGTACTCAGGAGATAGCACAGTATTTGCTGCAGTTGCATGGGGTAGAAAAAGAATATTTTGCAATAATTTATATCTCTCTTAAAATTGTATATGTAAGTCTGGATGTAACCTTCAGGAAGCATGATATTTATTCTTTGCATTAATGACTAGATTCTGAACCTTAGAATTGCAAGTAATTTTAGTTTTATCAAATGTTTAATAAGATGTAATTAAATTTTTTAAAAATTAAATTAAAACCTACCTTTATTTAAACTGTTTAAAAATTCTCTGAGGGCAGCATCTAAGACAATGGTTGCAACGTGATAAATAAACAGAAAGATTTATCATCTAGGATACTGGCCAATTTTTTAAAAAAATTGCATTTGTCATGTATAGCACACATTTGAATTTGTTATTAGGAGATGTGGTGTCAACCTTTTGTTTCAATAGCAATTCAAAGATGAAATACAATATTTTCCGAATCGTCCCGAAGATGAATTACTTCATTGAAACAAAGTGATGACTTTAAAATCACTCTTGGACATATGATAGAAATGCTGCTTAAATGCTGTTTAAGCAACTAAGTTTAATTTAGATAAGACACAAGACGTGCCACAAAAGTTAATTAAGCAACAGAAGAATTTCAAATAAAACGTAAGTCAGATCTTTGGAGAAAAATTAAATTTTTTTTTTTAGAGACAGAGTCTCACTCTGTCACCCAGGCTGGAGTGCAGTGGCACTATCTTGGCTCACTGCAACCTCTGCCTCCAGGGTTCAAGTGATTCTTCTGTCTCAGCCTCCCAAGTAGCTGGGTCTACAGGCACATGTCACCACGCCTGGCTAATTTTTGTAATTTTAGTAGAGACGGGGTTTCACCATATTGGTCAGGCTGGTCTCAAACTTCTGACCTCAGGTTATCCACCCACCTCGGCCTCCCAAAGTGCTGGGATTATAGGCGTGAGCCACCACACCCTGCCTGAAAAATTAATTTTTAATTGATGCTATCCACAGTTATTTGAAGTGAACTGTTTCGTGTTACTAATAATATTACCAAAAAATTAACAAAAAATTTCAAATAGATCTAAGTTTGGCTATTTCATTTTTAAAAGGGCTAAAAAGTATTTTAAAAAATTTTAGCAAAGTGTTTTTTTCTAAGTCAAAATTTATTGCAAAATATGCAACAAAAGTATTGTTCCAATAAAATGTAAGGACATTTGAGCAAGAAAATGAAAATGTTTACCTATTAAGGAGATTATTCATGTATAAATAATTACCAATAATTTATAATTTCAATAGGAACCATGTTTCTGGCCATTGTAGATCAGAGTACACAAGGTACAATCTTCGGCTTTTTTTTTTTTTTTGAGACATGGCCTTGCTCTGACACTCAGGCTAGAGGCAATGGTGCCACCATAGTGCACTGTAACATCAAACTCCCAGGCTCAAGTGATCCTCTCATCTCAGTCTCCTGAGTAGCTGGGACAATAGGTAGTGAGTCACCATGCCCAACTAATGGCTTATTTTTATTTTTATTTTTTTTAAGAGACAGGGTCTCACTATGTTGCCCAGGCTCAGAGTACAGTCCTAATTGAAGAGAAATTTGAACAAGTTAATCAATGCTAACTTTTTCCCTAATTTTTATTCCTTTATAATGACCCAACATTGGAAAATTTGAAATTAAAAACGTAAGAAACACTTTACGTATTAATATCTAGATATTCCTTTAACATAGTTATGTTAAAATAATAGTAATGCATTTGATATTAAAATAGTTTATATGTTCTGCAATAACCCTACTTTGTTACATGTGCCTGCATTACAGTTTTTGAATAATTATTAAATTCATATATAAAGTTCACTTCCTAACTTCAGTATTGGTTTAAGAATTTTATTGAGAATTCCAGTTGACCCTGCCTTAGCAGAGTGAAGTTTCTCCAAGTTGAAATGAACTGAGTATATGTATGAACTATAATGACTTTAAAAATATTGGCTAATTTTCATTAATGTCAATAGAACACATATGAAAATCTTGGTTATACCAATATAATTTGTTATTGTTTTTTAAATGAAGGCAAGACAAATTAATTTTATGTAATATATATAATAGCTAATGAATTATGTATGGCTTTATTATGCATCCAAGTGTCACCAGCTCATCAACAGAGCACCTAGACATGCACAATAATAATTAATTCAGTCATCTTTGATATTTTGCTGACTGCCAGTCACATAAAAAACATAGCTTTACACACATTTTCTCAATTTTGTCCTTATGAATATTTGTCAAGGTAAGAGACAACAATTTATTTAACAGTTTTTTACCTTTATTTATAACTTCTAAATATTTAGACATAAGATCTATAAGCCTCCATTTGTTCTCTTGCCTTGGTCCCCACAAATATTAGGAGCGGGTCCTCTGCCTGGAGGGGAAGTAGAATCAACCTTGGGTCCCACTCTCCCCTGGTGTGTCGACCTAGAGATGACACCAGAGAGGCCCTTGGGTGCAGCTGGGCAGCCCAAGTTAGGATTTCACATACCTTCCCCTTTCCCAGCAGGAGGCACATACACGTCCCTCCCCACATTCTCACTGATGTCCAACCATCTTTAACAAGAGCATAAACCTTCACAGTAACATTTAAAAATGCAAATGCACAATTAAGGTGACACCTTAATGTGAATGACTTTTAGCTGGTATAATTAGTCTTCCAGTTCCTCATCCTCTGGAATCATTCCTTAACGAAGAGTGTACTATTTCACCATGAGGTGTTCCTCATATCCAGCTGGTAATGTTTGGTTTGGAGATGGGAGAAAAGGGGAGTCGAGGAGTTGAGAGAAGTCTTAAATATAGGAAGGATTTTCCTGGCAGATTATATTGAAACTGCTTGCAGTGACACAGTGGATGGTTATTCTAACTGTGGTCAAAGGTGCTCACTCGAAGGGTAAGTAGGCACTGGAATCCAACTCTTGTTCTGCTCATCAAGCCGTATACATCGAACCCAGGCAGAGTCAGCTCAAACGGTGCACCTTTCTCTTGTTCTTGCAAAGGTGCTCTGTGGGCCAGTTGCAGCCCTATCTTCATGCTTCAGAGGACAGAATTAGGCCCAAATGTTGAAAGTTACATGGATGCTGATTTGTAGTTAGTATAAGGAAAAGATGGCTTATGAACCTCATCTCATTTAATCCTTGTAACAACCCTGAAAGGTAGGTACAATTACTGCCCTCACTTTACAGAATGAAAACTGAAGCTGATAAGCAACTTTCCCCACATTCATAAGAGGCAAACATGATATAAACCAGGCTTTTCTAAGTAAAAAACACCCATGGTCATTCTACTCTACGTTATGATACCGCTTACTAAAAATCTGTGCAGTTCTATGTTGTAATGGACTGTTTTGGAAATTGGCAGTTTCTCCATTTCTTTAAGTGTTTAAGAACAGGTTGAATGCACACTCAACAGATGTGTCACAAAGTGGACCCACATACCCTGTGTAGTTGAATCAGGTGATGACTACACAGTGTGGGATCAATCAGGAAAATAGAAGCCACTCTACATATTTCAAGTATGAAGGATTTTAATGCAGAGAATTAGAGGCATATCAACTATTGGAAAAGTTGGGGGAACCAAAATCCTGAGTATTATGGCCTCTCCTCTCCAACCTTTCAAGCTTCAAAGGAATGTCTGTTATTGGAAGAGATGCTGACTCTGACCAGGGACCTCGTGGAGAAGGAGATGCTGGGAAATGTAATTCCTGACTAGAAGCAGGTGATGGTGAAACGGAGTTGACAACAGACACTCCAGCAAAATCCCGAAGCCCCTTCCCACCATAATGAGGTAGGGTTTTATGATTTGAACTTCCTTGTTTTATAGGGAGTTGGAAGTTAAAAGTAACAAGGGCACTTGACACCGTGCAAAGATATAGCACAAAAAGATATAGCTGAAACTATAGGTAAATTTTCACGTTGTCATTTTGCCTAAGATTTGAGCACCTTCAACAGGGCTGGGCCAAAGAAAAACATTTAGCTGTAAAACCAGGCCTGCTCCTCAGATTTTAGAAAAATTAGTTTTTACATAAAGGATTATGTTCATAGGAAATATGAGTAGCAAAATTTAGGAGGCTATCTTTATGTGTGGTAAAACAGAATTTAGCGTGGAAGGAACCTAGATGACATTTGGTTCCAGATAACCTAAACGACTTCTCATTTACCTATTAAGGAGATTATTTATGTATAAATAGTTTCCAATAATTTGTAATTTCAATAGGAAACATGGACATCTCTGACAGGGTGGTTGGCAGATGTGAGTGGTAACAGCACACCTTCCACTGAGAATCCTGGCTAACTGCAGACAGGGAAGAATTGTGGCAAGCAGGGCAAAGATAATGAATTTGCAGAGCTACCTCTTTAGAATTCAAGACCTACCAATTTGCCCAACTTGCTGGTTGACAACACCTCTGTTTTACTGCAACAGCCAAGGGAGGTTAAGGGACTAAGTAAAATCACAAGCAGCTTAATAGCAGACTCGAGATTGGAATTCAAATGTCCTGATACTCAGCCTGAGATGCTATGATAGCATCCTCTGCCTATCAATCATCAATCAATCAATCAATCATCTATCCACCTATCTATCCTTCTATTCTTTCCTCTGTCTACGCCTCTATCATTGTGTATCCATCTAGTCATCCAGCTGGGTAATCTCTCCTTTCATGAATCCATGTATGTGCATGAGACTCTATGAAGACATAAGAAGGCATCTATTTCCCTTTCTAGAGTTAATGGAAGAAGGAAAGTAAGAAACGGGGGGGCTATTGATTTTTGTTTGTTTTGGCTCCTACCTGAGTAAAGAAAAAGGTTTTAGTCCATAACACAGCATCATAACAATAGCAGGACCTATGAATTTTTCCGATAGGTAATTCCAGGCTAAAGAGAATGTATTTGAAAAACAGCCCAGTGTGCTGCAATATTAAAACAGTAGGCCACTATAGTTACAATATACCAGCTATTGATAATGAGATTACAGACTCCTGCCTACCAGTGTTCTCCCTTCTGTGTCCCAGTACTCAATTTTGTTGCTGGAGTGAGGGCCTTGGTGGTGTAAGCACGTGTTTTGCTTACATTTGGTGAAAGAACTCTTGTGGCTTGGTAAGTATTAGTCAAGCCACATAGTCTTAGATCACCTTAGGAAACAAATCCTTAAAATAACTTGGTCGAAGTTAGAAAATCATGTCACTATTTACATATCTGAATCTAATCATGCTATTTATGCATATGGTTTGTTTATTGTATTGAAAAGCTGTTCTCTTCTGCCAAGCCTTAGGGGAACATTAATCAAATTCATTAATTACTAAACATATGGCTTACATCTGAAATATTTTGTCTGAATTTGGAGGCTGAATTTTAAGAGGCACTTTGACAAACTAGAGTGTGTTCAGAAGTGGTCGGGATTAATAATCATAATAAAATATAATTTAAAACACACTGTGTTCTGTGCTAAGCATGTTACATGGATTGTTACATTTTTATTCCTCACTGTATTTTACCTTTGAGCATGTTGAGGATTAGAAAGCTTGAGTTGCCAAAGGTCATATAGTGAGTTGCTGAGGTCACATATGGGCCCTGACACTAGAACCTGAGCTTTATCCACTCACTGTACTGTGAGGAACCTGGAAACCATCTCCTATGAGAAGCTGTAGAAGAACTGAGAATGTCTGTGCTGATGAAGGAAAGAACTAAGACCAGTGGAGCAAGTTATGGAATGCCAGATTTCATCTCAATAGAAGGAAGCTTCCCTTCCTTAGAATTCAGCATTCAAGCAAAAGGCAAGAGATCCCTTTTTTAAAGACTGGATAAAAGAATTTAACATTAAGATATGCTGAATCTATGCTTTTTTGTTGTTTGTTTGTTTTGTTTTTTGTTTTTTGAGACAAAGTCTGTCTCTGTCACCCAGGCTGGAGTGCAGTGGCACGATCTTGGCTTACTGCAACCTCTGCCTCCCGGTTTCAAGCGATTCTCCTGCCTCAGCCTCCCGAGTAGCTGGGACTACAGACATGCGCCACCATGCCCAGCTAATTTTTGTTTTCTTAGTAGAGACGTGGTTTTGCCATGTTGGCCAGGCTGGTCTCAAACTCCTGACCTCAGGTGATCCACCCGCCTCGGCCTCCCAAAGTGCTGGGATTACAGGCGTGAGCCACTGCACCCGGCGGATATGCTGAATCTATGAAGTGAGCAAAATAGAACAGATAGCCAAATTATTGGTTTCATTTCTGCTTACTACTAGAAAAACAAAAATCTCTAATTCCTAATATTTTTCTTAAAAGTTGACTACAGGGTGAATGCCAGATCTAGGCCCACCTTCTCCAAATGTGTCAACTATCTTTTTTATGTTACTCAGTCGTTGAAACGATATAATTCTTAGATCTGACCCTTAGATTCCTACCTCACAATTTACTTTTTTATTTTTACTTTTGAGACATGGCAGGGTCTCGTGCTGTCGCCCAGACTGAAGGGCAGTGGTGTAACCATAGCTCACTGCAACCTCAAAACCCTGGGATAAAGAGATCTTCCTGCCTCAGCCTCCTGAGTAGCTTGGACTACAGGGGCATGCCACCTAGCCTGGCTAATTTGCCTCACATATTGTTCTAAGGATTGAATGAGTTAATATATGTGGAGGGCTTTATATCTCTCACATGGGAGAGATCAGCAGAAACAAAATGTATGTTAAGTCTCCTTGATTTTTTTCTATATAATGATACAGATCAACCTTTAAAGCTACTGAATCAGTCAGATATCTCTAGTAAATATGGTCACACGAATATATTCAAGGCCGTCACTGCTAGTAATGATATTTACACAATCAAGACTAGTAGTACAAAGTATTTTAAAGAATTATACTCTAATATTAGAAAGTTCTTTTTATCTTATATATAAAGTCTTCCCTCAAACTCTGGTCCAGGCAAAATAAATGACTTTCCTCTTTTTATTTTGCCATAAATTTTAGTGTATCTATTCCACATCCTGCCTTTCCTGCTGCCTGGAACACGTTTTCCTCTCCTCCTTTCTCCATCTCCCTTTCTCTAGCCAATATCTACCTATCCTTTAGGCCCTTCCCTTAGGGGTACTTTTCTCCAGGAAGCACTCCCTAACATTTCGTGCCATCTCTGGGCTTGGTTAGATGTCCCTCGCCTGTGCTCCCATGGCCATGTGTAATATTGCAATCATTCTACATATCAACTCCCTTGTAACATATTTATTGTATTCTCTCTTTTCTTCAGCCTATAAAGTCTGGCAATGCAGGGCTTACCTATTTTGTTCATGATTGTATCCTTAGGGATACAATCCCTAAGTGATTGAGATTGTGTTCTGGGATTGGGATTGGAAATGTGTCTGGTGGCACATTTGTGGAATGAATTATATGCAACATATAATCTTTTTTTTTTTTTTTGAGACAGAGTCTTGCTCTGTTGCCAGGCTGGAGTGCAATGGCGCTATCGCAGCTCACTGCAACCTCCACCTCCTCGGTTCAAGCGATTCTCCTGCCTCAGCCTCCCGAGTAGCTGGGACTACAGGCATGCACTACCATGCCCAGCTAATTTTTTGTATTTTAGTAGAGACGGGGTTTCACCATGTTGGCCAAGATGGTCTCCATCTCCTGACCTCATGATCTGCCCGCCTTGGCCTCCCAAAGTGCTGCGATTACAGGCGTGAGCCACCGTGCCCGGCCATAATCATTTTTTTTTCTAATATGAAAAGAGAATTCCATTAAATTAATGACTTACCCAAGACCTCAGGAGATCAATGTAGCTCTCTCCAAATCAGCTTGTGTATTCATCATTACCAAATTAATTTTTTTCTGTTTGCTCAAGAAGCACCACATATACCATGCCAGAATTGTTGCCATTTAGGCAATGAAATGTTCAAACACTGAGCTACACTCCCTATTGCCATTTCTGAATAGAGAATAGGATGTTCACTAAAGTTTAACTGTATGACTAAATAAAGCAAGTGTTTGATGATGGTTATTGAGTTGTACTTTGTGTAACTGAATGGATTCACTAAACATTTGTATTTGGGTTAACTAGCACGATAGAATTTATTAAATATCAAACCAGAGCAAGTAGGTAAGTGAAGAAAAGAGGGCTACCTCCCAGAGCCAAGAAGGAAAGAGATGGCCATATCTTCAACCGGTAGTGTTGACAGTTAATATATTCGGGTCCCAAGTCTTACAATTTGGGTTACAGAAAGGTCAGATTATAAAAGTCTTTTGCGTAGCTAGCTGGAAAAAAATGCTGTATAACTCAAGATTATATTTAACCTTTGATATATCTATTGAAATATTCTTTCTTTGGTTTTTAGAAATGGGTTAACATTTGCTATTATTTTTTCCACATAAAAATAATGACCATAAAAATATAAATCAAGTTCAGCAGTAGTATCCAGTTCTATGCCCCCTTGTCTAAGAAACTACTGAAAGGGTGGTGAAGTGAAGTAAAATTGTCATTTCTTTTCTCCCAAGTCACAGAATTGTCATACGGGGGAGAACTATAGTCAATTTTAGCAACTATAACTTGGTTGAAATCAGTGCCAGTGTGTGTGTGTGTGTGTGTGTGTGCGTGTATTTCATTAGTTACTAATCCACCTATGAAATGTCCAAAGTCTCTCCTGCAAATCTCTTCTTGGGACAATTTTCAGTGTCATAAGTAGAGAAAAATATCAACATCTATATTTGCAATTTGTCTCATTATAAGTTGAACTAACTATACAGAGCTACGCTGTATCTGAAACACTATAATAAAAAACAGAAGTATCTTAAACTGTGTGCAAACACAAAGGGGCTAAATTAAAGTGTCTGTTCATCTATCACTTCACATTGTGAGGAATAACAAACAGCTGATCATTCATCTGCCATTTTCTTCATGAGCAAAGTAAAAAAAGATAACTCACCTTTCAAATGAAGACATTTCCTGAGAAATCAATGGTCATAGATTATACTGGTGTACATGTATGTGAATAAATGTGTCTTTGAAGATATATCTATATTTCTACCTGAGTATAAAATTTTGAATACCCTTCTCATCACCAGCAATCCCCCCTCCTTTTTTACAAGAAATAATTTTGAAAAATAGTTCTTAAATCCTAGTTTGTATAAAACTTATGAGGATTCACAAACTTGTTTGTTATCTGATTGATAATATAATTTGTGAATTGAGCTCCCAGTCCAAAATGAAAAATATTTATAAGCTTAAAAAGGAGAAAAGGGGGAGGAAGCCAAACTGGAAATGAGGGGTAAAAGAACTTTCTCCTTACGCAATGAAAACACATACACATATTCATAACCAAACATGTGCATGTTTACAAATGAGTGACCTTCAAAATAATATTGAAAAAAAAAATGAAGCAAATGCAAATGTGTTGTAAATTAACTCTCCAGAAAAAGATAATTACATTATTGTATTAAGACATTACATTATTGTGTTAGCGGGCATTTTAGTTACTTTTTCCCCCCACTTAGAATCAAGGCATGCTATCATGATACAAGGCATTTATTAACTTGAATTTCAATAAAAATAAAAAACAGTATTAAAAGATAGAAAGCTGACAAATTTGATTTGTTTGGATACTGAACTCCAAATAAACATGTTGTTTGAACTCTGCCTGATGTACTGCTGCTGCCAGGAAGTATTAAAGTAATAGCAAACGGTCAATATGTGCTTACATATCACATATCAGGCTTAGCAAGATTGTTCCACTCTTAGAAAATTATATTGTTAAAAATAAGTGACAAACCTTGAGTAGCCCCTTCAAATCCACAAAGACATTGGAGGAACTGAAGCATACTTATAATAAAACCAGGATTTCTAAAATAGAGAGAAGCTCAAGCTCATGTAGCATCTTGCCAAATCATCAGATAAAAATGATTACACAAATTTCCAACAATAAATTCCCTCTGCATTTGCAGAGAGAGCACATAGGGAAAGAAAAAAGCACATCTTTAGAGCCAGACTTTTATCTATCAGACTCTTCTAGGGAGGCTTTATAAGCATTTGTTTCCCCTTTTCTCCCCCTTTAATGTTCTTTCTGAACAGATTTTGAGAAGCCCTTCAAATGGAAAACGTAAACTTAAATCCACACTTAGAGACAGGATCCATTTCTTGCCAATGAAAAAGGGGAAAAAATCATCCCAAACTTACTTGTCACTATCCAAGCAAATATCCTATCTATCATAAGAACTGTGGTTCCTGGGTAACAGATTAGGCACATCAATAAAATACTGTAACCACAGTTTGAGACAAATGCCCTGATATGTATAAGGTCAGAGGTTGACCAAGGTCACATAGAATCCTGAGCATATTTATCACTGGCCAAGCTTCAAACCGAGTTTTAAATTTTGTCATACATAAAAGAACAAACAACAACAACAACAACAAAAACTGCTACCAGATGGTGTCAAGATAATTCCTCTCCGTGTTAAAAACACACGCTTAGATATAGTCAATAGTAAAAATCAAATAATTAGTCCAAACACCATATACACCTGGCACCATTCCTACTACAAGTTAGGAGGTACATTATTATAATTTCTGTGTCTCTCCAATTAAGACAGCCCACCCAACTAATACAGAGTAGCCATAGTAGCCTACTAACACAATTAGTGAATTGATGATTTTCTGGAGCATAGATCATCCCAAGACAATAGGAAGAGACAGAATGTTATTTCAAATAGAAATTCTACTTCTAATTGCAAGAGAATTAGAAGCTCACTCCTTGCCACTCCCACCTCTGCCCTGTACCTCCTTTGATTAAAAGAAAACTTGTTCATATTTTGGAATGTTTAGTGCCTGCTATACAAAAGAACCCCCAAATTATAAATCCCCATATTTTGTGGCTAAACTCCATTCTTCAATTAATAAGAAAATGCAGTACAAATGTGTGGAAACCCCTCAGATGTGAGAAACCATATGCAATTGGTTCATGAAGTAAAAAGTAAAAACAGAAAGAGACTTTAGGAAGGAGGGTATTAATATGTCCAAATTAGTAAAATAAACAGAAAAATTGTTATGTGTTAGAAAGCACAAGGATGTATGTTATTACTAATTAATTGTAATATGTTTGCTTTAAAACATTTTTGAAAACATAAATGATTACATTTAATGATGACACAAGTATTTCTTTAGCTCTAGTCTGTTGTGGCATTTCACTGAGTAGGGGAGGGATCTAGAGTCACAATTCTTCTAGCTGTTAAGATGAAATTCACATTCTATTTTAAAATGTGGATCTGAAGGGGAACAGATGAATCCCAGCAATGGTCATTTGTAGATGTAGAATATCATAAAATGCTGGGGGAAATTCTTCTGTTTGAATCATTCTGGGTACCCAGAATTCGTATTAGGAATAATTAGGGTTCCTATTTTCCCCATGAGTCCTGCCTACTGCACTGCCAGAGAGAAAGCATCATGTAATTTTAATTATAAAGTCTACTGCAAAGCAAAGTTTTCATGCTAAGAAGAGGCCAAATTATGGGACTTCTCGCATTTGGGTTCATTTCCTAGAAAAGCATCACTTTGGATAGGGCTATTCTTCCCCCACACCTCAGTGAAGCACAATAAAGATTTTATTCTATGCTCCAATAATCATTGGCAAGAGGATGATGCCTCCTTCTGTCATCACACAGGAAAAAGCACATGAAGAGGATCCCAGGAATCAGGAAGATGGGGTAAAGTGAGGTCACAACTGGCAACAGAAAACCATCCAGTCTTTGAACGCAAAGATTGTAAATGTCTACTGTTTTTAAAACTTATTCTTTTTGGCAGGGTTGCATATGTTCTCTGTGCTCATTCCACGAATCTGGCTGATTATTATTCCAATCACCAGAGGAAGAGAGAGTCACATTAATTTGTAGTAATTAATAGCACTGATGCATTTGACAGCGCATGTTAACAAGCCTCTTTGATTGTTTGGATCTCTAACTGCGGCCCTTCTTGTTTGCATCACCTCCAAGGAATTCATAATATCAAAGCTTAACGGTATCTGATACTTGTCAAAATGCAATTTATAAAAGTTTAATTCTTTTATTGATTTAGTTTGGTTTTGATGCCTGCAGAGTCAGCTCCCTTGACAGAACTTAGCGGATTCAAATGCTTGTCACCAGCTCGGCCTCCTTTTTGCAGGGAACAATTGCCATAGGCCAAGCCAACAGGCATGGTTTAATTGCCATTAATTAAAAGCATAAATCTCTTTTTTCTTCAGTTGCTCTGCTCTTAAAGGGGGCTGCACATATCTCTCTTTTCCTGTGTTTGTCAGAACACCTTCTGGCAAGCAAAGTTAACCCATTCCATCTTTCTAAGCACTTTCTGGAATAATCTTTTGAAGCATTGCTCTTATGATCTGATGTGAAATGCATGCGGTTCGGTGATATTTAACAAACTGGATTTCTTCTTTATTGCAGTATAATGAGGTCAAATGAATCCCTCCATGGGTTGTATACATGCTTAAATGGTTTTTGCATCAAATTCTTTTTGACAGCAAATAAAACAGCAGCCAAACAAAACACTAGCTACTTAAAATTGGAAGAGAGGGGGAATTGGATGAAAATGAGCTTTTAAAACAAAAACACATGTATGCCTTTTAACATTAGGTGCAAGTAACCTTCCAGCAAAATACTTCTGCCTGGTCATTTTCAGATTGGAAGCAATTAGTGAGATTCTTGCGATAAGGGGAAGTGCTGAGCTTAACAGAGCCCAAATGATTATACAGTAAATATTATTCCAGCTCCGTTTACCTTCTAGTATTATCATTAAATCTATTTCATTTAGAAGAGACCCAGTGATGTTGTGAGCAAGGTAAAAATAATGAGGAGCTCATCGCTCACTTTGATGAGAGAAGGTAAAGAGGGTGGGTGAAGTGGGTAGTTTCTTTTTATTATTTTTTTACTTCCCCACAATTATCCTATGAAATGATTATCCACCAGGCTTTGCTATTCAATGGCAGTGTCAAAACAATTCGGTTTCCCCTGGCTGCCAAGCGCCTTCTCTTTCCCCCTCAGTCCTGCCGCCGTTCGGGGAAGTGTCGCTGTAAGCAGATTATTGCTTTAAAGCATTTACACATATTAGTTTTGCTGCATCTGCCAGCTTTAGCAGGACTGCCGAGCCGCGGAAGTCCTCCTCGCTTTATTTAAAAGAAGAAGAAGAAGAAGAAAAAAAAAAAAGTTCCGCGCTGGGCTGCTCGGCGTGCTCAGCGCATGAATATGTTATGCATCTGTTTTCACCGGGTCAGGCTAGGGAGAGTGATTGATTTTTGGCCCCAGTGCACTTTTTGCGAAAATCTTTAAGCGAATACGGTGTTGTTTAATTGGAAGCGTTCGAACTAGACGTGCTGCTGCCAGTGCTGGAATTTCTGGAAATTCGAGGCTGCGGACTGCGTCGCTCCGCGGCCGCGTTGGCTGCGGCTGCGGCTGCGGTTGCGGCTGCGGCGGGAGTGCGGGCGCGTGGCCCTAACCCGCGGGGTGACCTACATCCCCATCGCTGCTGCGTGCCCGCGTGCGTGCGCGCGCCTGGGTGTGGGGGAGAGTTTTTTTTTTTTTTCTTTTAAGCCTGTAGTTGGAAGGGAGGAGGTTCCAATTAAAACCAAAATAAGCTGCTTTAATGGTCTTTTAAATTGACACGTGAACAATGATTTTAGTATTGGTATCTGTCAAAGGTCCTAGGAAATCCTCAGCTGATAAGGCCCAATGCTTCCAATTAGGAACCGTGCAGATCTGCAGCCAATAATGATTTCTGGGTCCCTGCAGAAATGCTGCAGACACTTATTGCAAATTACTGACAAAAAGCTCTGCTGTATTGATGAGAGGAAGTACAGGCGGCTTTCGGTGTCCCCGTCAGGTATACCTCATAATGAGAGAGCTTGAAGTTTTGACTTAGCCTTTTTCCTTCCCTCCACCCTTAAAGCAGCATTTCATTGATGAGTAAAAATCTCGCCTCCCACCAGCTTTAAGCATGTTAGACATTTCTTCCCAGATTTTTTACACGAAGGCCACTAATTTGATGTCAGGCTCCGGCAAAGCTCTCATCAATATTATCTACGAGTGCTGCCTAATACAGCTCCAACGCCCGAGGAATCAAAATAAGCAAATCTTTGAAGGTTTTTCAGGCACCAAAAGGCAGAGACCGAGAGAGAAAGGTGCGAGAAGTTTCTAAATGTGAAGCCCCCCTTTCCCAAGCGACGATCGGAAGAGCAATTAGGCTGCTGCTTTCTCCCAGTTCCAGTGTCCAGGCAGGTTTCTCCCCCGAAAGGCGGGAAAGGCGCGGGCTCGGGCAGGGACCGGAAAAGACCAGGCCCGAGGACCCGTAGCGCCCCGGCGCCCCCTGCGGTGACCCGCGGCCCTGCAGCGCGGGCGGCCCGCAGTCCCCCGCCTGGCTGGGGACCCGAGCCTGCAGCTCCTGGGCACCAATTGGGCTCCTGCATCTCCTGGGACTGTGCGAGGAGCCCCCATTACGTTCCTTGGTGTATACGTGTCTGTACAAACATATATGATTATTTTAATGATGCACATAATTATTTTATTTAAATCTTCATCCTCTCTTGCTTTGGTTGTTTGTTTCTGACTACCTCCAAGGCAGGCTAATAAGAAGGTTCATTTTTATTTTTCTTAATGATTGTTTACAGAGGTCCATCCAGGCTTTTTTATTTATTTATTTATTTTTTCCTGGCTATCTGCTAATTACCCGTTCCAGTTCTGAATGTTCAGATCTTCGCTGAAAGCTCCTGTCTTGCTCCTGACCCTAAGCGCGATTCGGTTTTCCTGCAGCTCCCCTATTTCTATTTCATTTCAAAAGGGCAAAAGTCTTGGTCGTGAGCGTTCGGCCCCGGAGTCCATGCCACGGGCGATGTGTGCCTCAGCTGTTCCATCAAAAGCCACTGTACTAACAGATCCTGACTGCACTTAGCTTTGTTTCCCTGATACGGTCATATCACATCAACCCGGACGCATGTGAAATTACATCCGCAACTTTAAGCATTTTGTTGCTATCTTCAGTTCGAACAATGTTGTCGATTCGGGACTACATTTTTTGGCAGTCCATAGCACATTTATGACAGATAATAGCTTATTATTGTTCTCTGATATGGCCGATTTTATGCCAAAGAATGAGGGCTTCTTTTCTCCTCCTCCTCCTCCTTTCCCTCCTCCCCTTCCTCCTCCTCCTCCTCCCTCGATGCACACCTCTCCCTCCCAACCTCGCCGATGCCTTCTCTGCCACCCCCTCCCCTTGCATTTGAATTTCCAGATAATAGGCTGTGACTTCTGGCTGCACGTTTATGGGTCTTTTCATGTTATCAACTTAGCTCATAGCGTGGAACTAAAGAACACAGACTGCAAGTGACAGGCCAGCCAGTCAGCAAGGCAAGCCTGTCAGTATCTCTCATCCACTAATGATTTCCCTTTAGTCTATTTTCTGTCTCATTGGCCGTTTCCTTCAAAAACAAAATTGCTCATTTAAATTCTTATGCCTGGGGCATTTTGGTCTTCAAATATTGTTCGAAAGTGAAAGGATTAGGCAAAATATGCTTTTTTAAAATGTTAATATATTTTCTGGTTCACTTTCTCCTCTGAGGCCAATTAGGAAATTTCTGCTGGCTGCATTAATGTCAAACTGACAACCCCAGCTATAATTACACTGTGCTTGAAACCTAACTTTCACTTGTGGGTAGATGGCTGCGTCTGGCAGTGACATTGAATTCACTCTGCCAGCTTTTGATCATTTAATCATTGCTCGCTTTCTTTTCCTCTTTGCTAGCTGATTATTTCACCTTTATTCTTTCTGTTGCAAAATGCAGTGTTGTCTTTCATTATTCACAGTTGCATTTTGCAAGGCTCATTAGTGCCATTGTTTCTTCAATTTGCTGTGCATGAGAATGGATGGTTCCTTCAAGTGCAGCAACCATATGTAAGTTGTTTACCTACTTGATTCGCCACATACATTGGTACTGTTTGACTTTAAAAATGCAGTATCTCTTTTAAATAGACAGGGTTCTTTACATCCCAAACACTGATGAAGGCGGTGTGTGTTTTACACTCTGTAGAAAAAAGCTGCAGGAGGGCTAGCCTCTTCATTTGTGAACCATCATGTTCCCTGGGAAGATAGATGACACGCCTCTATCAAAGGAGGAGGCCAGTGACTTTCTCCTTTGACCAAATTATAAACTAGGGTGCTCCTCAGCTCCCAGAGGGGATCTCTTCATATTTCTTACCCCTTTGCTCCCTCTGGGTTAGTTTTTCTGCCTAGGCATGAAGAATGGGTGCTATGATCTACCCAGCTTTCCCCCTTTTAAAAGTTTTTTGGGTTTTTCCTCTCTGGGAAGATACTCGGATTAGGACTCTATGGCTGTGAAGAATTGCCATAGGCCTACTATCTGAACATAACCCGTGTTGGTTTCCTTTTCCTTCCTTCTGTTCCTTTAAAAAGGATATAGGAGCCTGCCTTTAGTCCAAGGAAACGGTGATGCCAACCCTGTGTAAATGTGTTGGGGCCCCAGGCTCCAAACTTGACCGAAAACCTACTGTCTTGGAGGCACAGAGCTCTGCCTTCAAATGGCCACAGGCCCAGGGAGAGGGAGCGGTTCAGAAAATACTGTGCTTCTGCTCCCTGTGGATTTCCAGGGCCTGCCGAGGGACTGTGCTGGGTAAGGGGATCTATGGCCCTCTTCATTCACTCCATGCCATGAGAGAGAACCTGGCAGTGTCAGATTCACTCCAGCGGGTCGGGGACGCAGGGTCTGGGTGAAAACAGCCTAGGTCGGCTATCTTGGACTCGGTTCCTCAGATTCTCCCCGCAAAGCCGGAGAGGCCGGGGCGGTCCTTGGGGCCTGGCCCAGAGTCGCCAGTCTAGTTCGGGAAAGAAGCCGCGCCAGGACCTCCGGCGTGGGGCAGAGAGCTGACTGAGGGCAGCTCCCCAGTGGTCCCCGCAACGTCCTCTGGCCGCCGGGACATGAAGACCTAGGCCCGGGTTCGAGGGCCGCGGCAATCTCCGAGGAAGGTGGGCTGGACCCGGGCTGCAGGGTGAATCTCATTGGGCGCTTCCGTCTCCCCGAAGCCGTTCCGCGTTTCCGCGGCCTCCTTGCCCCACGGCTGGCCTGTCATCTTCTGCCCGAGGCTCAGCTCGGGGCTCCAAGGTGGCGGGAGTCAGCACCATGCCTGGGACGTCTGACCCAAGCAGCAAAGGAGCAGGAAGGAGAACCTCTGGAGGAAGCGCAGGCAGCCATGCGGAGGGCGGGGAGGAAAAGCATATTTATTGGATTGGCATTTCTCTTAACAGAGCTCTTCGCTAATGATATTTACTTAACTGTATTTGACAGCAGTTACGAACACATCTCCGGTAAACAGGATCTATACTCCTTGCGCCTAAAACTGCCTGTCAGTTCCTAAGCCAATCGCAGTAATAACCGCTGGATCATTTTAAATGTGGCTAAAACCGACGTTGGACAAAATCAATCTGCCATATGCTGGCTCTGAAGGAAATCACTTGCACAGTTTGACGAATTGCTTGCAGTCCCTCCAGCAATCCATAACTCGCTTTCTTCTTCCCTCTCTCTCTGCACCCCCATCTCTCCCGTTTTCCTCGGAGCTCCTTCCCCCATTTTACCCTTTCTCGCAGATTCCAGGTAATCCGAAATGGCACTGACCCTTCTCATTCTCCGATTACCTCTCTGAAGCATGAACTTGGGATAAAATCACACATCAGAAAATTCGCCGTAATTATTTTGCGGTGCTATCAGCACCGATCAATCACGCGCGCGGCCCAGTGCTGGAATGCCTAGCGCAGCCCGGGACGCGGATCCGCGTCCCGCCTGACTGACAGTTTTGGTAATTAAGTGATTGTATAGACCTCTCCGGCTGTTCTAACAACCTTGTCAGGGCCTGTCTGTGGACAGAACAAGCTGAAATCAATGTGCTTCCTGCTCTCTGAGCAGTTCTGATCGTGTACTCAGACTGATCGGGGAGGAGGAATCTGACAAAAGGAAAACAGCAGCTCTAAACGATCGGATTAGGGGGAGTAGGTAGAAAGTTTACTTCTTTGATGGGGAGGGAAGAGCGAGAGACACGCACCAGATCACAAGAGCTTCGCTGAGCTGGGCAGCTGGCCCTGCGTGGAGCGAGAGGCTCGGTGCTTGTTACCCTCGGCCCCCAGGCAGGACTGGCAGTACTTTCCTCCCGCCCCCAAGGGGGTGCAGAGGCCTTCCGCGTTGTAGCTGATGGGCTCTGTCCGGCCGCGGACAGCAGCGTCCCCATACGCTGCAGCCATAACTCGGCAGTACAATCGTTTTCGCCCGGATTAGAGGCAGAGACTGGTGGCTCAGTGTAAATGTCACGCAGCAGCTTTTAATAAATGAATGTTCAGATTGTTAGATTGCGAAGTACATTGTGAGTTCTGTGCGCCTCCCCCCCGCCTTCCCAATCCGGCTTCGAATTCCCCCATCCCCCTATTTCAGCACACACATCACACCTCGGCGCACGTTACAAATATGTTACATATTCAGAGTGATCTCGCCACGGCGCCTGCGGGAGGGGCACTCTCCGAGCTTAACATCTACCTCGCCGAGGTCTGCGGGGCGCCCGGGCCGACCGCTGGCACCAGGAACAGGAAAAAGACCCTGACGGGACCTGCTCTGCGGAAGCGTCTTTTACAAGCCCACCCTGGAATTTCTGAAAGAAATTCCCTCTGGGAAGAGGGTCCTGAAAGCGCCGAACTAGGAGGCGGGACCTCCAGTTCTCGGCGGAGGGGCTCCAGTTAAGAGTATTTTAATTCTTTCACACCAGCCCTCCCAAATCTTAAAAACCTAACCAATTGAACGCAAACACACACAAAAGGGGGAAGGGAAGCAAAATCAATCCGCCGAGTTCAAAGCGCCGTGTCGCGGGAGGAGGCTGCAGGGTGCTCGGCGCAGGGCCGAGTGCGCAGCGGAGGGCCCCATCGACCGCGCGGAGATTGCGGCTCCCACCCGGCAGACATCCAGTGGGCTGTGTATGTTTGTGTGCGTGGTGGGGGGCGTCACGCCCTAATCCAGCCCGCCGCTTGCCTGTCTCTCCTCCCCTACCAGCCTGCAGCCGCCCATCCTCAGAGAGAAAAATGTGAGTGTGAGCACATTACGCACCATTAGGGACACACTACGGTTTTAATGTGGCCTAATTAGTGCCGCTAACCGAACAAATATTATTATATTGAATAATGATAATATGATGAAAATATTAATGCTTTGGAACTTTGCACGTGGGAGCCGTTCTCTCAGTTCTCCTGGGACACCCCAAGCACGCTCAGACCCACCAGCAGATGCGGTCGGGCGCACCTCCAGGAAGGCGAGCCCACAGCTCAAGACATACGTGTGTCATCGCAGGCACAGAAACAACACCGTGGGCCATGCCACAAGTCCCCCACCCACACATCGCCCACCACGCAAAAGAGCTTCTTCCAATGGCATTCTCTTTTTTTCTGTAAGAGTCGGTAAAAAGCAAACCAGACAGGAGTCCGCTAGGGTCTCTCTTTACTGCGCTTCTACTCGGCACCCCAAGAATGTTGCACTGGGCGCTCCGAGTGTGTTTGGTTTCAACAGAGGCTGCCAGGCAGGTGGAGCTGCGGAAAAAGGACCCACTCAATTAGCATTTAAATTCACAGTCCCTTCTTATTGCCAAATGTTTCTCCCCCGGGAATTTGGTGAAAAGCAGGAATTTAACAATTAGGAAATGCGGAAGGCTCCTCAAAATAGGGATTCGAAATCTTAATTCTCTTACCGATTTTGGAGGGCCAGGGGGGTGGGGAAGCGCGCGTGGGCTGGGTGGGAGGCACGTCTTGGCTGGCGTGCGTCCTCGTCCCCGACGCCCAGCACACCACCTCACTCTTCCCTTCTTGCACCCCCATCCCCTTCTCATGGAGCCTCGGGAGACAGAGCCACAGGAGGCTGGCAGTCCTGTTCTTGCTGCCTGAAGGCAGGTCCAGCTCTTTCCTGGTTGCTGAGCGGCACCAGGGCCAGGGCCTAAGCAGGGTTTTCAGAATGAGGCGTTGGGTGTGTTCCAGGAAATAGGGATGCAGGATCCAGGCCCTAGAGCGCCCCCTCTCGGGCTGAACTGCCTCCTACCCCTGCTGGGGGCCCACAGGTCACATCCCCCCGCTTTGCGGGAGCTCTTTCTAGGAGGAAACGTCGGTGTTAACTGCTGCTGAATGAGTTGTTCTTCGACGCAACTACTTACTCCCCGGGCGGTGTGTCTGGACCAGAAGTCGCTGCTTAGGCACTTGTCCAGTGGCGTATTCTGTAGACCTGGGAGAGACTGAGAAAGCTGACCGAGGCTGCCCCCAACCTCCGCGCCCCAAGGCCTCTCACGGTATCTGGGAACGCGGCCCCGCCTGCACCAAAGGCAGAAAACGGGGCGGGGAGGTTTCAATTTGTTCCAGTGATGGCTGTAACTTAATAAGGCGATTGATTAGCACTCAAAGTGCCGTTTTAATTAGCCGCTTGTTAATTAACATCGCAAATGAATTTCTCTTTCTCTGATTGGCATCTTTGCTCAGCGCTCTGAGGTTTTGGTTTCTCTTCTGCCTTGGCCCCTACATTCCCTCTTACTTAGCCTCAGGAGTTGATAGGCTTCAGAGTTCTGTTTATGTATGACATGGCTGTGTCACACAGGGGCCCTTTAATTTCTCCAGGAGCCGGCCTTCAAAGGACAATGGTTCAACTTAGGAGGGGTGAAACAAAATCCTTCCCCATGTCCCCCTCGGCTCTTCCTTCAATTGCCTTCACCTTGTCACCTTCCCAATCTCCACACCTGAATTGGAGGAGCCCTCTTTCTGGGCCTGCTAAGGTCACCAAGCCGTCCATGATTTGAAAATCTAGAAAGAAGAAAGGAAGCAAGAGTGCAGGTGGGGAAAAGAGGATACAGTCCTTGAGGGGACTGGATCACCTCTTGGGATCAAATCTAAGACTGTGTAACCGGCTGTATATGCTGCTGCCCAGGCCTGTAAACATGTGCAGTTAGTTCCTTTTCCCTCCAAAGTGTCAAAGAGTATTTTGTCTCTTCCGGCTGGACCCAGAAGAGACCCCCTAGAGCCAACATATGTCTACAGATTGCAGCCCAGCCCTACAGTCAGGAGATTAAAATTTTGGACAATTCATGGACATTTTTGCACCATTATTACCCTCAGCTACCATAGAAATCCCTCTACATCCCACTGCTTGAGATGCAGTCATGACTGAACACACTTCATTTCCTTTAGAAAGCTTTACTGTTCCCCCAACTTGTCCCAGTGTAAGACTCCCCACTCTCTTTCTCACTCCCACTGTAGCAGGTTCTAATTTGTATCATTGTATTTATGACAGTTTTCCAGCACAAGTTCTTGTCAAACCTGAGGTGAGTTGGTGTCCCAGTCTCAAGCACCTGGCATAGAATGAACATTCAATAATGTTTATCGATTGAGTGAATGAACAAAATGAATGAGGGAAGGAAGAAGTGAAAACAAATATAGCTACTGGGTGTTGCTTATGCTAGAGATCATTGCCACTTTTGTGTATAGTATTTAGCAAATGCTGCTTTACATTTTGTAAAGAGCTTTTACATAGAATGTCTTATTTGGTCATTACACTCACCCCGTTCTAATCAAGAACTAGTCTCCTCTTTAGTGGAGGAGGAATTTGGTAATTAAAAGGTTAAGTGCCTTGCCCACGAACACATAAAGTGGTAAAATGAGATGAAAACTTTCTTCTCCAGCGTTCTGTCCTCTACATTTCTGCTTACCTTCCTGTGGTTTGCCTCTGTACAACACACATCTAACTCCCAAGGAGAGTCAACTTCACTAGGTTCCTTCCAAACTGCTCATCTTTAAAATTTGGTGAAGCTTATAGCTCTTGCAAATTGTATTATGATATCAGAACTATCTCTCAAAACTTTCATTCCCCTAGAACAATTAGTAATTACACAGGTTATCATTTTAACTTCTTCCTGTTAACATACTTTTCAGTTACCTTATTTTTTTCTTTCATTTTATCTTTCTCCATCTGCTCCCAACTCCACTCTCCCAGTTTCAGTCTATTTAAGGGACTCAGTTATGTTCTTTTCATATCTTTCTCTCTCTGTTTTCTTTTTGGTCAGAACTGCCAGGATATTTCTCTTTAATGTATTATTTTTTCTAAGCAAATATGTATCAAATTCTTAAATAGTTGAAAAGATATTGATAAATTGAAAAAACAAAAAAGAAAGGAAACTTCCGACGTTTCTGTAGCTTTGAAATGGCGAGAGGTCAGACAATCGTCAGGGAGCCAGCCTTAGAAGGTGGAGAGCTCATTTGTTTATCTTGCATCTTTTATAGAAAGAAACAATAGCAGCTCCCTCCGTTCGGAGCTCTTGGCGCCGCCCAGTGGAGGGAAGCGTCTTTGCACCTCATTCCCCTTACTTGGCATTGTCATCATGTGGACCCTTAGAAACGTTCAAAATTAAATATGATAGGAAGAAACACCAGCTCCACGTTCATCGTAATGTGTGAGTGGATTTCTTCAAAGTTAAGTTTCATTTTTAAAAAACTGAATGCTCTAGTTTAAACACAATCTCAAATACTAAATCTAGATGGTGAAAGTGGATCGTAGAGAGTTTATCTAGGAACAAAATTTGTTAAATATTGAAGTGTTTGAATCATTCTCTGAGATGGGAAAGGAGCATCTTTGATGCTGATCGGCAGTGATGTGTTCTTCAGAGCCGGGAAGGAAAAGTTTGTTCTCTGTTACCCACAGTTGGCAATAACTGCTTTCTAGGCCAAAATTCCAAAATCTTCCAAAAATTACACAAGTTTCTTTTTTTCTCTTCCCCTTCTCCTTCTTCTAAGGAAATGAGGGCCTGAAAGTGAATGAGTTTAATATTTAAACTCATGTCAGTTTAGAGACTCTATTTATTTGTATTTTAAATCCAGTGGGAAAATCTAAGATTAAATCCAGTTAAAGCATTTTCTTTCGTTTAGAAATATGATATATCTGCACCCTATTGTGTTTCTGAATTGTGATTTTTAAAAATGAAAAGTGAATTATGTTTGCCAGAAAATGCATGACTTCTTGGATGTATACATTATATACTTTCAGAAAAAAAATGCGAGAGAGGAATGTGTCTGGAGAAAAAAGAACTGAGAAAAGTTAAACAAAACTCCAGCTCTGAAAAAAAATTTTTCATTAAGTTTGCAATTTGGTCTTCAAGTCCATTTTGTGAATCTTCAGGCCACTACTAACATAGCAGCCTTGATAAAAGTCAAGGTCGTGTTTTCCCCTTACCGTTATTGCTCCTGGAAGCTGATCTAACACCCACCCAGAGAACTCTTCTATGATATTAACCTTTTCTTAAGAAAATATGATCTGAGACATTCACAAAGTGGGGCCTACTGGGTTCCCTTTTGCTTTGCTTTAGAGTTGTCACAAAACACGCTCTCCCCTGCCCCCAACACTTCCACGTTTCTCTCTCCTTTTCTTTATAGATTTCATTTTTTTTGTAGGGTCATATCTCCATCGTCTCCCCTGCCAATGCTGTGAATTATTCCAAGCAAAAAGACCCTGTCGAACCGCCCAACACAAGCTGTGCGATCAGCCTTTTGAGCTCTTGAGTCATTTTAGGCGTCGGAACAAAACAAAAACAGGCTTAAATGAATTATTTATCAAGGTCGAGAATAATTGATTTGTGCAGTGCCGTCAGTTCTGGATTTTAAATTTGTTTTCTCCCCCTCCCTACTTCCCACCCTGAATATGCAGCGAGGGGAGTTCGAGTTGGAACCTCCCAGGGCTAGGAGAAAACGCACCATATTCGGGAAGTTGGTGGATGATGATGTTGGAATGGGAAGAACCCTAATCGATATTTGAAGAGGGTAGAGTAGGTAGGGTCAGCCTGCAGTCTCGGGCAGCCCTAGAGCCCTTCCTGTCCTCCCCACAGCGGTCAACTGTGACAGAGGCGCAGGATATTTAGGCTGCGAAGCTGTGCAGCGTCGGGCCCTGCGGCCTCGGATAAGCCACCTCCACAAGTCTACCGTCTGTGTTTCGGTAACCGCGGCCGAAGGCCGAGGCCGAGGCCGAGGCCGAGCCCGCGAGCTCTCCGGAGGGTCTCCCGGGCCAGCACTCAGTTCCCGCGCCAAAGGCATTTGATCCAACCCCGCTCCAGCCTACAGTGGCCCGACCCCACCCGGCGGGGCCCAGTCACCCGTTCCCGAGGGCCTCCCCGCACCCCTCTGGCCACTGTCGGCCCCTGCCGGGATGGAGCACGTCCGGAGTCCCCGCCTCGGCTCACCAACCCCGTCTTCTCCGCCAAACTCCCTTCGCCTTCCGAGAAGAGCGAGAGCTGCCCGGATTGTGCATCTCCTTGCCTCCGTCCCTTCAATCCCCGCTGTTCTCTCGGAACAGCCCTAGGAAAAATGCCACTGAGACGATGAGAAACAGCTCAACCCACCCTCCAAGTAGTGCTGTTTTTTTTTTTTTTTTTTTTTTTTTTTCTGGGTCAAACACACCGATTTCCCTAGGAAAACGCAGGCAGGATGAGTCGCCCAGCTACCCGCTTCCGGACCCAGGGCTCACACAGAAGCAGTTCCGACCGAAAGGCAAGAGCTTGTCCCAGGAGGTCATTTGCCTCCCTGACACCCCTCCCTTCGTCCTCAACAGATAAAAGCTGTGGCCCAGAAAGTGACCTCCAGAACTGCAACTAAACTCCAGATTTCGGCCCAGCCTTTGGAGACATTAAAGGCCACTCGAACATCATTCCAGACCTAGCCACGGAAGCGATGCCCGCCTCGCAGATTCATAGGGTTCTTAAAATGGTAATTTGGAGTAAAATGTAACTCAAAGAACTTTGAATCATTCATTAGCACCTTATAATTACTCTGCTAATTAGGTTGACACGGCACTTAATCAGGAGTAATACGCCGTCTTGTCACTGGCACTTCCCATTACTCTGACATTCAACATGAGACAGGTTGGAGACGTCCTAGAGAAAATAATGCAAGTTGATACACTCCAACGAGGCGTTACAGTCATGCTCCGGGTCCCAAGTGGATCCGCAGTGACTGTTTCCTTTCCAAATGAGCGCTCGCCGAAAGGGGCCGGGGGACAGAGGTGGACGGACTGCCGCGGGGCGCGGCAGGGGCGCGGGCTGCAGACCAGCCGCTATGGGTCCTGAGCCCCGCGCCCGCCCGACACCGCAGTGAACCGTGGCTGCCCTCGCCACCAGAGAACGCCTCGGGCATTAGCTCCCCCGTTCGGGAGAAAGCGTCTGGCCAGGCATTTTTTCCAGCTGGAGACCAGGCTGGTTCCCCAGCTTGGAGCCTCAGGCCTCGTCCTCCCCGAGAGCGCCTGGTGGACGCGGACCCGGCTGTGTCCCTCTCAGGGATCCGCCTCCCGCCGGGCTGAGCCCGAGCGCCTGGGTTCGTCGGGCGAGAAATCAGAGCCCAGAGCCGACCCGCCCGCTTATGCAAGGCTCCGGCGCCTGAAGTGACACACTTTTCTGTGGATTCCTTCAGGGATCTCCTTCCTCCGCTCTTAATGTCTTCGGACTATTCCCGCGCGCGTTTGGGGAGGCTGCGAGGGCCGCCGCGCTGGAGCCTAAAGGTAAGTCCCTTCCCGTCCTCTTCTCTCTCTCTTCTGACTTAAGAAAACGGGCGAATCCTTGCTACTTTTTTTTTTCTTTCTCCCCTTTGGTTCCCTTTCTCTGGTCTCCCTCTGATCTCTTCCTCCCTCTCCCTTTGCCTCGCACTCGTGATTGTGGACACCGGGACCACTGGACTCGGAGTTCGGCTCAGGGCTGCGGGCTCAGGGATGTGCGGGTTCTCAAAAGAGCAGCGGAGTCCGAGCCGAGTCCGCTGACGGGCTCACGAGCGCTGCGCCTATTGGCTCCCTGGCACGTCGGCGTCCCTCGCTCGCGCGGGCGCGGCCAATAGGGGCGCGGGGCCGGACGCGCGGCCTCGGTGGCGGGGGCGCGGGCCCGGCGCGGCGCGGCGCGGGGAGCGGCGGTAGTGGCCGTGACGTCACGGGAGGGGGTCGGCGCCGCCCGCCAGCAGCCGGATTACAAGCGAACGCGCCCGGCAGCGGCCGGAGTCGCCCGGCATCGCGTCTCCGCCGCTTCCTCCTTCTGTGCCTGCTCCTTCTCGTCGTCCTCCTCTTCCTCCTCCTCCTCGGGTTGCCGCAACCGCTGCGGCCGTGTCTGCCCCGCAACTTTCCAAGAAAGTTCAGAAACTCGGCTACGGGGCTGCCGAGTGGCGCGCGGCTGCCACCTCGGGAGCCGCGGGGGAGTTCCGAGGGCGCGCGGCCGCCCGGGCTTCGCGGTCGCTGCACCTGCCGCGTCCGCCGCCGCCACCGCTGCCGCCCGGTGCCAGGCTGTGGGCAGACCCCGGCAGCGGCGGCGGCGGCGGCTTTGGCGTAGCTTCCCGCCGCCTGCGCCTTCGCCTTCGCCTGCGCCTTCGCCTTCGCCTTCGCCTTCGCCTGGGTCCTCCGCGCCGCCACCGCCGCGCCACGTGCGCAGTCGTTCCTGGAGCGCAAGTTCCGAGTTTTCTCAGAAATTTTTTTAACTCCCCCCGCCCCCCGCATCTTTTTTCTTTCCACCCCTACTTTTTGCATAAAAGAAAAAAAGTTGTGTCGAAAGTATCCACAGATTGCCACTTCCCAATTACCCTTCCTTCTCTCCCCGCCCCACTTTTTTTTTTTTAAGCGGCGGCAACATTGTTTGGTGTTTATTTTGTTTTACGATCGATAGCTTTCTTCGCTGGTTCGGGGCGGCTGCTGAACGGCGGAGTGGCGTGGACCTCATGTAGCAATGACAATGGAAGGGGCCAGCGGGTCGAGTTTTGGAATAGACACGATTTTGTCCAGTGCCAGTTCAGGCAGCCCAGGCATGATGAATGGAGATTTCCGCCCGCTCGGTGAGGCCAGGACCGCGGATTTTAGGAGTCAGGCCACCCCATCTCCCTGTTCGGAGATTGATACCGTAGGGACGGCGCCTTCTTCTCCTATCTCAGTCACCATGGAGCCCCCGGAGCCGCATCTGGTAGCAGACGCGACCCAGCATCATCACCACCTCCACCACAGCCAGCAGCCGCCGCCGCCGGCCGCGGCCCCGACGCAAAGTTTGCAGCCTTTGCCCCAACAGCAGCAGCCGCTGCCGCCACAGCAGCCGCCGCCGCCGCCCCCCCAGCAGCTGGGCTCGGCCGCCTCGGCCCCCAGGACTTCCACGTCTTCTTTTTTAATTAAGGACATCTTGGGCGACAGCAAACCTCTGGCGGCATGTGCACCCTACAGCACCAGCGTATCCTCTCCCCACCACACCCCGAAGCAGGAGAGCAACGCAGTGCACGAGAGCTTCAGGCCAAAGCTCGAGCAGGAGGACAGCAAGACCAAACTCGACAAGCGGGAGGATTCCCAGAGCGACATCAAATGCCACGGTGAGTCCCGCCACCCGGCGCTCTCGGCCGTCTAGCTTGTCCTCCTGGTTCCCAATCTCCCCTTCAGCCTTCAGCAGATCTCTGCTGGGGAGCGATTCCAGGAGCTTCTCGGGCGACTGGGCGACGGTCAAAAGACTGCAGCTGAAGGGAGGCCTGGGCGTGCGATGTGGGGACTCCTCGAAGTTCTGTTTATTGTTCTACCCCACAACCTTCACGGCCATCCAGCTCCTTCCTTTGTTTTATTTAATTTTAATCTACTGGGGGTTGAGGGGCGGCGGAGGGCATCCGACAGGAAATACTTTTCGTTGATAAAAGGGATGGACTTGGGGTTTTTCTAGCCTAGACTTTGGGAATGGGAATGGGGGGAGGTAGGAGAGAGAAACCACTTAGCTAGCGTGGGTGTGATCACAACCTGGTGTTTATTCTTTAGTACAAGTGATTTCACCCCCCCCCCACTTTATTTTCTTAACATCATCACAGGAATTATCGGTTTTAATGGAGGAAAAATTTCTGAGTTCATGAACAGAGCAACTTTAAAAAAATTAGATTGTGGTTAGCCCGTAAAAATTTGTAATAAGTTTCTTAAAAGCACCCTTCTTACCCTATGGCCTCAACTGAGTATCTGTATCCTACAAAGATTTTTGGCCCCTTACAAGTACTTAGGAGGTAGTATTTATAAAAATAAAATCTTATGAAATTGGATTAATCTCTTTTTTGTTAAAAAAAAAATAAGATGACAATGGAAATTGTCCTTCAACTCCCTTTTTCCATTTTCTCATCAGACAATTTCATAAGTAAATGTGGTAGTCTTTGCATGGCAAAAGTTTTAACATACCAGGAGAGCTTTTTCTTCCTTTACAGACACATTGTTTATTATTATTGATCCTTGTTTTTCTGGTAAAGAAATGTACTGACTGGAAGGTAGGATGTTGGCTCCTCATTTTACTATTATAGCATTAGCATAATAGTGTCCAAAACAGATGTACAGTCTGGTCTGGCGATTTTTTGTGCACCAACCTCCCCAGTGGGTCAATTAGAGAGATTATTGTTCTTCCTGCAGGGAAGATCAAGGAGCACTGCACAAACGGGTACAAACAGGGAGGGATTGACATATCGATTTCCCAGCATTTCAGTAAAAAACCAAAGTTGACAAATAGAATCCGGAAATCTCCATGCTGTCACCTGGATGGGCTCAGTGATTTTGAGCTCAACTCGGTGTCTGGGTGACATATTCTTTGTGAAGCTTTAAAAGACCTGATGCAGGTGGCTTCAGAAAGCTTGATTCCAACATTTCCCAAGTGCATCTGAAAAAGTAAAACAAACACCTATAACTTTCAGAAAAGAGAAAAAAGTAAAATGAAAAAGATGCTGCCTCCTCAAAAAAAAAAAAAAAAAAAAAAGAGTAGAGGGACCCTTTGAAAAATCACCACATCAGTGAAACAAAGTCATACTGAAAACAATAAAGAAAAGGGACAGCATCTCTCTCAGTCAAGGAAACAATAACAAAATAACCCTTTTCAAAAGTTTTATTTAAAAAAATTTTTACTTTTTAACTTCCAACCATGTGAAGATCAGACACCCTTTTAGACCCCCTTTAGAAACTCTAAACAAGGTCCCATACTCTCCAGTCTGAAAACAATCCTCTTCCTCCACACTCAGGCTAAGGCGTGAGTGTGTGTGTGTTCTAGGGGTGGCAGAGTGCAGTCCCCCGAAGCCAGTAGTTGGCTTGGGAATGTGGAAGTGTATGCCAGGAGGACACTCAGTCCTTCCCCATTCCAGGCTAACTTACCACCGTGGCTGGGTTTCTATGGTAGGGACAAAGGAGGAAGGAGACCGGGAGATTACGAGTAGCCGTGAGAGTCCCCCTGTGAGAGCCAAGAAGCCTCGAAAAGCAAGGACAGCTTTTTCCGACCACCAGCTCAATCAACTGGAGCGTAGCTTTGAGCGGCAGAAGTACCTGAGCGTGCAGGATCGCATGGACCTGGCTGCAGCGCTCAACCTCACTGACACCCAAGTCAAGACCTGGTACCAGAACCGCAGGTAAGGGAGGCACTTTGGGGGAGCAAAGGTGTCTGGCCATTTAAGTCATGATCATTATACCAATCTTCTTCCCTCCTGGCCTCCAGAGACTCTAAGGACTGAGAGTGACCCTGGAGTGGGCACTTGGGTGCTTTAAGGATGGGGCAGGGATGAGCCACACCCCCAAGGTGAGAGAGACCAAAGGGCAGCTGGAATTTGGACAATTTTGCAATTCTATGTGCTTTAACAGGTGCTACTTTTCCTCTGAAACCCGAGCCGCTGGAATTCCCCCCACTTCATCCCCAAATCAATGAAGCCACACCTTCTCAAATTGAGACATCTGTGCAGCTGACACTTAGGTCCAGAGAGCCTGCGCGGTGCACCCCTTGGGCCCACCCCAGGCTGGTTCCAAAGGTTTGTAGCCAACAACACGGCCCGGCCCAGCTATTGCTATTCCCACAGAGCTGTCCCACCAGCCTCGGCGTAAATGTCCTTGCTTTGGCCTGTGAGGCGGCTGGGAGAAGCAGGATCCAAGCCTTGGTCAGTGTAGCTGCAGAGACTAGGAGAGCCCAGCTGGGTTAGAGTAGGTTTGGCAGCCGCAGCCTGGAGAATCGGCGGCTGGCCAAGCATCCGGACAGGGAGAAGGAAGGAGTGTGGGTCTGTCCCCTGTACTGGCTGCCTCTGCTGTCTCAACATGGAGCTAGAGTGCTGCAGAGCCTGCCTGGCACTGCTCCTTCTCTAGAAGGGAAATTAAGAAAGCAAAAGTGACTGCCAGTGCTCGCAGGGCCACGAAGTGTAGAGTGGAACCTGGGCAATCTGAGGCAGAGGTTTTGCTGTGTTTTCAAGCCTGGCACTCATCTCCTTGTCTCGATTTTCTCTACCCCTCCTTTTCTCCCGTTTGTGTTCTAATCGTCCATAAGTGCGGTTGGAAATGCCCATCCACTTGTCATCTTTACCATAATTTTCTGTCTCATTACATACGGTTTCAGCCACCCTAATTCTGTCGGAAAACATTAGTGTCATTTGTAGCCAATTTAAAATGGGCGACATGTTTATTAATTTGGCTGGAGCTGCCGGGTATGGATGGCCCACCAGCCCTGCGTTCCTTCATAAGGTATTTGAGCAAACGCCCGCTCTCTTCTTCCTAGCAGGGTGTGCAGCGGGGGAGGGAGGAGACTGAGAAAAGCTGATCACAGGTTTTAATTGTTACTTTATCTCTGAGGAGGAAATACCTTGAAATGCATTCACCCCCACCTCAGAATGGCCAGGAGGTACTTTGCCCTTGGGAGAACCCTCCCTCAAATGAATTCCATTTTGAGACCTTGTTGCCATCCTCCCCTTAAGCCCCCTGCCCACTGTAAGGTCCTGTCAGGCTTATGAGAGAAATATGTCTCCCAGCCCTGGGGACTGAGAGGGGCTGGGGTCCCTGGCTTAGGAGTCTCTGCATCCCTTTGTTTACGGTTTCTTCTCTCACAGCCTGGCGGGGAAGGAAGAGGGGCTGAGAGCAGACTCTTTGGGATTGTTGGGAGTTGGGAGATGTGGAAGGGGAACTAAGGAAGGAGGAAAGTGACTGCTTGTGGAAGTCTCCTTTGGCCCTAAGGAAAGTTTCCAGAAGTAGCCAAACTACAAGGGGGGCGACAGCAGAGCAGAGGTTTAGGAAAAGGAAGCAAGGCCTGTAGGATTTCATTTGTGAGGGTCTCAGCCACTGAAGGTGTAATTTACAAAACTGGCTTTGGGTTTGGGTCTTTCTGGGAGCAAGGCTGGGGCAGGAGATGTGGTGCATTGCCAGTTTGAAGAGGTCTCTGAGTCTTCCTGCCACCCAGGGAGAATGAAGGAGGAGGCAGGAAGGGGCCAGAGAAGGGGCCGGGTCTTGGTGCCTGGACCATGCCCACAGCTGCTGGGTGCCTGCACACCCGCTTTCTTTCAGGACCAAGTGGAAGCGGCAGACAGCGGTGGGCCTGGAGTTGCTGGCCGAGGCAGGGAACTACTCGGCGCTGCAGAGGATGTTTCCATCGCCTTATTTCTATCACCCAAGCCTGCTGGGCAGCATGGACAGCACTACGGCGGCGGCGGCTGCCGCTGCCATGTACAGCAGCATGTACCGGACTCCTCCAGCACCCCATCCCCAGCTGCAGCGGCCCCTGGTGCCCCGTGTGCTCATCCACGGCCTAGGGCCTGGGGGACAGCCAGCCCTTAATCCATTGTCCAGCCCCATCCCAGGCACCCCACACCCCCGGTGAAAACATTGCAGCGAAGGCACTGCAATCCCTTCCCCATATCCCTGCCCAACCCGGACTGCTGCCCGTCCTCTCCCTGCTCCAGGCCACTAGGCCTCCCTTGCAGCCAACTCTGGAAGGCAGAGGAGTAAGAGAGGAAGATGCTTACCAGTGGGCAGGGGACCCCCAAAGAGGAGCCAGCCCTCTGCTCTCCATCTCCCCACCCCTAGAAACAGGGCTGGAAATCTCCCCCACAGCAGTGTGACTGGTGAAAATGCTGACCCCACACAGAGTGCAACCAGTAAGTGAAAACATCAACAAAAACAAAACCTCAAATTCTTTTTCAAAAATGACTTTAGGGACAAGCAGGAGGGAGGGAGGGGGGAGGGCTAAGGAGGGAAGAAAGAAGGGCACGGAGCGGAAACAGCACAGGCAGAGTGAACTATATATGGACAGCCTCAAGTGCTGAGGCAAAGGGCGTTGCCGAGGACATTCCGTCTGCCCCAGAGAAAAGAGGAGGGTAACTGAGAACTTTGCACTGATTTCTCATGACCTTTTTTCTTTTGGAAAAGTGGCATGCTCCATAATATGAAAAAAATGTACATTTGAAAGACTGAGTGATAAGTGATATATCATATTTATTATATGTTGTCCAAAAAGAGTCACTTATATACGTTAGTAAAAACATGATTTTTCTTTTCATGTCTTTTCGATTCAGTAAAATAAATGCTTAGACAAAAATATAGATTTTTTTGTGATTGAAAATTACAAAAATAAAGTTTATCTTTTTTTAACAAGTGATGAAATCCAAGGGAGCTGATTTTACTAAAGCAGAATGTACTATGATGAAGTGCTGACTTGGTTTAGAACAACAAATTTCTTCTGAAATATTAGGAATTTACAAAATCCGTAAAGAGGTTGGGTTGGCTTGTATAAAAGCAGCTCCATTTTTCGTGCTGGCCTCTTCCGAACCATTATTTGATATGTATGAGTTCCTTTCTTTTTAAATGGATGGTTTCAAAGCAACCCAGGAGGCTGTGGGAGAAAATCTGTACTTGCAGGCTGCGGGTGCTGGCTAAGTCGGCGGCCAACTTTGCTGCCGTCCTGACCTGCATAGAGGCCCCAGCTTCACCGGTGTGGTGATCCCTCTGTCCTCCCCTCCTCCTTCTTCTAGGGGTCTTCCTGGGGCAGCGAGGGTCCGAAGCGCTGGGCAGCGATGACAACGCCGGCAGGGGCTGGGCGGCAGGCGGACGCTCCTCGAGCCTCGCAGCTGTTCTGCTGCCCGCGGCTGAGCGCCGGCGAGGTCGGACAGCCTGTGAGCGGGAGGCTGTGGGACGAGCAATTAGGACGCCCCCGGGGGACTTGGAGAGGGCCAGCTAACAAACCCTTGTGGCGGCTTTGATCGTTGCCTTCTCAGTCCCTGGCGGCGGGCGTCCAGCCCCCAGCCCCATGCGGAGCCGCTTGTCCTAGTGAGTTCGTTGTGCTGCGATGCCTGGAGTTCCTTTGCAACGGTGAACTCAGGCTGAGACTGGCTGCCAAGCCTTTTATCTGCACCCCTGGGACAGCTGGGACTGCAAAATAGGAGACCCTGCCCAGAGTGTGGAGGAGGCCCGCTGCCTGCTTTAGGAGTGTGTGTGAGTGTGTGTATGTAAGTAAATGTTTGTAGCACCCTGGCCTAAGTCAGTCATAAGCACCACCCCTCACCCCCCGCCAGGCTGGCTCCCCACCAGGCTCAGTGCTCAGGACTGTATGAAGGAGCCACTTAGTGGAGCATACAGTTCCCAGGTTGCTCCTACTCCTCTCCAGCCCCCGGGTCACTTCCTGAGTAGCCAGAGTCAGACCTCCTATCTGGGCATCCTCACATTTCTATCCTCACTCCTGCCCTAGTACAGTGACAAAGGGGTAATACAAGCAGCTAAAATACATCTGGACCTGGCCTCCAACTTTCTCTGATGGTTGAACCTTAGTGTAGTTAAAAATGTTTTTAAAAATGTGAAGTGATGTGGGAATGTATATTTAGGAGGGGTGGGAAAGAAGGAGGGAAGAAAAGTGAAATCCAGGTGGAAATTGCCTGGGGGCACCTTGATCAGACCTTGGCTAATTAGGAAGTGGTTTGCAGATTTCTCTCCAGCTCATCAGTTTGCTTTAAACTTGGTCTTGGTCTTGTTTGATTCTAACAAAAGGGTCTGGACTGGCCCTTCTCATTTTCTGCCTGCTTAGCTGAGACAAACTCAGCTAGCTGGGCTTGGCTGGAAATTGGGCGCCGCTATGTCCAGTTAGGATGTCCAATACCTAGGCACTTAGCAGACCCTCCTTGTTTCATCTTGCAGTTGGGTTTTTTGATCAAGTTTAAACAGTTTAAAAGTGGTCTGCCTAGGCCTAAAAAGGCACTCTCCAAGGTTTGAGGGTGCTATAGCTTCTGTTTGCACTGAAACTGGGGCTGGTCAACTCTAGGCACAAGGAGGGATTTGAGAGGCCACAGAGTTTATGCATACAAAGAATCTTTACAAAGAATTAACTCAGATCCAGGTATGAAAAACACACAAAACTACAAATCCAAATAAGGCCAGAGCACCCATTTGCTGCCAGCAGTCCCCAGCCACCTGCAGGATGGTGGGCCGGGAAGTCTGCCCACTGCCGCTTTACACTCAAGGCTGAACTTGGACTCCTGAGGTGGACAATGCAGGGGGAAGCACTGTGCCTACAGAGACCAAGATCTCTTAATCAACCTCATATTGCTCTGCTGCTAGCAATTACTCAGGATCCATTAGGGTCCTCCCCAAATCCAAGTTTCTTCAAAGTCATGTTTTCTTTCACCCCCTAAATCATGCAGCTGAATGTGTCAATGTCCTTTCTAAATTTGTTTGGTTACCTGCTGTTGCATACAAGTTGGCAGATTGGATGTTGTGGGGTGGGGGATATTGTCCCAGGAAGAAAGTTGGGTGGGTGCCTGGTTCCTTCCTTCCTTCCTTCCTTCCTTCCTTCCTTCCTTCCTTCCTTCCTTCCTCCCTCCCTCCCTCCCTCCCTCCCTTCTCTCCTTCCTTTCTTTTTTTCTTTTATTTTCCTTTCTCTCTTTCTTTCTTTCTTTCTTTCTTTCTTCCTTTCCTTTTCTTTCTTTTCTTTCCTTCTTTTTCTGCAGCAGTACTGCAAAGGGCACCTCAGCAGGTGCCCTAGTATTCAAAAGTCACCTGCTTAAAAGTCAAATGCAAACTCAATTTTTTTCTTCACAAAGGGTCCTTCTTTCCTTCTGTGCCTGCTCAACTAAATTAGGAGGTTGGCTAGGAGGTGAAGAGTGCAACTCCAGGTTTTCTGAGAAGCAAGGAACAAGGTAACAGGCAGAGGCCTATTCTCATGGGAAATCTGGAGTTACAGAGAAGCAGAGGACAGCTGTCCCTGGGAACTGTACTCTTTTTCTTTTTTCCCACCTTCAGCTGGTGTCTGAAGGGCACTCCGTGGCTGGACTCCATTTAGATTGCTCCTTTGATTAAGTCGGAGGCTAGAAAAACAGAGATTTTCAGTGGCAATCTTTGCTTCCTACAGAAACACAGTAATACAAAGTTATTTCAGAGAGACGTTTAAAGACCTACAAAGGCCTCTTAGATTTGCCAACACCAAGATCAGCTCAGGGACCCCAGCAAACCTACACAAATCTGTAGTGAGTGTGAAGGAAGAAGTTAACTCCCCGGCTAGCAGCCAGCTGTTCTAGCCCAAACTAGTGATTTTTCAATGAGTTGCAAAGTAGTGATTGCTTCTTGGCTCCATGCCTCCAGCAAAGATACCTACCACCCTGTATCCGTTTAATTTTGCTCCACCCCTTAAAATGAAAGCCCACACGATGGCAAATTAGACAGTTGATTTCCTCCCTTGCAAATAAAACTGCTTACTCTCCCTCCTCCTCCCTCCCTGCCATCTGACTCCTGCCTAGGCAGCCCTTCCCCAGGAGTCTGTCGGATCCCACCTCCCCTCTTTAAACAAGTGGCTTGTGAGTAGTTTGTTTTGTTATATTTTTAACTTTCTAAAAATATTTGGAAAAGCTCTCCCCAGGGCTAGGGAAACTTTAGTTCTTGTTAAGCCACGTGGTTACAAAAATGTACTGGAAGAGAGCTGCCTGGTTTTTGAAAAAACCAAGCTTGAAGTCAACATGCTTGGAAAGAATGAGACTTTTCACCACTGGTGGACATGCTCAGGGGCGGGGTCAAGCCTTGCAGGGAAATGATGTTTCTTTTGCATCTCTGAATCTTTGGTGAGGGAATTCGGGCTTGCTCTGTACCCTGGCTGTTGACTAGAGAGCGGTGTGCGCAGATGAGTGAGTGGGGGCCTCTCCAGGGATTACTCCTATGGACTCTGGAACAGTATCCCCAAGCTCCTTAAGTCTCCCACTAGGTCTTTACCCAGTCCCACTTTTTAGTCATCTCCAGGCTTCTTTGCTAACATTTGTGTCTTTTTCTGGAGTTAGGGCCACTTATCATAAGGGTCCAGTGCCGAGTGCCCTGACTTCTTACCTTATCCCCAGGGCTGGGTAGGGGTAAGTGAGAGGGGTGTGTGGGGCTGTGGGGAGGTGTGCTTTCAGAGAAAGGGAGGTGTCATTGGCCTCTTGGATTAGAAAACCAGGTCATCTGTCTCGGGGCGATGAGATGACCCAGAAGGGACTATTTCCCCCGGTCCTTCCGGCTGAATTTTGAAGGTCTTTGTCAGTTTGAGTGTTGCTGGGTGGACCGTCTCGGTTAACCTTACATTCTCAGTTTGTCTCCTCTCTCCTCTCCTTGTCCACTGGGTCTCCCGCTCCCGGTTTCTGTGTGCTAGCACCACAGACAGCTCCCAGGGCGCCGGGTGGAGCTAGGTAACCTGGGCTGGCGGGTTCCGGGTAAAAGCCTAGGCGGCCGCAGCGGAGGCGTCTAGGAAGGGTCGGCGGCGCCCGGGGGGAGGTAAGCAAAGTGATTACAAAGCAACCTCCCCGGCAGCGTTTCCTGATTAGCTCTAAGTCCAAACAGGGTCACATTCCAAAGAACAAAATCTTCAGATCAATAAAGTAATTCAAAAACCCAAAGATCTCGGGGTAAGTAGTGCTCAGTGACAGATCAACTGTGAATCGTCCCTATTTAATAAGTTCTTAGTGGAAGCCGAGGAGGGAGGAGCCGGGCCTCAGGTCTGCGGCTCCAAGACCTTGCGCCGCGGCTGCGACGAGGTGGCCGGCGGAACCCTTCTAACTGGCACATACTTCCTCTGTTCGCACAGCTCGGAGCGCGCTCGGCGAGCCGCCGCCTCGGCCACCGCAGGCAGAGCAGAAGCGCTCCCGAGGCAGCAGCCCTGCAGGTCGCGCTGGGCCCAGGCCCTGCTCCCCACCGCGGCTCTCAGCCCGCGCCCTCTCCCTGCAGATTTGGGTCTCTCCCAGCTCTTGCTACTATCTGGTCTGGGACAGCGAGTCGCCCCTGCGGGAGCTCCGCCGAAAAAAGAGGACCTTCGCGAGAGCGAGATTGAACTTGATTTACGATAAAAGGGCCCTGTCACTTTGTGGAGCTGATGGATTCCCGCCCCCACCCACCCCCATTCCCGCCGTCAGACTTCATTCTTTAGTGAAGAGGCCCTCAGTGTGGCTGTCCTCCCGCCTCCTCCTAACGATTCGCATACACGTCGCAGCCAGGGATTTGGCGCGGCGGCCTTGAAGCCCAGCCGCGGCGCGCCGGCTCCGTGCGGGTTCTTGCTCGGCGCGTACCCCAGCTGGGCCCCGCGCTCCTCCACCTTCAGGACCGCCCGGCCGCCACGAGTTCCTGCGCCCGGGTACAGACAGCGCTTCAGGGAGGCATGGGCGCATCAGGACAGGGGCTCTATAGGCCTGGGACGGGAATCCAGACGCTTTCAAGGACGGTACTTGGGATGGCCTACAGAGCAGGGCCCTTCTCTCACATCTCGGGGGGCTCTGGAGGGAATATAAAGCCTTCTTCTCCTGTGAAGACAATAAAATAATCTTTGCTCAGATGGGAGCTCTTATCTGCATCCAGCTTCACTCCCACCGCTCTAAAGACCTCATGGCTGCAAATGATACCTCCTTCAGATTTCTCTTCAATTCTTGGAAGTCAACTCCTCTTTGTTGATCACCCCCTACTTCCCCTTTGGCTCTTCTCTTCCTCCTTCCCACTATAGTTGGAGGTACGAAAATGCTAAGTGGAATTTAGGAACCAGTAGACATATGTAGTGCAATGGATTATCCATGTCTGTAGATTCAAGCGTTATTCGCGAGACGGGGTTTCCCCCAAAGCCTCTGGGGACTGGAGGAAGAGGTGTTCCAGGGCGCCCATTCAGGCACAGTCCATCCTCACGTGAACTAGTAGGGAAAGTTTTCTATAAAACAATGTACATTTATAATGCCTCTTTAGGAGAGAGGAATTAGATATTAGTGGTGCGTTGTTTCCCCACTCCTATAATACAAAATTAGGGTGCCTGTGGTGTAAAAATGGTCTGCATTCTAAAACAAATCAGCTGACAGAGTGTTAGGAAAAAATGTGGAAGTCCGTGCTATTCACTTCCTACTGCAGGAAAGCTAAGTTATTTGGTATAGTTTTCAAATGTCAGAGTCTCCCAAGCACATTAGCTAGGTTTCCTGTAGAGTGAACAGTTTTTCTAATGATTTAATTTTAAGCTTTTGATTTTAAATATATCTCCAATTTGATAAAATTGCCGTGTCATAATTTCTGAAAAATGCAAATAATGTTTGTTAGTAGCATTGATAATCTGATTGCCCAACTTCCTCTTGAACCAACTCTTGCCTCCTGCAGACTGGGTATCTGCAAACTGATGAGCAGAGAGATTCCAGACTAGATATTAAGAAAGACAGTTTCCCACTGGAAGTAGGGTGCATCAGAGCTGTAGCCACTTTAAAGCGTCACCTTCTTATTCATCTGTTTTATTTCCCACAAATGTTCTATTAATGAAAGCTTACCAAATTGTTTCCATTAAATTAAGAGGATTTTAAAGGGACACCTACTTTCTCACTGGCCTTGAGTGAACACACTGAGGCATTGCATTAAACATTATCATATGTGAATAGACACATAAATTTCACATAATCTTTCATTACTATGCATTGATAGATTGGCCCAGAAAGTCACATAAAGCACAATTGGATAACCGTGGGATAGCACACTTCCCTTTGTCTTCCTTCTTTTCTGGATTGCTTTGGAAATTTCTGGGAATCCACATTTCTGATTGCCCCACAAACTTTTCTAACACACATTAGAGATGACCACCAAGAGCCAGATGTTCGCACCAAACAATTCTAGCCAGCGGCATCACGTGACTACTACCCTCGCGGCTGGCTGCGCGATTGCAGGGGCTCTCCCATTGCCTTCTCTTCAGCCATTGAGTGGCAGCTACCTGGGCGTGCCTGGTTGCAGAGCCGGGCCCAAACTTCTGTTATCCATTTCCTCTTACCCGTCTCCTATTATTATTTTGAGTTAAAATTCTTTGCCCCTGCTGGCGCATAAGGGATGATATTAGGCAGCTCCGCACAGCCGATCTTGAGTCTCATGGCCTAATTTTTCCTGCAGAAGGTACAGTGCCTCTCACATGCTGAAAGTCCTCCCACCAAGAAATTTATTGGGGCAGAATTAGATTAGAATTTATATATAAACATTAAGACCTTTCCACCTCATTTAGTAAAGCAACAATGACTGCTTTCATTTCAGAAACTGATAGTAGACATGATGGCCAAGGGTCTGGTAAGAAGTGTCAGGTGGGCGAATTCAAAAGAGGAAAGTTGTGGCCTGCTGGGAGACTTTTAAGGCCCAGGTTTGCAGAATCCTTTCAGCTCCCCATTCCCTGCCTGCCTTGTCCTCCTGATTTTTACTTTGTTATTTCACATGTCTGGGGTGTTTTCATGTGGCCGAAGGTGACAGGTCAAATAAACATTTCCATTGAGAAATGTCAATGATGAAAAGATGACCATGTACATTTAAGCTTGTAAATGCGTTGGATCTTACTATTAATTAATATTTTGGAACATAATTTAAAAACCCAACTATTCAAAACACTGCTTTTTATACACAAGTGCCACATAAGGCATTGGCATTTCAAGAAGGATCCCTTCTATTTGGCAACATGTTTTACGGGCTTTTCTTTTCTTCTCGTGAATGATCTAGTCCCTTAGAGGAACATGACTGGTACTCGGTTCTGTCCAGAAATTTGGCAGAGGATATTTCCAACATCCACATTAATAAGTAATTGAATTTTAAGCAGAGCTGATCTTGATCCAAACCCAGGACTGGAAGGAATCTCAAAAGTCATCCAGTTTAATACCTATTCTAAACTTCAGTTTTTTTCTACAATGTATTTGCTTAATGGTTTTTCTCCTCTCCCATTTTTATTTTTTCCTGTAAGGATAGGAGACAAAAGGGAAGAAAACAGAAAACGCAGGATTACAGCACTTTCAGGTGATTCTTGACCTTCAATTTTAATGGAGTTAAATTTATGTGGTCAAATTCTACTACAAAAGAAACAGACTTTTTGTGAAAATCATTAAAATAACTTTCCTATTGTATAGATAATGCCTGCTAACTGTAGAAGATTTATAAAATGCTAAAAAGTAGAGAGAAGAAAAAAACTCATCTTCTACCACTCACTACTACCATTTGGTTTATAATTTCTGGATTTTTGCAGTGCATTTTTATGTAGTTGTGTCATATTTCATTTGGGATGTATATGTTTTTCCCATGTAATACAAATATTTCTTTATATTATTTAAAACTCTTTGTAAGTGTGATATTTGATATATAATAATCTCTTCCATAAATGTGTCATAATTGTGCCCAGGTGCGGTGGCTCACACCTGTAATTTCAGCACTTTGGGAGGCCAAGGTGGGAGGATTGCTTGAGTCCAGGAGTTCGAGACCAGCCTGGGCAACAGGGTGAGACCCTGTCTCTGCAAAAAAATTAAAAATTAGCCAGATGTTGTGGCACACACCTGTGGTTCCAACTACATGAGAAGCTGAGGCAGGAGGATTGCTTGAGTCCAGGAGGTTGAGGCTGCAGTGAGCTGTGATTGTGCCACTGCACTCCAGCCAGGGCAACATAGTGAGACTCCATCTCTACCAAAAAATTAAAAAATAACTCGGGTGTAGTGGCTAAAAAAAAAAAAGTACCATAGGTGTGTCAACCATCCTTCCATTGCTGGACATTTATTTTCTTTTTTAAATTTTGAGTTAAATTATACATGTATATATATTATACATTTATATGTGTAATATATATACATGTATATGTATATATATTTTATATATATATATATATATATATATATATATATATATATATAGAGAGAGAGAGAGAGAGAGAGAGAGAGAGAGAGAGAGAGAGAGACAAGGTCTCATCCTGTTGCCCAGGTTTGAGTGTGGTGTGGGATCGTGGCTCACTGCAGCCTCAACCTCCTGGGCTCAAGTGATCCTCTTACTCCAGCCCCCCCGAGTAGCTGGGGCTCTAGGTGTGTGCCACCATGCTCAACTAATTTTTGTATTTTAAAATAATATTTCAATGACCATGAAAGCAAGATTTTTGAGAATGGTTTCTGTGTGTTATTTGGTATATCACATTACTATTGATCTTGAGTGGAAGCAAAGAAAGAGCAAGAGCAAGATGACCAGCTCAGGAGGGGAAATGAATTAGTGACCAAATGAATTAGTGACCAAAGGTAGTGGTTTCACTGAATTGTGTAAATTGAGTTACCACCTGAGTTACCCTGTATAGGTTGTAGTGAAGTAAGCTACGAACATCATTTACCATTTTTCTTACGTGTATTTTAAGGCTTCCTTACTTCGGGTATCAATTTGACAGCCTTCTCATCAGAGCAAGAGACTTGCCTGACTAAAGAGTGGGAAGGAAGGTCAGATCTCTTTTGACTTAGGTTGGTAGCATGTTGCCTGCCAAGCTTACCCTGTTGTTTTCTGTGCTCCAACTATTCTGTGGGTAAGTAGAGGGCTCTAGCTTCTGGGGGTTGTCAATCTAGCACCTTTCATGAGAGCTAAATTCAGGTTAAAGAAAAAAAAAAAGAACCATAACTGACAAAGAAATTTGAGGGTGAGGGTAGGGGGTTTGAGGAAAAGAATTAAATAGCAATAGTCTACCCTTTCATTTACATGACACACATTAACCGTACTACAGAAGTTCCAAGAGAACTGTCTTGTTCTCTTGTCTCCAGGAGCCCATGTAGGGCGCTTTAATTGCCACATTTTCAAACTGATATAATAGTGGGGATGTCTTAGTAATTACCTTAATGAGATAACACCTTTCCTTCCCTCAACCTACTCATTATCACGCCTCTTGTTCAAATTTCAACTACAAAGAACTCTACTTGTAAAAAAAAAAGTCTGAAATGTATTGTTCCAGGTCTCATACCCTTAAAATAATCACACTGCACATATCTTAAAAATATGAAAGAAATAGTACACACAGGCAATTCAAATATATTAAAGGAAAGGCTTGAGATAAGTAAACTAAACATCTGGGTGCCCTTTAATTATTCTTGGTTGGATTCTTTATCTTGACCTATAGTGATGCTAAGGTGCCAAAGTGATGAATTTTAAGATGTTGGGCTGTGAAGACGTGCAGCTGCAACACTGATGGATTTAGGAAGGGATGGTAACAAGGTTAGCTGCATGTGAAGTGTGAATTGAGATTTTTGCAAAGAGACTGTGATTGCAGATGGGCATAATGTTGTACCCTTGCATGAAATCTTGCTATTATTGTATAATGGTCAGACAGAGTGTGAAATGACTTATTACTTTTCTTTTATTCTTTAATGAAGTTGGTTAGAGTAGCAGTACTACTGCTAGTCCATAGTAGTAAAGCACACACATACAAAAAACTATATGACAGGTGCTGAAATATTAAATATTTATTTAGTTTTGACTTTTTCCCTCTAATTTTCATGAATATCCATATGCAAACAGAAGCATCTCTTTATCCATATAGATAAATTTGTACTGATTTGTGTGTCTGCACTTACCCTTATTATCTTGTATAAATATCTATTTGATGCCCTGATGCATGTAAAGGATTTCAGTGTCCAAGAACATTTCATAGCTCTTTTAAATGTTTAAAAATGTTGTAATCCTTTGGGACTGATTTCTGCATGGAATTCTGATTTGAAAAGTCTATTTGGACTTATAGAAACAATGCTGAAATATTGGTTTATCACTATCATGAATAGAAATGCTTTATGGAACAAAACATAATAAAAACCCATTAAGAGGCACACTCTCTAACATGGTTTGAGTTGTGGGAAAGATTAAATCATGGTTCCTCTGTTTTGTAATATAGAGTACATATCTTTCATTATATCACAGAGCCCATAATGTAAATATTTCTTTACTTCCCAATATCAGCATCACAAGAAGATAATACCTTAGGCTTTACAAGCCAAAGGGAAATAATGCTATGATGTTAAAAACAAAACGAAACAAACAAAAAACCCTCTACTTCTATGTAAGTTCTTCTGGCTCCAGATGCTTCTGTTAGAAATGGTAAGAAATATACATTTAAATATATTTGGTTTTTGGAGATTAGGGATTTTTTTCATTATAGAATTCTTTTTATACGGCTTGTAAGATTCGCAATCATTCTTAACGCGTTGCCCTGATATTCTTGATATGAATAATAAGTGTTTAGAAAAGACACAAATCTATGTATTTAACATACCCCCTTCAATTGAATAAAGTTTAATATAAATTTGTTTTGATTTCTCATATTGTTGTACAGTTAGGCCATGATATAATAAAATTATTTTTCTGTGACTTGGACTATATTGAGGATCAAATGATGTTCTTCAAAACAACATACATCAGCCCTTAGAAACAAACTTGGAACCACTGACCTATAAAAATAGTGTTTAGTCTTGTCCCTCAGCACCAACTTTACTGACCCCTTTCCCTACTTTTCTTTGGCTCAACTTGTTCTGCAGATAGAAATCCATTATTATATAGTTTCTCATCAATCAAAAGATAGAACCACTAATATTTATTTAGTTGAAATCTGGAAATATAACACATATCATACCTTCTTTTTTATTTCTTTTTATAAAAAGATGCTATCTTTCACTAGAAGCCTCCTTGTTGTCCAACAATGCAGTGGATGTTGGAATTTCTCTCTCAGGCTTGGTCTAAGAATATATTAGTATAGGGCAATATATAGAGAGAGCAGATTTTTGAAGGACTTGCATTTGTGAGATACCTTAACTTCATATATTTGTAATGTCAGTATTACGAAAGACATATATTCCTGCTTCTTACATATACTACCACTTCTTACATGGTGACTTGGCCACATCTATAGAAAATATTGGCAACTGTAATTAGTGATCTCTCACCCTCTTTATTCTATATTCCCCAGAGTGAAGTGCTGTGATTGGTTTGCAGTCTACTAAGATCAGCCCTTTTATAGCTACATGAAAGTGAATCTGTGTAAGAGAAAACATTATCTGCTACATGGTGAGAATCTGCGCCAGTACCGTATGAATTTCAGATTTCAAAAAATTAGCTTAATAGCATCTATTGCAGTTAACTGTGACAGCATTTTAGGGGTCCTCTATATCTCAACATTAGTGTTGTAAAACTTTGAATTCTTCCTCATTAAGAAAAGCTTTCCTCTGTATTACCATGAATACACAGTATGCACATAACATTTATCTCAACAAGTTTTTCAGCTGATAGCTTTACTCTTGAGGTTTTCTTTTTAATCTCATTCTAGGATGAGAGATATTGGTCTTTATGTTTGAAAGTACATAGTGGTAGTTTTCCTTAGCAAGATGAGAAATGTTCCTTGTGGATTGCTCAGGGAATAATGAAATAAAACACTCTCCAGGCATGGTCACTCACACCTGTAATCCCAGCACTTGGAAGGCCAAAGTTGGTGGATTGCTTGAGCTCAGGAGTTCGAGACCAGCCTAGGCAACGTGGTGAAACCCCATCTCTACAAAAAATCCCAAACTAAGCCAGGTATGGTGGCACATGCCTGTAGTCCCAGTTAGGAAGTTCAGGTGGGAGGATCGCTTGAGCCTGGGAGGTCGAGGCTGCAGTGAGCTGTGATTGCACCACTGCTCTCCAGCCTGGGTGACAAAGTAGAAAAAAAAGAAAAGAAATAAAACACTCAAAGTCTACTTATTAATTAAAGAAAGTGTCAGCTGGGGGCAGCAGTTCATGCCTGTAATCTCAGCACTTTGAGCAGCCAAAGTGGAGGATTTCTTGCGGCCAGGAGTTTGAGACCAGCCTGGGCAACATAGAAAGACCCTGTTTCTATAAAAACAAACAAACACACAAAAAAACCTTGCACCCATAGTACTAGTAGTACTAGCTACTGGGAGGCTGAGGCAGGAGGATTAATCGCTTGAGCCCAGGTTTTGAGGTTTCAGTGAGCTATGAACAAAAAAGTATCATCACATCTCTCTCTCTCTAAGTGTTGGTTTAAAAATTCTGGATTGTGTGGCCAGGTGCGGTGGCTCATGCCTGTAATCCCAGCACTTTGGGAGGCCGAGGCAGGTGGATCATGAGGTCAGGAGATCGAACCATCCTGGCTAACACGGTGAAAACCTGTCTCTACTAAAAATACAAAAAATTAGCTGGGTGTAGTGGCACACACCTGTAGTCCCAGCTACTCGGGTGGCTGAGGCAGGAGAATTGCTTGAACCCAGGAGGCGGAGGTTGCAGTGAGCCAAGATTGCACCACTGCACTCCAGCCTGGGTGACAGAGTGAGACTCCGTCTCAAAAAAAAAAAAAAAAAATTCTGGATTGTTTGTCAAGAACATTTATCTATGCATACTTCCTGATCATAACTAGTGAATTAATATTTAACATTATCCTCAATATGTGATAGATATATCTTTTTGTCCCTAATCCCTGGGTCAGTGCCTAGTATAACATAAGTACTTAAACTTTATGTAATTGAATATGAAGTCATTGCTTAATTAAAAACAGCATATCCAAGTGATGTTTGTAAGTCAATATAGATTCCCTGATGGAAAGAACCATGTCTGATCTTTCATGGTATTTCAAATACTTGGCATATTAACTTGAAGATCCTAAGGGCACAATATATATTTGTTATCACTGTTGACTATAGTTGTGATATAATAAAAATTGTTTAAAAATTAATTTTAATTTTCAATTGGTTTTTGGCTATCTTATATATTTCTTTTTTAAAAAATTACTTTATTTGAGATGGAGTCTCGCTCTGTCATCCAGGCTGGAGTGCAGTGGCGCGATCTCGGCTCACTGCAACCTCAGCCTCCAGGGATCAAGCAATTCTCCTGCCTGAGCCTCCTGAGTAGCTGGGATTACAGGCATCAACCACCACGCCCGACTAATTTTTTGTATTTTTAGTAGAGACAAAGTTTCATCATGTTGGCGAGGCTGGTCTCGAACTCCTGACCTCAGGTGATCCACCCACCTCAACTTCCTAAAGTGCTAGGATTACAGGCGTGAGCCACCACGCCTGGCCTTATTTTATATATTTCAATGATAAGAATAGTATCTGGTAAAATTGAATTAATTATGTGACATCAACTAATTCTTGAATTAGTTGTGCCACTGGCCTACATTTTAATTAAAACATCCTTTTTTCATAGATCTGAAGTAGCTATGTCAAAATAGTCACTAGACTATTTTGTTGTTGCTGATTATGTGTAGCAAAAAGAGAAATGCAAGCAATACTCCCAACCCTTTTCTAGAAATGTGTCTCTTTAATAAGAATGGAAGTGAAGGCAGATGTCAGGAACTGACTCCACTTTTTATTGGATCCTATATTCTAAATTGTATTAGTAAGTAAATTCAGGCAGCTACAGAAGCTAAGAAAAGGAATAGAGAGACATTTTAGCTTATTAACAATATTATTAACGGGCTAATGACAACTGGGAAAATAAATTGAGTTGGCAATTTAATAGGTATAATTCAAAGAGTAAACAGAAGCAGCTAAATTTCATGGTTAATAGTGGTACTATTGAGATAAGGCTGTTGGAAGACACTGTTAATAAAAACAGTGACTTTCAAAATGAAGCTACATTTAGGAACTAGGTTTCACTAGAACTATTTGGCATGATGTTTGGGTTCAAAATTACTTAATGCATTGTTAACTGTACTCTGCAATGTGTGTAGCAGAAGAGAGAAAATTGATGCTTTTTCTTGTAAGGATGCTAACATTCACATTCTTTGTATTTTACCACACCCATGTTTTAAGATGCTTGGAGAAGAAAAGCATACTGATAGAGAAAAATCTGTAAAATCTTGTCAGGTATTATTTATGTATTATTATTTTGTTGTAAAAGATGTGAAAACATGAAGAATTAGAAAACAGAACAGCTAAAATAAGTTATAATGAGTCACATCTCAAAAAAATACACTCAAGGGAATAACAATGTAATGACAACACATTTTCATTATTCTAAAAACAAATTCTGTCTGATGGTTAAACCCTATTAATTGGATATTTTAGCTACTTACCAAAGGAATATGACTGTAATAAGTAGCCTTTTCTTCCAAAGAATAAGATACACCTACTATCACTTTATTTGGTGAATCTGGTTCTCTTGTGCTACATAATTTGTGGTATGGAAAGGGTGGAATGTATGTTGAAAGAATATGTTAAGATATTTCATATGGGGATTTCAAATTTCCTAGATACTTTAGATATCCGAGGAAAAACATTGTAGGAACAAAGCAGGAACCTTAGAGATGTGATGACTATCCCCCGAGTATTACAATGATTCATAATTCACAGGAGAGCAAGGCTCAAGTGGATCATACTTTTTATGGTACAAATGGGATTAATGTTGTGCTTCACAGATACTACATGTTTATCACAAAGAAGACTATGTTTCAACTTTCTTTTACTGTGTTAAGGCTTAGGAGAAACAACATTAAAATATGTTTTAAACTTGTAGATTAAAAAAAGACCACTGGTTATTATTGTCCAGAGGTGGAGATAATTTTAGAATTATTTTGGTTCTTTTCTCAGAGATCTGAAATCTATTCACACTGTATAGCAATGCTATGATTCATATTTATTGTTTGTGAAACTTTGAAATGTGCGCTCATCTTTTCAACTTAGAAATCGTGTTGCTGGCATATAAACTTTAAGACTATCTGTCTCTTTTCTAAGTTATCATAACTCCAGCAATGAAGCAGATCCTAAAACATTTATTTACATGGACATCCTGGAGAGGTATTTATTTCTTAAAACCTTGTGAAATTGTTAATTGTGGATAGTGAGAGTGTGGCTAGATAGATTACTGCATAAATACACCAGGTGACACTTGAGCCAGGTTTTCGGGCCATTCTATCACTTTTCATCCTGTTTGTCAGTGACTTTTCTTTTTTTTTCTTTAATTTTCTCCCTCTCTCTTCCTCCTACTTCTTCTCTCTTCTTTTATCTGTTATACGTCTGTTTAGTACTTTTGCCATTCTTCTGTGTGTGATGTTTGATTACCTATTTTTCTCCTTAGACTATATGCTTTTTGAGGACATATACTACACGTTAAAAAATTCCTACAATTCCTATCAGAGATGCTCGATAAACATTTATGGAGCTCCCACAAGCCAATATTCTTATTTTGCAGATTACACACTGTCAGAATCATTAAACTCTGGGATACGGATATTTTTTCATTATTAGTACTGTATGTGCTTATATATAAATTTAAATGTGTAATTAATTTAGTTTAGAAATGGTGTTTAAGGATGATTGGTTTGGATTATCAATACAGTGTTTATGCATAACATTAAATGATGGCAGGCTGGAGTCTCCTGTATAGCTTCTTATTTACCAAATGGAGCCTGTGGTTCGTGATGATTTTCTCCAAAACATATGGTTAGTGATTAATCCTTGATATAATTTCTAAAACAGTCAAGAACAGTGAATATACAGCCTTAGAGAGGGAAATTGGAGCTGTGAAATTTTATGAGCCAGATCTTTTCCAAAAGAGAGAGAGAAGGATGTTCTCCTGCTCCTAGGCTTTGGGAAAGTTTAATTAAACTCATTGGTGAAATGTCAAAGAAATGTAATTCACCAACTATTTTGACTATTTTTTCTATTATGAAGTCATTTTAGTATTTATTAGAATGTTCTCTTGGTTCCGAGTTTACTGTTGGCTCATCTAATTTGAAAGGATAATTGAAGAGCTTTGATAAATGAATATTAAAATGTGTCTTGTTTCCTTATAGCTTCTTCTAGGGTTCTGTCCAGCGTATCTCTGCAGTGCCAAATGACCCAGGAGTCCTGGCAAAGACAGTCTTCAGGCTTTGGCAATGGAGGTTTGGCCTACGTTTTCTCAACTGCCCAAATATTTTGTGACTTTCAATCTCAGCAGGCATCTCCTTCTCTTCCATAGCAACAGTACATTTGGGGGATTATTGTGTTTTTTTTTCCCTTCTACCTCCTGTGGGAGAATAACACTAATTCTAAGCTGGGATAAATGGCTAGAATTCAGTATGGCTCTGTTAGACTCTATTTCTAGAGTAGAGTTAGATACAATACTCGAAGACAGGCCTTCTTTTGGAGTCCTAGGGAAAAACATAACCAAATTAAATAAAATGTCAATTTCTGGCTTGTATTTTCTTTTCCAGTTGTGATGTATGTTAAAATGATATTTTCCCTTTAAGAAATGAACAGATATAAATAATATGTCAAGAACTCATCCTCAATCTTAAGGCCATTTCCATAGAGGACTCTTTTATTAAACCAAAAATTTACTATGGATAATGATTAGATACGTAAATGATACATAACTACTTTTTTAGAGGACTTCACTAAAAGCATTTTATACTACATGGATTGTTTTACTGTGAACATTCCCAGTGATTGGTACAAACCTTTGCCAATGAATGACAAATTTACATACACATCATGTCAGCCAGCAATATTTTGCAGCTTTAATTGCTTTAGCTTCAGGCATTCTATGTCAAAATAGAGTGTTTAATGTCCTGCAAGTTACTCTGTTTCTTTGCAATGTTAAATTATTCTGTAATTTGCCTGTTTTCTTTCTAGCACATTGTCCATTAAGTCCTTTAATAATTTATAATATAAAATGCATAATGCAACTTTAAATAGCATGGACAGCTTCATTTTTAGAAGGTTCTGGGTGGGGTGTATCAAGAAGAACAGAAAATCTGAAGTGCATTTGCATAAAATGTTTACTGTTACCTTATACATGTTGAAAATCTTCCATTTATGTTGCTAAACTTTTGTCTTAATGTTAACTGTATTGGGGTGTGTATTGTGTGTATATTTTTAAAATTTTAGATAAAACAGCATTAAAAAACTATGTAGACAATACAGAATCTATTAAAAGGAAAATGATGGTATTTTGTGCAGCCAGCTACATTTTCATAGTAAAAAGCTGATTTTACTCAGTAAAATCTAAGAGAATGAATGTGATAAAAAATTTACTTGTAGGTGTTTAGTCAAGCTAATTTCAACAAAGATGTATGAATACAGAAACACAGTCTTTCATATGTCTTTGCTTGTTGTAGGTTTAAAGTACATTGAAAAAAACCCTTTACCTAGCTGTTATTAGTATTTTATTATTTTTAATTGTTAGGATTTTACCTTGTGTTCATTTATAAAGAGTGATCCTTGTTCAATAACTGTTTCTGATGTGGTGCTGTTATGCACATGTATATTGTGTCTTGGGTGTTAAGATAAAATAAATTAGCAAAATTCACATAAATGTGTAAAAGCCAAAGAATGTCAAACAACTGCTCTTCTCTATTGAAAATGCCATGTTCAAAAATAACCTATTCCTTAACTATATAATATAAAATTACTTAAAATTCTAGTGAATAATGATAATAACATATTCCTCAGTATACAGTAAATATCTCTCTTTTAAAAGTGGCAGGAGAACAAAATAGGTTTATCTTTTATGTCTTTGAATACTCATACTTGCAAAAGATAGAAAGTCTTATTTAAAACATTAAAAATATAATTCATAATTCATTATAAATTTACCTTTACTATTTACCCCCTCTTCTGCCTTTCTCTGGTCTTGAGGATGCTTCTTTACTTATTATGTTTTTCTATTGAGTTCCCAGAGTGCCTTTGGACAAGTTTGGCTATAATTCGGTCTTTGAGTCTTTGTGATCCTTAAAATAGGATCAGACAATTGTATAATTGGTTTCCTAAGGGTTTTGGAGCATTGGAGGTCTTTCTTTCTTTCTTTCTTTCTTTCTTTCTTTCTTTCTTTCTTTCTTTCTTTCTTTCTTTTTCTTTCTTTCTTTCTTTCTTTTTTTTTTTTTTTTTTTTTTTGAGACGGAGTCTCGCTCTGTCGCCCAGGCTGGAGTGCAGTGGCGCGATCTCGGCTCACTGCAAGCTCCGCCTCCCGGGTTCACGTCATTCTGCACTGGAGCACTTTCTAGTTCAAGCTGTTACCTAACATATATCCAAGACTCATAGAGAAAATTGCATTGTCTGATCAAATAATCTCTAGAGACATTTAATCCAAGGTTGATATCATCTTTTGATATAGAGATATCAAAAGTATAGGGATATACTTAGGGACTGTATAGGGATACCATATGGAAGAACACTTCACACTTCAACAGTATTTGTGAATCAACCCTAATACTTACTTTGACGTTTTAAAAACCATGTGCATTGACACTGTGGTTAAAGTATTTGAGCACCACGAAAAAGCTTGCCTTGATTGGTTTTAACTTTAATATTTCACTTTTTGGAGGAGGTATCTAATGGGAAGCGTTGATGAGGGTGGATATTTTAAGACGGTAGATTTTTTTCTCCCACCATAAGCTTAGTTGACCACTTATAAATGAAGCACATATATTTTTTAAAAAGACAAGGATTAGAAGGGAATCACATGTGTAGAAAACTAAAGCTCTATTATATTTGGCTTTGGCAGCTTCCAATTCTATTCTGACTTAGAATGTGAAGTGAGGAACCTGTACTTACTTTGAAAGCCTGAAATAAGTGGCAGTTGCTAGCATTTCCAGCTTCGTGTTTTCCTAAATGCCTGGAATAAACTCAGTAGAGATAAAAGAATATACATTAGTGAGCAAGTAAGAACTCTTTCAGTGCATTAAAAAAGGGCCTATTTGGATTATCAAGTTTATTGATAATAACATATATATTCTTTCATTTCTCTGTTTATACTATTTCTGATGGGAACTATGGCCAGAAGATGTTATGGTACAATGTTAAGATAAGCTTGGCTTAACAATTATTAGAGAAAACGCCTTATAGTTTGCTAATTTCCAGAACTTTTGTGGTAATTAGAATAGTCCTCCACCAAGAAAGGAGAAAGGTATACAAGTAAAAATCTATTCTGCTTCTCCCCCAGGTGTGGGCCTTTTTTTTCTCTGCTATCTCTTTGGAATCCTAAGGAATGACTTGATACTTCATCACATGCCTGGGGGTGGTGAGGGCTCAGAAAGGGTGAGGTGAGTGGTGCTTGTGGCTACATTTCTGTATTGAATTTAATTTTTCATTGATAATTAGACTCTTGAAGCCACCTGATATTTTTGACCAGCAGGAAACAAAAGCCCACTGATTGACTCAGGGGATACACAGGAGTGGCCCCCACTGTGCTCACACAGCAGCTCCACAAAGACTAAAAACAAGAGCTGTGGCAAATTGGATCACCATACAAGTTTCAACTGGCCCATTGTGTACAAGTAGTAAATTGGGAGCTGATATTTCTGAGAACTATTTATTAGCAAAGCTTGGTGGTTACTCCCTCCCTACCTTGTCTCTCCCCACCACCCCAGCTTAGTTTACTTGAGTAAACAGCTTTTCCCAAGTTAGATGAGCAACCTAAAGTGCTTATAAAAATTCAGTTAATTATCCAAAGAATTGTCTAGACTAGAAATGTACTGATGATATGTGACAAATAGAATACATTTTTTTTTTTTTACTAAACAGGGATTTATGTGTGTATAATTGTACTAAAAGGCAAATAGGTGACATTTGCAAGAGTTTACTGAAATGCAAAAAATGGAATAATATTTTAAAAATTCAACCCTGCTGCTGCATGTCTTATTTAGATTTTTAAATGAAGATTTCTCCATGACAGCTTCGGGTGGAGTGATCAGTTCTAACCATTTAGTATAAAAAAAGTGTGAAAATACTAGGCTGTGGCCAGTTAGCAGAAATCACAGTTATACAAGCCTAGACCTGTATGTCTTACAGAAGATTTGATAACTCTGGATGTTTTTTCAATTTGAGTAATGCAGAGGGAGAAAAATAGAGTTTGTTTCATTAGTTTCTTATATATGTACCATCTCTGAGAGTTTTAGCTTTTGGTGAGTTGGGAATATGATATTATCGCTACTACAATATCATAGGGGAAAATGTATACAGAAACTTGTATAACTGCAAAAAGTAAAGTTTATATGAATCTTTCACAGTAAGGCTTTGAGATGATGCCAATTCATTTTATGGATATTTATTCATTTAATCTTTTATGGGTACTACTACATACGGTATATTTTTATTTCTGTGCTCTTCCATTTTCATCTGGTGTCTAAATTAATCCTATGGGCAATGAAATGATTTGGTGGGAGAAGCCCAAGAGTAAGAGGAATAATATTGGTGCTGCAGCTAGGGAACACCATGGAGACCATGCTAGAGAGGGTGCAAGCATGCTTTGGTCATTAGTTTGATTCTGAGTAAGAAGACTAAGCCATCAAATATTCATTAATGATTATGATGTTCAATAATCTGTTAGATGTTGTAGAGGATGAGAAAAGTATGATGCTTGGCTTCTGACATCTAGAGGTTTATCATTTAATAGGTAAACAAAAATTATCATAAAACAATTAGCAAACTATTGAAATACAGAGGTTGCAAGAATAATATTGCAGAGCTATGAATACTTGCATGCCTGTTTAGGCATTCTTTTAGAAAAATTGAAGTGTAGACTTTCTTAACTTGGTAGCTAGCACGAGATAGGTGGGATTATTGTACCTCAGAAAATTATAAAAGAATTCAAAAGTATCTTATAAATTAGGAAAAAATTTCATTTAATTCTTGGGAATCAAAGCAGACACTAAAGACTCAGGATCCAGAGATACTGAACAGTTTCCAAGACTAAGGAGATATTATTGGAGGAATATGGCATGTTTAAGAAAACTTTAGTTTTTGTCATTACAGATTTTTTTTAAACGTAGGGAAATTGAAGGGAAACAAAATGAGGAATATTTATAAAAGTTCCTCATTGGGTTGCTATGAGGATTAAATGAGATAAAGCATACAAGGTGCCTGGCACAGACTAGGTGTTCAACATATGCCAGTTTTAAAAAAAATAAAGCTACTAGCTTTATTTTTTATATTTCACATGTATATGAAATATATATGTGAAATATATATTTCATATATTTATATATGGTTTCACCAGACATGGTGAAACCCCATCTCTACTAAAAATACAAAAATTAGCCAGGTGTGGTGGCGGGCACCTGTAATCCCAGCTACTTGGGAGGCTGAGACAGGAGAATCACTTGAACCCAGGAGGCAGAGGTTGCAGTGAGCTGAGATTGCGCCATTGCACTCCAGCCTGGGTGACAAGAGTAAAACTCCGTCAAAACAAAAACAAAAAGAGAGGAAAAGAAAAGAAAAAGAAAAGAAAAGAAGTCAGGAAAGGTTGAATAATGTCTCAGTGCCTGAGACTAGAGAGTAAGCTGGAAGTGATGATTCATTTTCTTTCTCCCTCGGCTCTCAGAGGGTCAGGTAAGCATGTATCTGCTAGATGGGATCCTCTTTAAGTTAGCTGGGGCTGGGCCCCATGCTCTCCTTACTCTTGTAGCACTTAGTCCTAATACCACCCCTTTTCCATCACTACAGGAAATAAGCCTAATTCCAGGTCCAGCGGTTTTTGACACTTTTGTCCTCACCACCTGCCTTCTGAAAATTCCCCCTCTCTTTGGCTTCTGGGATAATCACTGTTTCTAATTTCTCCCACTTCTGAACCTCTTCTCTGTCTCCCTTGATGGGTTTCTTTTTCCATGAGAAAGTACCCTCCCCCTGCTTTTTTTTTTTAAACTGAATTCTATTCTCAGCCCCCCTTTTCTTCCCACTCTATAAATCATTCCTAGGAGATTCTCATCTTGCATGGCATTGTTTCTCATATAATGACTGACAATTCTCCATATCCAGCCCCAGCCTCTCCACTGGGCTCTGAAAATGCATTTCCAACTTGTTACTTACATCTTCTGTAGTTTTCTTAAATTCAACTTGCCCATAACAGAATTTGTTTTCCACAGCAAAAACGTTCCTTCTCCTGTATTCCCTATATAAATTAATGTTATTTCTATCATAGGGTGTCCAAATGGGCAACTTGCCTGGGATTGAGGGGTTTCCCATAACACAAGACTTTCAGTGCTGAACCTGAGAAAGTCCTGGGCAACCTGGGACCAGCTGGGCCCCCTATCTATCTATCAAATCTCCCAAACCAGCACCTCCGAGTTTCTTTCCACACTTCCCCCTCTCTCATCTCCCACCTCTAATTAGTCACCAAATTCTCGGTATCATACCTCAGAAATCTCTCTAGAAACTTTCCCTACTTTTCTCTTCTCCATACTACTGCCTGTATTCAGGCCTTTATTATTTCTTGCCTGAGATACTGTAATAGAATCCCACCTTGTGACTTTGAGCTCAGTCCACTTTATATTCTGCCTAAGAAACCTGCATGAATACAGATATAATCATCATGACACTATTAAACAATAAACCTAGAAGGAATGAATTCATACAGAAAATTGAATCCTGCCGTAGATTAGAGGTTTTTGGCTTTTCACCTTGACCACAAACCCAGGAACTGATTGTAACCTCAGTATAATAGATATCTGTTAGGGATCAACACAATTTTCTCCTCAGCATCTGGATCAATTTTTCCCTCTGTCTGGACAGGTGTGCTTGCTTTTCAAAAAATTGCTATGGGAACATCATCTTGCATTATAGTCTAATCAAAATAAAGCCATAAAATTTCTGCAATTATGTACAAAGAACTAGATAATGGTGATAGGATAAGGATCAAGAAAGGGCAAAAATACAAATTTTAACAGGAAACCAAATACTAGTACACTTCATTTTATTGTCCTTCCCTTTATTGTGCTTCACAGATACTACATTTTTTTTTTTTTAAAGAAATTGAAGTTTTGTGGCAATTCTGCACCAGGAAGTCTTGCACCAGAAAGTGTATCAGCACCATTTTTCCAACAGCATGTGCTCACTTTGTGTCTCTGTGTCCCATTTTAGTAATTATCATAATATTTCAGACTTTTTCATTATTATTATATCTTTTATTGTGATCTGTGGTTAGTGATCTTTGATGTTACTGTTGTAATTGTTTTATGTCGCCATAAACAGCACCTGTATATGATGGTGAACTTAACCAATAAATGTGTGTGTTCTGACTGCTATACTGACTGGCTGCTCCCCCATCTCTGTTTCTTTTCTTGGGCCGCCCTATTCCCTGAGACACAATAATATTGAAATTAGGCCAGTTAACAATCCTACAAAGACCTCTAAGTGTTCCAGTGAAAGGAAGCATTGCAAGTCTCTCACTTTAAATGAAAGGCTAGCAATGATTAATCTCAATGCGGAAGTCATATTGAAAGCTGAGATAGGCTGAAAGCTAGGCCTCTTGCACCAAACAGTTAGCCAAGTTGTGAATGCAAAGGAAGAGTTCTTGAAGAAAATGAAAAGTGCTAGTCCAGTGAACACAGAATGATAAGAAAGCAAAAACAGCCTTATCACTAATATGAGGAAAGTTTTAGTGGTCTGAATAGGTTTTACTGGTCTGAATAGAAGATCAGACCAACCACAACATTCCCCTAAGCCAGAGCCTAATCTGGAGCAAGACCCTAATTCTCTGTGAAAGTTCTATGAAGGCTGAGAGAGGTAAGAAAGCTGTAGAACAAAAGTTAGAAGCTAGCAGATGTTTGTTCATGAGGTTTAAGGAAAGAAGTTGCCTTTATAACGTAAAACTGCAAGGTGAAGCACCGAGTGCTGCTGTAGAAGCTGCAGCAAGTTATCCAGAAGATGATGGATGAAGGTGGATACACTAAACATCAGATTTTCAACGTAGACAAAACAACATTGTATTAGAAGATGCCATCTAGAACTTTCATAACTAGAGAGGAGAAGTCAATGCCTGGCTTCAAAACTTCAAAGGACAGGCTGACTTTCTTGTTAGGGGCTAAGGTAGCTGGTGACTTTAAGTTGAAGCCAATGCTCACTTACCATTTCAAAAATCCCAGGGCCTTTAAGAATTATGCTAAATCTACTCTGCCTGTGCTGTATGAGTGGAACAACAAAGCCTGTATAACAGCACATCTGTTTACATCATGGTTTACTGAATATTTTAAGCCCACCGTTGAGACTTACTTCTCAAAAAAAGATTCCTTTCAAAATATTCCTGCTCATGGACAATGCACCTAGTCACCCAAGAGCTCTGATGGAGATGTCTAAGGAAATGAATGTTGTTTTCATGCCTGCCAACACAATATCCATTCTGCAGCCCATGAATCAAACAGTAATTTTGACCTTTAAGTCTTTTGTTTTTGTTTTTTTTTGAGACAGAGTCTCGCTCTGTCACCCAGGCTGGAGTACAATGGCACGATCTCGGCTCACTGCAACCTCCACCTCCCGGGTTCAACCTTCTGAGTAGCTGAGATTACAGGCACACGCAACCACGCCCGGGTAATTTTTGTATTTTTAGTACAGATGGGGTTTCACTATGTTGGCCAGACTGGTCTCAAACTCCTGACCTTGTGATCCACCTGCGTCGACTTCCCAAAGTGCTGGGATTACAGGGGTGAGCCACCACGCCCAGCCCTACTTTTAAGTCTTTTTATTTAAGAAATATATCTGATAAGGCTTTAGCTGTCATAAGTCAGGATTCCTCTGACGGATCTGGGCAAAATAAATTGAAAATCTTCTGGGAAGAATTCACCATTTTCTCTCTCTCTCTAATATATATTATATATAGAAAGTATATATAATATACAAAATATATATTATATTTCTATTATATAAAATATATTTTATATATTATAGAAAATATATAAATATATATAAAAATATATTTTCTATAATATATATTATAGAAAATATATAAATATTATATATAAAAATATATTTTCTATAATATAAACAGAAAAATATATTTTACTCCTGACTTATGACAGCTAAAGCCTTATAAAATATATTTCTTAAATAAAAGACTTAAAAGTTGGCCGGGCGCGGTGGCTCACGCCTGTAATCCCAGCACTTTGGGAGGCCGAGGCGGGCGGATCACGAGGTCAGGAGATCGAGACCATCCTGGCTAAAAACGGTGAAACCCCGTCTCTACTAAAAATACAAAAAAATTAGCCGGGCGTAGTGGCGGGCGCCTGTAGTCCCAGCTACTTGGGAGGCTGAGGCAGGAGAATGGCGTGAACCCGGGAGGCGGAGCTTGCAGTGAGCCGAGATCCCGCCACTGCACTCCAGCCTGGGCGACAGAGCGAGACTCCGTCTCAAAAAAAAAAAAAAAAAAAAAAAAAGTTATATATACATATATGTATTTGTTGTTGTTGTTGTTTTTAGAGTTTTGCCATGTTGCCCAGGCTGGTCTTGAACTCCTGGACTCAAGCAATCCACCCACCTTGGCTTCCCAAAGTGCTGCTGTGATTACAGGCATGAGCCATCATGCCCAGCCGGATTCCAGTTTTAAAAGAAGTTCTGCGATAAATAGAGTGCTGTCAAACAGCATCACATGCTACAGGGAGATTTTTCATAACAGGAAAAGTCAATTGATGCAACAAACTTCACTGTTGTCTTATTTTAAAATATTCTTACAGCCAGCTGGCGTAGTGGCTCATGCCTGTAATCCTAGCACTTTGGGAGGCTGAGATGGGTGGATTGCTTGAACTCAGGAGCTAGAGACCAGCCTGGACAACAAGGTGAAATCCCATCTCTACAAAAAAAATATAAAAATTAGCCAGGCATGGTGGTGCGTGCCTGCAGTCCCAGCTACTTGGGAGGCTGAGGTAGGAAGATGGCTTAAGCCTGGGAGGCGAAGCCTTCAATAAACCCAGATCATAACACTACACTCAAGCCTGGGTGACAAAGTGAGACCCTATCTCAACATATATATATTTTCAACAGCTACCCACCTGATCAGTCAGCAGCCATCAACATTGAGTCAAGATCCTCAGCAAGAAGATTATGACTCGCTGACAGCTTAGATGATCATTAGCATTTTTAGCAATAAAATATTTTAAAATTAATGTATATACATTGTTTTTTAGACACAATGCTATTACACACTGAATAGACTACAGTATATAAACGTAACTTTCATATGCACCAGGAAACCAAAATATTTGTGTGACTTGCTTTATTGTGATATTCTCTTTATTGCAGTGGTCTGGAACCAAACCCCTAGGTTTGAGGTATGCCTACACAGAAATTTTGCAACTTGGGTATATTATGTCATCTCTTCTCACTCTACTCTAGCACCTGTCTCTTGTTTTAACTACAGTCTCACTAATAGTGATAGCACTTTTTGCTCATCAACAATATTCTCCATCATCATGCCAGATGCTTCAACTTGGACTGTGTAGTGGTTTTAAAATATATCCACAAAGTCTTCGATATTCCATCCTTCAATATGTGAAGCTTAATTTCCCTTCTTTTGAGTGTGAGCTCAACTTAGTGACTTGCTTCTAATGAATAAAATATGGCAGGAGTGAGAAGAAGTTTTCTGAGACTAGATCATAAAAGGCATTGTGACTTCTTCTTTGATCTCTCTTGTTGGATCGTTTTCTCTGTGGGAAGCCAGCTTGCATGTCGTGCGGACTCTCACACAGCCCTATTCAGAGGTCTACGTGGTCAACAACTGAAGCTTCCTGACAACACCCAGCACCACCTTGCCAAGCCTGTGAATGAATGATCAGCTTAAAAGTGAATCTGCTAGTCCCAGTCAAGCCTTCAGGTAACTGTAATCCCAGCCAACATCTAGACTGTAACCTCATGAGAGAACCTGAACCAGAACTACCCAGGTAAGCTGCTCTCAGATTCCTGACCCATGAAACTATGTGAGAAAATAAATTTTTATTGTCTTAAACCACTAAGCTTTGGGGGTAATTTTATTATGCAGCAACAAATAACTAATTCAGAGCAGTTTTGCTTGATGTTTTCTCACCTATTTACGCTATACTATTTTCCCCTCATTTACTTCATTTACTGCCCTGTGATATTCCTTTATCTCTTAATTATTGTTTTCACATGCACTCATTCTGTAGGCCTTTCTATCCTCCACTTGTTTGGAGAAAATTCTCCATAGGTCTCTTGCATTTTTTTCTGTCTGGTGAGCAGAAACAACTGTCTTTTTGTTCTGGATCATCTTTTCAAGGATGCAGGTTTGCTTACTGTCCAGTATAATAAAATAATGTCTTCCTCTGGAGCAAGGTCAGACAGGTTTGCTTACTGCCCATTATAAAAGATTCAGGTTTTGTAAGTTCAGCATTTCTCAGCTGTGATGCAAACCTACTGCATGTGCAGTATACACGGGGCCCCTTCTGCATCACCCCCATGGCACTTGGGTGGGAAGTGTAGCTAAAGCAAAAATGATGTTCATGTGGCCTGCTGGGTCCTGAGTAATTAAACCCTTTATCTCTGCTATAGGATCTCATGACTTTTGCAGGCTAACTCGTCAGCTTGCAAGTAAGGTAAAATCTCAGACTCTTCATGGTTCTTGATAGTTTTAACTCATTCACCTGAATTCCACCTAACGCTGCCCCTTTTCAATTAATTCTTTAATTCATTTATCAAATGAAAACTGCTAAACCTCTCACTGACTCCCATTTTAACTGCACTTTTTTTTTCTTTGATACATCTTAGGAAATGTGTTAGCAATGCAAATTTCAAGCACACTCTCCTTATTTCTACCTTGGAACTCTAGAAGGTAGCAATATATATACATATTTTTGAGACAGGGTCTTGCTCTGTCATCCAGGCTGCAGTACAGTGGCACTATCTCGGCTCACTACAACCTCTGCCTCCTGAGCTCAAGTGAGCCTCCCACTTCAGTCTCTGAGTAGCTGAGACTACAGATGTGCAACACCATGCCTGGCTAAGTGACAATTTTTTTTGTGTGTGTTATATCTTCCTCCTATTCTTTTCCATAGAACCACAGTATCCTTCCACCTGTCTCTGAATAGCTGAGACTACAGGTGTTTGCCATCATGTCTGGCTAAGTGACAATTTTTTGTGTTATATCTTCCTCTTATTCTTTTCCATAGAACCATGACACCTACCACTTTCAAGACAAATGTGTACAACTTATGTCTCCTGGGAAATATTTACCCATTGTTCTTAAACCTGATTCTGGTCATAGTCTGATTGGAATAACTCTGTTCCATCCTTGCTTTCTCTTATCTCCCTCAAGTACTTAGCTTTTACATCTTATACAACAACAGTTAATTGTAGACATACATTTATGCCTTTTGAAAATCATATGTTAACACATATAGATTTTTTTTTCCTCCTCTATAGGGTAGCAAACTCCTTGAAAGCAAGAGATGTGGCTTTTGTTTCCTTAGCAAGACAAGCAGATCTGGACAGAGTATGCTTTATTTACATGGTAGTAATTTACCAGTGCTGGCAGACCCAAATGTTCTGGTTTCCTGGGATAATCCAAATCTCATTGGTGACATTGCCTTGGTTTTTGAACATAGGCTTAGAAACAATTGCTGAAGTAGCTCCAATCCTAGGAAGCAGATGGCAGTCCTTGAAACTGCCTCTGGCTGCCACTGCAGAGCAATTCCTCTTTTCTGGCCCAAGATTTCTTAGCAGTCTTAGCCTTTATCCAAGACTTTTTACTCTTTCCCTCAGGCTGCTGTAGTTTAAGTCATCCTCTAGAAAGCAAAACAAAACAAAACACAAAACCCACCAAAGCTCTTCAATCTTTTGTCCATTGAATAAATCTTCAATTCTCTTTCTTATGCCCTTTAATGTTCTCTCTCTCAGTTAAGATTGGGCTTCTTGGTTTCATATTCTATTCTCTGTGGGAAAGCATTAAAAATAAGAACTAAACAAAAAGTCTTACTGTAAAGAGAATTTTTCTGGGGTCTCTGCTTTTCTTTTTGATGTTTAATCTATTCTGCAAACACAGAATTTTAGCTAATCTGTCCCTCACTGTATCTGCACTCCTGGAAGTTTAGTCCCTGTGGGCAGTTTCTTTCTTTTTTTTTTTTTTTTGACAACTTTTATATATAGCCTTTTAGAGATCATCTCCCTTCTCCAGGCCCATTCTGCTGCAGGCTTGTGAACTTGAAGCAACGTGAGTGTGTCTGTATGTGTGCACGTGCACACATAAGAAGGAGAAAAAGAACTTTCTCACCAAGCAGACTTTTTCAAGTGTCCTCAGCTAGTTTAGAATCTGTGAGTCAGGCACAGAGGCAGGGGGTGAATTTGTCCCTTGATCATTCCCATGGCTAACAGCTTCTTCAAATTCTGTAAGGTTGTGATATAGCAGTTTTTTTTCACCAGTTTCTTGGCTTGCCGTCCTAATTTAGATGGTCTGAAGTTGTGATATTTAAAGTAGCCAAAAGAGTAAAATTAAGGCTCATTTTTATGTTGTGGCCATGCAACATGGGGATTCATAACCAAAAACATTTAATTAATAACATGAGATAATATATGGGAAATACAATGTACACTTCTTTTTGATACTATTCTTTCAAATTGCTGTAAAAGCCCCAATGAAAAGAAAGTCTTATGTTAGAAAAATCTTTATCCTTTTGGTCTTGTGAAAATATTCTTTTTTTACTGTTTGTTTTTGTTCCAGAACTAAAGTTTTTTTCCTAAACCATATATGTATCTATAGTGTATGTATGTATGTATGTATGCATGTATGTATGTATGTATGTATGTATGTTTTGAAACAGGTTCTTGCTCTGTTGCCCAGGCTGGAGTGCAGTGGTGTGATCACAACTCACTGCAGCCTCAATCACCTGGGCTCAAGAGGTGCACCCCCCTCAGCCTTCTGAGTGGCTGGGACTACAGGCATGCACCACCATGTCTGGCTTATTTATTTTATTTTATTTTTTGTAAAGGTAGGAGTCTCACTATGTTGGCCAGGCTGATCTTGAACTCCTGGGCTCAAGTGATCCTCCTGCCACGACCTCCCAAAGTGTTGGGATTACAGGTGTGAACCACTAAGTCTGGCCTAAACTTTAAATATATATATATTTATATATATATATATATTTTTTACAAGTGACTTTCAGAGAAAAAAATAGCTGAGTACAATAGACTGTTTCACCTGGTGTTTCAATATTTAAAGTTTCCCGCCTTTCCTCTAGGCCAGATTATTACCTACATATTTTATGAATTTTTTGGAATTACTACATAACTGTCAGAGATGTATGGCTTGAATTACTATAACATATATCAGAGTGTCTGCTGAAGACATGCATACATTTAAAACAGTTATAAAAATAACACCAATATTAGCTTAACTTTTTCTTATTCTTGTCCCAAATCGTATTCTCATCTTTCCCTTACTTGAGGTAAACTTAATTTTACCATGTCACAAATTGGGTTTCTCATGAAACAGTCTCTGAGACTCTGAGATTTGTGTGTGGAAGTTTTTTTGGTGGGTGTTTTGGGAGACATACCTGTGAATGGTGAGGGAAGAATAATAGGGTTAAAGGAAAAGTTGAACTATGATTCAGTCACAATAGACATTTCAACTGATCTTACCTAGAGTCCTGAAACTGGGATGCCTGTGAAAAATTGTCTGTCTTAAAGCAAGGAGGCCAAGGCTATACCCCCACATTGGTTAGTCACTGGATGCAGACCTTCCCCATGGAGGAGAGAGAGCCCTAGGCAGGACAGCTTTCTTTGGCAGGTTTCTACTTGTGGCAAACATACTGCTCTAAACATCCATGTACAGGTTTTTGTGTGAACATAAGTTTTCATTTCTCTAGGATGAATACCCTAAAAATAGCTGAGTAAAACAGATGGATGTGGGATTGTTGGATCATATGGTAAGCGTAGGTTTAATTTGATAAGAAACTGCCAGGCTGTTTTCCAAAGTGGCTGTACCATACTGCATTCCTATCAGGAATGTATGAGAGTGCCAGTTGCTCTGTGTCCTTGTCAGCACTTGGTATTGTTTTTTGTTTTTTTTTTAGCCATTCTAGTAAGTGCATAATGGTATATCATTGTGGTTTTTAATTGTGTTTCCATAATGCCTAATGATATCATATTTCTTTTCATGTGTTTATTAGACATTCATTTTTGTCTTCATATCTTTTTCCCATTTTAAAAATGAAGTTGATTGTTTTCTTATTGCTGAGTTTTGTGAGTTTTTAAAGTGTATTCTGGAAACAAATCCTTTATCAGGTATGAGATTTACAAATATTTTTTCTCCAATCTATGATTTGTCTTCTCATTCTCTTTATGATTTTCTTCATAGAACAATATATTTTCATTTTGATGAAGTCCAATTTATTAATTATTCTTTTATAACGGATTGATCACTTGGTGTCTTATCAAAAGACTCTTTGATTAACCCAAGGTCATGAAGATGTTTATCTACATTTCTTTTCTGAGTTTCATATTTTTCTATTTTACACTTAAGTCTCTGACACATTTTGAGCTAACATTTGTGTGTGGTATTAGGTTAAGGCTGAAGTTCAATTTTTTGCATATGATATGCAGTTGTTCTAAGTATCGTTTGTTGAAAAGATCACCCTTTCTCCATTGAATTTCCTTTGCACCTTTATTAAAAATCAACCAACCATAATTATGTGGATGTATTTGTGAACTTTTTGTAATGTTGCATTGATCTATGTGTCTGTCCTTTCATCTTTTACCAGTCTTGATTGATATAGTTTTATCATACATTTTACTGTTGGGTAATGTTGAGTTATCCAGCTTGGTTCATTCTTTTTCAAAATTGTTTTAACTGTTGTAGTTCCTTTACTTTTCCATACAAATTTTAGAACAGGCTTATCTATATCTGCAAAATATCTCTCTGGGATTTTAATTGCTATTGTGTTAAATCTAGATTACTTTGGGGAAAATTGACATCTTATTTATGTTGAATATTCTAATCTATGGAAATGGAGTGCCTTTCTATTTACTTAGGCCTTCTTTCTGAGTATTTCATAGTTTTCAGCGTATAGATCTGTGTATGTTTTATTTTTTAGGGGGCGATTGTAAATGGTACTTTTTAAAAATTTCAGTTTTCAGTTGTTCATTGCTAGTATATAGAAAAATGATTGATTTTTGTATGTTGACCTTGTATTCTGTGATTTTGTGAATGTACTTGTTGCTTTAAGAGCATTTGGTAGATTCCTCAGTAGCAGTCCCCAACTGTTTTGGTACCAGGGAGTGGTTTCCTGGAAGACAATTTTTTCATGGATGGGGGTCGGGGGATGGTTTCTGGATGAAACTGTTCTATCTCAGATCATTAGGCATTAGTTAGATTTTCATAAGGAGCTTGCAACCCAGATCCCTGGTGTGCGCAGTTCACAATAGGGTTCCTGCTCCTATGAGAATCTAATGCCACCGCAGATCTGACAGGAGGCAGAGCTCAGGCAGTAATTTTCCCTTGCAGATGCTCACCTCCTGCTATAGAGCCCAGTTCTTAACAGGCCATGGATGGTACCAGTTAGTGGCCCTGGGGGTTGGGGTCCCTTGTTCCTTGTGATTTTCCATGTAGATACACATGTTATCTTGAATAGGGATAGTTTTATTTCTTGTTTTCTAATTTAAAAGTCTTTTATTTCTTTATCTTATCTTATTGTGCCTGTTAAGACTTCCAGAACAATATTGAATAGAAGTGGTGAGACTGGATATTCTTGCTTATTTCTCAGTCATACGAGGAAAGCTTTTGGTCATTCACCATTAGGTATGGTGTTAGGTTTTTTGTATATGCTCCCTATCAGATTGAAGAAGATCCATTCTCTTCTTAGTTTGCTAAGGGTTTTTTTTTTTAATAATTAAAATATCATGAATGAATGTTGAATTTTCTCACATGCTTTTTCTTTATCTGCTGATATGATCATGTGGCTTTTTTTTGTTTAGTCTGTAATATGGTGATTTACACTGAATATTTCTCAAATATAAATTAGCCTTTCATTTCTGGGATAAACCCCACTAAGTTGTGATGTGTTTTTTAAAATATATTGATAAAATTTGATTTGTTAAAATTTTGTTGAGTAATTTTTACATCTATATTAATGAGGGATATTGATCTGTAGCTTTCTTTTCTTGTATTGTCTTTGGTTTAGGGGTCAGGGTAGTGATGTCTTCATAAAATGAGCTGGAAAACATTCTTTTTTCTGGAAAAGATTGTGTGGAACTAGTATTAATTTTTTCTTAAATATTTGGTAGACTTCACATGTGAAACCCTCTGGTTCTAGAGTTTGTTTTATTAGAAATATTTTAGCTATGGATTTAATTTATTTAATAAATATAAGACCCCTCAGTTATCTATTTATATTTTGAGTGAGTTTTGATAGTTAATGTCTTTGAAAGAATTGGTCCATTTCATCTAGGCTGTCAAATTTATTATATGAATAGAGTTTTCTTTTTGTAGCATTCCTTCATTATTCTTTAATGTCTGTGGGTTTTGAAGCGTTATCCCCTGCTTCATTCCTGGTGTTTGTAATTTGTGCCTTCTGTCTTTCTTAATCAACCTAGCCAGTTTTATGTATGTTTTAATATTTCTGAAGAAACAGCTTTTGGTTTCATTGATTTTTCTCTTTTGTTATTCTCTTCTCAATGTAATTGATCTTTCTCTCTTTGTTATTTCTTTCCTTTTTTTGAGTTCATTTACTCTTCATTTCTAGTTTCTTATGATGGAAGCTTAAAGCATTAATTTGAGACCTTTCTTATTTTCTGATCTACACATTTAATACCATAAATTTCCCTTTAAGCACTGTTTTAACTATATCCCACAAATTTTGATATGTTGTATTTTTATTTTTCATTCAGTTCAAAGTATTTTTGAATTTCCCTTGAGTCTTTTTCTTGGATTATTTAATTGTGCATTATTTCATTTCCAAGTATCTGGAGGAAATGATTTATTTCTCTAATTGTCTTCTAGTTTAATTCTATTATGGCCATGGCAGATAGTTTGGATAAGTTTAATTCTTTAAAATTTAAGAATGTGGTCCAATTTACTGAATATTCCAAAGGCATTTGAAATGAATGTGTATTCTATTTTGTTGGATGGAGTAGTCTATAGATGTCAATTAGGTCAAGTTAGTTGATAATATTCAAACTTCCTATATTTTTGCTGCATTTCTGTCTGCTTATTCTATTAATTACTGATAGAGGTATGTTGAAGTCACCAACTATAATTGTGGGTTTTTCTGTATGTCTTTTTCATTTTATTAAGCTTTTGCTTCATGTGCTTTACAGCTGTATTGTTAGGTGCATGGATATTTAAAATTGTTACACCTTCTTAGTGAATTGAGTCTTTTATAATTATGTAAATTCCCTCATTGTCAGTGGTGATTTTCCTTATTCTGAATTTGTCCAATATTAATACATCTACTCCAGCATTTCTTTTATTAGCATTTTCCTAGTATATGCTATTTCATTCTGTTGTTTTTAGCCTTTTTTTATTTTTGTTTTTTTTTTACCATTATGTGAAATGGATTTCTTTTAGACAGCTCATAGTTGAATTTTTCTTTTTCAAATCTTATCTGATAATCGCTCTCTTATTTAATTGGTATGTTCAGACCACAGACATTTAATGTACTTATTTGTGTGGTTGGATTTAAGGCTACTATTTTATTAGTTTTCTGTCCATTCATTTTGTTTTTCATACCTTTGTTTTTCATTTCTTGCCTTCTTTTGATTGGCTTGAACATTTAGAATTCCATTCTCATTTATCTACAGTGTTTGTTTTAGTATATCTCTTAGTGTAGTTTTTCTTCTAGTGGTTATCCTAGGGCTTACAATATACATATCAAACTTTACACAAGCTACTTAGAATTAATATTTTACCACTTTAGGTAAAGTGAAGAGACCTTAGGACAGTTTATACTTCCCCATTTTTGATGTAGTTGTTATATGTATCACATCAACCTATTTTGAAATAGCATTATAATTTTTGATTTCAGCAATCATGCATATTATAACAAACTTAAGAGGCAAATAATACTCTAATTTTATTTACCTGGATATTTACAATTTCTATTGCTCTTTCCTTGTTAGTGACCTTCCAAGTTTCCTTCTATTATTGCTTTCCTTCTCCTTGTAAACCTTTATTTGGCATTTCTTTGAAAGCACATCTCCTGGTGACATATTTCCCTTATCTGAGAATGTCCTTATTTTGCCTTCATTCTGATGGATATTTTTGATACAGGATTAGGCTGACAATTCTTTCTTTCAGTACTTGAAAATAATGTTATGCCGCTGTCTTCTGGACTCCATAGTTTCCAATAAGAAAGCTGCAGTAATTGAAATTCTTCCTCCCCCATATGTAATGTAATTTTTCCCTGTTAATTTCAAGATTTTAAAACTTTATCTTTGATTTCTAGGAGTTTCACTATGATATATCTAGGTGTGGTTTTCTTTACATTTATCCGGTTTGTGGTTGCTGAGATTCTTTGGATCTGTAAATTTATGTCTTTCACCAAATTTGGGGAATTTTCAGCCATTATTTATTCAAATACTTTTCTGCACTGTTCCTTTTTTTTCCTCCCCTTCAATAACTCCAGTGTGATAAATGTTAGACCTTTGATATTATCTCACTAGTCTCTGAGGCTCTGTTTATTTTTTGACCATTTTTTCCCTTTCATTGTTCAGACTGAATAATTTCTACTAATCTGTCTTCATGTTCATTGACTTTCTTCTTTCATTGGCCATTGAGTCAAGTCCCTCTGGTGAATTTAAAATTTTTTTTATTGTATATTTCTAAGTTTTTATTCTGTAGCTTCTATTTCTTTGCTGAGACTGTAATTCCATTTGTTTCTAGATTATTTGCCCTTACTTCTTGTGGCATGGTTATACTAGCTGTCATAACTTTTTTTGTTTGATAATTCCACATTTGGATCATCTTAATGTTGATGTCTATTGATTGCCCTTCCCTTTCAGTTGTTTAGATTTCTTAGTGATTCTTTATGTCAAGTAATTTTGAATTGTGTGTTAGATATTTTGAATATTGTGTTATGAGTTTTGGGCTCTATTAAATCCTTTTGGAGATGGGCTTTATTTTTTTAAAAGCAAGAAATCAACCTTGGATTTACATTGTAAGTTCTGACCTGGTCTAGTTGGGCTTGGTTCCAATGTCAGTTCAGTTTTCACAGACTTTGCTGTGTTATTCTGGTTTTCATAGCTTATGTGCTCATGTTCTTCCATATGTGGTGTATACTATAGTTCGGGTCTCAGAGCTTTTGCTGTCTGAGTCTGATAGACTTTACACATATTCAGGTTGAGGATAGCTCAGGGCTTCATACAGAGATTTAAAGAATCTCTTTCAGCTTCCTCCTTTCCAGATCTTTCCTCACTCATTGGTTGCCAGTTAATTTATTCACATTTCTATATGGCTATAGTGTGAATGTGTGTGGGGGAGTCCATGTTAACTCAGACTGCCATGTTACTAAAACCAGAAGTTTGCATATTTATTAAATAATTAATTACATTTATATATATATATATATTACAACAAAATGATGTAACTTTCATTGTGATATTTACACACTTTTACAAAAAGTTCATGTAGCGGATAATGTCAATGCCCCACTATTATTTTCTTAAATCCCTTAATCATTTTTGTTTATTTTGACTCCCAGAAGTTTTCATTCCTGACAGCTAGCATCTGCATTGCTCTATGAGAAAGTTGAGTGTAGGCTATGGCTGTGAGTTTGTTTCTGGATGCCTGAAGTTGGAATTTATATGCTCTGGAGATAGCCCTGATACCAATACCTGATAGGGACAGGAGTGTAATATTCAAGCTTCCTTACCCCTCATCTTTGCAACCCTTAGACATAACCCAAACTGTTGAATTTCACTGTAGAATTGAGCTAAATTTAGCTCCTGTGAGAACTTGCCAGATATTGGCATCCTTGCTTCTTTTTTTTTTTTTCTTTACTGCCCACTTCTCCATTCCTTTACTGGTTTTTCCTTGGAAAACTTCTTAATAAATAACTTTCACATCGATTCTTGTCCCAGGATCTGCTTCTGGAAACCCCACAGTGATGGGTAGAATTCTAAGATGGCCTTCAACATTCGCTGGCATATGCACCTATAGAATTCCCTCCTCTCGAGCATTGGTGAGGACCTGTTAATATGATGAGCCAGTGACTCCCTTCATTAGGTTATATTAGACAGCAAACGTGATGGGATAATCACTCCCTTGATTATATAGGACTCAGTTTTAGCAGATTATTCTACTGGCCTTAAAGAAGTAAACTGTCATGTGTGAGGTGGCCACAGGGCAAGGAACTGCAGGGCCTCTAGGAGCTAAGATTGGCTTTCAGTTGATAGCCAGAAAGAAACTGGGGACCTCAGCCCTATGACAGCAAGGAACTAAATTCTGCCAATAACGATGTGAACTCCAGAAAGGCATACAGCCTGGGTGACACCTAGATTGTACCAGCCTTGTGAGATTTGAGCAGAGGACCTAGTTAAGCCACGCCTGGACTCCTGCCCATAGAAACTGGAGATTAATAAATGTAGATGGTTTTAAGAAGCTAATTGTGTGGTATTTTGTTATGCAGTAATACAAATTAATATAACAATCTAAGGCAGTTAGTTATTCCAATATTTCTATTTTCTCACTAATTTTATCAATGTTATAATATTGAGTGTATTTATGATGATGATTCTGAAACAGCTCCCGAATTATCCAAGACCATTATGGGTTCATTTATTCAGTCATAATTTGTTGAATGGTTGGCATATATAAGGCACTTTTTTAGGTTCTGAGGGGATATCAAGATGAATATTTTTTCCTGCCTTAAAGGAACCGATATTGTAGAGAGTAGGGGAAAATGCACTGTACATGGATAACAACTATATTATAAATTATATCGTAAATGTGCTATAAGGAAGGCATAAAGAAGATGCTATGAGACCATATAAAGCCCTGCTGGAATTAAATTTAATACATGGAATATGTCCACCTGAGTGTTGAATTCACAGCTGAAGTTCAAAAAACAATAGCAGTGTGGTCTTGTGGATACAGTAGTGATTCGGCAGTCAGATAGACCTAGGTTTAAATCTATCCTCTTTATATCATTTCCACTCAATTTCCACATTGGTAAAGTTTTTTCCAAACTTTGAACAAAGCAAATTATATGATTTTCACTCAATTCCCACACTGGTAAAGTCTTTTTACAAACTTTGTAGCTTTATGATCAGGAGCAAACTATGTATGGCATGCCCCACAAACGATTGTGGTATAACAGAGGAATGCCTTCCTCTGTTAATTTCTCACTAGTGACAGAGTGCTGTTCTTATTCATAATAGAAGCTCTCAATATAAAGATACCAACCCAGGCATGGTGGCATGTGCTTGTAGTCCCAGTTACTCAGGAGATAGAGGCAGGAGAATCACTTGAGCCCAGGAGTTCGAGGCCAGCATGGGCAACATAGTGAGACCCTGTCTCTAAAAGTTAAAATAAAATACACAAAGCAACATGCATTTTTCAGTTGTCTTTATTGGAAATATGTGTTCACGGGGAAACTCTGAATGTCTTTTCTTGGGAACAATGCTCCCTGGAGAGCAGCCAAGGGGAATTAGAGTGGTCTGAAAGCATGGGAATGCTAAGTGGGTGAAAGACTCCTGCAGATTCTATAGATGGGAATGTTGTCTGAATATTTAAAAATTATTTTCAGGCTCTTTAAAAATTTAATTTAAACATATAGTCTACTTCAGGTATCCCTTTGGATTGGAAGTAGAAGTTTGCTTTGAGCCTTTCATTTTGGTGCTCAGTAAATGCTAATTTCCTGGTTGGACACTGGAGTGTCAGATGGTTCATCTCAAAATGTTTATGAGAAGACCACATTTTCCCTTGACAACAAGAGCATAGGAATGGATAATATGTTAAATAGCTCCTAGAGTATATGAATGGTGTGTTTTTGTTACCCCAGAGCACGTGCTTTATCTCTTGCACACTGTAAGACAGATATAGGTGTAATTATCATTTTAACTAGCCAGTTAGCTATTCTGTAGGACTATGATTATGCAGAGTGTAGAGAAAACTTTATTTATGAACTTATTCTCAAGAAAAAAACAAAAGCAAAAAGCTAAGCCAGCACATCGTCTAATTCTCAATGTAAAATAATGCAGAAGTGCGGAAGATGAACATCTGATTTGTCACATCTGATACACTAATGTTTTATCCAAAAGGAAGAACACATTGTAACTTGCTCAGTCATCTGCATAAACACCACCTGGCCCTTTACAGGCACCTACTCAAGTAACAAGAGTCAACGAATGGCAGCTCTGCTCATAGCCTTTTCACTGGTAGAAACAGAAAAATCTCTTTTCTTTTCACTGGTATATATAGAAAAATATCTTTGTTTTTTAAAAAACAAAACATTTATGTATCAAAGTAGCAGCATCTCATACATTTTTTTTCAACAGCATAAGATCTGGGTGATAAAATGAAGCCAATGGAATCTTCTACATTAGGGAATATATGGTCACAAATTCCTTATATTTTGAACAGCTAAAAAATTCCTTATCCTTTAAAAAGTGGGTATATCCAACTAGACCCCATGCAATAAGGTATTTATTGGAACATGAAGTCACTTGCCCCCCAGGTATATCACTTAGTAAATCTTGCATTGGAAATAGCTATAGTTTTTAGCGCAAAATATTTTTCCAGGGATGAGAGGACTTTTCCTCCTCTGAAGTGACACATTCTGGTTGTATGCCTCAGTGAGCATACCTTTGTGCTACATTACACACATAGAGATAGCATCACACTTTCCAGTTGTACTAATATAAAAAGGAGGAACCTGGATCACTAAAGTATATGTATATGGTACTAGTCTTGCATGTTTTCAAGGAAAGTTAGTGGGAGGGTGAATGAGACTGACATGCTGTCTTAAAGAAAGATTTAGGAAAAACAAATCTCACTTGTCTTTACATTTTAGATCCAAGTTGGCTAACTAGAAGGTGTCAACTACCTTGTTTCCTCCACTGTAAAAACCCTGCCAAAGTCTTAGCGTATTTCTGCAGACAGGAGACAATTGAACAAATTAGTCTTCCGGGGTGTACCAGTTTTTAATTTTTTTTTTTAAAGAGGGGAAAGTGTCAGAGAGCCATTGAGCTCTGCCCTTAGCTCACTATTTTATTGACAACCTGTGGGACATGCTTAGTTTCTAAAACTTTCTACCTTTAAGTAAAACTTCCAGCCATCTATCATGCTAAAATTCTTCCTGGAGCCATTTGAAAAGTGACAGTCTGCAGCTCTTTTATATTTGGTTTCTGGATCTCATGTCTTGAATTAATGCTTTCATTTAAAACATTTAAAAAATACTGCATAATAGATGGACATATTTTGGGGTTACATGTGGTAATTTGATACATTCATATACTGTGTGAAGATCAAATGACAGCAACTGAGATTTCCACATTAGTAGAATTTAATGCATGTATTTGGTGGTGAAAATGACTGGACTTTCCTTGTTTTTGGATTTAATGCATTATGATATTATGATGTTTAATTGTCCAGGACATGTATGTCAACCCAAGGCAAATGTTTAATCTTGTTTACACTGTTCAAATGCCTCTAACATTAGTCTCTGTTATAGACTCCTATTTTAATTGTATTATCTGTTTCATGTTGGAAAAGTATGCCTGGATTAGAAAGGGAGAAGGATCTTGCTCATTTCCCAGTTCCCAGTGCAGCCTGGAAAGTAATTTTATTCATTTATTCTACTAATAAATTTAAAGTTCCTACTGTATGCCAGTGTTGGGGAGAGACTAACGAAAGGTAGACATGGTACCTGCCTTCATGCAGCTTATAGTCTAATACGTTTGAATGAATATTTATGATTCTAGAAATCATTGACAAGGTTTCTACTTCAGGATTAGAAAGATGATGTCATTTCAGCAATTAACATGAAATTACATGTTTTGAGTAGAGTACTTAGTATACACTAAATATTTTGTTACATGTCATTTCATTTAATCTGCACTACAAACCCAGCAGGTAATGTTAGTCTAATTTTACAGGTAAGGAAATTGACACACAGACAGGTCTCATAAGTTTCCCCCCGTTAGATAGTTACCCAGGTCTATCTGATTGAAAAGCCAGCTTGCTGAGGGTTTGCATTTGCATCATCAACCTACCTTTGCAAAGTGAATTTAAACTTACGTAATTTAGATGAATAAATTAGAAGTATTATTTTTTTATCCTAACCAAAGTTGGAAACTCAAATATCTACAGAGATAACAGGCATAATATAGTGAAGCAGGAGAGTAATAATAGGGAGTGGTCAGGAGTGCAGTAAATTCAAGCTTACATGCTTTGTTTAAATATTCCAGGTGATTTCTACTATGTGTGAATGATGAATGAAGGCCCCGGGATGCGATGTTTTTAGACCATATAGCACATTTGTGCAAATTAGAAAAGTCACTCTTTCCCCTTAGTGATTATAGTCCAGGCTTGGCAAATGAGTGTGCAGGCCTTGTGAACATGGCTCAGCAAAGGAGCGTGGGTGGGGAACCAGCCCCACTTACCCCCTTCAGCTGATGCTTTGTGCAAGGCACAGCATGAGACACTGAACATCTGTTTTTTTTGTTTTGGTTTGTTTTGAGACAGGGTCTGGCTCTGCTACCCCGGCTGGAGTGCAGCGGCACGATCATGGCTCACTGCAGACTCAACCTCCTGGGTTCAAGTGATCCTTTCCACCTCAGCTTCCCAACGAACTGGAACCACAGGAGCATGCCACCACACCTGGCTAATTCTTGTATTTTTTAGAGATGGGGTTTTGCCATGTTGCCTAGGCTGGTCTCGAACTCTTGGGCTCCAGGGATCCTCCCACCTTGGCCTCCCAAAGTGCTGGGATTACAGGCGTATGCCACTGAGCTTGGCCTGACATCTGGATTTTTAAAGTGAAATTTCTTGATTTTTAAAATTAAAAATTTAAAAATCACTGCGTGGGTCAAATAAAACTCATTTATGTTTTGGATTTGCCCTGCTGGCCACCATTTGAAACTTCTGAATTACAAGCTAAGCCTGTGAGGTGAGAAGTAGCAGTTTTTATTTGTTTAGCCGTCAGGCTCCTCAAGTATCTGGAGACAAAAATGTTTTCAATTTCAATCTCAAAATTAAGAAGCATTTTTAGTATCTACATTTTAAAGGCTAATTTGAAGCAAAATTATTCCATCTCTAAGAGTCTAGCTGTACTAGTCATGAAAAATTCTCAGGTGGTTTGTTATTCAGTAACTACCTATGTTTAACATGGATACTTGGGAGTTAAAAATGCATCAAGGTTAATTGCAAAAAGGAAGTAGAACTTGCGTAAATCTCAAATTATTTGAATTTTTCTTTTGATTGTAGATTGAGCATCAGTTGTGTCCTATGATTGGTGTTAACATAATATCTGATGGTACTAATATAGTGAGCTAAGAATAACACCAAAGAACATCCATATTATCTCACCCACAGGAGAATTTGCCTTTTGGTCGTGAATTTAGGTTGTCTCAAAATAATTTTGCCAGAGTCTAAGGTAATAATTGCACGTTTTAAGTTTTCGGTCCATTAAGTTTTGTCTTTGTAATGACTAATTCTTTGTATGCTATCTTACTTAAGCAAACCAAACCAAACCAAACCAAACCAAACCATCACTACTTGTGTCAAGGGAATCATGAAAGATATGTATTGCAATGAAAAGGGATAGGTACCAAAGGTATATACCTCACAACCCTGTGTCTCCTACGCTGGTACTTCAGGGAAATCTTGTCTTGAGAAATGATAGGAAGCTGCCCAGAGACAGAGAACAAATTGATACTTTTTTGCAGAGGTGGGAAGAAAATACCAGGTCTGTATGAGTGATTACTAATGACCTCTTTTGATGAAATGCAGTTCTTTCCAAGGACTAGAGTTGTTTGGAACTTAAGTAGTCATTACTTTTGTGAAATTCCATGAGCATGAAGTTCTTTTTCATCTTCAGGGAAGGGAGAGCATAGGTCATTGAGAACACCATATTTTATTTTTTCCTTCTCACCTACAAATGAAACTTGTATAACTCTGTGTGCCTAAGATCTTAAACCCAAACTGCAAAACTGCAAGAATTTAAGCTACACACTTATGAAATTGCCACAAGCATAGTTTGTTGTCTAGAGTCTAAAGCATTCTGAAAAAGAGTATTTTTTTTTTGTTATGAGGGAAGCCTAGAACAAATTTTGATTAGGTTCCCAAAGCCGGGCACTGAAATGAGAAAGTTACACTAGGAAATAAGTTGGAGAATCAAAGTAAGTGCATAGTTATTGCTATTTTTGCCTTTAATATTCAGCTTTTTAATTATTAAGACATATATTTTTCCTGCCTATATATATTCATACACACATATTTATTTTTGGTATACATATACACACATATTTATCTCTGTGTGTGTATATACATATTTATACCACTTTATATATATATATGTGTGTATATATATATATATATACACTCACAGACACACCTATTCCACTGGCACATACATATTATATTTATTTTTGTGTGTGTGTATATACACACACAGAGATACATATATATATACACACACAGGCATACACATACACACACACATATACACACAAATAAATATATATGTATGTACCAGTGGAAAGGTATATATATATACACATATATATATAAAATAGTGGTATAAATATATATATATATAAGCAGAGATAAATATATGTGTGTGTATGTATGTATACCAAAAATAAATATATATGTATGAATATATAGGCAAAAAAATATATGTCCTAATAATTAAAAAGTTGAATATTAAAGGCAAAAATAGCATATCGTGTATATATATATACATAATAGCATGTTGTGTATAAATATATATATATTTATCTGTGTGTGTGTGTATATATATATATATACACACACATATATATATACACACATATATATATACACACACACACATACACACAAACATTTCCTAAAGGCTAATTTGAAGAGAAATTACTCTGTCTCTAAGAGTCTAGCTGTACTAGTCATGAAAAATCATGTGCATGTGTGTCAAATATGTATACACCACAAATAAATATATATGTATGTGCTAGTGGAATAGGCCCGTTGGAATATTCAGCTTTAGCTTTTCCTTTAATATGGTGTTTTGACTAAAATGTTAGAACAGGAAGGATTCTTGGTGACACATTTTGTTTTTAAACTGTGATCCTTGGAACCCCAAGTGGCTTTGGACATGTTTCAAAGTTCCTATAAGAATTTTATTTAAAAATTATGTAATCAGTTCTCAATTATCTAGGCTATCATAGTCTGCAAAGGGAGAGGTTGTTAATCAGGGCTTCACAACTCCAGTTATATTTTAGCCAGACAGCTTCCATTTTATTCAATTATATTCATTTATTTATTAAGTAAATACTTATCTAGCACCTACAATATGGCCAGGCACTATTTTAGGTGCTGAGAATAAAGTGGTTGAAAAAGGTAGACAGAGTCCATTGTCTCATAGAGCTTGTATTCTGGGATGGGATGGAATAAGGGAGAAGAACAGATTTCTGATTAGCATGCTTGAGGAATACTAGGAAGGCCAATGATTCTGGACTACGTGAACAAGGAGGGAGTTAGGAGAATGGGCCAGAGGGATATCAAGTCAAGAACATATAAGGCCTTAAAGGCAAAATAAGAAGTTTGGACTTTAGTATAAGTGTAATAAGAGATGTAAGGCAAAATAAGGAGTTTGGATTTTAGTATAAGTGTAATAATAAGAGATGTAACCTGATTTGTGATTTAAATGGATCGTCCTGCTTTTGTGTGGCAAACAGCCTATGGTATGGCCAGAATGGAAGCAGCAAAGCCTGTTGGGAGATTTAAGTAGATTTACACTTCTAAGCATGATGTAGTAGGTTGCATTAGGGCAATGCTTCTGCTGAAAACAATTAGAAAAAGCTAGATAAATTCCAAAACGTATAATTTTAAAGGTACAAAGAGCTATGGGAGCTATGAGGACAAGACAAACTACAATTTCAGAGAGGGTCATGGATGATTCGGAGCTATTTTCTCCCTTGAGAGCATTTGATATTCTGGGCATGGGCTAAGGATTAAAACTTGGCCCAGGCTGAGGACTACTTATTGGGAAAATAAAAACTTCAGTGGTTATGTGAAGCTAGAGTGACAAAATTTGAGACTAGAGGGATCTCAAATACATGGCCAGGTTTTCCCACAAGACATCTGCTGAACTCTGAACCAAGATAGGAGATTAAAGAGCTAGGTTGAAAGCTTCTGAAAGGTAGAGTGAAATATCACATAGTCTTGTGATGCTTAGGAAACAAAGGCTGCTCTGGGGAGCAGACCCCAAAATAAAACATGCGAGGATAATAAAATCCCTAGAAAGAGTGGTGGATTGATCTGGAGATACTTTTCATCTGGGATACTTAGTAAATCTGGGTGCCTCTTGAGGTTGAAAATCTAGGCTAGGCTTGACCTGTAGCAGAGTAGCAGAAGGCCTTTCTTGAGAAGCAGAGAAACCAACAGGATTTGACTTCTTTTTTTTTTTTTTTTTTGGACTGAAGTAACAAAATTGCAGACTTGAGGAGTGTCAGACACATAGATGGTTCCTTGATGACATTTGTCACATTTGAAGCTGTGTGGGTCAGGAAGCTAAAGAACTAAGTGATAAACTTCTGAAGGGCAGAACTGAATCTCCTTTAGTCATTCAGATGTGGGAAATCAAAATCCTACCAAGCTTACAATGAAAAACCCTGGGGAGCCATGACCTATGAACGGGGCCAAGCAGAACTACATTGAGTTTTACCAAAACTTCTTCACAGCTGCAACTCAGCACAATTCCTGATTGGCTTGAGATGATTAATCCCCCTAATAGCTGTCCTTGCTATTAGCAGAAGGAGGAAAGCTTTTCTGATGGAAGATAGTATCATCCGGAGGCTCTACATTTTCTTTAGAATTGGAAAATAGGCCAATAGAAAACACCCAAGCAGAAGCACAGAGAGAACAAATAATGGAAAAACAGATAAGAGTAATGTGGACTGTGATGAAAATGATGTGTAACTGAAGTTCTGGAAGGAGAAGAGGAGAGAGTAGAATAGAAATAATATTCAGAGTTAAAAGCTAACCATTTTCCAAAACTGATTGAAAACGTGAATCCATAGGTTCAAGTAGGATAAACACAATGAAAACAATACCCAGCATCTTATATGTAAGACTGCTGAAAACAAATAAGTAGAGAAAGTCTTAACTGGAGCCAGGGAAAGACTTTATTCCAAAACAGCATCAATAAAACTTATATCTGACTTCTCAACTAAACAATAGAAGTCAGAAGGCAATGAAATGGCATCTTTCACATGCTGAAAGAAAATAATTGCCAAGCTGGGATTTTATACCTGGTGAAAATATACTTGAAAAATTAAGGCGAAATAAAGACAATTTCAGACATATAAAAATGGAGAAAATTTGTTGCCACGTCCTGTACTAAAAATAATAATAATAAGCAATAGCAAAAGGAGCTCTTCAGAGAGAAGCATGTAAATTCAAGAGGAAATGAAAAATATCAGAAAGGGAAAATATCTGGGTAAATACAAACGGATATTGATTGTATAGAACAATAATCATAATGTCTTTTGGAGTCTTAAATTGATATATAATCAAAATGCATGACAAAAATAATGCAAAAAGTAAAAAAAGGATTAAATAGGAGTAAGGTGCTATAAGGTTCTAGCAGTATTGGAAAGTGATATAAGTAATAATTCATACTAGAATGTGATAATTCAAGTATATACGATGTAATCTAAGTAATCTATATTCCTATACCATGAAATACAATGAAAATGATAGTATAACAAATTAACATAGGAAAATATTTTAAAATGTACCAGATTAATCCAAAACAAGAAAGGAAATAGAATATGAAACGGAATGTAAAATGTAAAAGAAATTATAAAGTCATAGTTATAAGCCCACTATATCTGCAATTGTATTACAAGTAAATGAACTAAATATTCCATATAAAAGACTGACATTTAAGACTGGATAAGAATAGAAACCCCAACTATATACTGCTTACAAAGAACAAAGGATCCAAATATATAAGGATACAGAAAGGTTAAATGTAAGAGAGGGTAGGAAAAGGTAACTTAAAAAACACTAACCAAAAGAAAGGTATTACAGCTTTATTCATATCGATGTAGATTTTTAAGGGGAGAAGCATTATTAGAGATAAAAGGGCTATTCCGTAATTGTAAAGGCTACAATCCAATAGGAAGGAGGTTATTGCAATAATCCATGCCAGAGATGACAGTGACTTGGACTAGAAAGGTAGGTATGGATGTGAAGGTGACGTGGTGAAATTCTGGGTATATATTGTAGGTGGGTGCCAACGGTACTTGCTTTTGGATTCGGTATGGAATATGAAATAAAAGATAGGTATTAATAGTAATTCCAAGGTTTTTGTCCTGAGGGACTAGATGAATAACAGTACCATTTACTGAAATGGGGAGTTAAAAATGCACCAAGATTAATTGCAAAAAGGAAGTGGAACTTGTGTAAATCTCAAATTATTTTCAATTTTTCTTTTAATTGTAGACTGAACATCAGTTGTGGTCTATGACTTGTGTTAAGATAATATTCGATGATGCTAATACAGTGAGCTAGGAATAACACCAGAGAAAATCCATATTGTCTCACCCATAGGAGAATTTGCCTTTTGGTCATGAATTAAGTTGAGATGTGGGTTTAGGAGAGAAAAAGAAAAATTCTCCTTTGGCTGTGTGGAACGGGATGGAATAAATAGCAGTAATTCAGTTTTGAACATATAGACTGGTGCTGTGGAGAAGAGATTTGGATATACAAATTCCCAATTTAGTTTGACTCCTTAATTTTACAGATGAAGATGTTGAAGCTCTGAAACTTGCTTACAGTCACACAGCAAGTAAATGCCTCAGGTGGAACTAAAATCCAGGTCTTTTGGGGGCTTAGCATAGGGTCTCAAATAATAGCATCTACTGCTTCTAAACTTGCTTTGTTGAACTCTAGAAAATATCTCATATAGAATAACAATAATTTTAAAAATGTATTGTGTGTTGCAGTATTTGACAGATATTGTGCTAAATGCTTAAGATACCTTTTCTCTAAAGTCTTTTTGTTGTTGTTGAGATGGAGTCTTGCTCTGTTGTCCAGGCTGGACTGCAGTGGCACAATATTGGCTCACTGCAACAACCTCTGCCTTCTGGGTTCAAGCGATTCTCCTGCCTCAGCCTCCTGAGTAACTGGGATTACGGGTGCACCAATCCACCTGGCTAATTTTGTATTTTTAGTAGAGACGGGGTTTCACCATGTTGGCCAGGCTGGTCTCAAACTCCTGACCTCAAGAGATCCACCCACCTCGCCCTCCCAAAGTGCTGGGATTACAGGCATGAGCCACCATGACTGGCCCCTTTTCTCTAAAATCTTTATAGCCCTACAAGGCAGATACTATTATCCTCATTTTTACCGATAAGAAATGAGCTTTTGAGGTTAAGCAACTTTCCCAAGGTCAAATCATTGGTCGACCTAGTCAGATAACCAGGATGTTTAACTCCTGCAACTACTATGCTATACATTTACCTGTGTTGTTGAAAATGGACACTCATTTGTGCTGTGTCTCATTCAGTTTCTTTGATTCTTTTGTGGGTTTATAATCAGTTCACACCTTAGACTATTTTATTTTTTGGCCTTTCAATTTTTCCTTTAGATTTTGAATTTGACTGAGGAACCATTTCCATTGAGTTAAATTTAGGGAAATGACTGATACTTATGTAAGGCTCTTCTTCCAGGGTGCATGATAAATGCTTCCTCAGGACACAGTGTTGGCTTCTTCAGTTTCAACAGCTGTGATTACTGTCTTTGGGAACAAAGAAATAATTGGAGATCACTTGTAATAAAAGCCTTCTCTCTTTTTCTAAGAGCCTTCATATTTTTGTTGACCTCTTTGAAAATTAGAGAGAAAATAAAATAAATCCAGCAACCCCCCCACCGCCCCGCAACAAAACAAAACATACAACTCACAGAACTCAACACCTCATCCAAATTCTCCAACCCAAACTAAAACATCCTCTGAAGAAGAAGCCTTTTTTTTTTTTTGTCTTTAATCTAAGGGCAGTGTAAAAGCCTGGGTAGTCTCTAGGACTACTTTAATCAACTTAATGGAGATTGTTGACTTCAGGCTTTGGGCTAGTACAAAGAGGCACTCAGATGTAAGCCAGTGAGAGAATGCTTTCACAGGGCATTGGACTGAAAACAGCACTATGCAATAAGAGGAGCGGTCTAAGAGGAGTCAATGATATGGTTGATTCCGGGTGGATTGATACAGTCTGAGAATGTGTTATGTTACTAAAGGTGTAGTGGCAAAAGCCAGCTGGTCCTTCAATCTAGCATAATTTCCTTTACAATGCACTTGTGAGAAAAAAAGTGCACGGTGATGGACCTTTGTTAGTTCAAAGGTTTTTACCTCTTTATTGTAAAACCCCATTGTGAATTCACAGGGCTTAAAATATGTATTAATGTCCCTTTCATTTTATCATTCTAAAAGAAATCAAAGACAGAGAACTTTTTTCTTCCCAATGAGCTTGTCTTTTTGAAATCATAAAGTGTTTGTGTATATGGTCTCCTAATGTTTCAGTTGAATCTGTGATTTCAGTGGCAGGTAGTGAGACATTGTTATTTCTTAAAGACTTTCAAGAAACTTTTGCAAAAAGACAGACTTGCTTTCTCTTCCTTTTCAATACTTACATTTTAGTTTATTGCACAATGAAACAGAGCAAACTACATTTTTTTTTAAAGATCTGAGAGTGTGAACCTTCTGCCTCCTTTTCAACCAAAGTTGAGGAATTTGTCCTGCTATAATCTCAACCCTTGAGTATTTCTATCCACAACTTTTGCTTCAACAAAACTTCTGACTAAATCAAACAGGTTTTCAGCATAGACATTGTATGCTGTATAGTGTGATGCTAGTGAAAAAATAAAGTTTTTGGCTGTATGACTATAATAATACTCTCATGAGCATTACTAATTGCCATTTACTGTTATTGGCCTGAGGAATTTTTCCTGAAGGCATATATTTTATATTGTGAATTGCTTGCTCACTGGAGTCTCTATGTACTATATTCTTCATCTGACATACAATCCATACTTTAAAATCTATCTTTTATCCATTCAGTACAGTTTAAAGTTTAATTTCAGTGTTTGACAGTTTATAAAAAGAAGAAATGCTCATTTTTTTAAACTGGAAAAGCAGAATAACCTCTAGTAGTACAAAAACATTGGTGACACAACCCTACTTCCCAAAGAAATATTTTGTTCATGATTTTCTGAAATGTGAATCAAAACCCTCATGACAGGTGAATGAAGAGAGAATAATTAAGATATAAGTACAAACAAAAGCAGCATTAACAATTCAGGTAAATAAAATTTGCATACAAAAGAATATCATCAAGGTGATGGAGAATACTTCTGAAAGTACAGGACATTTAGGCAATAGGAAAATGAGTTGAGAGTTGAATGTTTTATATTTCACACAAAGGCTTTATATAATTAACATTTTTTTTCCTGACTCCATTGTTCAAGCAAACATTATTTACCATTATCTCTAATCTTTCCTTGGTTAAATAAATTGGAGTTTTTCCTATATGTTGCAATGTTTTATTATTATAATTTTTTTTCGAGACAGAGTCTCACTCTGTCACCCAGGCTGGAGTGCAGTGGCACGATCTAGGCTCACTGCAACCTCTGCCTCCCAGGTTCAAGCAATTCTTCTGCCTCAGCCTCCTGAGTAGCTGGTACTAAAGGTGCACACCACCACGCCCGGCTAATTTTTGTATTTTTAGTAGAGATGGGATTTCACCATATTGGCCAGGCTGGTCTCGAACTCCTGACCTCATGATCCACCTGCCTCAGCCTCCCAAAGTGCTGGGATTACAGGTGTGAATTACAGCTCCCAGCCTCCTGTAAGCTGCAATTTTAAGGGACAAACCACGCGTAAACTATAAACTGTTCTTCAGCGTTTTTGCAATTTATATGTATTAATCTGAATTGTTTGAAAGCTGTTACTTTCTTACTTGAGCCATTTTTTCCATGTCACATCTCATTAGTAGTGTCCCTCGTGGGCCTTTCCATGTAGGATGAATGCTTCAGTTTTTAAGGCACAATGTAAAACCGTTATTCACTCAAGTTATTTTTAAGATGTGTTAAGAGAGCAGCTTGCATTTGTAAGAATCAAAAGATGCATTGACAAGATTCGTTTTCTTTTCAATGTGAAGCCGTAAGGATTTGTTGTGTTTAAGGAGGAACTTACGATAAGCTAGAGGAGTTATTACCTGCATTGGAATGATAGCTGGCTTGTCTAACTTGCTTCATTTATTCAACAAATATTTAATGAGAGCATGTCATGTACCTGGCACTGTAGCAGGATCTCAGGATAGGAAAATAAAAGAAGTAATATAAAAATATTCATAATCAGTGGAGAGGTACCAAGTGAAATAATGAGGCTTTGGTAGAGAAGGGGGCAAAAGTGTTTCAGAAAGAACAATCACTTAAAGCCAGGAGTCTCAGACCAGCCTGGGCAACAAAGCAAGACCCTGTCTCTACAACAAAACAAAAATATTACCCTGGCACAGTGGTGTGCACCTGTAGTCCCAGCTACTTTGGGAGGTTGTGGTGGGAGGATTGCTTGAGCCCAGAAGTTTGAGGCTACAATGAGCTATGATTGAGCCACTGAACTCCAGTCTGGGAGACAGAGCAAGATCCTGTCTCAAAAATAAAAATAAAGAAAAGAAAAAAAGATAGAGGAAACAATATGAGTTTGGCATGATAAAATTGGGAGCTGCAAGTAATTGGAGTGGTAGGTTTGTGTATTGAAGGGGTGGGGAAAGAAAAAGTGGAGACAGTGGTAGATAAGGCAGGCAGAGGCCACAACTGTGTGATATGCCAAGTAATTTAGACTTTATTCAAAAGAAGACAAATAACTATTGAAGGGTTTCAAGTAGGAGAAAGGTCTGATTAAATTGGGGAATATTGACAGACCGCTCTGGAAACGGTGTGGAATTTAGATTCAAGAGATACTAGATGCAGAGAGTTAGTAAGAAGGATTAGAGTGAGCTGGGAGAGGTGTAAATACTGTGTTAGTTAAGGCAGACTAGATGGTAGGTTGGATACAGATTTGTGAGGAACTTAGGAGATAGAATTGACAGCATTTGGTCTGGTGATTAGAGGTAGGAAGTGAGGGAAAAGGTGGAGTCTTCTATGACTTCCAGGTTTCTGACTCAAGAGACCTGATGAAGGGTGGACAGACTAGGAAACAGAAGAACTGAAACATGTTTAATGGTGGTGGCAGTCATGGTTGAGATAACGAGATTGGAAGCTTAGTTTTGGACTTGTTGAGTTTTAATTTTATGTGTCTCACTATCATGAGATAATTTTAGGTAAGGGATACAGATTTGGGAATATTTTATTTCTAATGGTAGCTAGTGCTTCAGATAAAAATACACTACTTAAAAAACTGTCCTTTTAGTATTTTGTTATTAAGTGGGAAAATACATGCATATGGTAAAAAAATTAGATGTATGCAATAAAACACAGGTCTTTCTCCCATTCCAAGTCCACAATTCCTTTCTCCAGATTTAGGTATTGTTAACAGCTTTCAGAAATGTACTTGACATTTTCTTTCCAAGTACAAGCATATATATTTGTGTACATATGTAGGTGGAAATGTGTTACATACATACATATTTTAAATAGAAATGTTAGTCTATCATATTTATCCTTCTGTACCTTATTTTTTTCACTTTTCAGCATACCCTGGAGATTATGCCATATGAACACATATAGATCTACTTCATTCTTTTTAATGGTTTTATAGTATTCCATTTCACAGAGACCTAGTTTTCTTAAACCAGATTTTTTTTAACGGATGGTTTTTTTTAAAAATATAGTTTTTATGATAAACAATGCTTCAGTGAACATCTTTGCACATGTAGCTTGGGTTGGAGTATTTCTCTTTTTTATTATTGGTGCTGAGCTAGAAACTAATCTGAGAGAATGCACATTGTATTAAAAAAACCGAAAAACTACCCCTCACTCTGATTGGAATCAGACTTGTGTGCCTTACTCTCTATTTACTATAGGGACGCTAAGGTGATGAGGCGACTCTCTCTCTTTTTTTTTTTTTTTCAGATGGGAACCACTCAGACTGTGTCCTCTCTCTCTTACTCTCCCAGAGAAGAGAAGAACGATCATCAATGGCCAATGGCAGTTGCAGCGAAGCCACACCAAGAGCCGGCTTCATGCTCAGGAGAGAACGCTGCACTTCCTGCTCATGGTTTCCGGTGCTCTACAAGTTCACAGAAACTTCTCTAGTAGTGCACTGTAGAAATGATCCCTGAAAATATAGTCTTGACGAGGTGACTCTTAATCTGGATTCTCCCCATGTCAGTCTTCTGCATGTGTACAAGTATGTGTAGGTCTTCTCTTTTGGGCTAGTAGGTTTCCCCCATAGAAAAATTTCTAATGTTCTACCTGGGAATGGGAGGCTGCTGCTAGACTTTGGATTGCTGAACAGGATAAGGGCACAGTGGGCCTTGTTCTTCATTATGTAGACGAGCAGAATACCTGTACTTTGTTGCTTCACTCCTGTCTTCAGCGATGCCAGCGTGCCTGAATCTGGGACCTCTTCGGTTCAACATCATCCAGGAGAAAACTTCTTATCTAGGGTTGAGGGAGCAGTTGCATGGCTCCGTGGAATATGGGAGAAATTCTGGGATTTGAACTGCTCTTTATATCACTGCTTTTCAAATTTTAAGGGGTTTACAGAGCACTTGGGAGTTAAAGTGTAGGCCTGATTCGGTAGGTCTGGATGGGACCTGAAATTCTGCATTTCTAACACACTTTTAAGAGTGCCTATGCTGCTGGCCCACAGGCTTGGCTAACAAAGTTTTAGCTGAACTATCAATCCAACTTTCCTTGAATGCTGATGCTTTCCTAGGGTTCTGGGGACATGAATAAAGTGACATTTCCTTGATTTTTCCCGCTGCAGTCTCAGGCCGTAGGATTTTCTGTTTTGTGAAATGAGTTATAACTTGTTCATATTAAAGTGAGATAGAAGGATATCCCTCTCCTGTTTTTGTCGTTTCCTGTTCTCTTTTCCTTGTGGGTTCATAGTTTCTGATTCCTCTTTTGTTATTTTAGTAGAGTAAAAGAGGAAACAGATAAATACATGAGTTCAAGTTGCCATATTTTCTTATTTTAGATAATTGCAGGCATCCCAAAAGCATTTTTTATGACTGTAAAATTCTATGGAAGTATTCATTAAGAGATTATTTGTTGAGCAAACTAGGAGGTAATGGTGAAAAGTCCCTTTCCATTCTTGTATCAGGCATATAACTTATATTCATCCGGTGAATAGTTGGGTTACTACAAAACCTTGAAGAATAGGAAAGGGGTGAAAATGCATGCAAAGTATTAATATGGTGAATTTGGGTAATTGTGGATTCAGTCATAGCCAGTTTACTGTTGCAGATCTATAGGAATTTCTTCACGATAAATGTTGGAATAACACAACTCTAGTTCTGACTGAATTTGGAACTAGAAGTTTGGCCATGACTAGATGGTAGCAGAGAAACAACCATAAGATATGAGCTGTAAAATAGTCTATATCTATCAATCCTTTATCTACATACCTACCTACCTACCTACTGATCTTCTATTATTCACATATATGTATATGCATACATATCACCTCCAGATGTAGATCCATATATTCTAAAATTTATTTATGCACTTGCAAGCAAATACAAATTATATTCTTATTTTTCTCCTTTTTTTTTGTTAACAAAAAACATAGCTATTATATACACTGTTCTACATTAATTTTTCCATAGCAGTATTTGGAATGTTTCCTCATTTTTTTAAAATTATACAGTATTCCACTATATAAATGGACCTTAGTTAACTTAACTCACCTTTTGTTGGATAGCTATGTCTGCATAGTCTCCAATATTTTGCTCTTAGAAATATTGCTGAAATCAATATAATTTCACATACATGCTGATAGATCTTTAGGGTAGATATTCTGGTTTGGAATTTCAAGGTCGGGGGATATGTGTTTATAGATATTGCCAATTACAAATTGTTCTTTATAAGGGCTAGACAGATTTACACCTCTGCCTGCAATGTTTGAGAGTACCTGTTACCCCACAGAGAATACATGAACAGTTCTAGATTTTTGCCAATATGATAGGTATTATTTAAAAAGGCATTTTTTTCTTTGCATAAATGAGATAGAGGCCGGGCGTGGTGGCTCACGTTTGTAATCCCAGCACTTTGGGAGGCCAAGGCGGGCGGATCACGAGGTCAGGAGATCGAGACCACGGTGAAACCCCGTCTCTACTGAAAATACAAAAAATTAGCCGGGCTTGGTGGCGGGCGCCTGTAGTCCCAGCTACTCGGAGAGGCTGAGGCAGGAGAATGGCGTGAACCCGGGAGGCGGAGCTTGCAGTGAGCCGAGATCGCGCCACTGCACTCCAGCCTGGGTGTCAGAGAGAGACTCCGTCTCAAAAAAAAACAAACAAAAAAACAAACAACAAAAAAAAATGAGATAGAACATCTTGTCATATATTTAAGAGCTACTCGTATATTTTTCTGGAATTGACTATTCTTTTTTTTTTTTTCCAGTTTTTCCACTGGATTTTCTTTTAATAGATTTCTTGGAACTTAAAAAAATCTAACCTGCACGTTGTGCACATGTACCCTAAAACTTAAAGTATAATAAAAAATAAATAAATAATAAAATTAAATGTTTTTAAAAATTACATTTGTAATTTCTCTTTTTTTAAAAAAAGTTTAATTTTAGGTTCAAGAGTACATGTGCAGGTTTGTTATATAAGTAAACGGCATGTCATGGAGGTTCAGTGTATATATTATTTAATCGCCAGGTAATAAGCATAATACCCAGTAGGTAGCTTTTTGATTCCCTCCCTTTCCCCACCCTCCACCTTCCAGTAGGCCCCAGTGTCTGTTGTTCCGTTCTTTGTGTCCATGTGTTGTTGTTGTTTAGTTCCCACTTACAAGTGAGAAATGTGGGATTTGAGTTTCTGTTCCTACATTAGTTTGCTTAGGATGATGACCTCCAGCTCCATCCATGTTGGTGCAAAAGACATGATTTCATTCTTTTTTATGGCTGTGTAGTATTCCATGGTGTACATGTAGCATATTTTCTTTATCCAGTCTACCATTAATGGGCATTTAGCTTGATTCCATGTCTCTGCTATTGTGAATAGTGCCCCAAGAAACATATACATGCATGTGTCTTTATGGTAGAATGATTTATACTTCTTTGGGTTTATACCCAATAATGGGATTGCTGGATTAAATGGTAATTCTGTTTTTAAGCTCTTTGAGGAATCACCACGCTGCTTTCCACAATGGCTGAACTAATTCACATTCCCACTAGCAGTGTATAAGCATCCCCTTGTCTCTGTAACCTCACCAGCATATGTTATTTTTTGACTTTTTAATAGTAGCCATTCGGACTGGTGTGAGATGGTATCTTATTGTGGTTTTGATTTGCATTTATCTAATGATTAGTGTTCAGTGGAAATCTCTATATATTAGGGAGATATGGCAGACACACCCTGATCCCCATTGAGTAATGCTCTAGTGTAAACCCCTCTCCTCCAATGAGGGAAGAATCTGTGACTTCTAATTAGGAGAATATGGCAGAGCTGAGGGGATTTTTGTAGTTGTAATAAAAGTTCCTAACCAGCTGACTTAAAGTTAATCAAAAGGGAAATTATCCTGGGTGGGTCTGACCTAACCCGGTGGGCTCTATGAAAGAGAGTCTAGAGGTCAGAGACTGGAAGTAGCAGAGGCTTGTTCTCTCGGTTGCTGGTGTTGAAGAGGCGAGCTGCCAGGAATTCTGCCAGCCACAGAAGGGAATTTGGAAGCGGATCCTTCCCTAGTCAAATCTCCAGGTGAGAACATTGCTTTTACATTTTGAGTCATAAGTAAAAAGACTTTCCTCATTTTAACAGTCTAAAATATTTCCCCTGTTTTCTTCTAGAAATTGTGGGGTTTTACTTTTGTATATTTTCCAACCTTTGATCCATTTGGAATTTAATCTGACTGAAAGTGTATGGTGTGATTAAATGTTTGCTTTTTTCGAGAGGGATGTCCAGATACCTCAACACCCCTTATTTTGTGGTCCAACTTACCCCTCTTGGGTTTGAGAAGTTACTGTTGTCATATGCTACATTCTCTTATGTATTTGGATCCTGAGCTTTTAATATTTTGGTAGCATTATTTGATGAAGTGAATTTTTTTAGGAGGAATTCTTTCTTAGAAGTCAGGAATTTTATTTAAATTGTTCATCTTTATATCTGCATTGCTTAACCTACCATTTGGAATATTGCAGACTCTCAATAAAGGCTTGTTGAATGAATGGATACTGGTGTTTACACAAAGCAGAATATAATTTGGGTAATGCTTTTTCTCAGTGTTAACCTTCCATAGTCAGAAGCTAGATCTTGATTTAGGAAATTATGATTCCAGGCTAAAGCCCTGTTCCTACCAATAGTCTGTATATATGTCTTCAATGCATATCTTTAGACATAATCATAATGTTGGCAGAAAGGACCAAAGAGAAATGAAGTATATAGCAACATGTTTATACCCACCCTGCAGTTGATAAAAAGTAAAGTTTACTGTAATCAATTAATAATCATGTGTATTTATTAGGGGAATGGGAAATGGGAGTCATTTCCTGCTCAATCCCCTAGTTTTCATGGAGGGAATTTTTCTCTTGCTCCACCCATTTCTCCAACCCACAGAGGTACAGTTAATTATCTCACTAGTGCGTTTGGAAGAGGAATTGGGCATGAAAAGCCTAGCCACTTTCTCCCACTGTGTGTGTGTATGTGTTCAACTACTTACAGGAAGCACACATTCTAATCTGCTTTCCCATGTATGTTTTCTATTAGTAGAAATTAAATGAACTAGGCCAGGCATGGTCACTCATACCTGTAATCCCACCACTTTGGGAGGTCGAGGAGGATGAATCACTTGAGGTGAGGAGTTTGAGACCAGCATGGCCAACATGGTGAAACCTCATCTCTACTAAAAAAAAAGATACAAAAATTAGCTGGGCATGGTGGTGGGCACCTGTAATCCCAGCTATCTGGGAGACTGAGGCGGAGAATCACTTGAACTCAGGAGGTGGAGGTTGCAGTAAGCTGAGATGGCACCACTGCCCTCCAGCCTGGGTGATAGAGAGAGACTCCGTCTCAAAAAAAAAAAGAAATTAAATGAACAAATGGTAGCATTTACACGATGTGAAATGTGGTCTTTGGAGAATATTTTTCTCCAAAGCTTGATCACCTTGATGACCAGAAAGGACTGCATTTCAGCAGTTGATGGGGCTGAGTGAATGGGCTTACTTCCAGTCATTGTTGGTGCATACTTAAACCATGTCCTTCAACCTAGAGTGGCCTTTGTTGGTAACATTGCTGATATGTTGATCTCCATCTCTTGTTTAGTTCTCAGTTGGCTCAGAGCTCAGGCTGAGAAAAGGGTGCTATTTAATGGATTCCCTAAAACCTTATCAGTCTTTAATCTGAATTATTTTAATATATGCTTCCCTTGATCCCCTCCCTAGGTACCATCTGTTGAAATTACTTAATTCAAACAGCTTTGTTTTAACATATTGTGTTTTAGCTGAACTCCGAGTATTTACAGTGAAGGTAACTGACTACTGGTACTGATGATGGTGTGTTTAATATCTCATCTCTACATACTCATTGAAGGCAGCACCTATTATGTATACAAGTTCGTTCAGTGTTTTCAGAGAATGAGCAGAGCCTGTGAAATTCATTAAACATTACCACAATAAGAAAAAAGGACAAACCACAAGAGAAAAATAATCTGTACATAAGACTTCACTGCAAACTAGACGATTTCAGTGTTTATAAATATTCGTCTATGGAGAGAAGTACGTGTATTATAATAATTATGCATTAGTGCCTCATTAGTAGAGGGTTACATCCATGCTGTTTCTTTTTCCTCTAGTGTATTTCTGATAAGTTAGCATTTTAAAGTCTTATTTAAAATGTAATAAAAACAGGAGAGTGTGTGTGTGTATATTCAAGAGTAGGTTATTTATAATTCCTTCAGCTGTGTGAGGAAACACGTTCCATGGGTTCTGAGCCTACAGAAAGGATGTAAAGAATTGCCTTCCTCATCCAGAATCAGAACCTAATTACTGAAATGTGGACAATCAGAACAGACCTTCTATTGTATTGACTTTTTTCTCGATGCCATTATATTGCTACTTACATTTAAGTTCTAGGTCCTTAAATATGTTTTGTAAATGAGACACTTTCCAGACCAGCACTCCTAGAAATGCCTTCATTATGAACTTTGTGGGTACATTCTAATTACAAAATCCACAGACATTTCTCAGTCCTTTTCTTATGAGATCTTTCTGTTGAATTTGATATAGTCGATTAGTTTCTTTTTTTTGAGGTCCTGTACACCTTTGGATTCTGAATAGTCCACATTAATTGATCTCCGTCAGTGTCTCTGACTGCTGTTTCTTTGTTTCTTATATGAGACCTTTTAAATGTTTCTTTGCCTATCCTTAACGTATTTCCCTGAAATCCATTTATTTCCTTATCTCTGCTCTTCTCACACTTCATACTTCCTAGATGATCTTCATTTTCATGATTTCAGTTATGATCACCTAATGCTGATATGCTATATCTATAAAGATGAGACATAGTCTATATTTCTAGGTCTATAGACCCTCTGGAATCCATGCATGTCAACTGCTTGTTGGCTATCTCTATTTGGGTATCTCATAGGTTCTCAGAACTCAACAAGACCAACTGGAATTCATTATCTTCTTTTATAAGCTTTCTCCCACTTCTTTATTCTACTTTAGATGGTGGCACCACCATTGTTCAGCCACCAAAATAAGAAACTTGGAATTCACCCTTGACAGCTTTCTTTACATCCTCTCCCATGTCGATTTAGGCACGAAGTTCTGCCAAATGCTCTCTCAAAATGCTCTCAAATCTGTTCCTTTCTTTCCATTTATCTTACCACAACCCTATTTAAAGCCTAGAAAGTGAACCTCAGTTGCGACCTATTGCAACTGACTTTTCACAGGTCCTCTTGTATGTAGTCTTGCCCTCTTCAAAGTCACTCTCCATACTGCTCTAGAACCCATCTCTGTCCAGATATTGTCATTCTATATAGGAATGTCAAAAGTAACAAAAAATTTTACCATTCCCCAAATCCACTTCTCTGGGGTAATCACTGTTAGCAAGACATTTATAAGTCAAGGTTCCTAATTACAACTAATAGAAAATACTGGCTGATTTAAACAGGAAAAGAATATATTAAGAAGATATTTGATAGCTTTCAAAAGCAAGTTGAGGACTGTGCAGCCAGGAGGCAACTGAGAGGCAATACCCAGCATACTGCTGAGGATATGACTGTCACAGGCACTGCGTGATAAGTGCTGAGGCTTGCTTCACTGATACTGCTGAGCTGTAGAAATTGGACGTTGACCTGGCACTGCAATCATTGCTTCCCAGGAGCGTGATCCTTCTGCAGCTGCCACCACTGTCAAATATACAGATCTTCCTGGTCCCTGCAACTCTGGGATGGGTACTTGGATTGGTGTAGCCTGGTTGCAGCAAGGACTTGGAAAGAATGATCTGGGATTTTCAGAGACAAAATAACGAGGAGTTTTAGAGTAGGGCCTCTGGAACCAAATTTTTTGGGCTACATACAGCTTTGTTTTTCTATTTACTGGTTGTAACTCTGTGCAGGTTGCTTGACCCCTCTGTGTCTCAGTTTCCTCATTTGTAAAATAGAAATATAGTTGCAATTACTTCATGGGGTTGGAGGGAAAATTGAATAGGTTAATCTAGGTAAATTGCTTAGAATGCTTCCTGATGCATATATAAAAGGTTAGCTATTATTATTCTTTCAGCTTATATAGTGCAATTTGATTCTACTTCCCACTGAGACTTATAAGGGGGAGGAAGATTGTCCAGATTTAGGAAAGAGGTTCATATAGTGAGTAGCCAGAAATAATAACAAGTATCCACTATCATATATATTCCTCCAGACTTTGACTCATGCATTTGCAATTAAAATATTTATGCTTGTGTGTGTTTATCAGGATACTCAATCCAAACCTTATTCAAACTACCACAGACAAGAAATGTGGGAATTTCTTGGCTTCTGTAATTAAAACACAGAGAGGGTGTGATGCAGCTAGGTCTCAAGGACAACTGGAAGCATTGATTTCAGTGCCACTAAGACTGTCTTCCCATCTACCTCTGTTTTCTTTGTCTATCAGTGTATTTCTCTTATATGTGTTTCTTTTGCAAGAATGAAAAGTACCACCCCTGGCAAACTTCAGGCCTCACATGTCTCTATTTCAGCTTCAAAGAGGAAGTGAAATGTCTTCTTTCTGATGCCTAGGAAAAGAATCCTGAGATGGGGCTACGGTTATATTGGCTTGAGTCAATTTTTGCGGCTGGGAAGTTGGTATCATCAGGAAATATGAAAGCTTTACTGAAATCACATGTTTGAAATTTGGGGAAAGATTTTTCTATAAGTGGGAAGAGAAAACTTGGCAAACAGTTTTATGTACTTTATATGTAACACTCACAGCAAGCTAAAATTCTTTTAAACTTAAAAAATCTGTTTTTAAAATGGTACTACGAAGCACAAATAACAAAAGTGCTAGGTACTGAATTTTAAAACCTTGGAGATTAGCAATGTGTTAACTTGGGCTGCCGGGTTAAGTTGTGCAGTTTCTTGGAATAAAACTTCTATTATCTTTTAATTGTAGAGTATCCTGAGTTTGCAAGGGAGCTTTAAAAAACTGTTACTATTTGCAGCCACTTACCTGTGTGAATCAATTCTCTGCAACCAAAACAAAATACAAAAAAAAAAAAAAAAAAAATCCAGAAAACAAAAACAAAATAACCTCGAATAGAAAACAAAGTTACTGTTATGACTGCAACCTCCTGTTTCTATGTTCAACAAAACTGATTGACTTCATATTAGGTAATTGTTACATAATTTACTTTATAAAAGTAATGTATACTAATAAAATATTGCTTTCAAATGCCTTATTTGCTAGGCTTTCTTGTAGGATTTTGTTTGAAAGACTTCTACTGTGAAAAATTTGAAAAACAATATATTAGAGCAGGGGCTAGCAGAGTTTCTGAAAAGAGCCAGATAGTAAATATTTCAGGTTTTGTGGGCCATGTAGTTTCTGTTGCAAGAATTCAACTCGACTGCCATTGTAGTGTGCAAACAGCTATCAACAATACATAAAGGAACTATTGTGACTACTTCCAATAAAACTTTATTTATAAAGATACTTGGCAGACTAGATTTGGCCTATGGGCTGGGCTGTTGTTTGCCAACCTCTGTATTTAGAGCATTTGCTATAAATTGATAGATTGGGCTATCCAGATTTGTTACCTACTTACCTTAAATGAAGGGGGGAAAATGAGCTACCTTTTCATTCTATATTAACAGTTATTTTCAAGAGGAGTGTTCTAAAAACAGTTCTGATTTTAGTAATGTCACTTTATGGGTGGCTGAGTTGAAATTAAGTATTTGGTCATTTTGGTTTTGAAAACTATAAACTTTAAGTTAGCCCAAATCTGTAGCTTTTTATATGTTCTTTAACATAAAATATCTGTAAGAGTTTGCATGCTCTGTTTGATAATGACTTTTTTTTTATGGTGGAGATTCCTTGGGAGATTTACTCATTAATTAATGCTTGCTTCTGATCTCATTTGCTAGAGTAAGTGTAGAGTTTAAACTAGGCATACTAATCTAATCTTCCAAATTGCTGTTTCTTTTTCTTTTGCTCACAATAGCTTGGATCATCTGAAAAAGGGCCTGAATAAATGTATCATTTGTTACTAGCTAAAAACTGTCATCATTAACTTGATTAATAAAAATGCTGCTATTAAAGATGGATTGAAGCACAAAATAGCCAGCCTGGTTCCCCGTAATGAAGAGATTAATTTGACACACAAGACAACCAATTTAGTATTACTCAATGATCATGCTTTATTTAGAAAGCCATCAATTAGTATATTTTTTCCTTGATGTACTATTTTGTCTCTATAACAAGAAATGATGATTTCCTCAAAAGTTAATCTGCTTTCTTAAACATAAAAGGATATTTAGCTCAGCACTCTTAAACTCCAAAATGTGAAATTCTGTTTTATGAGTAAAGAGGAAATTAATGATGGATTATAAAGCTTGCAGTGGAATTCTTTATTTTAGGGTATTGTTAATTTTCTTTTTGTAACATGATTGTGAATATGGTAGTAGAAGTCACAGCAAGAGAGACCCCTAGGCCTTGTGTTCTTCCTTCTCTTGGATGGAGATTAACATGGCCTGTATACACACACTGAGATGTAAACACTACACTGATTTGCAAAGAAGTTAATTAGATTTTACCGCCTTTTAAAATGTGCGTGGTGGTTAGGAGAAGTTTTTGGCAAAGTGAAAAGAATATTAAGTCACAGTATTAGTTTTCTTTATAGGATTGATACTTAAAGCAATGGAAAAGGTATATTCATGAGATTCATGTGGCATATGGACTTTTTAATCATCCCTTATTGAGCAGCATTTCTTATTATGACGGGAAGAAACAGCAGCAAACATTTCTTTACTAACTTGGGCTAATGATGCTTTCTGGACGTTGTGTTTACTGTGCATGAGAAGTTGGGTTTGATGTTTAAAGAGTTCTAAGTTGGATTGGATTTCAAATGCAAGAGTTAAGAAAATTTTGAAAAGAGAGAGATGCTGTTTCATTAATAGTTCATGGAAATTTACCATTTGAAAGGCTGATCTGATGTGCTTTAGAACTTATTGCGGGTTATTAGATGACATACCATTTATGGATCTGACAGATTGTTACAATCTGTTTTGTTTTGTTTTTGTTTTTGTTTTTGTGAGGAGGGACCTTGGCAGAATGCTATGTGTGTGAAGTGTATATATATCTTGTGTAAGTGTGAACGGTTGGTGTTTCTGCCTAAGTGTATCAGCCTCATGGTGCTAGGAAGCTTTCCAGGATTCTAGGGGATGTCAAATATGGATAGGGAGGGACACTGTGAATGACAGCCAAAGCTAGATTTTCCTGGTTTTGAATTCATCTGCAGGCTTTTCCTCCATCAATGAAGCAGGATAACAATTTAGTAAAAAGTAGTTATTAAACATTCCTTAGGTACTCACTATTGTGGGCCACACTCATGTTTACTTTATGATCATATTCCTCTCTTCATAGGGCAGGAGCCCTTGGAGGCTGTTTGGAATTGGGCCCATAACAGAAGTGGTCAAAACTTGCCTCGTTGCTGACTTGAAGGATGTAAAGAACAAACATTTAAAAATTGCTTAATAGATTTTGGAAACTTGTTTCCGAAGAGGATAATCCTGGCCTGGGAGTAAGGACTATTGTGTTGCAGTCCTGACTCCACCAACAAGCAGTGTGTCACCTTGGGCAAGTTTCCCTGCTCTTTTAGAGGTTGGAAAAGTATAGATTTATTGCTCAGATAGAGAGTGGGCAACATGAGAGAACAACATGAGAAGAATACATTAATATTTTAATAGTGTTCAGAGGCATAAGCATGAACAATTGTAGAAAATATGTACTTGAGGGAAAAATAAGTTTATCATTGAGAATGAATTCCCACAAAGCTGAGAAAAATCTGTTAAGGATTGATGGCTTGACCTTCAACCCATTGATATATTTTCCATTTCTTTAAAAATAAAAATATCTCTTCCTCCTCCTTCCTGTGGCCCTTTCTTTTGATTGCAAAAGAGAGATTTTTTTTTGGTAGAAAATTTGGAAAATACAGAAAATTGCTAAGAAGGAAATGAAAACGATGTTAATATCCAGAAAAAAAATTTAAAGGTTTTAATATAACCTTGTAGTTTTCTTGCCTTTGTATATGTATGTCCACATGTAATCAGAACCATATTGAATGTAATATTCCAAACGATTGTTTTTTATTTAATAATGTACTGTGGCCATTTTCTCACATTAATGATATTCTTCTAAAATATAGTTTAAAATAAATGCATAGTATTCCAAAATACACAACTTGTTTAAAATATTTTTTTCCCATTACAAATAGTTCATTGCCAAAACATTGGAAAATACAAAAAGATAGAAAGAGGAAAAATAAAATCAATGATAATTCTATTACCCAAAGAAATTAAACTTTTCTTCCAATCTGCTTTTCTAGGTATATTCACCACATTTATAACTTGTATTTTGTCTTTTTATTTAACAAAATAGCATACTTATCTTCCTATATGAGTAAAATTTATCCTTACATATAACATTAAAATTTATAGTGAAGTTTTTAATTATATAATTAACATTTGTAATTATTTCTGTGTGATTATGTATATAATATATGCAATTATTTTTTACAGTTTGCATACTTAACAGTTATTGTGAGCTATTATGTACTAGACATTTGGCATACACATGAGAACAGAACAGGTATAAATGATGAATGAGAGTATAAATTCTTACATAATCTTTTTGTTTTCTTTACCAGTACATATGTTTATATGTGAACTAATACATTTCAGTGCTGTCATTGTGAGTAGCCGCATTGTAATCCATTTGCATCATCATCTATTTCACTAATTTATCTTTGGTGCACATTTAGATTGTGAATTTTTTCCTAACAGCGTTGTAATAAATATCTTATAGTCAATTTTTTTCACATTGTTAATTATTTTCCTATAACCATTTCCTAGGGTATAATATCTTGATTAAAAGACCTATGTGTTTTTAAAACTTTTGATATCTACTGCCAAAACACTATTTATACCAATTTTAACTCCTAACAGCAATGTCTGAGTGCCATTTTCCCAAACGAAAAATGCATATCACTGGTATTTTTTTTAACTATACGCGTTTTAAATTCCTAATAAGTTTATATTTTTTCTAAATATTTATTGAGGAAAAATTTCTTCATTGGTGAATTATTTTTTAGGTCTTTTGATCAGTTTTTGAAAGAATATTTGTTATTTTTGTCCTGAAGTATATAAACTTTTAGAATACTAGAGTTAACTGTTTTTCTGCTGCATATAGTTTTCCAGTGTGTAGTTTGATTTTAATTCTATTTATTATATTTTTGACACTCTACAGTCAAATCTATCAATATTTTCCTTTCTATTACTGTCTTTGATTTTATGCCAGAAAGACTCTCCTAGTCACCCCTAGATTACTATATTTAAAACTTACATGATTTTCTTTTAAAATTTAAACTTTTAATCTAAGTGAAAATTACTTATTTCGGCAAATAATATAATGTAAGGGTCTACTCTTTATTTCTCCTAAATAGTTAACCAGTGATCCCAGCACTATTTGGTGAATAATTAATCCTTTCCACACTGAAGTGCCACCTTTATATAGGCTTGGATGTATTGCTAGAGTTTCTAGTGAGTACCACTCTCTTTTATTCATTGTACAGTTACTGTTCAATTTGAATATCTGGCAGCACAAATTTCTCCTTTTTCTTTCTTTTCAGTGTTTTCTTGGATTTACCTTTTTATTCTTTCAGATGCATTCTTTCTCTTTTCTTTATTGAGATATAATGTCTCTTTTTGCTTATTGTTAACCAAAAGTTATTTAAAAGAGAGCTTAACATTACCAATCTGATAGCCCTTTTCTCTCTCCACTTATTAATTTTCTAATTTTGGATTACATGTTAGAGATTCTGGCTTTTATGTTTTAAACTTTATAAAAATTTCATTGAGACCTTAATAAATGATCAATTTTTGTAAATGTTTCATTAGTTTTTGAAAAGAATGTATTCTTTATAGGTACAAACTTCTCTGAGGCAAAACTATTAAATTACGCTTTAAAAAATGAAAACATAGGCCGGGCACGGTGGCTCATGCCTGTAATCCCAGCACTTTGGGAGGCCGAGGCGGGCGGATCACCTGAGGTCAGGAGTTCGGGACCAGCCTGACCAACGTGGAGAAACCCCATCTCTACTAAAAAAAAAGAAAAAAAAAACCCACAAAATTAACCGGGCATGGTGGCGCATGCCTGTAATCCCAGCTATTCGGGAAGGCTGAGGCAGGCAAATCAGTTGAACCTGGGAAGCAGAGGTTGCGGTGAGCTAAGATTGCGCCATTGTACTCCAGCCTGGGCAACAAGAGCGAAACTCCGTCTCAAAAAAAAAAAAAAAAAAAAAAAGAAAGAAAACATCTTATTCAAACTTCTTATTTTTGGTATCTATTTTTGTTCCATTTTATCTGTCAGTTTTTGAGTTTTTGAGAGTGGTCTGATACGGTTTGGCTGCATTCCCACCCAAATCTCATCTTGAATTATAGTTCCCACAATCTTCACGTGTTGTCAAAGGGACCAGTGGGAGATAATTTAATCACGGGGGCAGTTACCCTCATGCTGTTCTCGTGATAATGAGTGAGTGCTCATGAGACCTGATGGTTTTATAAGGGGCTTTTCCCCCTTTTTGCTTGGTACTTCTTCGTCCTGCTGCCCTGTGAAGAAGGACTGTTTGCTTCCTCTTTCACCACGATTTTAAGTTTCTTGAGGCCTCCAGAGCCATGCGAACTGTGAGTCAATAAAACCTCTTTCCTTTATAAATTACTCAGTCTCTGGTATGTCTTCATTAGTAGTGTAAGAATGAACTAATATGTGGTCTGTTAAAACTTTGCTCTGTAATTTAGAATTTGTCAAATTACCTTTTCACTTTTAATAGTTTGATTACATTGTTATGTACATAATGGTTCATGATAGTTTCATATTCATGGTAATTGGTTATCCTTTCTGATCCATTTTGAATTTCAATTCAATATTGTCAGATATGGCCACACATACTTTCGTTTTAGTGTTTTCCTGGTTTGGCTCTGTTATTTTAGAATTATTTTTATTTTTAATTAAAAAACTGCAAGTAGTTTTAGAAAGTCAAATATTCTTAAAAGGATTATTAAAAAAACCTTCAGTACCTAGTTTTCCCCTGATGCTACTTCCAGTGACATCTACTTTCAATTATTTTAGCTGTTTTATATAGTATTTACTCCTTGGTTTCTAAAAAATATGCTTATATGGTTATTGACTTCTTATTATCTAAGAAAAAAGAACTCTCTATTCTTACTATAGTTGTATCATAACTTTTGGTTAAATAAATTTTCAGTATTTTCTTCACACATAGCTAACAATACAGCTAATATTTATTGAGTATTTACTATATGCCAGGAATATCTTTAAGTGCTTATATTCATTAATTCCATTATCACAACAATCAGAGTGAGTGTTATTATTATTCATTTACCCATTTTATAAATGGGAGAAGTAAGCCTCCAAGTAACTTACTTTATGATTATGTAAGAATTTTCACTATTGAGCCAAAGCAAGAACATGATTGCATTTCCTTTCTTATTCAAATTTTTTATTTTCTTGCAGTTTACAATGGTGTCACTTTAAAGTTTGCATTATTCACTTCATCACTGATTCTTCCTCCAAAGCAAATATAGAACTCCTCTGAATATTATTTTCCTCATGATCAAAACGTAACACACATCCATCACCCCTCCCCCCAGAGTCTCTTATCCTGCTCTAATCTAGAATGATTGTTCTGCAGGCCTGCACTCCCGTTGGATTCTTTATACTCTAAATCTTGTATTTTCACCTTTTTTGCTCCTGCATTTTGATGGAGCTCATTCTCCAATAGTTTCCTGATAAATGATACAGAAGAGATACATTTTTTGAGATTTTCCATGGATGTATAGTTACTTTGCCTTATCCCCCTTCTGTTTGGACATAGAATTCTAAATTGGAAATAATTTTCTTGCAGCGCTTTAGAAGCATTGATTAATTTCTTTTTAGTTCTTAATATCATTTTTGAAAAGCCTGGCTACCATTTGATGTCCTTTTTATTAAACTTTTTTTTCCCCTTTGGAAGCTTTATGAACCATTTTTATTCCAAATACAGTGACAAGTTCATGACGATGTATCTTTGTGTTCATTTTTTCTCATTTATTATGGTACTCCTTTTAAATATAGAGTGTTATATTCTTAAGGTCTGAGAAGCTTTCTTGTATTATTTCTTTGACAATTTTTTCTCCACCCTCTTCTTCTTCTTTTTTTTTCTGGAACTCTTAGTCAAACGTTCATCAGAGTGTTGTACATTCTTTTGTTTGATTCTACTTTCAGAGAGATTTCACCAACTTTATTTTCCCATCCTTTCACTAATTTAGAAAACATTTCTGCTATCAAATTTTGATTTTATGAGCTCTTTTGTGATAGTTAAATGCTCTTTATAAAATATAGTCATGTGTCAATTAATGATGGGGATATGTTCTTAGCAATGCGTTGGTAGGCTATTTTTAAAAACCAAATATATTTTATAAATATAAATATATTGAATTTCTAAATGCAGTTTAAAATATCTACCTTTTTAAAAACCAGTTTGGCTGGGTACAGTGGCTCATGCCTGTAATCCCAGCACTTTGAGAGCCTAAGGCCGGAGGATTGCTTGAGGCCAGGAGTTTGAGACCAGTCTGGGCAACATAGTGAGACCTCTGTCTTTACAAAAAAATAAGAATAAAAAAAAGTTAGCTGGGCGTGGTGGTGCACGCTTTTAGTCCTAGTTATGTAAGAGTCTGGGGTGGAGGATCACTTCAGCCCGGGAGTTCAAGATTACAATGAGTTATGATCAGGCCACTGCACTCCAACCTGGGTGACAGAGCAAGACCCTGTCTCAACCTGGGTGACAGAGCAAGACCCTGTCTCAAAACAAACGAACAAAAAAATAAAACCAAAACAACAGGTTTGCAATTAAGACAGTGTAAGGCAAATTTAATTTAGTGTTTACAAGTGGAGTTGATCACTCACTGAAAGATAATGCTTTTATATACTATTTCCTATATTTATAAATGGATTAATAAAGTTGTAAAAGTTTGAATTTAAAGGCTTCAGGAAATCTAGGTTCTAAAATTTGTATTTTATTTTTGTTTATTTATTTTTGAGACAGAGCCTCATTCTGTTGCCCAGGGTGAAATGCAGTAGCATAATCACAGTTCATTGCAGACTTGATCTCTTGGGCTCGTGATCCTTCTACATCAGCCTCCCCGGTAGCTGGGACTGCAGGTATATGTGCCACAACACCTGGCTGATTTTTTTTGTTTGTTTTTTTGTAGAGATGAGATCTCATCATGTTGCCCAGGCTGGTCTCAAACTCCTGGCTCGAGTGATCCTCCCACCTCAGCCTTCCAAAGTGCTGGGACTATAGGCATGAGACATTGCCAGAAATGTGTGACTTTAAAGCTTAACATTTTAAATTAAAATATTAAAAAATTTAATATAAAAGAAGTTATTAAAAATATTTTTCAGTACCAAGAAGCCATCCTAGGATATAAAACACCACTCACATTAACACTCGGTATTTCTCATTTAAACTTGCAACAAATGCCCTGTTTTCAGGCCCACTCCTAAGCCTGCTTTCTCAATAAGGGGTTTTGCAGTATGGCTTCTAGAGTTCTGAAGCGTGGTTTGGTTTTGCAGGCATGACCCCGTATAAGCACTTGGTATTTATCTTTTTCAGCTTTGATAATTCCCCCACTTCCTATCTTCTAAAAATTTGTTTTGATTGTTGTTATCTCTTCTGCAATCTTTGTCTCTGTGAGTTTGAACTTTTTAATGTGTGCCATTTGAGTGAGGTTTCAGGATAGAGCAGAGATAAATGCCTGTGCGCTATCTTCCAGGTTTACCTGAAATTCAGTATATCTTTTCTATTACTTTATTTTCAGTCTTTGTGTGTAATTTTGGTTTAGCTGTTCATTACAAATAGCTAATGCTGAGTTCAGGTGGATTAAAAACAACAACGAAACTACACGGCATAGATTTGAGAACCTTTGCTTTAATAGACGGAGGCAGGCAGATCACAAGGTCAGGAGATCAAGGCCATCCTGGCCAACATGGTGAACCCCATCTCTAGTAAAATACAAAAAATAAGCTGGGCGTGGTGGCGTGTGCCTGTAGTCTCAGCTACTTGGGAGGCTGAGACAGGGGAATCACTTGAACCCAGGAGGTGGAGGTTACAGTGAGTCAAGATCGCTGCCACTGCACTCTAGCCTGGCGACAGAGTGAGACTCCGTCTCAAAAAAAAAAAGGAAAGTTGAACACATCCCATTGTTTGTGATAACTGATGTTTGCTTATTTCCCTGATACCTTATAGTGAGTTCTATTTGTTATGTTTTTTTAAAAAAATCTAGTTTTGGAGTCGTATATATTTTTCTTTTGCTAGTAGTTACTCACATTTTAAGCAATAACACTTAAACTTACATTTTTAAAAATTAATGTTGAGAAAATTTCAATATCTAGAACCTATCACCATGCCCTTATGACTTTTCTCCCCTTAAGATTCCCCCCACTTACCATCATCCATGTTTTGTTTAGAATAATCTGAATTTTACCTCTGGAGTGTTATGTAAACAAAATTATGGTTATTCTTTATTAGGAATTAGTATTATCAATATTACTTATACTTAACCATAACTTTTACTGCTTTCTTTATCACTGTTATTATGTTCTTTGTTGAATTCATTTTTATTTTAATGGTTATTCTCACATAATTTTTTTCAGAAAGGGTTTATTGTGGTAAATGTTCTGAGCCTTGCACCTGAATATGTCTTTATATTGCTCCTAAATGTGCATGATAGTTTTGACTGGGTATTAGATTAAAAGCAACTTTCTTTCAAAACTTTAAAGCTATTGTTCCATTATCATGTTGTCCAGAGTTGTGGGTAAGAAGTCTGATGCTAATTTAAATTTTGCTTTTGTGTTTTGTCTTTTATAACCTTAAAGATTTTCTTTTGAGTTCAGAAAATTTTACTAAGCTGTATCAAAAAAATGGCTTTTTGTTTGTTTAATTCTTTCTACATGGCACTTGGTAGACCCATTCAGTCTGAAGATTAGAATCTTGCTTTAGCTCAGCATAGATACTTTTCTCTCCTTCCTTCTTTCCTTCCTTCCTCCCTCCCTCCCTCCCTTCCACCCTCCCTCCTTCCCTCCCTTCCTTCCTTCTTTTTTTTTTGAGATAGGGTCTCTCTCTCTCTCTCTCTGTCTGGAATGCAGTGGCATCACTATGGCTCACTCATAGGGTCTCTCTCTCTCTCTCTCTGTTGACCAGGCTGGAATGCAGTGGCATCATTATGGCTCACTGCAGCCTCAACCTCCTGGGCTCAAGTGATCCTCCCACCTCAGCCTCCTGAGCAGCTGGGACTATAGACGTGTGCCATTATGCCTGGCTAATTTTTGTATTTTTTGTAGAGACAGGGTCTTGCCATGTTGCCCAGGCTGGTTTTCAACTCCTGGGCTCAAGCACTCAAGCAATCTGCCTGTCTTGGCCTCCTAAAGTGTTAGGATCACAGGAGTGGGCCACCATGCCCGACCTCTCTCTATTATTTCTTTATTTATCTCCCTCTGTTTTCTCCATTTTTTTTTTCTTTTTCTAACCTCTACTATGAAGATGTGTGAGCTTCTGGTTCTATCCTTCATGCCTTCTAAATTCAGATTATTCTAAACATGCATTAAATGCTTGCTTGAGGCTTAATTATTTTCTTTTTTTAAAAATATATCGGTGCCTTTCATGCTGAGCCTTTTCTTAAATATTTGGTGATTCTTTTAAATGTGCTTATATATGCAGAAGACAGTTGTAATTGAACACAGGTGAAAATCCCTTTTTACCTGTCAGTGAATACCTCGTCTGATTATACAAACTTTGTCTATTAATTTTCTATTGCTTCTGTTAACAAATTACCACAAACTTAAAACAACAAAGATTTGCTATCTTGCGGTTCTGAGGGTAGAAGTCCAAGAGGGGTCTAAAATGGGGCTAACATCAAAGTGTCAGCACCATCCTCTGGAGGCTCCAGGGGAGACTTTGTTCCATGCCTTTTCCAGCTTCTGAGACTTCCCACATTCCTTGGCTCATGACTTCCTCCATCTTCAAACAGCAGTCACATTGCTCAGACCGCCTGCCTCATACCTTCTTGGATTCTGATTCTCCTGCCTTCCTCTTTCACTAAGGACCTCCATGATTATATTGGACCCTCAAGATCTTTCACTTAATCACATCTGCAAACTCCCTTTTTCCATGTAAAGTAAGAGTCACAGGTTCTGGGAATTAGGGCTGAATATCTTTGGGAAGCCATTGTTCTGTCTAGTGCCCCCTGGCTATGATGGCTATCCAGTGTTCCTTGTCCCCTACTGCAGCCTTTAAATGACCTGGGGACCCTTCTATTTCTCCACCTGGCACTTAATCCAGGAGTCTCTGCTGTCAGAATTCTCAATTTTAGAAAATCTGTTCTCATGGCTCTATTCTGGGGGCAAATTTTGGAGTCAGAAGACCCAAGAACAGGGTTGTCTGTCTGTTTGTTTGGGCCGTGGATTAGTTGTGTTACTTACTGCTCAAGCTCTTCTTTTGCAGTTGGCTTTCTATGCTTCTAATCTTTGCAGGTCTTCTGTTTGTTGGGTCAGAGAGATTGCATGTGAGGGTCAGCTCTTCATGCTTGATGACATACTTTAAAGCCAACCCCTAGATGCCTACTTCTCCTTGACCCTTGCTCTCCCAATATTTTCCTACTGATAAGACATAGAGAATGATGCAAAAGCAGACTTGTAATAAACATTTAGGTTACCTATAATAGAGGAAGACGAAGAAATGAAGTCTGTTTTATGACAATCCTTTAGTACTCAGGCGATACTCTCTGTCAGGACATCTGCCTGGAGTGAGGGAACCAGGGAGTCCAATCACAGACTGCATTAAAAGGGCATCTTAACATGACACTCTGAAAATATGTGTTTTGGGAGCTGCAAAGTCTTGGTACCTGTTAGCATTCTGCCAAGAACAGCTATTGTAGCAGGAATAAACCCATTTTCAAACTTGCTAAAGATAGAAGGCTTCTGTGTCTCATTCCTTGGGATTCAAATGTTGCCTATACTATTGCAGTATTCACCTCACAGGTTGACCATATTTGGAACTGTTCCTGTGGCAGTGTAAACAAGGTCAAATAGTAGAGAAGCCTAAATCTGTTGTCTCTGTCAGCCTTTTCTCATTGGCTCTATATCCCCTGGAAACTTCTCCTTGTTTTAATCTGCAGGTGGTACCGCTTCCCTGCTTTCAGCAACGCAATAGATTTTTAAAAAATTGATGCTGTAATTTGTAGATTTTGGGGAGGGAGAAGAGGAAGACATGTCATTTATTAGCCAGTGTAAATAGGAATATTCAGCCCATTTTTCTAGAAAAGTGAGCATAGTTTGAAGTCAGGTAGCATGATTCCTCCAGCTTTGTTCTTTTTGCTTAGGATTGTCTTGGCTGTATGGGCTCTTTTTTGGTTCCGTATGAAATTTAAAGTAGTTTTTTCCAATTCTGTGAAGAAAGTCAACAGTAGCTTGATGGGGATAGCATTGAATTTATAAATTACTTTGGGCATTATGGCCATTTTCACGATATTGATTCTTCCTATCCATGAGCATGTAATGTTTTTCCATTTGTTTGTGTCCTCTCCTATTTCCTTGAGCAGTGGTTTGTAGTTCTCCTTGAAGAGGTCCTTCACATCCCTTGTAAGTTGTATTCCTAGGTATTTCATTCTCTTTGTAGCAATTGTGAATGGGAGTTCACTCATGATTTGGCTTTCTGTTTCTCTATCATTGGTGTATAGGAATGCTTGTGATTTTTGCACATTGATTTTGTATCCTGAGGCTGCAGTAACCAAAACAGCATGGTACTGGTACCAAAACAGATATATAGACCAGTGGAACAGAACAGAGGCTTCAGAAATAACGCCACACATCTACAACCATCTGGTCTTTGACAAACCTGACAAAAACAAGCAACGGGGAAAGGATTCTCTGTTTTTTTTTTTGTTTTTTTTTTTTTTTGAAACACGGTCTCTCTGTCGCCCAGGCTGGAGGGCAGTGGTGTGAACTCGGCTCACTGCAAGCTCTGCCTCCTGGGTTCACGCCATTCTCCTGCCTCAGCCTTCTGAGTAGCTGGGACTACAGGCGCCCACCACCACGCCTGGCTAATTTTTTGTATTTTTAGTAGAGACGGGATTTCACTGTGTTAGCCAGGATGGTCTCAATCTCCTGACCTCGTGATCCACCCACTTCAGCCTCCCAAAGTGCTGGGATTACAGGCGTGAGCCACTGCACCTGGCAGGATTTCCTATTTAATAAATGGTGTTGGGAAAGCTGGCTAGCCTTATGCAGAAAACTGAATCTGGTCCCCTTCCTTACACCTTATACAAAAATTAACTCAAGATGGATTAAAGACTTAAACACAAGACCTAAAACCATAAAAACCCTAGAAGAAAACCTAGGCAATACCATTCAGGACATAGGCATGGGCAAAGACTTTATGACTAAAACACCAAAAGCAACTGCAACAAAAGCCAAAATTGACAAATTGGATCTAATTAAACTAAAGAGCTTCTGCACAGCAAAAGAAACTATTATCAGAGTGAACAGGCAACCTACAGAATGGGAGAAAATTTTTGCAATCTACCCATCTGACAAAGGGCTAATATCCAGAATCTACAAAGAACTTAAACAAATTTACAAGAAAAAAAAAAAACAACCGCATCAAAAAGTTGGCAAAGGATATGAACAGATACTTCTCAAAAGAAGACATTTATGTGGCCAACAAACATGTGAAAAAAAGCTCATCATCACTGGTCTTTAGAGAAATGCAAATCAAAACCACAATGAGATACCATCTCATCCCAGTTAGAATGGCGATCATTAAAAAGTCAGGAAACAACAGATGCTGGAGAGGATGGGGAGAAATAAGAACGCTTTTACACTGTTGGTGCGAGTGTAGGAGTGTAAATTAGTTCAACCATTATGGAAGACAGTGTGGCGATTCCTCAAGGATCTAGAACCAGAAATACCTTTTGACCCAGCAATCCCATGACTGGGTATATACCCAAAGGATTATAAATCATTCTACTATAAAAACACATGCACACGTATGTTTATTGCAGCAATGTTCACGATAGCTAAGACTTGGAACTGACACAAATGCCCATCAATGATAGACTGGATAAAGAAAATGTGGCACATATATACCATGGAATACTATGCATTCATAGAAAATGATGAGTTCATGTCCTTTGCAGGGACATGGATGAAGCTGGAATCCATCATTCTCAGCAAACTAACATAAGAATAGAAAACCAAACACTGCATGTTCTCACTCATAAGTGAGAGCTGAACAATGAGAACACATAGACACAGGGAGGGGAACATCACACACTGGGGCCTGTTGGGGGTGGTGGGGCTAGGGGAGGGATAGCATTAGGAGAAATACCTAATGTAGATGACAGGTTGATGGGTGCAGCAAACCACCATGGCACGCATATGCCCATATAACAAAACTGCATGTTCTGCACATGTATCCCAGAACTTAAAGTATAATTTTAAAAAATTTAAAAAAGTGAGCATAGGTATAAGAGTTTTTGAGAGTCGTAAACATACAGCAGTCAATATCATGCCTGCTCAGCTCCCTGGGCTTGTCAAAGAAATATGCAAGAGTTCTTTTGCAGCATTTGGATCATTGAAGTAATGCCATAAGCTTTAAACATGTAATTGTTACTGCCATCTTTGAGAAGGAAAACAGGAAAGAAAGTTATGACAATTGTGTCATGTTTGTTCTTTTAGCAGCAGTAACTTGACCAAAATTTTCCTGAGTGATGTATGTAGCAAAAGCCTCTGGCACCCGTGTCATATCTCCTCAGCCCACCTCTGTTTTTAGCTGTAGCTGCAGTGGACAGTTCCACACAAGTTCACACTCACCTTGTGCTGACAATGCCACACTTCACATGTATGCTGTACGTCTTCCTGCTTTCTTCCCCAGGGCTTTCTTTGATGCCACAAAAGCCTGCACAATTCCCATGCAAGTGCAGCCCAATGGGGTGGGAGTCTTAATGCCTTCAAGGTCAACCCTCAACCAATGTGGGACAGAACCCAGTGGATAAATGCTCCAGCCCCCTGTCCTTTGGGTGGCCACTTCTTTGTGGGGGCATTATGCATGCTTTTCAAGAGCTCCAGACCAAATCAAATCCCTGTTTGCTCATAGTGGTGAACTTGATAATGCACCTTTGTTTTTGTTTTTCCTTCTCTCTTCTCTCACTCTCCTGGCTCCCTCACCCCTCTTTCTGGAACCACCTCCCCAGCAGATCATCTGTACCCAAGACTTTGTCTCAGGCTTTGCTTTTGACAAAACCCAAACTAAGACAATGTCATTAAATGTCTACTGAAGAATTTTTATGAAGCTTTAAATAAGATTGAAGTGCTTTACAGCTCACCTTAGCTATAAGGGAGATGTAGAAAAAAATGGGAAATATCATTGGGAATCTCAATGTTTTATTGACCTTCAGCAACATAATCACATATGAAAGCATAGCTGCTGAGTAATTCTTCCAGTTCATCAGCATCCTGGGGCTGCAATAGTATAGATGAGAGGAGGAATTAGGAAAATAGCTATTTATTATTGCATGCCTTTATAGGGGCTCCTTTATGTGCTACATTTAACCCACTGACTAACCCTTAAAGATGAACATTAGAATCCCCATTTCACACAAGTAAGAGGTAAAACAATAATATAATTTGCCCAAGGCTGAAATAACCAGTTAGTGGCTGATACCAATTACTGGTCATTACCGTTCACTGGTAGTAATTTTAAATGAATAATGTATATAATCCATTTATTTCATGTTTACCCTTTTCTTTTAAACTTTATTTAAAAATTTTTATTCAAGGTAATATGTACACATTGTACAAAATTCTAAGATGCAAGAAGGTATGCAGTGAAAAGCATATCTCTCTCTTCCCTTTGCTCTAGGCCTTTTAAGGAAATATCTACTTTTATCAGTTTCTTGTATGTTCTTCCAGAGATATGCTGTATGTATACGAGTTATTTTACTTTATTTTAGTTTTTTTGAGACAGAGTCTTGCTCTGTTGCCCAGGCTGGAGTGCAGTGGTGTGATCTCAGCTCACTGCAACCTCTGCCTCCTGGGTTCAAACAGCTCTTCTTCCTCAGCCTCCCAAGTAGCTGGGACTACAGGCATGCACCACCATGCCCCACTAATTTTTGTATTTTTAGTAGGGACAGGGTTTTCCTATGTTGGCCAGGCTGGTCTCAAACTTCTGACCTCAGGTGATCTGCCCTCCTCGGCCTCTCAAAGCCCTGGGATTGCAGGCGTGAGCCACTGTGCCAGGTTGGTTATTTTATTTTTATTTCTACATATAACATGAACATTGCTCTTTGCTTTACTTTGCTATTTTCACATAAAATATGTTAGAGACCTTTACAATTAATTCATGGAGAACTGACTTATTATTTTTAGCTGTTGTATAATATTCCATTGTATGGATGCATTCTCTATAATCTATAATATCTGTTAAATTTTATCCTATAAAACCTTAACACTTTTTTTTTTGAGACAGAAACTCACTCTCCTGGAGGCTGGAGGGCAGTGGCACAATCTTGGCTCACCACTGTCTTTGTCTTCTGGGTTCAAGCAATTCTGCCTCAGCCTCCCGAGTAACTGGGGCCACAGGTGTGCACCACCATGCCTGGCTAATTTTTGTATCTTTATTAGAGATGGGGTTTTGCCATGTTGGCCAGGCTGGTCTGGAACTCCTGACCTCAGGTGATCTGCCCACCTTGGTCTCCCAAAGTGCTGAGATTACAGGCATGAGCCACTGTGCCTGGCCTCTTAATACCTTTTGATACTGGTTGTACCAATTATTTAAAAATTCTTAGTGGCATAAATTATAAAAAATAAGAAAATGTTTTAAGAAGCCAATAATAAGTGGTTATTTTATCTCTTTGTGCATAGGAAGCTTTGAATTGTACAGAATTTTTTTTGCACTTAAAAATTTTTATTATGAACATTGAACATTGTCACCTATACACTAGGATAGAGATACTAGAAAAATAAATCCAATGTACAGATTAAGTACATTCAGTAAATATGAAGCTTTAGTCATTTTCTCTTTACGTATCTTTTTAGAAGTTTTATTTTCTTTTGTTGGTGCATTTTAAATAAAAACTTAACGTCTTTTTCACTCCTATGTGCTTTTGGTATGCATTTCTTTGTGTGTGTGTGTGCATATGTTTGTTATAGGAGCACTCAGCATAAGATCTACCCTCTTAGCAAATTTTTAACTATACAATTTTGTATTGTTAACTATAGGCACTATGCTGTACAGTGTAACTGTAGAACTTATTCATCTTGCATACCTGAAATTTTGTACCCTTTGACCAATACCTCCTCATATCACCTTTTCCCCAGCCCCTGGCATACACCCTCCTATGCTCTGCTCCTATGAGTCTAACTGTTTTAGATTTCTCATGTAAGTGGAAACATGCAGCATTTGCCATTGTGTCTAGCTTATTTCACTTAGCATAGTGTCCTCCTGATTTATCCATATTGTTGCAAATGGCAGGATTTTTTTCTTTGTTAATGTTTCCATTTTGTGTGTGTTTGTGTGTATATATGCCACAATTTCTTTATCCATTCATTTGTAGATGGACTTTTAGATTGCTTCCATGTCTTCACTGTTGTTGTGACTAATGCTGTAATGAACATGGGAGTGCAGATATCTCTTCAAAATTCTGATTTTTAATTTCTTTGGACATATATCCTCAAATGGGATTGCTGAATCCTATAGGGTAGTTCTGTTTTTAATTTTTTGAGGAATCTCCATACTGTTTTCCATAGTGGGTGCACTAATTTACATTCCCACCAACAGTGTACCCTTTTCTCTACATGTTCGTCAACTCTTGTTATCTCTTGCCTTTTGGATCATAGCCATTCTAATAGGTGTGAGGTGATATCTCATTGTGGCTTTGATTTGCATTTCCATGATGATTTGTGATATTGAACTTTTTTTATATATCCATTGGCCATTTATAGGTCTTCTTTGGAGAAATATCTATTGAGGTCCTTTATTCATTTTTAATTGGGTTATTATTATTTTCCTATTGAGTTGTAGAAGTTCCTTATATATTCTAGATATTAGTCATTTATCATTTAAATGGTTTTCAAACTTTTTTTTTGCCATATTGTAGGTTACCTTTTCATTTCATTGATTGTTTCCTTTGCTGTGCAGAAGCTTTTTAGTTTGATGCAATACCACTTGTTTATTATTGCTTTTGGTGTCATATCCAAGAAGCCATTGCCCAGATCATTGTCAAGAAGCTTGTTTCCTATGTTTTCTTCTAGGAGTTTTATGATTTCAGATCTTAGATTTGTCTTTAATCCATTTTTGTGCATGGTATAAGCTAAGTGCCCAATTTTATTCTTTTGCATGTGGATATCCAGTTCTTCCAGTAGCATTATTGAAGAGACTATTTTTTCCTGTATATTCTTGGCACCCGTGTCAAATACCATTTGATCATATATGTGTAGGTGTATCTCTGGGCTCTCTATTCTGTTCCATTGATCTATATGTCGTTTTTATGCCAGTACCACACTGTTTTGATTACTGTAGATTTGTAATATGTTTTGAAATCAGAAAATATACCTCCGATTTGGTTCTTCTTGCTGAAAATTCCTTTGGCTATTTAGAGTCTTTTGTGTACTTTTTAAAATTTCTGTAAAAAATGCTATTGGTTTTTTGATAGGATTTGCATTGGATCTGTCAATCACTTTGGATAGCATGGACCTTTTAACCATATTAATCCCTCTGACCCAATAAATATTAAGGCTGAATAATATTTCATTATTTCAGTATTTATATTGAAAATGATTATAGACACACACACACACACACACACACACCACAATTTCTTTATTCATTCATCCATTGATGGACTTTTAGATTGCTTTTAGAATGCAGGAGGTCATTCCATTTATTTCTTGGTTCTTCAATTTCCTTCATCAATGTTTCACAGATTCTGATGTACAAGTCTTTCAACTTGGTTAAACTTATTCCTAAATAGCTTATTCTTTTTGATGCTATTGTAAATGGGATTGGTTTCCTAAATATTTTTTTTTGGATAGTTTTTTGTTAGTGTATAGACATGCAACTGATTTTTGTATGTTGATTTTTGTATCCTGTAACTTTACTGAATTACTTTCTTAGTTCTAACAGATTTTATTGTGGAGGCTTTAGAGTTTTATACATATGAGATCATGTCATCTACAAACTGATAATTTAACTCTTTCTTCTCTGATTTGGATGCTTTTTATTTCTTTTTCTTGCCTAATGGCTCTGGCTAGGACTTCTGGGACTGTGTTGAATAGAAATGATGAGATTGGGCATCCTTGTCTTGTTGTGGATCTTGAGAAAAAGCTTTCATGAACTGTGCAGAATCGGATTCTCTTCAATTAGATATCTGTCTGTCTCTGTCTTTTTGTTCTGTCTCTCTATCTCTGTCTATCCATCTCTCCCCTTCCTCTAATATCAATCTTTAAAAATTATGCCATGCTCAGTCTCAAAATTCTACTGACTGAATTTAAAAGTTGTTGTCAGTGTCAATTTAATTCAATTTCTATTGGCTTAGAGGTTTTTTCAGAAGCAGGCATAAATTTCAGAAACTTCTTTTCTTCATTAAGATGTGTAAGACAAACGTATTGGCTATAGATTTTTTTCAGATAGTATAAGAAAATTCAAAAAGTGTACATTAGATAAATCCAAATGTTTATTCCTATTCATAAAGCCCCTTGAAAACTTTTTAGAGCATGCCTACTTCTATGATTGAAGGAAGATTCCTAATGGAACTAGTAAACTGTCATTTGCAAAAGTCTAATCTTTCATATTATTTTTTACTTTATTCTGTGTTTTGGACCTATTAACCAATAACCTAGAATAACCTCATTCATTCAAGCTCAATTTATAAAAAGCTGTTCATTAATGTTTTCCATAGACACATACATACATTTATATTTTTAAATTAAACTTTTAATGTTGAGATAATTGTAGGTTCACATGCAGTTTTAAGAAATAATACGAAGAGTCCAGGCACGGTGGCTCACACCTGTAATCTCAGCACTTCGGGAGGCTGAGGCGGGTGGATCATTTGAAGTCAGGAGTTCAAGATCAGCCTGGCTGACATGGTGAAACCCCATCTCTACTAAAAATACAAAAATTAGCCTGGCGTGGTGGCACTCATCTGTAGTTTCAGCTACTTGGGAGGCTGAGGCGGAAGAATCGCTTGAACCCGGGAGGTGGAGGTTTGGCGACTGCAGTGAGCCAAGATCACAGCACTGCACTCTAGCCTGGGCAACAGAGGGAGACTCTACCTCAAAAAAAAAAAAAAAGAAAAAAAAAGAAATAATACAAAGAGATCCCATATACTCTTTACCTACTTTCTCCTAATGGTAACCATTTGTGAAACTACAGTACAATGTCACAACTAGAACATCGACAATGATAGTCAATACCCACATTTCTGTCACACAAGTTTCCCTTATGTTGCCATTTTATAGCCACCTCAACTTCCTTCCCTCCCCCACACTCTTTTAACTCTGTAACCACTAATCTGTGCTCTATTCCTATAGCTGCAATTTCAAGAATGTTGTGTAAATGCAGTCATATGGTATGTATATACATTAAATGTTTTTTCCTGTTTTTAAAAACAGGCTTCTTCAGGAATTAGACATAAACTCATAGATAACATTTTTAAGTCAACATGGTGACACATTGGTCTGATTTTTTAAACTATCAGCTCACCCCACAAAAATTCAATATTTTCATTTATAAAGACTGATTTAAACTTACTGAATTAGATTGGATTCCCTGAAACTGATTCTGAACTGGAGACTTGTATAAAGAAATTATCTTGGGGTTTGGTCTGAGTAGTCACCCTGTAAGGAAGTGAGGAGGGCAGGATTGGGCAGGACGAACTGCCCCACAGAGCAGTTGCAGCTGAGGCCTCAGCACATCCAATTAGGTATTTGGGGACCAGGAAATGATCACTAGGTGGGTTGAAGTACCCAGTGGATTGAGTGGACTCAACCTGAGCCAGAACCATGCCACAACCTCATTTATTACCTTGCCCCCTATGTTCCCCCTCTAAAACAAGCCATGGTGGTGCTTTGATTCCCCAGATATCAATGACATTTTAGACCCTGCGTTAATAATCCTGGAAAGGTCTGAGTAGTCCGCTTTCTCCAAAACATGGTTACCCAAGTAAATGGGCCATCAATTCCTTTAGGAAAGGACTGGGAGAATTGCTACTGAATACGTTTGATGCAATGTTGTAGCGTTCATCCTCATAGGGACCTGGTGTTTCCTTTAGTCAATAGGTTCTGAATTTGAGAACTGGCTTGGGTCTGGACAATAAATTGTGACTTTACCAGAGTAGTTGCCTTTAGCTTTCTGATCATCTAAACATTCATCCTTGATTTTTTTTTTTAAAAAAGAGCATAAATTAAGCAATATCCTTATTGTCTGCCCACTTCTTTTGCCTCTATGAACACTGTGTTCCAGGAACCATCTCCATGTTTCTCTGAGGGTTGAGGAGCCCTAGTTGCCATTCCAATCTTGCAATTCATCAAAATAATTGTGCTCACCTTGGTTTTGATGGTTAAGTGTCATCACTTGGCCTCTTTTATCAGGATTCTGGAATAATCCCTGCTCTGGCAATACCTCTTGCTATCAGCCCTGGCCTGTATACCACTGAGCTTCTCAATGATGCAGGTGTTTCTTTATCTACTACATTTCATATCAATAACTTTGGTAAATGGAGTATACTCTGGGCCTTTTCATAAACAGTTGTCTGGGAGGTTTTCTGGCTTCACATAGCATATCCACTCTAACATACCCCTTTCTCTGATATTTTATTTATTATTTTATTATTTATTTATTTATTTATTTGAGTCTGGCTCTGTCGCCCAGGCTGGAGTGCAGTGGCGGGATCTCGGCTCACTGCAAGCTCCACCTCCCGGGTTCACGCCATTCTCCTGCCTCAGCCTCCCGAGTAGCTGGGACTACAGGCGCCCGCCACATCGCCTGGCTAATGTTTTGTATGTTTTGTAGAGATGGGTTTTCACCGTGTTAGCCAGGATGGTCTCGATCTCCTGACCTCGTGATCCACCCGCCTTGGCCTCCCAAAGTGCTGGGATTACAGGCGTGAGCCACTGTGCCCGGCCTACTCTGATATTTTAAATTCTTTTCCCCCTCAATAATATAGCAATTCTGTAATTTCTACTTAGTGTGAGCCATTGATTTTCCAAACTTCTAGGGAACAGTCTAGCAGTGTGTTACCATTGTTTGCTGGTGTTAAATCCCCCAGTAGCTGAAGGATGAGTAAATCAACCCTGAAGAGGGGATTTGGGTGGAACACAACAGTATCTACTCACTGCCTTACTCCAAATCACACTATACCTGCCGTCATCTCCTGTACTGGCTTTGCAGTGGCTTTTGTCAAAAGTGATACAAGCTTATCTGATGGCATGATCTCCAAATAAGTAACTCAAGCAACATAATAAACAGAATTTAGAAGACTACAAGCTAGGAATACAAAGATAAACAAAGTATATATACAGGAGAAAGATTTAAATGATGTGACAGAATTTGGGGGAAGGGCAACGACCATCAGCAGAGTAATGAGTGAACAGGTAAGGGGGATGCCTCTAGCCAAAGAGAAAAGTTAGCTCCCGTATTTAAATAACCATAATAAAAAAAACCCCAACAATGCAGAAACCATATTCTTATAAGCATAGTGTGCTGAAGACTGTCCATTATTATCTCGTCTTTTTGATTCAATAGAGAGATTATAGTCACCACTGCTAAAACTATCTCTTATTATATAATACAATGATAATAGCAACGATTTATTGAATGTTTGTGGTGCTAAGTGCTTTATAAAACACTACCTCCTTATATACCCTTGTATGCATGTGAAGGAGTGATGACAAGAAAATGTGACCCTGGTCAAAGTTGCCACCTTCGTGGTTCCGTACTTAATACAATGATGTTGACTACTGTAATTTAAACAATGTCGTCGCTCTTATTTGTGGATTGCTGTTGGAGACCGTGGAACATAACTGTGAAGTCCTAAAATATGGTACACCTTCATTCTTCACAAGAGGATTTCGTATTTTGAAAACAGTCAAAGTCATCCAGGGCCCAATTTGATGAATAATTTGGAAAGATATTCAAAATAGGTAATGTAATTTTAGTTCTTTAAAATAAAAGAGAGTTGGGTTTTTGACTATTAAGCAGTAGTAGTCCTAATTTTGTTGGAAGTTTGGAAATCAACTCTAAAGCAGTTCTCAAAATACAGCTGAAGCAATGACAGCATTGTTAGAATGACAGTGACCTCTTAAGATAAGTACGTAAAGATTGACACTTATTTGGATTACAAACCATTAATTAAATTTTTTCTGCTTCGTACACAGACAGAAAAGTGGAGAGGAAATATTATGTTGTTTTTTTAAATGGGAAGGTATGTTTCCTTAAAGAGCAACTTTACTCATTTCCTACTCTTAAGTCAAATTTGCTTTGCTCAGTCTATTTTGTCACATAAGGTTCTGATAGGCTTATTTCCATATACTTTATCTTTGGAATCTTGAATTATGTTACCATTCCTTAGCAAATGGAAGCTATATTCTGAGTTTCCATAATATATTTCTTCATTTTAAGTGCATGTAATATTATCCAGATACTGGTAACAAATAGAAAAACAAATTTCATATTAAATTATTTTAAATTTACAACTTAATTGTTAAATTACACATTGAAAAAATTTATACATTGAGCATGACGTTTTGGTGATTTTAAAATTTCCTATAAATTTGTCTTTTCACCTTTATTTTTATGTATTTTGTCACTTTTAGTAGTAGGTGAGTAAGTTTAATTCTAACATTTGATGATAAGGTCTCTGTAAAAGACCTTGGTGAAAAGGATACAGGAAATTTAAAATATACCTACATACTAACAAAGAAAAATTTAGAGCATTTTATGAACAGGTGAAAAAATGACAATTAGGAAAATAAATCATATCCATATTCTTTAAGAACAAATTCTCTCTTGAATGGTCTATCACAGGTAGACTGCTGTGCATGTAAGATGCTGTATGTTAAGTTGCACTGAGAACTTACAACAATTTTCACAGGTGTGAAGGTGCATAGGCAGGTAACTTCAAACCTGATTGTGTCAAATGTCATGCTTAATTAAAACGTGTTCCTTGCAAATTCAGATCTAAATTTAGACATAAGAATTTATCCTCCCTCCCCTGTCATTCTTGGAAAATCATACATTACAGTTTTGGGGCTTGACGAAACAACTCAGCAGAAAAATTCATTCACCTCTTATTGAAAAAATATGTTTTTTCTCCCGCTCAATTTCCCTTCTTAACATTTGCTGGATTGCACTGTTGAAACATATCCTATAGCCACAGTCCCTGATGGCTAAGAAATTGACATGTTATTATTCTAGAAACTGGTTATTGCTTTTAAACATAGATGCAATTAGTTGCATAAAACACTAGAGTAAATTTGTGTAGAAATAGTTGATTATTATTTTGTCTATGGTCACATTAGCATGGTTTATTAAGCATTTTGATTATAGTACTTTAGTAGTAATAAATTTGCTTATCATTTAACAAGCTGAAAAATATATTTTAAGTATATATATTTGTCTTAAAAGAAATGTCAAAAAGGAGTAGTGATAATTGATTTTCTTTACTGGGCTATTGAAATTTTAATCACTAGATGCTGAAAAACAACCAGCTTTCATGGTAAATATCAACATTAAGAATTTCTGCACATTTTCTGGTTAAATCTAAATTTAAATGTTGAGAGAGACAATTGTAAAAAGGAATTAAACGTTCTGAGAAGAATAAAAATAAATGAAAATACAAAAATGCACTTTAAATGGGGCTATTCTTTTCCAAGGAGAAAAAAAGCGGGGGGTGGTGGTATTCTTTTTCAAGCAAGCAATCTCTTGTAAAATTCACTTTGCAGCTTCTACCCGAATCATATAGCAAGATTTCCTCATTCGCCAGACTGTGGAAATAAATCAAGGACCTTTGTCCGTGCTACTAAATAATGTCCGTGATATCACACACTCAGCAAAGATGCCTTCTTTTTCAGCTGCTTTGCTGTCTAACTTGCTCTGTATACTAATGTGGTTCTGAGATGATTGTGTGAGATGTTGATATTTGGGAATGCTGCTGATCAGCTTTCTGTTTTCAGAAATCGCACCAAAGACTTGAGGTTTTAGCGGAATTGATAAGAGGAAAGCCACATAAGAGCCCTTGCTTTGATGCACGTAATAATAGCCAGCAAAACCCACCCTGTGCAGCCTTGAGAGCAGCCCCACTACTCTGAGGAGTACTCAGTTCTTCGGGGCTGATTATGGCTTATTGAGGCAGAAAACTTCTTCGAGTTCAAACTCTTTGAATTCCTTGTTCACTCAATAGTGTGTCAAAAAAGAGCATTCAATGTTTCATGTCACAAAATCACCGCCGGCCTAAATTGTTCCTATTTCTCTTTTGCATATGGTGCGCAAGAAAATTTTCAACACTCTTCCGTCGGAGCACCGTAATGCTTTGATATGGGTAACATTGCCATAACAGCCTGCATTAAGGAACTTATATTTTATTCTTCTTTTCAGTGTACATAAAAATCCCAGCTTAGTCCTTTTTTGTCTTTTAGATCCTTTGAACTCTTTCAAGCTATGTTTCAAGACTTTCTGGGCTTTGACGGGGCTGGGCATTCACTGTAAAAGCAGTCAATGCCTCAGTGAGACCACAAGCAAAACTGTAAGTGTCTTAAGCAGAGACCACACAACTCTTGTGAGTATTTGCATAATTTAGCAACTCTGTTGAGTGTGAATCTCAAAGCAAAGAATGCTGCTCATTAATTTCCTTCATTAAGTATCTTGGGCCATATCCCTTTCTGACCAGAGCATTACCTGTATTGGATGCTCTGGAGCTGGTATGCATATGAATACACACTGGAATATAGGTGTATGTATGTGAGGATGTGCTGTGTATCAGAGTCCTAGCTCGACATTATCATTAGAGAATATGTTTACACTGCGGTGCGAAATTCTAGAATAAAGTGCTGATTCAGACGCAAAAGTGTATACCCTGAAGTAGCCAACTGTGGGCTCAAAGAGAGCAAGGCCAAAGCTGGACTGCTCAGTTCATTTTCCAGTTCAGTAGCTGTAGTAATCCAGCTTCGCCAGCTGCTAACAAGATTGGGTCTGAAGTTTACCTCCACAATGAGATAATCAGATTACCAGCCACAAAGATCAAATAATGACCCAGCTTTCGAGCAAGTTCAGCAGGCCCTTGATAACACTGTGTGGTCCTTGAGGCTTGATTAAAAAATTAAATGGCTAAACTTTGCCTCAATATTTTGCATTGGGATTTTGAGTGACTTGATGATTCTTTTCAAGGTGCACTTTCCTATTCTTCTGTTGGTTTGAAATTAAGAGGTAGGAGAAAAGGAGGATGCTCCCGCTGTGCAGTTGTTCTTGAGCTGGGCTTTAAATGAAGCATGTAGAATTTTTAATTTGGTGGTGTAGGGAAGACAAGGTAAATTCAAAATCATCCGCGAGCAAGGAGTTGGGCTGTAACAAAAACAACCTTTGCGTCTGCTGAATGTTGTTTCCCAGCACTGTGCCTCTGGACCAGAATGGATTTGGTCTTTCTCTCCCAGGCCAAAAATGTTTGAAAGTTTTGGTTTTGGCTACTATATGATAGCTGTTTTCAGTAGTAAAGGGATTATTCTGAGAGGCATACAAATGTGATTGTCTCACAGCAGATGGTGCGCACTGCTTCACCTTTGAGAAAAGTTAATTAAGCCAAGCATATTGTGCCCATAGAGAGGAAAATGTAGATGAATATTGAGCAATCAAACTCAGTGTCTCCTTTTTTCATGCCTTTGCAATGGGACACAGAATCCCATTGAAAAAGAATTATGTACAGAATCAAATTAATTCACATCCAACTTTACTCTCTTCCCACGTTTTAACAGGGGTGCACACCAGGCTCTTCAGAAGTTTTGTCCACAATCAATGAGCCACACTGCGGTGTCCACTAAATTAAATGAACCAGTGCAGAAGAATCTCTTGTGAGATATTAAAAGGGTGAAAGGCTGTTTAATTCAAATCCTTCCGTAGAGTCTTTTCACAGCCCCTTTTCCATAGTACAGTGTAAATTATTAACTAACTCCTTTCATCTTAGATCAATTTACAAAACAGAAACAATTACCCCTTGTTAATGAGAGTGAACACTTCTAATAATTATGAAAGTTGTGTTTGATTCTGTTTCCTCACAGGTCCTTGTTTACAATCTAATTTAGAGTTGTGTGCAGAGTGAAATAAAACAAGAATTGAGGTTGAGAATTTGAAAAATGGCTGGTCATGAAACAAATGGGCTTTGCATGTTAATGAACATTGAGGAATGCATTAAAATATGCCTAACTGATACCTGCTTCCATTCAATTAAGTCTACTCTCTGATGGTGTTTGTAAATATCTGTGCTTCTGAGGGGGCTGCTTTTCAGTACGGGGGTTTGGGAAGGTGTTTGCACCACTATCTCTGCAAATGGTGGGTAATTGTTGATGGACAGGCTTACTCAAGAAGAAGAGGGAGAAAGGGTTTTGCTGTGGCCTCCTGCCATGCTGAGTGGTTTGAGGCCTTAGGCAGCTCCATGAGCTTAACTTTATCTTTCCCTTCAGAATCAGTGACAAGTCCAAAAGGATAAAGGTAGACTTTGGACACCAAAGGAGCACTGAGACTCACATAGAAAGGCAAATTTTAATCTCAATTGGATAAAAAGGGGGCAGAGGAAATGACTCAGATCATTGAAAGAAAAGGCCAAGTCTGAGGTAGGCCTAGCAGCTGGGTTTCTGCACCTGTCCAGCCCTCCTTTCCGTGACTGGCCAACCCCCAGGCTCAGCTATTATTTTGGTTACTCAGGGCATATTCAGAGAGTGGAGCTTTGAAGGGAGAGGGAGGCAGTCATTGGGAAGAGAAGGGAATGATAGCATAGACCAGCAGTGGTCAGAGTAGTTGCTAGAAGATCTTCCCTGGCTATGAAAAAACAAACAAACAAACAAACAAAAAACAACTCAAAACAATAACAAAAGAACAAACAAACAAAAAAACAAAGTAGGAAGAATTTTAGTATCCACATCAATTATAGAGAAGTAGCTTTGTAGAAGAGGCCATGCAAATCATTAATTGAATGGAAGCAGGTATCAGTGAAGCATATTTGAATGTATTCCTCAATGTTTATTAACATGCAAAGCCCATGGTGGGGTAAGAAATCTGACTGTAGGAAAAAAACCCCAGAAAATTATTTGAGGACCTAGAAATGGTCAGCATAGTAGGAACTAGTGTCATCCAATTGCTCTAATAAGAGGACTTTATTTTATTTTTTATTTTTATTTATTTTTTTTTTTTGGAGATGGAGTTTCACTTGTTGCCCAGGCTGGAGTGCAATGGCAAGATCTTGGCTCACCACAACCTCCGCCTTCTGGGTTCAAGCAATTCTACTGCCTCAGCCTCCCGAGTAGCTGGGTTTACAGGCATGCGCCACCACGCCCGGCTAATTTTGTATTTTTAGTAGAGATGGGGTTTCTCCATGTTGGTCACGCTGGTCTCGAACTCCAGACCTCAGGTGATCTGCCCGCTTCAGCCTCCCAAAGTGCTGGGATTACAGGTGTGAGCCACCATGCCCGGTAGAGGACTTTATTTTAGAGGCATCAGAAAAGATGTCCTTAGTGACTCATTTTTGGAGGTTAAATTCACCGAAACCTCTTGTGAAGGAGCACAAGGATAGGATATCACCCTGTGTGCTATAACTTATTTCTATACTTAAAAAAACCTTTTTACTTTAGAATAGTTTTAGTTGTGAAGATAGTACAGAGAGTTCCTGTATACATCGTACCTAATTTCCCCTATTAACATCTTAACATTTGTACATTACATTTATCATAATTAATTAACCAGTATTGACACATTATTGTTAACTAAAGTCCGTAATTTATTCATATATCTTTCTTTTTACCTAATGCCTTTTTTCTGTTCCAGGATCCCATCCGGTATAACACATTGCATTTATTTATTTGTTTCCTTGGATGTGAGAAGTTTCTTGTTTTTGACGACCTTGACAGTTTGGAGGAGTACTGTTTTTTTTTTGTTTGTTTTGTTTTTTTGAGATGGAGTCTTGCTATCTTCCAGGCTGGAGTGCAGTGGCGCAATCTCGGCCCACTGCAAGCTCCGCCCCGCAGGTTCACGCCATTCTCCTGCCTCAGCCTCCCGAGTAGCTGGGACTACAGGCGCCCACCACCACGCCAGGCTAATTTTTTTTTTTTTTTTTTTTTAGTAGAGACGGGGTTTCACTGTGTTAGCCGAGATGGTCTTGATCTTCTGACCTTGTGGTCCGCCCGCCTTGGCCTCCCACAGTGCTGGGATTACAGGCGTGAACCACCATGCCTGGCCTGTTTTGTTTTGTTTTGTTTTTAAAGAATGTCCGTCAATTTGTTTGATGTTCTTCTCACGATTAGACTGGGGTGATGGGTTTTAGGGAGGAAGACCACAGAGGTAAAGTGTCTTTCTCATCACGTTGCGTCAAGGGTACATACTGTCAACATGATAACAGTATTGATGTTAGCCCTGACCACCTGGCTGAGGTAGTGCTTATGATTCTCTATATAAAGTTACTTTTCCCCTTTTCTGTACTGTACTTTTTGGGAGGAAATCACTGTGTCGACCCTACACTTAAGAGTTATGCTCCACCTCCCTGAGATGCAAAAGTAATTGCAGTTTTTGCACTGTTGGAATTTGCCATTTGTTATTGGAATACATTCTTAAACAAATGTGGTTATGTTATACATCATTTTAGTGAGCATTTCTCACTTTATGTTATTTTGCTAATGGCTTATTACTTGCTGCTTATTTTATATTTATTTTAGGCTATGGAAATAATGTTAGACAAAAAGCAAATTCGAGCAATTTTTTTATTCGAGTTCAAAATGGGTTGTAAAGCAGCAGAGTCAACTCACAACAACAACACATTTGGCCCGGGAACTGCTAACAAACGTACAGTGCAGTGGTGGTTCAAGAAGTTTTGCAAAGGAGACGAGAGCCTTGAAGATGAGGAGCATTGTGGCCAGCCATCGGAAGTTGACAATGACCATTGAAGCTGATCCTCTTATAACTACATGAGAAGTTGCTGAAGAACTCAATGTCAACCATTCTACAGTCATTGGGCATCTGAAGCAAATTGGAAAGGTGAAAAAGCTCGATAAGTGGGTGCCTCATGAGCTGACCAAAAATAAAACAAATCATCGTTTTGTGTCATCTTCTCTTATTCTGCACAACAACAATGAACCATTTCTCATCGGATTGTGATGTGCAATGAAAAGTGGATTTTATATGACAACCGGCGATGTCCAGCTCAGTGGTTGTACCAAGAAGAAACTCCAAAGCACTTTCCAAAGCCAAACTTGCACCATAAAGAAGGTCATAGTCTCTGTTTGGTGGTCTGCTGCTGGTCTGATCCACTACAGCTTTCTGAATTGCAGTGAAACCATTACATCTGAGAAGTATGCTCAGCAAATTGATGAGATGCACCGAAAACTGCAATCCCTGCACCTGGCATTGGTCAACAGAAAGGGTCCAATTCTTCTCCACAACACCTGACTGCACATCACACCAACACTTCCAAAGTTGAATGAGGCCGGGTGCAGTGGCTTAAGCCAGTCCCAGTACTTTGAGAGGCCGAGGCAGGTGGATCACGAGGTCAAGAGATCGAGACCATCCTGGCCAACATGGTGAAACCCTGTCTCTACTAAAAATACAAAAAAAAAAAAAAAAAATTAGCGGACGTGGTGGTGCGCGGCTATAGTCCCAGCTACTCAGGAGGCTGAGGCAGGAGAATCGCTTGAACTCGGGAGGCAGAGGTTGCAGTGAGCTGAGATCGCGCCATTGCACTCCAGCCTGGCGACAGAGTGAGACTCCATCTCAAAAAAAAAAAAAAAAAAAAAAGAAACAAGCAAACAAACAATCAAAAAAAACTTGAATGAATTGGGCTACAAAGTTTTTCCTTATCTGCCATATTCACTGGACCTCTTGCCAGCTGACTACCACTTCTTCAAGCATCTCAACAACTTTTTGCAGAAAAAAATGCTTCCACAACCAGCAAGATGCAGAAAATGCTTTCCAAGAGTTTGTTGAATCATGAAGCACAGATTTTATGGGGCAGGAGTAAACAAATTTATTTTTTGTTGGCAAACATGTGTTGATTGTAACAGTTCCTATTTTGATTAATAAAGATGTGTTTGAGCCTAGTTATAATGATTTAAAATTCATGGTCCAAAACTGCAATTACTTTTGCACCAACCTAATATCTATATAAGTTATTTAGAATTATTCAGCATGGGAGATTTGTCTATTTTCTCCAATTTATTTATTTATTTATTCATTCATTTATGTCATTATAGACTCATTAATATTTACTTTATACTTTGGATTATAATCTGATACTATTTTATTTATTGTTTTGCTTAAATTGTTCCAGATTTTGCCATTGGGAGCTCTTTCCGTTGGTTTCTGTGTCCTTTTGACAAAATTCCGTCATTTGTTTTTAGCACTTCCTTACTTTCTGACACTACAAGATACCCCAAGCTCACCTTGTATATTCCCTGCCCCAGGCCTCCAATTAGTCTAGAATAATTTCTCTAAAAATCTCTGTTTCCTTTTATTGGAGAATGGTATTAGAACCTAAGATCTGGGTGCTAAGGATGCTAAGGAGACAAGATGCTAGATCTTTTCAAAATGTTACAAACTGCTAAGGAGAAGAATTGTAGTAGGAAATCCTAAATCTAGTAACATCCATTCATTCATCCATCAATCCATCCACACTTTCACTGCAATTTTTTTTGAAAGTTTGGAGTGTACCAGGTGAAGTGCTGGACACCTGGAATAAAAAAATAAAGAGTAATCTTTGTTGATATGAAATTCACAGTTGGCTAGTAGCAAAAGCTTAGACATCTACACAAATGCCATGATAAAACGTTGTTTGTTTAATTTTATTTATCATATGTGTAGTGTGTATTTGGTATTGTGCCAGGTACTTGAGGTACAAAGAGAAACATGGCCCAATTACTGCCTTTAAGGAATTTACACATTAGTGAGGTGAGGATGGGGTGATCAAAGAATATAGGCAAGCAGGCAATCAAAGTACCATGTAATCTGGGGTGAATTGTTCCTAAGTTACAGTTTCAGACTTGCATACTGCACTGTCTCCCAAGTTGCTTTCCAGAGGACGATATCCAAGAACAATACCCAAGGCCCCAAAGGCCCATATTGGCAATAAATCCAGCCTCAGTCTTTCTTAGTGTCTGGTTCCCCTAACATGTTCAGGACTTCTTCAGGGTTTTACTCATGTACGAAATGTTTGCCCTTATCTCACCATTACAGCTGGGCTTGTGTAGAATATTCCGTAGTTGCTCCCAGCAACTGCTCCAGAGAATGGCCATGTCCAACTTGAGTTTGATCTGTTTCTCACTGCTGCCACCCCCTGGAGCTGGAGCTCATCACCACCATCTTCTGTGTTTGAAGCACTCACTGTGTTCCTGGCCTGGTTGTATTTACTCAAAGATGGAACTGTCCGGTCACTTAGAGATTTTCTGACCGAATCTACAGCTCACATAAAAATCAGATGTGCATATTTGTATTATCATTGGAGAAATCAATGTGTATGAAAACTCCCATGAACTTAGCCTGAATTTTTCCAGGATTGATGGATAGTGAAAGCCACCATTTCATTTGGGTATCCACATGGATGATTTGGCCACAGCTGTTGACAGGAGTGAGCGTTTGCAGTATCCTCAGTCTCCATTTCTAGGAATGTGATCATGGACAATTTGTTTAATCTCTCAGACTCTCAGTTTACTCATTTGTGTGGGAAGGGGCATCATAAGTTTGCTGATTATTCCCTCATGGGGCTGTGTAAGGATCCAATGAGTTAATGGATGGGAAATCATTTCTTTCCAATGAAAAGTGTGATAATAACAATAGTCCTATAAATATTTTACAGCAAAATATTTATTGAGTTTATAAGCACATAAATTTGGAGTCAGACAGACCTATGTTTAAATTCTAATTCTATGACCTTGAGCAAACTACTTACCTTTCTGAGCCTCAATTTTGTCATCTATAAAATGGGCCACACTACAGATTTTATAAAGGGAGCCAATGCATGTGATTGAATACTTGGACTAAGGTTATTTATCATCATTATGGCACAACACTAATGGCAGAATTCACAGCTAAAAGAAGATGTGTCATCTGTGAGGATTAAGTGACATGGTTGATTCACTTCACAAATCTTTACTAATACATCCTATGTGCTAGAGAATATCAGTAGGGAACAAAGAAGACACAAATTTCTACCTTCATGGGGCTTACATTCTAGTGGTGAAAGATAGAAAATAAAAAAATAAATTGATAAGTAAAATACTTAGCATGTTAGCTAAGTGTTATGGATGAGGATTGAGTGGAGGGGAAGAATTTTATGTCAGGTGGTCAGGGAAAGCCTTATTGGGAAGATGGGCTTTGTGCAGTGACCCGGAGGAGGTGAGAGAGAGAAGAAAGTCAAAAGGCTGTGTGAGGGTAAAAGCTTTTGAGGCAGAAGGAAGAGAAAGTTTGAAGGCCTGAGGTGAGAGTTGATCACAGTCATGGCTGGGTCATGAACTTCTTAAGTCAGGCAAGGCTCTGAAGGGAAAGTCTTTGTTCAAGACCTGGCTCTGAGTTCCTCTTAGAATGCAGAATGCTCTTCCCAAGCAGCCAGCTCTGGGTTGGGTAGGCTGGTACTCTTATCAAGTCAGCACCATAAACTGGCCACAAAAACTGCCACATAGCTTTTACTTACTAAGCCTGTTTTTGATGGCACAGTCCCTCTGGGCTGGGTTGGTTTTAAACTAAAATATGACAATGGGACACCCCATGTTTACCATGCTCTAGGACAGCATTCCTGATTTCTTTCTATCAGAGGTCCTAAATAGAGAAAGTGCGTATAGACCCCTAGGGGCCTGCAGTGACATTGCACACTTGAAGTTTCCTGAATGCTTTGAGTTTATCCTAACAACTAGTATAAACATGCCTGTTCTATTTTTGTAAAATATTAAATCTTCAAAAAAGTGAACACTTAAGAATGTGCTATATTTATCTAAAGCATTTATGCCCTTTATTGAGCTTTACTGAGATACACTGCTTGAGTTTTGAATCTCAGCTCTACCATTTACTGGCTCTGTGCCCTGGGAAAACTACTTAACCTCTCTATGTCTCAGTTTCTTTATTTTACAATGAGGGTAATCATAGAATCTAGTGCATAGGGCTGTTGTGAGGATGAAATGATTTAAAGTCTGCAAAATGCTTAGAACAGTACATGGTACATAGATAAGCGTCATCTATTATCTATTATTGTTATTGTCTGAATTTTAAAAATATACTTGGTCATCAGGGTGTGCTTAATACATGCAGGGGCACTTATCTCCTGACTTCTTACTCTAGCTACTCTCTTCTGAGTGCTCTCATAGTACTTTATGCAAACTCTAGCCCATTTCATCTCACTGTAATTATTGGCTAACAAAACCTTGTCTCTCCTTTTAAACCCATGGTTCTTAACTGGCTGTGAGATTTTGCCCCTTCTCCCAGGGGTCATTTGGCAATGCATGGGGATGTTTTTGATTGTCACAACATTTGAAAAGCACAACTGGGGTGGGATGCTACTGGCATCTAGTGGGTACAGGCCAGGGATGCCGCTAAACATCCTACAATGCACAAGGCAGCCCGCAACAAATAATTATTCAGTTCAATGTCAATAATGTTGTAGTTGAGGAACCCTGCTGCACACTGTGAAATCTAAAAGGTGATATCTCCTTCATTTTCACGTATTCAGCATCTAGTATAATGCCTGGTTCATGGGAGGCAATCAAACTGTTTGTTAAATCACTTCTTGCATGAAAATTATTGATGCAGAGGCCATGATACTTCCATGGGAAGTTCTGACTCCGTAAGTACTAATAGAAGGCTCTTGACTGTGGACTCCGATATTCCCATGTTTAGTGAATGTCTATTTATGAGACTAAAAAGACGGTACTGATAGCTTTGTAGGAGAGGATATATCTAATGCTGTATCTTTATGCATGCTTAATTTCAATTTTTTTTCTAGTATCCGAGCATCAGCAAAGGCCTAATCCACATAGCTCTTCGGAAGCAGAATTGCTTCGTGTGATTTTTAACTTATTTTAGGTCTTTGCCTAAGGAGAGTCCTAAGAAGGCTTCTAATCTTTTTTATTGTTCCCTTCTCTATCTCAACTTCCCTCTCTGCAATCATCTGAAAATGTCTGGGAGGGACAAGATTTACTTCCCTTTCCAATCTTTCCTCGAATTGCTGGGTGGATGAGCGTGGAAGTACAGCCTCTCCTTTTTCCTCTGTCTCACCGAGTCTGGGGACAGGGAGGAAATGACTAAAAATTGAACGGAGGCTTCCAACAGGGCTGTGAGGAGATCTAGCCCATTTTTAGCACCTTTTAATGTGAAAATGTCTCTCAGCAGGACTTCCCCCCTCATTGTTTGTTTAGCTATGTGATCAGGAAGTGGACACAATTTTCTTGAATTATTCCTGCCAGACACTAAATTATATCTCAAAGAGCAAACCTTTTGATTTTTTTTCTTCACCATTCATTTTCGTTTTTGTTATCATATCGAGGCTGATTCAGTTGAAGCCATTTTCTCACTAAATTTCAGTGGAAGTGGAAAAAAACAAGGACTGAGCAGCTTACTACTAAAAAGATGCAATCCAGGTTTGAATCCAATTAAGTTCCCTTAACACTCCTAAATGTCCACGTGGCCCCAGAAAGAAACCACCCCCAGGATAAGGGGACCCTACAAGGTGCTATCTCAGACTTGCCAAGGAGAGTGTGAGAGTCTAAGACTGGTTCACCATCTACTTGAAGTTGTCACTGAATGGAAAAAAGAGAATGGGTTGGGATCAGAAGAGAAAGAAGCTATGCCCTGCTATGTAAAACTATTAAAGTTGACATTGGTTATAAACTGAAGAACGATTAAGAGGAGGACAACTCATAAAATATGTTTTAACTATGAAAAAGTAATATAATTGCTAACCTTTTATTTCTCACTTTTATTATTTACAAGAACTGCCTATTTGTGTCCAGTTTGAACCCTGTTTGTATACAAAAGTTTTTACTTCACTTGACGAATGGGCTCTGGATGGCTTCTATCCACATCAAGTATATGTTCCAGGCACTGGTTAGATATTGGGAAGCAGAAATGAAAGACACATTATCCTTAAGAGGCATCCTCTTACCTACAGAATATTCAAAGTATCTAATCTTGTTGAGATTAAGATTCTCTATCTGTAACCATGTCTCTGATCCTAATAATTCTAGTTCTTTGTTGTGAGAGCCAAATGAAATAATTTATATATGAAAGCCTGTTGACTGGGAACTGTGAAGCATTATCCATGTTGTTTATTATTTTGTTTTCAGGGGCCAAGTATGGAACTGGCTTACATTACTTCTAACCACATCTTCCTGGCTAGCACATAGGCACGTAAACTACAAGGGCATTTGGGAAAGCAAAGGAGCACATGGGTATTTAGTGAGCACTAATAAACTCTGTTTTAGAGGGGTGGAGGGATGGCAAGTCTTAACTACCTAAATTCTTTATAGAAAGATGATACAGGATTTCCTAGAATGAAGCAGTGACTATCCTTTATGTAATAATGAGCATTTACACATATGATCCATGTGCACGTAGAGACCAATACTGAATTCAGAACTCATTTCGTCACTTGACTAGCTGTTTCATATCAGGCAATTTACTAACCTTTCTGAGACTCAGTTTCCTCATCTGTGAAATGGGCTAGGCAATGCATGTCTTAGAGCTTTTTGTAAGGTTTAGGGATAAATGTGTGAGATGCCTTTGTTTAGTACTTGCCAACCAAGTAGATACTCAAAAATGGTAAATATTAATATTTCTACCAACTTCCTAGGGTTATAAGTGAGTGAACAGAGATACATAAGGTGTCTTTGCTAAAGACACCAAGTTAGTAAATGGCACAGTGGGAACTAGAACCCAATTCTATTACTCCTAGTTTGATGTTCTTTACCTTATACTACTTTTCCCATGCCAATTTGTCAACAGGACTTGAGTCATCATTTGAAATGTTTCTCTGAATTGTTATTTTACCTCCATTCCTTATGAAGACCACTGCTTGGATTTATGCAATATTTTACCTGGTGCCTTTCCTTTGGGTTTTCTTTATCTGTTCTCATTCTCAACCTTCCAAGTTGATCATTTTTCTGTCCTAGAATTTCCACCATCTTCTGCATGAACTCGAAATCCTTCTGCCTATTTTCCAAGGTCTTTAATCTGTCCTTTGTCAGAAGACCTAAGAAGCCTGAGGAAGTGTAAGAAAATTTGTATGGCTGGGGCAGTATAAAGAAAAATAACTTATGTGTTACAATTTCAGAGCTCCACATTTGTTCCCTCCCTTCTTCCCAAATATTTGAGTGTTCTTCTACAATGATTGGCAAACTTTTCCTAGAAAGGGCCAGATAATAAATATTTCAGGTTTTGTGGTCCATAGGCTCTCTATCTCTATTCCAACTACTCAACTCTACCATGGTAGTGTGAAAGCAGCCATAGACTATCTGTAAACAAATGAATGTGGCTTTGTTCCAATTAAACTTTTTTTTTTTTTTTTAGGTAGAGACGGAGTCTGGCTACGTTGCCAGGGCTGGTCTTGAACTCCTAGGCTAAAGCAATCTTCCTGTCTTGGCCTCTCAAAATGCTGGGATTATAATTGTGAACCACCAGGCCTGGCCAATAAAATTTTATTTATAAGAAATAGGCTACAGGCCATGGTTTCCAAGCCCTGTTCCACTCTACTGCTTTACTTTGCCAGTTCTTTTTTCTCTTTCCCATTTCCTAGCACTTCCTGTCTCTTCCACGTGGGCTGGTCTTCTTGCTATCATAAACATATGACATATAATTTTTTTCTCTGTCTTTGCTTCTATAACAACAGAACTTAGAAAGCTCTTCTTTCACCTGTTCTCACACTCTCGTTATTACCCCTGCTGTCTGACTGTTTTCTAGTCCGAACCACACCAAGTACATGATATAACTATGTGAAATAAATACAAGGTATTACTTTATAATTGCTTCATATATTGTCTTATCATCTCTAAGGTAAGCACTTTTCCTGTATTCCTAACTTGTGCTAATACAATATAATTAGATACTACAAAATAAACACAACTTAATTTATTTTTTTAACCTATATTCTGCTCTCCTAACTTGAGCTAGGAACTTGGCAGACTACTTTGCTTATTTCAGAAAGATACTTTGGAAAATAGTGATTAAAAATTATAAGCAAATGGTACCCAGTGAAATCTAACTCAACAAGTCTGTCTAGGATGTCATTTCTTGTATTTTTATTATAGAAATAGAAATTCTCTTACAGTTTTCTACACATTCATCTAAAGAATTATCTGCTTTGGAGCTAATCCCTTCCAATATCCCAATCCCGCTATCTTTGGCAAATAATTTTGCCAATGCTCCAAGCCTAGGGTAAAAAAAAAAAACTTTTTAGCTAGGGGCTGAAGGATGAAGACACTTCTATAATATGAATGCTTTGGAATGTAATGCAACTTTGGACACTGTCAATTGGTTCAGCTTTCCCAGTTTTCTCACCCATTTCTTTCAAAAAGTCATTAACACATATTAACAAATATTAGATATTTAGGGACTCAGGGATAAGGATGAAATTCAAAAAGGAAGCTATGCTCAGATGCTGAGCCATTTCTGACACTTTTGGCATTCTTTCTTGCTTGGACTTCTACTAGTAAATTTTTTTGTTTAGCCACCTCATTTTGGATGTTTGCATACAATCCAGTAAAGTGGCATAGTGACCACAAAATTGTATGAATCATTTTCAGACAGTTTATGAAACTTTATTCACAAGATTTCCATCTTGGGAATGTTCTACCACCTCTGTTTAATTTCCCCAAATCTTTCTTTTCCTTCAGACTAGGTCAAGTTTTCTTCACTATAAAATTTTCATGACTATTTTATCTCCCAGCATCTTCATCCTTTTCTAAATTTGAAGGCAAATGAATGCTCATACCATGCATTTTTCTATCCTAGAAGTTTGACACTTACTATTTATTTTCTTGTTACATCACATGGGTTACAGAGTTGTTTTGTTATTAAACTTTACATGTTAACATCTCTTGTATCTGCAATGAGACTGTAAGCTCTCTAAGGGCAAATAACTAATTTTATATTTCTTTTAGTTTTCTTCATTATGCGTACACTTATTTATTTACTTATTTTTTTAGAGACAAGGTCTCACTTTGTTGCCCAGGCTGGAGTACAGTGGTGTGATCATAGCTCATTGCAGCCTGGAACTCCTGGGTCAAGTGAATCTCCCGCTTCAGCCTCCCGAGTAGCTAGGACTATAGGCACGTACCACCATGCCTGGATAATTTTAAATTTTTTGTAGAGACGAGATCTATCCAGGCTGGTCTCGAACTCCTAGCCTCAATTGATTCTTCTGCCTCAGCTTCTGAAAGCACTGGGATTACAGGCATGCACCACCGTGCCCAGCCTTGTATACTTTTTTGATTGATTGAATGAATGAGTGGCTGAAGAATCTAGGAGCATAAAATATATAAATGCCTATATGTTATGGATGAAGAGGTTAGTGCATAGTATGTCAAAAAGGCTCAGATAAAGATGTCAAAGTAGGAAAGCACAAAAAGATTTTTTTAGGTCTGCAGTATTATCTTCTTTAATTGGCCAATTTAAGTTGGACAATTGAGGTCATTAATGTTATATATTAGTGTTAAATGACCATCCTGCTCATATGACATTTATTCATGTAACTTGCAAGGGTATACAGTCAAATGAGGACCATTAATTCCCACATCTGGAGAAATGCATGTTTTTTGGTCAGTTGGGGAGATGGTGTTAAGGACCTTCTTGAATTATTTTTCTTCTTTCAAAAATGAGGGGAAATTCCCATATTCCAGAGGCAAATTGTATAATAATCTTATTTTTACATTTCAGTTTTTTATAGAAACAAATTCTGAAACCAATGTCCTATAATTTTGGCAATAAGTTCTTGCAAATAAAGGAGACTAAAACATTTGCAAATCACTCAAGTCCCTATTTGGATATAGTAAACTTGGGCGATTTCAAGGGAATTGTAGTTTTTTTTTTTTTTTTAAATAAATAAGCCTTTTTTTTTCTTTTAAAGAGAGGGGTAATTAAAATATATAGCTTAGATGGAAACTTGGCCTGTGATTCATTAAAATGTTTCGTGAATATTGCCAATCTTCCCCACTTCGTTAGACTTTTCCCCTGCTTCTACTCTCTGTGTCTGGCTCAGTCTTGTCCTGGCCTCTAAATGTGTTTATTCTATACAGTTTGTGTGTTTGTTCATTTATTAATTCAATAAATATTTATTAAGTATCTGCTTATCTTAAGCACTTATAGTCACAGATGTTCATACCATTAAGCATGCCATCCAAGATAAACTTGAAAAGTTTTTGGGACTTGATACATTGCAGAAACATCAAACTTATTTAAGTTCAATGTACACTTGAAGAATCTGCATTATTTTTTCAATAATGCCTGCCTTTTTAAAAATCCAACACAAGCCTTTTCGAACTCCTTGGCATTGAAGTACATGAAGTGTGGGTCTTGTGTTTCTTTGCATTTAAAATTCCTTCTATACGACAAGCACTCAGTATCTATTTGTTGAAAACAGTAGATGGCCAACTTACAATGTGTATATCTTTAATAGGAAAAGTGCTAGAGAGGGTACTAGAGAAATGCATTTGAGAAAGATAAGGCTTTAGGCAGTATTAAGACTCATTAGTAACTGTAAGTTTATTATATTGAAATGAACCAAATACCAATGATCTTAATAGGAGACATTTGTTTTATGGGCTAAAGCATACATTTCTAAAAGAGTGCTTAGGGACATTAATAGATATTTCGTGTGAAAGAATGTTCTGTGGTTACTTATGCTTGAGAAATACTAGTTTCAACAGAGGAAATCAGTGTCTTTGTTGCAGGGCTTCTCAGAGCCTTTAGAATGCACCGTGAACAAGTAGCACAGCTCAAATGTGTATGATCATGGAATCCCGCTAATATAGAACATTTCTCAGGACTGGTGTCTCTGCAAAACATACATGAGAACGTGCTATCTTAGAGCAATTATATTCCAATTATTAAGTACTAGGATTCTGCACAGGTGCTTGGGGTGAGGTGGCAAGAATAATAGGCAAACAGACTCCCACCATATCTGTAGCCAGAGAAAATGTAGTTTTATCAATTTATATATTTGAATTCTATATGACATTTTATATGGACTCCTAAAAAATTTTTGCAAATCACTGCTCCAGAGCTGGGGGAAAATTACTCTAAAGTAGCTGTAACATCAGCTGTACAATAATAGATTTCATAAAAGCATACTTGACATGGTTTGGCTGTGTCCCCACCCAAAATCTCATCTTAAATTGTAAAAATTCCCGCATGTCAAGGGCGAGACCAGGTGGAGATAATTGAATCATGGGGGCGGTTTCCCTCATGCTGTTCTCGTGATAGTGAGTTCTCACGTGATCTGATGGTTTTATAAGGGGCTTCCCCGTTTGCTCAGCACTCATTCTCTCCGCTGCTGCCCCGTGAAGACGTGCCTTCCGCCATGATTGTAAGTTTCTTAAGGCCTCTCCAGCCATGCGGAACTGTAAGTCAATGAATCCTCTTTCTTTTATAAATTACCCGGTTGCGAGAATTTCTTCATAGCAGCGTGAGAGCAGACTAATACAGTGCTCTAGCAGCACTACTTAGAATGTGGCAGGCATATTAAAGCAAGCTTCCACACATGCCATGCCCACATACGTGCATACAGACTCCCACCATACATACAGACATCACGGAGGTGTGGCCTTGATGTGCTGAACTTACAACTTAGTTTTCTTTCTCAAGTCCCTTTCTTTCAACTCTCCATATTGTGCCTTTTAGGCTGATTCTCCTACCGTCGTTTCTTTAATATTAAATTATTATGAAATCCATGGGCTATACAGAACATATAAAGGCTAATGACAAATAGTTTTTCCTTTAGTTGATTAATAAAATTTTATTTTTAGAGCAGTTTTGGGTTCACAGAAAAATTAAATGTAAAGTGCAGAGAGTTCCTATATACCTCCAACCTCACAGAGGTGTAAACTCCCCTGCCATCAATATCGTTTGATACTTTTGCTGATTGATGTGAGTAGTTTTTATTAAGAAATAATTCAGGTATATAAAAGGTATAAAGATAAAAATGTATAAAGAATAATATAATTAACCCCTGTCCAGCTACCACTCGTTTGAAGCCTTTTGTGTATTCTTAATCCTAAATGCCCACCAGTACCCGTTTCCTGAATTGGGAGTTTGTCATTCCTACACATATTCTTACCTACCTAAATACCATAAATTCCTTTACAAATTACCCAGTCTCGGGTATTTCTTCATAGCAGCACGGGAAGGACTAATACAGTGCTCTAGCAGCACTACTTAGAATGTGTTTGTCTTTTACGTTTTGTCTACCTAAACAATATGGTACTGTTTGGCATGTTCTTATCACAAAAGTGGCATCATCTTTAGGTACTCCAGAGAAACTTTCGTTTTTTGTTCAATATTGTGTTTGTGAAATATTTTCATGTTTATTCAATACCTCCAGTTCATTTATTTTCTCTGCTATTATTCTCTTATTTGATTATACCGTAACTTTTAAATTCTACTATTGATGAGCATTTACTTTTTTTTTACTTTTTGCAATAACAAATGAAGCTGCTATCAACATTTTAAAGTTTTCCCTATGCACATGTGCAAGAATTTCCTTACATGTGCCTCAGAGTGGTCACATGTTCAACTTCATAACATTGCTTGTATCAATTGTATTCCCAACAACAGTTTACAGGATTTCTCTTGGCTCTACATCCTTGTCAACACTCAGAATGGTAAGGTTTGGCCAATAGAACAGGTGGAAAATAGAATTTTAATATGATTTTAATTTGAATTTTATTGTTTATTAGTAATGTTGGGTACCTTTTTATATGTTTTTTTGCCCTTTGGTTTCTTATTCTTTGAAATGCCTCTTTTTTGCTCATCGGAAAATCTTCACTTAAAAAAAAATCCTTTGCTAAAACCAAAAAACATAAAAACAAAAATCAAACAACTTTAGGTTTATTCTAGAATCTTACAGGGTTATTTTGTGGTCTACTATGAGAAAATTCATTCCATCTTAATCATACCCAGACTGGTTGGAGTGGTCTTGGCCTATAGCCCTATGTGAGATTTTGAGTAATCTTTCACCTCTCAGAAGGCTGGGTTGATGCGATGGCCAGACCAAAATTTCACTGTGACCTCAGGACAAGGCACAGGGGACTGGCACATGCCCTGTCTGTTAGAAATCAAGACCAGGTGGGAGACTTCAATCTCCAGGAGAAAACTGGAGATTTAATAAGACTCTCTACACTTTCTACCTAACACTTTTTGTCTGAAAACCTCAAGGCATTCAGGAAACATTAATTAATTAAGCTTTACAACAGCTCTGTGAAATAGGTAAGGATATACAGGAACATATCTCTAGGGAAACAACATGGCAGCTGTTTAGCAACATGCAGGAATACTAAGTGGCAGACAGTAAGGCACTGCAGACATATGCAATTAAAAAATGATAACAGCACTTGGAGGTAGGATTCTTTCTTGGAATTTGGCCCGAATTCTGGCACTGACAGTTCTAATAATAGGAGGAGCCTGGTCCAAGCAGTGAGTCCTGCTGAAAGCCCAGGTGGGCCTGGGCCATTTGAATCTAAATGCAGTGTTTCTTTAAGTAAGATGATTTTTGTTTATTTTTTTAATTCTTAATTCTTTTATGATATAAGCTATTTCTCCTCATGCCTCAAACCCTATTTGTCTTTTAAGGAATGAACAGATCTAAAGTAGAAAAATAAGGAAAATATGAACCCTTCTGAATGAAAATGTCTATTTTTTTTGTAATAAAAAATTTCTCCTGAGTTTTCTTTTTTGTGCCAAGACAATCTGGTGGTAAAGGGAAGCCAGTTAGAAACAAAAATCACAACAATACCAGTATTTAGGACTTAGGAGGAAAAATTTTAAATGTTTTAAAGTATAAAATGTAAATCAATCAGATCTATTTAGTAAAGAATAAAAGTTAGGAAGATCATATAATTATCTTTATTTCTATCTAGAAATTTTATACTTTAAGACCCTGAGTTACTCTTTACATCCAAAAGAACCAAAGTCATGAGATTAAATTAAAAAAGGGTTTGGTAGATCCAGAGAATTATTAGCTGTCAGTGTTAGGGAGAATAGCATTAACATTTTATGGGGTATTTCTACTTTATGCCTATCACCTCATATACTATAATCTCATTTCACCTTAATATATATAGGTATGAAGTATATATTTATATATGTAATATATTTATACAAGTAATATATTAATCCCATAAAAAGGTATAAAATAAAAAATAACGTATCTTCACTCCATCATCTCTCTTCCCTTTGTATATATATCCAGAAAAAAGGTTTTATGCATATACCTGTATGTTTAGAAATACAATGGATATGTGCATATATGTATATACTTTTTATTATATATGTATAACTTTAATTAACACAAATAGAGTCATATGATCCACACCACTGCCTATGTAGCTTTTAAAACATAAATACATATGGGAGCTGTTTCCTCAAAAGCACATACAGACCAAGCTCATTACTGTATTTGACTGTGTGGCATTCCGTAGTATGAGCGTACCAGAGTATATTACCTGGTTCCTATTGGTGGACATTTAGATTGTTTCTTGTTTTTATAATTATAAGTAGTTATAAGAATGTATTAATATCTGTGTCTTGGCAGATATTTTTGACTATACATCTCCATAGAAAACTTTCTAACATGAAATGACTGGGTTAAAGTATATTGGTATTTAGAAATTTGATAGACATAGCTGACTTGCTATCAAAAAATATTATGTAAATGTACACTTTTCCATCAATAATAGAAGTTGAAAACAAAATTTTAGTTTCTTTTTCCACACACTATCGCCAATATTGGTTATTTTGGCAAAATGATATTTCATTTTTTTATGTTTCTTTAAATTTTAGAAGTTGAGCATATTTTCATGTTTACAGGACCTTTTTATTAGTTTTCCTAAAAGCTTCCTGTTCACAGCCTTTGACTATTTTCTATTGCACCATATTTTAAAAATGGATTTATATTAGGTCTTTTAAAATTAAGAAATTGGCTTTTTGCATCCACATTGCACATAGTTTTCTAAGTATTTTGTCTTTTGACTTTATGCATTTTTATGTACAAAATGTTATATTTCTGTGTAGACAATTTATCATTCTTTTAAAATTGCATCTAGGTTTTATGTCCTGTTTACAAAAGCCCTTCCAATTCCAAGATTGTAAATAAATTTGCCTGGGCCTTATTCTAGTGTTTTTATAGGTTTATTTTGAAAAACTTTGATTCATCTGGAATTAAAACTTTTTCGTGGCATAAGAAGCAATATAATGATCCATCCTCTTTCCAGCCCTTCACCCTTTCTTCTTCCCTCTCTCTCTCCCTTTGTCATTGGCTAGCTACATGTCCTAATTCTGGTTACTGCATACTCCATTCTTACCCCTGCTTTGAAATGCCTCTTTTATCATGTTAGTATCTCCAGCTCACATATGAGAAGCTACACTAACAAAGATAGTGGCAGAGCCAGAATTTGATTCCTTGTTAATTTAAAGCTAAGGTCTGACCTTTTCTCACTTCAGTGTTTTGGATTGATACTGAGGAGAGGCATGTTTATCATCTTTTCAAATTTGCTTTTTTTTTTTTTTTTTTTTTTTAGTTTTTGTGGGTACATAGTAGGTGTATATATTTATGGGGTACATGAGACGTCTTGATACAGGCATGTGGTCTGAAATAGCACATTATGGGGAATGAGGTATCTATCCCTTCAAGCATTTACACTTTAAGTTACAAACAATTCAATTACACTCTTTAAGTTATTTTAAAATGTGTCATCTTAATTTAGATTTGGATTTTATTTATTACTTTGAAACTCAGATCCTCAATTCATGCCATACTCTCCTCGTTGGTCCAGGCATGACTTTTAAGTTAATTATTTATTTTTAATATAAATAAACAGCCATATGCCCACCACTCAACCTGGAAATGAACATTGATGAATATGGTTTTTTTCCTTTCTAGTTCCTTGTCTTTCCTACTTGAGTTTCCCTATTCTAAATCTTGTATTGATTTATCTCTTTTTTTAAATATGGGAAATACGTTACTTCTGGTATGTTATTATAAGAAAAATAATGCTATCCTTCCTAAAAATAATGTAATTTAGTGTTAGTTATTTTTAACTTTATAAAAGAGGCAAGAAGTTGTATGTAACATTTTGGGACTTAGTTTTTAGCTTTTTTTTTTTTTAACTCAATGTCATATTTCTAAAATTCATCCATATTCTTATTACAGTTAAATTGTTACTGATAATTTGGAAAACCGTCAGCATTATCTTATACAGTTGAGTCTACACATTCTTTACAACTGATAAATTTCACTCTCATTTATATATCCCACAGAGACTCTTGCAATGCCTACCAGAGATAAGTACAAGAATGTTAATAGCAGCATGTTTGTAATAGCAAAACTCTAGAAATAATCCAAATCCCCATCAATAGGAGAAAAGATAAATAAATAATGGGATATTCACATCAAATAACATTTTGTACTATTAAAAATTTTAATGTAATTAGGCTCATTTAAATATTTATCATAACAAATTCAACATAATGGAGACAACCAATGTTTCACTAATTTATGATGCCAGCTTTGCCCATCTTTATGTAGACTTAGAAGAAAACTCCTATTATTTTGATACACATATTTAAAATTAAAATTAAAATGTTCCATTAGTTCAAATGATTAGAAAGGTTGTAGTTCTATACTGATCTTTTTGTTTGTTTTTGTTTTTATTATACTTTAAGTTCTGGGATACACATGCAGAACATAGAGGTTTGTTACATAGGTATACATATGCGATGGTGGTTTGCTGAACCCATCAACCCATCATCTACATTAGGTATTTCTCCTAATGCTATCCCTCCCCTAGCCCCACCACCCCCTGACAGGCCCCGGTGTGTGATGGTCCCCTCCCTGTGCCCATATATTCTCATTGTTCAGCTCCCACTTTTGAGTGAGAACATGCAGTGTTTGGTTTTCTGTTCCTGTGTTATTTTGCTGAGAATGATGGTTTCCAGCTTCATCCATGTCCCTGCAAAGGACATAAACTCATTCTTTTTTTATGGCTGCATAAAGAAAGTGTATATGTGCCACATTTTCTTTATCCAGTCTAAACTGATGGGCATTTGAGTTGGTTCCAAGTCTTTGCTATTGTGAATAGTGCTGCAATAAACATATGTGTGCATGTGTCTTTATAATAGAATTATTTTTAATCATTTGGGTATATACCCAGTAATGGGATTGCTGGGTCAAATGGTATTTCTGGTTTTAGATCCTTGAGGAATTGCCACGCTGTCTTCCATAATGGTTGAACTAATTTACACGCCCACCAGCAGTGTAAAAACGTTATTTCTCCACATCCTCTCCAGCATCTGTTGTTTCCTGACTTTTTAATGATTGCCATTCTAACTGGCGTGAGATGGTATCTCATTGTGGTTTTGATTTGCATTTTTCTGATAACCGGTTATAATGAGCTTTTTTCATATGATTGTTGGCTGCATAAATGTCTTATTTTGAAAAGTGTCTGTTTATATCCTTCACCCACTTTTTGATGGGTTTTTTTTTCTTGTAAATTTGTTTAAGTTCCTTGTAGATTCTGGATATTAGTCCTTTGTCAGATAGATAGATTGCAAAACTTTTCTCCCATTCTGTAGGTTGCCTGTTCACTCTGATGATAGTTTCTTTTGCTGTGCAGAAGCTCTTTCGTTTAATTAGATCCCATTTGTCTATTTTGGCTTTTGTTGCCATTGTTTTTGGTGTTTTCGTCATGAAGTCTTTGCCCATGCCTATGTCCTGAATGGTATTGCCTAGGTTTTCTTCTAGGGTTTTTATGGTTTTAGGTCTTATGTTTAAATTTTTAATTCATCTTGAGGGAATTTTTGTATAAGGTGTAAGGAAGGGGTCCAGTTTCAGTTTTCTCCATACGTGTAGCCAGTTTTCCCAAATCATTTATTAAATAGGGAATCCTTTCCCAATTGCTTGTTTTGGTCAGGTTTGTCAAAGATCAGATGGTTGTAGATGTGTGGTGTTATTTCTGAGGCCTCTGTTCTGTTCCATTGGTCTATATATCTATTCTGGTACCAGTACCATGCTGTTTTGGTTACTGTAGCCTTGTAGTATAGTTTGAAGTCAGGTAGTATGATGCCTCCAGCTTTGTTCTTTTTGCTTGGGATTGTCTTGGCAATGTGGGCTCTTTTTTGGTTCCATATGAACTTTAAAGTAGTTTTTTCCAATTCTGTGAAGAAAGTCATTGGTAGCTTGATGGGAATAGCATTGAATCTATAAATTACTTTGGGCAGTACGGCCATTTTCATGATATTGATTTTTCCTATCCATGAGCAAGGAATGTTTTTCCATTTATTCGTGCCCTCTCTTATTTCCTTGAGCCGTGGTTTGTAGTTCTCCTTGAAGAGGTCCTTCACATCCCTTGTAAATTGTATTCCTAGGTATTTTATTCTCTTTGTAGCAATTGTGAATTGGAGTTTGCCCATGATTTGGCTCTCTGTTCGTCTATTATTGGCATATAGGAATGCTTGTGATTTTTACACATTGATTTTGTATCCTGAGACTTTGTGGAAGCTGCTTATCAGCTTAAGAAGTTTTTGGGCTCAGGTGATGGGATTTTCTAAATATACAATCATGTCCTCTGCAAACAGAGATAATTTGACTTCCTCTTTTCCTATTTGAATACCTTTTCTTTCTTTCTCTTGTCTGATTGCCTTGGCCAGAACTTCCAATACTATGTTGAATAGGAGTGGTAAGAGTGGGCCTCCTTGTCTTGTGCTGGTTTTTAAAGGGAATGCTTCCAGCTTTTGCCAATTCAGTATGATATTGGCTGTGGGTTTGTCATAAATAGATCTTATTATTTTGAGATATGTTCCATCAATACCTAGTTTATTGAGTGTTCTTAGCATGAAGGCATGTTAAATTTTATTGAATGCCTTTTCTGCATCTATTGAGATAATCATATGGTATTTGTCATTGGTTCTGTTTATGTGATGGTTGACGTTTATTAATTTGCGTATGTTGAACCAGCCTTGCATCCCAAGGGTGAAGCCGACTTAATCGTGGTGGATAAGCTTTTATTGTGCTGCTGGATTCTGTTTGCCAGTATTTTACTGAGGATTTTCACATCAATGTTCATCAGGGATATTGGCCTGAAATTTTCTTTTTGTGTTGTGTCTCTGCCAGGTTTTGGTATCAGATGATGCTGGCCTCATAAAATGAGTTAGTGAGGAGTCCCTCTTTTCTATTGTTTGGAATACTTTCAGAAGGAATGGTACCAGCTCCTCTTTGTACCTCTGGTAGAATTTGGCTGTGAATCCATCTGGTCCTGGGCTTTTTTTTGGTTGGTAGGCTATTAATTATTGCCTCAGTTTCAGAACTTATTATTGGTCTATTCAGGGATTCGACTTCTTCCTGGTTTCATCTTGGGAGGGTGTATGAGTCCAGGAATATATCAATTTCTTCTAGATTTTCTAGTTTATTTGCATAGAGGTGTTTATAGTATTCTCTGATGGTAGTTTGTATTTCTGTGGGATCGGTGGTGATCTCCCCTTTATCATTTTTTATTGTGTCTGTTTTTTTCTTCCCTCCTTTCTTCTTTATTAGCCTGGCTAGCAGTCTATCTATTTTGTTAATCTTTTCAAAAAACCAGCTCCTGGATTCATTGATTGTTTTGAAGGGTTTTTCATGTCTCTATCCCCTTCAGTTCTGCTCTGATCTTAGTTATTTCCTGTCTTCTGCTAGCTTTTGAATTTGTTTGCTCTTGGTTGTCTAATTCTTTTAATTGTGATGTTAAGGTGTTGATTTTAGATATTTCCCACTTTCTCTTCTGGGCATTTAGTGCTATAAATTTCCCTGTACACACTGCTTTAGCTGTGTCCCAGAGATTCTGGTACGTTGTGTCTTTGTTCTCATTGATTTCAAAGAACTTATTTATTTCTTCCTTATTTCGGTTATTTACCCAGTGGTCACTCAGGAGCAGATTGTTCAGTTTCCATGTAGTTGTGTGGTTTTGAGTGAGTTTCTTAATCCTGAGTTCTAATTTGATTCCACTGTGGTCTGAGAGACTGTTTATGATTTCCATACCTTTGCATTTGCTGAGGAGTGTTTACTTCCAATTATGTGGTGGATTTTAGAATAAGTGCTATGTGGTGCTGAGAACAATGTATCTTCTGTTGATTGGGGGTGGAGAGTTCTGTCTATTAGGTCCGCTTGGTCCAGAGGTGAGTTCAAGTCCTGAATATCTTTGTAAATTTTCTGTCTTGTTGATCTAATATTAACTGTAGGGTGTTATAGAGTCTCCTACTATTATTGTGTGGGAGTCTAAGTCTCTTTGTAGGTCTCTAAGTACTTGCTTTATGAATCTGGGTGCTCCTGCATTGGGTGCATATATATTTAAGATAGTTAGCTCTTGTTGTTGCATTGATCCTTTTACCATTATGTAATGCCCTTCTTTGTCTCTTTTGATCTTTGTTGGTTTAAAGTCTGTTTTATCAGAGAGTAGGATTGCAATCCCTGCTTTTTTTTGCTTTCCATTTGCTTGGTAAGTCTTCCACCATGGCCTTATTTTGAGCCTGTGTTACACTGATCTTTTAAAGAGTTCAAACATGTACACATTTACCTGAACAAAATTTTGTAAGTAGTTTATAATAAATAAATATGCTTTTATAATGGTATAATAGTAATTTGTACAAGTGAATGTAAATGACAAGTGAATGTGCAATGCTATTATGTATTGATTACAGAAAAATTCAGTTTTTAAAATATTTATAATTGGGAATATTGTTAAATACTATTAAGCCTTGAATCAAAACTTTCTGATATTATAAGGGAAACCGGTATAAACACTTTACTATTTGCAATTTCTTATTATAGCAGGCAAAGATTTTGTACACACTGTGGAAAAAAAACCCACATTTAGAAATAAATGGAAAGTTAGTTTAATTTGATTATAGCTGCAATCTATACTGATGTTCTGATCATCTCCTATTCACTCTGTCAGCAAGGAAGGATTCCCCAACCTAAATAATATAAGATGACCAGAAACATGATGCCTGACACTGGACAGAAGAAACTGACAGCAGTTTATTAGTCACCTAGACTCAGAGTCCTGGGAAGGAGGGTACAGCATGCTAGAGGGGGCCATACCACAGGGGTCACACTTGGAAGCCAACTAAGCAGTAGGGGCTCTGAGAGGCAAGCTTTGTGGAAACAAGAGAATGAGGTGACTCCTGGCTCCTGTGAGAATGCGATTGACTTGTGCAAATAATTTTGCCGTTGGTAGGGAGGTGAAACTCATTAGGTTGAAACTAAGTGGAGTGCAGCTGGCCCAGCTGATAGAGGAACTAGCCAGTGGGAAGCCTTTTCCACAGGGTGAGGAACATATCTGGTAAGAGCAGGGTAACTTAAGAGTTTAGGGCCCTATGACCTTAAAGATGCCAAGGCAGACATGAAATTTAGGCCATACACTACAATCTGCCAGTTTCAGATTTTTAGCTTATTAAAGCATCTTCATTACATCTATTGATCATTTTATAGTGAGAAAATGTTGTAAATTTAAGGTTTTTCAGCACTCTTCTGTGAAAAGTAATGCTTTTAGTTGTTAAATCCTAGATTTCCAAGTAACATATTGGTTTAAAAAAAGTTTTATTTTATAAAATGTTTCTCCATTGTCTTGGCTTGCATTGGTTTGAATAAGAAGTCTGCTGTCATTCTTATGATTATTCATGTAACTTGTCTTTTTCTGATTATTTTAAAGATTTTATTGCTAGTTTTAAACAGTTTTTTTTTTTTTTTGAGACAGAATCTCGCCCTGTTGCCCAGGCTAGAGTGCAGTGGCGCGATCTCGGCTCACTGCAACCTCCGCCTCCTGGGTTCATGCCATTCTCCTGCCTCAGCCTCCTGAGTCGCTGGGACTACAGGCACCTGCCACCATGCCTGGCTAATTTTTTTTGTGTTTTTAGTAGAGACGGGGTTTCACTGTGTTAGCTAGGATGGTCTCGATCTCCTGACCTCATGATCCACCTGCCTCAGCCTTCCAGAGTGCTGGGATTACAGGCATGAGCCACTGTGCCCAGCCAAACAGTTTGATTTTAATGTAACTTGGTATAGCCTTATTCATGTTTCTTGGAGTGCATTGAGCCTCTTCAATCTTTGGGCTTATAGTTTTCATTAATTTAGAAAATGTTCAGCCATTATTTCTTCAAATATTTTCTTGTGTTCCTATCTCTCACTCCCATTAGGCAATCCAGTTACACATAAATTAGGTCACTTGAAGTTGTCTCTTTTTTTCTCTTTGTATTTTATTTTGGATAATTTCTCTTGTATATTTTCAAGTTCACTAACTTTTTCTTCTGCAATGTCTAATCTGCTTTTATTCAATCCAATATATTTTTCATCTCAGAGACTGTAGTTTGTATTTTTAAAAGTTTGATATGGATTTTTTTAACTTCAAAATCTCAAATTAACATGCTCAATATTTCTACTAGCCTCCTGACCACATAAAATACAGTTTATAATAAGTTTTAATAGCTTTGTCTACTAATTCTGTCTTTGTGTCACTTTTTGGCTGGTTTTGGTTAATTGCTTCTGCTCATTATGGGTCACATTTTTCTTCCTCTTTGAATACATAATAATTTTTTATTTGATGCCAGACTTTGTGATTTTTCCTTTTTGTGTGCTGTTTTTGTCTTCCTGTAGTATATAATGTGTCTTGCTTTTGATCTTTGTTAGTTATGATCAGAGCAGCATTTCTTTAGAAACATGTTTTTCGTACTGCTGAGGCAAAAGCCTTGTGAACACAGTAGCTGATGTTCAGTGAGTTGTTTGGTTTTTCACTTTGGCGGATGAAATACGAACTGTACCTGGCCCTGTGTGAACCCTAGGTGTTGTTCCTGTGAATCCCTTTCAGTGGTTTCTTCTTTTTCTCTGAGTTTGCTGATCAGTATTCAGCAGATAGTCAAGTAGGACCCTTTGCAGCTCTCCAGAATTCCCTCTCTCTCTTTCTTTCTCTCTCTCTCTCTCTTCCTCTCTCTCTTCTGCTTTTTCCACTCTACTGTTCTGTCATGTGAATTCTAGCCACCTTAATCTCCACCCAATTCTTATTCCTCAGTGTAGGCGTACTGTTGGTCACTGCCTGGTTTCATTTTTTGTGCTGTATGTGGAAACTCTTTAGGCAGTAAGGTGAAACAATGGTAGCAACTTTTTTGTTGGCATCATACATTTGCTGTATTTTGTTGAAGATTTTTGTGTCTGTGTTCCTCAAGAATATTGGTCTGAAGTTGTTTTTTTTTTTCCGTTGGTCCTTGCCAGATTTTGGTATCAAAATGATACTGATTTTGTAGAATGAGTTAGGAAGAAATCCCTTCTCCTCAATCTTTTGAAATAGTTTTAGTAAGAGTGGTACCAGCTCTTTTTGCATCTGATAGAATTTGGCTAGGGATCTGTGTAGCCCAGGGCTTTTGGTTAGTAGGTTTTTTATTACTGATTTAATTTTGTAACTAGTTATTGGTCTGTTCAGGATTTTGATTTCTTCCTGGATCAATCTTGGGAGTTTGTGTGTTTCCAGGAATTTATCCATTTCCTCTAGGTTTTCTATTTTGTGTGCATAGACATGTTCGTAGTAATCTCTGAGGACCTTTTATATTTCTGTGATATCAGTTGTAATGTCATCTTTGTAATTTCTGATTGTGCTTATTTGGATCTTTTCTCTCTCCCTCTCAGTTAATCTAGCTAGTGATTTATCAATCTTGTTTATTATTTCAAATAACGAACTTTTCCTTTCATTGATCCTTTGTATGGTTTATTGGGTCTCAATTTCATTTAGTTGTACTTTGATTTTAGTTATTTCTTTTCTCCTACTAGCTTTGCATTTAGTCTGTTCTTATTTTTCTAATTCCTTTAGGTGTGACATTAGGTTGTTAATTTGAGATCTTACTGTCTTTTTTTTTTTTTTTTTTTTTTTTTTTTTTTTTTTGAGACAGAGTCTCACTCTTTTGCCCAGGCCGGAGTGCAGTGGTGCAATCTTGGCTCACTGCAAGCTCCACCTCCCGGGTTCACGCCATTCTCCTGCCTCAGCCTCCTGAGTAGCTCGGACTACAGGCACCCGCCACCATGCCCGGCTAATTTTTTGTATTTTTAGTAGAGATGGGGTTTCACTGTGCTAGCCAGGATGGTCTTGATCTCCTGTCCTCGTGATCCACCCGCCTTGGCCTCCCAAAGTGCTGGGATTACATATCTTTTTGATGTAGGTATTTAGTGCTCTAAACTTTCCACTTAACACTGCTTTTGCTGTATCTCAGAGGTTTTGGTATGTTGGGTCTCTATTTTAATTTGTTTTAAATAATTTTTTGATTCTTTCTTAATTTTGCTGTTTATCCAAAAGTCATTCAGGGACAAGTTTTTTTGTTTGTTTGTTTGTTTCTATGTATTTGTGTGGTTTTGAGAGTTCCTCTTTGTATTGATTTCTAATTTTATTCCACTGTGGTCCAAGTTGGTGCTTGATGTGATTTCAATTTTTAAAAATTTGTTGACATTTGCTTTATGACTGAGCATGGGTCAATTTTAAAGAATGGTTCATGCACAGATAAGAATAATGTATATTCTGTGGGTTTGGGGTGGAGTATTCTATAAATGTCTACTTGGTCCATTTGGTCCAGAGTCAGATTTAAGTCCAGAGTCTCTTTGTTAGTTTTCTACCCTGATGATCTTTATAGTGCTATTAGTGGGGTATTGAAGTCCTCCACTTATTATGGTATGGCTGTATATCTCTTAAGTCTAGTAGTATTCATTTTATAAATCTGGGTGCTCTGATGTTGGGTGTGTACATATTTAGGATAGTTAAATTTTCTTATTGTATCAAATAACTGATCATTATATGATGCTTTATCTTTTTTCAAAACTGTTACTGATTTAAAGTCTGTTTTATCTGATACAAGAATAGCAACTGCTGCTTTTTTTGTTTTCCATGATGAAGAGATGGAGAGGCACTCCATTTCTTTAAGCCTATTGGTGTCATTACATGTGAGATGGTTCTCTTGAAAGCAGAAAAAGCTTGGGTCTTGTTTTCTTATTCAATTTGCCACTCTATGTGTTTGAAGTAGAGCACTTAGGTGATTTATGTTCAAGGTTAACATTGTTATGTGTGGTTTTGTTTCACTCATAGTGTTGTTAGCTAGTTGTTTTATAGCCTCAATTGTGTAATTGCTTTATAGGGCCTGTGAGCTGGTGGCAAGTATCATTCTTTCATTTCTATGTTTAGAACTCCTTTGAGCATTTCTTGTAGGTCTGGTCTGGTAATTCCCTTAGTGCTTGCTTGTCTGGGAAAGATTTTATTTCTCCTTTGTTTATGAAACATCATTTCATGGTATATAAAATTACTGGCTTCCTTTTTAGAAGGCTAAAAATAGGCCCCTAAACTTTTCTGGCTTGTAAGGTTTCTGCTGAGAAATCTACTGTTAATCTGATGTCATTTTCTTTATAGGCAATATGGTCCTTTTCTCTAGATGCCTTTAAGATTTTTTCTTTTGGATTGACCTTATGTAATCTGATGAGTGTATGCCTTGGGGATGGTCATATATTATTTGGCAGGTGTATTCTGAATTTTTTGTATCTGGATGTCATCCTCTCTAATAAGATTAAGGATTTTTTTCCTGAATTATTCCCTCAAATATGTTGTCTAAGTTGCTAACTTTTTCTTCTCTCTCAGGAACACTCATAAGTCGTAGGTTTGGTCACTTTACGTAATCCCATATTTCTCAAAGTCTTTGTTAATTTATTTTAAAATCTTTTTTCTTTATTTTTGTCTGACTAGGTTATTCAGAAGACTGGTCTTCAACCTCTGAAATTCTTTCTTCTGCTTCATCTAGTCTATTGTTAAAGTTTCCAATTGTATTTTGAAATTCCTTTAGTAAAATTTTCAATTCCAGAAGTTCTATTTGTGTTTTTAAAAAAATATAGCCATCTCGTCTTTCAGATGCTGCATAATTTTTTTCTAATTTCTTTGCATTAGATTTCAACTTTTTTCTTGGATCTCATTGAGTTTCCTTGCAATTCATATTTTGAATTTTTTATCTGTCACTTCAGACATTTCAATCCGATTAGGATCAATTGCTAGATCCTAGCTAGTGTTATCCTTTGAAGGTGTGAAAACACTGGCTTTTTGCACTGGACCTGAGCTGATTCCTTCTCATCTGAGGGAGCCATTGCTTATTTTAAAATTTGCTATTGTTTCGATGAGGCTTTTTCATTTTTAAATTATTTTTTCCCTTGAAAATATTGCTTGAAAGTAGTGTAAGTTTTGTATAATTGTCTTTGTTTCTGAGTGCTTTCAGGGAGCTAAGGGTCTGTATGAGTTCCTTGGTTGTAGATAGCTTCTGCACGATAGCTTTCTCAGATGCTGCTTGTTGTAGTAATGTGTTGGACTTAATAGCCGATATACTATCTCCTGTGGGGCTGAGGGTGCAGAGATCTCAGGGAGCTTATCTCATGAACTAGCAGCAAGCTCTCATAGCAGGTTTTTTACTTGATGATGCAGTTCAGGATGCAGTCCAGTCGATGGCGCTTAAGAGTAAGAGCCGCCAAGTAGGCTGGTGCCCAGGGGAAGCTCTCCCCGAATGGGGTGGGTGGTGGTAAGAAAGAGTGATGGGTGCGCTGTGATCTTGGGAGAAAGGGTGTGCATCAGCTCCTCCTTCTAAGTCGGCGGGGATATGATCTTTTTCCCTATCACGGCCCTTTTGCATGGCTCATTCAGTTTATAAAGGATTTGACTTTTGGTTCCCAGCTGCAGACCATGGATATGCCTCTCTGGTGGCTACTACTATTTAAAAAAAAAATGGGCCTCGGGGCAGAGCTTCTTCACCCTAGTCCGAGGCAGGCAACTCTACAGTCTGTCCTCTGTAGCTCAGACACTGTTGCCACTCTGTGTAGGGAGAGGGAGTTGGCCTTGCCCTTTGTGAAAACCTGAGTGGCTTGGTCTCACTTTCAGTGGGGGTGGAGCCGTCATGAGAGCACAACAAATGCTTTCTCCCAGTGCACACTCACTAGCTCCCGGTGCGAATAATGACTGCTGCATTCACAGTAGTGTAGGTAGGGGGCGGGGAGTGTGTGGAGATGACTGATATGGTTTGGATCTGTGTCCCTGCCCACACCTCATGTTGAAGTGTAATCCCCAGTGTTGGAGGTGGGGCCTGGTGGGAGGCGCTTGGCTCATGGGGGTGGTTTCTCATGAAGGGTCTAACACTGTTTCCCTGGCTACTGTTCTCATGCTGGTGAGTTCTCGTGACATCTGGTTGTTTAAAAGTGTGAAGCACCTCCCCACTCACTCTCTTCCTCCTGCTATGGCCATGTGAAGTGCTGGCTTCCCTTTTGCTTCTTCCATGAGCAAAAGTCTCCTGAGGCCTCCTCAGAAGCCAGCATCATGCTTACTGTGTAGCCTGTGGAATTGTGAGCCAGTTAAGCCTTTTTTTCTTCATATATTGCCCAGTCTCGGGTATTTCTTTATAGAAGTTTAAGAATGGATTAATACAATGACCCACTTTTCATATCTGTTCCTGGATGTTGGTGCTGTCTCCTTCAGCAGTTGGTGCCATGCCTATTTTTCCTTTGTCCCAAGAGAGACTTTGGCAGGCTGTGCTCCTCCTTCCCTTAGGGTTAGCCCATGCAGAGGGCTAGATCTCCAGAGGTCCCGCAGGTCCCCAGGGACCCGCCAATCTACTGTGCATGCTAAAGTCAGAGTGGGTTGTGGGGTATGTTTGTGGGGAATCTGGTGGTATGGTATCTTAAGGGTGGAGAATCCCTGGGCAGGGCAGTGTCCCACTATGGGTGCACAACAAGTATGACTCCTATTGTCTTAGTTGGGGTCTGAGGGGAGTCTGGGTACACCTATGCAAGCTGGCTGCACAGTTCTCTGACCTTGGGAAATTCTCAGATTGCTACCAATATTGTTGCCTTGGGCCATGAGGGCACAGGGAATCCTCTACAGTTTAGTGATGAGCTGATTGTCTGAGGGGTGAGCAGAGGAGTACTTCCCTCTACTCTTTCCGTGGTGCTCTGAATTCCTGAGGTATTGGTCTCTGCCAGACTCTTGTTGTTTTACTTTTTTTGCACCCCAGATTCTTCCTGTGTGCATCCCAATGGGTCCTGGCTCTCTTCCCTCAGTTTTCTGTTCAGAACTTCTCCATTCACCAGTAACTTTGATCTTCTTTCTGAGGAGACTTGGCATCCAATGTCTGTAGTTGGCCACCTTGGAAAGCCAGTTTCCTTTAGCCATTCTTTAAGGATAGGTCTGCTAGTGACAAATACTGTAAATTTTCTTGTCTGAGAATGTCTTGATTTTTCCTTCATTTCTAAAGGATAGTTTTTCCAGGTATAGAATCCATGGTTGATGGTTCTTGTTTTTCAGCACTTGAAAAATGCTTTGCCACTTTTTCCTGGCCTCCATAGTTTCCAGTGAAAAATCCACTGTTACTTGAATTTGTATTCCCTTATAGGTAACCTATCATTTCTGTCTAGCTGTTTTAAAGATTTTTTTCTTTTCTTTTAGTTTTCAGAAATTTAATTATGATGTGTCTTGGTATGATTTTTTTTGTGTTTATCATGTTGAAGTTTGCTCAGTTTGTTAAATATGTAGTTTCAATTATTTTGCCAAATTTGGGAAGTTTTTAGACATTTTATCTTCAAATACTCTTTTATGCTCTTTTATGCCTATTTTCTTTCTCCACTGTTTTTGGACCTCTGATTGTATGATTGTTGGATCTTTTATTATTATCACACAGGTCCCTGAAGCTCTGTTCTATTGTTTTTTTTTTTTTCTTTCTGTTGTTCAGATTGGGTAAATTCTATGGATCTTTCCTCAAGGTTACTAATTTTATCTTCTGCGATTTTCACTCTATTATTGAGCCTACCTAGAGATTTTAAAATTCTGTTATTGTATTTTTCAGTTCTATGATTTCTGATAAGATTTGGCTGTGTCCCCACCAAATCTCAACTTGAATTGAATCTCCCAGAATTCCCATATGTTGTGGGAGGTACCCAAGGGGAGGTAATTGAATCATGGGGGCCAGTCTTTCCCGTGCTGGTCTTGTGAGATTTGATGAGAATCTCAAATCTCATCAAATGTGAGATTTGATGGTCTTGTGAGAATAAGTCTCATGAGATTTGATGGGTTTCTCAGGTGTTTTTGCTTTTTCTTCTTCCTCATTTTCTCTTGCTGCCACCATGTAAGAAATGGTTCGAACTATAAGTCCAATTAAGCCTCCTTTTCTTCCCAGTCTCCAGTATGTCTTTATCAGCAGCACGAAAATGGACCAATACAATTTCCATTTGATTCTTATTTATAACTTCTATTTCTTTGGTGAGATTTTATGGTTTTTTATTTTTTCTAAGACAAGTTGTAATTGTTGCTGAAGCATTTTTCTGGTGGCTGCTTTAAAATCCTTGTCAGTTCCAAGATCTATTTAATATCAGATGATTATCTTTCCTCATTCAATTTGTAATTTTCCCTGTTCTTGGTGTTATGGGTTATTTTTTACTGTGTCTTGAATATTTTCACTACTGTATTATATGACTCAATTCTATATTCGATTTTAACAGGAGCCAACTTGTTTAATTTCAGTATGAAGATCTTGGTTACTTTTGTGGACTGGGTTCCAGTGACAATTTGATTTTCAGAGCATTATGGTGCTATTTTGGAGAGTTAATCTATTTTCTGCTGCTGGGGTTCCCATGGGTCCCTGCTGGTGGTTTGTGAGAAATAGAGTCAGCCTGAGGGTCAGAGGATTTTCTGCAGGCTGACCAACTGGTGTCCCTGGGTGGGGGCAGACAGTCAGCTTGGGGAGGAAGAGTCTTCCTGGGCTGGGCGCCTGTTGTGGCAGTGCTGTCTGGTCACTTGGGGTCTCTCTGTGGGGTAGAAGATTCTGCGACAGCGAAGAAGAGTATATTCTATGCCAGGCACTTTTTGTGGCTTTACATCCTCTGCTTGTTGGGGACAGGAAATGTTATGGTGGGATTCTCTTTGACTGTGCTGCTCCTTGCCCCTGCTATTGGTATCTCTAGGTGGAGTAGCATCGTTTCAGTCCTGGTGGGAAGAATACTTCTATCTGCTTACTGATGATGGGGCTTCTTATTGATACCCCTAACCTTTCTGGTACTGCTGGAATCACCTTGGTGTTGTTTCATGTTTGTGTGTGGGAGGAATTCGCCTACCTGGGTACCTTCTGTTGTTAAGTTGGGGAAGAGGAAAATAGACCTAGGTCTTTACTTGAGTGGAGACATAAGATGCCCTGCCACTATAGTATTCCTCCAGTCTAGGAGTCACCTTTCCCTTTTCATCTTTTGGAGCTTTCATTTGGTTGCCTCCTGAAATGTTTCCAGGGTTTATAGTTGTACTTAATGGGGACCAGAAATCTCAAATCTCACTCCATCTAAAAATTGGAAACTATTTTTTATTGTAGTAAAATATACATAATGCAAAACTTATTATTTTAATGTGTATAGTTCAGTGGCATTAAGTACATTAACATCACCACTATCCATCTCCAGAATGTTTTCATCTTCCCCAGCTGAAGCTCAATACCCGTTAAACACATTCCCCATTTCGCCTCTCCCGCAATCCCTGGTAACCACGATTGAATTTTCCTTTTTTTTTTTTTTCTTTTTTTAAATTGAGATGGAGTCTCCCTCTGTCACCCAGGCTGGAGTGCAGTGGTGTGATCTCGGCTCACTGCAACCTCCACCTCCCGAGTTTCAGCAATTCTCCTGCCTCAGCCTCCCAAGTATCTGGGATTCCAGGCAGGCACCACCACGCCTGGCTAATTTTTGTATTTTTAGTAGAGATGGGGTTTCACGATATTGGTCAGGCTGGTCCCAAACTCCTCACCTCAGGTTATCCATCCACCTTGGCCTCCCAAAGTGCTGGGATTACAGGCGTGAGCCACCGGCCCCAGCCCCATCATTGTATTTTCTATCTCCATGAATTTGATTGTTCTAAGTACCTCACATAAATGGAATCATATGGTATTTTTCCTTTTGCCCTGCCTTATTTCACTCAGCATAATGTTTTCAAGGTTCATCCATGCTTCAGCATGTGTCAGAATTTTCTTCCTTTTTAAGGTCTATTTTAAAAATGGTGTTTTTCCTGAATATAGAATTCTAGGTTGATATTTTTCCTCGAGTACTTTGAAAATGTAGTTCCATTTTCTTCTGACCTTCAGAGACAACTCTATCTGACCAGATCTACAGCCTGCCACCTAACTGCTCCTTAAACAAACTTGACCAATTCACTTGCTTTCTATCCAACCTCTCATCATTGAATCAGGGCAGAGATAGTGCTTTCAGTTATTCAGTCTGGTCAAGATTGAGTAAATTTACCTCTTCAATGTATCCTCTATGGCAGAGGTTTAGATTGTAGCCTTTTCTCCGCTCTGCTAGACTAGTTACCACCAGTCCATCTTATTTTCATCTTTCAAAAAAGTAGTAAGCTTTCTTAGTTGTCATTTCCTCTTGTTCTTTGTAGAGGAGCAGATTCTAATCCAAGGTGTTTAACCAGAAGCCACTCATTCAATACTATAGTGCTACCATATTGATATGGTTTGGCTGTGTCCCCGCCCAAATCTCATCTTGAATTGTAGCTCCCAAAATTCTCACGTGTCATGGGAGGGACCTGGTGGGAGGTAATTGAATCATGGGGGTGCATCTTTCCCATGCTGTTCTTATGATAGTAAATCTCATGAGATCTGATGGGTTTATAAAGGGCAGTTCCCCTACACAAGATGTCTTGCCTGCCACCACATAAGACATGTCTTTGCTCCTCATTCGCCTTCAACCATGATTGTGAGGCCTCCCCAGCCATGTGGAACTGTGAGTCAATGAAACCTCTTTCATTTATAAATTACCCAGTCTCAGGTATGTATTTATTAACAGTGTGAGAACAGACTAATACCCATATCCTTAGGACAAACACCCGATAAGGACAGTGCCTAAACAATAGGATTATAGAACAACTTTATTACGCATGTAGAGATAAAAATTCTAAAAATCCGTAAGTTTAATCCAGGGGTGTAAAGAACAACAAGATTAAGTAGAGTTTATTTCAGGAACACAATTCAACAAAATGAGATTTATCAATGTAATCCTAAATTAAAAGCGTGACATTACATGGTTAAATAGATGCTGAAGGGGCAGATGATAAAATTTAGCAGCCATCCTTAATAGGCACCCTAAGCAAAATAGGAATGAATGGAAACTGCTTAACTATAATAAAAACTGCATAAGAAAACTGCAGCAGGAGTCAGCAAACTATTGCTTGTAGGCCAAATCCAGCCCACTGCCTATTTTTGTAATGCAGTTTCATTGAAATACAACTACACTCATCCATTTATATATTTTCTGCTTTTATTCAGAGTTTCATGGCAGAGTTGAGTAATTGTGACAGAGACCATACAGACCACAAAGCCTGAAATATTTATGATATGACCTTCTCTAGACAAAGTTTGTTGACCCATGTTCTAAAGAGTTAAATCTTGAAGTTATCTCCATCAAAAGGTAGGAGCAATTCAGGGATGTACGTCATCCTAAATATTATTAATTCCATCTTTCATTTAGCAGGAAAGGTGATCTTCTGAAATCCAAGTCTGATTAAGTAACTTTTCTTCTAAAATCTTTCAATGCTTTTCTATCATACTTGGGGGAAAAAAATCCCAATTCCTTCCTGGGGCCTGCATACAAGGCCATATGAGACCTGTCTTTTGCTGGTCGTTCCAGCCCACTGTCTACTATTCTCCTTGTTCACTGTGCTTTAATTCCACTAAAGATCTTTAAAGTCTTGAAGTCTCCAGTTCTTCCTTATCTTAGGGCCTTTGCATATGCCTTTCCCATTCCCTAGAATTCTGTTTCCTTCTGACTAGTGCCTCAGCTTTTAGTAGGTCTCACTTCAATGTCATTGTATCAGAGAGTTCTGGCCTGACTAATAAAGATCTTTCTCTGTCATTTTCCATCTCTGTATCTTGTTTCTTTTCTCTATAGTATTTATTACAACTTACAATTGTTTTTACTTGTTTGTTGACTGGTTTTCTGTTTTTCTTCCCCCCTAAAATATAAATTCCATAAGAGCAAGAGTTGAGTTAGCCTAGTTCATTGCTATATCATTGCCCTATTTGTTGACTAGATGAAGATATAGTTTAATTAAATTTTCTAAACCATAGGCAGCAAAATATGCCTGAGATTTTAAACCAGCATGATGGTCTCCACAGACAAAGGTCTGTTTGTTGCCATGCAAAGTCTGTCAGTGGAATTCATTCATTTCTTCATTCATTGGATAAGCATGTATTGAGCAAATGCGAAGGGCCAGGCTTTATGGGTGGAGAAGGTGAGGACAGAAATATAAGACATTGTTTCTGATGTCAAAAAGCTCACAGCCTGGTAGGAGACATAGTCAATAAACAACTGGCTGTTATGGAGCATGATAAGCTCTCTTGCAAAATAAAGGAACCTTCATGGATCCCGAAAGAGTAAGTGGTAAGGCTGGTTTCTGGAGAAGATGCTGCCTGAGATGGACTTTGAAAGCAGGTCTTACTTGCATTTAATGTAGTAATGCCTAATGCAATGTCAGAAGTACTTGAGGCATTAATAAATTTTGGTTGTTGTATTTAAAAATTGGAACTAAACAGAAAATTGAAAAGATAGGGGTGTGAGTGTGGATATATCATAAGGAGAAGGAATAGCATGGGAAATGAATAGAGTTGAGATAGAATGCAGCCCATATGAGAAAATGCATTGGATCAGTTTGGCTGGAGTAGAAGGTATATGTTGTGAGAATGGCAAGAGGTAAAACCCACCTGGGAGACAGAGGTTAGGTCATGAAGTGCATTATGTGCTGTTCATGAAAGGAGAGACATTGAAGGACAATGGTATGAATATGGCTGAAATTATTTAAAAGCAGCAATTGTAGAAAATATGTTCTGTTTCTGCTGTCAAATGTAAGAATTGTGACAATAGATTTGATGCATTCTTAGACCAAACTTGTTTTGAAGAGTGCAGGCTTCTATAATTCTGAGTTTACAATTATTTTTTTTCCTAAGAAAAAATTTACTGTGGTGCATGGCAATCATATGCTGTCTACATATTTAACCACTTTTAGGATACCTTAGATACTGCTTGCTACACTCTTCTCTGCAGGCCCAGGAAGAATGAATTACCCTATAACTTGCTTAGCAAAATCTTCCCTGTGCTTGATTTCCCCCAGGTAGAGGACTGGGGCTTGTAGGGTAAACTTTGCAGGCCTCAAGTGTGTCTTTGCCTCCTTCTTTGGAGCCAAGGACAGTCTGGAAATAAATATCTTTTTATGTTGAGTCAAGTTCAAAACAACATGCCAGGCGCCCAATTTACACCTGTGGGGAAAAGAAGAAACTTCAATGAGAGCTAATTGAATAGCTTTGCCCTTGTAGCAGGCACTTGTGTTTCTGCTAGTGGAAAGAAGGCCCCTGGAGATCCAAGAATCAGGTGACCGAAATTTCCCTGGGAACCCTTGCATTCTGGAGAAACACAGGATTTCTGAGGAAATTTTTTTGTTTTCTGAACATGTGAAATGTGTGCAGGATAAGCAGTCTGTTACCTCTCTTCCAGCTGCAGCAGCCCCGTCAGAGCAGTCGCTGGGTGTGGGCTACTGGAGGGGGTCCCAAAGTAGTACACAATGTCCTACCCTGAAAGAACCCATCATCTGGTGGCTCCATACACATTTGCCTCTGGAGGTCTTGACGACTGTTCCAAGGCTGATGCAGGGAGCCATGATGGAGCTGATCAGACCTGCTGAGGGAATGCAGAGAAAGGGAAGGAGCCCCATGGGGTAGGAGCACCAGACAAGGCCTTCCAATGGTGATGAATTATGAGCAGGACCTTGAAATTCATTTGGAATTTGATTTGAAGAAGAGAAGGTGCAAGGTTGTTTCAGTCAGGTAGAAAGACGAGGTGTTGGAAATAGATCATCAGAGCTATCCAAAACACCTATCTGACCTTGTTGCTATCCTATTAAAACCTGACACTGGTTCTTCATCACCTGCAGAGTAAAGTGTAAGCTCCGTACCTGGACATATCGCTGGCCTCTGCTTACCCCTCCAGCCTCCTCATCCCCCACCTTATGCCTTGGTTCTTATGCTCTAGCGATATCTTACTCTTATCCCTCTCTGAGTACCCCATGCTATTTCATGCCTCCATGACTCTCTCTTTAATGGTTCTTCTTGTTCCCTTTCCTGTCTGACAGCCTGGTGAAGTCATCTTTCCAAGCTCTTCTGAGACCTCACTAGCTGTATTAGTTTGTTTTCATTCTGTTGATAAAGACATACCAAAGACTGGGAAGAAAAAGAGGTTTCACTGGACTTACAGTTTCACATGGCTGGGGGAGGCCTCAGAATCATGGCGGGAGGCAAAAGGCACTTCTTACATGGTGGTGGCAAGAGAAAATGAGAGAAGAAGCAAAAGCAGAAAACCCTGCTAAACCCATCAGATCTTGAGAGCCTTATTCACTATCACAAGAGTGGTACAGGAAAGACCGGCCCTCATGATTCAGTTACCTCCCCCTGGTTCCCTCCCACAACATGGGGGAATTCTGGGAGATACAATTTAAGTTGAGATTTGGGTAGGGACACAGCCCAACCATATCACTAGCTGACCAAGGTCATATAGTAATGGAAATGGGAAAAAGCCTGTTTGGGCTGATTTCAGAGCCTTTGCTCTTACCACCATGCAATTCTACTTATAAGGAAGAGCCCATTATTTATAATTTCATGCTGTTCAGAGTTAGTCTCAGTTGGTGAGCTGAGCCCTTTGGGAAGAGAAGAGCCCTGGGTTCTAGCTCTCTTCCTGCTATGACACTTAGAGCAAGACATGTGTTACCTGTGGGCTTTATTTTTCTCATCTGTAAAATGACAACCTTGGTCTTATAGATAATTACAGGATATTTTTAATTCTATCAATATACATATTTTAAAAGATATTCCAGGAATATTGGCCAAGGTTAGCTCATGGATACAGAATTATACCTAGGGCTGGGGGTGGTGACTTACACCTGTAATCTCAGTACTTTGGGAGCTGAGGCAGGTGGACCACTTGAGGTCAGGAGCTCATGACCAGCCTGGCCAACATGGCAAAACCCCATGTCTACTAAAAATACAAAAATTAGCTTGGCATGGTGGTGTGCGCCTGTAGTCCCATCTACTAGGGAGGCTGAGGCATGAGAATTACTTGAACCCGGGGGGCAGAGGTTGCAGTAAGCCGAGATCGTGCCACTGCAATCCAGCCCGGGTGACAGAGCGAGACTGCATCTTGCCCCCTGATGCCTCCCCAAAAAGAATTATACTTAGGCACCTAAATGAATGACTTCTCCTTAAATGTCAGGGCTTAATTTACTGATACAATATGGTCTAATATCAAAGTAGGGATTTAAAACAGTAATTGGAAACCAAATAGAAGTTGTTTTTGTAAAAAGTTGGAGGGAAAAAAAATAAAAGTATTCAGAAAGCTCCCTCTTCTTACTGACTGTATGACCTGAGGCACGATTGTCCTATCTAATTTTCAGTTTTCTCCTCTGGAAGCAGAGATACTAATATAATATACTTCATAGGGTTGTGTGAAGATTAGATAAGGTCAGGTGTGTGAAGGTCTTAGCATAGTGTCTGGCATGCAATAAATAACCCAATAAGTATTAGCCATGGATTACGGAATGGAACCGTAGGGACTGGGAGGGGATGGGTGCTAAGTGAAGTCTTGGGGAGACCTCATGCTTTCTTATTTAGCAAATATTCCAGCTTCTGCATATCTCTAGTTGGTATGCCCCAGAACTCAGAGTCAGCTTTTAGGTGGTAGTGGTGTATCCCACGTGCCCTGGATATAGGCTGGGATTGGTATAGCCCGGGGAAATCCTCAGTACTGAAAATGATAAAGGTAGTAACAGCAGCAGCAACAACAACAGTAATAACCATTACCAGATCTTTCTGACTCCAGAGCTTGTGCTCTTGACTGTTTTTATTTCTCTGAGACACTGAGAGTCGTCCTTTAATAGAAGAGGGAGCCAGTATTATTATTCCATGGCCTGAGACACTCTGATGGGTGCAGTAGTACCAGGGTTGTTCCTGCCTATGATGGGGTGAAAGCCTGTGTGATATCATCAGGTGGGCCAGGAATAGCCCTCATGAGCTAAATGCCAGAGCACCTGAAGGTTCCAGTATGCATCACCCTTGGAGACAGGGGCACTGACATTTTCTATTAAAATGCAAATGTAATCTGAAAGGCATTGTGCACCATTCCTTTATCATCTTTTGTAAAAATTATAAATCAGATTTGCAAGTCTCTTATTTGGGCAGGACACCAGGGAAGGTTCAGAGCATAGGGTATCACTCACCTCTAAAAATAGTTCAATACTAAATTGTCATTCTTCTAAATTGCCTCTTCTGTGCCCAAATCTGGACAATTTCATTTTCTTTTCACTGGTTTTATAGTTGAGTGAAAGTAGTTCATGTCCTACTCCATAGAATGTTGCACATTTTATAATACAAGAAAACACGTTTTTATTCTTAAATAAGAGATACTTTGAGAAGCTTCTAGGGATGGGTTAGTTCAAGCTCAATCTTTCATTTTTACTTAAATTTCCCTGATATTCACTATAGACTATCTGTGCATATGTATATCTCCTATCTTATTCATTGCTTTATGGCCAGCATCTAATACATTCTCAAGTAAATGAATTAATAAACTGAGTACTCCTATTGGGAAAGGCCCTAAGGACAATGAGAAAGTCAGTAAATAAAGGCTCTCCATCCTCGAAAATCTTATCCTGTAGCAGAGAGACAAGTTCTAAGGCAGGAGAGACTGAAGGCCTGAATACGCTGTTGAGATGCAAAGGGGGAGATAGGGTGAAAGCAAAGAGGGAGCAAGGAAGGGGAAAAAGGCAAATGTTACTCTGTGGTTTTGAGCTTGGATGCCTGGCAGGGCCATAGTGCCATCAAGAGAGAGGAGGAAGTCAGGAGGAGGAGCAGGTCTGGGGAAAAAGGATAGAAGGAGGACATGATGAGTTTGGATCTAAACATACGAGGTTTGGATGACGTAGATTTGAGTGCCAGTTAAGATGTGCAGCTGCCCTATAACCTATGACGAAGATGAGTTAATTGCTGAGTTCTAGAGTAGCCTCAAACTTAGGCTATTTTATTCTCTTATTCAACAGGGCTTTGTGCTAGGCAATAAAAAGGGATTTAAAAAGGTACAAGAGGCATGATATTTGCTCTCCCAGAGTTCCTGAGTGAGGCAGTATGTGCTCAACAGTGCCAGGCAAGTAGCGGCGTGCAGAAGGAACAGAAGAAGGAGTGGCTTGGGTGTGACAAGCTGGAACCTGCAGCAGCTGCAGGGGGAGGGCGTTCTGAGAATCCAAAGATCAGCATGCCCCTTTGGACCTTTTGAAGGAAGCTATCAAAAATGAAGACATGACTTCTCAATACCAGGTTTATTTGAAAAGGAATAAAACCAATGTAACAGGTATACCTTTTTACAGTAATTACCTTATTGGTATACAGAGAGGAGGCAAAATCATGAATTGGTTTATTTTATCTTTCTGTGAGGAAAATGACTTTTTTGAGCCCAAATGAAGGGGAGTTAATGGCTTGGCCCTAGGATTACCATTACTGCTGCGGGCTTGGAAGCCTTGGAAAATTGCCCTTCTCTTTTCCTGCTACTTTCTCTCCCACTTTTTTCAGAGACATATTTTGGGTCCTCTGTCTCCTTGAGTCTGATAGCAGTGTGTAGAGATCACCCAGTGCCTGACTGCCTGTTACTGCTGCTAAGCCTTGTTCTGACTGGCCATGGTGACAATGGCCTAGGAGTTTCAACTTTGAGAGACTTCACAAGTGCCATGAGATGGGTGGCCGCTTATGTGGTTATTGTCTAGGGCTGACTGTGTCCACAGGGATGTGATTTTAAAGCCCTGGTATATGAGGTTGAGAACACCTATAACAATAGCCAATCCTAACAAGGGAGGTTCTCCAGTTTTACAGAGGGGGTCTTGAAAGGATTCAACTTACTAATAGTGATCTATGTGGCCGTACCAGTGGCATGGGGGAAAGTGAGAATTTAGAAAAATTGTTGGAAAGTATTTTCCTCTTGACAAGTAGAGAATTAGAGTATTATGGAAATGTAAGAAATTACAGAGTTAGAAGATTCCACCTTTGTAGTAACACATTTTATACTCTGATTAAAGCACTTACCTGTATCTGATAGTAAGGATGCCAGAATAAGGGCTTTACTGCTTCATTAAAATAGTGCCATCTAGTGGTAAATGTTTTGAATTGTAGCTAGGTGCCCAGAGAGCTGTCAAACCCTCAGGGGACTTGGCTTAAAGATTAAGCAGCATTTATAATTTTCTTGTTTATTTATCCATCTATTCTTTCACTTAGTTTACTTATCATTTACTACATGCTGAGCATCTTGATGGGTGTTGCGTATGAAGAGACGAGGAAGACACAAGCACTGACCTCAAGTTGTAGTCCAGTGGGTGAGACTGCCCGTGATTGCAATCCAGAGATAATGGCTATTTGAGAAGTGCGTTGGAAGCCCAGGAGATTCAAATGTCACACGCAGTTTCATTGCTGCTGCTGGAAGGCCCTCCCATGTGTATAAGGACATAACTTGCAGGAAGCATGGAGTCAAGGAAGGGACAAGCTGTTGGATACTTCCTCAACTTGCTGCTTGTGTGAGATTCCCCACCCTGCCAGACCTCTCTTTTGGGTTCTCCTTGTATCTCTGGCCCTACTCCTAAATCAAGGAACTGAATGAACTTGTGGTTTGCTGCCCAGTGGAGCTCTCTTTCTCTTTCATGGGCTTGATTCTTGGTCATTCTAGGACATAAATTGTTGGACACAGGGTGGTATGTTTAAAGCCCTGGACATTTTACCGGAACCTATTAACAAATTTTTACATGCCTTCTCTGCCCTCTGCTCGTTTATATTTCCCTTTTCTTCTGCCACGAGAGGTTTGCATAAGACCTTCTCTTCTTCACATAACTCTGTCTCTGTACAATACAATCTATACTGTTCTTTTTTGGAGAAATGTGCTCATTGTGAGATCTTGTTCAGGCACCTAATCTTTCTAGTTCCAAGAGTTGTTTCCTCTTAAAAACCAGACCAGTAATATTGACCTACCTAGGTGCTGAGCATGCAGAGGCTTGAAATGATGAACTCTGAAGATGTGGGAAAGAATTCACAGTGCATGAGGCATTTGGACCGGGATGTGAAGAATGGTTTGGAGATTATCAGTTGGCAGAAGTTTATGTTACTAAAGGGCATTCTACCTAGGTAGGTCAATATTACTGGCCTGGTTTTTATGAGGAAACAACTCTTGGAGCTAGAAAGATTTGGTGCCTGAACAGGGCCACACAGTGAGTACATTTCTCCAGAAAAGGACAGTGTAGATTGTATTGCACAGAGACAGAGTTATTGGTAAACTGTTTTAATTCTTGTTCAATATTTTATGACATGTAAACACGAGCAAAAGACTTGTTATGCTTTTTCTTCACTTGTCTTAAGTTTTACTTTGTAAAAATTAGCCGTCATACTTTTTTTTTTTTGGTAGAGTTTAGCACTTAAAAATTTTCACTTCATTTACTTTTTAACACCATACTCCTTGAATAAGTCTTTTTTGCTTTCCTTGTAATTGGTTCTTCTTAGTTTCCTTAGCTTTCTTCTTCTTCCTTGCTCTGTTTTCTCTATGAAGAGTGCTTTCCATCTCTCTCCTTCTCTTGGTGTCCAAGCCATCCTTTACTGTCATAACTCTCATCTTGCTTTTTTTTTTTTCTTCTTGCCTATCCAAACTCTTTCTGTCTGTTACTTCTATGATCTTTTCTGGTTCTTCTCATTCAATCCTTCCCTCTCATTCTCTTTTCCACTTCTCCATGTGTCTCTCATTGTATTTGTTTGTTTGTTTTTGTTTTTTTACTATCTTGATCTTTTAGGTTGTACTTCTCAGAAGTTTGTAGGCTGTCACTACCGATTCCATGTTTAGTTTGTCCCAGTCACCACCATGGGCATATCATTCTGTTGGTGTGAGAGAGGTAACAGATCTGTCAGGAAGGAATAATATATTCATTTATTCATTTGTCAGACGTGTTGTGTGACTGCTAGGTACCAGGCATTATACTAAGAGCCAGGTAGGGACAGATACAAAGAAGAATGAGATGGTGTCCACTTGCGATGAGCTCATATTCTAATCAGAAACAAATAGGTCAACAAATTCTTACGATGAAGCTCTGACGTGGGCTGCAATAGAGATAGGTAGAAGGTATTTAGCATGCAGAGGCCTGAAATGATTAACTGTGAAGAGGTGGGAAAGAATTCACAGTGCATAAGGCTTTTGGACTGGGATGTGAAGAATAGTTTGGAGATTATCATTTGGAGGTTGTTTGGGTCACTAAAGGGCATTCTAGGCAGAGGCAAAGATTGAAGCCTTTAATAAATGTGGTGGGCCCAGGGAAATGCATATGGGAGATACAGGGTATGTACAGGAAAAAGATGAGACTGAAGAGGTGGGAAAGAGACAGTGTCATGGAAAGTCTTATAGGCTGTGTAATGGGGTTAGGGATTCTTTCTGAAAATATTGGTGAGCCATGGACAGAAGGCACATAAGTATCTAGGTTATCTGCAGGTTAAGGAGACAGATAAAAGTGGATGGATTTAATGGATATTTTTAGAGGTCAAGTGGACAGAACACGTGATTGATTGGATGTGAGAGGTGAAAGAGAGTGGGCATTTAAAATAAGTTTGTTTTCATTGGCATATTTTCTCCTGAGGATTTCAAATTCCCTTAAGAGTTATTATCCCTTTCTATTCATGGGATTCTTATCTTTTTCTAGTGGGATCTTTACCTAAGGAATCTAAAATTTGAAGTTTCTAGCTCACTACTCAGATAATTATTGTAAATTTTGGCAATAAAATTCTGTTTTCTTACTTTGCTGGGTTTGGCTGACTTGCCTGTGCAGCACTGCTGGTTCTGAGGAATCAGTAGTTCCAAGCTCAGCTTCTAGAAGGAGGCAGAGGGTGAGCACAGCATGCTATGGTGTGCGTTGGGTAGTGCTGTTGAAGGGGAAGTAGCAAGATCTTTACTCTTCTTACAGACTAGGTGCCCTATATATGTTGGTAGGATGGAGGGAGGAATAACTGAATGATGAGTAACATAAAGAGTACTTATAGTGTCTTTATATTAAATTATCGTATGTGGTGGGGAGGAGAACTTGAATGGGAAACTGGAGGTCAGCAGGCTTTCTCTTCTTGCTGTATTTTATGTAGACCAATATTGAAATTGAGATATATTTCTCAAGTTCAAATAATGGGGTAGGGGAAGGAGAAGTTAAACTGTAATAAATGTTGTGGAGACTTAGGACCAGGTTAGGGTTTTTCTTTCTTGGGAGGATTCACTAAGGGGTAATTATCCTGAATTAGCAGGACCTAATGTCATAGCTTGAGAAATAAGAGACATCAAATTTGGGATCTAGCAGCACTTACCCTGCACTCCTAGGTCCCCACCAGCTTACCCTCAACATGTCAGATTCAGTAAAAGATTTTTAAGTTTGGTGTTTCTTTTTCCTTTTTGGAGGGTCACATAAACTCATTAACTCTGGATTCATCATTCCTTGCTACATATCTTCAATGTCTTGTGTATATAACCCATTGTTATCATCATACAAATACAAAACATTTTCTGGAGACAATACCTTGGTCCTGAATATCCATCTTCATTAGGTGTTGGATTGCATTAATTTTCTCAATTCTATACCCTTCTTTTTTCCATGCTCCTTTGGCATATTACTTTGTAATTTCTTTCACTGGAGTTGATTTCTCTGTCCTTTGATTCTGAGTTTGGCCACATGACTGTCTTTGGCCAACAGAATGTTGTAATAAAGAGTCTGACTCCAGTTTTGAGGTTAGACTGTTTGATAGGATTTAGACTTCCACACTTCCCCCACTTTTCTTTTTCTTTTTTGAGACAGAATTTCGCTCTTGTTGCCCAGGCTGGAGTGTAATGGCGTGATCTTGGCTCACTGCAACCTCTGCTTCCCAAGTTCAAGTGATTCTCCTGCCTCAGCCTCCCAATTAGCTGGGATTACAGGCACTTGCCACCATACCTGGATAGTTTTGTATTTTTAGTAGAGATGGGGTTTCACCTTGTTGTTCAGGCTGGTCTTGAACTCCTGACCTCAGGTGATCCACCCGCCTCAGCCTCCCAAAGTGCTGGGATTACAGGCGTGAGCCACTGAACCCAGCCACTTCCACCTTTCTCTTTCCCACCACCATACATCTGGTACTTTAGACAAGAAAACACACATATACCCCCTGGCTTCTTTGCATCATAGAGAAGTTTGAAAACCCTCATGCACATGACAATCCCTTCCCCCTCCCCACCCCCTGGCCACTATAAAGGCTCAAGTCACTTTCCTGTCTTGTCATTCTAGATTGTCTTATGTCTAACCTGCCCCCAACCCCCCCAAAAAAGTCCCTTGTGTGACTAATAACCTTTCTTTCAAATTCTCTTGGTGTGTGAAGTGTTATCAGTCTAGATATCCAACCTACTAATTGGGGTCAGAGGGTCTATTCCACCTTCACAGGGTGACTACAAAACAAATATTAATCTATGTGTATGTGATACTTGCAGACAGTTGGAAGAAATGCTTGCATGTCTCTGCTTCAACTATTTCTCCTCTGTTATGGCCATGAGACTATGTCTAGGCTAGCCTGCTAGAGAGTGAAACAAATGGAGTAGCATCCCATTGCCTTATCACCTCAGTTAGCAAATCAGTCAATGAATAGCTGACCCCAGACATGTCAGCAAGCCCAGCTAAGATTAGCAGAGACTCTTAGTCAATCCACAGCTAACTGCAGATGTATGAGTGAGCCAGGCAAGATCAGCCAAGGCCGATCAAGATCAGCTGAATCCTCAAACTTGTGAATTAAATATATGGTAATTGTTGTACACCACCAGATTTTTGGTGTTGGTATGTGGAAATGCTGTGGCAATAGATAACTGAAAAACCAAGTGTGGGAACTTCTAGACCAACCCTGGGGTAAATATAAGGTCTCCAAAATTTAGCAACTCTCCCTGAAATCCAAAATGAAGCAAAAGATTATAGTGCAGCTCATATTTAGCCCTTTGGCCTCTATTTTTAAGAGTTTATTTTGTTTAATTTTTTTGTGCTAGGACTCTTAATAAGCAATTAAAAAAAAAACCTTAAGTAAGATTAGCAATTTGCACCTTTTTAAAAATTAACAGCACTCTGTTGTTTTGATATTGAGCTCCATTATCAATTTGCATCTTTAAAGAGGTGTAACCTTTCTCAGATATTTTGCTCTGTGTTCTTATATTTAACTAGCAAGACTTGATTTTTACATTGCTTATGTTGGCTTTACTTCTGCACAATTAAAACCAGAGGAGAAGAAGAAGAAAAAATCTAACACTCAATAATTAGAAGTATGATGTAGATTTCTCTAACCCTGGCTATTCAGAGCTGAGTGGTGATCAAGGCAGGATTAATGTATTAACATACAAGGCAAGTATGTTAATAAAGGAAAAAGGTCCTACGGTTTTAGGACACATATCAACAAAAATTTCTACATACTTGAATGGTTGCAGATTAAACCTTATTTATGAAACTAGCTCCAGAGAGCAGTACAACTTTGAACTTGGCATGGACTCCTGAACTCTCCCAGTTGTATGACAGGAGCCATTTTGACTGATTATCTCCCGTCTTCCACACTGCCTTGCCCTGCCTATCCAAAGTCTACTCTCCCCAGCAAGACCATCCACCAAGCTGTACGCTGAGGTGCCTCACAGGCAGAAGAGGTCATGCACCTCAGTGTCATCCTTTGTTTTCTACTCATATCTTCTCTAGTTCAAAGATTCAGTTGGTGGCAGTGAAGTCCTTCTTTATTTGGGAAAGTACACCAACTACCCTTTGCTTGATTAGCACAAAAATACTAACCATGTTGCTCAGTAGAAAAATTTACTTGAAAAACTAGATTGTGAGTAATTACCTGTATTTTTTTTTTCAGTTATACAAAGTATGAAACATTTCTACCTCTTCTGGACTTCATTTTGAACCCAGTCAGTGTATTTTCTCAAACCATGAACCAAAACAATGTATTTTGTTTTCTCAACAATGGACCAGTGAAAACTGGAGCCTAAACTGTATGTTTTCTCAGTCTCTGAGCTGGAACCAGAACATCAAAACTTTCTTGAACTGAGCTGATATTCCACAGGGTTAAATCCTTGTCGAGATCCTAGAAGGGTGCAGTGATTCTTGGTCACTTTTTAGAATGCCGTGTAAAATCTAAAAGCTTTGGTTTTGTTCCTAATTAAAACTGATTTTATCTTGAATTATTATTTCTAATGTAATGAATGCAAAATACGATGTCACTCATTGCAGAAGAGAAAAACATGAAACATTCAGGCAGAATATATGTCTGTCTTTACCATGGAATCTAAGTCATTTGTTAATCTTGCTTTTGAGCTCAGTCCAAGCAGTTGCCATGTGATATATAGACGTGTCGTCCCCTGTGCAATATTCTCTAGCTATTTAGGTGGTATTTTCCTTGGAGTACTTGATCCTGGAAATATCTAGGGAATATTCTTTAATTTCTAATTTATCATGAATGTACAGTCAAATGGTCTTTAAATTTTTAGCTATCCATTTCTGTAATCCAAACTACAGATTGAAAAAAAATACCACATCACATGGAATTTGAAAACATTTTAATTACATTGATAAAATGGATATGATTAACTTAACAAAGGTTAACATTTTCAGATAATTAACTTATTTATTCTTCCAAGGATTATATAGGAATGCCTAGCCTTTCTCATATAAATTGAAAAATTCCAAGGGGAGTGAATATTTGAGATGTCAAAGGTATATAAGAAATGGCCTGCATTTAAAAATTTAGGAAGAAAAAAGATTCATAAACAGTAAAGGGATAAAAGGCAGCAGGATAACGGTGAGTAGGAGTTCAAAAAATAGTAGCCCGATGACACGTTAATAGACTGTAGCCTCTGGCTCAGCAGTGAGTCATAGGGCAGTCAAGAGAGATGTGGTGGTGGTCTCTCTGATGAGGGACTGCCTGCTGCAATTGAATTTGAATTCAAGCAACCACTGCTCTGATTTTTAAATTTTTTATTGGATGTTTTATAAATTACAAAATAATTCAATCTAGTTGTTATGAGTGAAACAATATAAAAATGTATAAGAGAACACTAATTATTGCTGCTCCTTCTATTTCCAATCCCATGCTTTGGAAGGATTCAGTATTAGTTGACTAGTGAGGACCTTCCACACTTTGCACTTTTTTGTAGATACATATACAAAAATATATTCTCATGAGTAATTTAAAAATAATTGTATCAAAACAGGACCAAATTATTGCACATTAATCTTTGCTTTTTTCACTTGAGAATATATCCTGGGAAATCAGAGAAGAGACATAGATCTAACGCTATCCTTTTTCATTTTTTTCTTACTTTCTTTATGTGTGAACACACACACACACACACACTTACCTAAATGGAATCATTAATAGAAATTATTTTTACGCATTGATTTTTTTCTTTCTTTGCCTTACCTTCTTTCCTTTCTCCCTTTTTCCCATTCCATTCTTTTCTGTCTCTGTCCTGTAGCCTACATGTACAGTATGGTATACATCCTTCACTACCTTTCTCCATTCTCATATAATCCTTATGCATAGCCATTCACATGCACGCGTGCGCACACACACAACACCCCCCCCCCACACACACACACACAGATTTCACTCTGTGTTGTAAGCCTACAATGTGCTTTGAGTTGAGATTGGAAAAGGTGACCTTTCTTAATCTCTGTTCTGGGCTCCTCTTTCTTTGATCTCATCTCATAAAGTTTCTTAGTTTTAATTTGTTTTTAAACATGGTCTTGGTGTGTTGCTCAAGCTGGTCTTGAACTGCTGGCCATAAGCAGTCCCCTTGCCTGAAATCACAAAGGTTGTCAATGCTACTGACCTCAGCTCATGACTCTTACTTTTCTACGTAATCCATGTAGGTGGTCTTATCCATTTAATGATTTTAATTATCATCCTTGCTGTTGATGTCCAAATCTACATTCCGAATTTAGACCTCTTTGGTCCCTATATTCAACTTGCTGCTGGATGTTTTCATCTAATTTTTCCATAGGCATCTCAAATTGAATGTGCTCCAACTTCACCCTTCTTTTTCTCCCCTTTGCAGCCTGTATTATTTATTGCAATTGGTGCTACCACCATCATCTAGATGTCAAGCTAGGAACCTACCACTTAACAATCGGTCACCAAGTTCTGCCAGCTTATCTCTTAAATAGTTCTTGAATTTATTCTCTCCTCCCCATTTCTCTCATTAGTACACCAGTTAAGGTATTCATTCAGCCTCATATATATTATTGCAAAAATCTTTCAACTTTTTCTTTCATTTGGATCCCATAACCTAGTGAGTTACTAGGTTTCTATGGCTTCCAATCCATCAAAGAAAACATTTTATTGTTTTTGGTAAGGTCGGAAGCATGATAGAACTATCCATATTAACGTTTTTTCATTTTTTTTCTGGGGTAGAAGTGTGAAACATTTATTAAGGTATAAAAGAAAAGCAGAGAAAAACCATGACCAGAAAGAGAAGTTGGACAAGAGTACTAACGCTAGGAAAAGCAAGAAATATCCTAGCAAGCACTGATACTCCAGCAACATGGGAAGCATATGTTCCTCCCCTACTTCCAACTCCTTTTCTCACTCATGCTGTGCCTTCCATTTTAGATAAATAATTCCTACGTCATTGTTTTCATATGTGTTCTGCAGTCAGAGTGAGCTATGTAAAACACAAATTTGGTCTTTGTGTCACTTTTGGGTGCTAGGAGCATTATGGCACCTTGATTAATAGAGCTGACTTTATGGGCTAGGGTTGGTTCAAATTTAACCAGGCAGAAGAACAACAGATGAAACAAAGACCTTGAGTGATGGGCACAGCTGTCAGCAGAAAATAATTGAGTTCATGTTGTGGGTGATGGGGAACAAGCTGATAAGACTGTCTGAGGCTTTTTGGAGGTATCCTACCAAATCGCTCATGAGATAGATTCCTTCTAGACTGTGCTGTTGATCAGAATACCTAATCTATGATCTCCTTTGGCCACTAAAAGCTAGAATAAATGTCATAGGTAGCTCCCTGAGGCTCTATTAGACAGTTATCTACTGGAGAGACAGAGGCTAGGAAGCAGGAGTTAGGAAACACTGTAACTAGATAGAATGGAACAGGCCGGGCTCAGTGGCTCATGCCTGTAATCCCAGCACTTTGGGATGCCGAGGCGGGCGGATCATGAGGTCAGGAGATCGAGACCATCCTTGCTAACACGGTGAAACCCCGTCTCTACTAAAAATACAAAAAACTAGCCGGGTGTAGTGGCGGGCGCCTGTAGTCCCAGCTACTTGGGAGGCTGAGGCAGGAGAATGGTGTGAACCCGGGAGGCGGAGCTTGCGGTGAGCTGAGATTGCGCCACTGCACTCCAGCCTGGGCGACAGAGTCAGACTCCGTCTCAAAAAAAAAAAAAAAAAGAATGGAACAAAGCATTTGGAAGAAGTGTAGATGGCAGTGTGGTAGTGAAACTGAAATGGGAAGGAAGAGGAACTTAAAATTCAAAGAGCCCTGGTTCTCATTTGTCATAGCTGCTAAGCCTCCTTGAAGACTGTTTTGGTAGTTTTGGCAGCTTTTATGAAAGTGAATCTTATGTTATCAGGATTTTTATATTGGATGTGGCGAGATCAGGATGAAGTTCATTAATGTCAGTTACCAAGGGCACTGCTGGGTCAGTAGGTACTGAAGGCTCTCTATAAGCCCCTCAGTTATCTCCTTGTGGTTTTTGTTATGCTTCACAAGTAGTTAGGAGTAGACTATTGCACTTCATTCTGGACACCAAGCTACCAAAAGTTCCATGTTGCTTTGTGAAAAGCTCAAAAAACATTTCACTGGCCTGAAGACAGGGTCACAGCACAGAGATTTTGTCTGGTTTAGGCCTACCCATGTAGCTCATACAGGTGTTGGAGACTCTTTGAATATGATCGGTGTTATATAAAAGCCTAAGCTGTTAGGTCCCATGGGGGTTGCTTTCTGATAAGGGAGATTGGATCCAACATACAATGAGAGAAGTGATTTGGCTTTCAGTGCTCCCAGGGAGGGATTGGTACCAAGAAAGTTCTGAAAGTTATGGAAGAAGGCTGTTGATTCCAAATATTAGTAGGATTTAGATGATTTGGAAATTAAAATGGAAAAAGAATCAAACATGATTCTTTCTGCAGAAGCAGAAGACTAGTTTTTTTGGGTCAGTTATACACCTACACATTATGCTTTCATAAGCCTTAGCCTCAAGGTCATACAGTAAAACAAATGAGCCATATGCAAAAAAAAAAAAAATTGCTTAATCTTCACATTTAGGGGCACCAGAAAAAGTGGGAGCTAATGATAGTATCGGATTTTCTGTCTCTCCTGGGCTAATGCCTAAATAATGGAAGCAGAGAACTACTGAAGGTATTAAGAAAATGGAAGGTCTAGAAGTATTTGACCTGATCTTATCCTTTAAAACATGCAACATCTTCCCATTGACCAATAAGCATAATCAGCAGATATTATAATCTTGTTTCTGCGTGACAGGGCAAAGACTGGAGATTTATGCTGCCCCTATGAGAAAATTCTCACTTCTTTTTTTTGTTTGTTTGTTTGTTTTTTTGCCTCTTCTGCAGGGAGTATCAGAGGTAAAATGAGATGACCAGCCCCAGGAGTCACCTCAATTTAATCAGCGGTAGTGGATTAGTATTAGTTACCTGGGGGATCTTGTTTCTATTCAATCTAGACTGGAGAGCAGGAGAAAGAAAAAGGCCAAGAATGCTTTGGGTTTCAGAAGGCCCCAAAACTGATCTCAGAAAGAGGAGTGGGAAGGTGGTGACTGAGTTCCACAGAATGAAGTTCACCCAGAAGGAATGTAGGTTTTAACAGCAATGCCAGCAAGGTGTTAAGCTCTCGGCTGGAGTGGAGAGGTCCAGTCACATCTCTTGGGGTGGTGGGAAATGTTGCTTTCTGAAGTCTCACTATGAGGCCTCAGAATAAGTGTACTGCTCTGCGCTGATCTCCCAGCTGCTTCAAAGCACCCCCCCTTCCCTTTTTGAACAAGGCAAGGTAAAATAACTAGGCAAAATATATCCATACCAAGGTCATCTGGAAGGCACAATTGTGTCCAGTGATGTTTCTCGCAACTCTAGCATACCTAGGGTTATTCCTCTCTACCCCCTTTCTTCTCAAGCCCTTCTTTAAGTGCTCTCATTGTTTTGGCTTTCTGTACTCCAGTGTGGCAGCTGATAGACAATAAATACACTGCTCTGGGGATGAATTTCAGATGCTGAGTCTTCCAGCAGATTTGAAACTTAGACAAGTATCTTCTCCCATTCCTACTTTTTATTCCTTATAATTTCTGAGAAACTTTCCTGCCAGCAGACTTCTCAGACAGTGACAAACTGAATCCTCATTAAAACAAAGAAAGGTTAAGGGAAAAAAATAACCTATATAAAATGAGGTAACTCACTTGTCTTTCAGCTATAAATTGACAATAGGGTTTATATAAATCCGTAATTGTATCTCTTTTACCTGCAGTTAGGCTAGTTAATGATGAAAAAAGTATACAGCTGATCATGTGGCTTTAATGAGGATTCTTTTTACAGAGTTAAAAAAATCCACCAAATTAAATTCTGCCAATTTACTTCATTGCAAATTGAGCACCACCCTGTGAGCAAAAAAAAAAAAAAAAGAAAAGAAAAAAATCATCAAGTAGCTTAAATCAGTTACAGCTAAATGTGTAAGTCAGCATGTGCTTTAGCCTTTAGTCATGAAGAATATATTAGATTTTAAAAATAAATGGCTTTCTGCTGAGTCTTCATTGCGGTGGCTTTCTGACTTTTAATTAAATTTTCAGTACTTGTGGATGCTTCCTCATGTACTCTGGCCACAGAGCTCGCATTGCCTCCATCATTAAGTGGAGTGGAAAACCAAATTGGAGATTATTAAGCTTGTTCATTTCTTTGTTATCAGTAGCTGGTGGCTCTCTCCTTTTTACTTGTTAAATAAGGATGGAGCTTTCTACTAAGTTATTTTCCAAGAACGAAATAAGCTCTCGTAAACAGAGCATGATTAGCCCTAATGCGGGAGCTTGTTAAATGTTCCTCATTATACATTTCTGGTCTGTTTCATCAGTGTTAAATGAACTTAATGTAAATTAATAAAAACAGGTTTGCATTATTTGTAACAGGATTGAGAGTAAAGAAGAAAACTGTAAGCAACACTAAACTCAGCAACTAATGTCAAAGTTTGCACTTTTTCTCTGCTGCCCTTTCTGTTCTATGGAATTGAATAAATTGTTTGAAAAGCTTAATATTTAATCTGTTGGAATGGAGCATTGCAGTTTAGGTATTACATTAGAGACTTTAATTGCTAGTTTGGTGCTTTTCTGCAAATTTTGTGTTTGCTCCTTTTGAACTTCCCAGAAATAAAGAGATTTATGAAAATCAAGTATTATTGGAGGGACCAATCTTGAACAAAGGAATTTTAATTTTTATACCAACAGGGTCAAGAACATAATTTTGGCTATAGAACCTAATGGTTGGTTTTAAATTCATATTTGTTTTGATTTATAAAACTGAGTTCATTGCAGATGCTTCAAGGCAAATGTGTTATGTAAAATTCACATTGTTTTAAACAGTGACATTCTTAAAACACAAGGCTGTTTCTCCTAATTAAAGAGAAACCAAACTGAAAAGACACTTAAACATGCACAGAAAGTCAAAAAGCTAAGGGCTACTAATCTAAATGATAAGATGATTTAGCTCTGATTTGCAGAATTAGATGCCCATGAGCAAGTTAGAATAATTGGGGATCCCAGCATTTAAATTTTTAGGACCTTTATTAACTAAAGTATAATGTGCCTAAACTGCAAACTCCTTTGGAGAATATTGTTAGGAAAGTGAGGCTGCTATGACTTCGACTTTGTGGTTTTTTTTTTTTGTTTTTGTTTTTGTTTTTTTTTTTTCAGACAGAGTCTTGCTCTGTCACCCAGGCTGGAGTGCAGTGCTGTGATCTCGCCACTACAACCTCCGCCTCCCGGGTTCAAGCGATTCTCCTGCCTCAGCCACTGGAGTAGCTGTGATTACAGGGGCCCACCACCATGCCCGGCTAACTTTTGTATTTTTAGTAGAGACGAGGTTTTGCCATGTTGGCCAGGCTGGTCTCTAACTCCTGACCTCAGGTGATTCACCCATCTTGGCCTCCCAAAGCACTGGAATTACAGGCGTGAGCCACCGCACCCGGCCTGTGGTTGTTGATAGAGTTAGTGGAATATCTGTATGTGGTGGTTGTGGTTATTTGATTACAGTCACAGACATCTTAATGCTCATGAAGTCTGAGCAACTGTTTAAAATATAGTGAAATCAAGAAAAAATTATAAATTATGAAAAACACGTCATGCAATTGTGGATGCAGTTCCATTTTAAAGGAATTTTTTGGAACTTTACTTTTCATTGAAAATTATGTAGTTCCTTGGACAAAGAGTGCATATTAAGTATTTGTTTAACATTATTGGTAACATATACAGCGAAGTCTTGATTTTAACTAGAATTCTTAGAACATGTCATCCTCACAGCCCAGAATGGTGAAAGCAAAGGAATGTATACCATAAATATCCACCGTGGCAGATGTAACTGATGGTTCACAGTGCTCTTTCCTGCTCAACCTACATTAGCTTCAGAATTCTTCTCAATACAGTAGCCCAGGCAGTTCCTACCAATAGATTGCAGGTGTTTTGTGAGAGGAAGCCTTGTTTGTCATCTCTATTATAATTAGTGATTTTTTTTTTTTTTTTTAGATTTAGTTAGGAAATCTTTGGCTGAAACATTTTAGGTCACTTCCTGCCTTATTAGAGTATGATGAACACATTTTCATTGTCACATCATTATTCATTAAATTTTCATTTCCTGAAGATTTTGTTTTGATTCTATACTGTCATTATTATAATGAATATTATTTTCCCAATGAATTATATATGTAGAAAGTATAACAGATTAGAATGAAATTGAACCAAACTTAGGATATGTACTAGAATATTCCCGTTCTTCCCTGTCTTCTTTCTTCCCCTCTTTCTTTCCTTCCCTTCTTTCTAACAAATTTTTGATTCATTGGGGATTCGATCAGAAATCCAAGATATAATTTAAGTTTCCCAAAGCATGACTTAGAGGAAAGACAGAACACAGTCCTTCTAAAATGTCCAGGTGATCCTAAAGTGTGGTCCATTTGGCTTTGTCTTAGGAACCATCTACTTTGAACTTTAGCCTCATTCTGCTTTTCTATTCTCTGTTTATCTTCTGTCCTATTCAGCTTTGTCTTATCCTCTGACGTTTCCATGCTGCCTTCCTCGTTACCAGCTCGCTCGTATCCCGGGTCCTACCATGGAATTAAGATACACGTAGCTCTCTCCTCCCTGCACTCCCCAAGTAAAGCATTAAAGCTAGATTCTGCTTAATTGACAGCTTTTAGTCACAGACCTCTATCTAGCAGAGTTGACTAAATGTCTTAACTAAAAAAACAGCAGACAAGCACTCATTCTTGGTGGTATGTAATAAGGACCACCAGTAATTCAATGCGTGTGTGAGGGTAAAGGTCACAGGGAGAAACTGGGACCTTTCAGAACAACTTCAGAAATTGAACTGCTGCCTTAGTATAAAGAAAATAAATTTAAGGACTTGACATGTGGCCGACATGAAGAATAAATATTGAAACAATAAACGACTCTAGATTTGTGCAAGAAAAAACACAAAATAAACTTAAGTGGTACACCAAAAAGTGGTTAGAAAATATCCTTCAAAAATGGGAAAAAAAGGATGAATTATATATGTCTGTAAAGTAATAATAATAGTGATGATGATGATGATAGAAAATATTAATTAAACACTTACTATGAGATAGGTACTATTCCAAGAATTTTACGTATGTTAAGTCTTTCCATACTAAAAAACTGTAGGGGTAGCTACTATTACTATCCCTATTTTATGAATAAAGACACTGAGTTACGAAGATAGCAAATGACTTGCTCAAATAGCTAGTAGATGACAGAGTTGGGAATTGAATCCTGACTCTATAGCCCATGTGTTCTTTGGTTGCAGTTCCCAAAAGTTAGAGTGCTGTGTTTTTCTCTTAGCATTCTTGAACTTAATCTAAGAAAGGAGCTATGTAGGTACAGTCACTGCCCCATGAGCCAAGTTCTTTTGGCAGAAAAAATGATGCTACAGAGTAGGGTAAAAATAGAAGCTTCTGGAGACTGACAGATTATGGGAATATTGCCCAAAGAGAATTCATTTTTATCAACCTAATGGTGCTGACTTCCAGGAAATCAGAATAAAAATAATTCAGAAAAGCATCATCAAATCTCTGACTTTTGGATAAAACTGGACATAAACGTAGGATAATACTTTATTACCAACTTCTCTTATTCCTTTTGTGATTGAGTGTTGGGGTAAGAAATACAATTACTAGTTACTTATTGGATGGCATGAAGATTTTTACAGACATCAGAGGAGGTGAGTGACCAAAATTAGAGTTTGTGCGAATAGAGGCTGGCACTAGGTGTGGAGCTGGGTTAGGAGCCACCAACTGGTTGGATAGGGGTTGTGGAAGAAGTAATGCAGATGAAACTAGAAGGTGCAAGTAGGCACGCAAACAACCTAGTGTAATGGTGATGGCAGGCACCGGGGCAGAGGAGGTCTGCCATTGGTTGCCTCTGCTGATCATTTGACACAGCTAATTGTGGCCCTGAAATAACCACTTGCTTTCAAGGGCCTTCACTATGTTTTGAACTGATTCTAACAAATTACCATTTTGAAATAGATTAATGTCCTTTTCATAGTTCTTCAACATTCAATATATATGAGGTCTTGTGTAGAATCATAAGATGAACATAATAACCCTTGTAGATAGATTTTTTAAATTATGGGATTTTAAATTTTTTTTAGAATTTAAATTTTTTAGAATTTTAAAATTTTTAGATTTTTAAAAATTTCTTTTAGCCCTACTCATTCCTCCTAATATTAGCCATGTTGATGTAGTTGAGGGTTGCCTGGACAAGAGCCACATGCTATCTATTTAATTTTGTTTAAATTATTTTCTGCCACCTTTCAGGCATGCACTAAAAGGCCCTAGGTAGGAGCTAGTTTGCACAGTTACATTATTATCTTTACCATTCATCATTCTGCTCATTGGCTATTTATAAAATAAATGTACATAATGTGCCTAAAAATATGAAATAAGAACTTGAACAAAATTGATAAAGAAAATGAGAATCTGTAATTCTGACTTCTCAAATATATCTCCAGTTTATTTAAGGGAAAAAAAGAAAGGCAAAGAAAGGAACATTTCTTATTCATGTAATCTTAGGAAAATCTTAACAGGTGGTGAGATTTCTTCCTAGAATGCAACGTACTCTCCTCAGTTGAAAGTAATTCTTGTGATGTTTAGCGGAAATGAGCATTGCCATGGAGGCTGCTCTGCTGGGCTTCCTTTGGAGAGTTCTTAGAAGAACTTTGTGTGGTTTTCATTCATGTGTGCCAATTTCATAGATTTTCCCAACATAAAATTCAAAAGGCAGAAGGAAACCTAAGTCCACTTAAAAATAATGGTGTGTATTTTCTTCACAACATTTTCAGAGTGTAGTTTTCTCAGAATCTGTTTGGTTCTTGGGTCACACTGACAGGGCCAAAGGCCCACACACCACCATTCATTCATTTTCCCCATCCTGCCCTTCTTTCATTTATCCTGCAAAACAGTCCATGAATGAATCAACTGGCAACATTAGGAAGCCATGCAATGCAACAAATGATGTCATAATATTAATAGCTACAATTTATTAAATATTAAATGCACAATCAACAACAGGTGCTTCACCTGTACTTTTTTTTTTTTTAACATTCTCATGGCAACCTTGCAAGACAGATACTATCCCTATTAGTTGGATGAGAAAGTCAAGACTCAGAATAAGTTAAGTGATCTGCTAAGGTGTCCCAACTGATAGGAGGTGGAGCTGGGGTTCAAAACAATGTCTGCTGGATTGTAAACCCAATGCTTTCAACACGACACTTTTCTGCTTCCTTACATTACCTGCATTAAAAAATTCTGTACTGCCCAATTCCTGCCAGAAACAAAAGGACAGCCATGCCATATTACCAAACTAAGAGTTGCAAGGGGCCTGCCAGCCTCCTTCTTAGTTGTCAGTTATTTCTGACTACTAAGAACTAATACTTTGGTTATGTGCTTAAAAAATAGGCTTTCCCAGCCAGGCGGGTGGGTTGGCTAGATAGGATTAAGGCACAGGGACTCTTTACCAAGCAAGGTGCTCCTTCCTGTCAGAACACATTTCTGTAGAGCCCTGCAGTCTGCAAGCTGGTAGCACCTCCTCCTGCTTCTGCCTCCTAGTGGGCTGTCTGAGGGAGGCTATACATATGTATTAAGTTATTAAGCGGTGGTATGGGTTCTCACAAGTTCAAACACAAAGCATGCTGTGTCCCTGCTCGAGCATCTCCAGGAGGGCCTGGATTAATAGAAATGCAAATGGAGCATCTGCACAAGGCCATATGATTAGAGCCTCTCCCTCACACCTCAAAGTCAAGAGCAGAAAAACACTGCATGTGAAATACAACAAAAAATGGTGATATAATATGCAAAGTCTGTTACCCATTTCAACAGCAGTCAACAAAACATTTCTACTCACACCACTCAGAACAATTCTGCCCCAACTTTATTATGTAAGCTAATGTCTTTCCTCAGGATAAAATTGCTGTTGGCTCGTTAGAGTCCCTATTGACTGCTTTATTGCTTAAGACTCTCTGCACACCACTGTTGGGCCCACTCGAGAAATTTGCTGTTAAAAGAAGCAGGGTTTTAATTTTTTACCTCTGCTCTTTTCCTCTCCCTGGGATAGAAATGCAACGGTCAATGAAGCCCTAAGGGATAGTGAGGCGGGTCTGCCAGGGCTGGTCTTGGAGCCTCAGTCTGGTGGGAGTCATAGGCTGGTTTGGGCTATTAGGGCCCAGTCACAGGTTTCATCTCCATTTGAGTCAGGTAGCCTCACTCTGTTTTTGTGGCTGCACTCTTAATTCTGTACACTGGCAGATATCACTATGTGACTCTCAGGATGCGGACCAAATCCCAGCATGTTGGCACAGTAGTGTTCCATATATGTTTGTGGGATGATTGAATGCTTGACTGAATAAATGAAAATAAAATCTGCTTGCCTCTCAGTGCATGATGTGGTCAGGAGGGTATCCGTGTGAGGGAGTGTGGATGATTTAGTGCAGCCATCCCCACTGGAGAAAAACTCAAAGCTCACACGTGACTGTCCTTTCTTTGTCTCTTTCCTTTCTACGAGTGTTCTCCCTCCCTGAACCCAGCCTTCTTTACTTTAGCTGGTTGATTTGGTATACATATGCCAATATGGCTTTGGGAAATAATCTTTCCCTAATCATGACCCTCCAATCATATCTCACTTATAATTGAGTGAGTGAATCATTGTTCTTGCCTGTCTCAGAGAAGCAGGGGGCATTTATGTGGCTGAGAGTGAGTCATGGCTAGGGATGAATTCTGAGGTGACCCCGATACCTGGATATTTGGTATTTTCTGTATTCATGCAGCTTTATGCTTTGAGTGGCTGCTGAGCTGCTGGAGATGCCATACACTCATCAAATTGGATGCTTATATTTATTCTTAGTTATATTTCTAGAGAATGTTATTCACCAGAGAACATTGCTTGCAAGTTGTCGTAGTAGATTTTTTTTTTTTTTACCTTATTCATACAAAGCAACCCATCTTACCTTCCTTTCCCCCCCAGTTTACTGTCTGCCTGAACATTGTTCTGCATCTCTCATCTGGGACACAGCTGCATTCCTCTGGTCTCTAGGCTCTTTCCCCCCATTCAGTTATATGCATACACACTTCTTCTAGATCCATTCTTCTAAAACATAGCTCTGACTATATCACTCCTCAGCTAAACACCTCAATGATTTTCCATTGCTTAATAAACAAAACACAAGCTTCTTATTCAGACATTTAAAACTCTCTGGAATCTGGCCCCAAGCTGAATTTTCCAACATTTTAAATTACCTACACTCCATTTACACCACACAATGTATAGGTCCTTTTCTCTATAAACTCCTAAACACCATTTACTTCACTTGCAGTGAAATTCTTTCTGTGGTCCATCCCCACTTTCTGACCCACTCTTCAGGAAGTATCTTAGCTGTCACCTGCGGTTGGAAGCCTACTCAAATGCATCCCTGTGATTTCTTTGTGTGCCTGCCTTTTGCATTTTGTCCTCTTTTTGGCCAACATCCCACTTTCCCTACAATTCCAGGTAATGCTGATCGCTTGGATAGGTATGCAATAGAACAAATTTTATTTACTGAACAAATGAAAGAATGTTGAATGAATGTGCATCTCTGTCATCTCCCCTTAGAGTTTGTGACGACCCTGAGGAGGCAGCAGTGTGATGTAGCAGAGACTGAGTCTCGGGGTCAAAAACTGGGGCTGGAGTCTCTGCTTGGCCGTTTATGAACTGTAGGAGCTTAGACAAGCTGCCTAACTTCTTTGTGTCTCACCTCTGTCAATGCTTGTTGAATGCATGAGCTTATGTTGTGGATTTTTTGTTGTTGTTGTTCATATGCATATTCTTTACTGCCTGGAAATGCTGAAAGGCAAAGTATTGCTTGTCTTACAGATACGGAATATTCTCTTCACATATAAATCATTTCATGAACTGACATCATAATGTACACTACAGACCTAGTAAGATTTCATTTGAAAAATAATGAGTCAGGTAAGTATCCTATGATTGCACTAGCATCTACCTCTTTGAAAACTGTGAACAATGGAAACTACACACTTGCTTTTAAAGACTATACATTTTGATAGTTTAACTAATTTGGAGATCTACTAATAGAAATGACACAGTGCTGCTAATCTAAGTGTCTACAGTTAGTAATTTATTGGATAAAGGAAGAAAAGGAGGGAAAAGTTTTCACAGTGATTTCTTGCATCTGCAATCCTAAATCTAATTTAGTATTAGTGCTCCTGACAGGAAAAGAAATTTCAGGGCAGTTACTCACACTTTTGAAGGTTTTATTTGGCTTAACCTCAGAAATAACTGTAGTGATGGAGCTGAGTGCTCTCAGATGTGGGTTTTCTCTCTGAAATAATGGACTCTTGAGTTCCTTCTTTCCCTAAAATTAGGTCCAAGATGCTGTAGAGCCTTCCTGAAGAGTGGCTTTAAGTACCTTGTGATGTTAAAGAAAAAAAAAAAATCCCCCGCCCACTTACGTGAATACATATAAGAAACTGGGAAACCTCACTGACCACACAGTAGATTTTAACATGATGGACAGTGGGCCTTGTTGGGGCCACATGTTCCTACTGCCAGCACCCCGCTTGTGAGCCAGTTCTGAGCTTTGTGCTGCGGCCACTGAGTTATGGTGAGAGTTCCACCTGTGTCTCAGATGCTCTCTGGGAGGAGGCATTTCCATGTTATTTACAGCATTGTCTCCCTTTTCATGGCATTTGTTCTTTTCTTTCGAAACTTCCCTCTGGCCACTTGTCAAACTGCAGTAGGAAACATAAAACCGGGAAGCACACACTTTCTTTTGGGGATGAGATAAATAACTAAACAAGAAATAGTCATTCACCACAAACACCACTGGTGTAATATTACATTATGTCATAGCACTGGCAAAAGGAGAGGTTCTGGCTTTGGTATGGGATGTAACTGAGCACAGGGCTAAGTTGTTTTTTGTTGTTTATTTTTGTTTTTTCCTGTGTCTGATATTGTCCTATGAGAAATCTCTAAAAAATCACTAGTATTTTTATAGTTATTTACAACTTACAAAGCACTTCCCACACAATTTTAATGTTTAATAGAGCATCCCTGTACACCTGGTGTTATTATTATTTATATTTTTCTGATGATGAAACTGAGGCAGCAAAGTCCCACAAGTTAAGTAGTAGAAGCCATGGAGCACCGTGTAGTGGTTACAGTCCTGCCAACAGTGGCTCTCAGAAACATCAGGACTTGGAGCTGCATGCTCAGACTAATGAGAACCTGGAGCATTAGATGGGGACTGGTTTCCAAAGCCTGGGAAAGAGCTGGCCTGAGGGTTCCAGACCAGATACTCTAGGGAGATTTGACACAGGGATAAGAAGCCCAACTAAAATCCAGGCAGAAGGTGAATACAGCTGTCATTCTGAGAAAGCCGCATGACTAAGCAGAGCAGGGGAGGAGGTTACAGGACAAAACCTGTGCCCCCACACCAGGATGCAAGGGTTTAGATTAAAGATAAGGAGTTGGAGCTTGGTGGGAATCTCTTAGTCATTGAGAAATAGCTGCAGGTGCTTTGTGTAGAGTATTGTAGCCTTGACCATGGGTAGGGTGGAGCAGCCTCAGATGTCAGATCATGAATTTGGGAACACTGAGTTAAGTCTTAGGAATGACATTGAGGGGAGATACAGACAAGAAAGTGAAGAAACATTTGAATACATGTTATGGGTTGGAAATCTAAATGTCATTACCCCTAGGAATTTCCAGGCCATCTCTTTTTTTCTTCCTTCTTTCCTCTCCTCCTTTCATTTCCTTATCTCTCTCTATCGCCCCTCCTTCCGTCACCATATTTCTTCATTACGTTTCTTGTAGTACAGCTATTTGGCACTGTGCCAGAGACTGTTAGGCTCTGGGGTTGCAAATGTGACCTAGAAAAATATTTACAAATCTTTTGTCAATGAGGAAAGCTACGTGGTTACCTTTGGATTACCTTTGTCCAAAATTTTCAACTTTTCACTTCAGGTAGGTGAATTTATGGACTGAAAATAAAAACAGTAACTTTGGGTACTTATCCTGAGTCTCTATGATTATATGTGTGTGCACATGTGCATGCATAAAGAAATTATAGCTTACTGATTAGGGTGTTTTAATGTGATAAGGAAAACCTGTTCTTTGAGATCACACACTTTTCCTCTCTTTTGTAATTTTCATGTAGCTCATCTCATTTACGTAAACTCAATAAATCCTTCCTTGCTGATCTATTATTTTTTTATTTACTAACTTCAAGCTTTCTCCTAATCTCTGGTCCTGAAAATAATGATTTGTATTTCAGTATTTTAAATTCTGAAATACTCTTCCTGTATGATTTCAAACAACCCCTTATCAGCCTTCACCTTGCCCTTTGTTATAGAAGAAAAAGTGGTTTGAGCTTGAATAATGGAGACTGGCTTTCTTTTTTTTTTTTTGTTATACTTTAAGTTTTAGGGTACATGTGCACAACTGCAGGTTTGTTACATATGTATACATGTGCCATGTTGGTGTGCTGCATCCATTAACTTGTCATTTACATCAGGTATATCTCCTAATGCTATCCCTCCCCCCTCCCCTCACCCCACGACAGGTCCCGGTGTGTGATGTTCCCCTTTATGTTCCCCTTACTGTGTCCATGTGTTCTCATTGTTCAATTCCCACCTATGAGTGAGAACACGCGGCATTTGGTTTTTTGTCCTTGCAATACTTTGCTGAGAATGATGGTTTCCAGCTTCATCCATGTCCCTGCAAAGGACATGAACTCATCCTTTTTTATGGTTGCATAGTATTCCATGGTGTATATGTGCCACATTTTCTTAATCCAGTCTATCATTGATGGACATTTGGGTTGGTTCCAAGTCTTTGCTATTGTGAATAGTGCCGCAATAAACATACGTGTGCATGTGTCTTTATAGCAGCATGATTTATAACCCTTTGGGTATAGACCCAGTAATGGGATGGCTGGGTCAAATGGTATTTCTAGTTCTAGATCCTTGAGGAATCGCCACACTGTCTCCCACAATGGTTGAACTAGTTTACAGTCCCACCAACAGTGTAAAAGTGTTCCTATTTCTCCACATCCTCTCCAGCACCTGTTGTTGACTTTTTAATGATCACCATTCTAACTCGTGTGAGATGGTATCTCATTGTGGTTTTGATTTGCGTTTCTCTGATGGCCAGTGATGATGAGCATTTTTTCATGTGTCTTTTGGCTACATAAATGTCTTCTTTTGAGAAGTGTCTGTTCATATCCTTCACCCACTTTTTGATGGGGTTGTTTGTTTTTTTCTTGCAAATTTGAGTTCTTTGTAGATTCTGGATATTAGCCCTTTGTCAGATGAGTAGATTGCAAAAATTTTCTCCCATTCTGTATGTTTCCTGTTCACTCTGATGGTAGTTTCTTTTGCTGTGCAGAAGCTCTTTAGTTTAATTAGATCCCATTTGTCAATTTTGGCTTTTGTTGCCATTGCTTTTGGTGTTTTAGACATGAAGTCCTTGCCCATGCCTATGTCCTGAATGGTATTGCCTAGGTTTTCTTCTAGAGTTTTTATGGTTTTAGGTCTAACATGTAAGTGTTTAATCCATCTTGAATTAATTTTTGTATAAGGTGTAAGGAAGGGATCCAGTTTCAGCTTTCTACATATGGCTAGCCAGTTTTCTCAGCACCATTTATTAAATAGGGAATCCTTTCCCCATGATTATCTCAATAGATGCAGAAAAGGCCTTTGACAAAATTCAACAACACTTCATGCTAAAAACTCTCAATAAATTAGGTATTGATGGGACGTATCTCAAAATAATAAGAGCTATCTATGACAAACCCACAGGCAATATCATAGTGAATGGGCAAAAACTGGAAGCATTCCCTTTGAAAACTGGCACAAGACAGGGATGCCCTCTCTCACCACTCCTATTCAACATAGTGTTGGAAGTTCTGGCCAGGGCAATTAGGCAGGAGAAGGAAATAAAGGGTATTCAGTTAGGAAAAGAAGAAGTCAAATTGTCCCTGTTTGCAAACGACATGATTGTATATCTAGAAAACCCCATTGTCTCAGCCCAAAATCTCCTTAAGCTGATAAGCAACTTCAGCAAAGTCTCAGGATACAAAATCAATGTACAAAAATCACAAGCATTCTTATACACCAATAACAGACAAACAGAGAGCCAAATCATGAGTGAACTCCCATTCACAATTGCTTCAAAGAGAATAAAATACTTAGGAATCCAACTTACAAGGGACGTGAAGGACCTCTTCAAGGAGAACTACAAACCACTGCTCAATGAAATAAAAGAGGATACAAAGAAATGGAAGAACATTCCATGCTCATGGGTAGGAAGAATCAATATCGTGAAAATGGCCATACCGCTCAAGGTAATTTATAGATTCAATGCCATCCCCATCAAGCTACCAATGACTTTCTTCACAGAATTGGAAAAAACTACTTTAAATTTCATATGGAACCAAAAAAGAGCCCGCATTGCCAAGTCAATCCTAAGCAAAAAGAACAAAGCTGGAGGCATCACATTACCTGACTTCAAACTATACTGCAAGGCTACAGTAACCAAAACAGCATGATACTGGTACCAAAACAGAGATATAGATCAATGGAACAGAACGGAGCCCTCAGAAATAACGCCGCATATCTACAACTATCTGATCTTTGACAAACCTGAGAAAAACAAGCGAAGGGCTGTTGAATTTTGTCAAAGGCCTTTTCTGCATATGTTGAGATAATCATGTGGTTTTTGTCTTTGGTTCTGTTTATATGCTGGATTACGTTTATTGATTTGCGTATGTTGAAGCAGCCTTGCATCCCAGGGATGAAGCCCACTTGATCATGGTGGATAAGCTTTTGATGTGCTGCTGGATTCGGTTTGCCAGTATTTTACTGATGATTTTTGCATCAATGTTCGTCAGGGATATTGGTCTAAAATTCTCTTTTTTTGTTGTGTCTCTGCCAGGCTTTGGTATCAGGATGATGCTGTCCTCATAAAATGAGTTAGGGAGGATTTTCTCTTTTTCTGTTGATTGGAATAGTTTCAGAAGTAATGGTACCAGCTCCTCCTTGTACCTCTGGTAGAATTTGGCTGTGAATCCGTCTGGTCCTGGACTTTTTTTGGTTGGTAGGCTATTAATTATTGCCTCAATTTCAGAGCCTGTTATTGGTCTATTCAGGGATTCAAGTTCTTCCTGGTTTAGTCGGGAGGGTGTTTGTGTCGAGGAATTTATCCATTTCTTCTAGATTTTCTAGTTTATTTGCATAGAGGTGTTTAAGTATTCTCTGATGGTAGTTTGTATTTCTGTGGGATCGGTGGTGATATCCCCTTTACCATTTTCTGTTGTGTCTATTTGATTCTTCTCTCTTTTCTTCTTTATTACTCTTGCTAGTGGTCTATCAATTTTGTTGATCCTCTCAAAAAACCAGCTCCTGGATTCATTGATTTTTTGAAGGGTTTTTTGTGTCTCTATTTCCTTCATTTCTGCTCTGATCTTAGTTATTTCTTGCCTTCTGCTAGCTTTTGAATGTGTTTGCTCTTGCTTCTCTAGTTCTTTTAACTGTGATGTTAGGGTGTCAATTTTAGATCTTTCCTGCTTTCTCTTGTGGGCATTTAGTGCTATAAATTTCCCCCTACACACTGCTTTAAATGTGTCCCAGAGATTCTGGTATGTTGTGTCTTTGTTCTCATTGGTTTCAAAGAACATCTTTATTTCTGCCTTCATTTTGTTATGTACCCAGTAGTCGTTCAGGAGCAGGTTGTTCAGTTTCCATGTAGTTGAGCAGTTTTGAGTGAGTTCCTTAATCCTGAGTTCTAGTTCGATTGTGCTGTGGTCTGAGAGACAGTTTGTTATAATTTCTATTTTTTTACATTTGCTGAGGATTGCTTTACTTCCAACTATGTGGTCAATTTTGGAATAAGTGTGATGTGGTGCTGAGAAGAATGTATATTCTGTTGATTTGGGGTGGAGAGTTCTGTATATGTCTATTAGGTCCACTTGGTGCAGAGATGCATTCAATTCCTGGATATCCTTCTTAACTTTCTGTCTTGTTGATCTGTCTAATGTTGACAGTGGGGTGTCAAAGTCTCCCTTTATTATTGTGTGGGAGTCTAAGTCTCTTTGTAGGTCTCTAAGGACTTGCTTTATGAATCTGGGTGCCCCTGTATTGGGTGCATATAGATTAAGGATAGTTAGCTCTTCTTGTTGAATTGATCCCTTTACCATTATGTAATGGCCTTCTTTGTCTCTTTGGATCTTTGTTGGTTTAAAGTCTGTTTTATCAGTGACTAGGATTGCAACCCCTGCCTTTTTTTGTTTTCCATTTGCTTGGTAGATCTTCCTCCATCCCTTTATTTTTATCCTATGTGTGAGAGACTGGCTTTCTATAAGGACAACAATTAGACTGAGTAGCAACATATATTTTAAATTAATGTTCTCCATCAATAAACTTTTCCTTTACAGAACACACGACTATATAAAGTCTGCAATATTTAGGAAGATGGTAGAGGAGTACATAAAAAAATACAAGCTTATCTTGGAGCACCAACTGTTCATGTCTCTTTCTTTTCAGAGAATCTATGTGTTAATGGTCCTGAAAGAATGTTGAATGGGATATAGTTCTAAATCAGTGAGAGGTGTTATTATCTTTATCATCATTTAGCATTAACAGTTCATCAGCATGCACTTTCCTTAGCCCAAGATACCAATATTCATGGGACTGGGTAGGTTTAAGTTTTATCTTCATGAGCTTGTCACTGAGATTCAAGTACAGTTTATACTCCTGGAAAATACTACCTAATGTTCTAATTATGTATGTCTAATTCATTTGAACTCAGAAATTTCAAAATCCCCTGTGCATAGTTTTTCCAAATGATTGTCTGCATCAAAACTACGCAGGCAAAAGGAGGAGTTGTTAGGAAAATGGGAAGCTAGATTTGGGGCTCATATCATTTTCCATGCTAATCTCTTATCTTGGGAGCCCATTCTAGGAAACTGTCAGGAAGTAGATTTTCAGTATGTATATACCTGGATGTGAAGCTTTGCCAGTGGTCTTAGAGGAGGTGAACAGCAGCTGTGATCCCAGGAAATCCGCACGTCAGTGATATGGGGAAACAGCAATTCCTCCTGTCTACAAAGAGACTCTCACCTGAGATTATCCAAGGGCTGATTCATTGCATCTGTTGTCTATTTCATGAAAGAGAAAGAGGCAGCCAAGTAACATACTCCCATTTTACAGATAGGCTTACTAAAGTTATTTGTCCCAAGTTGTAGATTGGGGTCAATAATGTAACCTAATTCTGAATTTATCCTGTAGGTAATTTAACAACTTAAGAGATCAGCTAGGAGTATAAAATCATATAAATAAAAAAATATATTTACAGTGGCAATGAAATGCACATAAGGCCCCCTTGCTTTTCCAGTGCCCTCACCTCCCAAGTAAGTGTCTGGCTAATAATTATTTTGCATCTTTTTCTGTGGAGACAGATTTATTTCAGCCTGACATCAGGAGAAGATCGTTGGAGAGACTTGGAACCAGGTCTGAGAAGATGAACTGGGTCAGTTGGATTCTTCTGGGAAATTGAACAGGTTGAGTTGAGGAGGTGAAATTGAGGAGGTGGGACAGGACAGGTTATACTAAGAAATGTCTTGGAGTGGAGAAAGACCACGATGGACCATATGCAGGCTAAGGAAAGCCAAAGAAGCTGCAGATAGATGAGACGGGGGAGGAACCAGCAGCCAGCATGAATCATAGACAGAACACAAAGACCCTAAGAGAGATGGAGAGATGCATTGTTTCCCAGAGGACTCGGAAGGTAGAATTGCTGAATCCTGTTTCAGTTATCTAATTCCTTTAATGTCACTATCTTTTTTTTATTACTCCAATGTATCTTTGCATTAACTTAATTGTCACTTGCCTAACATTTTCTTGAGTCAGTTTGAGTGAGGTTCTGCTCGTTGCAATCAAATCAACCAGACATAAACACCTTTTACAAAAACAACACCCCTCCTTCCTTCAAAGAAACAACAACATTCCTCAGCATGGATTGCAAATCAGAGTTGCATTTACCTCTACGTGAGAAAAACATAGACAGTTGGCAAGAGCCATCTTGTTTTAGTCTACCAATTTATTGCTGTTTGATGCCTTTTGGTAACTCTGGTATAGATCAGATCATCTCAACTCGTAGTCCTCAACTAGCCTCTATTCAAGTGAGTAATCTGCAAATGATGTTTCTGAAAAACCTCAAAAGTGGAGCCTGAATTGACAGTGTTGTCTGGGGTCTTAGTGGTTTCTAATAATCCTGTCAAATTTCCTTGTAAAACTAAGAGAACTTTATTGATTAGGCCACTGCTGTTTGCAAGAAGGCAGGAGGATGGGACAAAAGAATAAGGCGGGGAAGAAGAGAAGGGAATAGAATAAACAACTGAGTTATGGTGTTTCTTAGCCACAAGTCATCGGATAAAACCCCTTGCTAAGAAAATATCTTGCTGTGCAGGTAGATTGTCGCACCTAGCAATGCCTCCTTCCGTCCCTTGGGGAGCTGGTGTGCTGAGTCAGAGGTTTCCAATAGCCCCACATAAGGTCAATGCATTAAGTGCCTCTGTTGCTTGCTAGACTCGGTTAGACCCTGCTGTGTTGCAGCTCTCCAAAGTGGCAGCAGAGAGAGACGGATCTGGACCTGTTCAGATTTCTTGAGAAAAGTTCTGAGGAGGGTATAATATGGGAAGGGCTATGGCATACTTTAGATAACCCAGATCTGAAACAGAAAACATCTCTTTCCATCATGAATTTGTTCACAGTGGTATTCTCCTGCTGTGTTCCTGAAATCAGCGTCTGGTATTCATGCTCTCGTTGCCAAATGATGGATCCCGGGCATTTCAGGTAACAAGCTACCTGCTGTCTGAGTGGAAGTATTTAAATGCCTGCTGTTTTTCATCATTCAGGTTGTTTCCCCCTATGTTTCTCCTGCTAGGGAGCAGGGCTGCCATATGTACAGGGCCACCTGGCTGGCAAAACATAAGAATCGTGTTTGGCGTTGGATTTATTTGATGGTGTAATATTCCTGGCAGCTGGGCTGGACTTGCTTTGGCAATTGTAAGAGGAAGGCATCGTCATTATGCTCTAATTTATTGAATATCCACTGGGTTCCAATGTAGGCTGAAAGATTGGGGGCCTATTAGTGTGATTAATATTGCCTGACAACTAATCTATTAGAATAGAATCATAATAAATACCTTGGCTATTAGCTTCAAACCTTAGTCTTCTGGCTTTAAGCATGGGTAAGCACTTGGGTTCTGGCATGGACAGGCATGGGTTTAGATTCAGGCTCAACTTCTGTTATGGTTTGGTCTGTAGCAAATTGCCTAGTTTCTCCAAGTCTCAGTTTCCCCTTTTGTAAAATAAGGATAAAGCAGTATTCATCTGACAGGGTTGTTTTGAGGATAAAGGGAGCCCTTGGCCTTATGTCTGCTGCATAATGAGCAGTCAATAAATATTTACTCTTTTAGCTTGTGTCAGATATGAGCAACTGGACACTTCTTTTCTCTTGCACCTTACTTGTTTGCAATGTTCAAAGTGTTAGGTAGCTTGTAGAAATGACATAAGACTTATTTTCTACTTTTTTGTTTAAATATTTTAGGAAACCAAGCTTTGCAAGATTCATGCCAGATCCAAAACAGTTCAAAGGAGTATAAATGCTGGCCTTTGTTGGTGGCTGTGCCTTTCAGAAAATACTATAGGCATATGAGACATGAAGGCAATGTGATCATAATTCTCTGTGTCATAAGTATCTCATTTGGGGTTATTTTTAGTTTTCTATTGGTGAATTTAATTTTAACAAATTTGTTTCATCTCTTCTGTTCCCACTGGCTACAGCCCTAGTTCAAGGTCTAGGAACATAAATTGAATCAAAGAATAATTGATACTTGGTTGAAAGTGACTTGAAAAGTCATTCATTTTTGTTGCAGGTGGTAGCTTGTTCTTTTTTCCTGTTTTGGGTGTCCTCTAGAGGTTCTGAAAAGATCTTATGGGAGAAGAGTTAAGAAGGCATTATATGAGGAAAAGAATAAGAAAGTCCAAAATAGATTTTTAAAGGAGTAAAGAAAGAAAACAACAGATGAAGAAAAAAATTAAAGGAAATTATTTGAGAAATTAGAATATACAATAATAAAGTATATGTTTGAATTATATTGCAACAGGAAATTTTCTGGAAGTTTCAGTATCATAATATTACCAAGTTTCATGAAGTATATTTTGAAATCAGCTTAAGCAGTCTCTGCTTTTTAGACGGCCCAGTGAAAGGAGTTTTCCCCTTCCAGGAAGCTGTTAAGGTTGTGAATATTATAATCAAGGCTTTGTTTCTGAAAGTATAATTTAGGGAATGTATATTTTATCTGATTTTTTCCTAAGTAAAGTATTTAGCTGCAAGTTGTGAGAATCACAAGAATAAATAATCATGTAGCTAACCAAGAGATTGTTCAGCCTTGAAAAAACCCAACAATGATATTGAAAAGGACTGGGAAGAAAAAGTAAAGATATAGATTCATATTTTTCACTTCAAGCACCAAAGTTGGATAGTTGAGCAATTAGCCTGTGCATTTTATGTTTCTGGAGAGATGAAAAATGAAGGCAGGCTTCATTTTAGTCTCTGCAGTCAAACATAGCCAGATGAAATGCCAAATTAACAGACCTCACTGGCAGCTGTAAACAAGCTAATCCTTTTATTTATTAGAGCAATAGGACATGCATAATACATTGGACTCTTGTTACCTGTAGAGAATTGCTCAGTGATAGCAAGATAGAGGCAGTACTAGTGGAAGAACATTTACATGACAGAAAATCTATATGTGTAGGAAAGAAGACATTAATCTAGTAGAAAATTAGGAATGATCCTGAGGAAACTCTTGGCCTGAGCCCGCCGAATTATTCACCATTAAGTAATTACTTCAGATGCAACAGGTGGCCTTGTAACCAACTCAACTCCTCCAACATAGGGAACTTCCTAATTATAATCATTTGGATTAGTAGTTTAATAAAATGCCCAAGGAAGAGAGTGAAGTCATAATTAAGGGATCCTTAAGGGAAAACTTTATAACAGAAGCCATTTGACAGAATTAGATCAGATCACTGGAGGTGATAATTTTGTGGAAGTATATGTCTTTTAGTAAGAAGGCGGATGTAAATATAGGTATGTCTTTCAGAAATAGCCATATAATGAATTTGATCCTAAATGCTTCTTTCAAATGCAGATGAAAAATCAGGATTCAGATCACCTAAGGGGGAAATATCCTCATGAGTTAATATCATAAAGTGGGCATTTCAGTTGGCCTTATGTAATGTAGGCACTTGGAGAACTTGTAGCAATTGTGAATCATTGAGGAGGGTGAGAAAGTGAAGATGGGAGATAAACATTTTCAATTCTTGATCCCCTATCCTCACCCTTTAAAATATGGCAGCCACACAATTTCTGAAGTATTTCAGAGCTGAGGGAATCAACTGGATAGAAATGTGGGCAAAAGTTGGGGCCCAATGTAATAAAATTCACTTATAAATAGAAATTTATTAAGTCTTTCTGTTGATTATGGAGGGCCCCCAGGAGCTCCAACTTTGGGCGCAGGATTCCAGATGTTGAGAGGCACAAGCTCTTCTGATTATGCAATGAAGATAAGATTATCTCTCTTCTCATCCACCTGCAGAGAAGCAGGATTTCTGTTTTGATTGACAAGGCTGTGTTTCTACTCGTACTTGGAAAAAACATGTTTTTATTTGTGTGGTAGACAACCTGTTTCTATCATTTATTTATTTCAGCTGACCTATGGATAATCCAGCCCCAGCCCCAGCCCCAGCCCCATTTTACAGATGAGGAAACTGGGACTTACTGAAGTCATGTATTTAATGAAGGGTTAAACTAGGATTTGAACTGAATCTCTTGATCTTAAGGCTGATGGTCTCATTTGTTCCATCATGCAGCTGCCTCAGGCCTGTGCTGTATCCCTTTATGCCACACAAGGTAAGGTTTTGATTCATGTTAGCACCATTGAGCAGATGATTGGTTGTGTTTGTGGGGTGATGGATCCTGCCTAACTTCCCTGAAGACACATACTTTATTCTCTGGGTAACAGTGTGGCCCTACCACCCCCACCCCCAAATTTGAGCATATAATTGTGGTGTCATTATCAGATTTTTAAACTTTGTGAGCAGATGAGGTGCAGCAAAGGAAAGAAGTAAGTTCTCAGTCTCCATTTTATGAGGATGGAACAAAGTGAGAGGGATAAAAATTCTTGACACAGGTAGTGTCATTAAAAAAGAGTTAAGGCAAAGCCCCAGATTTTGGCCTCTCCTATCAGTGCCCTTTCCACCAGCCCCTGAAACCACCATCTACTTTATATTAAACCAGAAAACTTCATGTGCTAATCTAGAAAACCCTCCTTCTAAGCCCAACTTGCTGTGTGGTTAACAAGGAAAATTCCTTTAAAATGGCTTTTTTCTTACTCGGTGTTTTTAGCATCAAGTATAGTTATTTACATATTTTCATTTGCTACTCGATTTATTTTGGAGACTGACACTTTTACAAGCTGACATCTCAGCATACAGACACTTCTACTTTGCTGAATGCAGCCAATAGTACTTACTTGATGCCACGCTGAGCAAAACCTAGTTAAAGGTTTCTCTTTGTGCAGCAATCCATCACTCCTTTTACAGTTCTTCATCTGGATGAGTGTAAAGTGCCTCCTAATTTTGGCATCTGCTACCTGCCTTTCTGGCTGCTGCCTGTCGCTTCCTGATATCACTCTGTCAGGTAGACTCTTGAGGATTTCATTGCTACTCAGTTGTAGCAAATTCAAAATTGTTTAATAGTTTTTTTAAACTCCTATTAGAATAATTATGATGGACGAGTGATTAATAGGCAATTAGGTATTTAAGTAGAAAACTGATCAGTTACTGTCAGTTGGTTATTCATTTATTTATTCTATTTGAAAAACATTTATCATTTGCCTTTAATGTATCATAAGATTTAGGGAAAAAGAAGTGCCACTTCCCTCAAGGAGCTCTCAGTATAATGAACAACGACATGGTCATCTGTTTGATAAACCTCTGGAATAGGTCACTTTCCCTCCAACTTTTCCATCCCTGCTGCTTCTTTCTTTTCTTCCATGTCTTTCTTTGAGGGAATAGTGTCATACAGAGAGACCTACACTATAACCTCATTCTATGGCTTTTCTCAAACCAAAATGTAACTGTCTGTGCTCCTTTCTCTTGGGCTCTGTTTTCTTTTTTTGGGGAAAATGGACTAATAATCTGATAAATAAACTTATATTAGTGTGTTCATGCCATACACTTCCAGGTGCCAGATGTGACTTTTGAGGGGGTAAAGTTTTTAAGGTGCTATGGACATATAAAACAGCATTTTTTAGGTCAGATGTTGGTTAGGCTGCTTTATTAGCAACTGAAACAATTCATGCTTAAACAAAATAGTAAAATCATTTCCCTCTTATGTGAAAGTCTGAGCTAGTCTCAGGGCAGTAGGGTAGCTTTGTTCCATGAGCTGATCCAGAGGTTTGGATCCTCTCTATCATGCTGTGTCTCTGTCCTCAAAGGTGTTGACCTCATCTCAATGGCTGCTGTCATACCAGGGTTTCATCCCACAAGGAGTGGAAAAGAAGACATGGACAGTAAGCAGTTTCCATCAAGGGCATGACCTGGAAGTTGTACAAATCACTTTTGCTTAAATCTTATTGGCCAGAATAAACACCAAGGTCACAGGTGTTTTATTCAAATACTGGAAAATATAGTCCCTAGCTGGGCAATTATATGCCTAGCTAAAACTCCAGAGAGAACTTTCATTAACAAAAAGAAGACGAGAGTGAATATTAGGGAAAATTAGCACCTCTGCCTCAATGTATGTGTAGAATCTTTCAGAAGGGAAGGGGTATATGGACTATCTGAACTCAGAGGTGATTAAAACAGAAACAATGACCCTGTAATGCAATATTTCATTGTAAGTGGTTAAAAACCGATTATGTTTCAATTGGCTGCCAATATATTACTTCCATTCAATGTTTTCTGAGGAATACCTGGTCACTAAAAACATCAATTCCAGCTGAAATTTGGCACATTACCTCTTTAAGAAGTGGTTTTATTTTGTTGAGCGCACCTGAAATGTCTTACTATTCCCTTGAATTTATCTGTATATGTCTAGTTAGGCACCTCTGGTCAGCCTATTGACCAGAGCTGTTTTCATAATGATGATTGCTTATACCCTGCTATGGAATCAAAGTCATTCTCATCTAATTTGTTTCAAGCCCTTTCAACAAATATATAATGAGTGCCTACTATGTGTCCGGTATCAGGTGGTGATATAAAAAGGTTCACTCTCTTTTTCAGAGTCTCACAAGGTAGGAGGTCAGACTGACAAAAACATAAAAAGCTTTGAATACAGGGTGGACTGTGACAAGTACTGTGCTAGAAACACAAATGAAGTGCTACAGGAACACAGGAACAAAAGGCAGTTCTGAATATGAGAGGCAGAGGAGACTTCATGAGGCTGTGAGATTTAAACTGGAAAAACGGATGGCATTTTATTTGGCATGAGTGGGACAAAAGCTCTTCCTGGCAAGCTTACACTTAAGTAGACTGATGTTGCTGGAACTTAGTGGGTAAAAGCCAGGGGAGGGGAAGAGAAGACTGTTGTGAAATAAGTTTGTATACATTAATTTTGGAGTCAAATCATGGAGGTCTTTGCATACCAAAGGAAGAAGCAGCTAAGAAAACTCTGGGAGCAATGTGTGGGATAGCTTGTATTGCTATATACCAGGGCAGAAGTGTACGTGTGTGTGTTTGGAGGATGTGGGGTTTTTGCAAAAGAGGGACTAATTGAGAGGTGATATTACTGGTTTAAATGAGAAGAATTAAGAGTATAAATTAGGACTCGGGCATAAGTATGGATGTGGCACAAAGATTATGAGAATTTGATAACAACTGGCTTCGAGGGTGAGAGAGAGAGACTAGGATTGTCAGTTTTCAAGCCTGTATTCCTGAAAAGGTGATAGCATTAATCAAGATAAAAAACATAAGTTAACTTGTGTATGTAACTGGAGATATTAATAGCCACTACCTCCCACAGCTATTGTGCAAAGGATATCAAAGGACCTTGGAAAACAAAGTGCCAAATGAAACGCGAGATGACATTTTAACTTACACATCCGGTGGGCTGTCTGCAATGCTCCTCCCTGGTGACAGGGACCATGGCTGTTTTATTCCCTGCCCCCGTATACCCAGTGTGTGGAAGAAGGCTAATGAATTTTAACACAAAAGGATCCACAAAGTCCTTAGTAAAGAAACATGTTAAATTTTGTTTAACCCAGTATTTCATTTGGCCCTGAACCCTTTTGATGAAGATATCCTGTAAATGTCTCACAGAGTATTTTCTAGAATACCCTTTGAGAAAAACTTTGCTAGGGTGATGTGGGATTCAGAGTTAAATGAATAAGATAAAAATTCTAAAGGGAGGAGAGAACTGGTATAAGTCTCTGCGTCTGTCTGTCTGTCTGCATATCTTTCTCCATCTAGCAGAACTAAAGGCAATGAGATCTTTGGAAGAAGTGTCCCTTAGCAAAGACATAGCCACAAAGAGGAATGAATGACTGACCTCTTCCCCCACACCTGATCACAGGTTTTAAAAGACTCACCATCAATTTTAAAATGTGTCTTTAAAGCTCTAAGTATGGCCCTAGGACTTTACTCTTTAGACTCAAGTTCAAGATGATGGTCACAAGCATGTCCTGGAGGCAGTTTTCAGCACTTTAAAAGCTTCATTTAGTTTTCAAATGTTTATCTGTGCTCCCAGCACCCTGGAAGGCCAAGAGAGGCTTTCAGAATTCAATAGAAGTGCACAAAAGGAATGGGGCCCAGGACCTAATTATTACTATTATTTTTATACTATACTGGCTTGGTTATAGAGGAAAAACTGTAACACATGTACACACAGCAGGATTTATACTTTATCTGTTCTATGGAACCTCTTTAAGGGATGGATAATATAAAGAAAAAGAATGTTAATGCAAAAAATATCAGTATTTTCTATTCCTTCATATGCAGGATTTTAAAAAAGGAAAGCAGTAAGGAAAGCAGTACTTTTTTTGACATATTGTAGTAACATAGCCTTTTGTAAACTAGGCCCCACTGAAAAAATCACAAGGTATTTTTAGTAATCTCTGCTTTATATATGTCAGTCAATATGTTAATACCTCTATTCCATAGGCACTGTTTTACAATTATCAAGCCCGGAGTCAAAGCCTTAGGTGTTTCATGGTTACACTAAAACCCATGTTCTGTTACTATTTATTTAATAACTAGTGGCCATGCTTGCCTTTTGTCAAAAAAGACTGTTATTTCATGAATGATTAAAGTGCTAGAAACCTAAGATTTATGACTTTCTTGCTCAAAATGCTCATGTGGCTCTTGGCTGATTAAAGGTACCCATCATTGAACATATTTCATTTACAGTGTAATTCTTGGGTTACCAAGGTAACATTCAGGTTAATCAGCTGTACCACACTTTGCCTAATTGAGGGAGAGCACTTCAGCTCCCACTTCAGTCCCTGAAAGATAACAATCGTTTTCTTTCATTTTTTCAATCTGACATTTGGAGGCTGATTCAGATGCTCTTGACTTCAGAACCATTTCCCTCTCTGACGCTGACATAAGGTACTCTGCCCTCATATTAGCTGTGCTTGAATAACTGGGTTTTAGAAAGGCCATTTCCCTATTTGTTATATGTAAATAGAATCACACTATTATGTACTGTTCTCTGGAATTATGGTAAGATGATTGAAGTTAAAATTTTGTATATTAGCATCAGCACATTGAAATGTGTTTCCTACTTATTCTTCTTGGCTTTCTGAGTGTTTGACCATTTGAGTGGCTATGAACAAGAAATTTTTATTTGGAGAAGGGGGTTGAGAAGACTTGGTTGAACTTCCTAAAACTTTATGACCAAAGCTGTTAGGCAAAATTTCCAAGTGTCTTTTAACTCTCTTTCTCTTCTTACTCCATCTCCCTCTGAAAAACTGTAAAAAGTTACTCCATCAGCCAGCTGCTGCACTAAGTAGTCAAATACTAGTTACCATTATTCAAAGTTAAAAGTCGATAACTGAGGATAAATGTTTTGGAACTGTTGAAAACAAATATATGATCTATTAATATTTAGTATCTAACCTAGAGAACCATTGTCTGATAAAACCAGTCTATGAGATCATGCAAAGTCAAAGCTTTTAAAAATTACTCTGTGTCTGCACAAGGTGCTGATACTTAATTACATGAATTTGGGCCTTGACTAGCAAGATCGCTAAGTAAAATTTGAACTGAAAAAATTAATAATGCACCTTAGATTCTTTGAGTTTTCAAGACTTTCCATATGAAATTCTTATTTAAGAATTACTTATGCATTCCCCTTGCTGTTTTCTTATTGCTAGATTTGGGGAATAATGGTTGAAATAATGTTTTGTTTTGTTCTGTTATTATTTAATATGACTTGTAATTTTTTTTAACACAACAAGTGAATTGTTGAATGCCAAACATCAAAACCACTATACTCACACCCCTAAATTAAAGATTAGAAGCTTCATTTTGTAAGTATTTGGAAGCAAGAGTTTGCACATGCTGGAAGAATTAATCATTATCTGGAAATGTGCAAATCTGGCCATGTCATGTTGACTTTATATCATGAAAATATGCATTAGCATTAGCAGCATTTTCTGGTCCCCTGTGTTGTACAGAATGGGTGAGTTTGGGGTGAAAGTAAATTGTGCCAATTCACAAATTCTCCTGGCTGTGCCCAAAATGTTTGCTCTCCGTACTTAACCCCTTTGTCTTCTACATCTTTAACTTAGAAATATCCTAGCGACATCTTCCGTAGCTTCTCAAGGTGGTGGTGATTACTGTGATATGAAAAATGATCTCACTGACTTGTGTTCTATAGAAAGTTATAGTTCTTTCACCTCGATGAATAGGATATTAGCCCTTTTTGTATAATACTTACTATAAATATTTTTCCTAGTTTGCTCTTTACCTTTCAATTTTAATTCTTTCAAATACTTTGTATTTGTAGTTAAATCAGACAGTTTACTTGTAATTTCAATCAAACAGCTTTTATTGTGTGACTTATCTCACTGTTTTAGCTTAGAATGTTCTCTTTCTATAATTTCGGTGTTTTATACTATGTATTTTCTTCTAGCTCTTGATAGATTAATTTTTTTTTTTGAGAAGGAGTCTCGCTCTGTCTCCCAGGCTGGAGTGCAATGGCATGATCTCAGCTCACCTCCAGCTCTCAGGTTTAAGTGATTCTCCCTGCCTCAGCCTCCCGAGTAGCTGAGACTACAGGCACCTGCCACTACGCCCAGCTAATATTTGTATTTTTAGTAGAGACGGGTTTCACCATGTTGGCCCTGCAGGTCTCGAACTCTTGACCTCGGGTGATCCACCCACCTCGGCCTCCCAAAGTGCTGGGATTACAGGTATGAGCCACCGTGCCTGGCCAGATTATTTTTCTTAATTTTATTTTTAAGTTTTATGGGTACATAGTAAGTGTATGTATTATGGGGTACATGAGATGTTTTGATACAGGCATGCAATGCATAGTAATCACATTATGGAAAATTGGATATCCCTCCCCTGAAGCATTCATCTTTTATGCTTTAAATAATCCAGTTGTACTTTTTCAGTTATTTTAAAATGTACAATTAAATTATTATTGACTATAGTCACCCTATTGTGCTATCAAATACTAGGTCTTATTCATTCTTTCTATTTTTTTGGTATTCATTAAATATCCCCACCTAATCCCCAGTCCCTAGACTGGCCCTTCTCAGCCTCTGGAAACTATCTTTCTATTCTGCTAGATAATTTTTTTAAATAACCTAACTTTTAAAACTCATCTAGAATTTATGTTCCGTTATAAGATAATGATATTATCTTAACATTAAGATAAGATAACATAAGATATTAGGAGAAGATAAAGTGGCTTCTTTTCCTATTGGGTATAGCAGTATTGACTGAGTCAGTATTTCTCTCCTCTACTGACTTAGGCTTTCTCCTTCGTCATATATTGCATATTCATATGATATAATTTCCGAGCCATCTATTCTGTTCCATAGACTTTTCAGTGTATTCTTGTGCTATAATCATGTCTGTTTTAATTGGTATTAGTAATTAGTATTAAATTAGTATCAGTAGGGCTAGTATTCTAACAAGGGATGAGCATTTCTTTTTTGTAGGTATTTTTTTGAGGTGGCATTTGATGCCACATTTGATGCTACATTTGATGTAGCATTTTTTTGAGGTGGTGAATATCCCAGTTACACTTGTTTGAGCTTTACAAATTATATGAATGTATTAAGTTATCACATGTGCCTGAAAAATATATACATCTATTTGTATCAATAAAATTTTTAAAAAATTGTCAAAGGACTTAAAGAGAGAATTTTCCAAAGAAATTATACAAGTGACCAACAAGCACGTGAAAAGATGCTCAATGTCACTAATCATTAGAGAAATGCAAACCACCTTTCACTCATTAGAGTGGCTACTATCAAAAAAACAGAAAATAACAAGAGTTGGCAAGGATGTGGAGAAAGTAGAATCCTTGAGTACTGCTGGTAGAACTGTAGGATGATGCAGCTGCTGTGGAAAAGAGTATGGTGATTATTCAAAAAATTAAAAATTGAATTACTGTGTAATCCAGCAATTCTCTTTCTGGATATATACCCAAAAGAATTAAAATCAGTATCTCAAGGAGATATTTGTACATCTATGTTCATAGCAGCACTATTCACAAAAGCCAAAAGGTGGAAGCAACCCAAATGCCCATTGACAGATCAATGGATGAGAACAATGTGGTATATACAGACAATGGAATATTATTCAGCCTTCAAAAGAAAGGAAATCTCTATATATTGTATAATATGAGTGAACCTTGAGGTCACTATGCTAAGCGAAATAATCCAGACACAGAAAGACAAATGGGATATATAATTCTACTTCTATAAGATACCTAGAATAGTCAACTCATAAAGACAGAATGTAGATTTCTCCTTATCAGAGACTGAGTGGAGAAGGAAATAGGGCATTTGATGGATGTAGAGTTTCAGTTTTGCAAGATGGCAAGAGTTCTGGAGATTATTTGCACAATATGAATGTACTAAACAGTACTGAATTAAACACTTAAGAAGCATTAAGATTGTAAATTTTATATTACGTGTATTTTACCATCATTAAAAAAATGCAACCTGTATTGTGTATATTACAGATTTTAAACATGAAGAATCAGTCATCCCAGAATTTATTTTTAAATATTCCTTTCAGTCTTTTTCCTTGTATGCATATATTTTTAGAATTATAATTATAAGATGCCTACATTGTGAATGTTGCTTTTCCACTAAACAATTTATCAGAAAAAAGCTTCTTAATTATAATTTTATTATTAACTTATGAAATGGTATTTATATAAACCCATTTGTATTTAAACATATATGCAGGCTCAAGAAGCACAATAAAAACATATTTACACCATTTTAGATTAACTTTCCTACAGATTTAAATAATTGCTTTTTGCTTTATTTCAAAACTTCTCAAAGTAATGTTTGATACATATGTGACCATGCCATGAAACCTGGTTTTAGAGAATTTGCTCAGTTCTAAAAGCAATCTTCCATAAACTTGGGTACAAAACAAAAAGAATAAAAATGGAAAAGTGTGACGTTTTTTGCCCAAGTATTAATAAGGAAATAATGAATATTACTGAGCAATAAGACCATTTTTCTCACCTTCTCTTCTTTGCTCCTTGCCTCTTTAAAGAATACCTTTAAATTTAATTATGAATACAACAGTTTTGGATGACACCTTTCAGTTATTAAGGGATAAATTATATATCCTTCAAATAGTCATCATGATTCTAGCAATTATGAATTCAAGAATGTTATCTCTTATTTGGCCTAAAACCTGAATCCTCGTTTGAACTTAATATTCCCCTTGTATATTTATTGTGCTATAAATGATACAGGAGACATAAACAATCCATTTTATTCTAAAGAGCACAATGTTCTCTGGATTGATTTCTCTGTTTACCAGAATTTAGCTGTTTTCAAATAAGGATTTTTAGCCAGATGTCATCTATGCAACTTTTTCATGTTCTAAGAATTAGCATTTAATCTCTTTTTGGCTGAAATTTAGTTAGTGATGTTGACACCTCTGCATTTTAACACTGGGATTTCTTTGTGGGACACAATTCCTTTCAATCAACTTAGTATCCCATCTTGGTCTCTAAGAGACAATAATTGAGTTTAGGTTAGTTTTAAATAGCGATAAGGACAGGGAACACAGATGGGTATTTCATTGATTAACACTAACCCTGGCCTAAGGCCCCAGTGTCAGGCATTAGATTAGGACATTACGAAGAGAATGACGGAGTTTTGGTACTTTATTCCTCTCAATAACATTCTTTCACATATTAAGTTTATCCCCCCCTAGGTAGCTACTTTATCATGCAGAAGGCCTTAATCCACTGATGTGACTCTCTCTGCTCTCACTTTGATGAAGCCTCTGTTTACAAGAGTAATGCAGCCTGTGTAAGACAAAGTACTTGGGACAAGGACAACTGAATAAGGCTTTTAGATGCACAGTGATCCGACCTAAAAACAAAACAAAACCCACTTTGCACACACACTTGCACACACACACAAATCCACAGACACACACACACATACACACAAACACCAACAAAACAGACTTTTTGGAAATGCAGTTATGACGCTTGCATCCTGAAGAATCAGACGTTAGGATTTCATCAAGAAGACCCTATGTTACTGATCTCCTTGTTTGGCACTTTATCTTTTCTTCACCTTTGACCTTCCTTTCAGGCCCTCTTCAAGGCATCGTGAACGTAAGCCCTTGTGGTGTTCTTTTAGAAGTAGGATTGCTGCCATCCCCTCTGGTGAATATAAGCAGCTGCCGGAATCAGTGACAAGGTTGGGTACAGATTTGGTATCCTGGCTGGGAAAGAGATTATGGGTCAGTCCCCAGTGCTGGGATACAATAGATTCAAGCAGTTCAGGATTTTTTGGATATCCGAAAAAGATTTCATGAAATTTGTAAAGATCTAACAGTGTATTGCAGATTTCATGTGGTCTAAACAGCTTATACTAAGTAAAACTCTCGGTAGTCAGTAAATGGTGTTTTCACAGCCATGCAATTTTAACTGCTCTGGAAGAGTTTAATTTCACCAAATTGTGTGGTTGCTGAATGAAGCAGGTGGCCTCTTATATTTAGATGCTTTATCTGTTAAAGGGTATTCTAACTTTAGAGAGTTCTTTCTTACTCTATGAAGATTTACATGTTCACTCTAGTAAATTTAGATTATTAGACAATGCCTTTTTAATTCTTTAGAGCACCAGCAAGTTACAAAGTTAGATATTATAGAAAGTCTGATTTATATATGATATATACAATGACAGTATTTTTTGGTAAGTTATGAGGTTAGATAGAATAGAAAGTCAGATATATACACATACATGTACAAAATATATATTAAATGTATGTATATATATAAAGAATACTTTTTCACATAAAAGTAGGCAATACAATAAAATACTTCTGTTTAGTCCTTTGTCATCATTTCATCTTTCACCAAAATCTCAAGAGAAAATGTTTAGAATTTACCTAGGGTTGAGAGTTTTTAAAAAATTTTCTTTTTGTTTATAATGTGATTACAAAGAAAGATGTATTATAATTACATATGGAATTTGTAAATTTCTAAAATTCAAAGTGCAGTTCACCAGAAACTTCAACATTTTGATGGGAGAGAATTCTGTATATTCCTTGTAGTCTTTCCTTTTTTATTTTTTTCACCTACTTTTCCTGCAAAACCTTGGAATAGGAAGCCATGATGGCATTGTACAGTGATCCCTGTTTGTTATAGAGGGTAATGCATAAACCAAAAACAGGAAAAGCCCATTTTAAAAATATAGAACATCTGGCCTCACCAGTGTATGTCCCACATCTGAGCCTGTTGCATGGACCAAGAGCAAGCCCTCTGGCACTGACTTAGGACTGTCGCTGCAGGAAGGGGCACATCCATGTTTACCCAATGCCCGTAAGGTGTGTAGTTGCTGTCATAAAGCAGGCTCATTCAGTGGAGCAGGACGAACAAGGAGAGTGGCACATTTTAGCTTTCCAGAGCTGGTAGTATGTTTTGGAGGCAAACAGTGCTGGTTCATACTACTCCTTTCCCAATTAATTGGACCCCTATTAATACATTAGTTTGACTTAATTCACAAAAATTCATTGAGATCACAGCACTATCAAACAATATGTACTGCCCACACACGGAAACCAAATCGTGAGCTTCTTTCAAAGAACATCACCTCATTTGGGCCAAGGCATATTAAACCAGATAATTACAAAACTTCAAGAAATCCTAAAGACCCTCTGATTTTGTGGTTCCCAAATTTTTATCCATCAAGACTTCTTTTTATTATTTTTTCTGTATGGTATATTTACCCATGAGTCTGGTTTCCATTAGTTTACAAAATAAGTCCAAATAATTCCAGAATAGTAATCTATCTGGGGGAGATTCCTAGAGATTTTTTTGGCTTCAGTTTGGGAACCTATGATCCTGTGTGTTCTCATTATGTTAATGAAGGAGCTGAGCTTACCTGAGTTTTGCCTCCCCAACAACATAGAGTTAGTTTGAAGCAGATTTGAAACCAGGTTCTGGGTAAAACTGAATTGGCTAATAAGTCTAAAGAAAGTTTTTTAGAGAACAAGTGAAAAGTGTGGCAATAGTTCTTCACCTCTGGAGTAGTAGAATCGTCTGAGGGAAATGTGTTTTTATATACAATTAACCTTTCCTTTTACATGTTGTTGGGAAACTCCTAAGAACTAAATTCTCACACCAACAATTACAACAAACAAAAGCATTACGGGCGATCGCCTCTCTTTAACACTTTCACATGACTTTCATCATTATGAAGATTGGCTTTTATGATATTCATATGAGTTTGACCTGAGCCAACAAAAGCCAGGGAAATCGATTAGAGAGGAAAATTCAGCCTTAAATCTTACGTTCCTGTGGGCTGCCTATAGCCTCTCGTCAGTCAGGAGTGTGTATGTGGCTCATCTGTGACACAATTCTGAAATAAAATGAGGCGAATGCAGAAGCTCAATTCCTAAGAAAGAAAGAAAAGTGTCCCTTTGGTCCATTCAAGTTACCACCTAAGCTAGGGCTTTCATGCCCTTTAAGTCCCAAATGAAAAGTAGTTATAATGAGGCAAAAATCTGATAGGGAAAATGAGGCAGTTGGCTTGAATTCCTCTGTTAGATTTTTTTTTTTTTTTAATAATAATTTGCTCATCTCATGCTGGTGGATTTGGTCTCTTGCATTCTCTGGCAGTCAAGGAAAAGTTAGCTCAAGTTTTGCTCCCTCTGCCATTAACAGATGGCACGCAGATCTAAGCATAAGCTGTGGCTCCCGGGCCACAGGCAAAGGGTGAGGGCTGCTCCCCTGTGGACACCCTCAAAAGGCCCTAAGCTTGAGTAGCACAAATGAAAAGGTCTAGTGCTGGTGTTAATTACGCAGAAACCACACAGAAAGTGCTGGCTGTTACTGAGTTGAGAGGTTGGGCATCTCTTCTTCCCCAGATAAAAGGCTTGATATGAAAACATTTTGCAGAGGACAATGAAGTGAAGATTAGCATAATCTTCTGCAGTATCCTCAGTAAGCTATCCATGAGTGAGTTGCTTTTTTCTCATTCCTTCGGCTCTAATGTCTGGATTTAAGGAATGGTATTGTTAAGAGCAGGCTTTGTCCTTGGAGCCTGACAGTTGTGTTTTTCCCGCCTTCATGTGATCATCCCAGTTGCTAGTCTCCTGCTCTTCGGGGAGGCAGACAATGGAAGGAAAAATGAAGTGTCAGTTCATTGACAAAACCTCTCTGTGCTATGTTATTCTTAATCCAGACTCTTCAGGGTTTTTTTCTTTTCTTTTCTTTCTTTTTTTTTTTTTTTAAACATTCTCTCATCCATGCTCTCTGAATAGAGGAAAGTCCCTTTAATATCAGCCTGAGGAAAATGTAGAGCAAGTAACACTGAACTTTGAGGTTTAGGCAGCTTTAAATTAAAAAACAAAATCAAATTGTATTGTTGTCTCTGTACTTCAGTCAGAACATTAAACTGCTGTTGTTACATTTTATGTCAAAATGCGAGTAGCTGTTAAAATGGTTATTCAGATATATGCAACTGAAAGCCGTGAGTGTTGAGGTTTTTCATGAGAAGAATTTAACCACTTGTACAATGCAGCTTATTGCAGTTCTCTCGGGGGCTGGTCTGGTGGCTAATGCACTAGTTTGTTGGCCACTTTGATCCTGGCTGCCCTGTTTTAAGTCTTGCTATGACTGGTTAAGCTAGTGCTCTGTAACCCCGGGGATAACTTGAGGGTTCTGAAAGTCATGAGGCACGGTCCCCAAGATCAAAATATAAAAATAGGTCTGGGGTCAGGGAACTCAACAGGCCCTGGAAGCTCTTCACTTTTACAGCTGGAGATGGTCTCTTATGTATTTAGAATTCGTCATTAGGATTCTGACAAAGAACTGCAGTATGGGATTGCTGCAGGGCAGGCTGTTTGAATCTTACTCTTGATAACAAAAAAAACCCCAACTTCTGGCTGCTGACAGGAGACAAGGTGAGTACAAGAAACGCATTGAAAAGCAGCGTATGTCTATTGATGGCTGAAGAAGGGTTAGAATGGCTGAGTTTTGAATTTGGGTGAAAACCCCAGAGTTTATTTATTATACCAGATGAATTTGGGGATTCTCCAGTGGTTTTTAAAGGCCTGGAGAGCCTATTACTATGGATATCTTAAAAGCCTGTGTCAGACGATTTGTTGACCTTTCCCAAGTTCTACTACTGCCAATTTTGACATAGATTTCATTCCCGATCTAGACTGCCTACTTGTTGTACTGCCCAGGTCATGCAGAAAATTGGTGTTTACATCAGACTTACCTAAGATTTTCTTCCCTAATACAAATGACTTGAATACATCTCATTTTCTTCCAGAGAGATAGCTCCCTCCACTTCAGTCTATAATACAAACGAAGATCAGCCATTTGTTGCATCCGAGGTAAACTGGCCTGGATTTGTGGTCTGAGTTCACCATATTTCCACAGTATGACATTGAAGAAGAAAGGAATTTTACTTGTCACTTGATAGTTATTGTCTCATGACACTAAGCTATGACTTGGAGACAAAGGCCAAGTCAAGCCCCACTGTGAGATTCAATGATTCCTTGGTGGAGAAAGAAGCATTTGATGTGGAGCCTGACACACCTGGTAAGTCCCCGCTCTGCCTCTTAGTGACTTGGTGGTTGATCTTCCATGATCATTGTTCTTTCATCTGTGCAATAACCATCTCAGTGGCAACTCTACCGTTCTATTGAGAGGATTCAAGGCAGTTGTGTATTTTAGAGCAATTTGAGAACTGTAAATCCCGATATCTATGTGAGGTATCATTATGACACTTTCAGAAAGTTTCCCATTAAGCATTTATTCATTCAGCAAACATGTATTGAACACTATGTTCAAGACTGTGGGCCTTAGGGGATTGCCAACAATACATAGTTCTTGTCCTTAAGGAAGTCACATTTTAGCTGGAGGTAGGAAAAAAAAAAACCCAAACACTTGTAACAGAGACTACAATAAGTTTAAGAAACTCTATCCCTTCCAACAAGTTGAAGACAGTTGGAAACTCTGTCCCTTCCAACAAGTTGAAGACAGTGCAGTGTACATATTAGACTGAGTGTGCTGTACACTGCACTATGCTGAATATTTTGGTGGGGGTGGTGAACTACTGAGAAGTATGATAATCTGTTTGGAAACATAAGACATAAAATGAACTCGTCTACCTGCTAATATGAGACAATAAAAGATAAGTGCCAAATGAACAACGTGCATAATAAATTCAAAGGAGAAAGCCATAATTCCTAGAGAAGATAAGATTTGAGTATGAGAACTCTTTGACCTTCCATAAGACTTCATTTTTATCTCCTTAAGGCATTTACCTCTGTCTACCGTATATTATTGTAATAACTATTATCATTATTACTGCTCCTAGTAAGCTCCCGAAAGCAGGTCCTTATCTTATTCTTTCTTTTTTAATCTTCCATAATACTTAGGAAATGCCTAGCACAGAGTGGAAACACAAATAATATTTGTTCAGTGAATGAATATAGGTTAGAGGGGTGATTTAATAGTGCGCTGGTAGGGATACTGGCTATTGTATTTCTGTTTGCATACCCCCAAATAATTTCTGGTTTGCCTCTGTATCTCTCAGTGTATCCAGTGGTGTTGAATGAGTAAGCACATGAATTTTGAATGAATACACCTGGAACATCTTTCTCTTCCCAGCCTAGTCAAATGCCTTGCCCACAGTATTTTAAAATCTTTTAAAATCCCACTCCTCAGTGAAACCTTTGTCCCTGGATTTAGGAAAGTGCTCATATCCCTCTCTTTCCTATCCCTACCCAATCCCCATAGAAAGCAACAAGAAACTAGTTCTGTTGCTTTTTCTGTTTTCCTATTCTCCAAGAAAATTCTTCTGAGGTTATTATCTCTAACCTCTATTCTAATAATCTACTTTTCCTAGTTTCATCTCTAAAATAATTTTAGAATTTATTTACTTTGCCTAACTAGATATTTTTTTTATGCTGATTCACTTTTTATTTAATCAAAATGACTGAGGCCTCAGCCTAAAGTTTAAATCAGAGTTGAAATTCCCAATTCTTGGTCCCTCTGTCTAGAGCTCCACACACCTATGGGTCTTCCAACTTCAAACTTCAAGTTGTTAGTTAAATATTAGTGTCTCAGTGAGACCTTTCCTGATGACTTATTTAAAAAATAATCTCTGTATTCCCTTTATTTGCTTTATTTATCTCCACAGCACTTATCACTTTCAATAAGCAATTTAATTTATTTATTTATTTGGTTCATTTTCTATCTCCTGCTCTAGAAAGTGAGCTCCATAGGGCAAGGATTTTTGTCTACTTTGCTCACCACTGTATCCCAAGGGCCTATCTCATAGTAAGTTTACAATAATTATCTATTTAATAACTGAATAAATGGGGTAACTCTTCTGTCTTCTGTTGAGAGATGGCTTCTCCGAAGATTGATTTCTTGTCTTGCACTCTGCTTGTCAGTGTGATTGATAAAGCAGGCACCCCTGAATAACCTGTGGGCACTGATACTATCAGTTGTTTAAGATGAAGCTCGTAGTTCAGGATGCTTCTGATTATAGTTCACTTATGGGCCTAGATATTTTTGTAATGGACCAATGTCTCCATCTTAGAGCTTTTTGTCTATACAGTGTGTTGCCTGGAGATTCCAAGTTCTTAGAAGGCAGTCACTGGCCCATGCAATTTACTTATGATAACATAAGCTCAGTGCTTAGTGCAGCTAGAAATTTAATAAATGTGTATTGATAATAAACTGAGTCATTTAATAATTCTTTCTGAACATTTTGAGAATGTTAAACTAATGACATGATTGTAGCTTGAAAAGTTTGATAATTTTGTCTGGTTCCTTTTTTGCTTGAAATATACTATGGCATGGGCAGTATGAGCAATTGACAATACTATAATGTTCTTTTTATTTGTGAATGGGAAGTTGCTGGAATATTGCAGGTGTAGATGGCATGTTAATGGCATAGTATCTTCTAGAATTATTTTGGAATGGTTTGTTGAGATGGTTTGTTATTCTCCTATTTATTTACTCCTTTGGGTTACTCCGCATGACCAAGCTGAAACAGAATGGCAGGCTGGGAATGACTAATGTAAACAATTCATGCCAGTCAGTGGCCTGTGGTGGCTGTTCACTTGGAGCTCAATAACACTTTTCTTTGAGTGCCACTGCTCTGCTCCAACAAAGTTGGCTTCATCTCACCCTTTGTTATCCCACTAATATAAAAATGTCTCTCTTTGTATGTCTGTTATCTTGTGTCTAGGACACTGTCTTTTATCAGATTTTATTTTCTGGAAAGTTCTAAGCTGCCAATGCTATATGTTAATATCAGTGCTAAATAATGGTTATTGAGGTCTCAAACAGTGAACATCTTTGCAGAAGGGAGGGGAAGAAATATCTAGCACAGCTGCTTCCGAATTCCCTGGCTGGTCTGAGAACTGTGTGAAGCTGTGATGGAACCCCCTGGAGATGTTCTGCAGCTCCAGGCCTCACTTCACAGACTCACTGCAGGGTAAGTAGAAAGTAGTTCTGAAGTCCAAATAGGATGGTAGGGTGATGTTTGTTTGTGAGAAAGAAAAGCAGAGTTATGCAATAGACAAAGGAAGAGAGAAAAGAAATAATGCTGTAAAAAGAGGACCATGGGAGAGCACAGACATTCCTGAAAAACCTTCATAGAGTCATTAATGAGGTGGGTGTCTAGGAATATAAAGTGTCTACAGGGCACTAGGGGACTACTGTTCTTGGCCTAGAGGCAATGGGGACTGAACCACAGGAATTTTCGATACTATTAAAAAGAAGCGAAAGCCAGAAGGATCAAAACACCACCCTATAATAGATGATAAGCAATTTCTACTTATCTGCTTTGCGTAGAAACCCAAAAGCCAATGTGGAAATCTGGCTTTTTGGAACTGCTCAGGGAGGTGATGTTATAAACCTGTGTACATTGTCAGCTGTGCCTCTGCCACACATTGTCTTTTGGGATTTAAGTTTTGCCTCACACAATCCCTAGGGGTTAAGTTTATCCTCAAAATGTGGGTGAGTTTATTAACTTCATTGTATTAAGGGATTCTAAAGTAAATTGATGGTGGTGATGGAGGATGTTTTTTAAAATTTTAATGAAAAACTCAAACAATATTCTAACTTAAAAAAAAAACAGACTTATTAAGCAAACTGAGTGAATGGTTAGTTCAAAACATTGATCTCTGAGGGCAGGGGCTATCCCTGATTTTTGTACTCCTAGCATGGAACACAGGCCAACACAAAAAAGGTGTCCAAATACATGCTCAATGATTTACATCAAATCTGTCCACCTTGAATTTAAAGGAAAAATACTGAGAGGAAAGTAATCTGAGGTCTCAAACAGTGAACATCTTTGAGGAAAGGAGGGGAACAAATATCTAGCACAACTGCTTCCAAATTCCCTGGCTGGTTTGAGAACTCGGTGAAGCTGTGCTGAAACCTTCAGGAGATGTTCTGCAACACCAGGCCTTGCTTCACAGACTTGCTGCACAAAAACACTGAGAGGAAAAGTGATCTGACCTGTAGTCTATTTGCTTTGGTGAAAAGTATGGTAAACAAGTGTTACCCAGTGCTTATTAGCATTTGAATCATTTGGAGCTTATGTCCAGTGAGGGTGGAAGAGGCAGTTGTCTTGAAAGCATGACGTGATCAGAGGGTCCCCTGCCCTATTGTTTGAAATTCTCACCTTTAAATCCATGCCTTTGAGATAAGGCATAGATTTTAGAAAGCTTTTATTAAAATGCACATATGTTACCTAGAATGGGAAACAAATTAACCTGTGCATACGCTGTACATAAAAATGCCTTAGCAATTGTCAGATTAAGAAGCAGAGGGCAATTCCTTGCTTGAGCAGGACCCAAGTCAGTTTTGTTCGGAGGCTATGGGTGCGGGAAGGAGACATGAAATGTAAGGTACCATCCATCTTATAAGCTGTGGCATTAAGCAACCAGGATACAGAACTAGATAGCAAAAGGGATACCTTGGAGATCATGGCCCTCAGGTTCTGTTTTCTCTTTTTGATGCTGCACAACTGTGATGTTGGCCTTGTAACATGAATTCTCGGAACCTAACAGAGTTGTTCCTAATAATCTACCACTTTTTATCTTGTTTGTATAACATTCAATAATTTTGGCTTTTCGGATAGAGTAATGGTGGAGGAGTTAAGACCAGTGGCCAGTCAACACGATTCCAGTCAAATTGATTGTGTGTTGTTCTCGGTGAACTATGTCTTTTTGTTTTGGTGAAATATAATGGAAAAAAGCTGTTGTAACACCTATTACAATGTTTCCAGAGTGACCCAGCAGGAGGAAAACCACTCAGGAGAGAAAGATTGGAATGTAGAGACAAAATAGCTGGGTCTAAGAAGGGTCGTGGAAAAATGGGGGAAAAGGAGCTAACTATATCAATTATATGAAAATCCTAGTGCCTCTATTGGACTTCAGATTTCCTACTCTGGATGAATTGTCACCATTTAGTAGTCCACCACCCTGTGCAAGCGGCAGCAGGGGAGGATATGGCTTGGCCCTGAGACATGGACAGTTAAGACCATATATTCTCTGAACATTTAAAGAATTCTGGAGTCAGTCATAATCAGCCTGAAAGCTGAAAGATTATGTTTTCTCCCAACTCACACTACTCTTGAGGTCTAATGGACTTGTACAGACAAATTAAAAAGTGAGTGCTTCCTCTGCCACAGATTGCTTTACCTGCGGAGGGGTAGAAGTAGGAGTCATGTGAGAAAGTATTCATTGAGCATCTCTGCAGCTTTGTGTTACGGGGAAATGCAGGTGTCTCACTGCTCTCATGTTAAGGTGGTGTGATAACAGGGAAAGAGCAACAGACCTGGAGCCCAAGATGGGCGTAGATTCTCAGCTCTCTGCTTAATGAATACTGATGCATAAATGAAATCTCCAGGCTCGATTTCTTCATCTGTGAAATCAAGGGTTCTATATGATATATCTACCTCAATAGGCCATTTTAGAGATAAAATGAGATAGTATTAAAATGATGAAATATACAACTATAGTATTTTTTATTTGTAAGACATATGCACGAAACAATAACCAATACTTTTCATACAGTGTGTGTGATTAAATATTTTGCTGCAGTTGGGTATGGTTGTAAGTGCAGTAGGAGATCAGAATAAGGAGAAGTTGGTGTATATTGTAGTGGCCAGTGAAGTTTTGGATTTGTTTCCATTGTGCTACCTGCACTTATTCATTCCTCATCTTTCTGAATGTCTCCTTACCCTTGAACAAAGCAGACTTAGTTAGCTCTGGCTGCCTTTGTTCCCTGACAGTAGTTAAAGCTTCAATTAGGCTGGTATCCATTGAAAGTTGACATACCCATTTCTTTTACGTATTTGTACAGACATAGAAGCAAGCCTGTATTTGGGTTGTGTTTTGGCAGGGTTTGAAGTCATGTTCAAAGATCTAAAAAAATTGAATGACTGAGGACACAGACTAGAATTCTAACCTTCAGTTTATGTGCAAAATCAAAAACATGCAAAGTTTGTGGTATCTGAGCTTCATCTGATCGTTCGTACATGAAAGTATAAAAAGAAGGCCCAGAAGTAGGAGTCTTGTCAGTTTGAATGTTAGTTAAATAAGTACATAAGATAAACAGTTCATGGAAGGTTATGCAGCTGAATTTTCAATCAGGATGCACATGAGACTAGTGCACTACCATCTCCTGGTAATCAGAGCCTATTGGATTTTTTGCACATCCTACTTATATAGACAAGGTTGTGAGTTTAATGTTGTGAGCTTTAATATGCCCATGCCTTCCTCCCTCTGAAACATTGTTAGATCTGCCAACTCAAACCCCACTTTCCTCCAGCTTAACATTGTTTAAGAGGAAGTTAACAACACCTAAATTTAGTCATCTCTCCACTCCCTAGATATTGTCTCTGTGACAAATTTTCCTTTGAGTGCTGGAACTGGGTAGATTTCTTGGACATTTCTTATCTTTTTAGGGAGAAGAGGGATTAAATCCTGAAGTGAAGATTCCTACTGGGCTTGAAGTAAGAAGGGAAGCTGGGCTCTGGGGCACTGTTGACTAAATGTGGGGAGTCTTCAGAATTTTTCCAAATAGCAGTTTGTGTACCTATCTTATGCTCTGTGAAATAAGAACAGGGGTCCTGACTATAACTGTGTACATAAATTTTCTGAATTTTAGATAGTAGGTACTCTGCAAATGTTTGTGTCATGGGACAGACAATATGGATAGTGGGTAAAAGCAAGGGCTTGAGAGTCAAACAGACCCAGATTTAAATCCTGGTTTTGCCATTTGCTTGTTGCATGACTCTGGAAAAGTCATTTCACCTCTTTGAGTTTACGATTTCCATTTTATTGAGGAAGCCACATAAGGCCTACCATTTATGGCTGTTGTGAGAGTTAAATGTGACATTGGTAAAGGGCTTTGATAAATTCCTGCTTGTCAGAGTCAGCACTCAATAAATGGCAACTTATTGCCATCATCTGTACCATCATAATCACAAATAAATAAATAATTCTAGCCTCCTGCATTTTCTCAGTCTTAATTTGAGCTCTTCACCATTGCCCTGACAGTGTTATCTACAGGAACTTCGTTTTCTGGGAGTCTGTGCTGATTGCAGAGGGCATGGACTGAGGTCTCAGTGACTCTGACAGCTGCCTTGTTCAGTTAAATCCTTTTTCCTACCTCTGGCTTTTCCACTCATATAGTTGTTTGTATCTGTTTTTCTTTTTCACTCAGCATAGTGTTTTTTTTTAATTTTAAATGAATACAAAATGTTTGCACATATTTATGGGGTACGTATGCTATTTTGTTACATGCATAGAATGTGTAATGGTCAAGTTGATATTTAGAGTATTTATCACCTTGATCATGTATCATTTCTATATGTTGGGAATATTTAAAGTCCTCTCTTTTAGCTATTTTGAAATGCAAAATGCATTGCTGTTAACTATAGTCACACTACCATACTATCAAACATTAGAACTCATTTCTTCTATCTAACTGTATGTTTATACCCATTAACCAAACTCTCATTATCTCTCCACTGCCCTGCCCCTGGCTCCCCACACCTACACCATTCCCAGTGTTTGGTAGCTGACATTCTACTCTCTTTCCTCCATGCGATCAGCTTTTTTTTTTCTCCCACATATGAGACAAAACATGAACTATTTGTCTTTCCATGTCTAGTTTATTTCAATTGACATAATGGCCTCAAGTTCCATCTATGTTGCTGCAAATGACAGAATTTCATTCTTTTAATGGCTGAATAATATTCCATTGTGTATATATTCCACATTTTCTGTTTTTATTTTTTATTTTAGGTTCAGGGGTACATGTATAGGTTTGTTATATAAGTAAACTCATGTCATGGGGGTTTGTTTTACAGATTATTTCATCACCCAGGTACTGAGCCTAGCACCCAATAGGTATTTTCCCTGCTCCTCTCCTTCCCTTCCTCCTCCCACCCTCCACCCTCAATTAGGCCCCAATTTCTGTTGTTCCGTTCATTGTGTCCATGAGTTCTCATCATTTAGCTCCCATTTACAAGTGAGAACATGTGGTATTTGGTTTTCTGTTCCTGCACTAGTTTGCTAAGGATAATGGCCTCCAGCTCTATTTATCTTCTCACAAAAGACACAATCTTGTTCTTTTTTATGGCTTCATAGTATTCCATGGTGTACATGTACCACATTTTCTTTATCCAGTCTGTCACTGATGGGCATTTAGGTTGATTCCATGTCTTTGCCATTGTGAATAGTGCTGCAATGAACATTTGTATATGTGTCTTTATAGTAGAATGACTTATATTCTTCTCAGTATAAGTAACGGGATTGCTGGGTCAAATGGTAGTTCTGTTTTTAGCTCTTTGAGGAATTACCACACTGCTTTCCACAAAGGTTTAACTAATTTACACTCCCACCAACGGTGTATAAATGTTCCCTTTTCTCTGCAACCTCACCAGCATCTGTTATTTTTTGATTTTTTAATAATGGCCATTCTGACTGATGTGAAATGGTATCTCATTTGATTTGCATTTCTCTAATGATCAGTGATATTGAGCTTTTTAATATATGCTTGTTGGCCATGTGTATGTCTTCTTTTGAAAAGTGTCTGTTTATGTCCTTTGTCCACTTTTCAATGGGGTTTTTTTTCTTGTAAATTTGTTTAAATTCCTTATAGATGCTGGATATTAGAACTTTGTCAGATGCATAGTTTGCAAATATTTTCCCCCATTTTGTTGGTTGTCTATTTAGTCTGTTGATGGTTTCTTTTGCTGTGCAGAAGCTCTTAAGTTTAATTAGATCCCATTTATCAATTTTTGCCTTTGTTGCCATTGCTTTTGGCATCTTTGTCATGAAATCTTTGCCCATTCCTGTGTCCAAAATGGTATAATCTAGGTTGTCTTCCGGGGTTTTTATAGTTTTGAGTTTCACATTTAAGTCTTTATTCATCTTGAGTTGATTTTCATATATGGTGTAAAGAAGGGGTCCAGTTTCAGTCTTCTGCACTTGGCTAGCCAGTTATCCCAGCACCATTTACTGAATAGGGAGTCCTTTCTTCACTGCTTATTTTTGTCAGGTTTGTCAAAGATCAGATGATCATAGACATGTAGCCTTCTTTCTGGGCTTTCTATTCTGTTCCATTGGTCTATGTGTCTGTTTTTGTACCAGTACCATGCTGTTTTGGTTACTGTAGCCCTGTAGTATAGTTTGAAGTTGGGTAGTGTGATGCCTCCAGCTTTGTTCTTTTCGCTTAGGATTGCCTTGGCTATTTGGGCTCTTTTTTGGTTCTATATGAATTTAAAAATAGTTATTTTTAGTTCTGTGGAGAACATCATTGGTAGTTTGATAGGAATAGCATTGAATCTGTAAATTGCTTTGAGCAGTATGGCCATTTTAATGATATTGATTCTTCCTATTCAGGAGCATGGAATATTCTTCCATTTGTTTGTGTCATCTCTGATTTCCTTGAGTCATGTTTTGTAATTCTCATTGTAGAGAACTTTCACCTTCCTGATTAGCTATATTCCTAGGTATTTTAATCTTTTTTATATGAACACTTAGGTTAATTCCATATATTTGCTATTCTGAATAATGCTGCAATAAACATGGGAGTGTATGTATCTTTTTGATGTACTAATTTCTTTTCCTTTGGATAAATACTCAGTAGTCAGGTTCCTGAATTGTATGGTAGTTCTATTTGTAGTTTTTTGAGAAATCTACATACTGTTTTCTATAATGGCTGTATTAATTTACATTCCCACTAACAGTGTATAAGAATTCCCTTTTCTCTGCATCTATTTTTTTTTTGTCTTTCTGATAATAGGCATTCTAACTGGGATAAGATGATATCTCATTGTGTTTTTAATTTGCATTTCCCTGATGATTAGTGATGCTGAGCATTTTTTCATATGCCGGTTTACCATTTGTATGTCTTCTTGTAAGAAATGTTTATTGAGATTCTTTGCCTACTTTTTAGCAGAATTTTTTTTGTTTTTTTTGCTGTTGAGTTGCTTGAGTTCCCTGTGTATTCTAGAAATTAGTCCCTTCTCAGATGAATATGTTGCAGATATTTTCTCCCATTCATCAGGTTGCCTCTTCGCCCTGTTGATTATTTCCTTTAGTTTAATATAGTCCCATTTGTCTATTTTGTTTTTTGTTCCTTGTGCTTTTGGGGTCTTAGCCATGGCCAGACCAGCATCCTGAAGAGTTTTTCTGTTTTCTTCTAGTAGTTTTATAGTTTTGGTTTCTACATTTAAGTCTTTAATCTATTTTGAGTTGATTTTTGTATATGGTGAGAGATAGGGCTCTAGTTTCATTCTTCTGCATATGGATATTCAGTTTTCCAAGCACTCTTTATTGAAGACTGTGTCCTATCCCTAATATAGGTTCTTGGTGCCTTTGTCGAAAATTAGTTAGCCATAAATCCATGTGTTTATTTCTGGGTTCTCTATTTTGTCCCATTGGGCTATGTGTCTGTTTTTATACCAATATCATATTGTTTGGTTACTATAGCCTGGAAATATATTTTGAAGTCAGGTAGTGTGATACCTCCACTTTTGTTCTTTTTGCTCAGAATTGCTTTGGCTATCTGGGCTCTTTTTGGATCCATATAAATTTTAGGATTATTTTTCCTATTTCTGTTAAAAATGTCATTGGCATTTTGATAGGGATTGCATTTAATCTATAGATTGCTTTGGGTAGTATGGTCATTTTAACAATAATGATTCTTCCAATCCATGAGCATAGGCTGTCTTTTGATTTGTTTGTGTCCTATGTATGTATGTATGTATGTATGTATTTATTTATTTATTTATTTATTTATTTATTTATTTATCTATCAGAGTTTTGTAGGTTTTCTTGTAGAGGTCTTCTACCTCTTTGGTTAAATTTATTCCTAGGCATTTTTTTGGTAGTTATTTTAAATGAGATTGCCTTCCTAACACCTTTTTCAGATAGTTTGTTATTTGTATTTAGAACCCTACTGATTTTTGTATGTTGAGTATGCTGATTTTATATCCTGCAACTTTACTGAATTTATTGATTAGATCAAAGAGTTTTTGGTGGATTATATAAGATTTTCTAAATATAATAAAATTATGTAATCTACAAAGATGAACAATTTGACTTTCTCTTTTCTTTCTCTTGCCCGATTGCTCTGGCTAGGACTTCCAGTACTATGACAAATAAGGGTGGTGAAGCGAGCATTCTTGCCTAGTTCCAGTTCTTAGAGAAAAGGCTTTCAACTTTTCACCACACAGTGTGATGTTAACTATGGGTTTGTGATATATGGTCTTTATTATGTTGAGGTATGTTCTTTCTCTGCCTAGTTTGTTGAGAGTTTTTATCACGAAGGGGTTTGAATTTTATCAAATGCGTTTTATGCATCTACTGAGATGATCATATTTTTTTGTCCTTCATTCTGTTGAAAACATTTATTTTTCTCTCAACATAATGATTTTGAGGTCCATCTGTGTTTTTAAGTGTAATAGCACAGTACTACATTTGTTTTTGCTATTGAGGACCACTCATGTAGAAGGCTTTGTGTGCACATAGATTTTGATTTCTTTTCTGTAGATGCAGAGCAATGGAATTACTGGGTCCTATGATAGATTTATGTTTACCTTAAAAAAACAACAACTGCCAAACTGTTTTCCAAAATGGCGATATCATTTTACATTCCCAGCAGCAATGTATGGGGTGCAGTTTCTTCACATCCTTGCTAACATTTGGCATTGTCACAGTTTTTGATTACAGCCATTTTTAATGGATGTTTAGTGGTATTCATTGTGGTTTAAATTTGTATTTGCCTAGTAACTAATGATGTTGAACATTTTTCATGTATTTATTAGCCATTTATATTTCTCTTTAATAAAATGTCTGTTCAGTTTTTTCCCCTCTTTTAAAATTGGTTTGTCTGTCTTCTTGTTATTGAGTTGCTAAAGTTCTTTATATATTCCAGGTGAAAGTCCTTTATCAGCTATAGCATTTGCGAATATTATCTGCCTATTTGTGGCTTGGCTTTTCATTTCATTAATGATGTCTTTTGGAGAACAAAAGTTTTCAGTTTTGATGAGGTCAGATTTGTCAATTTTTTTGAATGGGTTTTGCCTTTGGTATTATATTTATGAAAGCTTTATCTGCCTTAAGGTCACAAAAATTTGCCCCTATATTTTCTTTATAAGGTTTTAGTTTTAGTTATTACATTCAGGACTGAAATTCATTTTAAATTAATTTTTGTGTATGGTGCTAGGTAAAGGTGTAAGTTCTTTCTCCTCCTCCTCCTTTTCTTCCAAGAGATAAAAGTTCCTTTTTTACATATGGATAGCCAATTGTTCAGCACCATTTGTTGAAAAGACTATCCTTTCTTTATTGAATTGTCTTACTTACCATAAATGTGAAGGTTTTATATCAAGACTCTATTCTTTTCTACTGATCCATTTGTCAATATGGTATTAGCATCATTTTGCCAATACCACATTGATGTGATTACCATAACTTTATAAGTTTTGAAACCAGGCAGTTTAAGTCCCCCAGCTTTGTTCTGCTTGTTCAAAGTTGTTGTGTCTAATCTTGGTTCTCTATATTTCTACCTAAATTAAGATAGTTAATTTCTACAAGGGTTCCTGTGGGGATTTTGATAGGGATTACATTGATTTATAGATTAATTTGGGGAGAATTGCCATCTTAGCAATATTGATTTTCCGATCTATGAAAATGATATATCTCTTCATTTATTTAGGTCTATTAAAAATTTGTTAGCAATATTTTTTAGTTTTCAGGAGTTCCACTTCTTTTATTAAATATATTTCTAAGTACTTTATTCTTTTTGATGCTATTGTTAATAGAATTATTTTCTTATGTTTTAGAATTGTTATATAGGACACAATTGTTTTTTGTATATCTTGTATAAAAACTTGTATCCTGTGACCTTGCAAAACTTGCTGATTGGTTTAAGCAGATTTTAAAAATAAGTTTCTTAGGATTTTCTATACAAAATTGTGTTATCCAGGAAAGGTAATTTTACTTCTTCCATTCCAATGAGTCCTTTAATTTATTTTTCTTGCCTAACTGTACTGGCTAGAACCTTCCATACAACTTTAAATAGAAGTGGTGAGAGTAAACATTCTTGCCATGTTCCTGATCTTAGTTAGGGGGGAAAGTATTCAGTCTTTCACCATTAAGTATGATTTAACTGTACGTTTTTCATAGATAACTTTTGTAGGGTTGTAGAAACATCCTATTCCTATTTTGTTTAAAGTATTTCTTTTTCCTTTTTAATTATTACTGGGTGTTGAGTTTTGTCAAATACTTTTTCTGTGTCAATTTAAATAATCATGGTTTTTGTTCTTTATTTTATTAATATGGTATGTTAACATTAATTGATCTTGGATCTTAAGCCAATCTTTTCTTGATAACTCCTGCTTGGCTTTAGTGCATAACTTTTTTTTAATGTGTTGCTGGATTTGATGTGCTAATATTTTCTGAAGAATTTTTGCATCTATATCCATTAGGGCTATTGGTCTGTAGTTGAATTTTTTGTGATGTCTCTGTCTGGCTTTGGTATCAGGGCAATACTGGCCTCATAAAACAAGTTGAGAAATTCTCTATTTTCTGAAAGGATTGATATTATTTCTTCCTTCAATATTTTTGGAATTTAATCAGTGTAATCTGAAGTTTATATGTGTGTGTGATGGAGTGTTGAGAAGACTTCAAAATTCCTTTTTCATGTTCTTTGTTTGATATATGTGGACTCAGATATTCTATTTCTTCTGAAGACAGTTTTGGTAATTTGTGTTCTTCTAGGAAATTGTCTATTTTATTTAGTTTGTCTAATTTGTTGGAATAAAATTGTTCTCTTATAATCCTTTTTTATTTGTCATGTCTATAATGATCTCCCATTTTTTATTCCAATTTTAGTAATTTGTGTCTTCTGTCTTATTTTTCTGCTGTAGCTAAGGATTTATCAGTTTGGTTGATTTTTTTCAAATAACGAACTTTTGGTTTTATTATTTCTTATTCTCTTTCCTATTTTATTGATTTCTGTTTTGATAATTAATATTTCCTTTTCTGTGTGTTATTTCATTTATTGTAGGTTGCTATTTCTTTTCAGCCTGAAAGACTTTCTTTAGTATTTCATATGGGATAGGTCTGTTAGCAATAACTTACATCAGTTATTTTACCTTGAAGTATCTTTATTTTGAAGAATAGCTTTATTGGATATAAAGATCTTTGTTGAATTTTTTTTCTTTCAGGAATTTGAATATGTCTTTCTAATGGCTCCTGACCTACATTATTTCTAATGATGTATGTTATTAATGAAGTTGTTGATGCTGTGTACATAAGGTGTTTTTCTTTTACTGCACTGCTTTAAAGATTTTTCCTTTGTCTTTTGATGATTTTCAGTAATTCGAATATAATGTTTCTAGGTGTGGATCTCTTTGTATTTTTTTCTTTTCGAAACTTGTTGAGTTTCTTAAGTATGTAAATTAATGATTTTCTTCAAATTTGAGAAGTTTTCAGCCATTATTTCTTCACATACTTTTCTGTCCTTTTTTTATCTTTCTAGAATTCCCATTACACATATATTAATAAGCTTGATATTGTTTCACAGATCTCTGAAACTCTGCTCATTTTTCTTTAAGCTTTTGAACAGAAAAGATAGGTTCCTTGGACTGGATAGTTTCTATTGATCTATCTTTGAGTTTACTGATTTTTCTTCTTACATTTCAAATATGCTGCTGAGCTTAATGAATTTTTCATTTCAGCTATTGTACTTTTCAACTCTAGAATTTTTATTTGGTTCTCTTTTATAGTTTCTACTTCTCTGTTGAGATTTCCTATTTGTTGAGTCATTGTTATGTTTTACTTTAATTCTTTTAACACAGATTCTTTAAGTTCTTTCAATGTATTTATTATAGCTGCTTTGAAGGTTTTATCAGAATCATTTTTTGCCATTTATTTGCCATTTATTAATAGTAAACTGCAGCCTATTTTCTCTTTTTGTTCTAAACATAATTTTAAGAGTATTTTGTTAACATTATCATTTTCAGGCTTCTCTCTATTTAAGCATTAAACATTTTAATACCTTTTTACTAAAAAGATCTACTTTTGTCTTTGTCCTTGTCTATGTGTCCTCTCCCCCTATCTTTTAAAAATCTGATGTCACCAAAAATTTGATCTCTTTCCTGTGCAGCTCTTATAGCCTGTATTCACAAGGATTCCTTATGTTGTAAGAAACAGACAACTCAACTCAGACTTATTTAAACAATAAGGCAAACTCATTAGCTTATGTAAGTAACATGTATTGAGGTAAAGCTTCAGGTACAGCTTAAAACTAGGACTTATTTCCTTTCTCTCTATATCTTGGCTCTATTTATTTAATGTTATTTCTAAGTCTCAAGAAAGAGACATATTTCCCCTCATAGTTGGAATATGATTTCCAGTAAATCCTGGTTCTACATTCTTCCCTATTCATGTGGCTATTTATACAGAGGAAGGAAAAAGTCTTTTCTGATTACTTTGCAGAAGAATAAAGAGGAGTTTCTTAGGCAAAAATCTTAGAAAACAACTTTTAAAGTCTTATTTCTTCTACTTGAGCTAATGCTCACCTGTAAACCAATCTGTGTGACTGGGGAACTATGAAGGGCTGACCATGGCATTTGGGAATCTTAATTCACTGATCTATGAATGAAGGAAGAGATGAATTCCACAATTGAAAACAAAGGTATATTGGTCAGAGCTCTCCATAGGAACAGACCCAATTTTTTATATATATATATATATAAAACATATATGAGTTTATTAGGGAGAATTGGCTCACATGATTACAAAGCGAAGTCCCACGTTAGGCTGTCTGCAAGCTGGGGAAACAGAGAAGCCAGTACCATGGTTCAGTCCAAGTCTGAAAGCCTCAAAACCAGGGAAGCCCAACAGTGTGGCCCTCGGTCTGAGGCTGAAGGCCCCAGAGCCCCTGGGATGCTGCTCGTGCAAGTCCCAGAGTCCAAAGGTTGAAGAACCTGGAATCTGATGTCCAAGGACAGCTAAGTGTCTAGCATGGTACCAAAAGTGAGAGAGCAAGCAAACTCAGCAAGCAAGCTACTTATCCACCTTCTTTCACTTGCATTATTCTAGCTGTGCTAGCAGCTAGTTGGATGGTGCCCACCTACAGTGAGGGTGGGTCTTCATCTCCCAGTTCACTGACTCCAATGTCAGTCTTCTCTGGAAGCACACTCACAGACACACCCAGGAACAATGCTTCATCAGCCATCTAGGCATCCCTCAATCAAGTCAAGTTGACACCTAATATTAACCTTCACAAAATTTATTTTTGACATAAGAAGGATAGAATGGATACTGAAGAGGAAACCAGCAAATATTCCTTGTGACCTTCTTCCCTTGTTATTTTTCATTAGGATGAAGGGTTCACTTTGAAAATCTTGCCAACTCTCTTCTATTATCTTCTTTTTATAGTCTCCAAATTACCTGCTCTGGGGATCAAGCAATGGAATTGTTTATTTTCTCTGGGACTTACATTTACCCCCTTAAAACATGGAGTATTTTTGTTGTTTTGTCCAACCGTCCTCCCTTTCTCTATCATGGGCCCTAGTTACGCTTCACCCAGTTCTTGTAGATTACAATTCAATTCTTGTGGATTACAATTACAACAGATGGACTGTTTAACTTGTCACTAGCTCTGTGTTCTGAGAAAGGAAGTTGTCAACAAGGTGAGCTAAGAACTTACAGAATCATTGCTTTTCAATTGGGAGGACTTTCAGCAAATGTCCTTATATAGTCTCCCATCACTATTTTTTCTTACCTCTTTGTTCGTTTTATCATCCTCAAAATACAATACTCCCTGTTCTTTCTGTGTTGCATCTAGTTTATTGTGTTTTCCAACTTGAAGCCATTGTCTGTGACAGTTCTCAGAACTTCTCAAGAATAGGGCTAGGGTTCCCAGAGATGGGTTGCACCCTGTGGTCAAGTAGGAGTGTGTGTGTGTTGTGTGTGTGTGTGTGTGTGTATGTGTGTGTGTGTGTCTGCACACCTCTTTAAAAACTGGAGTAGTTATCAGTCTGTCAGTCCATATTTGGAGGTGAGTTGCTTAGTCAGTATCTAAGAGGTTGCAGGAAGAATAGATAGATAGGTTGAAGAAAAAGCCTGAAGGACTGAAAGACAGGCTGAAAGGTGGTCTTAAGGACAAAGGAAGAGAATGAACCAATGGTTGGAAATAGTAGGACACAGATGAGGTATGGATAGATGGATGTCAGTTAAGCTCAGAAATCGGTTATGATACTGAGTAATTCATTGAGGGTCATTCAGTCAACAAATGCTTATTGATAATTTAATATAATAGTTACTATTGATTGAGCTCATGCTTTGTATCATGTACTTTACTGAGCACTTTATTGATTTAATCCCCACAATGATCTTATTATCCCCTCTTTACAAAAAGAAAACAGAGGCATGGAGATCTCAAATAGACATTTTTCCAGATCTCAGCTTGAAAGCCAGGGTTGAAGCATAGGGCTTCTAACTGTAGAGCACATTCTCCTAGTTACTGCATTGTACCACGTGCTAGACTTTGAGCTGTAGTGGTGAACATGGCAGACATAGCCTTTATCCTCAGAGAGACAGAGTCCATTCTTTGTATTCTTCTGTACAGCTAAGTGCATAGCACTAGGCTGGGGATAGATGTTCTAACAAGGAGAGCAGTCATCTCACAGCTCTATAATTTTTTTTTTGCAGAATTGCAAAAATCCGTTAAGAAGAAATCCTACATCTTTAAAGAATTGATATGTGACTTATTTCCGTGGGGTTACATATTGACATGAAATTTACAAGATGGTTAAATTGCTCTTGCTAATCAGGAGAAAAAAGGGCTTTTGAGTAAAAGACAACTTAGGAAAAAGCCTTCCTTCCTCCAAAATTCAGACAGGAATTAAAAACCACTACAATAAGAGAAGGGGAAAAGTAAATGGAAAGAACTTGGCTATGCCAGATAGTATTATTAATTTGGATAGGAAAACTTTTCCAGTGCTTTTTAAAACAATGTAAGCCATAAGTTGAATTTAACAAGCCTTCTATTAGACTTGAATGCCTGCATTATGATAATTATAAGCACACCTTTCACCAGTATAATATTTTTCCTCTTAGGAGCTGTATGGCAAAAAGAAGTTTTGTGAAATTTTATTGCATTGTTATATAAATTTGAAACTGCATTATAGATTTGTTTCTCCTACTGTGAATTAAATACACTTTATGAAAGGAAGTGATGCTTTTGATCTTTCAGGGGATCTCGGCTATTAGACAATTTCAAGAGTTTTAGAGATAGACTGAAAGGACAGAATAGAACAGGACAAATGTAAGCCCCGTGAGGGAAAGGCTCTTTCCATTTTGTTCATTGCAGTGTCTACAGTGCCTTAGGCAGTGCCTGGCCTATAAATAAATACATGGTTTATGGCAAATAATAAACACAGATGTGAATTAAGGACTCTGAATATACAAAGGAAAGAGCAATTTACTCAGCCTAGAATGCTAGGAGAAGGCGACCAAAGGAGGTGGTGGGAACTTTTTACCCTGGACTTGATTTGGACAAATCTTTATGAGGTAGAGACATTTAGGCAGATCAAGCATCTGAAAAGGCATATTGCATTATTAGGCTAGGGCACCCTCCTATATGTTCCCACAGTTCTCAGAGCATTTTTCTGCCATCACACATATGGCACTGCATTTCTCTTTACTTGCGTAGGGGAATGGCTCACTTGTGGTGCCCTGGTGACCTTGCATATTTCCACATGGGCTAAGTAGGCAAGGCGTGGTCATGACCTGACCTGAGTCTGGTACAGTGCCCTGAGATATCTCCTGGAGTAATGGGAGATGAACCTGGAAAGAAGCCACCACGAGACAGTTTATCATATCTCGTGGGAGGTTGCTATGAGGGGCTTCCTCATTCATCTCCCTGGTTGTGACTGAGAGCAGGACTTTCTGCTTCATTTCTTGCCACCTCCCTTTAGAGGACAGCTGCAGGCTTCTGTGTGTGTCTACTAAACTACTTGCCTGTATGTTAGAGTTGGCTCCTTCATGACAGAGTAACACACCACTCATGCCATCTGCTTCCTGGCTCACCAGCTTAGTGCTGTCCCGTGGGTCAGCTGCTTTCGGGGTTAGGGGAGGGGGCGCTGACACCATGCTGATAGTGCTTTGGCTGTCTGGCTAAGTAGCACAGTGTCTGAATCTCTAAGCTTGTTGCCACCTTACCACAGAAATCTAGGAAAATGAGCAAGCCAACCTAGCTGAGTAGTCATTGCTGCTACGCAGTCACTGTTTGCCCAATGCAATGTGTCTGTCACTAGATTACAAGCTCATCTATATTCTTATCACCTAGCAAAAGGTTTTGCGCAATTGCCTGATAAGGGTTTTTTTTTTTCTTGACAGAATGGATGAACTAATAAATGATTAAGAAGTAAGTACACCAGCAAGTTTCTTGTGCCTGGACTAAAGATGGAGTATAGGATGAGTAGTAGAAGATGTAACAACTGGGACTGGATTACAGATGGTCTTTGTATTAGTCTATTCTCACACTGCTATAAAGAAATACCTGAGACTGGGTCATTTATAAAGAAAAGAGATTTAATTGGCTCATGATCCTGCATGCTGTACAGGAAGCATGATGCTGTTGTCTGCTTGGCTTCTGGGGAGGCCTCAGGAAACTTAACAATCATGGCGGAAGGCGAAGGGGGCACAGGCATGTCACGTGGCCAGAGCAGGAGCAAAAGAGGAGGAGGAGGTGCTACACGTTAAACATCCACATCTCCCAAGACTCACTCACTATCGTGAGGATAGTACCAAGGGGATGGTGCTAAGCCATTTGTGAGAAATCTGCCCCGTGATCAAATCACCTTCTACCAGGCCCCACCTCCAACACTGGAGATTACAATTCCACATGAGATTTGGGTGGGGACACAGATTCAAACCATATCGGTCCTGTGGGCAAGGCAGTGCCCTGAAGACTTTAAAGTAAGAGAAGAACATGACTCCGTTGGTGCACAGTGCATCTTGCTGGATGCTGGGTGCTTGGAGAACTGCTGGTTCCGGGTGGGCGCAGGCAAAGTCCATTATTTATAATTTTATATTATTTGTAGCACCTAGCATGGTGTTAGACCCATAGTAGATGTTTAATAAATATTTAATGAATGACTGCTTTACCTGCTTAATTATGTAAAAGTCTTATCTGAAAATATCAAGATTTAAAAAAACCCACAAATATAAAATTTAACTATAGATGTCACATCTCACAACGACTTTCATCTTTGATTTTATCTTCTCAAATAACATTTATAACATACCTAATCTGTTGCCAAACATATCATAGGCAATTCAGATATAAATGAAATAAAAAGGATCCCTTTGCTTTAGAAGCATGGCATTTAGTTAGAGAAACAAGACATATCCTTAGGTAAAACTCCTAAATGACAAAACAGAACAAATCTTACTACATACAAAATGATCTCTAAGGGGAAAGATCATTGTGAGATGGTTTCTTAGGAATAAATTTGCAAAAAGTTGGAATTTTATGATATATTTATTAAATTAAGTTTAGCATTTAATACAGATTTTCCATTTGATTTTAAAGTAAAACAGTCTCAGGCGAGGGAAACAAGTGAGCAAACGTTCACAGAAGGTAAAAAGAGGTAAAGTGTCAGAGGCCAAATTTTATATTCAGAAAAACTGACTCATCGTAGTGAGAACTATTTGAGAGCTATGCATTTAAAACCTACCACTAAAAAATAGGTGTATATTGTCTTTAGTGATTCATAGTACATTTACAATCACATGTCAGTCACTGAGGGCAGCTGCAATTTGCATCTCAAAAACACAGAATGTCCTTAAAGGAAAAAATCATTGAAACACATCATTCAAGAGCCTCCTGGAAGGGAATTTTTAATTCACTCATTGGGTTTTAAGTAAATGGAAGCTTACTCAATGAACATTTAAAACTAATAGTTTTCTAGTAATCGTAATGTATTGTTAATAATCTCAGAATACTTTATCTCACTCACATTCTATGGATCAAAAGTTGGTAAATGTGTACCCTAGCCTTGGAAAAATGGTTTAGTAAGAACAATTGCATTTGCTTTAGGGTGTGTTCAAGTGGTAGCCATGCAAGTTAGTTCACGTCTTATAATATATTTCCTTATCTTTATAATGGACTACTGATAATATAAACCTGTTTTCCTCAGTTTTTCCAAAGCCCAATACACAATTTTTTTCTCTACTTTATTCAGTGCCTTCACTCCAAATAATTAGATTGTTGTTAGTCATTTGAAGCAGAAATGTGTTTTATTCTTATGTGTTGTACACTGTATAGGTACAAACTGATAAATACCTTTGCTGACCAATTAACCAAAAACCCTCCTCTCTTTTGCCCTTTTTCAGTGGAGGCTACAGCTGTACACAGGTAACTGTTCTTCTGGACATTGTTTGTTCTCTTTGTAGAAAGTAGATAATTTCAAAACAAGGTGGTTACTGTTACTGAAATTGTAAATTATGTAGGGGCTGTCTGTTTTATGTCTGATGTATTTGTTAATATTTAGAATTCCTATTTCTGAAAAATATGTCAAGCTTCTTATTACAATACAGAATTGTATTGTAATGTATATATTACATTATGTATACATAAATATATGTATACATATATACAAATGTATAAATTTATAATGTATATAAAAATGTATACAGAACATTTTTAATCAAAATAAACTAAAAACTAGTGGATGGTAGCAGTGAGCTTGATATTAGTAATTCGGTAGGACATTTGGATTGAAATGTTCTAGTTTCTTAACATTCAAGGAGAGATTCCAAATCTGCTTATCTTTTATTTTATTTTATTTTATTTTTTTTTTTTTGAGACAGAGTCTCACTCTGTCGCCCAGGCTGGAGTGCCGTGGCGCAATCTTGGCTCACTGCAAGCTCTGCTTCCCAGGTTCATGCCATTCTTCTGTCTCAGCCTCCCGAGTAGCTGGGACTACAGGCACCTGCCACCATGCCCGGCTGATTTTTTGTATTTTTAGTAGAGATGGGGTTTCACCGTGTTAGCCAGGATGGTTTCGATCTCCTGACTTCATGATCCGCCCACCTTGGCCTCCCAAAGTGCTGAGATTATAGGCGTGAGCCACCACACCCGGCCCCAAATCTGCTTATTTTCTGATCAGCACAAGTAAACAGAAATATAGGACATTGTAAAATTGGTCAGTGGTACATTTAAATCTTGAGCTAGCTGGAGGGTCTGAGCTGGAAGAAGCAGGAATTTTCTAGTCACTCTTTTCTATTTTATTGTGACCACTCACCCTGTGGAAACGGATACTGGCCTGAAGGTTGCACATGCCATGCCGTTTTTACACAGAGTGAGTGTTGCTTCAGGGTCCTATTTGACTAAGTTCTTAATTTTCTTACATCTAGATCAGAATTGTAAAAAATGAGCTTCGTGCTTGCTAGAGTGGACTAGATGAGATATATCTTATTGTTATTTGGAAGGCTCCAAAAAGAGATATCGAAAAATGCTTAAAATTGGATTCATTGCTCTAGAAATAAAGCCAAGCTTCTGAAGATTATTCTCAGCGACTGCAGCTCTGGCAGCAGAGCAGCAAAAGGGAAAGGTAATTAGTCTTGGAACTTTGCTTTTTACACTTGGCTTTAAGTGAGGACACCAGCAGCAGATAGCAATATTTAATTGTGTTGAAATAAAGTTTGGAATCATGTTAATTTTCAATTGGAATCCAAGAAATGTTCTTCTTATGATTTCTGTTTACAGGAAGAAAAATTTTACTGGTATTCAGCCCAAATATAAAAGTAGCTATAAATGCCAGGTTACTGGGTATTAAAGGAAGTAGGCATGAAGTTGGGGTGTATATTAATCCGTTCTCAGGCTGCTAATAAAGACATACCAGAGACTGAGTGATTTATAAAGGAAACAGGTTTAATTGACTTACAGTTCAGCATGGCTGGGAAGGCCTCACAATCATGGCAGAAGGCAAAGGAAGAGCAAGACACGACTTTGGTGGCAGTTAAGTCAGCATGTGCAGGGAAACTCCCCTTTATAAAACCATCAGATCTCATGAGACTCATTCACTGTCATGAGAACAGCGTGGGAAAAACCTGCCCCCATGATTCAATTACCTTCCACTGGGCCCTTACCATGACATGTAGGGATTATGACAGTCACAATTCAAAATGAGATTTGGGTGGGGGCACAGCCAAACCATATCAGGGGAGATTTTAATTTGGACATATCAAATATTTGTCCAAGTTAGAATCATCCATTTCTGCCTGCTAGTAACTTATGTCCTTTTGAACAAAGAACAACTTAAGGCAATTGAGCTGTAAACAATGGTGCTTTTTATTGATTATACCCTAAATGATCTAAATTATGGGTGGTATGAGGAGAGAGCTGACTAGTAAAAAATAAACAAATAAATAAATAAAAAGAAGAAAAGCCATCTTTCCTTTAATTGTTCAGTTTAATTTAGTTGACCTTAATGGGAAAAGTGGAACTTCTACAGGTTGTTAAAGTTATCCTACTTCCTCTTTTCCCCAAATTGACTTATGACATTTAAACAATAGTTCAGACACCTCAGTCCATGAATTTAAGTGAAGTGTCTCCAAGAGGGTAGATTGCAATTGTGTTTTTAAGAGTCTGAGTAAGCCTAAGAAAGTCTGATTCAAATGACAAAGAAACCTCAGTGGGAGACACAGATGAGTTGAATGATCTGGTTTTGAACTTTCTAGGAGTTAACCTTACAATGATAATCTTGTGACTTTCGTTGTTTGTTGGTTGGTTTAGTGATACAGAAATGTAATTCATTCAACCACAATTTCAGTAGAATTTCATTAAGTCCTTAGAAATGTTCTCATTTGTGGTTCTGAGGACATGTTTCTAGGCACAAAGATAACATTTGAACTTTAGAAATGGTTGAAGATACATTGAGTATAGAATCTGAAAATCAACAGGAGAGGCTGATGTAATTTGACCTGGACTCTGGAAGGTTGAGGCTAGTTTAATATGTAAACTTTTAGCCTTGGGCACTTTTAGTAATACAGCTAGGTCTCCAGGTTTCTCTTCTTGGGTCCTAGGTTTTCTACATTCTATTTACCGTCTTTTGCTTTCCAGAGCACAGTTATTCAGGACTTAGTTCATTTCAGTGATGACTTTAGGTCACCTCATCTAAGAGGGTCATTTCTCTGCCCAGCAGTGTATTAGGCAATGTGGGAGTACAAAGATGAATAAAATCTAGTATTTAAAATATCCCTAAAGAAATTTATAGTGTGACAGAGGAGGAAGAAAATATATGTAACAAATCTGTTTAATACAAACTAGAAAACAAAGTAGAGGAAGTGAATTGTGTGCTATACCTTGGCAAAGATAAGGTGTTATGGCTGAGATAACAGAAGGAACAAAGGTATAGAGACTGATTATGTCTGAGGAACAGAGTAAATAGTATAGCACCCTTCTTACCGATTATACACAATGTAGTTCTCTGCCTTACCTGCTTTAGCACAGTTAAACATACCCAGTCATACTTGTTATATCATAGGATAGTACTCTGTCTTACTATGGCAAATGACAGTACCTTAGCTTACCCACTGTATTAAAGTGCAGTCCCCTATCTTACTCCCTGCATCACAGTGCAGTCCCCTATCTTCCCCACTGCATCACAGTGCAGTCCCCTACCTTACCCTCTGCAACACTATACAATCCTTTATCTTACCCCCTGCATCACAGTGCAGTCTCCTATGTTACCCACTGTATCACAATGCAGTCCCCTATCTTACCCCAGTGCATCACAGTGCAGTCCACTACCTTACCCTCTGCATCACAGTGCAGTCTTCTGTCTTTCTCAGTACATCACAGTGCAGTCCCCTATCTTATCCACTGTATTAGAGTGTAGTCCTTTATCTTACCTTCTGCATCACAATGTAGTCCCCCTTACCTGCTGCCTCATAGCGCAGTCCCCTATCTTACCTACTGTATCATAGTGCAATTCCCTAATCTTACCTCCTGCATCATAGTGCCATCCCCTATCTTACCTACTGTATCACAGTACAGTTCCCTCTTACTTACTGCATCACAGTGCAGTCCCTTACGTTACTCAGTGCACCCCAGTACAGAAAAAGTGTAGCTGGGTGCTATGGCACATGCCTGTAGTTCCAGCGACTCAGGAGCCTGAGGTATAAGGATTGCTTGAACCCAAAAGTTCCAGACCAGCCTGGGCAACATATAAAGACTCTGTCTCAAAAAAAGTGTAAATCAAATGAAACACCACATGTTCTCATTTATAAGTGGAGCTGAACAATGAGAACACATGGACCCAGGGAAGGGAACAACACACACTGGGGCCTGTTGGGGAGTGAGGGAGGGAGAGCATCAGGATAAATAGCTAATGCATCTGAGGCTTAATACCTAGGTGATGGGTTGATAGGTGCAGCAAACCACCATGGCACATGTTTACCTATGTAACAAACCTGCACATCCTGCACATGTACCCAAGAACTTCAAATCAAATCAAATCAAATATTTAAAAAGTGTAAATCAGAAAACTTCTATTATTTCTATGATTATTAAATGAACATGAATCATGCCTTTCTTATTAAAAATACATTTGCCCAGTAAATTATTTTAGAGCACAAACATAAATCTTAAACCCGTCACTGTAAAAATATATAACACATATCCCAGATAGATGAAAGTCTCTAGAAGATTATGTGACATGTTTTCTTGGACTGCCTCTATTACTGTATGGAATTTACACCTTGTAGTGGCCACAACATACAAATATGCATATGTATGTTTTTCCCCATTACCTTTGCCATGTAAAACTTTTGTCTTCTCTACAGAAATGTACACGGAGTGATTGATGTTCTCGTCTATCCATCTCGCCATATAGTTTTTACAATGGTTTCTTAGTCGTTAATATATTTCTGTGGAATATGTGTAAATAGACATGAGCAAACTGTCTAAAAGTTATTCAGCTACTCAGTGAACCATGTAATCTGTTGGTTCAGAGACAACAGATAATAGAGTGAGATATTTGCGTTACCACCCACACACTCTATGTAGCATCTATGCTCCAAAAGTCAATTTATGTTCTGTTGGGGCATGTCTCATCACACTATATTATCACATTGGGGATAGGAAATTTGGATAATGACTATCTGATTCAGAAAAAAAGAGACTATTTAGTGAATTGAATATCTTTGAGGTGGGAATTTTGAATTAGAATTTGGTTCCAGCCTTGGTTAATTTGATACTCTTTCTGTGTTTCATCACTGTTTTTCTCTCTTTTAACAATGCAAGTTAGAAATAACCTTGTTAATTAACATCTATTTTTAGGTTGATGGCATGACACAGCCAAGACAGAGTGGGAACATTCCAGGACTACCATAGCACAAGCAATAAAACTCTTTTCTAAGGGAAAGGTAGATGTTGGAAATAAAAATGGAAGGTATCCCTTGTAGGTGTACTTAGTGGATATACCTATTCTGAATAGTCAGAATTAATAAAACTGTTAACTAAGAGACTTAGTTAGTAGGCAGTCCTCTTACTCAACAAAAGTAGCTGATGTCTGGGTGATAGCAAGGCACTTCCCCTTCTCAGAAACTTTCACTGGCTCTCTCCTATCCCCACAATTAGATCCAATTCCCTCTATACTATGTTTCAAGTTTACATTTATATCTTTAACTCCAGCATCCTGTCCTCCCATCAGATTAAGCTATCCTAACTCTTCTGTGTGTATGCTTTTGTATATGTATGTGTATATATATATATATATAATTTAAAAAATCTTCTCTATGGCTTTGATAATGCTGTTTCCCCATCATGTCTATATGTCTCATTCCCATCTACCTTGAAGGGCCAGCTCATTTCTTTCTTGTTGATGGAGCACTTGTTGACCTCTTCTGCCTAGAAGCGATTTCATAGCACTTCATCTGCCCTCTCCTAAGGCAATTAACACCTTCCTTCTTTATTTTGATTATGGATACACATATTTTGTTTCTCTTTCTAAACTGAAATCTCCTATTTATGGAATTTATGAGTGGTTAGCTAGATCAATGAAAGGATGAGATAAGGAGAAATTCTCAAATTAAAGGGAGGAGATTTGTCTAGGTAACAGTAGATTTGAACTTTTGGAATAACCTGGAATGTATCCAGTCTTCTCTCAAGAACCACCCCTAGACTCAGTAGACTTAAATAAGTATAGATATAGGCATATGTTTTGCTTATTTTTAAAATTTTAGTAGACAATTACAGGTTTTCTTGTATGGGAACAATTAAGTATATGGGCTCAATAGATTGGTTGACTAAGTGGATTGAACTGGAGCAGAACATGTCAGATTGGATGGGAGAAGCCTGGTGGGTAGCCTATGAGGTCATGGTCTGTGGTTAGAGAGCAGATGCTTTGCTGGAATTGCTTTGCAGCATGGTCTGTGCTTGTCTTTCTCTTCTCTGAATTTCTATTTTAGTTATAGCAATATGACACAGTGTAGCACTTATTTGGCTTATGTGCGATAGCTTTTCCTTCACCGTGAGGTTGAAAGTTTCTTGAAAGCAGGGACACTTTACCTTCCTTGTGTGTGTATGTATTAAAACATGGCCTAGCACTTTTCCTAGGGCATGTGTACAATCAAAAAATCAGTTGATTTATTAATACATTAATTTATTAATTGGTGGATTACTTTCACTTAAAGAGATATTTGTTGAGAAAATTATGAGATATTATGTCCAAGGCATTGTGCTAAATGCCTCAGCAAATACAAAGATGACTAAATTGTAGACTCTGACTTAAGAGTTGCTATAATCTAGTAGCTATATAATTCAAAGAAAAGTGTGATGTGTACCATAAGAAAGATGCAACAAGGAGTCCACAGTCTTCTCCATCAAATTTGGAAATATGGATTCTGGTTAAATTCCAGGCCCTGTGTTTTCTTAAGCTGGTATTGTATATGGCACTACATACAAAAAAGCAATAGCTATGTAGAGGTTAAATGCTGCTAAAGCTCTTTGAATGTGAGTGTGGCCAGCTAACCAGGGTAGACTAAGGATGATGGTGAGACTGAAGAAAGATAGAAATATTTATTTGCACATTTTTCCAGTTGTAGTCACTTATGCATTTATGTGTTTGAACTTTTTTTAAAAAAGTAACTTCTTTGTGACTGTCAAATAAATTCAATGTGGAAAATTTGGAAACTAGATAAAAGTTCAGCAGGCTGACTACTCAAAATGCACTTTTTCACTTTTCGTGTAGGTGTCCACTTTCTCTGTGCCCTGGCTGAAGTGGCTTTCACCTCCAGTTGCAGTGGGATTTATCTTGATTGGTCCAGGCTAGCCATGATAAATCTACTTCCAAGCAAGTGATTTGTTTAGGGCTGCCTATTTAATCTAGTTCTAGACAATGGAATATGAAAGAAAATCTGTTGAGGAATTCTGGATATTCTGTGTGAAGATGTAATACCTGCAAACGTGGTCTTGAGGATTGCTTGCCCACATGCCAAGGATGGCAGAGCAGAAAGAAAAACATGGGTCCTTGATGGTATAATTTAGCCACAAATTAATCAACCTTGGAGCCTCCCCCTACCTCAGGACTTTATGTTATGTTTACACATCCTTTAGCTAAGTTTTCTGTTACTTACAGCACTAAATACCCTGTCTGATCCCATCTCCTTATCTTTTTATAAATCTTGTTTATGTTTGCCAGCCCACAGCAGTCGTAAGCCATGCATGTCTAATGTTTCTACCATGCTTGTGGTATTGTGTCATAGTAATAAAAGGTAACATTTGTGTAGCACTTACCAGTTTACAGAATGCTATTATTTCATTTGGTTATTAAACCTTGTGAGGTGGATGTGTTACTTTATTACCAAATATCAAGGGTCCCAGAACAGATACTAATCTCATGCTTATCTTGGGGAATCTGAGGTGAAGAGGGTGCCATTTATTGAAAACCTAATAGATCTCCAAAAAGTCAAGAAAAAGTTAGAGTGGAACTATCAATTTGTCCCTCATACCAAGGCATGGGAAACAAGGGGCTGGGAGGAAAGACCACTTTCAGTTTCTCAGGAAGGTCTTGGTGGTTAAGGGACAAACAGACTCAGGACAATGAAGTGCCTGGGCTCTGTCCTAGAACACTGGTTGCATTTCTATGGGGTGGGATCCTCTGGACACAATATATGCATTACTTCATTGTTTTCCCTCCAGCCTGTAGGCCTTTGCCCCAAATTTGAGAGAAGGGGAGATAAGAAACTGAGTATGTTTGATTAAAAAATAAGTCAACATAGAAAGTACTGTAAAATATCAAACATATTGGGCCCCTTTTGGCGGATCTTGATAAAAGAGTTGCAACATTGGTTAAAAAAAGAAAAGACCCTTTTTACCTCAGGGAGAACAATGAGGGCAGCCAAAAAAGTGCTGGGCAATATTGGTGTATTGGTGTCTTACGCATTAGGTGACATCATTAATTAATTAGTTCAACAAATACTTACTGAAAAGTGGTGAGCAAAGCAAGCCTCTAGTATTAAAGGAGAAAGGTGCGTATGCTGTAGTAGTGAAGAGATAATAATGAAATAATAAAATAAATACAAAATTAAGAACTGTAATGATTGCTAATAAAAAGGAAGAATAGCATGTGTGAGAGAACAGTGGAGCTGAGGGGCTGCTTTATATTGGGTGGTCAGAGTAGGTCTCAGTGACTAGGTTGTATTCACGATGAGACCAGAAGACTAGAAACAGACAGCTATTGAAACGGAGGAGGTGGGATGGGGTGAGGGTAGGGTGGGGACAGAGCCAGTGCTGGGCATAAGGAACAGCATCTGCAAAGGTCCTGAGGCAGAAAATAGTTGGTGTGTTCAAGGAACTGACTTTTTATGCAAAGTTCTTTTTACCACATTGTCATAACTGCTTATTAAACTTTTTCCCTGTGTCCAGTGTTGTTCTAGGAAATGTGTGATATATATAAATGTGTGTGTGTGTGTGTGCGTGTGTATAGGCTGAGATTGTTATAGATTCCTTGAAAGGGCAGGTGGGTGAGACTTTAATTGGAATGTGAAAAAAAGGAGAAAACATTTCTGAGAATGAAAATAGTAGATAACCTTGAATGAATTATTCCTAATTGGGAGTTAATAAGCAACAATCTGAGATTCACAGGATATCACAATTTTATTTATCCCCTTTTAAACTTCACTCCTCCTGCCCAAACCCTCACTTAAATTAATTAGATCAGCCCGGTGATTCATAAAGAGCAAATAAAGTAAATAACCTGTCACTGAGAATCACTTTCAAAGCTCATGTTGACTAAATTTTTAGTGGCAAATGCTCCTGACCTCCATGTTTCCCTGTCTTATAATCTATCCTTATTTTCATTGTGTGTGTTATCTCACTGCAGGTCTTTTACAACATTTTACACCATTTGAGCCTAGCGCTAACCAATGGCATTTTCAAATGCTTTGCAGACACAGCTCATTCACTCTCACAGCTCCACAGAGGTAGGGAGGGGCAGGTAGCATTGTCTCTGTGGAATGAATGAGGAAGCAGAAGGGCAGAGAGGTTAAGTGACTTGTATAAGATCACACAAGGGGTCAGTAGCTGTGTGTGAATAGGACTCAACTTCCAAACCTTTAGTCCAAGGCTCTGTCTACTAAGCCATTTTTCCATTGCAGGAAGCTCTGAATGTTAGAAGAAAAAAACAGTATTTCAGTATTCTAAATGGATAAATAAAAAACTGAGGTGATTTGTGGGAAAGATTCATTTCACTTTGGGTAAATGTTGCAGAATAGTTTAACATTTTATTTATTTATTTAGAGCATCAGACATCTTCAAGTCCCCAAATTGCAGTACATTGAAGGTGATGAGAGTAGTTAGAAACTTTGGAAGGGTAAAGTTCAAGAAATGGTGTCTAGCGTCAGATTGCTGTCCACCTCCGCTCTCATACTCCTACTCCTCTGTCAAGGTAGTAGATGTCCTAGCACTTATTCCATTCAGACGCCCCCTGCAGTGCTCAGTCACTTGGAACCCACAGCACTTTCAACCTAACCCTGGTCGTTTTGCTGCTTCCAGATCAACATCGTTTACAATGTGCTAAAACGTTCTGAGGACCACAAACTGCAGAAAATGCCATGTCTGAGATTTGGGCCCTGTTTGAGCCTGTGCTGTTTGCTTTGCTATAGTATTTGGATGCAAAAGCCTCCTATTCAGGCCCCGACTGTCGCCTTCGCCACTGCTTCCTTCTATCCCAATACTCAAATCCAGCAGAATTTGTGCTTGTGCAACCTTTTCTAATATTTTAGTCTTGGAATCAAATTTTGCGCACAATTTTCCTTAAAATAATAACTTTCCCAGCAAGTTGTAAGAGTCTCAAAAGTAGTTTTGAATGAAAACGGTGTCATTTCAGCCTACGCTATTATCCTACAGTCATGCCCCTCTACGGTTGAATTTTTTTTTAATCTTGACCCTGCATTTTCTTTAAATCTTGACCCTACAGAGGAGCTCTAATGAAATGGTGGATTGGTTTCTGCCCCACCAGAGAGAGACAATTGAATATAAGTTGCATTAAATTCAGAAAAATGAAGACCCATCCTGTGTGGGGTTTTCTAGATAAATCTGCCTCTCGTATATACATTTTTAATGACAATGTGGTTTCAAACTCAGTATTATTCAATACCAAATCAAAGCTGACTCATGGAGAAAAATACTGTTTGATTCTATTTAGTCCACATTTCCCTCCCCACTTTTGGGGAGTCTGCCGGTGCAGTTGCGGGTGGGGGTGTGTATAATGCAGTCTGAATACATTCTTATAAGTATTAGAAGTATGGAAACACAGAGCCCTCCGTGACCTCCAGAGCCCTCTGCTGATCACTGGTGTTTGTTGTAGGAGGAAGGCAAACATAAGCATAGAAGTGTTATTGAACAGAAACCCCTTCAGAAATGTCTCTGGGCTTTTGTTCTCCAGTTGCATAGCAGTAGGGGGCCCCCTCCTCAGAAAGCATACTTATGCAAGTATTAAGAACTGGCTGAGATAAGAAGTAAAGCTTAAGAGACCTTCATCATTAGCTGCTAGTGGTAGAGATTAGTGATCCTACTACAGGATTACAGATGGAAAGAGTGCCAGTGTTGGTTAATTGTTCATTAATGCTTGTAAAATAAGCCAGCTGGAGGAAAACTGACCATTGTCTGCTCTCTCACAGTGAAACTAAATTGGATCTGCTCATCAATGGCAGTATTGATGTCAGAAAAAAATACACATGTAAACTGCTTCCCTATGACTCCCTCTCAATTTTAAATATTTAATTAAAAACCGTTATCCTAAAAAGCAATGATTAAGTTGTCAATGCATCTTTCTGTTTGTGGCTGACCTTTATTTCAACTAAAGGCACCTTCCTTCACATGCATTTGCTCTTTTAGATTTGCTCTGAAAAGGGAAATAAAACCAGCTTCCTAAAATGGCCTCTAGATACAAATAAGCCTGTATAATTTGTGGTTATTATTTTGAGATATAGCGGACATGCTACTTACAAATCCTAGAGAACTGTAGGCTTTTCTTTCTCTCTGCCTCCCTCCTTATTCCCTGTCCTTCCTTCCCCTGAAACATGTGTTGCAGGATTGAGGCTATTTTTCCCCTCCCACACCCAGGCACAAGCCAGGTTAAATGATTTGCCCAAAGTCAGGAAGACAGCCGAGCACATTTGCCTTCTTTTGCCTTATTCTAGACAACATTCATCGTAAGGTCAGAGACTATGAAGTTAACTGTTACTGAATCCAAAAATAAGAAAATTTTAAGCAGGTTTCCTCCAGTCCTTTTACTTGAAGTCAGGTGGGAATTAATTTATTCATTCAGGAAATATGTACGGAGTTCCTACCATGAACAAATAGACACAGTTTCTGCCCTCGTTGTGCTTTCAGTTTAGTGGGGAGACAGACAATATCGTACAAGTTAAAAATTGACAAGTGTATTGAAGGGAAAGCAATGGGTACAGGGAGGAGTTATCAGAGAGGGATGGGATTGAGGTTGGGGGATAAGACATGGGTAAGAGAGAACTTGAGGGATGAGTGAGAGGTAGTAAGGTACATTTGGGGGAAGGGCTTGAAGGCAGAGACTGGAGCTTGTGTGAAGACCCTGAAGTTGAAGGAATCTCTGTGTTGGAGACAGCACAAAGGAGAAGATACTCTCTGAGAATTTGGAAACAGGTTCAGGTCAGCCCTCTGCAGAGGGAACCTTCTTCATGAGATGATTTGCTAATTAACCTAGGGGTTAGTATCTGACAAAAACCATGATCTGGCCCCTGCCTCCCTCTCCTACATTATCTCCTGCCATTTCTTTCTTTGCTCATTCTACTAAAGCCATATTGGCCTTCCATTTCTCTAACATCCAATTCAGTGTTCTTGCCTTTGCCGGCTCCTCTGCTCTCGTATACATTTAATACCTGTGCACTCTTCCCTCTGTTCTTTCACTCATTCACTCAACAAATATTTACGGAGGATTTACTAGTTACCAGTTCTAGGCACCATGGGTTTATCAGGAAACAAGAGAGTCCAAACCCCTTCTTTCATTGTCGCTCCTGATGGCACCATTTCAGAGCATATTTCCTCCCTATTACATTGGCCTCTTTTATTAGTTTCATAGCAGGTGTCACACCCGGAAGTTGTCATATTTAATTATTACATGTTTGTTGTCTGCTTCCCCTCTAAAATAAAAACACTGTGCTGGTGAGGGTGATGCCCCTCATATTTGGCACTGTATCTCCAGGAATTAGGACAGCACCTGGCACTCTCAATACTGAATGACCAAATATACAGGAAAGACAAAAATAGCAAATCAGACTAGAAAATTAGACAACAGTGGTGGAAAGTATGGAAAGGGAAATAATATTTACTGATCACTGACAGTTCTTTAAGAACTGCTGGTCCTTAATTGAATGTCATGGTAGCATGACATGACCACTTTCTTTAGCCACACTGTTGTGCTAGATTTCAAAACTCTACTTTTACTTGTTTGGAGGGATGATGTGTTAAGAAGATTTACTGATGTTTGAATTTTTTGTGTTATCTGCTTTATAAAAATGTGCCCATATGATCAAGGATCAAAAGACTATCAAAATCTAAAATTTCCTCTGATTCTCTGGTTAAGTAGTTATGCAGAGTTTAAGGCCAATACCAAAGGAAATGATGCTGGTATCTAATTTTATTTTTTTATTTTACTTAATGCTAGAATAAAATCTCTAAAGTCCTTCTTTTGTACCTCTGAGCATCTCATAGATATTAATTGGTTTATCTTATCTCTGAAAATCATGCTCCATTCACAACTGACAGTGGACAGTTCAACGGAAAGTTATGGCTCAAATGATTCAAAACAGGGCCAACCCAAAACCAGGATTCTGGATTTTATTTTAATATCCTGAACTTTTAAAATATTAATAACACAAACAGCACTACAACCTAGAGGAAGAACACAGTAGGAACTGGTACTCACGTCTGTCTGAATACTTGCCTGGTTTCTAGTTTGCTGCCTTGCTTCTAACCAATAACACCCTGAATGCATCAGGCTTTTCAAGTCAGAAGTGAGGCAAGCAAAAACCAGTTCGTAGCAGAAATGATAGCCAAGGCCAGAATAGCACAAGACAACAAGAGTACTGTATAGCAAATTAAGCTTCTATGTAAGCTTCATATAAGCTTCTTGTTTCATAACCAACACCAACAATTGCCAGGCTGCCATAGAAAAACTCACCTCACCTGATAATTCCTAACACAGGTCTGGTGCAGTACCTCAATTTGTCACGTCTAGTCTATTCTGAAATGGTACAGCAGTAAACAGTCATTTATTTTTTCTTCATTTCTCAATTTTTAAAGCAATCATTATGAACGTCTGCCTCTAATCTCCTTGATTGTGTATTTTGAAGACAAATATAAATTCTATTATATTTTACGTAATGTTATCCAGAAAATTTGTTCCTTGTGGCATTGGGGTTGTAAGATAAAAAGGAGAGATTCTGCAATTTAGATCAAAAGAGGACTGATGGAGAGAAGAAAAAAAAAGAGAGAGACCACTAAGTGTGGGTACCAACTAACCACCAGGCCCACATGATCTAGTTTTTAGGAAGAAGGTTGGGGCTAATGGGCCCTGGAGAACTTGGGAAGGCACTGCAAATATAGGTTTGGAATAAAGTTTATTGGTCCTGACCCAGCTCTCATTGTCAGTGATGATAAGGTTGCATAAGAGCCCAACAGGTTGAAAGTGGCACTGTGTATTGTTAGAATCAGTTTTAGCAAGTTATAGGGATGATCTTAACTCCCTACACCTTGCATCTTAAAAACAGTTTTTTAAAAAGCTTTTCCTCACCTCTTTATAGCAGTGACGAGCAAAATTCGGCTTGTGACCATCTAAATATATCAAATTCCCTATTGCATTGTCTAAGTCTTATTTTTATATCTTAGTAACGTTGGTGAAAAGGACCAAAGAGTCTACTTACTATCTGCATTACTCTATTCTGCACATTAGGCCCTTAAACAGGAGAACAGAGGCCTTGTGGTGAAGGGAGTAGCTCTATAGGTAAACCTGTGGATGCATCTGGTCTTTGCTAATATGTGTCAACTAAACCATTTTCTCTTGAAAGTATCTTTTGAAAAAGATACTTTCAAGTACAAAGTACTTTCAGGATGCACAAACAAATGATTAAAAAAAGAGACACTCAGTCTGAAAGATAGGATTTCCACATCTTAAGCAGATATGCTCATGAGTCCACTAAAGTTCAATAGTCAGGTTTAATATTTTTTTCTGGGTATTTACAATGGTTTAACAGTGACTTTTCATCCTACTCTGTTTGGGGAATTAGTATGAAGAGGAAAAATATATTCCTTTTTCCCAAAGCCATCCTACTTTTACCATATGGGGAAATTTCATGGTACAATTGAAGTCTATGAAGCCCTGACATAGTAGCGATTGGTCATTCTTTCAGTCATCTTCGCATGGTCATGAAGGGTGTCTCTAATGCACAAATCAGGTCATAGCATTTTTTTTTTTCCCTTAAAAAAAACCTATCCTTCACAAGCAGAACAATTCCAAACTACTCACCCTGATATAACTAGCATTTTACATGAGCTGGAACCATAACGAGAAAATAGCTTTATTTTTTTCTACCATCAATATTATCCTTGATGATATTTTGGGACGATTCCATTGCTTTCTGTCACTTTTAGGTATTAGAAAAGAGATTTTTTTCAGTATTAATAATTCCAGTCCAGCATAACAAAATTTCTGTTTCCTGTTTAATTCAAAGCTAAGGTCTGGGAGGAAGGTGGAGGTGGGGTCATAGCCTTTCTTTTTTTTTTTTTTTTTTTTTTTTTTTTTTTTTTTTTTTTTTTTTTTCAGATTTTTCCCTTCCCCTTTAGATCCTTCAAGTTGTGGTCAGAAAAGAAGGGAGAGAGAAAAAGTGCAGTATTTGTAGCTCTCTATGGAATAATCCTAATGTTAACTCGATCTCTAGATGTGCTCTTTGGGACATGCTGTGTGGCCCTCTGCTTTGCTCTGTTCCATGACTCAGGAAATGCTCATCCACCTCAGTTCCTGTCTTTCCATGATAGATTTTCTGTCACTTTTACCTGGGACTCCTCTCCCTAGCAGGGACCTCTTTTGGGGAATGGTCCATTAGAGATGACTGGAGGTAGGTTACCTTCTTTAGCATCCATGTGGCCCATGACAAAATACACCCATTCTTTCCCTACCAGATGGGCTTATTTGAGGGAGGTTAGCCACTGAGTCCTCCCTTCTTGTCCTGCCTACATTGCTAGGCACCAGCATCTGTCTTCGTCATTTGATCCCTTTACTCCTGAACACATGCATGAGACTTGCCCAGGAACTTTTTGAGTCCTGCTCTGGTAGTAGCACTGGGAAGGCCTACCAATTTCTGTCTCTAAAGCAAGCATCAGGCTTGAGTTTGAGAATAAAATCTTTTCTCTAGCAAGTAATTCCAGGCCTTGCAAGTGTTCTCTTGGGGTCTCCTTCACCTGGCTTGAGATTGGTGTGGATGGGGAGAGATTATGCCACAGCATTCCCTACTTATGTTAATTTCTTCCCTTTGAAGAAGCTTCTTCTCAATAAATATCTAGCTGTTATATATAGACTGATGATGGCGACAAAGTTTGGCTGGCTCTGAATAAGTTTTACGTCAACACATCTAGCACCACACTTTAAAATGTGGCATGTTTATTACCTGTTATTCTTAGCTTTAGGCTGTTAGCTGAAACTCACAGACATCAGGAAAAATTCCATTCTGCTTTTAATCCACTGGCATTTAAAGTCCTTAATAATCAAATCAGAATATTGCTTTTTACTGTATCTGAGCACACTTCTGCCTCTTTTCATATTCTCCCCTAGTGTGATTTAGCCATAACTTCCCTTTTACCTCTCCTCCTCTTCTTCCAAATGCAAATGTTCCATTCTTTTCTGTCTTAATGCCTCTGCACCATCTTTGCTTGTTGAAATTTGACTCTTCCCAAAGGTCTTGTTACCTTCTCCATGAAGTCTTCTGAGATCTGCCTGATCTAATTAAATCTCACCTGTCCTAATACTTGCTTTTTGTTTAGCACTTTTTCTTTCTATTATCACATTCAATGGTTCCCTTTATTAACAATATAGTGGTATTGTTGTAGTCTTCTTTATATTAGATTTATTTGTGTGTCTATCTACTGAACTATCCTTCACAAGCATAGTGAAGTGAGAAGCTACTGCACTAGATTGTAAATTTCACTCCATTCGTTCATTCACTCATTTATTCATTCAAAAGTATTTATTCATCTTCTCAGAATCAGACATTGTAGTAAGTGATGGGGACAAAAAGTCGGGTAAGGCACAATCACTGATCTCAAAAAAAGTTATTCCAGGAGGGCAGATAGAACATAGATGTGAAATTTTAAATGTCAGTTTAATGAAATACACACTGAGATTTGGTTAAAAGTTTAAGTAAGCAAAAATCTCTCCCCTGAAGGGGCTCACAGTTTAACTCAAGAAAGAAGTCAAAGAAGACACCCCAAATACTGTGAGTGCCCAAACTATGGAAGTGGGAAAGGGAGATTCTCCTCTCCCGAACACACACTTCCACTGGGGAAACTGAAGGTCTGTGTGCCAGAGAAGATTCCGACCTTACCTGGAGCTGAGTCAATTTAGAGAGCTGAACGAAATACAGGGGCAGAGAAAGCAGTGGGAAAGGCCCTGGGAGCTCGCTCTGTCCCCAGGCAGGCCATTCCTGCCTAGCACCACAGGGATCCATCAGGAGGGTGGTCAGAGCTGCGGGTATCGGGGAGAGGGGAAACACCACAGGGAGAAGGAAGTCTCCAGCTGAACTTTATAACAGTTGGAACCGGTGAGAAGCCTCCTGGCCAGAACTCGGGGGAGGGCGCAAATCCAGTGTGCAGACTCCACAGGTGGGGGAAGAACCAAGCCCTTTTCTTTTGCAGCTGGGAGGCAGGTGGCCTGGGGCAAGTTCTCAAGCCCCGCTCACTCACTGCTTGGAAACAGACTTGGGGCTGTTAGGGGGGCACGGTGGGAGTGAGACCGGCCCTTTGGATTGTGTGAGAGCTGGGTGAGGCCTGGGACCACCAGCTTTCCCCCACTTCCCTGACAACCTGCATGACTCAGCAGAGGCAGCCATAATCCTCCTAGGTACACAACATCATTGACCTGGGAACCTCACCTCCATCCCCCCAGCAGCTGCAGCAAGACCCTCCCAAGGAGAGTAGGAGCTCAGACATGCCTAGACCTGCTGCCACCTGATGGACCTTCCCTACCCACCCTGGTAGCTGAAGACAAAAGGCATATGCTCTTGGGAATTCTAGGGCTCTGCCCATTGCCAGTTCCTCTCCATATTACCACAGCTGATGCTCTCTGGAAAATGCCACCTCCCAGCAAGAGGCCAACCAGCACAAAAATAGAACATTAAACCACCAAAGCTAAGAACCCTCACAGAGTCCATTTCACTCCCTGCCACCCCCACTGGAATAGGTGCTGGTATCCACAGCTGAGAGACCCATAGACAGTTCACATCACAGGACTCTGTGCAGACAAGCCCCAGTACCAGCCCGGAGCCTGGTAGACTTGCTGGGTGGCTAGACCCAGAAGAAAGACAATAATCACTGCAGCTCAGCTCACAGGAAGCCACATCCATAGGAAAAGGGGGAGATTACATCAAGGGAATGCCCTAAGGGACAAAGGAATCTGAACAACAGCCTTCAGCCCTAGACCTTCCCTCTAACAGAGCCTACCAAATAAGAAGGAACCAGAAAACCAACTCTAGTAATATGACAAAACAGTGCTCTTTACCACCGCCCCAAAATCACATTAGCTCACCAGCAATGGATCCAAACCAAGAGGAAATCCCTGATTTACCTGAAAAAGAATTCAGGAGGTTAGCTGTTAAGCTAATCAGGAAGGCACCAGAGAAAGGCGAAGCCCAATGCAAGGAAATCCAAAAAAAAAAAAAAGAAAAAAAATACAAGAAGTGAAGGGAGAAATATTCAAGGAAATAGATAGCATAAAGAAAAAACAATCAAAACTTCAGGAAACATTGGACACACTTATAGAAATGTAAAATACTGTGGTAAGACTCAGCAATAGAATTGAACAAGTAGAAGAAAGAAATTCAGAGCTCGAAGACAAGGCCTTAGAATTAACCCAGTCCAACAAAGACAAAGAAAAAAGAATAAGAAAATATGAACAAAGCCTCCAAGAAGTCTGGGATTATGTTAAATGACCAAACCTAAGAATAATCAGTATTCCTAAGGAAGAAGAGAAGTCTAAAAGTTTGGAAAGCATGTTTGAGGTAATAATTGAGGAAAAATTCCCTGTCCTTGCTAGAGACCTAGACATCCAAATACAAGAAGCACAAAGAACACTCCGGGAAATTCATTGCAAAAGATCATCACCTTGGCATATTGTCATCAGGTTATCTAAAGTTAAGACGAAGGAAAGAATCTTAAGAGCTGTGAGACAAAAGAACCGTGTAACCTATAAAGGAAAACTTATCAGATTAACAGCAGATTTCTCAGCAGAAACCTTACAAGCTGGAAGGGATTGGGGCCCTATCCTCTGCCTCCTCAAACAAAACAATTATCAGCCAAGAATTTTGTATCCAGTGAAACCAAACATCATATATGAAGGAAAGATACAGTCTTTTCCAGACAAACAAATGCTGAGAGAATTTGCCACCACCAAACCACCACTACAAGAACTGCTAAAAGGAGCTCTAAATCTTGAAACAAATCCTGGAAACAATCAAAGCAGAATCTCTTTAAAGCATAAATCACACAGGACCTGTAAAACAAAAATACAAGTTAAAAAGCAAAAACTAAAACTAAAAAAGCAAGCTACATGGGCAACAAATAGCACAATGTAGCAAACAGTACCTCACATCTCAATACTAACATTGAATGTAAATGGCCTAAGTGCTCCACATAAAACATTCAGAACTGCAGAATGGATAAGAACTCACCAATCAACTGTCTACTGTCTTCAGGAGACTCACCTAACACGTAAGGACTCACATAAACTTAAAGTAAGGGGTGGAAAAAGGCATTTCATGCAAATGGACACCAAAAGTCAGCAGGGATAGCTATTCTTATATCAGACAAAACAAACTTTAAAGCTACAGCAGTTAAAAGAGACAAAGAGGGACACTATATAATGGTAAAAGGCCTTGTCCAACAGGAAAATATCACAATCCTAAACATATATGCACCTAACACTGGAGCTCCCAAATTTGTAAAACAATTACTAATGGACCTAAGAAATGAGATAGACAGCAACAAAATAATAGTGGGGGAGGGACTTCAATACTCCACTGACAGCACTAGACAGGTCATCAAGACAGAAAGTCAACAAAGAAACAATGGTTTAAACTATCCCTTGGAACAAATGGACTTCACAGATATATACAGTACATTCCATCCAACAACTGCAGGGTACCCATTCTATTCAACAGCGCATGGAACTTTCTCCAAGATAGACCATGTGATAGGACATAAAACAAGCCTCAATAAATTTAAGAAAATTGAAATATCAAGCACTCTCTCAGACCACAGTGGAATAAAACTGAAAATTAACTTCAAAGGAACTCGCAAAACCACGCAAATACATGGCAATTAAATAACCTGCTCCTGAATGAGCATGGGGTCAAAAACAAAATCAAGATGGAAATTAAAAAATTCTTCGAACTGAATGACAATAATGATACAAGCTATCAAAACCTCTGAGACACAGGAAACACGGTGCTAAGAGGAAAGTTCATAGCCCTAAATCCCTACATCAAAAAGACTGAACGAGCACAAACTGACATTCTAAGGTCACACCTCAAGGAACCAGAGAAACAGGAACAAACCGAACCCAAACCCAGCAGAAGAAAGGACATAACCAAGATCAGAGCAGAACTAAATGAAATTGAAACAAAAAAAAATACAAAAGATAAATGAAACAAAAAGCTGGTTCTTTGAAGAGATAAATAAAATTGATAGATCATTAGCAAGATTAACCAAGAAAAGCAGAGAGAAAATTACAGTTGACACCACTGAAATACAAAAGATCATTCAAGGCTACTGTGAGCACCTTTATGCACATAAACTAGGAAACCTAGAAAAGGTGGATAAATTCCTAGAAAAATACAACCCTCCTAGCTTAAATCAGGAAGAATTAGACATCCTGAACAGACCAATAACAAGCAGTGAGATTGAAATGGTAATTGAAAAAGTTACCAAGAAACAAAAGCTCAGGACCAGACGGATTCACAGCAGAATTCTACCAGACATTCAAAGAAGAATTGGTACCAATCCTTTTGACACTATTCCACAAGGCAGAGAATGAGGGAATCTCCCTAATTCATTCGATGAAGCCAGCATCACCCTAATACCAAAACCAGGAAAGGACATAACCAAACAAGAAAACTACAGACTGATATCCCTGATGAACACAGATGCTAAAATCTTTAACAAAATACTAGCTAACCAAATCCAACAACATACCAAAAAGATAATCCAGCTGGATCAAGTTGGTTTCATACCAAGGATGCAGGGATGGTTTAAAATACACAAGTCAATAAATGTGATACACCACATAAACAGAAATAAAAACAAAAATCACTTGATCATCTCAATAGATGCAGAAAAAGCATTTAACAAAATGCAGCATCCTTTTATGATTAAAACTCTCAGCAAAATTGGCATACAAGGGACGTACCTTAATGTAATAAAAGCCGTCTATGACAAACCCACAGCCAACATTATACTCAATGGGGAAAAGTTGAAAGCATTCCCTCTGAGAACTGGATCAAGACAAGGATGCCCACTCTCACCACTCCTCTTCAACATAGTACTGGAAGTCCTAGCCAGAGCAATCAGAGATGAGAAAGAAATAAAAGGCATCCAAATTGGTAAAGAGGAAGTCAAACTGTCACTGTTTGCTGGCGATTTGATTGTTTACCTGGAAAACCCTAAAGACTCCTCCAGAAAGCTCCTAGAACTGATGAAAGAATTCAGCAAAGTTTCCAGATACAAGATTAATGTACACAAATCAGTAGCTCTTTTATACACCAACAGCAACCAAGCGAAGAATCAAATCAAGAACTCAATCCCTTTTACAATAGCTGCAAGAAAATATAAAATAAAATAAAATACTTAGGAATACACCTAACCAAGGAGGCAAAAGACCTCTACAAGGAAAACTACAAAACACTGCTGAAAGAAATCATAGACGACACAAACAGATGGAAACACATCTCGTGCTCGTGGATAGGTAGAATCAATATTGTGAAAATGACCATACTGCCAAAAGTAATCTACAAATTTAACACAATCCCTATCAAAATACTGCCATCATTCTTCACAGAAATAGAAAAAACAATTCTAAAATTCACATGGAACCAAAAAAGAACCCTCATAGACAAAGCAAGGCTAAGCAAAAAGAAATCTGGAGGCATCACACTACCTGATTTCAAACTATACTATAAGGCCATAGTCACCAAAGCAGCACGGTACTGGTATAAAAATAGGCATATAGAACAATGGAACAGAACAGTGAAACCAGAAAGAAGCCCAAATACAGCCAAATGATCTTCGACAAAGCAAACAAAAACATAAAGTGGGGAAGGGACACCCTTTTTAACAAATGGTGCTAGGATAATTGGTTAGCCACATATAGGGGAATGAAAGTGGATCCTCATCTCTCACCTTATACAAAAATCAACTCAAGATGGACTAAGGACTTAAATCTAAGACCTGAAACTACAAAAATTCTAGAAGATAACATTGGAAAAACCCTTCTAGACATTGGCTTAGGCAAGGATTTCATGACCAAGAACCCAAAAGCAAATGCAATAAAAACAAAGATAAAAAGCTGGGCCTTATTTAAAGAGCTTTTGCATGGCAAAAGGAACAGTCAGCAGAGTAAATAGACAACCCACAGAGTGGGAGAAAATCTTCACAATCTATACATCTGACAAAGGACTAATATCCAGAATCTACAATGAACTGAAATCACTAAGAAAAACAAACAATTCCATCAAAAAGTGGGCTAGGTACATGAATGACAATTCTCAAAACAACATACACAAATGGCCAACAAACATATAAAAGAAGTTTACGTCACTAATGATCAGGGGTGCAAATCAAAGCCACAATGTGATACCATCTTACTCCTGCAAGAATGGCCATAATCAAAAAATTTAAAAAACAGTAGATGGCATGGATGCAGTGATCAGGGAACACTTCTACACTGCTGGTGGGAACATAAACTAGTACAGCCACTATGGAAAACAACATGGAGATTCCTTAAAGAATGAAAAGTAGAACTACCATTTGATCCAGCAATCCCATTACTGGCTGTTTACCCAGAGGAAAAGAAGTCATCATACGAAAAACGTACTTGCACACGCATGTTTATAGCAGCATAATTCACAATTGCAAAATTGTGGAACCAACGCAAATGCTGATCAGTTAACAAGTGGATAAAGAAACTGTGGTGTATATATACAATGGAATACTACTTAAACATAAAAAGGAATGAATTAATGGCATTTGCAGGGACCTGGATGAGACTGGAGACTATTATTTTAAGTAACTCAGGAATGGAAAATCAAACATTGTACGTTCTCATTGATACATGGGAGCTAAGCTATGAGGACACAAAGGAATAAGAATGATACAGTAGACTTTGGAGACTTGGAGGGAGGAGGGGTAGGGGTGTCAGGGATAAAAGACTACAAATAGGGTGCAATGTATATTGCTCTGGTGGTGGGTGCACCAAAATCTCACAAATCACCAATAAAGAACTTACTCATGTAACCCAAAACCATCTGTACCCCAATAACCTAAGGAAAAAAAAGAATGATTTCAACAGAAGATACTAATTTTAGATTTAAAAAAGAGAAAATGCTTGGATATGCCAAATTAAATACCATTAGGTGCATATATTAATTTTGATAACTAATTTGCAACCATGTAAATGCATGTATGTGTATGTATATTTGTATACACATGTGTTCATGAGTCAGGGATTGGTATCATGTAGAACATTTCCTCATGGAAATTATGGATGTCTGTAGTGGATGCACTTGAGAATACTCCAAATCTATAAACAATCCCCAAGAACGGATATGTTTCCAGATGTCTTACCACGAACGATGAGAGTTAAGAGCTTTCATTAAGAATACAGGCATTTTCCAGGGGTTCTCAGAACACTTGGACAACGCCTGGGATGTGGTGGTAGGAACCTTTAACCACAAAAATGTTTTCTTCTCTGAAATTGAAGTTTTTGTCTTTTAGAGTCATCATTCTTTCATACATTCATAGTCAAATCCACAAGTCTGTTTCAGAAATAATCTTTATGAGCAATAGCTAAACAAACAAGTTAGAGGAACTCAAATCATCTCTCGAGAAGAATCTATCTCTGACTTTCCCAGCATCTCATGTGAATGACTCAATTATAATGACTTTGATAAATAATGCAGTGTTTCTCAAAGTATAATATTTTTTAAGGAATAGTAAGTCTCTGGGATATTAATAGGTGCTATGCCCCCAATAAGGATTCATTGGTCAAATTAATCAATTTTAGAAACACTGAATTAAAGTAAAACAAATTTTTTTACTGTATGACTGCTTAGAGGCTTTTAAATCCAATGTGCCTTGTGAATCTCTAAGCATTTGGAGAGTATAAAGCGTTTCCCGGACACGTAGGAAGATGGAATCCTGTGACCATATCATAGTGTCAGTGTTCTGAGGGCACATTTTGGGAAAGACTAATGTAGTAGGTCTTTTCCATTTCTTATATCTATGATAACTGCCATTTCATCTGAATTTGTTGTAGCTGGGGACTTAACAGGAAATATCAGCTGATGAAGGAAATGCCAGACATTCGTTACTGTAAGGAAATGTATTTACATTATGTTTATTACTTATAGTTGTTTCTGAGGTATAAAACCCTGAAGATAAAAGATACGAGATACATTCTCACATATAAAGAGATTACCATCTAGTTTAGGAAAAAATGCAAAACCAAATCATTTCCATATAATGATGTAATTGCTGGGATAGAGGCATACACAGATAGAATGGAAGCCTAGAGAAGGGAAACTTAGCTAAGCCTAGGCACGTAGGGAAGACTTTCTGGAAAAGGTAATGCCTAACTGACTCTTAAAGAAAAAGTAGGAGTTAACTTTGCAGAAGGTGGGGAGAGGTGGCTTCCAGGTAGGACATCAAAATTATAAGGTAATATAGGTGAGGGTAATTGGAGAACTACCAACATGTGACTTTTAATATTACAGAGAGAGGAATATTACAAAGGCACCACTTTGGAAAAAGAGACTGCAGTATTTGGGAAGACGGAAGGCTGCTAACGTGCTTGGATACAGCACAGCCACTTATTCACCCACGTAGAGAGCTCTCAGGCCACCACCAATATCAACCTTGGGGGTGACCTTTAGATAGAGGAGAGTTTTTTTTAAATCACATCAAAACAAAATACATCTAAAAGTGCCTCAAATAACTACGTGTGGGTCTGTGACAAAAGAGAAAAAGAGCAGTGATGGTCTTCTCAAGCAAAGAGAGGCTTCTGAGAGGAAGATCACGCCTTTCACTCTACCTCATTATACTGTATAGCTGGCGGACTGAGAGGAGAAATGTTTCTCTGTGTAGCAGCTCATTAGCAAAAGAAGAACTCTGACATTAGTTAAAATGTTGATAGATGTGACAGGTGGTGTGAAGACAAGATGGTGTTGTCAAATTGGAGTGGGAGCCCTCCAGCCTTGTGACTTGCTTCATAATAACCAGTTTATGCAGCATATATTAAGCTGCTAAAAAGAGAGTCTTTGTTGAGTAAAACATACTGGGAAAGTACAGATTACTACTTTGTGGTCTGAACCAAGCTATGATTTTCTACATTAAAATTTTTTTTACACTTAGTGCTTATAAATCTCCAAATCTATTATTTGACTATATCTTAGGCCTTTTTAGTTATATGTAGCCGAGTTATCCTCCTTCTCTCTTATGTCCAAATGCTCTATTTGATCATATTCTTTTGCCTAAAAATGTGTCCAGAGCTCCTCTATTGGGGGAAAATGGAAAAAAAAAAAACCAAAAAACAAAATAGAAAACAATAAGAACATCTTTCCCTGATCCAAGAATCCTTTTGAGTTTCCATATAATCTCCTCTGTTTTTCATCACTACACTTCTGGCTAAAGGAGGTTTTTGTTCATTGCTCACCACTTTCAAACCACCCACTCATTCTTTAAACATTTTCAATACAGTTTTAGTTTCCAACATGGTAAGGAAACAGCTCTCTCAAAGACTCTCATTGGCTTCCTAGTAAGCAAATCTGATAGCCATTTAGTTTTTTTATTTTCAGTGTTTATTCTACTTAATGTGTTCACGCATTTGGTGGCACTGATACTATAGTATTCTTTAAAATCTCTACCCTTTTGCTTTAGTGACATATATACCCCTGTTTTTCCTTCTAAGGACTTGGGTGGGAACACCAGGTCTGCCACTTATTGTGTTACTTGGGGCATTTTATTAATATTTAACTTTTCTGAGTCTCAGTTCTCACTCTAAAAGGAGGAAGGGATAATATCTACCTGATAGAATTAGCTCAAAGATTAAAGTGAGGCATCCCATGTAATATCCTCAGTACAGTAGTGACACTCAACAGATACTAGTCCCCCCCCACCCCCTGCCCATCTTTCTGAACCACTTCTCTAGCTCATTCTCTGGATCCTTTTCTTCCTACACTTTAATGTAGTATTCCACAAAGTTCTATTGTTGGCCTTCTTTTCTATATTCCTTTCCTTAAGATCCTCACCAAATACGCATTGCTGTAAGTATTACTTCTATGCTTGACCCTCCAATCTTGACTCAACTTTCTTTCTTGCTATTCATTGTGAACTTTTATGTGGATATTCCCTTTACCTCACAATTAGTGTGTCCAAATCAACTGACATCTTTCCTCCTAAACTTGCGTTCCACCTCTGTCTCTTATTTTTGTTAGTAACACTATCATCTTCCTAACTCCACAGTTAAAAATCTTAATATTGTCTTTGCTCTTTCTTCTCTTTTATCCCTCACATCCAGCCAGTGGTGAAATCCTATAGATTTCAACTGATATATCTCAAACCTCTTAACTTCTTTCCCATTTACCTGTCATTATCCTGTTATAGGCCTCCATGGTCACTGCTATTTTAGTAGGCATTGAGCTAGTCTTCTGCTTTCGCTACTTTCCTCTTACTCCATTTAACGTGCACAGAAATAAACAAGTTGTATTACCATATAATGTTCGTCTTGTCAACCATGTCTCTATGCAAAAAAACTTTTCTTTTTCTTTATTGCCTAAGGAGTCCAGACTGTTTAATGTATTTCTTGATCTGACCCCAAGTCAAATTTCTAATTTTATCTCCAATTTCTTGTATTGCTCCATTCACACTGAATTGTTGATGGTCCTCCACATGCTTCTCTCTTTGGGCTGACTCTTTGGTCTATGCTGCCCTTCCCTCTCCACTTATGTCTGTCGAAACACTACCTGTTCAAAAGCTCAGCTCAAATGGATCTTCCACTTGGGAGAACCACAAAAGTCAACAACAGCTTTACCGACCCCTCTAGTGAGGTGTAATCTTTTCTTCTCCTAAACTCTTGTAGTACTTTATCTGTGTCTATTTTATAGCATGCCATACATCATTCATGAAAAATCAGTGAATGAATTTATATGTATAAAGTTGTGGGTGTGAAAGTTGAGATACTAAGAACTAGGGACTCAATTGCTACCTATGTAGACATTAGGCTGGAGTTGGCAAACTATGACCTGTGGGCTCACCGCCTGTTTTTGGATAGTTCATGAACTAAGAATGACTTTTACGTTAAAAAATGTATTTAATTACAGTGAGACATACGTGACATATAAAAGTTACCATCTTAACCATTTCAAGTGTACATTTCAGTAGTGTTAAGTACATTCACATTGTTGTGCAACCAATCCCCAGAACTCTTTTCATCTTGCAGAATTGAAACTCTATGCCCATTTGTGTTAAGCCATTCTTGCATTGCTATAAAGAAATACCTGAGGCTGGATAGTTTATATTAAAAAAAGATAATTGGCTCACAGTTCTGCAGGCTGTACAAGCATGGCATCAGCATCTGCTCAGCTTCTAGGGAGGCCTCAGGGAGTTTTTACACATAGCAGAAGGTGAAGGAGGAGCAGGCACATCACATGGCAAAAGCAGGAGCAAGAGAGAGTGGCAGAGGTGCCCTATAAACAACCAGATCTCATGAGAACTCACTCATGACCTCGAGGACAGCACCAAGCCATGAGGGATACACCCTCAAGACTCAAACACCTCCCACCAGGCCCCACCTCCAACATTGAGGATTACCTTTGAGCATGAGAATTGGGCAGAAACAAATATCCAAATTCTGTCACCATTAAATAACAACTCTCTATTCTCTCTTTCTCCTAGCCCCTAGTAACCGCCATTCTACTTACTGTCTTTATGAATTTGATTATTCTAGGTACGTCATATAAGTGGAATCACACAGCATTTGTCTTTTTGTGTTTGGCTTATTTCACTTAGCAAAATGTGCTCAGAGTACATACATGTTTTAGCATATTTCAGAATTTTACTCCTTTTTAAGGCTCAATAATATTCTATTGTATGTATATACCACATTTTGTTTATCCATTTGTAATCTTTATTGATAGATATTTGGGGTGTTTCCACATTTTGGCTATTGTGGATAATGCTGCTCTGAACATCTGTGTACAAAAATACCTCTTTGAGATCTTGCTTTCAATTTTTTGGGGCATATTTTTATTTTTTGAGTAACCCTCATACCGTTTTTCATAGTGGCTGTACCATTTTACATCCCTACCAACAGTGTAGAAGTGTTTCAGTTTCTCCACATCCTCACCAATACTTATGATTTTCTGATAGAGATCTTAATTAACAGGTGTAAGGTGGTATCTCATTGTGGTTTTAAATTTGCATTTCCTTAGTGACTAGGGAGGTTGAGCATCTTCTCCTGTGCTTTTTGGCCATTTGTGTATCTTCTTTGGAGAAATGTGTATTCAACTTTTTTCTCCCATTTTTGTTGGGTTTTGTTCGTTGTTGTTGAGTTGTAGGAATTTTTCATATATTCTGTCTATTGATTTCTTATCAGATATATGATTTGCAAATATTTTCTCCCATTCCATAGGTTTCCTTTCATTTTGTTGATTTTTGTCTTTTGATGTACCAAAGTTTTAAAATTTTTTGTAGTCCAACTTACCTCTTTGAACTGTGTGCATTTTTTAATGGTGGGAAAAAATAAAAAGAAAACTAATGTTTTGTGACACATGAAAATTATATGAAATTCAAAGTCCATAAATAAAGATTATTGGAACACAGCCATATGATTCATATAAATACATACATAAGTATTATCTGTGATTGCCTGCATGCTACAAGGGCAGAGTTGAGTAGTTGGGTCAGAGACTGTCTGGCACACAAAGCTTAAAACATTTTCTGTCTTGCTTTTTATTTATTTTTTTTTTTTTGAGATAGGGTCTTGCTCTGTCACTCAGGCTGGAGTGCAGTGGCAATCATAGCTTGCTGCAACCTTGAACACCTGGACTTAAGTGATCTTCCTGCCTCAGCCTCTTGAGTAGCTGGGACTACAGGTGCATGCCACCATGCCTGGCTAATTTTTTTATTTTATTTTATTTTATTTTATTTTATTTTATTTAGTAGAGCCAAGGTCTTGCTATGTTGCTCAGGCTGGTCTCAAACTCCTGGCCTCAAGTGATTCTCCTGCCTTGGCCTCCCAAAGTGTTGGGATTATAGGTGTGAGCCACTGTGCCTGGCTCTATCTTGCTTTTTAAGGAAGAAGTTTGCTGACCCCAGTATTAGGCCACAGTTGGTATTCTTGTTTTGTTCAATGCCTAGTGTAGCATTTTGGGTAGATTATAGACTGGTAATAGGAGGTCCACCTACTACTCCTCATGATTTATTTAGGCAGTAGTAAACTATTTAATAAAGGTAAGGAGGCTCCATAAAGAGGATACTAATGCTTGGAGGTTTTCTCTTGCCCTAACAGAGTACACTGCTTTTAGTAATGCTCTCCATGACAGATGTGGGGCCCCAGAAGAAGAAGGCTGTAGCTGTAGGGTTGGGCCAACAGAGCACTTGGTCCATAAGGCAAAGTGGGCAAAGGCTGGGGCAGCAGGAAGGCTTAAGGGCAGCCTAGCTCTTTTAAATTTCTCAGAAGCATCCATATTGCCGATCCTCTCTGAGAACTGATCGAGTTGCTCAATCCTGCAGGGAATGAGTTCTCAAGCAGTGAAGAGGGGTGACATTAATATGTGATGAATATTTTCCGCAGACTCCCATTGAAGCAGCTCTGTGGGCTTGGGCTTCCCTGGGCTTTGAGACATTTGTGTGTATTCAGTCTTGCCATCTGATGAGATGGAAGACAGCATGATCTTATTGCACATCAGTCACTCCTTAGCACTCTTTTTTCAGATTTTGCAGCATATTTATCCAGTTCTTTGTGACTTTCTACATGGACCCTTTAGCTGGTCACGTGTAGAACAATGGCGGCAGTGTGGACTTCACCCCCTGTTCCATGGTGTTTGGGATAGCTGAGCCTTAGTGTGCAAGGAGAGCAATGAGGAAAGGGAAGACAGCAGATGTGCCATGAGGAATTAGCAACGGAGAATCTGTTTTGTGCTGGGCCTGTTCTTTAGGTAAATCACAAAAGATGCCCTTCTTAAGTAACATCCCACTGAGGACTGATAAAATGTACTATTTCATTACCCGGGATGTGTAAAATAGAGTTCTTCCTATTCCTTCTCAAGTTCTTATATTTCATTAAAATTTTCCCCCAACATCTAGTCTTCTGTAATTTATGCTTTTGTGTCTATTTTCTGATTTTGCACTTTCTTTTGGTTTAGATGATTATACATTAAAACTGGGTTGTGAAAAGCAGAATTATTTAAGATATGATTCACAGACAAGCTGCCAGTCCTTAAACGGTTTGTTGCTGATCTGAGGTGGGATATAGAGCTTGCTCCAGAATTTAACCCAGCTATATCACTATGCATGTTGCTTAACTCAGCTGACATTTATTTTTCTGGCGGCAACTTTCTCAATGAAGGAAGGAGTGGTATCAGCTGGTTGTCTTGTTGCCAACTGGCATTTGAGCACCAATGTAGTAAAAGTTGTTGTTTCCTCTATGAATATGAAATGACAATTTTAAATCTATATTAATTATATTAATTTATTTTGGACTCCAGAAAGTATCATTTCTTTTAAAAGAGACTCAACTCAAAATACCCCTCAGGGAGAATGGGATAACAAGCCAAAGGAATCTGTGTGTTGACTAAAGATTTTGAGTCAAAGTCCACCTGCTGAGGTCAGGGCCTTTTTTTTTTTTTTTTTTTCCCACTTTAGCACATCCCACCCAACATAGCATCTATTAGAGTTAACTGCATTAGGCAGATATTCACTAAGAGCTTGTTGAATGTAATCCTCTTTTTTTTTTTTTTTAAACTAAGCATTTTCTGTGTCTTGTTTGAAGAAATTAAATGACTGAAGTTTCTGAAGAACATTGGTGAGCATGCAGTGACTTTGATCCTGGACAACACCTTCTCACCCCTCGCCGGTGGAGGCCTGATGAGTCTTGTGCCCTTTGCAAGAGGCATCTTTGGTTTCATCAGTCTCTCAGTGTAAGGGAGACTTTCTCATCAGAAGACTTTTTAGTTTTCTCTTTCTAACATTTAACTTCCAAGCAGGAATCACATGTACCCTTAACCCCAAGTTTTATATTTTCGCCAGTGATTTTTTTTAAACTTATAGTCAACATGCTTGAAATTCTGAAAGTTCTTTAAAAAACAAAAACAAATCCCAAACTCTTGTAAGAGTAGAAAAAACAGCTTGACAAAGTAAAATAATCAATTGCAAGTTGGTGAACCTTTAAAGAGCATTAATTCAATTGGATAAACTGCAGTTAAATAACTTTTATCAAGCAAACTGGGTTAGGTGGTTAAAAGCAAGAAAAAAAAGTCCTAAAAACATACAGTGGGTAGCAGTTTATGTGTCAAGAAAAACTGAGAGAATTTTTGAAGCTCTGATGTCTAGCAGATAGCACTTAAATCATTTTTCTCCAAAGTTCAGTCATAGTACTTCAAAGAGTTATAGCCATAATACAAATTTTTAGACTAAGAAGTGGTGTTTGAAGTTATTTTATAGGATTTTGCTGTAAGGGCTCCAATTGATTTGTAGTAAGATAAAAGAAGAAAACTTTATTTTCGAAGCTTTGTCAGAAAAAGCTTACCTCCCATTGGTTGTTCTGCCAATATGCCTGCAGGGCATGATGATGTAGACACTGATATTATATGCTTATATGAACTGAGCTGGGTGTACACCTCCTGCTGTTTGTGTTATGGTTAAAACCTGTCACAAAACTGGTGGTGATTTATTAAATGTTTAATGAAGTAAGACAAAAACTTCAATAACTACAAACAGAAAAGTAGAACATCACATTAAAATATAATATTACATATTACATTTCTATTTTTCTTCCCAATTTTCACTTGCTAAAAATGATAAGGGCACATTTGGAAATTCAGACAGCATAAAAGAAATACTGAGAAGTACCCTTCTTGTTAACAAAGAATATGCTTTAGTTTCATGCTTTACTTTCTTTTTCTTCTCTGTAAGAGAAAGAGAAAAAATTTCTGTTCTGGAGAAACAGAAAATATGCAATCCTTGCTTACTAATAATTTCTTCATTAGATTTTCTATTGATAGTATTCAAACTACACCACTATACATGTAGAATTAGATGACAATTTTGAAGTGTGGAATTAAATGATTAAATGTGCTGTATCTTTTTTTTTTTTTTTTGAGATGTGGTCTCACTGTATTGCCCGGGCTGGAGTGCAGTGGCACAATCTCAGCTCACTGCAACCTCTGCCGCCTGGGCTTAAGTGATCCTCCCACCTCAGCTTCCCAAATAGCTGGGACCACAAGTATGAGCAACCATGCCCAGCTAATTTTTGCACTTTTATAGAGACGGGATTTCACCATGTTGCCCAGGCTGGTCTCGAACTCCTGAGCACAAGTGATCCACCCATCTCGGCCTCCCAAAGGGCTGGGATTACAGGTGTGAGCCATCAGGCCCAGCCTGGTGTATCTATTTTATGATATCCTATATAAATATTGTCTTAATGAACTTTTCTGAGTCCATACATATGAAAGAGCATGATAATAAACAATCACAGAGATGTCTGAAATTTTGTCTTCTTAAAATATATTCTAATTTTTTCCTCTACTATAGAATCTAGGATGTCATTTTAATTTTAAAAAAGGGACGTTTCTCACCTAGCAGCCTGTATGTACCAAGCTAATGTTCATTCTTTGTGTGTGTGTGGATTGGAGGGGGAAGGAAGGAAGATAGTTGCCATTTTCATTTCATTATTATGATACTATCCTCTCTCTCTCTCTCTCTCTATGTATATATATATATATGCATATATATATATATATGCATATATATATGCATATATATATATATATGCATATATATATGCATATATATATGTAAAACAACTCTCTATTTAATAGCTTTGCAGTATCAATTTGCAGTATAAGTGATTACTTATGTTTATTGATTCTGGTTTACTTAATCCTTGTAATGGAGATTCACACACTAGGTAAAGATGGTATTTTGAAAGTACAGAAATATTGATTTTGTTTTAAGCATAAAATTCCTATATGACTATATAAACAGCTTGCTTGTGTTAAAATTTCTAAAAGGTCTTGCCATTTATGTTATTAGATACAGCCTGGCTTACTAGAAGGTCATTTCTCCTTGGACTTGGTTGATATGAACTAAAAAAATAAAATCCAATAAAATAATTCAGTGATTTACTTGGGAGAGGGATGGCATACCAATTAACTGATGGGCTGAATTTTTTGCTTTTTAACTGTCCTCCACGTTTAGTAGATTTAGACCACATAATGAATTTATCTAGAAATTTTAGCTTCCAAATTTTTGCTCAATTCATTCATATTTATTCACAGAACAATAACTGAATACCTATTGTGCATGTCCTATGGGGAATAGCAGTTAGAAAAACAGGTAAGGTCTCTGCATTATTGGAATTTACAGTCTAATTAAGGAGACAACAAAAAGCAAAAACAAAAAGTTTACAATACATTCTATGAAGAAAGCAGTGCTGTTATTAAAAACTTGGAATTTCTTCAAATCAATCAAAATAGGGTGACTTATGCTAATATCATAAGGACTTGACTGAGCAGTCAAGTGAATGATCACACAATTGCAATTGACCAAACAACTCAAGTATTTTTCATGATTCTAATTATTTCCATTATCTAAGTATATCAAGTAAACAACTACGGAGTAATCTGATCAATGAATTATTGATCTAAGAACTACTGGTCTGGTTAAACAGATCTTTTAAAAAGAGGTTGTATGACTGTTTCTAGCTTAAATCAGTACTTTATTAGTATTTTTGCTTCACCATTTTAAACAATTTGCCTGTAAATAAAATTTTTATTCAAAAATTAGAACTTAGGCTATTCATTATTTCAGAATTAATCTCAAAAATCCCTTTGAGGTAATAACGTGTTACAACAATTAGTCTTCTAATTCTTCCCCAAAGACAGAGCTATGAATAAATAGTTTGGATTTCATCTAGTATATTGAGATAGATTTAAATCTCCATTTGGAAAAGTGTTTTGGTCGTAATGTTAAATAGCTAATTTACAAATCAACCCCGAAACAGAGGGACAGAGTGGGCCTAGAAAGGGGCAGGATGTCTCGAGCCTTGGTTTCTAGTATTGATCGTGCAACAACTCTGAGAAACCATAGGTAAATTCATTCAAGTCAATGGTTTATTTCATATAGGCCGTTCAAATCTTTACAAAAAGTGACCTGTCCTTAAGGACATTAATACTATTTGCTTATGAGGAAAAAACTATTTTATTAATAGTATATGATGAAATAAAGTCACAGTAATAAAGAAGTATCAACTAGGAATTATCATTCTTCAAATGATATATAAATCATATATAGATGAGAAAATCTGAAAAAGCTCCACACAGGAGCTAGCTTGCAAAATAGGCCCTGAAAGTAGACAAAATTTCAATAAGCAAAGATGGATAAATGCAGGTTTCTAGAGAGATAGCTTACCATGAACAAAGGAATGGAGGCAGGAAAGTGTATGTCAATTTCAGTGACTCAAAACTACATACTGTAGAATAAAACATTTTCTACCTCTCTTCTCCCCTAGTATTTCAGTATTCCCTTTTACTTCGTGTGTTATTGAATGTAAAGTTGCATTTTGAATTCTTCTCTAATTGTTCTGCACCAGTGCAAGGGAATACAAAATCAGCTTTGACAAAATGCACCACACATAGGTGCACAATAAATATTTGTTCAATAAATGAATAAAAGAATGAGTCTCTGTTCCCCATCCCCTCTTTTCTTTCCTTCCAACTTTTTCTCTTTGGCCCTGAGAAATCAACAGCTCAAAGATCTTAGAAGCAGAAAAGTGATTCAGAAAAGTCATTTTCAAGCAGGTCCTCTTAGCGGTCAGTCCCCATGGAAGCAACCTAATTTATGTCAGCTTTGGTTTACACTACGGGAGGATTACCCTCCTGTTCCTGAGGTACTTCTCAGTAAAACTGAGAAAGTTTGTAGTTCATCACTTTTTCTTTTGTTACTTCCTGTGGCTAGTGGAGTGATAGTTAAGGGTGCTACAGTGACAGCTAGCTAGCCAAGGGGCAAAACAAAGTCAATTGTCTTGGGAGAGCTCTAATCCACTCATTTAAGAAAAAAGAGACCCTTTGGTTTGTGGGCTTCCAGGGTTACTTTCACCCGGAATCTCATTTAGTCAGCTTGGTTTCATGACTTCCCTATGTCTGATAGGATAATTCTGCACTATCCTAACACAGCCAACACATATGTCCAGGAAGGCCAATGGCATTAAAAAATATTTTTGTAAGACGCTGCAACGTTTCTAAAAATTTTAAATCATCTCTATTTGCTTGTATTTTTTCACTCAAAAATGTTTTTCACCACATTTAATCAAATTCCAAAAAGAGTAGATTTGGGGAGTTGTAGATGTTGGTGATGGTTACCCCTAGCCTTGGCATTCATGTCAAGGTTCCTGTCCTGCCAGCATGTCACAATGCTGCCAGGGATGGCATTTGTTGTTTGCCCTCATCTCTGTGGGATTCTCACCAAGCACCACTGTGAACAGCTTATTCCTCTATTTCCTTTCCTGACAACTCTGGGGATTTGAGTGGATGCATTGCCAGATTTCCCCAGACCGAGTGCCATACTGAAACAATTGGAGCTAAAGACACCATTCCACATTATACTTTGGCACACATTATTGGTATCTGCAGGTAGTTTTATGCCTTGTTAGTAGGTGGAATTTTAGAAAGGCATCACACTGCTTTTAAATACCTTCTGTGCTTCACAGATTCATCATAATAATCACCCAAATTGACAGAAAAATTTCAACCTTAATTTGCTTAGCAGTCATGGAAGATAACACAGTGTGAATGGTTCCTCTGAACAAGCTATAATTGTTTTGTTATACCCATGTATTACCCTTCTCAGAAAAGGAAGGAATCTATAACAAGACAGCCTGTTGAGCCTGCTAAATGAGAAAAATGAAGCTTAATTAAAAGATCTGTCTTTGCAATAAGGGAATTGTGTGTGTGTGTGTGTGTGTGTGTGTGTGTGTGTGTGTGTGTGTGTGTGTGTGTATTCCTTCCTCATTATGAAAGATTCTGGGATAAATACTTCAATCATACTTTTATAATTATTTGCAAGCACGACAAATGCCATGCTGGGCTTCATTACATAACCTGCATTGCTGTGTTTTATTTTGCCTGTGTCAATAGGAAATGTAGCAGAAAATGGTTGGCCAGCTACTTTGGAAGTCCAGAGCTACGTTATTAAAATCAGAAACATCCACTGCTAGGATAAAAATGCAAATATATGCACCACTTTTCTTCTTGCTTAGTCCACAGGACATCTAGTGGTAAGCTATGCAGTAGCAGCAACTAGCTGAGGCTTCTGTTAGTTTTTACTGTTGCTAGTACTTTCGGGCTGGCAATCCTTTATTATACTGCTGGGGAAACAGAAAACTGACCATCTGTCCCAATTGTAAAATGTTTTATGGAAAATAAGTACAAGCTCATCAGTCAGATTTAAAAAATCAATTGGCATCTCTGTAATTTTAGTGGAAAGATGACTTCAAAAGAAATTTAGATATAAACTATAGATTATTATTAAAGCAACAAATTTTGAGCTTTAATAATACTACAGCATTCTCATGGATAACTTCTCTTTCCTGAACATTGTGATGAACTTTATAAGTAATCCAATTTTTTGTTGTTCTCAGAGTTTTGCTTTCAAAACTTTCTACTTCTACTTAGGCAGGGTTATTTTTAAAGATAATATAAAACAATAAATATGTTTTATGTATTCATTACTGATTATTTAGTGTTTGCCCTTAAATATCCATGAATATTGCCTTCCATTATGGAATATGTAGATGAAAATGGAAACTCTAAGAAATGAATAACGTGCTGCAATGAACAATATCCAAAAGGCAGGGCATTTTCTTCTGCATGAATTGCAAGAATTTGGTTTCCCAAATCGATTTCAGAAATCTATGTGATTGCATTCCTTTAATTGCATTTTAAACCAATATCTAACATAATTATGGACACAAACTCTTATGATGTGGCTATTAGTAGGTTAATTAGGTAATAATGAATAAGATGCCATAGCTTAGCATAGAGTTAGCACAATGGGATTTGTTTCAGCATGAAATGAAGTTGTGTTAAAAATTTAATCTTTATGTGCTAATATGCACAAAGCATACCTTGTTAATTATTGCCAAAGGATTCTTTCTACTTCTGAGCACTAACAAATGAGTCATTCAGAAACAGATCACGTTTTGTAATCTGTACATGCAGATTAGTTTGACAAAGTCTAAAAGATGTAAAAATCATTTAGCATGTTAGTATAAATACTACATACAGCATAACAAGCCAGCTTTAAAGATTATAATATGGAATACTAATGTTTTAAATAAATGGTGTTGATATTATTTTCAGTTTTAAACTTAAAGTGAAAAGCATTCAAATCTGTGTATCAAAGTATATATTTATTATTATTTTGCCTTCTCAATTCCTATTGTATCATCATTGAAGATATTTTATCAGCACTGAAGATCAATTGCTTTTGAAATTAATAGTGGTAATTAACTACTGATGTTGGTTTGCAGAAATAGTACTAACTTATGACAGATTAAATTAAGTGTGCAAATACAATTACTGAAGTAGTGTCTAATTTTCATGATGTTTTGGTATCATTCACATCTATAAATCCCCATGGAAGCATCCAATTTATGTCAGCTTTGGGTTACACTACAGGAGGATTACCCTCTTGTTCCTGAGGTACTTCTCATGAAACTGAGAAAGTTTGTAGTTCATCACTCTTTTTCTTTTGTTACTTCCTGTGGCTACTGGAGAGACAGTTAAGGGTGCCATAGTGAGAGCAAGCTAGCCAAGGGGCAAAACAAAGCAAAAAATTTTACTACAAAAACTATACTAAAAATGAGATTATTTGCTTCATTATTTGTGACTCGAATTTGAAATGAATAGCCAAATAGGAAGCAATTATGTGAAACAATTTTGTTCGCTGGAGATGAAATAATTACTTAATCATCTGTTTTGTATAGATAAGGCACTGAGGTTCACAAACTCATGTTTGTGAGATGGTATTTAAACACTTTGTAGCAGACTGGTTTCTAAGAAATATTTTATTATGCTGTCTTGTATATATTATGTAATATGACCGACAAGTGAGATATATGAGTATGACTTTGTGGCACTAGGAGGCCCAAGCAAAAGTAACTCTTTTCCCCCACTCATTCAGAACCAGTTGAGACATAGGCACAAGGATCAGGCAGATTGAATTCAAAACCTTAGCTTTTTGGTGTATTTTAACTGATAAAACTTCACTGGGGAAAGCTTTTGGCAAAGTGGGCTTGCTAATCGTTCACCCTGATTAATCTGGCTTATCTACCTGGTCACAGAGGTCCTACTTCCTCTGCGTCTAATGAAGCAGAGACTGTTTTGCTAAGTTTATCATTTGGCCAAAAGATCGGGTGAGAGTGCACCTTTGCTATGGATAGGCAGAACTCATGTGTACAATAGAGAAGGGTGGGGCTGAGCAGAGCTGCACTTGCTCAGTACCTCTCTGAAACTCACCAGTCAGTCTTCTTTCAAGGTAGCTGTTACCAACCAAATCATGTCCCCTGACCCTCCTTCCAAATTCATATATTGAAGGCTGGGCGCTGTGGCTCATGCCTGTAATTCCAGCAGTTTGGGAGGCCAAGGCAGGTGGATCATTTGAGGTCAGGAGTTCAAGATCATCCTGATCAATATGGTGAAACCCCGTCTCTACTAAAAATACAAAAAAATTAGCCAAGCATGGTGGCACAGGCCTGTAATCCCAGCTACTTCAGAGGCTGAGGCAGGAGAATCATTTGAACCCAGTGGGTGGAGGTTGCAGTGAGCCAAGATCATGCCATTGCACTCCAGCATGGGCAACAAGAGCGAAATTCCATCTCAGAAAAAAAAAAAATTCATATATTGAAGCCCTGACCTGCAATGTGACTATATTTGGAAACAGAACCCTTAAAGTGGTAATTAAGGGTAAAAGAAGTCACTTGGGTGGGGCTCTAATTCTATAGGTCTGGTTTTCTTATAAGAAGTGGAGGAGACACCAGGGATGCTCACACACAGGGAAAAGGCCATGTGAGGACACAGCGAGAAGGCAGCCATCTGCATGCCAAGGTGAGAGGCCCCAGGAGAAATCATTCCTGTGGGTACCTTGATCTTGTGGTTCCAGCCTCCAGAGCTGTAAGAAAATCAATGTCTGTGGTATTTTGTTGTGGTAGCTATAGTAGACTAATATAGTAGCCAAGAGTATTACTCCAGAGGAGGTGCCTCCATGTAGAATTATTAGGACTGGGGAATAAGTTTTATTCTGACATAAGCTATTGTTCACAGATGTCCATCCTGTCTCCTGGACTAGATTATGAAGGTCTCAAGTTCAAAGACTATGTATTCTGCTTCTTTATCTTGGCCAAGTTAATTAGCACATATGTACTCAGTAAATACTTCAAGATTAATAATGTTTTTGCCTTTATAGAGTTTTCTGCCTTTTAAATTTTGTTATTTTCTTTTCCCTAAAAACTATGTATTACACTACCTGTGACCATCTTCATTAGTAGTGGAAGAGAACTAAATCTCCTGCTAGAAAGCTTTGCTTCTAAGGGAGGAAGTTAATTATTGTGAATTTACATTATATCACCTTTATCCAATGCAAAGTTTTTTGCTAAAAGAATTGCAACGTGAAAGTTAGATAATCTAATTACAGTTACCAAGAAGATATAGTTGCTTGTGGGTTTGTGTTCAATGTGTAACTGGAGCCTATTTAGCATTTTTAAACAATTTTCTATTTTCAAATGTATTTAGATATTTTTAAAAGTTGCGAAAACAGTGCAGTTTTCATATTCCCGTCACCGGATTACCCTATTGTCCACATACTATATAGCCATAGTGTAATTACAGAAACAGGGAAATTAATATTGATACAATCTATTAATGAGGCTCCAGACCTTATTAGATGTTGACCCATTGTTCCACTAGTGTCCTTCTTCCGGACATTTACCATCTTGCACTTAGTTGTCCTCTGTTTCCCCTAATTGTGGCATGATCTTTCATGACCTTGATGCGTTGGAAGAGTGCTGGTGGATCATTCTGTAGAATATCCCGCAATTTCTGTTTTCAGTTTTCTCACGATTGGATTTACATTAAGCATTTTTGGCTAGAACACTGAAAGTAAGGTGACATTCTCAGTGTATCATACCAGGTGTGATGTCGATATAACTTATTACCTGTGATAGTAACTTGGAATATTTGGTAAAGGTGGTTTCTGCCAGGTTTCTTCATTGTGAAGTTACTCTTTCCCTCTTTTTAATCAATAAGTATCTTCCTATTTTAGCATCTATTGATGATTCTTGCCTGTAACACTTATTTCTATGGTGTTTGCCTAATGGTAATTTTTAAGTTTCATCATTCCTGTTACTTTATTAATTGCGATACTACAGGAAGAAACAGCAGCCTCTTCTCTCATTTATTTTATCTCTATTATGGATATAAACATATAAATAAGGATTCATGAATATTTCTTTTTTCTGCTTGTTTATTGTAATTCAATACCATCATTTATTTTGTTGCAGGAGCCCATTATAAAAGCATAGAAAAGTTTAAATATACAAATTCTAAATGTCAATAAAGTCACTCTTCTAAAACCAATTACAGTAGCTCCTCCTTTTTTTTATAGTTTCAGTTACCTGTACCCAGCTGTGGTCAGAATATAAGTTAAGTACAATAGGATAGAGAGAGAGAGAGACCACATTCACATAACTTTTATTACAGTATATTCTTATAATTGTTCTATTTTATTGTTAGTTTGTTATTTATCTCTTACTGTGCCTAATTTATAATTAAACTTTATCATAGTTATGTATGTATAGGAAAAAAACACAGTGTATAAGGGGCTCCGTAATATCTGTGGTTTCAGGCATCCACTGGGGATCTTGGGATGTATCATCTGCAGATAAGGGGGAACTACTATAATATTAGACTTAGGCTTGAAATTATGTGGCTAACAGGTTGTGAAGTAAATGTGTTAGTTACTTTGAAAAATAAAAATAGTACAAGGTAGTCTATGCCTTCAATGAGTTAGTATAATAATTGGGGAAAGAGAAAGACACCCAAAAAGATACAATGATATTGCATTTGTACAGTAGCACAGCAAGAGACAATCTGCATTTCATAACCCAATGAGGCAGTAAGTGTTCAAGCACTAAGGATGGGGAGAAGGCCTCTGTGCATCCTGCCAAGAGCTGACCACCAAGGACCTGTTCAGCAAAGGCCTGTTTCACATGCTACTCTGACCTGGAAGAAAATTATAAGATGAATACTGTATTTCCTGAACAAAACAAAGAAAGAATATCCTTCCTCATACCTTCTTCTCACTTACCATTTTCCTCAAGGGTAAATTTTGAGTGTTTATTTATGCATGAAAGTACAACAAAGTAAATTAACTTTTCGTATAAATTTTCATAACCTGACTGAAGCTACCTCTTTGTCCCTATTTTTTATTTTCTTCTTTAAATTCCACACCCCATCTCATTCTAGGCAAATGAAACTTAATTTTCCAGATTCAACACATTTCCATACCTCTGTACATGCCATTCCCGCTATCTGGAATGCTTTTCAACATATCTTTGGGAAATTTCTTCTCATCCTTTAAAACCCATCTTAAAAATCACCACCTCTTGGAAGAAACCATCAACTCCCTGAAACACGTTCTAGTTTTCTGTCCCAGTGCTCCTGTGGTTCTTTATGTGGGCATCTGTTTTAGATCTTACCATGCAGATGCCAATTAACCTGTCTCCTCTCATAGTTGCCTCCTCCATTGCATTGAAACCTCACTGAGGACCCTGGCTCTGTCTTACACAGTATTATGCCTCTGTCTCTAGCGGGAACTGCATCTGGAACAGAGCAGGTGCTTGGTAAATGTGTGTTGAATGAATGCACAGTCGAATAATAAAACATTTTCACAAATATTCCCACTTCTTTCTTTTCAAGACCGTATTTCATTATACTTCCATGAATTGCCAACATCACGCATCACCGTTTTTGGTATGAAGTGCTTTGTTTTAGACCATGGTAGTTACATCATTGAGAAGATTTATTCCTGTTATTGAATGTTAGTTCTGGAAATGGTTGAATTGAATATCTAGTTAGCCACCAATGTTGTAATACTTAGAATAGGATTCAGGATCGTAGCATATTGAGGGTGCCAAAAATGTTTCATTTTCCTTTTAAAACAATTCTGGGTGGTATTAAATCTGTTGCTGTATTTAATACTTCAACTTCTGAGTATGGGAAAAAGTAAGTCAATAAATATGTGTACTTTATTTTATAAAATAGTTGTGTCATGAAAATGTCCTGTTCTAACTTTAAAGTTTTATAATTGCACATTTAAATCATTTTGAATCTTCTCTAAGGAGTGCTATTTTGCTAAGTGAAAAAAAATTCTAGTTCAGATAATCTTCAATATATCTGAGTTTAATATATGAGATTTAATATTCTAGGTTTTCTTAAAATAAGCTCTCCTTTCAATTTAGAAAATATTATTTGATGTTTCTAGATGTAAAAATAATTATATAGGGGAATTCTCATGAGAACAATGAATGATATTTTAAAACATTTAGATAATTGGGAAACTTAAACTTCAAATTATTTCACTGGAGACAAATTTAACATTTTTTTTTTTGTAAATTCAACGGATACAAGTACAGTTTTATTACATGGATATATAGTCTGGGCTTTTAGTGTAACCACCATCCAAATAATATACATGGTACCCATTAACTAATTTCTCATCCCTCATCGTTTTCCCACTCTCCTGAGTCTCCACTCTCTATTATTCCACATTCTACTTCCATATGTACACATTATTTAACTCCCACTTGTGAGAATATGTGGTATTTGACTTTCTGCATTGTTTCACTTAAGATAATGGCCTCCAATTTCATTCATGTTGCTGCAAAAGACATGATTTCACTCTTTTTATGACAGAATATATCCCATTGTATATATAGACCACATTTTTTTTTATGAGTCATCCACTGATAGACACTTAGGTTGATTCCATGTCTTTACTATTTTGAATTGTGCTGTGATAAACATAAGAGTGCAGGTATCTTTTTGATATAATGACTTATTTTCCTTTGTAGTGGGCTTGCTGGGTCAAATGGTAGTTCTACTTTCAGTTCTTTGAGAAATCTTTATACTATTTTCCAGAAAGGTTGAACTAATTTACATTCCCATCAACAATGTGTAAGCATTCCCTTTTCTCTACATCCTCACCAATATCTGTTATTTTTTTATTTTTAAATAGCAGCCATTCTGACTGATATAAGACAATATCCCACTGTGGTTTTAATTCACATTATTGTGATGATTAGTGACATGGAGAATTTTTTTCATATGCTTGTTGGCCATTTGTATGTCCTCTTTTGAAAAATGTCTATTGAGTTTTTTTTGTCTACTTTTTAATGGGGCTATTTGTTTTTGTTTGTGTTGAGTTGTTTGAGTTCCTTGTAGATTCTGGATATCAATCTCCTATCAAATGCATAGTTTGCAAATATTTCCTCCCATTCTGAAGGTTGTCTGTTCACTATGTTGATTATTTGTTTTGCTCACAGAAGCCTTTTAATTTAATTGAATTTGGTCCCATTTGTCTATTTTTGGTTTTGTTGCTTCTTCTTTTTAGATCTCAGTCATGAATTCTTTGCCTAGACCAATATCCAGAAGAGTTTTCCCTGTTTTTTTTCTAGTATTTTTTTAGTTTCACATCTTACATTTAAGTCTTCAATTCTTCTTGAGTTAATTTTTTTATATGGTGAGAGACAGGGGTACAGTTTTATTCTTCTGCATATGACAATTCCTTTTCCTGGCACTGTTTATTGAAAAGGGTGTCCTTTTCTCAGTATATATTTCTGTCAACTTTGTCAAACATCAGTCGGCTGTAGATATATTGGCTTTATTTTTGGATTCTCTATACTGTTCCATTGATCTATGTGTCCATTTTTATACCAGTACCTTTCTGTTTTGGTTAATATAGCCTTGTAGTGTATTTGAGGTCAGGTAATCTGATGCCTGAAACTTTGTTCTTTCTGCCTTGCTTTGGTTGTTTGGGCTTTTACAGGGGTTCCATATTCATTTTAGAATTGTTTTTCCTAATATTTGAAAAATAATGTTGGTATTTTGATAGGGGTTGCATCAAATCTGTAGATTGCTTTGGGCAATATGGTCATTTTAATGATATTAATTCTTCTGACAAATTTAAGATTTAAGTTGCATCTTTAAAACCCAGAAACCTACAGTTGTTACCTATAGGGCAATATTTTATTTTATTTTTATTTATTTATGTATTTATTTATTTATTTGAGTCAGAGTCTTACTCTGTCGCCCAGGCTGGAGTGCAATGGCATGATCTTGGCTCACTGCAATGTCTGCCTCCCAGGTTCAAGCAATTCTCCTGCCTTAGCCTTCTGAATAGCTGGGATTATAGGCCCTCAGCACCAGACCCGGCTAATTATTGTATGTTTAGTAGAGACACAGTTTCACCATGTTGGCCAGGCTGGTCTCAAACATCTGACCTCAAATGATCCACCCGCCTCAGCCTCCCAAAGGGCTGGGATTACAGGCATGAGCCACCGTGCCTGGCCACCTATAGGAAAATATTTTAATTTTGATTAGTTGACCCACATAAAAAAAAACAACAACTAATGATTGCTTCATTCCTTAGGCTCCAAGAAGAATTAAAAACGCAGCACATAGATATTAAACAGCATTGAGCATTCCACGTAGATATAATAATTAAACAAATTTATTTGAAAATGAAGTATTTTGCCTTAATTACCCAGCATTTGTCTTAAGTAAATTAACTCCTTTGCTATTATATGTACTATTGAATTACATAAAAAAAAATTAAGAGTTTGTGTTCAGTAACATGGTTTTATTACAGAGGATTCTAGCAAATGATCATGCTTAATACATTCATTAGTGTAAACTTGTAAAGCTGTTCTTTGAGTCTACTGACCTAACCAGGCTTTAAAAAATCAAACTACCCTTTTCAAATATTGTACATGGGTCTATTTCCACAACCAGAAAGATCTGACAGTTCCTCTCCAGCATCTTGCCTTTGTATAGTTGCACTTTTGAATCTAATGAATACCAATGATGAGTTCGCACAACAAGGAAAAAAATCTACTTTATACATCTTTTCATAGAGGAATAGGTCTGCAGTGTTTAGGGACTACGCATCATATTCTAGGCTTGATACTTGAATGGAAGTTGTGGGTTTTTTTTTTTTTTTTTTTTAGCAATTCAGTACAGAAAGTACAGATATTGTACTGTATTAAAGACATTGGACTTCCATGGAAGCAATGTTTAGTTCCCTCTGAGAGGCCTGGACAGTGTCCATGAGGTCCATGGGCCTCCTTCTTGTCTGTTTGCATCTCAGGTCATGTGGTTACACTGTTTCCAGGAGGGTAAGTGGAATATGAGAATGTGACTCTGAAGAAGCCGAATCAAATACGGATGACATTGCCAGTTTTCATCATCTAGTAGTTTTCATCTCTTCTTTCCTTAAGAGTACCTACCTAACTATATTACAAGGCATCCTGCGATTAATGCAATGAATGGCATAGAGAAGAATTGTAATAATTACAATGGGAGAGCTAATGTATATATACATCTATATATTATATGCTTAGATAATTAGAAAAGGCATATATATGCCATTTATATAGACATACATATATATTGTCATAAATATATGCATGTATACACAGCAATGTGTGTGTGTAGGTGAGGCCAACTAGTTTGGAATGCTGGAAAGGACATAGGACATGACACCAAAGATCTGGATTCCAATCTCACTTCTGCCACTTATAAACCAGGTCACGCTGGATAAATGCCTTCAAGTTCTGAGCTCCAGTTTAATGGTATGTTAAAACAGTGTTTTTATATTTATCCTAGCTACACTCTCTGACAGAATTATAAGAATCGAATGGGATTTTACATGTGAAAAATCCATGATTTGTCAGGTGTAAAGCACTTGTTCAATGTATGTTAACGTTGACTGACATTTTCTAAAGCAGCTATGATGTGCCATACTTAAAATATGTACAAGACACAGCCCTCACAGACTGTCTTCAATTAAATTACCCTAAATGGGTGTGGGAGCTGAGGGGAATGGTCAGGTAGAAACTTTATATGCCATATGATAAGCCTGATATTAAATTCATATCAGTATAAGTTATTTAGGAAATACAGAGAAGTGGCTTATAGCTCAGTGTGTGGGGAGAAGGAGGACCAGAAGAAAGTTTCTTGAAGAGACGTTGCCTGGGCTCAGTCTTCAAGAGTGAGGAGTTAAAGGGGCAACGTAGGAAGAATCAGAGAACAAAAGCCATTTCAAACAGAGAAACAGCATGAGCACAGAAAAGGAAGGCACAAACTACGTAGGGAATCATCAATATTTCATTATTGTTGGGTAGTAAACAGTAAAGAGCATCAGGAAGTGGTAAGAAAAGTAAGGAGCTGCTCAGGATGAGCTTATTCCAGGGAAGAATGAAAACCATTGAAGGGTTGCAGGCAGGAGAGTTGCGTGGACAGATTTCCATTTTAGATAAATCACTGTAGCACTATGTGTGTGATAGACTTAAGGGAGGATAAGACTGAAGGGAGAGAGACCTGCTAAGGGGCTCTCCTCATAGAATGAGTCAAGGTTTCTCAGCCTTTGAATTATTTACATTTTGGGCTGGATAGTTTTTGTTCAGGGCTTGGAGGGAGCTGGTCTGTGCATTGTAGGATGTTTTGCATCCCAGGTCTCTACTCATTCAATGTTAGTAGTACCTTCCACCTCCAGATGTGACAACAAAAAATGTCCGCAGTTTTTCCCAAATGCCTCCTTGGGGGGCACAGTCACCCTGGTGGAGAGCTACTGGTCTGGGACAAAGTTGTGAAGAAACACTTTAGCACTTGGTAATTGGTAATGGCATTAGAGAATAGATGGCTGACTCTTGAAGAGTTTAGGAGGTAAAATGGACAGTTCTAAGTGATAGATTTATTGGAGAGAAAACATAGGGAAAAGTGAAGAATGACTCACAGAGTTCTGGCTTTGTTGACTGAGTGAATGGTTATGTCTCCAACTGAGATGTAGAATAAAAAAGGATGGGCGTCGAAGTGAGTATTCTCTTTCAATATTTTGACAACAAGGATGTCACTGAAGTTCTTATGTTCAGCATCAGTAAGTCTGACAAATATCAAAATTTTATAAGACTTTTATATCAACTAAAGGTGAGGGGAAATTACTGGGGTAAGGGGAGAGGGAGAGAATGAATGAGTAGCTCTGTTTAACATGAGGAAATATTAGCTTATAGAGGCTATGAAATTGCCCAGCCCTAGAGAACAGAAGAGAAAGATGTATTGCATGAGCCTTCTGATTTAAGCCGTAGTGATGCATTTGGTTGCTGTAGGGAGAGATTTTTCAGGAGTAAAGCGGGGAAAAAAATGAAATAGCAGTGAGGTGAGTTCAGTGTAAACTCAAGCTACAGTAACTGTAGACTAGGTTTATTTTTATTGTTTATTTCTTTTTACAGGTTTGGTTGGGAAGAGGAGAAAAGGGGTTTTATGGTAACAAGGGAACTCTTGAGGAGTATATTTTTCTCAAAGTATGAGAGATTTGAGCTTGTTTGGGAACTAAGGGATTAGGGTATATGGTGGGAAAAAATAGGGAATCCCAAGAATCTTGAGAATAGGAAAGGTGAAAAGAACAAATGAGTGTGTTCTGGAATAAGAGGAGGGACATGTCTTCTGAGACTGGAGAAGAGACATATGTCATTATTCTATTTAAATTTATAGTTACCATTCTGAAGGCTGAGGAAGATCATGACTAATGGCTTAATTTTTGTGATGAGAAGGGATTCTGATAATCTGCTAAGAGTGAGAACAATGAATGTCCTGAAGAGTAGAATAAATATGGACGAGAACTAAGGAGGAACAAAGAGAAAATAAATAAAAAAAAGACAGGGCAGAGCTGCATTTAGAGAATTTGAATTTGGTTTTATGGTTCTTTCTAAAGGAATGAACTGATGCTTGGGTGGAGAAGCAGAGAAAGTAAATTATACAGTGATATAAGTTGGGTTTTGCTATGTGGAAATGATGGAATTACAGGACTGTAAGGAGAATCAAAGGTGTTGATGATATAGTTGTTCAGATGACCAGTCGTGAGGTTCAGTATGGGGGAGAAAAAGAAGAAAGTTTAGTTTAACTATTTACTAGCAGCAGGAATCTGGGCAAATTGCTAATGATATTGTTTGTGGAAATATATATTCTATTAATATTTCTAATATGGTGCCTGGCACATTACAGATACTCAAAAAATGTTAGTTTCCTTCCTTTTTTCCCTTCTAAGAGAAGTAAAAATGTAGAGAAGTCAGCACCACCAACTTACTAGCTGTGTGACCTTGAGCAAATGACATAATCAAAATATTAGTTTCTTTATCTGTAAAATGGGCATGATAATGACAATTGCCCTTCCTGTTCAATCTCAAGGATCTACTTTAAAATAGCTATTGTTGTAAAATAATCAATGTGACACTATAATCAGTGTAAATTTTAAAGTGCTAGAGAAATATAAGTTATTACAAGTCTACATTATATAGTAGTCATGTAAATTTCATGCTCTTAATTAGAAGATACAGTTCAGTAGTATCGGTGAGCAAAGATATATTCTCCAATATAATACCTTGTCAGAAAGTGTTACCAAGGTGGAGATAATACAAGTGGCATGTATTTTATTCCAGAATGATGGAAAAAGTATGGTGGTCATGTCATGAAACTATTAATATTGTTACTGTAATATATGCTATAAGATGCAAAATATGATTTGGGAAATAGATGAGAAGTTAATAATGAGATTTGGTGGGGAATAATGAGGATTCCCCAGCTTAATTGGTGGGGAAGTAATAGGGAAAAATCTGCTGGCTAAGCCGACCCAGGTCAATAAAAGACTGAACTCATATTGAGGAGATGTTTGTGAACTGGAATATGAATTCTTTTCTCTCAGTCCACTCCTAGGAATGGTCAACAGACCCTGTTTTATCCTTCTAAGGGGAACAGTTGCTATCTGAAGGGTGGGAGTGAGGAAAAGAGAGCATTCCTCTGACAAATCCCTACTCATTACCTAATGTAACCAAATCACTCTTTGATCCCTCAACTGGCTTTATGAATAGTGTGATTTCAGGAAGTCCAAAGGTGTCCTTTCACCTGATTGATGATGTAAGAATTGTCAGACTCACTTAAAATGGAAAGGTTTTGTTAAGATAATAAGTTATTTTTGTACCAGTACCATGTTGTTTTGATTACTGGAGCCTTGTAGTATAGTTTGAAGTGGGGAAGTGTGACGCCTCCAGCTTTGTTCTTTTTTCTTAAATTTGCCTTGGCTATTTGTGCTCTTTTTTGCTCCATATGGCTTTTAAAATAGTTTTTTCTAATTCTATGAAGAATGTCTTTGGTAGTTTGATAGGAATAACATTGAATCTGCAAATTGCTTTGAGAAGTATGGCCATTTTAACAATATTGATTATTCCTATTCATGAACATGTTTTTCCATTTGTTTGTGTTATCTCTGATTTCTTTGAGCATTGTTTTGTTATTCTCATTGTAGGGATCTTTTACCTCCCTGGTTAGCTGTATTCCTAGGTATTTTACTCTTTTTGTGGCTATTGTGAATGGGATTGCATTCTTGATTTGGCTCTTAGCTTAAATGTTGTTGGTGTATAGGAATGCTACTGATTTTCATACACTGATTTTGTATTCTGAAACTTTGGTGAAGTTATTTATCAGATCAAGAAGCATTTGGGCAAAGACTTTGGGGTTTCCTAGGTATAGAATCATATCATCTGCAAACAGGGACAGTTGACTTTCTTTCTTCCTATTTGGACGCCTTTTATTTCTTTCTCTTGTCTGATTGCTCTGACTAGAACTTCCAGTACTGTGTTGAATAGGAGTGATGAGAGAGGACATTCTCGTCTTGTCCCAGTTTTCAGGGAGAATGCTTCCAGCTTTTGCCCATTCAGTATGATGTTGGTTATGGGTTTGTCATAGAAGGCTTTTGTTATTTGAAAGTATGTTCCTGCAATGCCTATTTTTTTTAAGGGCGTTTAACATGAAGGGATGTTGAATTTTATGGAAAGACTTTTCTACATCCATTCAGATAATTACATGGTTTTTGTTTTATTTCTGCTTACGTGATGAATCACAGACATGGAATGAATCTAAATGCCCATCAATGGTACACTGGATAAAGAAAATGTGGTACATATACACTATGGAACACTACACAGCCTACAAAATAATGAAATCATGCCCTTTGCATCAACATGAATGGAGCTGGAGGTTACTATCTTAAGTGAACTAACACAGAAACAGAAAACCAAATACCACATATTCTCATTTATAAGTGGGAGCTAAACATTGAGTACATATGGACACAAAGCAGGGAACAATAGACCCCAAGGCCTACTTGAGGGCAGAGGGAGGGAGGAGGGTGAGGATGGAAAAACTACCCATCAGGTACTAGGATTATTACCTCAGTGATAAAATAATTTGTACACCAACCCCCTGTGACACACAATTTGTCTATATAACAAACCTGCACATGTACCCCCAAACCTAAAATAAAAGTTAAAAAAATAATAAATTGAAATTTATTCACACTAAAGAAGTGGACGCTTAGTTCCTGCTTTGAGGGAGGTAAGAGGCCAGCTCAGAACACCTGAAATAGGGGCTAAGGAGGGAGAAGCCACCAAGGAGGGGGAAGGACCACAGAAAGGAAGATTGGGACTACTAAAGACAAACCAAACTGATGCCACAAGTTGGTACTTTCTTTTACACAGGGGCAGCTTGGCATGTGGCTCTGCCCCACCCCTCCAATCATATGTTTTAAAGCCTGTCTTTGTTATTAAGAGTATCACTATCCATAGACTGAGATTATTTCCCTATTCTACCCTGACAGCAATGGGTAATTCTACCAGAGAACAATCTTAAAAACATTTCTAAAGTTTATTTCCAATCAAGCTAATTGTCAGATGACAAGGAGACCATTCTATAATAAAAATTACTACCTTATTGATTGTTGTAAGAATGTGAACAAGTCGTTTAATCTTTCTGGGCTTCCATATCGCCCTAAAAAATGAAAGAACTAGGTGAGTTGGTTTCTAAAATCTCTTCTAGTTCTAGGTTTCTACTCTTCTGTGATACAGAGAGTAACATGTATTAGACAATGACAAGATCCAATTTATTCAATAGTTGCCTGCCAAAATTATAGTGCAGTATACTGACCAAATTGGCTTCAGTCTGTTGATAAATGATATGAAGATATCAGAAAAAGATAGTCAACAGCCTTTAATCAATCTTAGGAGGATGAAAATAAGCCAGATAAAGCCATTGGAAGAAAGTAAGTGAAAAATTCTATCTCTTTCTGAGTTAAAGTCTTATTAATAGAGGTTAGATTAGTTCTTCTATCAGTACAATTCAGTTTCGGCTTTTAAGATGTTACCTTAATGCAGAAGGCCATAATAAATATGTTGGCTTATCCCAACAGAATTTTCAAACTCAATGAAATAAGAACACCACATTTCGAGAATTTCAGGATTGTGATTTTTGGTTTTCCAGTTTTAATAATCTGATGGTGGGTAGCCAGTCTAATTTACAAGCCACGTAAAGTTATACGTATAACTCGTTTGAAAAACTCAATGAAAAATACCTTTAAATGTCCAAATCTGTGGAGTGATTATTAATTTGCTTTCGTCTGCCTGCTGATACTAGATAACAAGTAGAACATTTTTAGCTATTTTAACTACTCAGAGACATAGTCTTGCTCATATAATTATAAGTATTTGCAATTACTTTTGAGAGCTCTAAAAGTATTTTCTCAGATGATTTCATGGTTCTCAGAAAAGTTACTTTGTTTTCTTGAGTCACCATAGAAGCAAGGAAGTCATTTTCATTCCCACTTACAATAAATCAATCAACATTTATAGAACACCTATTTTGTTCTGGGCCTTAGGCTAAGCAATGTGCTGGGTACAATGATGAATAAGATATGATCTCTGCCCTCAAGGCAAGCCAGACTCTTAGACAAAAAAAAAAAAATTACCAAACAGACAATACAGGGCAGCATATGATAAGTGGAAAATGAGTGGCCTGAGAAATAAGAATTCTAGTGTTTTAGAAGTGGGAGAAACCATTTTGGCCTGAGGAGATTAGAGAAGCCTCCAGGGATGTGTGGGAGATGACCTGGACCTTAGAGGATTGATGGGTTGAGACAAGTAAGTAGAGGAGGGGAGAGTACACCAGGCAGAGGAAATGGAATGAAGAGTGATAGAGCGGTGCTGGTACCCATCCAGAGAAGCAGGAGCAGCCTCTGTAGCCTGCCATGGTGTCACGCCATGCACAAGACAAAGAACTGACCTATGCCTTAATTGAAGATAGGCAGGTGGATGATGGCAAAGGTAACCCTGGAAGGGTAAAATACAAGACTTATTTGCCATTTAGATGCAGCAGCACTGGGCTCTGGTCCTGTGCTCAGAGAGAGCCACACAAGCTCAGAGAGCAGCGTCTGTGTGGCTCCCAGGGAGCTGTTCCCCCAGCATGGAGGCACAATCTTGGGGTGAAGATACTTTGGAACCTGAACTTTGCTGCCAACTCATTTTGTACCCTCCAGTGCCCCAGGATTTTCTCCTTTCAAATGAGGTATTGGAGCTAGTTAACACTGGAGTCTCCTTCAGTTCTCAGGTTTTTGTGTGTATCTCTGTGAAGGAATCCTGTCTTCACCCTCTACAACTATAATACACTTTTTAGAGATTAAGCCAACTAACAAGGCTTTTTCTCTATATTTCTATTATTCAAAACAGTAATCAAAATGAAATAACATCTTAACATCTTTTTTTTTCTTATATATGAGCCTTAGAAGCACAGGTGAAAACTAATGTAAACTAACAGTTAAGCCCACAACCTGGGTTCAGATTTCAGTCCGCTCACTTAGGAGCTTTGTGACCTAGAGAAAGCTACTTAATTTTTCTAAACCTCGGGTCTCTTTATCTGTAAAAAGAGGATCACAATAGTTCCTACAGATCCTGATTTCCTATAAGAGTATATATAAAATTGCTTAGCATGGAGTCTGGCATGTGGAGAGTATTCAATACATGTTAGCTCTTTTATCATTATTAATATACTGTTAACCGTTGTTGGCATTTCTTATCTTTTAAAAATGATTTTATAGAATTAAGTAACATGGGAAGTATCCGGTAATTACCAACCTGGAAGTGTTGTCACGTTATAGATTGACAAACAATGATAGAAAGAAACCCAGGAAAACTAGAAATTTGAGACTGAAAAAACCAAAGTTTAAAATAGGAAAGAGCTAAGTGCCTGGAGATAAAGATGGGAAACAGATATCCAGTGAAAGGCAGAAATGCCTCAAAAGCCCTAGAGTCACAGTAAACAGCACCTGGAAACTGAACCTGCAAAGTGATAAGATGATACGGTTCTGGACACCTGATTATTAGAAAGGTGTTAACCAACAAGAAAGAATGGAAAGTAGAAAAAAAGGGCTCGAGGGACCAAAATTTGATTGAAGATTTTTGAGAACTAGACATCTGTATCACTGAGAGGAGTATCTGTCTTACAATATGCTTGTCAGGCATGTGGATCGGAAAGATAGAAACATCAGGGAAGGGGATGAGATAAAAGAGTAAGGTGGGCAAATGTCCTCTCCCTGCCTGTAATGGGATCAATTCAAATAAAGAAAAACATTTCTAATGGCCAGGTTCCCTGAGGATGCAATAGAAGCCATTTACATCCCATCAGGACAAAGCCCTGGAGAACACACTGTGGGAAATCGTCTGCAATTGGTGTGAGCGAGACAAAGCAATGTTTCCCGTTAGTGTGGAGCCAGCTAAAATTGCAGCAATCCCTTTGTGGGGGTGCCACTGTGACTCCATAGAAAGAATGCCTGTTGGATTAAAAGAATTCATATTTGCATAGTGCTTAGAATAGTGCATGGCATAAGTTTAATGCTATGTAAATGTTTGCTAAATAAATGAATTTAGAGTTTTTGAAGATAGTTGGCAACCAAATCAGGAATCATTAGTCTTGCTTCGGGGATGATGGAATCTTCTTGCCAAATAAGAGGCACTAGGTTATGAAATCAAGCCAAGAAAATTCTTCTGGAAGCAATGTATATTACTGGGGCTGAAGATCAACTTGTAGAAGCCCTGGCCTCAGGTAGCAGGCAAAGCAAAAAGTGTTTGAAAGAAAGCTACACCAGGTTTTACATGATTTCTGATCTGAAAAAGTATTATTATGAGAGTCTCTAGGATACCAAGTCCCTTTCATCTTTTTCATTAAACATTCACTCAGCACTTGTGGAGAGTTAACTGTTGACCATGAACCTTTAGTTGCTCTGCTTCTGCTCAGCTGCGAAACACATCTGCATGCCATCAGCACCATTGACCGGGCAATTCAAAGCGATCAGACTACCTGGCACCAAGAAGGACCACTTTTTTCCATAGGAAGCTATGTTATACTCTACTTCTTGATCACTGTCATATAGTTATCCACTTCAGAGGGAAATTTGGCTATTAATATTACAGATGCTTCTTTCTCCTAACGATCTCCCTCTTGACTTCCAAGAATTTCATGGCATTTGTTTTGTTTTCTTTATCTTTTTCCTCAAAGAAAATTGAGAAATTACTTTTTTAGGCCTTCTTTTTCCCATTCCAGATGATCACTTATGGAAATCTCAATGTCCTATAGGTGACAGATCAATTTGAAATTATGATTGTACTGAATCAGTATTCCTAGACATTCCTCTAAAGTCATAGAATGTCTGATTGACTCTATTGAGGACTCGACTTCCTAAGGAGGTATGGTAGAAACTTATTCCAAACAATGAAGGCTGACAAATGCCTATAGCTAATGCTTTGTTTACAAAAGACTTATGTTATCCTCTTTAACTCTTACAACTATACCAAGTGCTGAGTTGAGGCATCATTACCATTATTTTTCTCATGCACATAACTAAACATATCCTTAAGCGATTTGCCCAATATTATACATATATTAAGCGGTAGAGCTAGAACTCCAATTCAGAACTCTTGAATGAAAGTTATAAGCTTTTTCTCCTTCTTAGGGTTGAATTTGATGTCTGGAAAGATAGATTGTATTTACAAATTTCTGCTAGATTAATCAAGTAATTTTTTTTGCTACCGAGTTATGTTGGGTTCCATATATATATGTATGTGTGTGTGTGTGTGTGTGTGTGTGTGTGTGTATCTGTATATACACATAGTTTCTTTTTGAGACAGCTTCTCATCGTCCAGGCTGGAATGGAGTGGTGTGATCATGGCTCACTGCAGCCTTGACTTCCCAGGCTCAGGTGATTCTCCCACCTCAACCACCTCAGTATCTAGGTCTACAGGCATGCATCACCACATCTGGCTAATTTTTTATTTTTATTTTTGTAGAGACCTGGTCTCAAACTCCTGAGCTCAAGTGATGCTCCTGCCTCGGCCTCTCAAGTGCTGGGATTACAGGCATGGGCCACTGTGCCCAGACAGTTCCTTATATATTTTGGATAATAACTCCTTAACTGATGTATGGTTCATGAATATTTTCTCCCAGCCCAATGACTGTCTTTTCATTTTGTTATTTCATTTGCTGTACAGAAGCTTTATAGTTTGATGTAGTACCACCTGTGTATTTTTGCTTTTGTAGCCTGTGCTTTTGGTGAGATATCCAAAAAGTCCTTGTCAACACCAATATTAAGAAACCTTTCCCCTGCGTTTTCATCTAGGAGTTTTAGGCTTTCAGGTCTTATGTTTAGGTCTTTAATCCATTTTGACTTGATTTTTGGATGTGGCATTAAAATAAGGACACTGAATGGACATTTTTCCAAAGAGAACATAAAAAATGGCCAATACCTGTATGAACATTAACATATCCATCATCTCACATAGTTCCCTTTTATGGTAAAAATACCTAAAATCTACTCTCTCAGCACAGCTCCATCATGCAATACAATATTATTAACTAGAGTTAATGTTCTGGACTATAGTAATCATTTTTCTATGTATATGTATATCAAAGCACCATGTTGTATGCTTTAAATATATGCAGTAAACAAAACATTTAAAAAAATTTCTACTAGGTTAATCAATTTTGATGCTCTTCTGCTGGTCAAGTTATGGTTTTCTTCTAAAGAGATAGAAGATTTCTTCTGAAGCTTTTAACTTTTAGTGCTTTATTTAGTTTTTTTTTTTTTTGCCTTCCATAACAGAAAATTCAGCACTTTCATTTATTTATTTTATTATAAAATAATAAAATATTACAAAGAGCTTAGAGACTAGAAAAAATTATTCGTAAGTCCTTTACCTAAACTAAGTATTTTCTTCATCCCTTTCCAGTCTTTGTTCATAAACACAAGTTTGTAAACACAATTGTAATTACAGTATAATTTAATTTTGTATTCTGCTTTTCACTTTTAGCATAAATATATTTCTATACTGTTGTACATTCATAGCACATTCCGTATATAATACAATGTAATCATTTCCATATTGTTGGACTTTGGGTGGCTTCTAATTTTTCACCATTATAAACAATAGTGAATATATTATTATATTATTTTGTCATTATATACAATAGTAAAAACTTATAATAAAAAAGTTTTTCCTTCAACCAAGCATATCTTTAGGATAAACTTCCAGAAGTGAGCTCCCTAGGTTGTAGATATTCCTATGTGGATACTCAAATGCACCAGGGATGTCTAATGCATGTATTTCTAGGTTTGATATGAACCTTTGCTAGCATGGAATTATGTTCTTAAAGATCTTCTTTATTCAAACACTGATATGGCATTGGTGGTGGGGAGTGATTGGCAACAGTTTGTACTTTTGGATTTATATTTGGTAACAAAAAAGAAAAAAATTAAGACATTCTAGGAAGTAATTTCTATTTTTCCCTCATGTTGAAGTGGGGAGAAATTTTGGCAAGTGTTGCCTTTTCCCTATAGTATTACAAAATCTAAAGTTATTCTAGGCATACTTAAATAACAGTCTTTATGTAAAAATGTATGTTTTCTGTGATTCATGGAATCTGTAACAGTAATTAGCAATGCCTCTCACATGTATCATACTTCTTCATACTTCCATGATTTTGTATATGCTGTTCTTTTCCCGAGAAAGTCTGTCTCTACCAGTGTGTCAGGCAGCCTCTTGTTCTTTCTCTAAGAATCTCTTAGTTAGTGTCCATTTGAAATAACAGACATAAGTAGAAAGGAATTTCACAAATTTACACTCCCATGTAATCACCACCACAATCAAGATCTACATTTTCATCATCCCAAAAAATTTGTTTGCGTCTCTCACAAGCACCCCGACATGATCAGCCCCAGACGTTGATCTATGTTTTGTCAATAAATTAGAATAGTCTTTTCTAAAGGTTCATATGAATGTAATAATGCAGTATAAACTCCTTCTGAATCTTTTTTGAGTCAGCATGTTTTTGAGATTTGTCTATCTTATGGAGTATATCTATAGTTCATTTCTTTATGCTGTATGGGTAGCATTCTATTTTATGGATAGAATAGAATGTGTTTATCCATTTGGAATGCTTCAGGTTGGGGCTATTTAAAAGTAAAGATGCTATAAACAGTTTTCTATAGGTATTTGTGTGGGCATATGTTTTCATTTCTCTTAGGTAAACATCTCGAGTAGAATTGTGGGTTACGTGATACATTCATATTTCTTCTTATAAGAAACTTCCAAAAATTTCTCCATCATGGCTGTACCATTTTACATTCCAAGGAGTAATATGTAAGAGAGTTTCAGTTGTTCTACGTCTTCACCAACATTGATGTTGTCAATCTTTCTCATTTAAGCTGTTGTAATAGGTATATAGTAGTATCTCACTACAGTTTAATTTTCACTTCCCTAAATGATGTTGAATCCTTTAAAATATATTAGTTGGACATTTATACATCTTATTTTGTAAAGTTTCTGTTCAAATATTTTGCCCCTTTCTATCATTTTTGGTTATTTTAAAATTGTACAATATTATTTTACAATATTTTAAATAGAAATCCTTTGTAAGATAAACATATTATAAATACTTTGACTTAGTCGATGGCCTAGCTTACAATTTTCTTAACAGTATCTTTTGAAGAGCAAAAGTTTTACATTTTTATGATGTTGGGTTTATTTAATTTTTCTTTTTTTTCTTTTTTTTGGGGGGGACAGAATCTCATTCTGTTCCCCAGGCTGGAGTGCAGTGGTGTGATCTTGGCTCACTGCATCCTCCACCTCCTGGATTCAAGCAATTCTCCTGCCTCAGCCTCCTGAGTAGCTGAGATTACAGATGCATGCCACTGCGCCCAATTAATTTTTGTCTTTTTGGTAAAGATGGGGTTTTGCCATGTTGGCCAGGCTGGTCTCAAACTCCTGTGCTCAAGTGATCTGCCCGCCTCATCCTCTCAAAGTGCCCAGCCTGAATTTTTCTTTTATGTTTTAATTTGTGTATGTTTATGACTTAGGAAATCTTTACGTATCACAAGGTCATGAAGACCTTTCCAGTGATATTTTTCCAGAAATTTTATAGTTTTAGCTTTTATGTTTAGGACTATGATTCATTTTATGTCAATATTTGTGTATGGTGTAAAAGTGGAGGTATATTTTTTTCTATATAGATATCCAGATTTCCATCACAATTTGTTTAAAGACTATCTTTTCCCCCATGAAATTATCTTGGTGCCTTTGTTGGAAAATGAAATTACCATAAATGTGAAGTTTTACTTCTGACATTCTATTCTGCTCCCTTGATCTTGTCTGTCCTATGCCAATACCACAGTGTCTTAACTCCTGTAGCATTATCATAAGTAATGATATGGATTGAGGTAACATATTATTTACTTCTGTTTTTATTTTTAAAAATAGGCTATTTTAGTTTCTTTGCATTTTTATATAAATTTTCCATAAAAGCTTGTTTCTACAAAAGAAGGTTTTGGCCATCATGATTGGGATTCATTGAATCGACAGAAAAATCTGGGGAGAGCTAATAGCTTAAAAATGCTAAATCTTTCAATACACAAATACAATATACCTCTCCATTTACTTAGCTATTCTTTAATCACAGGTATTACAAATATTTTGTTAAATGTATCCTCATATATTTCATAGTTTTGATGCTATTATAAGAGATATTTTAAAAATTTCATGTTCTAATGATCTGACACTCATATATAAAAATAATTATTTTATTAAATCAAAATAATTTTGATTTTTATAGATTGAATTCTTATCCTGTGACCTTGCTAAACTTACTTCTTAGTTTTAGTAGTTTACGATTTATTTTTGTATTCTCTAGGATTTTTAATATACCTGATTGCGTCATCTGTGAATAAAATGTTCTACTTCCTTTCTAATGGAAATAACTTTTATTTATTTTTCTTGCCTTGTACTGGCTAGTATATCCAGAACAGTGTTAAATAGAAGTAGTAAGTGAGTCTCCTTATTTCTGATCTTAGTAAGGACAGTATAAGTAAGACAGAAAATGTTAGTTGCAGGTTTTTTGTAGATGCTTGCCAGATGTTCAATTTTCCTGTTTTTTTTTAAATAAACAACTTTTGATTTGTCTTTGGTATTTACAATTTATTTTTTATTTCATTGAGTTCTTCTGTTATTTTAGTCTTTCTTTCTACTTACTTTGGGTTTAATTTGTTCTTTTCCCAGCTTTTTGAGATGGAAGCTTAGGTTAATGATTTAGTACTTTCTTTTTTTAATATAAGACTTTGAAGCTGTAAAATTCTCACTATGTATTGTTTTAGCTGCATCATACAAATTTTGATACCTTCTATCTTATTTTCATTCAGTTAAAAGTATCATTTAATTTCCCTGTAATTTCTTCTTAGACATGTAGATTAATGAATTAATTTTCAAGTAGTTGGAATTTCTCAAATTATCTTTCCATTATAGATTTCAAATTTATTTTCTTGGCTCACAGAACATATTCTGTATGATTTAAATCATTTATCTTTATTGGGGTTTGTTCTATGACCTAGTATATAGTCTATTGTGAGGAATATTCCATGACTACTACTTAAGAAGATTGTGTTCTGATTTTGGGTGGTGTGTCTAATACATGGCCGTTAGGTCTAGTTGGTTGACAGTGTTGTTTAAGTGTTCTATCCTTACTGTGTTGTCTATGACTGAGAAAGTACTGTCAACACCTTCAGTTATAATTGCAGATTTGTCTATTTTTGTTTAGTTCTGTAAATTTTTCATGTATTTTGAAGTTCTGTTATTACATACATATACATTTAGAATTGTGTTATTTGGTGAATTGTCTCCTTTATCATTATGAAATGTCTCTCTTTATCTCTAGTAATATTTATTTTTCTAAAGTCTACTTTGATAATGTTTCCAATACAGCTTTCTTATGCTTACTGTTTGCATGGGAGAACTTGTCCACCCTTTACTTTTAAATTATCTGTGCTCTCGTAGCTAAGTAAATTTCTTATAGACAGCATATAACTGGATCTTACTTTCTGATCCAATCTGACAATACTCACAGTGTTTAAACAATTTCTACTTAATTGGGTTTGCCTCTACTATTTTGCTATTTGTTTTATTTTATTTCCATCTGTTTTTTGTTTCCTTTTGCCTCTTCTACCTTTTCATGATTAACTGGGCATTTTAATATTTTATTTTGTCATAATTATTGCTTATTGGTAGTATATCTGTATGTAATCACTTTAAAGATGTTTATCTATTGTGTTTTGTCTTGTATAGTTACATTCAAGAAGTCTGTGTTAATTTCTATCTTTCTTCCTCTGTATGTAATATGACTTTTTTCTCTGATTACCTTCAATATTCTTTTCTTTGGCATTCATTATATCATTATTATTATTATTATTAATTTGCCTTCTTTTTTTGTGTGTGTTTCTTGTGCTTAAGATGTTCAACTTCTTGGATGTTTGGATTATAATTTTTATAAAGTATAGAAAAAATTTTGTTACTATTTCCTCAAATATTTTTCTCTTCCTTGTTTTTTCCTGGGATTCCAATTTCATGCATGCTGAACCACTTTGTATTGTCTCATAAATCACTGAGGATCTGTTTGTTTTATTCTCAATATTTTTTTCTTTCTGTGCTTCATTTTGGATAGTTCCTATTTCTGTCTTAAAGTTCAACAATTATTTCTTTTTTGATATCTAAACCATAAAATTTTTATTTAAAATGTTATGTTTTTCTCTCTCAAAGTTTTTTGGCTCTTTTAAAATCTACCTTTTCTGTTCTAGCTGTGTTAATGCTTTCCTTTAAATCTTTGAGCATAGTCTATAAATTCCATAATGCCTGTCAGTTCTACTTCTGTTTCCACTATTGATGTTTTTCTTCTGAATGTTGGTCACATTTTCCTGCTTTTTGGTGTGTTCTATTAATTTTTGTTTAAATACTAGACATTGTAAATATTGCATTGTTGAGTGTTTCATTTTGTTGTTGTCTTTCAAAGTTTTGAGCTTTGTTTTAGCAAGTGAAGTTACTTGCTGACCTATTAATTAAGTTACTTGCAGATGTATTTAATTTCTTTTAGGTTTAAAAATTTTTTTAAGCTTTGCTATGACAGATATGAGATATTCCTCACTTCAGGGATAATTCACCCTCACTACTAAAGTGTGACTCCAATGGAGTCTCCTGTAAATATCACAGGCGATCATCAAGGATTCTACTTGGTTTGGAACATCTCCCTACCTTCCGTACCTTATGTGAGTTCTAGGAATTTTTCAGCTTACACCTCTCTGCTGGTGCCTTGACTAGTCTTGTGGAGTTGTACTGTTTACATGCATAACCCAGTAATCACCAAGAGTCAAGGGGGTCCTTATGCTGATTTCTGAAGCTGTTTTTCTATGTAGCTCTCTTGTTTCTGGAACTCTGCCTTGAAACACCTGGCCACTTTAGCCTTCCTGAATTCCAGTCTCAATTTCCTCAATTCAGTGATGCCATTGAGCTCTAGTTGGGTTTCTTCTTCCAGTACCTATAGTCTAAAAATTGGCTCCAAGTAGTCAATCAGAGTGATTATGTGGCTTGCTTTGTTTGTTTCTTTCTTGGGGATCACACTCTTCAACTATCTGTTATCCAATGATTGCAATCATTTTGTACAGTTTTCTAGTTGTTTATGTTGTGAGGTTGAATTAGGGCATTTCTTATACCACCATGAAAAGAAGCAGAATTCTATATTTGAACTTTTAACAATGCCTATAAGGCATGATTTGGAGAATCATGGATAGCTAAGGTTGCAGAGAAAAGTAATTTCACAAAATATAATTAATTACTCTAACAAAGATCTTTTCTGAGCACCTAGGCCCATATGCCTTTCCTTAAAATAGTACTCAAATAGTCATGTTGAATATAAGTGGTATCTGGATTTTTATTCTTGTTTGAAAGACTCCTTAATTTGCCATTTTAATACATTTCTTTCTATTATAACTCAGAGTGGTTATATTTATGAACATTGCTGGTTTAACTCGAGTATTTGTCCATTCTACTAATTTGAGTGTCTGCTGTGGAAAGGTGTTTGTCATGTATTTTTCTCACTAAATTAAAATGGGAGACATTCAGTAAAATAGGTGCTATGATGTTTGTGTGACTTTTAACATAAAATAAGAACAATTCAATTTATCTAATAGTTGAAATGAAAGCATTATCTATTTTCTTAGTTGTCATGCTGCCCTCTTGAGAATTCAACAATGTTAGGTGATCCTGAGATGTTTGTCACTCACTGGAGCTCTTTAGACCATTTATCCATTCTCTGAAATTATTTTCTGACTCCTCACTCGGCTCAATAAAATTTGGCACTGAAAATAATAGAAATTATTTTACACAGGATAATTTCCTCTATTTAACAACACTTGCTTAAATTTATTGTCTCTGAAATGTGTAGAGGTCCCAGACATTACAGATGACTTTGCAAAATTCCTCTTAGTATTAATTCTGTTTACCAATACTCAAAAGCTGATACAAATTTACACATTTTATTTAACCTATCATGCTATTGATTGTAAGATGAAAAAATATATTGTCAACTAAATATATGTCTTCCTGATGTACAGAATTTTTGTTCTATGCATCCTGAAAGAGCTTTTTGATTCTTATTTGGACATACAGCATATTTTTAACAAGGACAGATTACTCTTGGGATATCCAAAGTGAAAAATATAAGTAAAATAGATTGGCTAAGGTAGTCTTAAACTTCTTCATATGTCTTTATATGAGAGTTAGACTCATTTAAGTGCCTTTTTAACTTTTTAAAAATCAATTTTTAGAGTGTATCCACATATTTGAGAGCATTGGTGACACAGCATTTCTTAAGAGAATGCTTTATTTTTATCTCCGGGATTCTTCCAGGGTGCTGACACAAATTCTGCAAGTTTTGATGCTGAAACTTTCTTAAATTTACCAGAAAGTGACAATAGAGGGTTTCAGACAATAACCAGGATTTGCATTCCTTTGTAAAATTGGTTGCAAATAGGCTTGCAGTCATTTAGGCATGTTACCTGAAATGATCAAGTTCATGTACATGCAGGCAGTGACAACTACATCATGATTGCTACCTAGATTTCAGCTGTAAGAGATAAAGGGTTGTAAGGTACAGCCCTATTTCAGAGATGTTAAAATGTAAAAAGAAAATTTATTTTCAATTGAACAAAATATGATATGCTTCCTCCCTCCCTGTTGTCTGCCCTTTGTCTCTTCTTTATCTTCTCCTTCCCTGTTCTGCAATAAACGCCATGAGGGTGTTCATAGCATTAGGGGATTAGGGGAAAACAGACACAAAAATGAATAAATGTAAGTTATCAGAGCTTTGATACAAGTAAGAGCACAGTACTGTGAGAATAGGCAAGAGAAATTACTTAACACTCTCTGTGAATGGCCTAATGCAGGCAATGATTTAAAGGTGGGTCTTGAAAGTGAATAGAGGCTATCCAACCACAGGAGAAGAGAAAAACTGTCTAGGCAGGGAGAACACCATAAGGAAATATACAGTGTGTACACCTAGATAGTTACATGTTTAGTAATGAAAGTAGTGACACGGAGTAATATGGTCTCGAATATGTTAATAACTGAGACCACTTGATTTAGGTGTGTCAGTTTAATAATACCTAAGAAGATTCTTTTAACTTGAGACTTAAGATGATTAAACATATTAGATGAGAAGATCACATTGCAAAATATGAAAAGAATTATATACAATTTAATATATGGTTAAATGGATATATATGGATATAAGTATATCTACAGATATCAATCTATAATTAAGGAATGCCATAACCACAGTTTGCTTCTTCTCTTAACCTTTTTACTAGAGAATCAGTGTAAGCTGTATTCAGAAGTAGCTATGGGAAATGTCTCTGTCTTGGTCATTTCTGGATTACTATTATTATTTTTTAACTCTCATCCTGGGTAATCCTCTTCTTCTGTATCTCTTGATCCACAAAAATTCATCTTGGATTGGTGACTTCCTTAAATTATGGCTAGTATACTAACCATAAAGAAATTCAAGTTCTCGTTATGATCAAAATTTATACTTAAAGGTAAAACGCCTTAACCAAATTAATTTTAAAAGCCTTAACTAGGCTGGGTGCCGTGGCTCATGCCTGTAGTCCAATCACTTTGGGAGGCCAAAAATGGGGGAAAAGTTCTTCAAAAAAAATGGGGAAAAATTTTGGGGGGAGGCCAAAAAAAGGGGAAAAATGATTGGAAGGGTCACTTGAGCCTCGAAGTTTGAGACCAGCCTGAGCAACATGGTGGAGCCTCATCTCTACAAAAAATACAAAAACTAGCCAGGCATGATGGTGCACGTCTGTAGTCCCAGCTACTCAGGAGGCTGAGGTAGGAGGATTGCTTGCACCACTGCACTCTAGCCTGGGTGACAGAGCGAGACCTTGTCTCGAAACAAAATGAAAACCCTCCTTAACTACCTATTTCTTTTTTCTGCGTACTTTTTTGTATCATTTCATTTTATTTTTAGTTGACATGTAATAACTGTACATATTTATAGGATACAGAGTGATATTTCCATACATATATACAATCCATGAGGATCCAGTGAGGATATTTAGCATATTCATCACCTCAAAGATTTTGTGTGTGTGTGTATTGGAAACATTCAAAATCCTCTCTTCTAGCTTTTTGAAAATATACAATAAATGCTTGTTAACTATATTCACCCTAAAGTATCAACTAGCTATTTTGATTTTTATTATTACATGAATCCATGCAATACTGAAGGTATGCTTTTCCATTATGTATACACTGCAAAACATTGTGCCACAGTAGCATAAGAATGCTGTCCTACTGACATCTGGGAGTGAATAAGGTGAGGAGGGAAGAAGGAAAGGTTTAAAATCCTTGCTCCACATTTGCTTCCTATGTCATATTATCAAATGTTCCATGCCAGGTGCAATGGCTGGAGTTCACTTTTAATAATTTCATTTATGTTTATAAGGACATTATGGTACCTAGAAGGCATGACTAACCAGAGAAAAAGATAAAATGGCATAATGAGAAGTTAAAGTGGATAAAGTACAGAGGGCATAGAAGGAGCCTGAGAAGGTGGATAGAACATGAGGCCAGAAAGGGAATTAATGACAGATTTTGAAGGGGGCTATGTCTTGTGTCAATCAATCTTTGCTATAGAAATGCAAAGCAATATCTTAAATTGGAGTACCAAAATATATTTGATTAATCAAAAGAAAATAGGAAAGGAAGAACAAAGAACAAGATAGGTGAGACAAATAGAACCATTCAATATAATGGTTTAAATAAACTTACTATTTTAAATGTAAATGGCCTAAATATTCCAAATTAAAAAAAATTGTCAGACTAGATAAAAAATCAAGACCCAAATATATGATGTATATTAGAGATGAACTTTAAATTAAATAAAACCAAATAGGTAGAAAATAAAAGGGAAGGAAATATAAGGCCAGATGCAGTGGCTCATGCCTGTAATCCTAGCACTTTGGGAGGCCGAGGCAAGTGGATTGCTTGAGCCCAGGAGTTAAGAGAACAGCCTGGGCAACATGATGAAACCCAATCTCTTAAAACAAAACAAAACAAAACAAACAGAAAAAATATATCATACAAATAATGAAAATATTAGAAAATATGTTTCAAGGAATAGAGTGTTATTAAAGATAAAAAAGAACATTTTATAGGAACAAAAATGTCCATACATCAAGAAGACAGGACAATTGTATATATGAATTCACCTAATGACAGTAGATCAAAAAAATCAGTGAAGATGTAGAAATATATGAATGACACTATTCATCAACTTGACCTTATAAGCATTTATATAGAACACTAGACCCAACAACCTTAGAATACATTTTTATATGCACAGTAAATGTTTACCAAGAGAGACCATATGCTGGCCCACAAAATATAATCAATGAACTTTAAAACCTAAAATATTACATAGTATTTTCTCTGATCACAACTGAATTAAATTAAAAATCAATATTAAAATATCTTAAGCACTTCTGGTTAAAGACAAGGTGAAATAAGCATACTCCACTATGTCCATACAAGTATAAAACCTGAACAGAATAGTTGCCTGGAGCAACTATTTTAGGAATCAGAAAAGTTAAAAATAGCAGGTAGAATGGAGAAGAAGACCAGAATTTGAAATATCACCCAACCTCTGGTCATTTTATCAATTTTTCCTTTGATATCTCCCTGCCTGAACTCAACAATGCCTTCTAAAACCCAGAAGTGGTTATCAGTAAACAATAGCAAGCTTCAGAAGCAGCCCTTTAGTTCTGTCTCAAAGAGCAGGAAAGAGCTCCTAATTATCAGAAAGAGTGCAGAAATTTCCTTTTTTTCTCCCTTTTCCTCCTGCTCTCTCACCCCTCAGCCCTCAAGCAATCTCATGGCAGCTGCTGTAGAAACTGCAGTGAGAGTTCACAGGGGCCAAAACTCTGAGAGTGGAGAGCCTTCCCCTCTGGTAAGTATATCTGTGATCCCAATAAGATGGGGCAAACCCTGATGTTTTTCTTCTTTCTCTTCCCTTCTGCCACTTGGCCCAAGATGGGGACACAGTTACAGGTGTGCAGCCTAGTGGGGTAACTAATACCCCAGGTTTCTGGCTAGAGGAATGAAAAGGGAAGCTCCAGGTAACTGGAAAAAATGACATTGACTTTTTGAAGAATGTTTCCCCTTTTTTCCTTCAAATAGAATATTCTTCATTTTTGGTTTGTTAGATGTTTTGTCATGAATAAATTCACTCTCTCCATTCTCAGTCAGAATATTCAGTAAGTGATAATGTTTCCTTTTTGGGGTATCATATCTAGAAGCACACAATGTCCATCTGGCTCTCATGGGTGATGTGAGTTTTGATCATTCAGTCAAGGTGTTTCTAACTTCTCCAGTACATTACCACTGACTGTCTCTTTTGCAACTAAAAAGCAGTCTGCAGAGAGATACTTTAAGGGCATGATAATATCCTGCTCCTTATTAACATTTCTCCCGAGAGGTAGTATCAATTAATGATTATTTCTTGATATAATCTTGACTACAACAGTTGCAGAATGTTAACTTTTTCTAATTCTAGCACTCCCTCCCACATTTACTAGTTGTCATTTGGCTTTCTACTGTAAACAGGAGCCCTCAGTTCCTCCAATGAATTCCTTCCTTCCTTCCTTCCTTCCTCTTTCTCTCCTTCCTTCCTTCCTTTCTCCCGTTCCTTCCTTCCTTTCTCTCTCTTTCTCTTTCTTTCTTTCTTTCCTTCTTTCTTTCCTTCTTTCTTTCTTTCTTTCTTTCTTTCTTTCTTTCTTTCTTTCTTTCTTTCTTTCTTCTTTCTTTCTTTGTTTCTTTCTCTTTCTTTCTTTCTTCACTTTGCTACTCTCTGCATAACAAGATGTTCCAGGTTCCTCTTGTATCTAACTCTGCCCAGTCCTAGAATCAGCCAGGACTGAAGAGCCCTAGTTCCAAGATCTGGGTACTAAGTGTGCTTGAAGCTATTGGGGTGTGTTTAATTCTTGGCTCTTGATTCAATAGGCAGGGCCTGAAAATAATATACACAGACATACATACAAATATGTATATGAACTATATATATGCATATGCATGCACATATAAGTACATATTTTAGAAATTATGATCTGCCAGTTCTAATGGATCTTTCAGGTTATTTCTTGCTTTCCATTCCATATTTGTATGTTATGTCTTCCACATGGGAAACCTGGTTTCCAACAATTCATTTAGTCCTTTTCTCAATCCTATAAAACATCTAAAATAGTTTCAGAATTGCTTCACCTATGCTACTGTGAGGCGGGAGAATAGGGCCTGGAGGCAAGGAACTTAAGGCCAGTTTGTACTGACTTCGGAGAACTGAATTGAAGGAAAACTCCACCCTTCCACACCCAAGTAACAAAAGTATCAGAGGCTACTTTCTTTGCACTGCTGTGGCAGATGAAAAATGGAAAGTACCTCTGACTGGTCCCCTCCCACAACCAGACTGGTCAGGAGCCTAGCCTTCATTTGCATAGACATGTAACTTTATAACTTCACTTCAGCCTCTGATTGGTCACCTTCTACAACCGATCAGACTGGTGGCGGGCCACTCCTTCATTTACACAGGGTGTGACCATGTAACCAATGGGAAATCTCTAGAGAGTATTTAAACTCCAGAAAATTCTGTAACCAGCTCTCTTGAGTTGCTTGCTGGAGACTGCTCCCACTCTGTGGAGTGTACTTTTGTTTCAATAAATCTGTGTTGTTGTTGTTTCATTCTTTCATTGTTTTGTTTGTGTAATTTGTCCAATTATTTGTTCAAAACACCAAGAACCTGGATGACTCAAGACCCTCTACCAGTAACAAGTAAAATAAACAACGCTTTATTCAAAAGAGTTCATGATTTCTTTGCAATTCTTACCCCTCCTACACACCTATCTATCCACTCATGACTGAGGGTATATAGTCAAAATTCTGGTCCGTAAGTTATTTGGATTAGTGTCCTTTTCTCCCTCTATTTTTTTTTCTCTCTCTCTTTCTTTTCTTCTTTCTATCCTCCCTCCTTCCTTTTTTCTCAATCTCCCTCTCTGCCTCCCTCCCTCCTTTCCTTCTGTGTGATTATGGCATTCCTTTGACATATATTTGTGTTTATTGTCAGCTTGCTTTCAGTGTTTGAGTCCTCACCCCACTTTCACATTCTCACTGATTTTATTTTACTTTGTTCAATGTGTAGACTATCAACATGTTTCCAGTCAAACTATGCAAAAAGTATGCTCAGGGAAATGTCACTCCTTCCTGTGTCGTTTCACCCCATTTCACCCCCATCCCTACCCTTGTAGGTAACCAACTTCACTGTTTTCTGGTTTACCCTTCCTTGTTTCTTCTTGTAAAGATAAGCAGAGATTGCATTTCCCCCCCATCTTCCCTGTTTTCTTACACAAAAGGTAATATGTGTGTGTGTGGCTCTTGGCTCTTGATTCAATAGGCAGGGAATGAAAATAATATGCACAGACATATGTATAAAGATACACATGAATATATATATATGCATATGCATGGCACAGATATATGCACATATAAGTACATATTTTAGAAATTATGATCTGTCAGTTCTAATGTATCTCTCCTTCCTTCTAATGTATCGCTCCTCCCTCTTTCCTTTTTTCTCTAGCTCCCCCTCAACATGCACACACACACACACACACACACACACACACACACACACACACAAGCTGTTTTGTACTTTGCATATTTCATTTAAAAATATCTCCTGGAAATCACTCCGTATCAGTTCATAGAGACTTTCCTCATTTTTTTTTAACAGTTGAGTAATATTCGATTGTGTATATGTAGCAAAGTTTATTCAACCAATATCCTATGTTTGGACATTTAGGAAATTGCCATTATATTGCAATTACAAATAAAGCCACAAAGAATAAACCTTGTGGATATGTGTTTCCATATTGTTGGAGGTGTATCTTAAGGATAAATTCCTACAGGTAAGATTGATGGGACAAAGGGCAAGTGCATTTGCAGATGGTGAAACCCCATCTCTACTAAAAATACCAAAAAAAAAAAAAAATTAGCAGGGCATGGTGGTGCACATCTGTAATCCCAGCTACTTGGGAGGCTGAGTCAGGAGAATCACTTGAACCCAGGAGGCGGAAGTTGCAGTGAGCCAAGATCGCACCATTGCACTCCAGCCTGACAGATTGGGACTCTGTCTCAAAAAAATAAAAAAGAAAAAAAATGCACTGAAAAAATATTTTAAAAAAAATTTTTTTTGAGACGGAGTGTTGCTCTGTAACCAGGCTGGCTCACTGCAACCTCCGACTCCCTGGTTCAAGCAATTCTCCTGCTTCAGCCTCACCAGTAGCTGGGATTATAGGCATGTGCCACCACGCCCAGCTAATAATTTTTGTATTTTTAGTAGAGACAGGGTTTCACCATGTTGGCCAGGATGGTCTCCATCTCCTGACCTCGTCATCCGCCCACCTCAGCCTTCCAAAGTGCTGGGATTACAGGTGTGAGCCACTGTGCCTAGCAAAAATTTTTTATTCTGTTTTACACAAAACAGTTAATCAAATATTAAAGGTTCCACTTGAAAGTGTGCATTTTCTTAGTATCACAAATGTTCAGGATGAGGACTACAAGGGCAATTTAGCAACTGAGCAAATAAAGAAATTATTATTTCTATATTATAATGTCAAAACTTTAATTTTTGACTATTAAAAATGTTAATAAGATTCTAATTATAATTAATTTTTAAATAGAAAAGTTCAGGCACTCTCATATTCCAAAATTTATTTAACCTCTGCTTTAACCTCAGGTTTGGCAGAATGTTGATTTTAATCAATACTGATGATTAAGCATTTAGCCAAAATGGCCATTTGATATGCCCTGTAATTTTAATTATTTTATGAATTTGAAAAAAATGAAAGATTGCTCTACTATAGCAACTGATATATTTCTTAATCTTGAGTTCTATTAGTGGGTCCTTTTGGGAGAAATTAAAAGGCTTATGAGTTAAGATAAAAAGAAAAGGGAGAAGAGGGAAGGAGATAGTGAGAGAGTGAGAACTCAGGCTAGAGAGGCTGGTAAAGGAGGAGGAGGAACGAAGAAAAGGTAAGCAAGAAGAAGAAAATATTCATCTATAGGCAAGAAGGAGTCAGTTACTTTGACAATTTCCCAAGTATTGTAATTGGCTCTATCCCACTTCGGTCATCCCTCTGTCTTTGAAAGAGATCATACCCAAAGCATTTTAGACCAGAGAGCATTTCTTTGCTTTTTAAAGGATACACACACTCACACATACATGAAAAACAGGCAAAAAAAACTTGTACAACTTCTCTTTTGACAATACTGGTCATAACAAACAAGAACCACTGTTAGACATTTTGTCTTTAAATTTGAACTAAAAGGAAACTGTAGAATATTAGAGCTAGAAGGAACCTCTGACATCATTCTGTCCATGCCCTTATTCCACAAGGACTTGCCCAGGGTCATACTGCTGTGAGAGGCAGACTCAAGGCTAGGACTCAGGTGTTTGGATGTCCAGTCCAATGATTCTTCCAAGAGGTAGGATGTCTTTCCTGCATCTTTTGACTGAAGAAATAAAAATTCCTCCTGTCAGAAAAAAAAAATCTCAGCTCAAGTGCATAATTTCTAAAAAGATACTGTAGTAAATAGAAATATAGTTTCTTTTAAAGGATAAATAAATTTCAAAATTTTATTTACTGCACTTTTTTAAAGTTCCACAGTGAATGGAGAGGGTTTTGAAAACATCTGTTTACCAATTTCCTACTGGTAACAGAACCTCGGCAGCAATAACTAAATCACCTTCGTACTCTTCTCTGTGAAGCCATTAAGCCTAGAAACATGCTGTTTTTGGCAATACAGAAATCAAAGTGGTAGCACAGCAGAGCATATCTGTGTTAAAGAACAAAAATCCACAGGCTGCTTCAAAATATCAACAAGGAACTCTGAAATTTTCTATCAATTTCTTTTCATGGCCTTGTGACATTTTCAACTTAAAACTATATTGCTTAACATCAAGGCACTTTGAGAGAGCTTCAGTTGGAAAAGGTAATTTTTGAGTGAGATTCAGCAGAAAAAGGTAATTTTTCAGAGAGGTTCACTGGAAAAAGGTAATTTTCAGAACCAATTGCTGCATTCTTTTGCTGTTATTTTGTCTCTTTTCTAAGTAGCCCTAATGTCATTCATGGGCACTCTATGTCAATACATCCGTACTGGGTAAGTCATTTGTGCAAAGTAAGTTTACAGAAACTGTAGCTTTAGGCTATGTTATTCCAGGGCTGTGAAGATCAAACAATGCAATTTCACTTGGAAGTTTCATCAATTTTGCATCAATGTTGATGCTTGAGCTGCAGGTCTGCACCCAGAATCATAATTTCAGCCACAAAAATTTTGTTTTTGATGGAGAATCTAATTTCATATGATGATCATTGTTTGGTAATACTGTGGTTCTGTAATGCAGCTCTATAAACCTCTAGTGCTGACCCGGCGATTGATGGGCAAGCCGTGGAGGGGCTTAATAACTGATCTAGACTGCATCAATTCATACTGTTTTGAGATACTAAAGAAAAAATAACTAGTCTTAGAATGCATGTTATTATATGTTATTTGTATAAGTGGATGAACAATTGTCCTTGAAAGCTGAGACCTTTCATCTGCTCATTTTCCGAGAGCTTCAATCTTTAGAAAGAAAATTATGCAATTCAGCTTTAATGGTTTGAAATGAAGACTCTGAAATTATCAGGCATCTCATATATTTCTCCTTTGATTATATCACCACAGAGAAAATGAACAAAAAAACTTCTTCAGTGCAAGATGTGAAAGTTGAGGGGCATAAAAAGAAACATTTTAAAGCCTTCCCTGCTTTTTAAAGTGGAACAGCAAACTTTAACAGGCTAGAATTTTATTCTTCCCTTTAAATTATATGTAGTTAATTTCAAGAGAATATTAATAGATGTCTTTTCATTAATCACTTTGTTTTGTAATTTAGCCTTTGTGTAAGAAATTGTGAAGTAGAGAAGTTCACATTCATTGGTGATAAAAACATGTAGTCAGCACAGTTGGATACTTTCAATTCTACATCTACTGATAAGAAACATATCATTTTTTTCCCTCTAAAGAGCTTTAGTAACCACCTCCTTGACCCTCAACAGCACTGTGGATTAAATAAAGTCAAATAATGATGGCATTTCTATTTAAAATAACTACCTTTTGTAATAATAAAAAATGGTATTTCATCAAACCTTAACTATCTTCAAGTTAATTTGTTATTTATACCCACTGACAGAAAAATTAAGTGAACCAACTCTGATCAGCTTTTTGCTTTCCATCTACATGAGAGATTTTTCTCTATCCATATTGTCTATAACCCAGTTCCTGGTCTGTTTTCAAAGTTGGAATTGATAACCAGTGGTATCAATAATAACTCCTGAATGTGTACCACCATGAGGTGTTATACAATTCATCATCAGTCATTTTTAAAAATTCCCTGCTAGTCAGAGTATATGCAGTATGTTCCCCAACCAATTTACCTTATCTATTTTGAATTACCTACCCTACTTACAAAGACTTTTTTTCAGCCAGCACATAAATATTTTATTAAGTAGATATTTTGTTTAGTTTTGTTTTTGTCAAGATATAACATTTAGTGATTCTAAAACTTTGTTAAGAGAGTAGATCTCGTGTTAAGTGTTCTTACCACAAAAAGTGGGGGGTGGGGGCATGAAACATTTAGAGGTAATAGTTGTTATTACCTTGATTGTGGTGATGGGCCCATGGCTCCACACTCATCATGGGTCTAAACTCATCAAATTGTGTACAATAAATATGCGCAGTTTTTATCTATCAATTATACACTCATAAAGCTGTAAAAAAATTTTAAAAATAAAGTTTCCTTGGAAGCTTGGGCTGAAAGCCAATAAAGAAGTCACATGCCATTTAAAGTTTGTTTATTGCATTTTACCCACTACAGATGTGAGTGACCTTTATCAAGAATCTGCATTTCCAACCCATTAAACATCTCTCCCCCATTAACCTGATAGTTGTTAACCCTGATAGCTGTCTTGACCGGCCAGTGTTTCCATTTGTGTGGATTCTGGATTAGCCTGAAAATAGCTGTCATAATGGAAGATGGGTAATCCTCAGGAAAGACTATGTGAAATGACTGACGGGAAAGTAATGACATGAATTGGCAAAGATGGGTGCCTGTGCCTCAGACATTCAGATCATTTGGAAAGCCAAGATTAAGCCAACACTTGCAACAATAGCATAGAATGGAAGGACCAGAGTTTTGCAATCACTTATACCGCAGTTGAGTCCCAGCTCTGCCACTCACTGGCCGTGCAGCCTTTGGCACCATTACTTATCCCTTTATGGCTTCTGTGTGGCTCTTTTTATCCAAGATGATTATGATACTATTTACTGTAGATGGTTGTTATGAAGTCAAATGAGACAATATATTTAATGTGCTCAGTCCATAGCCCACGAATGGCAAACAACAGTAGCTATCATTAAGTTGTGCGTCAAAATGTGAAAACGTAACACAAGTGGCTAAAAATTGAAGGGTAGCCTGAACGGATACTGCACCTAGGATGACAAGAGTAAGCACAATTTAGTATAATAATATTTTAATCTATATTGGTGATAATACTTGCTACTCTAAATGTATTATTCAGTTAAAGTAATTTTTGATGACTCCAAGGTGTGTTCGCCTTTGGTGATTTGCATGGTGCCAGAAGATGTACTCTGATTCTGAGTTTTAGAGGCTACAGAGGAAAGGGCTTGCTTCACTTTTCAGGGGAAAATGTTTCACTATCAATGGACTGAGAATGACCTGACATAATAAAGCAGAGCTGCACACATCACACCTCTTTACATTTCCAATGGATAGAATACTCTTTGGCACATAGTAGGGATTCTGTAAATGCTCATTGATGTGATTGGATGTGATGTGATGAGATAGGATTGTCAGATGGATTCCCCTGGAAGCCATTGCATGAGCACCTTTATGTGAGATAACCTAACCACAGATTCCTTTTAATATCTCAGTAACCATTTCCACCCCATGCTCAATTTGCATTATAACTAAATGTGCTGTCCTTATTAAGAAACTTCTGTGGTTTATTTTTCTGTTTCTAATTTCAGGTTTTTAAACCTTTTTTATGGTTATTTTTGGTGAAGCTATGCCTTTAAATTCATGCTCCTTTTAAAATAGAAAATTATAAAAAATTTATATTTCATAATTTGCAATGTTCTAGTCCAGGCGATGGGAGACTTTCAGATGTTATACCTGAACTGTTTCATAGATATGATTATAGATTCCACAAGATATATATAATGTATACAAATAAATATAAATAACGAAATGCATAAAATTTATACATAAAATTTATACTTGTGTAAATATATTCATATATTAAGTATGATTACGTGGATGTAAATAAATAGGATTTCCTTTCTTCTTATTTTCAAAGCTCTGTCTTTCAGCCTATGGGTCATTCTTGTCATTAAAATCCAAAGTGAAATCTTGCCAGGCTTGTATCTTAGGTGAGTTTCCCATATTTCTCTCAAAGACCTGTCCACACATTTTGCCTCCAACAGCCCAACAAAGGGAGGCTGTCACTTATCCTAGCCAGGTGACTCAAAGGCCAAAGGAGCAATCTACGGAGGAAAAATTATTCACCATGCTGGCAAGAGCTGAGCAAATTTTTATAGAGAAATGTGAATTTCAACCAGGCTTAATTCTTTCTAGGTTTGTGAATGAGAAAAAAACAAGATATTTCTTGAGACAATTTGATGAGTGATGAGATTTTTACAATTTGTCAACCATCTACCTACCTGAATCTCTGGATTTCTCAAGTGCTCCATTCCTTTGTTTTGGTAGACAACATGCATTTTTTTTCCTTGCTTTTTAATTGAGATTTGGAGGGTGTTTATTTTCTTCTAAAATATACTGTGACTTATTAAACTTGGCTGCTGTCCCAGGCTATTATTTGTAACCAAGTTTAGATTCAGAATAGGTAGAACCAGGGATAATTCAATTAAAACAAAGCAAAAAACCCTGCCTGTCCTTTCTCTTGGACTTGCACTTTGGGGCTATAGGAAGTGTGGAGTTTTATCAATTACACCTGAGTTAGCAGGAAAAAAAGACTCTCTCCAACTACAGAATTCACCTCCTTCTTGCTTCTGCTATTCAGTTTAGAGCCACAGGGACACCATCCATCAAAAGAACCTTTCCTGAAGAGGAGAATCTTGTTAAGGCTGGCTGTCAACTTGAGAAAACTAATCATGGTATTGAACAACAAAATGATTTTATACTGCTTTTCTCCTTCTCTTCTACTGAGCAGACCATTAAGAAGAAAGGCCGACAGATGTTTGGCAAGCAACTAAAAATAGAAAACCTGCTTTAAATATCAAGTGTGCCTGTTTGATTCTGAGTGAAAGAATATATCTAGCATCTGTACAAAATGGAATTCAGATTTGAGGCCAGGGTCTGACTCAGATTTGGCAGTTGAGATGTGAACTGGTGGACAGTTCCTTTAGCCAAAAGACTTAATGATTTCTTCAAAATTCCTTTCTTTCCATGGCCAGATTATGTCAAAATGTGTATGTGCTACTACCGATCTGGGTGTATATTATGTCCTATGTTTGCTCAACTTAGAGTCAGAAAGATCGATTAGTGGGTTTGAGTCTGCAAAATAGACTCAAGGCATTTTATTTTCTGCTTGCTGTGTTCTTTTTATCTTCTCTTCAATGTAGCTTTCCTTTCCCCTTTATGCCATGGTACTAGCTGAATGCTGATGACCCAATAGTACAATAACAGCCAAGTTGCATTTAATGGTAATCTGGTGGCCACAGCTGCGTGGTTACCCACTGATACTGAACCAAGCCCCCGGAGCAAAAGTTTTCATTCTTATTATACCAGAGAGAAAAATCCTGGAAACATTCATCCTTCAAGTTTCAGCTTCCATCCGGCCTCCTTAAAGCTACCCTAAGGACCCTATGATGTTCCCTCTCTCCCCTCAATGACTGTAGCTCTCTAGTTCTCTTTCTACTACACATTCACCACTTAATATTTTGTACTGCTTTCTTAACTGACAATAAATGCTGGCCAATGCTTTCCCTGTTTGTGCACAATATATAAGTATTTGCTGATTAATTAAATAGCTAGTCCCAGGCAGGGTGGCCTAAAGGTAGGTTTTGTTGGTGGAATGGTAGTTCTTAATCTTTTGGAGGGGACAGAGACACTTTAAGAAAAATGCAAATTGCAAACCTTTGTGCCAAAAAGTGCACATATATACATACACAAAAATCTGTGAATATAGTTTCAGAGGGTTCTCTGACTCCCCCTGAAGGCTGTCTAAGGAACCTTGGTTAAGAGCCTAGCTGTAAGCAGACATTGTTCAGTGTCAGAGGCCTGCGAGGACTCTTGGGAGCAAGGAAGGGGCCACCCACCGGCTTCCTTCATAGCAGGCAAAAAACAGCCTGCTCAATTCACAAATGTACATTTTCTGTAAGGCTCTAAGGTTATGCACTTTGATGTAAACATTTTTATCTACAAGCTTGTGAGGCAACAATATATAGTAAAAAGAACAACTGAATTTACACAAATTGGGTCTGAATTTGAATCCAGTTTCTACCACTTACTGCCTTTGTAACTATGTAACTATGCCAAGCCACTTAACATCTTTGGGTCTTAGTTTTTTTTCCCTATTCTTTTCTTTCTTTTTCTCCTTTTTATATTAATTGACCTTAATTTTAATTAACCTTCATTTAAATTTTATTTTTAATTTTTTATCTTTAATTGTATGTATTTATGGGTGGGTTGAAGAGGAAAGGAGAGATGTTGGTCAAAGGGTAAAAAATTTCAGTTAGATAGGAGGAATAAGTTGACCTATTGCACAGTGTGGTGACTATAGTTAATTATAATGTATTGCATATTTCAAAACAGCTAAAAGAAAGGATTTTAGATGTTCTCACCACAAATAAATGATAAATATTTGAGGTAATGGGTATGCTATGTATCCCAATTTGATCATTCCACAATGGACTTTAGTTTTCTTATCTCAGACAGAGTTGTAAATACAGTTAGCTCTGTCTTAATCTCTTCCTGAGCAAGAGGGGATCCTGAACACGATCCCTGGGCAGAAATTGTTAGGACTGGACAGGCTTAGTAATGGCAGAACATGGAGTGAACAGTGAAGCAAAGTAATACTGGACAAAACACCTGGTCAAAACAACAGTGGTACCCTCAGGATTTTCTCTGGGAGCTGATAAGATTTGTTCCTGATCATACATGTAATAGAACACCCCAGAGGGCTCCCAGAAGCACAGCAGTGGCAAAGCTATTCATCAGCAGATATAAAAATTGGGATCGTGATTTTTTTTCTGTTTTCCTTTTTTTAAAATTTATTTTAAAATTTATTTTTCCATAAGTTATTGGGGTACAGGTGGTATTTGGTTACGCGAGTACTTTAGTGGCGATTTGTGAGATTTTGGTGCACCCATCGCCTGAGCAGTATACACTGCACCCTTTTTGTAGTCTTTTATCCCTCGCCCCCCTCCTACCCTTCCCCCCAAGTCCCCAAAGTCCATGGTATCATTCTTATGCTTTTGCGTCCTCATAGCTTAGTTCCTACATATCAGTGAGAATATATGATGTTTTTCTGTTCCTGAATTACTTCACTTGGAATAATCGTCTCCAGTCTCAACCAGATCGCTGCAAATGCTGTTAATTCCTTCCTTTTTATGGCTGAGTAGTATTCCATCATATAGACATATGCCACACAGTTTCTTTATCCACTCGTTGATTGATGAGCATTTGGGTTGGTTCCACGATTTTGCAATTGGGAATTGTGCGGCTATGAACATGCGTGTGCAAGTATCTTTATCAAATAATGACTTCTTTTCCTCTGGGTAAATACCCAGTAATAGTATTGCTGGATCAAATGGTAGTTCTACTTTTAGTTCTTTAAGGAATCTCCACACTGTTTTCCATAGTGGCTGTACTAGCTTACATTCCCACCCGCAGTGTAGAAGGGTTCCCCAATCACCGCATCCACACCAACATCTACTGTTTTTTTATTTTTTGATTATGGTCATTCTTGCAGGAGTAAGGTGTATTGCATTCTGGTTTTGATTTTCATTTCCCTGATTATTAGTGATGTTCAGCATTTTTTATATGTTTGTTGGTCATTTGTATATCTTCTTTTGAGAATTATCTATTCATGTTGTTAGCCCACTTTTTGATGGGATTGTTTGTTTGTTTTTTTCTTACTGATTTGTTTGAGTTCATTGTAGATTCTAGATATTAGTCCTTTGTCAGATGTATAGATTGTAAAGATTTTTTTCCCATTCTGTGGGTTGTCTATTTACTCTGCTGCCTGTTCCTTTTGCCGTACAAAAGCTCTTTAGTTTAATTAAGGCCCAGCTTTTTATCTTTTTTATTGCATTTGCTTTTGGGTTCTTGGTCATGAAATCCTTGCCTAAGCCAATATCTAGAAGGGTTTTTCCAATGTTATCTCCTAGAATTTTTGTAGTTTCAGGTCTTAGATTTAAGTCCTTAATCCGCCTTGAGTTGATTTTTGTGTAAGGTGAGAGATGAGGATTCACTTTCATTCTCCTACATGTGGCTAGCCAATTATCCCAGCACCATTTGTTGAAAAGGGTGTCTTTTTCCCACTTTATGTTATTGTTTGCTTTGTTGAAGATCAGTTGGCTGTATTTGGATTTGGATTTATTTCTGGGTTCTCTGTTCTGTTCTGTTCCATTGGTCTATGCGCCTATTTTTATACCAGTACTGTGCTGTTTTGGTGAGTATGGCCTTATAGTATAGTTTGAAATCAGTAGTGTGATGCCTCCAGATTTGTTCTTTTTGCTTAGTCTTGCTTTGTATTTGAGGGGTCTTTTTGGTTCCATATGAATTTTAGAATTGTTTTATTTAATTCTGTGAAGGATAATCGTGGTATTTTTATATGGATTGCATTAAATTTGTAGATTACTTTTGGCAGTATTGTCATTTTCACAATATTGATTCTACCCATCCATGAGCATGGGATGTGTTTCTATTTGTTTGTGTCGTCTATGAGTTAGTTCATCAGTGCTTTGTAGTTTTCCTTGTGGAGGTCTTTTGCTTCCTTGGTTAGGCATATTCCTAAGTTTTTTTTTTTTTTTTTTGCAGCTGTTGTAAAAGGGGTTGAATTCTTGATTTGGTTTTCTGCTTGGTCGCTGTTGGTGTTTAGAAGAGCTACTGATCTGTGTACATTAATCTTGTATCCAGAAACTTTGCTGAATTCTTTTGTCAGTTCTAGGAACTTTCTGGAGGAATCTTTAGGGTTTTCAAGGTAAGCAAACATATCGCCAGCAAACAGTGACAGTTTGACTTCCTCTTTACCAATTTGGATGCCCTTTATTTCTTTCTCTCATCTGTTTGCTCTGGTTGGGAATTCCAGTACTGTGTTGAAGAGGAGTGGTGACAGTGGGGATCCTTGTCTTGATATCCAGTTCTCAGAGGGAATGCTTTCAACTTTTCCCCATTGAGTATAATGTTGACTGTGGGTTTGTCATAGATGGCTTTTATTACATTGAGGTATGTCCTTTGTATGCCAGTTTTGCTGAGAGTTTTAATAATAAAGGGTTGCACAAACAGAATTAAAAACAAAAATCACATGATCATTTCAATAGATGCAGGAAAAGAATTAGACAAAATTCAGGATTGTGATTATTAAGGTAACTCTGTAAACTCCAAGACAGCAAGAATTTATCGCTTTGTTTAATGCTGTACCTCAAGGATCTAGAAGGGAGCCAGATAAGTACTTTAAACTCTACTCAATAAGTAAATAAATGAATAGTTGGATACATGAAATTTTATACACAGGTTGTACAAGTTAGTCGGTTTAGGAAACAAGTTGCATATATAGCCAGTATTGTTTAAAAAGTAATGTGGTTTATAGATTAGAAAATGTAATATTGTTAAGATGTCAATTCTTCCCAAATTGATCCACAGACATAACACAATTCCAGTCAAAATTCCAGTAGGCTTTTTTATAGAAATGGATAAGTTGATTCTAAAATGTGTATGGAAATATGAAGGACCTAGAAAAACAAAACAATTTTTCTAAAGAACGAAGATGGAGGACTTATCTTCCTGATTTAAAGACTTATTATAAAGCTTCATTAACCAAGGTAGATTAATATTGGCAAAAAATATACATATAGATCATTGGAACAGAGTAGAGAATTCAGAAATAGATCAACATGTATATGGTAAATTGTTTTTTGTAAATAAAATTTTTTACTTTTATTTTTTGTGAGTATATCATAGGTATATACATTTGGTAAATTCATTTTTAACAAGAGTGTCAAAGCAATTTAATGGGGGAAAGAAAAGTCTTTTCAACAAATGGTGTTGGATCAAATGAATATCCATACAGAAAAAAATTAGCATTAACTCTTACCTCACATTATACACAAAAAATTATCTCAAAATGGATGATAGACCTAAATGTAATACTTAAAACAATAAAACTTCTGGAAGAAAATATAGGAGAAAATTTTACAGCATCAGTGATGGCAAAGTTTTCGTATACATGAAAAGCTTAAATGATATAAAAAAAAATTATAAATTGAACTTCATCAGAATCTAAAACCTCTGCTTTTCAGATGACACCATTAAGAAAACAAAAAAGTAAGCCACAGAGTGAGGAAATATTTGTAGCATATATATCAGATAACTTGTATCCAAAGAATATAAAAAACTCTTACAACTGAATAACAAGATAAGCACCTCAATTATAAATGGTCAACATATTAAACAGATATTTTATATAAGATATAAACATGGCCAGTAAGCACATCAAAAATATTCCACATTATTAGTCACTAGAGATATCCAGATTAAAGTCACAGTGAGATACCAGTTTACATATGCTAGGATAAGTAACATTAAAAAGACTGACCATGCAAATGTTTATGAACTGGAACTGTTTGTAGAAATGTAAAATGGTACAAGTGGTCTGTAAATTCATTTGACAGTTTCTTAAAATATTAAGATACACATCCACCATATGATCCAAACATTTTACTCTTAGGTATTTACCTAAAGTGAAATGAAAGTATTTGTCCCCACAAAAACTTGTACACAGATGCAAATAACTTTACCTGTAATAATCAAAACCTGGAAACCCAAATGTCCATCAAAAGGTGAATGGATTAGCAAATTGTGGCACATCCATATTATAGAATACTTCTTAGCAATAAAATGGAATGACATGCGTTTGATATATGGAACAACCTGCATGAGTCTCAAAATCATTATGCGGGTGAAATAAGACAGATAAAAAGGAATAATACATAGAATTCTAGAAAATGCAATCTAATCTATAGTGTCAGAAAACAGCATGGAGGTCTAGGGAGAGAGGGGCTACACAGGGATATTTTGGGGATAATGGAAATGTTTGTATATTTATTGTGGTGGTTGTTTCATAGGTGTGTGCACATGCAAAACTTACTAAATTGTCTAAACGTTATGTGCAGTTTGTTGTACATCAATTATTCTTCAATAAAGTTGAAGATTTGCAAAAGTGATGATGCACATACTCAGATTTTAAAACTAAAATATTTGAAACACACCAAAAAATGTAACAATTATTTCTGGAGAGCAGAGTTTATAAGTGATTTTTATGTATTTTATTTATTTATTTAGAGACAGAGTCTGGCTCTGTCGCCCAGGCTGGAGTGCAGTAGCACGATCTGGGCTCACTGCAACCTCCACCTCCTGGGTTCAAGCAATTGTCCTGCTTCAGCTTCCCGAGTAGCTGGGATTACAGGTGCCCGCCACTGCTCCTGGCTAATTTTTGTATTTTTAGTAGAGACAAGGTTTCACCATCTTGGCCAGGCTGGTCTCAAACTCCTGACCTCAGGTGATCCACCTGCCTTGGACTCCCAAAGTGCTGGGGATTACAGGCGTGAGCCACCGTGACCGGCCGATATTTATTTTTTTCTGTGTAATTTTCTGCAATTTTCTGAATTTTCTAGTTTCCTGTGGTGCTATAACCAATCAATCACTACAAATTGGGTCGAATAAAACAAGTGAAATTTATTATCTCATAGTTTTGGAAGCCAGAATTCTGAAATTAGTATCACTGAGCTGAAATCAAGCTGTCAGCAAGGCTGTACTCTCTCAGAGGCTGTAGGGGAGAATTTATTTCTTGTCTCTTCCAGCTTCTGGTAGCTGCCAGCATTCCTTGGCTTGGGGCCACATCACTCCAATCTTCAAAGCAAACATCTTCAAATCTCTCTCTGCTCTGTCCTTATATCACCTTCTCTCCTGTGTGTGTGTGTCAAACCTCCCTCTGCCTCCCTCTCAAAAGGATACATCTGGTTGCATTTAGGGCCCACCTGGATAATGCAGGATTTTCCCCACATCTCAAAATCCTTAACTTAATCACATCTGCAAAGACTCTTTTCCAAATTAGGTAACTTTTACAGGTTCCAGGGATTAGGAGCTATCTTTAGGGAACATTATTCAACACCCACAGCATACATCTTGTTTGTTGCGATATTTTTGTGTTTTATTTTCTTTGTGTTTGATTCTCTAAGTATCTTGAAATTGCATAAATAATAAATGAGTATATTTTCATCATTAAAAATTCAGACATTATAAAATGTTACAAAATAGAAATCGAAGTCCACTGTGATAATGGCCAACACCATGTGAAAATAGACCTCCTTTACAGATAACCAATTCAGGCAAATTCAACTCCAAGCACTAGACTTGTGAGACCCACACAGGAGCATAATTTAATTCACAATAACTAGTCTTAATAATTTAGTGTTCATCCTTCCAGATCCCTTACTGTAAATTTTATAAGGTATATTTGTAGTATTATATAGTTACGTACTATATGTGTGTGTAAATGTGTGTATGGGTTTCAGCTTTTAGAAATGAGAAAAATACTATTCATTTTGTTCTGCAATTTGCTCTTTTCCTTAACAGTGTTCTTGGAGATATTTTTGTGTCAATGCATAAGATTCTACCACCTTTGCATAACAGTTGACCCTTGAACAACACAGGATTGAAATGCAGGGTTCCAGTTATATGCGGACTTTCTTTCACCTCTGCCACCCTAGACACCAAGTCCAACCCCTCCTTTCCTACCTCCTTTTCAGCCTACTCAATGTGAAGATGACGAAAATGAAGACTTTTATAATGATCCACTTCCATTTATTAAATAGTAAATATATTTCTCTCCTTGTGGTTTTCTTAGTAATATTTTTTTAATTTTCAATTTTTCTGGGTACATGGTGTATATACTTATGGGGTATATGAGATGTTTTGATACAGGCATGCAATCTGAAATAATCACATCATAGAAGATGGGGTATCCCTCCCTTCAAGCATTTATCCTTTGTGTTACAAACAATCTAATTATACTCTTTCAGTTATTTTGAAATGTTCAATTAAATTATTATTGACTATAGTCACCCTGTTGTGCTATCAAATATTAGTCCTTATTCATTCATTCTAATTATTTTTTTGTACCCATTAACCATCCCCAACTCCACTTGACTCCCCTACTATCCTTCCCAGCTTCTGGTAACCATCATTCTACTTATCTCCATGGATTCAATTGTTTTGATTTTTAGATCCCACAAATAAATGAGAATTTGCAAAGTTTGTCTTTCTGTGCCTGGATTATTTCACTTAACATAATGACCTCCAGTTCCATCCATTTGTTGCAAATGACAGAATCTCATTCTTCTTTATGGCTGAGTAGTAGTCCATCGTGTATAAGTACCACATTTTCTTTATCCATTCATCTGTTGATTTAGGTTGGACATTTAGGTTGCTTCCAAATCTTGGCCATTGTGTATAGTACTGCAACAAACATAGGGGTGCATATATCCCTTCCATATGTTGCTTTCTTTTCTTTTGGGCATATACCCAGCAGTGGGATAGCTGGATTGTATGGTAGCTCAATTTTTACTCTTTTGAGGAACCTCCAAACTTTTCTCCATAGTAGTTGCACTAATTTACATTCCCGTCAACAGTGTAAGAAGGTTCCCTTTTCTCCACATTCTTGTCAGCATATTTCATTGTCTGCCTTATGGATATAAGCCATTTTAACTGGCGTGAGATGATATCTCGTAGTTTTGATTTGTATTTCTCTGAAGATCAGTGATGTTAAGTACCTTTTCATATGTCTGTTTTTATGTCTTTTTAAAAGAAATGCTTATTCAAATCTTTTGCCCATTTTTAATTGGATTATTAGATTTTTTCCTGTAGAGTTGTTTGAGTTTCATATATATTCTGGTTATCAATCCCTTGTCAGATGGGCAGTTTAGAAATATTTTCTCTCATTCTGTGGGTTATCTCTTCACTTTGTTGATTGTTTTCTTTGCTTTGCAGAAGATTTTACACTTGATACGATCTCACTTGTCAATTTTTGCTTTGGTTGCCTGTGCCTGTGGGGTATTATGCAAGAGATCTTTGCCCAGACCAATCGTCCTGGAGATTTTCTCCAATGTTTTCTTGTAGTAGTTTCATAGTTTGAGGTCTTTAAGTCTTTAATTCATTTTGATTTATTTTTGTGCATGGTGAGAGATAGGGGCCTAGTTTCATTCATCTGTATATAGATACCCAATTTTCCCAGCACCATTTATTAAAGAGACTGTCTTTTCCCCAGTGTGTGTTCTTAGCACCTTTGTTGAAAATGAGTTCACTGTAGGTGTGTGGATTCGTTTCTGGTTCTCTATTCTGTTCCATTGGTCTATGTGTCTGTTGTTATGCCAGTACCATGCTGTTTTTTATAACTTGAAGCCAGGAAACATGATTCCTCCAGTTTTTTTGTTTTGTTTTGTTTTTTGCTTAGGATAGTTTTGGCTATTCTGGGTATTTTGTGGTTCCATATAAATTTTAGGATTTTTTTCCTATTTCTGTGAAGAATGTCATTGGTATTTTGATAGAGATTGCATTAAATATGTATATCGCTTTGGGTAGTATGGACATTTTGACAATATTGATTCTTCCAATTCATGAGCATGAAATATCTTTCCATTTTTTGGTGTCTTCTTCAATTTCTTTCATCAGTATTTTATAGTTTTCATTGTAGAGATCTTTCACTTCTTTGATTAATTAACTCCTAGGTATTTAATGTTATTTGTAACTCTTGTAAATGGGATTATTTTTTAAATTTCTTTTTCAGTTTGTTCATTGTTGGCATATAGAAATGCTACTGATTTTCATATGTTGATTTTGTATCCTATAACTTTACTGAATTTGTTTATCAGTTATAATGGTTTTTTGGTAGAGTCTTTAGGTTTTTCCAAATGTAAGATCAAATCACCTGCAAAAAAGGATAATTTGACTTCTTTCTTTCCAATTTGGATGCCACTTATATCTTTCTCTTGTCTGATTGCTCTAGCTAGGACTTCCAGTACTATGTTGAATAACAGTGGTGAAAGTGGGCAACCTTGTTGTGTTCCAGATCTTGGAGGAAAGGTTTTCAGTTTTTCCCCATTCAGTATGATACTAGTCCTGGGACTGTCTTACGTGTCTTGTATTATTTTGAGGTATGTTCCTTCTATACCTAGTTCTTTTGAAGGTTTTTATCATAATGGGATGTTGAATGTTATCAAATGCTTTTTAGCATTAATTGAAATAATCATATGTTTTTGTCATTCATTCTGCTGGTGTGATGTATCACACTGATTGATTTGCATGTGTTGAACCATCCTTGCATCCCAGGAATAAATCCCACTTGGTCATAATGAACAATCTTTTTAATGTTTTGTTGAATTCAGTTTGCTAATATTTTGTGAAGGATTTTTGCACTTATATTCATCAGGGTTATTGGCCTGTGGTTTTCGTGTGTGTGTGTGTATGTGTGTTTAATATGTCTTTAGTTTTGGTGTCAGGATATTACTGGCTTCATAGAATGAGTTTGGAAGAATTTCCCCATCCTCTATTTTTTGGAGTAGTTTGAATAGAATTAGTATTATTTCTTCTTTAAATGTCTGTTAGAATTTAGCAGTGAAGTCTTTTGGGTTCCAGGCTTTTCTTTACTGGGATACTTTTATTATAGTTTTTATCTCATTACTTGTAATTGGTCCTTCAGGTTTTGGATTTCAATCTAGGTAGGTTGTATGTGTCTAGGAATTGGTCTGTTTCTCCTAGATTTTCCAATTTGTTGGCATCTAGTTCCTTATGGTAGCCACTAATGATCCTTTGAATTTCTGCAGTATCAGTATCCTTTTTCATCTCTGACTTTATTTATTTGAATTTTTTCTCTTTCTCTTAGTCTGGCTAAAGGTTTGTCTATTTTTTAACTTTTTAAAGACCAACTTTGTTTCGTTGATATTTTGTATTATTTCTTCATTTGAATTTTATTTATTTATGCTCTAATCTTTTATTATTTCTTTTCTTCTACTATTTTTGGATTTCATTTGCCCCTGCTTTTCTACTTCTTTAAGATGCATCTTTAGAAGTTGCTCTTCTTTTTTGATGTAACATTTATAGCTATAAACTTCTCCATTAGTACTGCTTTCACTCTAATACATAGGTTCTGGTATGTTGTGTTTCCATGTTCATGCTTCAAGAAATTTTTCAATTTCCTTCTATGTTCTTCACTGATCATTCAGGAATGACCCACTGGTCATTCAGGAATGTATTGTTCAGTTTCCATGTATTTGTATAGTTTCCAAAATTCTCTTGTTATTGATTTCTAGTTTTATTCCATTGTGGTCAGAAAAGATGCTTATTATTTCAATTATTTGAATGTTTTAAGACTTGTTTTGTGATCTAATATGGTCTATCCTTGAGAATTATTCATATGCTGAGGAAAAGAATGTGTATTCTGTAGCTGTTGGATGAAATGTTCTGTAAATATCTATTAGATCCATTCAGTCTATCGTGCAGATTAAGTCTGATGTTTCTTTGTTAATTTTCTGTCTGGAAGATCTGTACAATGTTGAAAATGGGGTGTTGAAGTCTCCAGCTATTATTGTATTGGAGTCCATTTCTCTCTGTAGCTATAATAATATTTGCTTTATATATCTGGGTGATCCAGTATTGGGAACATATATATTTAAAATTGTTATATCCTCTCGTTGAATTGACCCTTTTGTCATTATATAGTGACTTTCTTTGTCTCTTCTTTTAGTTTTTGTCTTAAAAGTGATTTCATCTGATATGAGTATAGCTACTCCTGCTGGTTTTTGGTTTCCACTGGCATGGAATATCTTTTTTCATCCTTTTATTTTTAGTCTATGTGTATCTTTATAGGTGAAGTGTGTTTCTTGTAAGCAACAGATCAATGAGTCTTGTTTTTTAAATTCATTCAGCCAGTCTATGTCTTTTGATTGGAGAGTTCATTCCATTTATGTTCAATGTTATTATTAATAAGTAAGGACTTACCCCTGCCATTTTGTTATGTTTTCTGGTTGTTTTGTGGTCTTCTCTTCCTTCTTTCTTTTCCTCCTGTCTTCCTTTTAGTGAGGGTGATTTTCTGTGGTGATTTAGTTTCTTGCTTTTATTTTTTGTGTATCCATTTTATGTTTTTTGGTTTGAAGTTTCCATGAGACTTGCACAAACTATGTGATAGCACTTTTTTTTAAACTTTTAATTCAGGGGTACATATGCAGGTTTGTTACATAGGTAAACTTGTGTCATGGAGGTTCATTGTACATATTATTTCATCACCCAGGTATTAAGCCTAGTATCCATTAGTTATTTTTCCTGATCCTCTCCTTCCTGCCACCATCCACCCTCTGATAGACCCCAGTGTGTGTGTTCTCCTGTATGTGTCCGTGTGTTCTCATTATTTAGCTCCTAGTGAGATCATGTGGTATTTGGTTTTCTGTTCCTGTGTTAGTTTGCTAAGGATAATGGCCTCCAACTCCATCCATGTCCCTGCAAAGGACATGATCTTGCATAACCCATTATTTTAAGCTGATAACAACTTAGCATTTTGCATAAAGAAAAAGAAAACTGGTAAAGACTCTATGCCTTAACTTTGTCCCCCTACTTTTAACTTGTGGTTTATATTTATATCTTATCATACTGTCTATATCTTGAAAAGTTGTTGTAGTTATTATTTTTGATTGGTTTATCATTTTGTCTTTCAATTTAAGGTAAGAGTAGTTTACACACCACAGTTACAGTGTTGTAATATTCTGTGGTTTTCCTGTGTACCTACTATTACCAGTGTATTTTGTACCATCACATGATTTCTTCCTGTTCATTAACATCCTTTTCTTTCTGATTGAAGTACTCCCTTTAACATTTCTTGCAGGACTTGTCTGGTGTTGATGAAATCCCTCAGCTTTTGTTTGTCTGAGAAAGACTTTATTTCTCCTTCACGTTTGAAGAATATTTTCACTGGATATATTATTCTAGAGTAATAGATTTTTCCCTTAGGACTTAAAATATATTATGCCACTCTCTCCTGGCCTGTAAGGTTTCCTTTGAGAGGTCTTCTGCCAGATGTATTGGAACTCCATTGTATGTTATGTATTTCTTTTCTCTTGCTGCTTTTAGGATCCTTTCTTTATCCTTGACCTTTGGAAGTTTGATTATTAAATGCCTTGAGGTAGCCTTTTTTGGGTTAAATCGCTCTGTGTTCTATAGCCTTCTTGTACTTGAATATTGATATCTTTCTTTAGGTTTGGGAACTTCTCTGTTATTATACTTTTGAGTAAATTTTCTACCCTTATCGCTTTCTCTAGCTCCTCTTTAAGGCCAATAACTCTTATATTTGCCCTTTTGAGGCTATTTTCTGAATTCTGTGCCTCACTGTTATTTATTTATTTTTCTTCTGTCTTCTCTGACCCTGTATCTTCAAATAGTTTGTCTTCAAGCTTACTAATTCTTTCTTCTGCTTGATCAATTTTGCTACTAAAAGACTGTGGTGCAATTTCAGTATGCCAGTTGCATTTTTCAGCTCCAGAATTTCTGCTTGATTTTAAAAAATTATTTTAACCTTTTTGTTAAATTTATCTGTTAGAATTCTGAATTTCTTCTTTGTGTTATCTTTCCTTTGAGTTTTCTCAACACAGCTGTTTTGAATTCTTTGTCTGAAAAGTCACATATCTCTGTTTCTCCAGGCTTGATCACTGGTGACTTATTTAGTTCAGTCAGTGAGGTCATGTTTTCCTTGATCATCTTGATACTTATAGATTTTCGTCTGCATATGGGCACTGAAGAGTTAGGCATTTATTATAGATTTCCTAATCTGGGCTTGTTTTTACCCATCCTTCTTGAGAATATCTTGAAGATATTTAAAAGGACTTTGGTGTTGAGATCTAAGCTGGATCTGCTTTATGGGGACCCCAAGCCCATTAGCACTGTGGTTCTTGCAGACTTGTAGAGGTATAGCACCTTGATGGTCTTGGACAATATCCAGAAGAATTCTGTAGATTACCAGACAGAGACAATTGTTCTCTTCCCTTACTTTCTTCCAAACAGAGTCTCTTTCTCTGCTCTGATCCACATGGAGCTGAGGGTAGAGTGACACAAGTACCCCTGTGGCCACCAGCCCAGGACTGTAATGGGTCAGACCTGAAGCAAGCACAGTACTGGGTCTTGCTCAAGGTGTGCTGTAACCACCTTGGCTACTACCTGTGTTTGCTCAAAGCCCTAGGGCTCTACAATCAGTAGATGGCAAAGCCAGCTGGGCCTATAACCTTCCCTTCAGGGCAGAAAGTTTCCCCAGGCCCCAGGTGGGTCCAAAGGTGCCATCTGGGCACCAAGGACTAGAGTCAAAAACCTTAGAAGTTCACCTGGTTTTCTATTTTACTGTGGCTGAGCTGGCACTCGAACCAGAAGATGCAGTCTTTCCCACTCTTTCCTCCCTTTTCCAAAGGCAGAGGAGCCTAACTCCATGACCATTGCCACCTCATGCCCATGAGGAACCCTGTCAGACTACTACCCATATTTCCTTAAGGTCCAAGGGCTCTCAGTCAGCTTGTTGTGAATGCTACCAGTCCTGAATCTCTCCATTCAGGGTTCCCTTCTGGCCCAGGGCCCAGAAATGCCATCCAAGAATCAAGTCATGGAATCAGGGACCTCAAGAGCCTGCTTGGTGCTCTACCGCCCTGTGGCCAAGCTGCTGCCTAAAATGCAAGACTAATTCCCCTTTACTTTCCCTCTGCTTTTCTCCAGCAGAAGGAGTCTCAGCCCATAGCCACCACATCTTGGAATGTGCTGAGTCTCACCTGTAGCTAGCAAGTCTCAGAATCTCACCCAAGGCCGACGATGTAGTACCTGGGTATCACTGCTGGTTATTCAGGACTGAAGGGTTCTTCAGTTAGCAGGTGATGAATTCTGCCAGGACTGGGTCATTCCCTTCAAGGCAGAGTTCTCTTCTGGCCCAGGGTGTGTCTAGAAATGTCCAGGGACTAGGGCCTGGAAAGGGGACTTCATGACTCTGATCAGTGCCCTATCCTGCTGTGGCTGAGCTGGTATCCAAGATACAAGACAAAGTCCTCCCCACTCTTTCATCTCCTCTCCTCAAGCAGAAAAAAAGTGGGTCTCTTTTGGAGCCACAAGTTGTGCAGCCTGGAGTTAGGCGAAAGGTTATGCCAGCACTCAGTCATCCTGGCTAGTGTCTCAGTAGGTCACATTCCCCCTGCCCCAGTCCACTGTCTCTGGGTCCATTTTAGCCCTAGAACTTGCCTAGGTGTTGTAGTTCTTGTGGTGTAGACCAGCTTTCAATTTATTTTGAGCCCCAGAGCACTTTAGCCCACAGTGGTGAGGCTTGCAAAAACTCAAGTTCTGACTGCTGGCATTGGCAGTTTCCCTCTGGCTAAGGGTGGTTGAAATGCATCCTCTGTGGTCTGGCGTCAGCTGAGTTTGGTCCAGTTTTTCTTTCTGCTATAACAAGGGCAGCACTGAGTTCAATGCCTCACAGTTGCTGGCTCTCCCTCTCCCCAGGGCACAGAAACGCTCTTCAGACCATACTCCTACTGCCAGGGGATGGAGAAGGCATGGTGTCAGCAATTCAAGACTGTTTTTCCTACCTCTTCAGTGTCTCTTTCGGCAAAATGAAGTGAAAATCAGGTACTGTGAGTGCTCATCTCATTTTTGGTTCTTACAAAGGTGCTTTTGTTGTGTGTGGTTAAATTGGTGTCCTTGAAGGAGGGATGATCAGTGGAGGCTTCCATTTTACCACCTTGTTCCACCGCATCTGCCTTAGTAATATTTTCTGGTTTCTAGCTTACTTTATGGTCAGAATACAATATATAGTATACATAACATACAAAATATGTTAAGTGTTATCAACTGTTTATGTTATTGGTAAGGCTTCCAGTCAATAGGTTTTTGTGGGCATCAAAAATTGCATGTGGCTTTTGGAATGTGCAGGAGATTGATGCCCCAACCCCTGAGTTGTCAACTGTATTTGATTACATAATTTATTTTGCCAGTCCCTTTTGTTGAATTGTAATTTGCTTGTTTTGCTCTTTTTGTTGTTGTTGTTGTTGTTGTTTTTTGCTATAATCATCAGTGTTGCAGGAACATCCTGTTATCTGTAGTTTTGGGTACATGCACAATATCCTATACTTTAGATTCCTGGAAGTGGATTACCATGTCAAAGGATATGCACATTTTAAATTTTGATAGGTACAGTCAAGGTTTTTTTTAAAAAATGCTATTCTAATTTATACTTCTGCAATACCATATGAGAATGTTCTTTTGTCTAAACATTTGTTACTCTGGGTATTTTTTTTTCTCTTTTTGACAATCTAATGGACGATAAGTAGTATCTTATTGTTTTAATTATTATTTCATTGGTTGTTAATGAGATTGAACATATTTTCATGTACACTGGTAATTTCTTTCTCTTTTTTGTGATTTTCCTTTTTGCATTATTTGCCAATTTTTCTATTGTGTTGTTTGTCTTTATCTTATTAATTTATAGATTTTCTTGTTAATTTATAGAAGCTGTTTATATTTTATGGATTTTAACAATTTGCCTATTATTTGTGATGAAAGTGTTGTCTCCTTGTTTGTCCCTTATCTAATACATTGGCTTATGATTATTTAGAAGTTTTAAATTTTTAGGTAGTCTGTCCATCTTTTACTTTATGAGTTATAGCTTTCTTGTCTTACTTAGGAAGAACAACCCACCCTAAAATTTCTAAAGTATTCTTTATATTTTTACCCAGTAGTATTCATTGCTTTAAAGATTAGGAACATAAAAAGTCATCCAAAATAAAAAGTCACATGTCAAATAAAATGATTTTTTAGTTGTTTTTTGAGAAAGTAGGTTCTAGAGCTAGGCTCTCTGAGTTTCTTTCCAGCTGTATGACCTTGGGCAAGTTACTTAAACTTTCTATGCTTCAGTTTCTCCATCTGTAAGATGAGGTTAATGATAGTACCCATTTCATGGAATTGTTGTGAGAAATAAATGAGTTAATAGATGTCAAGTGCTTTGAATAATGTTTGACACATAAAAAACAATGTTTAAGTGTTAGCTAAAAATATGCATTGGTGGTATTACTTCCTGAATCTAAGGAGTGGGAAAAAGAAATGTATCTATTACATTGTGAACACTTATAATGTTCTGACATTAACACAGGAGCTTGTGTTCAGTGTATTATGTGGTAGATATTACCACTGAGGCTCAGAGAAGCTAAGTTACTCATTTATGGTCATATAGGTAAAACAAAGTGATTCAACTAGGGAAGCTCATGTTCTTTTACTATGATCCCTGAAGTGACCCAGGCAGAGGTCTACATACAGAGGAAGATTCTACTTTAAGGTTTGTAGCTTTGAAATATCATGAAACTTGAAGATTACTTCTAGACTGTTATACATTAACCAAGTAACTGAAAAAAAATTATAGATGCAGGAACATGTTTGAATATAATAGCCTATATCTATTATCAATAACCTGTGATCTACCTCTCCCTGTCAAAAGAGAAATGAGAGAACCTATGTTAGCTCCTGTTAGTCACTAGTTTCTATTATTATTTTAACATTTTGTCAAAATTTGGTAAAGAGCTAATGAATGTCACACTAAGCAACTTTTGTCTTTTTTGTATCTTAAATAAATTTGTTTGATAGTCTGCACATGCTTTCGTTTTGGGGAAATGTAAGGAACCAGTCGTTGCTACTTTATCATCAAAATAAATATTGAAGCTTCCATGTATTAGTTCTTACTACAGAAGGCAGTATAACATTATGATAAACATTTCAGACTCAGGGACCAAATCACATAGGCTGAAGTCCCAGTTCTACAACTTAGTCGTGTGACGTTGGTCAACATACGTAACCTCTCTCATTGATAAACTGAGAACCACTCGTTGTTTTTTCCTTCATTTCTGTTACCCATTGGTTTTTCCCCAATTCTGTTAGCAACTGGATTATTTAGATGCTTACTTATTCCAAGAAGGGATGCCATAGTAGAAAGAGGGAAGAGGAAGTTGAAACAGGATTTGTGTTTTAAAATACGTTATATAGCAAATGGCATATATGATAGTATCAAAAGAAAAGGCCTTTGAGTTGAGATAGCCTGTTCTTTTAGTTTAATTTCAAAAGTCTAAGTTTCACAGGTCTCAGAGCATAATGAATTTTCTCCTCATAAACAAAACAGGCATATCTCAACCTCAGAGATATTGTGGGTCCAGGCCATTGCAATAAAGCAAATATCACAATGAAGTGAGTCATGCACATTTTTTTGGTTTCCCAGTGCACATAATAGTTATGTTTCCACTATACTGTAGTCCATTAAGTGGACAATAGTGAGTAATGCTATTGCCCACTTAATGGACTACAGTATAGTGTAAACATATTATACTGTATGTTTATATACCTCAATGACAAATATTATATTGCTAAAATATGCTAATAGCATTTGAGCTTTCAGCAAGTCATAACCTTTTTGCTGGTGGAGGCTCTTGCCTTGATGTTGATGGCTGCTGACTGATCAGGGTGGTGGTTGCTTAAGGTTGGGGTGGCTGTGGTAATTTCTTAAAATAAGACAATGATGAAGTTTGCCACATCTATTTATCCTTCTTTCACAAAAGATTGCTCTGTAGCATGTGATGTTGTTTGACAGCATTTTACCCATAGTAAAACTTCTTCTACAATTGGAGTCAATCCTCTCAAACCCTGACACTGCTTTATCAGCTAAGTTCATGTAATATCTAAATTGTTTGTTGCCATTTCGATAATGTTCACAGCATCTTCATCAGGAGTACATTCAATCTCAAGAAATCACTTTGTTCATCCATAAGAAGCAACTCCCTAACCATTAAAATTTTCTCATGAGATTACAGCAATCTCGTGACTTCTGTTACATATTTGGGATCCACTACTAATTCTAGCTCTCATGGTATTTCTACCACATCTGCAGTGACTTCCTCCACAGAAATCTTGAACCCCTCGAAGTTATCCATAAGGGTTGAAATCGACTTCATCCAAACTCCTATTAATGTTGATATTTTAACCTCCTCCCATGAATGGCAAATGTTCTTAATAGCTTCTAGAATGGTGAATTATTTCTAGAAAATTTTCAATATATTTTGCCCAGATCCATCAGAGGAGTTACTAGCCTTATAAAATGTAGTTTTTAAATAAGACATAAAAATCAAAATTAATCCTGGATTTATGAACTATAGAATGGATATTGTGTGAAAACAACATCCATCTCCTTACACAACTCCATCAGAGCTTTGATGAGGTACATTGTACATGAACAGTAATGTTTTGAAAGGAACATTTCTTTTTTCTGAGCAGTAGGTCTCAACAGTGGGCTTAAAATATTTGGTAAACCATGCTCTAAACAGGTGTGCTGTCATCCAGATATTGTTGTTTCACTTCTATAGTATAGTCAGGGTTGATTTAGCATAATTTGTAAGGGCCCTGAAACTTTCAGAGTGGTAAATGATCATTGGCTTCAATTTAAAGTCACCAGCTACATTAACCCCTAACAAGAGAGTCAGCCTGTCTTCTAAAGCTTTGAAGCCAGGCATTGACTTTTCCTCTCTAGCTATGGAAATTTTAGATGTCATTTTCTTCCAATATAAGGCTGTTTCATCTACACTGAAAATATGTTGTTTAGTGTAGCCGTCTTCATAAACTGTCTTGGCTAGATAGATTTTCTGGATAACTTGCTGCGGTTCCTATATCAGCACTTGCTGCTTCACCTTGCACTTTTATGTTATAGAGATAGCTTTTTCCTTAAACTTCATGAACCAATCTCTGCTAGCTTCCAACTTTTCTTCTGCAGTTTTCTTACCTCTCTCAGCCTTTGTGAGCTGAGGAGAGTTAAGGCCTTGCTCTGGATTAGGCTTTGACTTAAGGGAATGTTGTGGCTGGTTGGATTTTCTATTCAGACCACTAAAACTTTCTCTGTATCAGCAATAAGCCTGTTTTGCTTTCTTATCATTTGTGTGTTCACTAAAGTAGTGCTTTTAATCTCCTTCAAAAACTTCCTTTGCATTCACATCTTGGCTAACCAGTTGGTGCAAGAAGCCTGGCTTTCAGCCTGTCTTGGCTTTCAACATGCCTTCCTCACTAAGCTTCATCATTCATTGCTAGCTTTTGATTTAAAATGAGAGATGTGCAATTCTTCATTTGAACACTTAGAGGCCATTGTAAGATTATTAATTGGCCTAATCTCAATATTATTGTATCTTAGGGAATAGGGAGTCCTGAGAAGTGGAAGAGAGATGGGGGAATGGCCAGTGAGTGGAGTAATCAGAACACACACCACATTCATCAATTAACTGCACTGTCTTCTATGGGCATGGTTCATGCCACCCTAAAACAATGATGACAGTAACATCAAATATCACTGATTACTGTAACAGATTTAATAATAATAAAAAGTCTGAAATAATGTGAGAACTACCAAAATATAACACAGAGACATGAAGTGAGCACATGCTGTTGGGAAAATGGCGCTGATAGACTTGCTCAAAGTAGGATTGTCACAAATCTTGAATTTGTGTTGAATCCGAGAAGCACAATAAAGCAAAGCACAATAAAATGAGGTGTGCTGTATATTGAGAATAGAAAAAAGTCAGCTTGTCACACTCTTGGACTTGGTGGAGTCCACTGGTCTGTTTGTGTGGAGGGAGAAAAATTAGAGAAAGAAAGAAGGCAGCTCGGAATCTGTTAGCCTGAGAGAAAGGCTTGTGTCCTATGCACCAAACATCTCCACCCCTGGTGAATTCTGGTACAGAGATAGAATCTCCAGAAAGGTCTGAGTTTCTGAGAAGAGAGGACTGCATGCTCTGCTTAGGAGCAAGCATCTTGGTATTGCTGACATGCTGTGTGGCATGTGAGCAGGAGCAGGGTATCTACATACAGGGCAGACTTCATGACCAAGTGGCATGTTCAGTCACCCAGGCCTCACTCTTGATCTAATACTCTCCTGTCACCACCTTAAGACTCCTAATACTTTTTTAATAAGGAACCCATTGTGCTCATTTTGTACTTGACCTCACAATTGATGTAGCTTGTCCTGCCTGCAGAAAGGTGCCTGAAAAGGGTTGAATCCTCAGCATAGAATGAGATCAGTTATTATAATGTCCCCACCTACTGAGAGGGAGAGGTAGCTGGGAGACAGCTAACAGACCTGAAGAATCTGTGCAGTGGAGACAAGGAGGATGCTATGGTAACAGCATGGACTGATGACCACAAGCCAGTTGGCACAGCAGACATGTAGGTGAATGCCAGCATGGATACTACACAGTACTGAGGACCAGATGCTCCTAGTTGATGACTGGACATCTCATAAGTGTCCCGGAACTCCTGGTCTTCCAGGGAAATATGGGGGGAGAACTAAAATAGCCTGAGATTTTTGTTTCCCACACCCTATCCAATTGGGGCTCAAAATAAATTTAATAAAAATGACATTTCTTGCATGCATGAATGTATGGACTATAGTTTTAACTTATTATTTCATAGGTAAAGTGTGACTTATTTTACAACTGGTTTATTTGTGCATGCATTGCTATTTATGTAAGAACTATGCATCTTGCATGTTAGTGGTTTTATTTAAATTTAAAGCTCATGGTTTTGCTCCTTCTACTTAATATAACAGTTTCTCCTGCTGGCAGTCAGTTTAGATATTGAATTATTTCTCAAAAGACTTTAACTGGGTAATTCTCAGGTGACCTAAACTAATTTATTGGCCTTGTAAATCTCAGACTCTTAATTTTCAACCTTCTCTTGTTAAGATATGTCCTGGAAAGCCAACATGCATTTGTTAAATTCTGAATTACAGAAGACAGGCAACCATCTGGAACTGGAGACGTGAAGGGTTTCAGAAGAGCCCTTCACATTGTGAAGCATCATTCATGTGCTCTCAGGTTTGCCTTGTGCTATAGAGGACAAAGCCAATGACAGCCACCTTGGTCTCCTCTAGCACAAAGCAGTCGAGATGACACTAGACATAAATGGGATATGTGACTTCAAAGGAATGCCATGTCTGAGTTTCCGCATATATATCATATATGAGTTTCCTCATATATATCAAACCATATATAATATAATATGAGGGTCCCCCCACCACCATGCAAGTAAAATATTTCAAAATCTTGAACTGAGATTTACATCAATGCAAAAATGTTGTTAAAGTAAGGCTTGCTTTATAGAAGATTATGTCTCCAAGTGCGGAAATCTCCAGTGTCCTTGTACATGCATGAGAACTTTTTGTCTCTGCAAATGTCCCATTCATCTTTAATAGTGTCTGTACACCTCATAGGGTGCCCTAACAGTGTGAGCACAATATCCAAAGAGCAAGTGTCAAGTAGGCATCAGCAAAGCAAGGTATAAACAGAGAAAATGAGATTGCGCAGGGTGTAGGAGGATGAGAAAAAGAAATGATATAGTTTCTAGTTTACTAGATAGGGCCTATCTGAAAAAGTATTGTAGTCCAGTTTTAAAATGATAAACACATAGGGCTGAAAGGGCCCCCAAGAAGTCATCTGCTCCTTCCCCCAACCTCCAGGGAGGTTTTGTCTAAACCATTTTATACAGAGAGGTATCTGTCATGTTCTTAAAATTCTGTGGGGAAGTGCATTTGACAGCCTCTCTAGTATCCCATTATAATGCTTTATAACCACAAGTGTCAGGAAGCCCCCTCCTATACATATATATCCTTTTCTTCTCTAGCTAAAGCCCATTGTTTCCTGTTCTATCCTTAGTAGAGAAATGTTCATACATCTGGATACAGCTTCTGAATAATAATCTTTCCTATGTTTAAAGAGACATTAAGTGAACCATTTCTTTCTCTTCTTGAGACTAAATACTCCCAGAGGCTTTATCCTTTTTGCATTCACTCATTTTCCGTGTCCCTGTGAAGTTTTTGAGTCTCAAGCTGGGCTTCTTTTCTTGGCAGGAGTTTTCTTTGTGGGGGTTTCCAATGCGGAAATACTTTTTCAGTACTACTTCTACATGATTGACTTTCAAGACTCATCCACATAAACACTGTACAATAGAGTGAGAATGTGTCACTGGATTCTGTAGAAATGTAACCGAGCATTTTCCATGCCACCCGTTTCCTAGTGAATTCAAGGGTCCCTGAATTTCCCTGGCAGAAAGCAAACTAGGATCATGAGAGATGTTGGAAGGACTGTGGGAGCTGGCCTCAGCTCACAAGGTAGGAGGAAAGTTTAATTTCTTGATGTCACATCTTTAAGAGCCTCTATGACCCCAGCCCAAATGCCCCTGAGATGATCATTTGCAAACCCGGCAACCATTTTGAGCTCCTTGATGACTATCAGCCCAGAGACTAAGAATAAAGGCCTAATTCTTTGCTTCCCCCAAAAGGCTACAGCTCTAGGAAGATTTGGACATTGCCCCCATGGGTTCTGGGCAGCCCATGACTCTTCTGAAAGGAGGTTTGGAGGAATAGCAGAGACAGGAAGTTGAATCCTGCCCCTGACATTCTTCCCAACCAAACAAAGCCAACACTCAGTGCTAAGGTTTGAGAATGTCCTCCAAAAGTTCAAATGTTGGAAACTTGGTTGCCATTGGGGTGGTGTTGAGAGGCAGTGCCTTTGGGAGGCGATTGGGTCATGAGGGTTCTGCCCTCATGAATGGATTAATGCTGTTATCCCTGGAGTGGGTTAGTTATTGTGGGAGTGGCTTTGTTATAAAAGCAAGCTTTCTCTTACCCATACACACTCACTATGTGATGCTGAAACCACCTTCACAAATTAAAAAAAGTCACAAGATTAAAATTGTCACGGGGCTTAAATTTTTGGTAAGATATTTTCCTTTCTCTCTTTTTCCTCCTCCATGCATGATTGCTTGCATATAGTCATTTCAACAAATGATAGTCACTAATAATTGATTATCTTCCTGTCTTAGCCCCTGAGCAGGCTGCCTACAAGATTGATGAACTTGTTTTTTCTTTTAAAGAACAATGATCCTTAGATCATGAAGACCCCCTTGATGGCTTCCAGAAGTTGGACTAGTCAAGAGAGTGCCAGTCAGCTTTGACTACCAGGGATCTCACCTTCTGCAAACTTTCCTGCTAAGCTATAGGCATAGTTACACAATAACCCACCATTGTTTCCCAGCTTGTTTTCCATAGTAACTGGCAGTTTTAAACACTATTGTAAAACCGAAGACTGGTCTTTGAGATATTTTTTAGACTTTGCCCGCAAGTAAACCAACTGACACCAACTGAACCGGTGTCCTGTGATGTTAACCAAGAAACAGACTTGGCTGGTCTTGTGACTCACCTCCTTTCTCAGGAACCAATTCAATGCATGAAGACAGCTTCAACACCCCTATGATTTCATCTCAGACCAATCAGCATTACACATCCCCTACCTTTCTGCCTGCCAAATCATCTTTAAAATCTCTAGCCTCTGAAGTCTCTGGCAGGTGATTTTGAGAAATATCTCCTATCCTCCTTGCTGAGTTGCCTTGCAATAGTTAAACTATTTCTTCATTGCAATACTTGTTGTCTCAGTGTTCAGCTCTGTCTGGGCAGCAAGCAAGAACCTGGTCAGGCAGTAACAATGCCTTCCTCCGTGTTCTTTCCAGATGCTGGGGCCATACTCTTGGACTTCCCAGCCTGCAGAACCATGGGCCAAATGAATTTCCTTTCTTTATAAATTACCCAGTCTGTGGTAATCTATTATAGCAACAGAAAATGGATTAAGACATTTCTAATATCTGCCTTTCAAAAATCCTGCCCTGTGAAAATTTGTCTTCTTCCCTAAGTTCTCACTGTGGAATTGGATAATAGCAATTAATTAAAGCAGGGAAATGGGCATTGCTTCCAGGTACATTACAGAAATCTTTATTTTGAGGAGATAATACCAAATTTCAGTGACTTAAGCCCTAACTATGTTAGGAGCAGATAGGCCTCTTTTACAATAGTTGAAAAGTTACAAAACTATTTTTATTACTAAGTAACTAAAAGTGCAATGTATGTGACCATATTTTATAAAATGTAAAGAAACCTAACAACAAGAAAACACTTGATTAAAAAATGGGCTAAAGATCTTAACAAGCATCTCACCAAAGAATATATACAGGTGGCACATAAGCATATGAAAAGTTGCTCCACATTGTATGTCATCAGGGAAATGCAAACTAAAACAATAATTGCATATTACTATACATCTACTAAAATTGTCAAAATCCAGAACACTGACAACACCAAATATTGGTGAGGATGTGGAGCAAGAGAAACTCTCATTCATTGCTGTTGGGAATGCAAAGTGTTACAGCCACTTCAAAAGCCAGTTTGGTGGTTTCTTACAAAACTAAACATATTCTTACCATACTATCTAATAGTCACACTCTTTGGTATTTACCCAAAGGAGTTGAAAACTTATATCTGCACAAAAACCTGCACACAGGTGTTTATAGAAGATTTGTTTATAATTGCCAACACTTGGGAATGACCAAGATGTCCTTTAGCAGGTGAATGGATAAATAAGCTATGGTACGTCCAGCAATGGAATATTACTCAGTGCTAAGAAGAAGTGAACTAGCAAGTCATGAAAAGACATGGAGGAAACTTAAATGCATATTATTAAGTAAAAGAAACAAGTCTGGAAAAAGGCTATATATCATATTATTCCAACTACATGACATTCTGTAAAAGGAAAAAGTATGGAGACAATAAAAAGATAAGTGGTTGCCAGGGATTGGCTGGGGGGAGGAGGGAAGAATAGGAGGAGCACAGGGGATTTTAGGGCAGTGAAACTACTATGTATGATACTATAATGGTGAATACATGTCATTTTACATTTGTCCAAACCCATAGAACTGCAACACCAAGAATGAACTCTAATGAAAATGATGGACTTTCTGTGATAATGATGTAACAATATAGGTTCAATTATAGCAAAGGTACCACTCTGGTGGGGGATGTTGATGGAAAAGGCTATGTATGTGTGGGGACAGGGGATCTGTGGGAAGTCTTTCTACCTGCCGCTCAATTTTGTGGTAAACCTAAAACTGCTCTAAAAAGTAAAGTCTATTACAATGATTTTTACAAAGTAAAGGGTAACACAAATGTTAATTCTTGTTGTGATTGTTAAAATCTGACAGCCTGCCTGAAAAATAGTTTCCTATGGACAGTGCTTCATGTGCAGCGTATTTTCTACTAATATTCATGTTTATAATTCTTCTGCAATTTTATTTAGACTTGGATGGATAGAAGCAAAACATGGCAGCTTTCTCACAGATCCTAGCAGCTGATGGGCAGAGGTTAATTTGTCTGTGCATGGACACATTAGCTTGTCACATCTGCTATTAATTGCAAACAGATATATTAGTCTAATTAAACATTGCAAGGAACTGACCTAAATTGTTCAATGCCTGTTGCTATATTGACTCCACATTAGCACACGTCTGGCTACATGCTTATCCTTGCTATACTGATATGAAGTAGCAGTCTCAACTCTACAGCTAGTAACAGTTCTTGCAGTCATCACTGCTGGTATGTTAACTATGCTTGAAAAGAAAAAATAAAACTCATGTGACATAATCATGTGAATTTGATGCTGAACTACAGCCATTTCTACCCCATTGCCTTGACCAAGAGCACTTTCAAATACTTATTTTTTGTGGCAGCTGTCTAAGTGAGTTGCAGTCATTCTAATTTTGGAGCTCATTATTAGGACAAACAGTTGTGGTACATCAATAGCCCATCAGAATTAATTAAACAGGGAACAGCAACTGAATGTTCATCAGATCATTCTTAAGCAATCGGGGCAGAGGCTATATCTCTCTACTCAGACTTGAGACTGGCTTATTTTGTGCTTGCACATGGGACATGTTTAGTGATGACCAGATAGAAAATGTTTCCATGTGGCAAGTATATAAATAACAGAAGCACAGAAATTGGGTGCAGTTTTGGAATCAATTACCAATGTGCATTTCTTTCTTTAATTTTTATCAGTATTAAATTCCCTATTACAGCTGTATTGGCATATCTTTCCTTCCCTGCATTTGAATGTCTCCCCCCACTTCCCAACTTAGAAGTCCCACTTGGTGCCCACAGCGGTGTCCAACATCTAGGTACTCAGTAAATACTGACTGCATGAAAAAAATTGAGGAAACTGGTGTGAAGGAATTTTTCAATTACTAAAAGCAAACTTTTAAAAAGATAGGAAAGACAATAGTATTTTTTAAACAAAAAGATTTAGTAAAGTCAAATTTTAGAATGGCATAAGCAGGTTTTCATCAATCCTTCCAACAGTTGACATATAAGTCTTTGAATTGACACTCATGAATGTCGGAAGGTGAGGGTACACTGTACCTACCATCTTGCCAAATCCTGGTATCCCTATGGAAAACAGTCTTCCTGAGCCTGCAAGAGTACCTAAGATGGGATCCTTACAGACAGTCTTTCCTGCAAGCACTGAAGAGCTTTGCAGGCAAAGAGCAATTAAATTCTCTATCTCCTTTCACCTTTTTCCTGTATTATTTAGTATAGTAGCTTGGGCACTTGGAAATAAATGTGCTTTGCATGCTTCTCCTAACAGATTGAACAGTAGGTATGCTGAAAGATTGACGCAATGGGCCTCTGGTACTGGAAACTGAGATGCTGCAATATTGCTTTAGGAACCGTCCACTGGCTTCTCTTTAATTCTGGACTTGACATTATCTCGGCAGCATCTGGTCTCCCCTGCCTTAGTCTAAGCTTATTGGCATAACTCTTCATGATTCAAGCAATGGGCTTGCATTTTTATCTTGATAGAGGGATGAGATATAGGAGACTGAATTCAGGAATGGAAACCAATAGCTGTTTAAGAATATCTGCTTTAAAAAAAAAAAAATTCCCCCCCACCCCCACTTTTCCCCCTAAGCTACAACTCTGAAATCAGAAAGACTCTTGTTGCATATGAGTATGGTTTCATCTTTTGTGATGGGAAAATTCACTCATTTTTCATTCAATAAACACAAGAATCGGCGGCCCCAAGATGAACTAGAAATGGTCCTTGCTGTTGAGGAGCTCATAGTCTATAGAGAAGTTGAGGAAGATATCTTGATAGTGAGTAATTAGAGGAAAGAATATATAAAGCACAAGGAGGGGAGCATTGATTCTCTCTAAGGCAAGAAGAGTCTGTTGGGAAGGCTTCACATAGAAGGTGATACAGGAGCGAGTTATTGAAGAGACCTACTGCCTTTTAATTGGGAATACTTAAGGAGTCAAGGAATATTAGTATCAAATTTTATTTATTAATTCAAGTACCCAATAAATAGTTATTGATGTCTACTGTATGCTTGTCACCATTCTAGCAATAGGGTTGTCACAGTGAAGAGAAAGACCAAGTCTCTATGTTGTGGACCTTAAATTTTAGTTGAGGAGACAGTCAATTAGCAAATAAATATCTAAAGTGTCAGGCAAGGATAAACACTATAAAGAAGAATAAGAAGCAGAGCAAAGGATAAAGAACAATGATGATGGTGGCGGCACATTTTGCTTTCTTGTGTTGAGTAGATATGGAAAGCCTGACTAGGACGAGATGATGTTTGGGGAGAGAGCTGAAGGAGTATCATGGAGAGTCATGTGGGTGTCTGGGAGAAGATCATTCCAGGTAGAAGTTGACTCTGTCCAGTTTTTCAACATTAGCAAGAATTAAAGAGCTGTGTTTCAGAGAGAGAGAGAGAGTGTGTGTGTGTATTTAACAATTCCACAAAGTGGATACTTTAATATCCCCACTTTACAGATGAGAAAAATAACTTGCTAAGTCCTATCAAGAGCCTTGTCCAGGGTCATAGGGTAACTAGGGTGACTTCTCCAGGTCTTCGTTTAGGGCTTAGCATTTTTTTTCACAATTGGTACAATCTGATGCTAATTGGTAATTCTGTGAGCCTCAGGAGTCTAGGCTATACCTGTATTTTCCCCTAAAGTAATAGTTTCCAAGCCTGATTGAACACATTTGCTCCCAATTTTTAAAATTACACATTTAAAAAATATAGATACCAAGACCCCATCTCAGAAATTCTGGTTCAACAGATATGGGGAGAGACCTGGGTATCTAGCTCCTCCAGGTAGACTCTCACCCAGCTCTCCCAGATTTGAGAACCACTGTTTTAAAAGTACTTCTCACACTTTAAGGCACATAAAACTCACCTGGGGCTCTTGTTAAAATGCAAATTTAAATTCAGTAGGTCTTAGGCTGCCAGTGCTCTGTTTCTAATAAGCCAGAGCTGCTGGTCCTTGGCCACAGTCTTAGTAGAAAGGTTCCATGCCTCAGTGTCAATAACGGAACTGGGCCAGCTCACTGGGATATGGGCAATGAGAAACAGTTCAAATCCCAGTACAGAAGTATGGAGAAGGGCAATTCATCCCACCTCTGCTGTCTGTCTAGTGTTCACAGAGGTTCCTCAGAACCCAGTCCTCTGTTCCCATGAGAGCTGGAGGATAGAGCAGTTCTGAGTGGGGCATGAGCAGTAGTGAGGGAGGCATGTGAAGCTCTGTCTTAGTGGGACAAGTTGGGGGTCTCGACGTAAGCATTCTTGGATCATTCTCCTCCCTCTCTACCCAACCAGTGTACCTCTGCTGTGTGTTGAAAAAAATCCCACCTGATCCAGGAAATCTTCCTGCCTGCTTCCTACCTGGACCCGCCACTATCCATTTACCCTCAGGGCCCTTCATCATGACTACTTTCTCCTTTATTGTTACCTGCTTTATGTGAGTCATTCTAATTTCTCCAATGAGATTATAAACTCTGCAAGGCTGGGGCACTCACAGGAAGCTGAATTAATGGTAAGAAGCATAAAACCTTGACGTTAGAAAAAGCTCATGAAATTCAATTTCTCTCTTAGGCTGAAATTATGTCTACAATTCTCAACAAAAATAATTATCCAGTCCCCTGCCCGAATAGTGCCAATTCTGGAAAGCTCACTTCTTTATGAATTGCTTAATTTAAAAAACCCAAACTCACAGAATTGAAAGCTGGCTTTTCTCATTTTTTTCATTGGTAGCCAAGAAGATGAGAAATAATGATACATAAAAAATATTTTAAGTGCTTAAAATACACTAGGTCCTGTTGTAAATTTTGTGTAGTTTATTTCATTTAATCTTCACAACAATCTTATAAGGCAGATATTATCATTAACACCCCTCATCCGCACACACAGGGAGAGAGAAAGGTCAAGTAAATTGTTCCAAGGGCATATAGCTCTAGAGAGTGGAGAAGCCAAGATTCAAAGCAGACAGCCTGACTGCAGAGAATATACTGTCTGAATATGGCATATGGTCATCCTAGAAAATCAATCTATTTTATCCATTGTTTGCATGCGGAAAGTCAAGGCCACCCAAGGGGAAATTATGTCTTACTTAAGGGAAATCTCTTTTTTACTTCAGCTGTCCATCATGTGTTGGGTAAGTCAGACCACTCACTAAATTAGACTTTGTGGTCTGAAATGGTGTTGGAAACCCTAGGACAGTTCTAGAGTTTTCTAGTTAGGAGTGATGGGAGGGGGAGAAATCCTTGATCTGATCTTTTGGTTTCCAGTTAATTAAAGTTGCACTGATCCTGCAAAATAGAAATGGGCTTCCAGTTGGCCAGTACCCAGCTCAGAACAATCCATTGATTACCATTAAACTTCGAATCAAATCCAAATTCCTTATCATGGTCTACAGGACCCTACATGAACTAGACAAGTCTCCAGGTTCATTGACCCAGACATCCATAACATCTGTGGGACCCAGACGAGAGGTAAAAGTTGAAAATCATATATCTAAATACTAAAAATTATAAATTAAGCTAATAAACTGTTAAATATGTTCTATTCTCCTACTCAGGAAAATGTACCTTTCTAATAACAAAAACAGAAAAAGCACATGTGAAGCTATGATTTTTGGTTTTTATGTAACTGAAGGGCTGCAAAATATCAGATAACTGAATTTAATGATTATTGCACATGTCTAGGTGTTTAATAAAATTAAAGGATTAAAGTACTTTTCTATATTTCAAGGGTTAGTTTTTTCTAAAATAGTCAATATTGTTTATTACAATTAAAAGGCAAATGCAAATTATAATTGACTATCCAAATTTTAAATAAAATTAGAAAAGAAAGCTGAAATATTATTTAATCTTTTGAAAATTCAAAAATAACAGATGCTAGTGAGATAGTGGAGAAAAGAGAACACTTATACACTGCTGGTGGCTGTGTAAATTAATTCAGCCATTGCGGAAAGTACTGTGGTGATTTCTCAAAGAACTTAAAACAGAATTATCATTCAACCCAGCAACCGTATTATTGGGTATATACCCAAAGGAATACAAATCATTCGACTGAAAAGACACATGCCTATATATGTTCATTGCAGCACTATGCACAATAGTGAAGACATGGAATTAACCTAAATGCCCATCTATGGTAGACTAGATAAAGAAAATGTGGTACATATATACCATGGAATACTATGCAGCCATACAAAGGAATGAGATCATGTCCTTTGGAGCAACATGGGTGGAGTTAGAGGTCATTATCCTAGGCAAACCAACAAAGGGACAGAAAACCAAATAGCACATGTTCTCACTTTTAAGTGGGATCTAAACAATGAGAATACATGGACACTATGAGGGGAACAATAGACACTGGGGCCTACTTGAGGGTGGAGGGTGGGAGGAGAGAGATGATCAGAAAAAATATCTATTGGGTACTATACTTATTACCTGGGTGACAAAATAATTTACACACCAAACCTCTGTGACACTCAGTTTACCTATATAACAAAGTTGCAGATGTACCCCTGAACCTAAAAGTTAAAAAAAGAAAACTCAATTAAATATTTTTAATATTTTTATAATGTAAAATATGCACAATTCTAGAGCTTAGTGTTTATCTAGTTGTCTCAGTATTGCACTTCATACCTATCACATCCAGACCTATATACAGACAAACTTGAGATAAATATGTACTGTTTAGTATTGTAAAATGTTCCTCAGCTTCCATATGTAACTGTTGCCAATACCACCCTAATTTGTGAACACTGCTAGCGCTGGGAAATGGAATGGAAAGAGAAGCAAGAACATCAACAATCTGAGAAACAATTTTCATTATGCAAAAATCAATTGTATTTATGCTTTCTTAGGATTTGACAAGTTAATTAGTTTGTCTTTTTTTTAAGCTAAAGTGCTTTCATGTCTATAAACCTCACTCACTGCATTCCAAACCTGTGTGTCAGCACAGCGAACCTCCAACCCTGGCATTCAGACACAGTTGCCTTTTGTTTTGAGCATGTAAGTCAAGACATATGGACAATTCCCTGGAACCTGGAGAGAGTGAGTCATGAGGGCAGCTGTTTAAAACTGCAGGTTGTGATGTAACCAGAGCAAATCGCCAGCTTCTGCATGATAGACACCCATGTGCCTGCCATTTGTGTATGTATATGTTTGTGATCTACAAGTCTTTTTAAAACAGAGGCCAAAGGCAGGAGCCCCTTTTGCCTAGTGTAAAGGGGACATTGCTCTGTCCTCACTGTTTTTCAAACACATGCAGGAGTACCCTGCTTTCAGGCCTTTGTACTTGCTCACTTCATTGTGAAAGCCCTGCCGCCATAACTTCGCATCATTTTGCTCTCTTACTTCATCAGGTCTCTGCTCAAATATCTTCCCTTCCAGGTGCCACCATGGCCACTCTATCTAAAATAGCACTCCTTTAAAAATATTGCTCTATGCATTTATTATTAGCTTTACTAATGCAGAAAAAGGAAAGAAAAAGCTCGTAAACACTACGCAAGACACATTACAGGGAAAAAAAGTGACTGAAATGGATTGACAGTGTCCTAGGTTCTTGAGGGATGCATTTCTCGGGGAGGTAGACCTCTAATTCCTGGTGGAGGGGAGGGAGTCTAATTCCTGTATTATATATTTCAAGATAGCTAGAAGAGAGGATTTTGAATGATCTTTTCACAAAGAAATTGTAAGTGTTTGAGGTGATGGATATGATAATTACCCTGATTTGATCATTACACTATGTATAAATATATTCAAACATCACACTGTGTCCCATAAATATGTCCAATTATTATGTGTCCACTAAAAATAAAATAAAACTTAAAAATAAGTAAAATAGTACTCCTGCTGCCATCATTACCTTGCCGTGTTTTGCATTTCTTCGTAGCCCTTATTAATTGCTGAAATTACATTACATATCTGTCTCCCTCACCATGTGCAAGTTATCTGAAGAACGAAACCTTGTCTCTCTTTTCATGGCTATATCTCTGGTGCCTAGAGGTATTATTGAGATATATATCTGGTGCCTAAGAATATTATTGGGTCCTCAATAATATTTTTATGAGTGAATGAATAAATAAGTTTGGAATAACAGTTTATTATTGCAAGGAGGGAATTATTACATTTTAGTATGAAGGTTTTGGGTAAGGAGAGGGCTATCCTTTGCCCTCTGGGATTGCCTGGGTTCCTAGGCAACAACTGGAACCAGACACACCTCTTTCTCCCTGCAGGATATCTGAGAGCTTTGACTTTTCTCTTGGTATAATGAAGAACAAAGCAGGTGTGACACTGAGCAAATTAGCAATACTTCTCTTATCCTTACCTGGGAATCTGTGGAGCTGCCTTTCAATTAGAGTAGTGTTTTCTCTATTGCAAAAATGAATAGAAACACAATATTAACAAAGACCAAGATGATCTGCCTTCAACTAATACAAATTAACACTTTCCAAGTGACAAGATTAGCAATCAAGTGGTGGTTTTCATGTTCTAGGGAATAGATACATGAGAGTTTCATTTTCTATCTCTAGAAGAGACAAACTAGTACATACTAGGCCTCTGCAGAAGGATCTTTGCTCAGGAACCCAAACTACATGTGTCAGATCATTTCATTGGAAGACACACAGAAAATGTAAAAAAGGAGAATAAGCTGGAGCCCTGCCTTTAAGGAGTGAGAGAGTGAAGTGTTATTACAGAACTACTTATAAAAGTGAGAGTTAAAGTCTACTCACTGACTTCCATGTTGTAGCAGTTGTCCCCAAATTATTCTGTTCGTTTCTAGTCAATACTCTTACATCTTTGTATCCCTTGAGACCTCTGGGGACCCTGCCTGGAAGTTAAGCAGAGGTAACTACACTATCAAGCCTCCCTGGATGGGAGGTTATTTTATTGCTGACTGTCTGTAGAAAATTTCCATGTTTCTGGTTCTACTGTTTTCATTGTGATTTTTTGTTCTGAGTATGTATGAAAAGAAACTGTGTAAAACCCCACTGGATGAAGCTTTCCAGGAACTTGTTTCCAAATGATTGCCTTAGTAAATGTTAATGTAGACAAGTGATTAAAGAAGCATGATCAGAATGATAATTGAATAGACAGGGATGAACACATGAAACTGCAAGGATTCATGGGGTGCCTCTTATGTTCTCAGCAATGTATTAAGCACTGTGGGAGTGTACAGAACATTTGTGGTGTTTTGTGTTCAAATAGCATGCATTTCTTCTTCCTAACAGGAACAAGATGTCTCCAGAGTTAAATACATGAATTAAATGCAATTTCAATGGATGTCCCAATGTTTTAAATTGAATAACATGACTTTAAAGAAGATATGGGAAACTTCAACTCCCAGAAAAATGAAGTAGATACATACTTCTCTATTCCTTCCACTAAGTACAACTGAAAACCGTGACACTATATATAAAACAAACATAAGAAGACTCTGAAAGGCAAGAATGGGTTTTCTTTTGCCTCCTTTATTCCAGACTTGTAACTGAAGAAGCCATCAACCAAGAAATTTCCAACAGACCCAGATGGAAAAAGTCCCAGTGAAAGCCTGTTCTTTAGCCAAAGGGGCCAGAAAAGAGCAAGATAGCAGGACAAGGTATGTTTAGATAACAACTACTCTATTACCCAAGATTATCCAAACAAACAGAACCCAGAGAATGTATACACAGACACACAGACACACACACACACACACACACACATATATGTGTATATGTATGGTTTTGGCTCATTCAGGGCTGACAAGTTCCATGACCTTCCATTGGCAAGCTTCAGACCCAGGTAAAGTCAATGTTTCAATTCAAGTCTAAGATAGTGAAAAATACTATGTCCTACTTTGAAGGCAGTCAGGCAAGAGGAATTTCTATTTACTCTAGAGGGTCAGCTTTTTTTTTGTTTTTCTACGTAGGCCTCCAGCTGGTTGGAGGGGCACACTCACACCATGGAGGGAAATCTGCTTTCTGTACTCTACTAATCCAAACATAACACACCCAGAATGATATCTGACGAAATCTGTAGATACCTCTTGGCCTAGTGAAGTCAACATATAAAATTAATCATCACAACTGCTTCAGCCAAATGCCACAGAAAAAACTGTGGCACCACCCACATCCATACCAGCAAAGGCTAAGTAAGGAGCCTAGACTTCCACCCTTGCCAGTATGTAAGGAAACATCTCAGCTTGTTGGGGCAGAGTTCTAAAATGGGCACCTTGTGATAGCTGCTAAGGTCTCAGGGAATGTGAGGAATTAAGTGTGAGCCTCCTCCCTGGGTCAGTGCCACTGTACAATTCCCCAGAAGGTCCCTATGTTAGTTTCAGGTCACATGAAGGTTAGAGGGACTCTCTCGTAGCTAGGATTGCAGGAGTCCACAGTGAGAATGTGAGCCACTGAGGGCCTCTCACTTACCCTTTCCCTGTGCTGGGGAGTCTTTCTCGGCTCCCAGCTGGTCCCAGCCGAGCATGCTGCCTCATTACCTTCTCCTTTTTTGTTTAGGTATTGCCTGTCACTTTTCTGTTGAATTCTGGTGTTCTCTCTTGGATACTCTATTTGAAGCATGATTATCTACTCATTATCTTAGTTCTTGTTACTGGAGGGTGAGAGCATGAAATTCCCCTGATCAGCCATCTTGAAGCATGGACATAAAAATCTTTGACAAAAATTAGCAAATAGGGCCGGGCGTGGTGGCTCACGCCTATAATCTCAGCACTTTGGGAGGCCAAGGTGGGTGGATCACCTGAGGTCAGGAGTTCAAGACCAGTCTGACCAACATGGTGAAACCCTGTCTCTATTAAAAATATAAAAATTAGCCAGGCATGGTGGTGCATGCCTGTAATCCTAGCTACTCAGGAGGCTGAGGCAGGAGCACTTGAACCCGGGAGGCGGGGGTTGCAGTGAGCTGAGATTGCGCCATTGCACTCCAGCCTGGGCAACAGAGCAAGACAGCATCTCAAAAAAAAAAAAAAAAAAAAAAAAAAAGCAAATGGAATTAGACAATATATCAAATAAAGTTTATATTGTGACCTAGTGGAGTTTATTCCACAGATATAATTCTGGTTCAACTTTTGAAATCAATTGTGTAATATACCATATTAATAGGCTAAAGAAGAAAAATCACATAAGCATATCAATTGATGCAAAAAGTTGACAAAATTCAATACCCATTCATAGTAAAACCTCTTAAGAAAAATAGGAATAAAGGGAAATTTCTCAACTTGACTGAGAAGATCTATAAAAACCCTATAGTTAACTTCTACTTAATGGTAAAAGGCTGAATGGCTTTTCCTCTAAAATTGGCAACAGGGAAAGAATGTCTACTCTTACTCCATAGTACTAGAAATTCTAGCCAGGGCAGCAAGGCAAGAAAAGAAAACAAAAGATATATGTATCTGATATTGTTTGGCTCTGTGTCTCCACTCAAATCTCATCTCAAATTGTAACCCCCATGTGTCAAAGGAGGAGCCTGGTGGGAGGTGATTGTATCATGGGGGCAGATTTCACCCTTGCTGTTCTCATGATAGTAAGTGAGTTGTGATGAGATCTGGTGGTTTTAAGTGTGGCATTTTCCACCTTGCTCCCTCTCTCTCTCCTGCTCCACCATGGTAAGACCTGCTTGCTTCCCTTTTGCCTTCCACCATGATTGTAAGTTTCCTGAGGCCTCCTAGTCATGATTCCATTTAAGCCTCCAGAATTATGAGTCAATTAAATCTCTTTTTTTCATAAATTACCCAGTCTCAGATAGTTCTTTATAGCAGTGTGAGAATGGACTAATATAGTATCAGAAAAGAAGAAATAAATCAGTCCTTATTTGCAAATAACATGATTGTCTTAATAGAAAAATCCCAAAGAATCTACAAAAAAACCATGTAGAACCGAAAGTTTACATGAGTTTAGATAGGTCACAGAATATAGTATAAATATACAAAAGTTAACTGTATTTCTAGGTACTGGCAATGAGCACATGGACACTGAAATTAAAATAATTACTGAAATTAAAAATGATACCACTTAGGGTCACTTAAAAATTAGATACTTAGACATAATTCTAACAAAATATGTAAAGAACTTGTGTGCTGAAAAATATAAAACATTGATGAAAGATATTAAAGAAGATACAAATATGTGAAGAGACATGTCATATTCATGGATTGGAAAATTCAACATAGTAAAGGTGTTGGTCCTCCGCAGTTGATAACAGGTTTAACCTAAGATTTTTTCTAAATGTGAGAAAGATTATTTTAAAACATATATGAAAAGATAAAGGAACCAGAATTGGTAAAACAAAATTGAAAATAAAGAGTAAAGTGGGAGAAATCAGCCTACATGATTTCAAGACTTATTATATAGCTACAGTAATCAAGTCTGTGTGATATTTAGGCAGAGGGCTAGACCTGGAGATTAATTAATACAGAATAGAGAAACCAGAAATAAATAACCCAAACCAATATGCCCAACTGATGTTTGACAGAGGTCCCAAAGCAATTTAGTGGAGGAAGATAGCTTTTTCAACTATGTTGCTGAAGCAAGTGGACAAAATATATGAACAAAAGATGTGCACATATATGTCACTATATGTCGAAGAAGATATGTCGATGGAAAACAGCAAATGAAAAGATGTTAAATATTATTGCCATTTGAGAACTGCAAATTAAAACCATAATAAGATATTACTACACATCTATCCAAATGGCTGCAACAAAAAATAGTGACAACACAAATGCTGACAAGAATGGAGAGAAACTGAGTCACTCATATATTGCTGGTGGGCATGTAAACTGGTATAGGCATTCTGGAATATAGTTTGCTCATTTCTTATAAAGCTATACATGCAACTAGCATACAACCTAGAAATTACACTCTTGAGCATTTATTCTAGAGAAATGAAAACATACATTCACAAAGAAACCTGTATGTAAATGTTGATATCAGCTTTATTTGTAATATCCTGTAAATGAGAATGATCCAGATGTTTTTCAACAATGAATGATTAAGCAAATTTTGGTACACTGAAACCATGAAATACTACTTATCAATTTAAAAGAATGAACCATTGATTTAGGCAACGACTTGGATAAGTCTTAACGGAATTAAGCTGAATGAAAAAGTCCCATCTCAAAAGGTTATACACTGCATGATTGCATTCATATAACATTCTTGAAATGACAAAATTATATAAATTTAGAATGTATGAGTGGCTAAGGAGCAGATGAGGGCAGGAGAGAAGCGGATATGACTATAATAGAGCAACACAAGCATTCCTTGTGAGGAAGGAAATGTTCTATATCTTGACTGTATCAATGTCAGTATGCTGATTGTGATATTGCACTACAGTTTTTCAGTGTGTTACCATGGGAAGAATTATGGAATTTCTCTATTATTTCTACAACAGCAAGTGAATCTACAATTATCTCAAAGTAAAAATAATAATTTTATAAAAAAGAATGTATGGAAGATTAAATGAAAATAGTCAACAAAATTATTAAAAAGAAAAGCAGTGATATTTTTCTATAGATTAAATAATCCCCTAGAGCCACTGTAATTAGAATAATATAGTATTGGCATAAAATGCCAATGGAATAGAATAGAGAGCAAATAAATATATCCCAATGGCTATGGGAAGTTGTCATATGCCAAAAGTAATATTTCAATTTTTGGGGAAAAGAATCATTTATTTAATAAATGATGTTGGCATGACTTTATTTTATTTAGAAATAAAAAATACAAATTGTACTCTTACCTTTCATTATATATAAAAATAAATCCCAAAAGTGTTACAAATTTAAGTATAAAGTATAAGGTTATAAAAATTTTAGAAGAAAAATTAGGAGAGAATAAGGGTAAGTGCAAGACAGAGTATTAGAAGCCTAATTCTAGTAGAAAAACAGAAGAAAACTAGAAGGAAAAACACTGATTGTATTTATTTGTATTTGCCCTTCAGTAAATTTTTTTATCCATTTTTCTATTATGCTGCAATTAAAAATTTTAATCAGTGAGTACCATTAATGTACAATGCTGGTGAAATTGAAGTATTACAACCTTAGAGCCTTATAGTCTGGAAATATCTATAATAACTTGAAAATGCACATACATTTTAATATCAGTTCACTTTTGGAGAATTTCTCCCTTAGAAATAAATACAGCAGTTTGAAAAAGAACATTACAACATTATTTATAATGACAAAATCAGAAACATTCTGAATGTTCATCAGTAGCAGATTGGTTGAATAAATTGCTGTGCATTGATATTATGCAGCTGTTGATAAAGAACGAGTTCTACCAATACTGATTGACTCACAAAGTTTTTCTTATGAGCTAAAGAGAAGTAACTGTTAGGTAATCTAAGTTTTGTAACATAAATGACCACAAAGCCCAATATATGTACTTATATATTCATACATAACTAATGAGCATGAAAAGAAGGGTGGAAGGCTGTATACCAACATGTTAACTTTGGCTCTTGGGTCAGGAATAATGTGAGGGAGAGGGGTGAGGAGAAAGGAGGAGAGATGAGTAAACAGAAAGATTAAGATCACGGAAGAGGTGTTTTGAATTTTTAAAAGGTATGTATAATACAAACTTATTTATATATAAAAAAGTATGGTATGTATGTGTCTAAAGAAGGATATGAAAATTTGGTCACATAGTGCTACTAATGATGATAGTCTCTGAGTGGTGGGACTTAAGTAATTTTTTTTAACTTTCTTCCTTATAATTACATGAATTTGCTCAACTTTCTAATAATAAGAATGTATTATTTATATATTCAGAAAAAGCAATAAGGCTTATATTTTAATTTAGTGGGGGAAAACCAACACATATTTTTATACTTATTTTAGTGTCATTGAGGAGAATTTGCCTAGGAGATGCAAAGAGAGAGAAGCCTATACTTTGAGGGTGGAAGCCCCTCCAACAGGTAAGCTGGAGTTTCCAGGATGGAGAGAATAAGGGCTTTACCTCCAGGGAGCTTGACTGGTATAATATCCAAACAGCAATATTGAGTAGACACTGAAATATTTGAAACCAGAATTCAGAGGAGAGGGCTAACCAAAGTTTTAAACCTGTTCAACTGGTCATTTGCTGGTACCTTTTTGTTGAATCTGGAATATAGGGAAGGAGAATCGATTTTGAACAGAACCTATAGAGTTACATTAGTAGCCTAGAAGGGAATGAATTTTAGAAGGCTAAAAAATTCAGCAGTGGATAAAAGAGATAGTAGATGTCAATACATTTTAAAGATGTTTTGTATTAAATAAGACTTCTTTTAAAAGAAGTTGCAACAATTCAACAAATACTTATTGACTATTTCCACATGCCAGGTGCTGGGCTCAGCATTGGGTCTAGCAGGAAACCAACCCCTTTAACTAACCTAGGGTAAAGGTAGGTGGAACAATCATGGTCATATGTGTAGTTCATCTACTGTATGAGGCCGACCCAGAATGAATCGAAGACAGACACCAGAACAGGCTGTAAATGATCAACACTCTTCCACTTGACACTTCTTGTTCAAGTTCCTTCTTTCCAGGATCTCAGAAAAATATCAAAAAAGATTTATATCAATTCCTCATCTCCAATGTACACTTGGAGCTCTCTTTAATGACCTTGTTTCCCTCCCTATTAACATTGTGCCAACATTCACTATTACTACCTTCTTCTGTTGAGTTTTGTGTAAGTTTTGATTAGTTAGAATGGTTTTGCAATAAAGCTGAGAAATTGTCTTTTTTTCCTAACTTTAATAGATGCTGATTGCAAAGTAGATATGATTATTTTCCATTTTACAGATGAGGAAACTTGGAGATGTTAAGTAATTTGTCCAGAGTATCGGAGGTTTTTGCTGGCAGACTTAGGACTTCTGAGTTCAAAGTGCACACTCTTCCTTCTGCAACAAGTGGCACAGTGTCTTACGCAACAGTCCTTGAGGGCCTCCCTTCCTGAGGATGCAGTAGCAGTGGAACAGCAAGGCCTAAGTGCTCTGCAAACATTTGCTGCCCAGTGAGGAGGAGCTAAATCTGTCCCAAGTAGGGGTATTGTGTCTTTTTTTAGCTTTATACCTATTTTTAAGTTGCCAGCTTTTTGCTAGGCACAGTTTGAGGTCCCAATTAATAATAGGTCCAGTTTAATAATAATAATAGTAATAATGACCTCTATTTACTTATGTTATTTTGTGGCAGGAAGAGAATCAAGCACATTTCATGAAGTAACTCACTTTATTTTCACAGCAGTCCTATGAAGTAGGTATTTCTATTACCCTTGTAGGTAAGAAAATGGAAGCACAGAGAGTTTAGGTAACTTACCTAAAACCACACAGCTAGGAAGTGATAGAGCTGGAATTGAAATCTGGCAGAATGACTCCAGAGTTTTTCATCTTAACCATACCGTTCAGATCCATCATCAAGAAAATCAAAGGAAAGAGGAGATAGCCAAGTGAACAGACAAATGCCATGCAGAGTAGTAAGGACCATGATTGAGGCATACACAAGGCACTGTGGAGTTTGGAGAAAAGCAAGACCTAGGGAGAAAGTGAGGAGAATTGTCCCACGAAGAATGCAGAGAAAAGAAGATAGACCTAGGCAGTATTAGTATTCATATTTTATAGGTGAAGAAAGAGAGGCCCAGAGAGATTAAGTCATTTTCCCATTTGTAGCTGGTAAGGTGGTAGAACAAGGATTTGAACTCAGGCAGTCTGGCACCAGATTCTGTGCTCTTAGTCCCTGTATTGTGATGAGAGTAAGATAGTGAGCTAAATTTCGAGCATCTCAAATTTTAGACGACCATGGAGACATCAAATGGCAATTTTCTGTAGGCAGTTGGGCACATAATCCTGGAGCTCAGGATGGAGATCCAAATTCCTCTGCCAGCTCAAACTGGCACAACGATCTTCTGCAACAAGACAGCCACAAGCAGGCACTTCCTGTATGGTCATTTTAGGGTTCATGTCCTTAATATCCCAAGCATATTAGAAGCATGAACTTTAACAACTGATTTTTAACTAGATGCTTAATGAAATTTTAATAAGCACTGGCTGAAACCATTGGGCATCAATGGAGGGGAGAGACTGTGCTTATAAAAAATGACTCATTACCTTAGATTCTTTCTGGAATAAGGCAGTGGGATGATTAGGTAGATAAAATATTCTAGGACTCTTGCTTGTCATATGATTCTGGATACAACAAGGAGATAAGCCCTGATATGGAAAAAGGTTGGCAGAATTAGTGAGAAAAAGCTAGCCTCAAGGTGTAGGAAATAACCAAATTAAATGGGCTGCTTGCAGGCACAAGTCTACTGTGGGCTAATTTGTTTCCTGCAAAAATAAAAAAAAAACCCCTCAACTCATTTTTGTCCTCTTAAATTTTAAACAGATACTGTGTAATTGCACTTCCCTTCTCTTAAGATTGTTTTGCTTGGGCAAGAGGAGAGTGGAGGGTAAGAGGGAGGGAGAGAGAGAGAGAGAGAGAGAGGGAGGGAGGGAGGGGGGGAGGGAGGGAGAGAGAGAGAGAGAGAGAGAGAGAGAGAGAGAGAGAGAGAGAGAGAGAGAGAGAGAGAGAGAGAGAGAGAGAGAGAGAGACACATACATAAGCCCTGGGCTCCATCTTGTTGCTTATCAGGGATGCTAATAACATCCCACCTGCCAGTACAACCGGGAGATGGGTATGTTTCATCTAAGAATCTTCTCTTTGAAATATCAGTGCTTACTCTTTTTCTGAGGAAAATTCCAACTTCAATTTTCTTTCATCTCTGACTCTGTATGAGAAGCTATAGTTTAACTGCACTTAGTTGATCAATTGATTAAATATTGACCTCATTTGCTGGCTCAACCCAGACAGGATATAGAGAAAGCATGAAGCCTCTTTTTCCAGGCCACATGCTCATGTTTTCTCCATCCCTGCAGGACATTTATTCATTCACCAGATCTTTGCAGGCAGCATATTATAGGCCAGTTACTGTTTTAGTGCTGGGGAAATGACAAAGAAGAAAAGCTCACTATCTATCGAGGAAGACAGGTCCACAGGCTGTTGCAGTGCCATGTGGAAAGTACTGCAATGAGAGTAACCATAGGGTTCCATGAAGAGACATATAGGGGCATAAAACTAAGATTTGGAGTATCAGGGAAAGCTTCCTGCAGACAGGTGTGATAACGAGGCAGAGACCTGAAGGCTAAGCAGAAGTTAGTCAGGCTGAGGGGGATAAGAGGAAAGGTACAGGGCTCCAATCTATGAAAACAGCATGTACTAAAGTCTTGAGGCTAGAAGAGGGAAGGCCCAGCGGTCATACATGGCTTAATGTGCCTAGAAAGTGTGAGTAGGGAAGAAGGAAAAAGGAGTCTAGGTGGTAAGATAGATGGGCAGGAGAGGTAAACAGAAGGGTTTTGGATGACAGGCCCTATCATAAGCCTAAGGAGTTTGCTTTTTACTCTGATTGAGATAGGAACCATTAAAATGTTTTGAGCAAGGGAATGACAAGATCAGATGTGCATTGTAGAAATACTGTATTGGTATGGATAATGACTTAGAGCAAGTTTGTCCAACCTGGGGCCTCTGGGCTGCCTGTGGCCTGGGACAGCTTTGAATGTGGCCCAACACAAATTTGTAAACTTTCTTAAAACATTACAAGATTTTTTTTGCAACTTTTAAAGCTCATCAGCTACTATTAGTGTTAGTGTAGTTTATGTTTGGCCCAAGACAATTCTTCTTCTTCCAGTGTGGCCCAGGGAAGCCAAAAGATTGGATACCCCTGACTTAGAGGATGTAAGACTAGAGAAGCGTCATTGGTATGTTGCAGTGGTAATATAGATATGAGAAGATATTAGCCTGAAATAACAAAATAGCTTGGTAATGAATTGCTTTGGGGGATTAGAAACAGGGAGAAACCAAGGGTCAAGGATGGAACTATGGTATAGTGAGGCTGTGAAGAGGGCTCACTGTTCCCTACCCTGAAGATGTCTGCAGGCCACACTTCTTTTGTTTGCTGCTTGCAGAGTTTTAAGCAACTCTTGGAAAAACAGACTGTGTAATCTATTTGTTTCCCATTCCCTCACTCCATGCTACCGTGACTCATTCAGCCAATTCATTGTCTGTAGTCTATGCCTTTGAGAAGCTTGCAGACAATTAAACAAGTGATTAGAAAACCATACCAGATTACATCAACATTTTAGGGCAGAAGCATGGAGAATCTAAAGGGTTTGCATGCTCTGAAACTTACTTTGGCTTCCATGTTCAGAAGAAAGGTAGGAAAAAATACCTTAATGCAAAATGAAACATTCCTGATGGTTGAATTCACATTTGTATGACAGTATCACAAAACATCTTGCTAGCAAATTTTCCTAGGAGTTCTAGATACACATTCCCAATTTCTTTCTAAAAATCTTGATATTATGTTCTTTAGATACATCAAACTTAGCATTTCCAAAAACATCTTATGAACTTTTCTTCTGTATTCCCATTCTTGGTGAATAGTGTTACCATCTATTGTCACTCAAGTTAAAAGCTTCAAAGACAACCATAATTTCTGCTCCCTCACTGTACACACCCCTTCTCAATTTCAACTTGGGCAGGAAGACTTGCCAAGTCAATATACAAAATATATATTAATATCCCCACTGCCCTAGTTCAAAATGGCACAAATTTTTCCCTGAACATGCCACAGTTGTAGAATGGTCTCTCAGAGCCTACTTCGTTTCCTACACTCTCATCACAGTACTTCTTCAGTAAGCAGCTTACATTATGTCATAACTGAAAACCACACCCAAAGCATAAAGTCTCCACACCCAAAATATAAAGTCAAAACTTTTTAACAAGGTTCTTCACAGTCAGACCCCAAATTATGTTTATAGTCTCTCTCCCCCGGACTGTGAGCTCCCCTAGGGCAGAGGCTATGCTTTATTCATCTTTGTAGACTGTCTAGCACAGTGCATAACACATAATACTTGCTCAATAAATGTTTGCTGAAAGAATAGGGCTAGAAATGTGGCACCTTCCCATATATGTATTTACTTCCTTTCAAGTTAAAATAGTCCATGGTGTGTTTTGTTGCAGGCAACATGACTGCAGCACAATCAACTATGGCTTTGCTGATCTCGTGTATCATCATCCTCATCATCCTCATCCCCGCAATTGCAGCAAACGTCCAGTTGTGCACTTACTGCTGATGATGAATAAATGTATAGAACAGGAAAAAATGTATCTCACCTTCAGACAGAAGGTTGCACTCACATCCTTAGCAGTTATAAACAAGGCTTAAAAACAAGACTGAGTTTACATGAATGATTTGTTTTTAGACTGAGGGCTATATGATTGCTTTGGTAGTAGTGGTCCCTAATGGAGCTATGTTAATTGGCATCTGGGTTAGAAAAGAAAAATTAATATGGCCCTCAGAGGCAAGAACTGGGGCTCGTCTACATTTAGTGGAATCTTTCAGAGCCTCTTTAGAGGGGCACACACCCTAGAGAGGATGATGAAGACAAAAATTTTGAATGTTGGAAAAAAATTGTGTTTGAAGAATAAATTACATAGAACATATATGTGTGTGTGTGTGTGTGTGTGTGTGAGGGAAAGAGACAGAATGGGAAATGGTCAGTGAGGGATGTACCAAGTTACAGTATCTTTTTTCACCCATTATAAAAGAAATACATGTTCATGTTAGAGATCTTGAAATAAATAAAAGAAATTTATGTTTATTTTAGATATCTTAAAATAAATTTAAAGAAAAAAATCAAATAGTAATCCCAACATTCAGAATAACAAATGTTAATGTTTTGGATTATTAACTTCCAGTCTTTTTGTATGGTTGTGTAACTAGTATAACATACTGTTAAAGACTACAAGCCTCTGTCATTTAATAGACATAGTGTCAAGTTCCAGTATAGCCACTTCCTATTGAAAGGTTATTTAAAATATTAAAGCCTCAATTTTTCCCAGTAAAATGAAGATGAAGATGATGGTAATAATAATAAAAAGTAATCCATAGGTTTGTTTTTAAGATTAAATAAGATAACATGCATAGAGTGCTAAGCTTGGTGCCTAGAGCATAGACTAAGTACATAATAAAAGTTAGGTAGTTTTTTTTTATTTTAACAAAACGAATTTTATGCTCTCTCTGTGTGTGTGTGTGTGTGTGTGTGTGTGTGTGTGTGTGTGTGTGTGTGTTTCTGTAGTTTAATCTCTCCCATATCCTTGATTATTTTCTTAGGATGAATTGCTGGAAGTGGAGTTACTAGGTCAAAGGGCATGTATATTTGACGATTCTTGATACCTAGTACTGAATTGTCCTCCAAATAGGCTGTACCAATTCATCCACCCTCTGGCTTCATATGAGAAGTCTCACTTCTCACCCATACCAACAATGGGCATATATAGATATAGATATATAGATATCTTGCCAATTTAGTCGGCAAAATACCCTTATTTTAATTTATTTAATAATTTATAAATATTATAGTGTCATTTGAAGCCACAACCCTCTGGGACTGATTAAATAGATGAGAAGTGCCCATTATATAATATGCTAAAGAAGCTGGTTTTATCCTACAGAAGATAAGATCAGAGGCGAAACTTCATGACTATCTTCAAGGATATAAGGAGGTTTATGTGAAAGCATTGTTTTCCATGTTATAAGTAGTTAACTAAACAAGAGAAGCTGGGCTATGATTAAAATAGTTTAAACTTCTCTTGAATGCAAGGGCAGAACTGCCACTTTCAACATGACAGAGTACTAGGAAGGTTCTGAGAAAGATCTTGGGGTCCCTGAAGCTGTAATGACCAGCACGGTCACTTTTTTGCCTTTGGTGGGACATCCAGCTCCCTGAAGGGAATGGGCACACCACCTGATTTATTTGGTCTCTTCCAGTTCTGTGATTCTATAGTTAATTTAGTGAAGTGTTGATTTTGTGATATTTTTGAAACTAGAAAAGATGGATTTATTCCAATGCATCCATCAGGTGACATTTTCGAACAGATAAATTAAGCTCTGTCTAGAAACCATCTCTCCTGTTACAAGTACAGACAAATGCAATGCAGTTCCTGCCATCAACCATCTTATTAGAAGCAGATTAATAACTAGCGATGATGACTACAGCCTTTTTTAAAAAACAGAACTTTCTGTATTTTTTCGTGCTCGGGCAGTGTTTTACGGAAAGGTGTATTTACTGTGAAGAATGTTTAATGGCAAAGCACATAATGAAGAAATAAATGAGTACAAAAAATGATTTTTTTGTTGTTGTTGCTGGCCAGTCTACTCCAGCTCTTCCCCCTGGATTCTTTCACACAAAGAACACGTTGTTATTGGAGCCATTACAGAGCTCCTCGGCTTTGCTAGGCTCTGCGGGGCTCGAGGGAAATGGCTACAGATTGCAGCAGAAAAGTCCATCAGACAGATCACATGTGACCCCACTGTTTCCAGGAAAGAATGCACTGGAACACTTCAGCTGAATAGACAGATTTTCCAAATGTTTTAAATCAGTTTTGAGACAAAAAGAGGAAGATGCTAAGAAATGGGTTTGGCCTATACACATTCGACCACGCAGTGTCCATTTCTCTGGAATGCAGACATTAGGGGCTTTCATGTGGATGGGAGGACCTTAAGGGGAAAAAACCCCAGCCCACCACAACAATTAAGCAACAATTGAAGAAAAGCAGGGAAGAAAAGATGGCCCTGTGTTAGTACAATAGCTCAGGGGCTTTTCATTTTGGGGCATAAAGACAGAACAGAGAATGTTGTTTTCTTTTTAAAGCCCTTTTAAAAATGGTAACTGCATCCTGCTCTTGTAGATGTATTACTTATGACATCCCAGTTTTCATCCGTTCATGATTTTACATTAGAGTTAAATCTCTGCAGCTTGAATCTCACGGCTGAGTTAGCCAGAGCCCATAAAATATTGAAACCTTTAGAGCAGCAGCCAGCCAGGTTGAGAGAAGTTCATGTCCAAAGCTGAGCTTTAGATTCTGAGACATCCCAATTGGAGTGTAGTACAGAAAAAAGCACTGATAAAATTTTCATAAAAATGAGCTAAGGATATTGCTAGCATGCTTCTCAGCATCTATATGAAAACTTAATCTGAGCTAATGGAAAGGATATGAAAGCCTTTCTCAATTCAAACATAGTCAATGCATGATTCATAAATTATTGTCAGAGAAGTGATTCAGCTCCCAGATTTATTCTCTTTTGGGTGGAAGCAACCAGAGGAAAACTGGGTTTTTTTTGACCTTTAATGCCAGCAAATTTTACAGTAGAGCTGTCAGTATAACCAAGTAAAGTGGTCATTTCTCCAAACAGCAACAAAATACCCACATATACCCAGTGCGAGCTAATATTAACTTGGCCTACTAGGTTACTGGCAGTACATTCAGAGCAGCAAATACCAAACATCTGAGCTTATCTGGCTATGCAAGATTGAATGAAAGCTGAATGTGGCCATGTCCACATCATCCACAGTAATTTGTATGAAATGTGCTCAGTTGTCTCCTTGCCTTCATGCCCTTTGGGTGGTGACAACTGTATGGACTCACATAACCCTATAAAGATGGAATTATTTTCTTATTATTATTAGCAGCAGCAGCAACAGCAGCTGCTCAAATTTATAGATAAAGAAAAAGGACCTTGGTTTGTGCACTGGATCATAAAAGCAATTGTGTTACATGGAAATTGTAGGCATTGTTCAGAATAATGTGAAATAAAGGTAAGAACGACAGTAGGATGGAAACTTAAACAGCCCTGCTTGTGAGGAAGCCTCTTAGAAACGTCCTTTTAATCTCATACCTTTTCATTCATCAGATATGTTTGAGCCCCTATAAAACGCTATGCATTGTGGAGAATACAAAAATGAAAATGCAAACCCTGCCTTCAATGAGTTAATAACTTTATGCAGGAGAGCTGTAGAATTTCAAACTTGAAAAGGTTCTTTAGAATCATTTAGTTTAATGCTTCTCTTCAGAGCTTTAATCTTTTCTATGATACTCCTATGACTACTCAATCAACCACAATTGAGCATCCTTAATAAGAATCTCTACCCCTGGTTGATGGTGTCATCCTTAGCCAATCATCCAAGTTAGAAACCTAGAACCAATTTTGATTCCTTATTTCTCAAACCCTTGCATTTAGTGTCAGCATTTGCCACAGATAATTCATGGGTAGATAACCAGTGTTTCTCTAAACAGTTTTGGCCCCTCCTCTGTGTTGCCACAGGCTCTGTTCAGGCTTAATTATCTCTCACTAGGACTGTTTCAAGTATTGTCAGAATTTCCCTGTCTATGATCTCTTCTTCCTCCAGTTTATCCTCCATTTGGTCACCATACTTTCTTTTTAAAACAGACCTGATCATGACACCCATGAATTTTAAAAGCCCTTTATGGCCCTTCATTTTTTACAGAATTAAGTCCAAGCTCATGAGCATACTATTCAAGGCCCTCAGAATCTGATTCTGACAGGTCTTTTTCAGGCCCATCTCCGTGCAATCATGTTCTGGTCTATAGCAGTTGTTCTTAACCCTGGCTGAACATAAGACAAGAGCCATGTAAGATTTAGTCCTTCTTTCAAAAAGCTTATAATCTAGTATGGAACTAAATCACTATGAAATAAAATATAGGAAAACAGAAAGCAATCTGTCATTAAGTTAATTAATATATTACATGAAATATGGCCAGAAATTTAGTAATAAACGTAAAGATATCCCTCTCCTGATATGTGAAAATTAAGGCTATTTCTTAAACTTCTCAAGTATGGGTGTTTGAAGGGCAGGCACAGTTTAATTCTAGAGGCAGAAAGCTACACCCAGATGTTATATTATGATTCTGTCCCATTCTGTTTTCTTGGCCATTGTTGAGCCCTGCAGTGGTCCTGTATGAATTCTGCTTAAGAGGGACCCGATGGTTATGTATTCCAGGAGTTTTAGGAATATTTGTGCAATTGGAGTTATGTTTGGGATAATTGCTATGTGTACTTTTACATTTAAGATCTATGGAGTAATATTCCAAGACATGAAGAAAATATAAGTAATTAGGTCAACTTGAGGTCTTCCTTGTTGAATTCCTGCAGCCACTGGTGGAGAATGGCTAACAATCACCTTCCCCATGCTGCCTTCTCAGTGCTTCTTATAACCAGGAGGCCTCAGGCGTGGGAAGGGTGTGGGGGCTATTGCCAGCTTCAGGGATGGGAGCAAAGCAGTAAAGTCAGGACATTGTATAAGTCAACTCTGATGTTGAGAATTGTTTTTCTTCTTAAGTGTTTATGTCATGTACCAAGGTGTATAGTATACATACCGTAGAAGCAGAAGGATGTGGAATAAGAGCCAGTGTGCTATTTAAATCAGGTCTAGGGGAAGAAAGAAGATTCTTCTAATTAGCTTTTCAAAATCATTGTGATCACAAGCCTGGGATCAGAAAAATAGAATGAGATATCCTTGTATACCTGTGTATGGGACATTTCAAACACTTACTGTAATTGTGCGACATCAATAGAGCTGCTATTTCAAGAGCTGCTAGAGATTAAATTCTACTCTGAGGTTAAAATATTGGTCTTTGTGCTAGAAGATTAAAGAGAACACTCATGTCCCTTTTCCATATGGGCACATAATTGTATTAGTAGCATTTACCAAACTCCTTAAAAGATGTACCTTATTTAGTTTGATTAAAAAAAAAAAAACTAAAATCAGCCTGGGAAATCAGCATTTCACCCAAGAAAATCAGCATCTAAGCAAAAGCCCTTGGAAGCAGGGATGTTTTCTTGCTCACGGTTTCCTTACACTCTGGCTGCATCCAAGGCTATTTGGTCTCAGGATGTCTGTCACCTATAGACTCAGATTTTATGAGTGCTGACCTCATTTGCTTCCTTTGTTTTTAATTGCCCAAGCAGCAGTGAAAAAGGAGGCAAAGAATACCATTACGGCTGGCCAAGTTAACATACATAAATGGCCCTGTTATATGGAGAGGCTGTAATAAGTCATGTGATAGAGAGCAAAGGCAGCCCAGCGTGCAAAGGGAGCAATTTTCTGCCCCGCAAACAGCACTTCAGGTGCTGTCGTTCATCTTTCTGTGACTTGCTCTGTCAAAGTCCGCCCAGAGCAGAGGTGTTCAGGGACCCAACAGGCCGTAAGTGTCCAGCTGAAAAACCTGGGAGATATCCCCAGGCCCTAGGAGTTCACTTTTTCAGTTGCACTGATTTACTTCAGAATGCTCCTTCAGGGAATTTCTGCCTTCCATTGCTTTACTTTCCCATTTCCTTTCTTGTCATCTTTAAAAATCCATTAAAGATCACGCAGACAGTTTCTGCAGGCTCAAATTTCTGAGAGTTTCTGTCGCTTAATAAAATGGGCCCTTTCAGTGGGCTGTGGTCTCCTATGTGCTTTCAGGGTTCGGATATGATTAAGACTTTTAATTAGAGGTGGTCATCGTAGATCAAGAAAGCAAAAGATGGCTGAAATTCTCAGGAAGTCAGCATTTTCCCATCGGGGATCTAAAATGGCTACTGGCCTCACAGATCCAGGATAGAAATACTAACTATGGATTATTAACACAGGAAACAAAATTAAAATGTGCTCCCCATCACCCCCCTATCTTTCCCTAATTATTTGTTTCAAAGTCCTTCAATTGCCAAGGTTAAGTGCTTATTGTCAACACTCACTGAAGGCTGCTTTAGAAAAAAATCTCAGTTTTTAATTTGTTTACAAATCCAATTTCCAAGTGTGCTTCTTACCCAGCAAAACAGAAATATCTTCTGAAATCTTGCCTGTAATTTGTCTTTCCTCCCACTGAGTCTTCTGTCTACACCCTTCCACACAATTCATTTGTTGTATAATATGCATGCAGCCTTCTGCACAATACAGGAAGATTATATTCAAATGCCACCTCGCCGATCATATCATATTAATTCAGATTTGTCTATCATTTTGTGTGGTTGCTGCTTTGCCTTAGGTATTATAATAACAATACCTCACCTGTCATATCCCACTAGCACTGCCTCACCTAGAAAATTGCTCTAATACTGCCTCGGATCTCATAGACCTTTTTTATTTTTTTAATTTTTTTTGCACAAGTTTACCTATTACAGTATAATAATTGAACTTTTATTGGAGGCTACCGTATATATTTTTATTACAGTTTTTATCTAGTCCAGCAATTGTTACATGTTGATTCTATAGCAGATTGAATCATTCAAATCTAGTCTCTTTGGCTCATCTGTAAAACATATTGTTCCCTTTTCAAACTACAGCCAATCTCTATTTGGGTAGCTTTAGTAAGTAATATTTCCAGATAGATGAGCAGCTATTCAAAGTGTTATTTATATGGGGATTTTAATATTAGGCAATATTATATGGCTCTATGAAAAGATGTCCAGAAGTCTTGGATTGGAAATCTGAGCTTAATATTTCATTTCTTGTGACAAAAATTTAAATGTACATGTTCAAAAACAAAATACAATTTCTTTGAAACACACTTTTCAGAGAAGTCTAAAATGTGGCAAATGCCAAATAGAGATCTTTTTTCCAAAGTAATATTGAGGAATTTTGCATTCATGCCATTTTTTTTTTAATTGTGAAAGCTGCTTAAGTAGTTTTCAAGTATCCACAGCCACAGGTAATTTGGTATCAGGGCTTATGAGAAGTCTGGCTGCTTTGACACGGCATGCTGAATTAGAAGAAGGCTACCTTTTAAGTGCTATATAATGAAAATAAATGATACATTTAAAGCCTGCCACTGCCTTGTAATGCATGCTGGGTTCCAGAGAGAAGAATAAGTTGCGGAAAACAAATACTATCTCATTGGCTAAGAAGCCGTCACCAATGTCTTCTTGCATAATTAAACTGGACACGTTTTTAAAAAATGAAATGGCAAAGATACACTGTTAAGCCGCAAATAGTATTCAATGGCATTATCAATTGCAGAGATTCCAAGGTTTGCATATTAATTGCAGGAAGGTGCTAATTTGAGTGTTTTAAGCTCCATTCACAAGGCTGTTTACATGCTTTGTTCCACCTGGACCTGTTTGGAGGTTTGTCAAAAACCTAACAAGCAGAAAAAGATTGCATTTGAAAATACACATGCATGTTTAATTAAGCCAGGCCCACTGAACATTCCTCAATATATTTAGCCGTTGAGGTTTAAGCACCATCAGAGCATCAGGCATTATCACCTTTTGAAGTATTGCCGAATCTTTAATATTTAAAGCACAAGGCAGACTGTAATAAAAAATTCTAGCAGACCCTAGACGATTAAAGACGCATTATAAATGTGACAGTCTGTAAATGGAACACCAGTATTAAAGGATCCCCCCGATATTTCACAGCATATTTTTCAGGTGTACGCTAAATTATGAATATAATTAAATAGCTGTAATTATTCTCCAGGAGTGGACAGCAAATTTAAATGTCTACGATCTATGCAATTGGCTACAGGATAGGGATTTATAGCATAGTGGCCTGAGTGGGCAAGGTAAACCTTTCGAGCGGGTGTCAAACAAAGCACTTGAAAATCTAGTGAGAACTTCACTCACCCTATCTGATGTTTGTCCTTTAGGAGTCCAAAGCCAGTGACTCTGTCCTGGATAAGTCTGCACAACTGCAAATAAATGTGTTGGAAAAGAATTAACTAGGGCGTGATACCCAGAGTCATGTGTCTTAGGAGCCACATTTGCAATCACCATTAAACAAAAGAGCCCTGAGATTTGTGTATTTTTGGCACACCGATCTGATCAAACACATGCAGTGCCTGGCACAGAGTCAGTTCCAAGTAAATATTTGTGAAATGAATGAATTAATCAGTGAATAATAAATATAAAATGATGCACCTATTCTAATACGTTAATGTTTTCATTAAATGAATTTTCCTGGAAACTGAATTTAGCTTGATTTAGTAAATCCATGAAAAAGAAGGGGAAAAGTGGCATATTTTTTTCTTTAAATAAGAGCATGTATCACTGTTTTTTAGTTATCAAATACTTCTTTGAGAGGTGAGATAGTATAGTCCTTACAAGAATAGGCACTGCTTTGCTACTAGTCATCTATAGGAGTTTGGTGAAGTCACTGAGCCTCAATCAATTTCAGCTTTCACATCTATAAAATGGGGATAATCCTGCTTTTACCTAAGAAATAAATGACAAATCCTTCACTTGGTACACACATAGGAATTGCTTAATAAAAAATAGCCTTTCATCAAGAAAGGCAGCACACATTAGTAGTTCAGAGCAGAGATTCTGGCCCAGACTGCCTGGGTTTGAGTCCTGGCTCTACCACTCCCCTAGATGACCTTGGACAGGTTATTTGACCTACGTGTGCGTCAGTTTTTCTACCTGTAAAATGAAGGTAATAATACAACCTACCCCATTGAGTTGTTATGAGGATTTAATGAGTTAGTATTTGTAAAATGGTTGGAACATGTAAGCAAACAAGGTTTATGAAATAAACATGAACTCTCTGCCTGTATTGGGAAAGTTTTTCTGAAAACAGGGTGTAACTTTTGTAACTCTGTGTGAGGCAAATGGGCTGTGCTTCAGAAGGGACCCAGGAGCATCCTGTGTCACTACATTTGAAACCTTTTAGAAGTCAGTGGGTTATATATTATACAAAGAACTACAGGGGCTGAGTTCCTGGCTCAGGGCTTAGGATGGGTTCCCCAAAATCCTAAAAAACAGTGCAGTTATTGGGAAACTTGTCTCAATATTTAGAAAATAGGAGTTTCTCAGTCATTTACCCCAGCAGAGGAAGCTGGTGTCACCTCTTAACTGCGTTGCTGAGAGCCTGTGCCCTTCTCGGTCCCTGATTAGATGACCAACAATATTAGCTGTTGCTAATGGTAAACCTGCTTTTTGAAAGTGCTCTTTCAAAATGAGCATTATCAAATTATTATTCTATTCCTCACAACATCTCCATGAGGAAGGCATTATAATCACCATTTTACAAAAGAAGAAACTAAGGTGCCAAGCAATTAATTTGCCTAAGGTCTTAGAGCTGGTAAAAGATGAAGTCAGGACTCAACCCAGATGTCATTAATCACCACACTCTGCTGTCTTTTTGTAGGTGTCTGTGTGAGATTGCTCGGAAAATTCAAACTGAATTTTACTTGAGTTCTAGTGAGTCCTGGTGTAGAGGTAGGGATAATTAGAAAGTGTATGTGTGTGTGTGTGCATGTGTGCATGTGTGTGTGTGTTTACTTCAAAGGTGCCCAAGGAAGCACAACTTGAAATTCTTTTTGTAGAAGAAGTTTCAAGGAGTGGACAAATTTGCATGAGGACAAATTTTCTTCCTTCAAGGAAGAAATAAATTAAAATATAGACCTTTTAATTTTTAAGAGTCACCATTACAGTTTGAGTATGTCTTATCCAAAACATTTAGGACCCGAAGTGTTCAGAATTTTTTTTGGATTTTGGAAAATTTGCATGTACTGAATGAGATATCTTAGGGATAGGATCCAAGTCTAAACACAAAATTCATTTATGTTTCATATGTGCTTTATACACATAGCCTGGAGGTAATTTTACACAATATTTTAAATAATATTGTGCATGAAACAAAGTTTGTGTTATGTACTTATGTGTGGAATCTACTTGTGGCATCATGTCAGAGCTCAAAAACTTTCAGATCTTGGAACATTTTACTTTGGATTTTCATATTATGGATGCTCAACATGTATCAGAACTACTCTGATAGACAAAGATGTCTCAGGTTAAATCTTTCTGTTGGAAAAAAAACATACCCAAAGTCCCCAGAGGATATTCTCACCATGAAGGAAGTCTATATTCATGACTTTTGTTCAAAGCTAGACCATCTGGACTGGGATAAAGCAGAAGGAAAAAGGAAAAATCTGGTTTCTACACAGTGAGTTACTGAAGTGAGAAACATTATTGACTCAGCTACCAGGCTTACAAAGAATGTAATATATTACATTACAAATAATGTGATATTTGTATCAGCATCACATTGTATACATACGTATATATATGTGCTATACATATTTGTATGTATATATACACATATAGCAGTGACATACATAAATGTTTGTATATATACACATATCATAGCAGTGACATACATATATGTTTGTATATACACATATATGATATGTATATATACATATCATACACATGTATATCATACACGTCATGTATACACATATGTACATGCATGTGTGTATATGTATATATACATACATATATGTATACGTGTATATGTATACATACATACATATATGTATACGTGTATATGTATACATACATACATATATGTATACGTGTATATGTATACATACATACATATATATGTGTATATATACACATACATCATATAAGTGTATGTGTATATATACACATACATCATATAAGTGTATGTGTATATATACAATACATCATATAAGTGTATGTGTATATATACAATACATCATATAAGTGTATGTGTATATATACACACACATATAAGTGTATGTGTATATATACACACACATATAAGTGTATGTGTATATATACACACACATATAAGTGTATGTGTATATATACACACACATATAAGTGTATGTGTATATATACACACACATATAAGTGTATGTGTATATATACACACACATAAGTGTATGTGTATATATACACACACATATAAGTGTATGTGTATATATACACACACATATAAGTGTATGTGTATATATACACACACATATAAGTGTATGTGTATATATACACACACATATAAGTGTATGTGTATATATACACACACATATAAGTGTATGTGTATATATACACACACATATAAGTGTATGTGTATATATACACACACATATAAGTGTATGTGTATATATACACACACATATAAGTGTATGTGTATATATACACACATATATGTATGTGTATATATACATACATATATGTGTATTATATATACATACATATATGTATGTATATATAATATACATATATGTATGTCACATATATCACATTATTTGTAATATAATATATTACATTCCACATTGTTTATGTGATATATTACTGCAACAGTATAAAACAATGTGATATATTCTTACGGTAAATACCCCACTTTGTCCATGCTTTGCCTGCCTTTAGGTCTTCCTCTCTCACACTGGTCTGGGCTTGGCCATATGACTGTGACTTGTTTTGGCCAGTGGGTAACAGCAAATGTGACGTAAGCAGAAATTTAAAAACTGCTTGTACATTGATATTTGTCCTCTCTTGTCCTTAGATCTCTGCCATCATGTGAGAGAGAGCCTGAGTTAGCCTGCTGGATGGTCAAAGATGAGTGGTGCAGCTAAGTGAAAGCCTGCTGACTTGTAGACATATGAGTAAGGCCATGCTTGATCACCTGGCTGCCAGCTGGCCTGCCAACTAATTGCAGGTACTTGAAAGAGTCCAGCAGAGATCAGCCACCCCAGGTCAAATAAACACCCAGCCCCCTCCCTGAGAATGATGAACTAAATAAATGTCTTAAGTACTAAGTTTTGGGTGTTTGCTACATAGCAAAAGCTAATTGATACTGTTCCCAAGGAGTGGAAAACTTCTGTAACAAAAAACAAAAAATTCTGGCATTGGTTTTGGGATTGGGCAATGGGTAGAGGCTAGAAAAATGGCAAGGAAGCTGCCATAGCAACCTAGAAAAATGGCAACCCATGCTATAAAATAGGGCAATTGGTCAATAATTTTTGAAGTGGTTTGTTATGCAGCAATAGCCTACTGATACACCATGTGAATTATAGCAAGGAATAGCTAAGGCAAAACAAAACATTGGATGAGTAGCATAGTTCATTCTAAAGAACCACTAAGGCTTGCTCAGGAATATGTACTAATTCAGGTGGCATCTGTTAACTATCACTGAGCATAATATTGGAGGATAAATCTGCTTTGCTTATTGCCACCCCCGTAGCTTAGAAGCTACTCCTAAAACAGCAAGGATGTCACTGTGGCAGTGGGCAAGGATTAATTCCCTCATTTATTTATTCATTTATTAATTCAACAAATATTTTTAAATTTCCTTTTGTGCTAGGTCTTAAGCATACAATAATATAAAGACAGACACAGTTTCTTGGAAACTGTATTTTGCTATATAGAAAAAATGCTACCAATTGACTCTTAAAAGAATTCATTTCAACAAACACATAATGAGAACTCACTAGGTGTCAGATATTGACCTCATTATTATATCATAGTTAAAGAGAAGTAGGGAAACAGAAAGTGACAGAAATTGCTCAAATTTAGATAGAACAGGTACCCCAGTGATAACCTCCTGAGGAAAATACTAATGACATTGAGAACAGTTTCGAATCAAGAGTCAGGAGCCATTGCAGTCTGACTTTTAGTTCTGCCACTGGTCAACTATAATGATCAATAATAAGCAATATTGATTTGGTGTTACTACAATACGCCAAATAGCACATTAACTATTTTAAAATGTACTGCCTCATTTAAATTTTACAGCTATCCTATGTACTATTATTATTTCAGTTTTATAAATGAGAATGTTGAGGCTCTAAGAAGGAATGTTAGTTGCCGAAATTAACATTAAAGATTGATTTGGAGATGTAACAAAGCTATCCAGACAACCAAGAAACTAACTGTTATTCGTCTCAGAGCTACTAAGTGGTAAAGCTGTGAATCAAGTCCAATTCTGTCTGACCTGAAACCAGGACTTTTATCTACTGTGCCACATTGCTAACAGAGTGACCTTGGACAAATCACTTACTATTTCTAGGGTCTAGTTTAGTGAAGCTTAACACAAGGAATTCAAACCAGATGACTTCTAAATTCCTTCCACTTCTAACATTTCATGATTCAAGCATTGCCTATTATCCATAACTTACTAAATAGAGTTTGAAAAATCTTGACTAAATATTGCAGTAGGTTTGGGAACATTTCCCTCAGAAGCTTCCCAACTATAAATCCCTGATACCTTTTCACTATAACGTGGCTGTGTTCTAACTTTCAAATCTCAGATCCAGCATTTTCCCTCACTTCAGTCCTAACTGCCTTATCAGAGTAGAAGTTACAGCAGAAAAGCCTATGCAGAAGGAAAGAACTATGAGAAGCAAGCTGGTGCATCTTGCAGGGCCCTAGAAATGCTCAGACTTGGAGATACGGTTATCACAAACATGTATGTGTGTGTATGTGGTGTGGGAGATGGGTGTAGGGTATTGATGAGTGGTGTTGACATCAGGCTAACGAGTTAAAATTCCTCATAGAGTATTATAGGACCTGAAGCTTCTCTCTGTACCTTGTGCCAGACAACTTCCTTTCACACAGGAGATCAAAAGGATGTTTTCTGGATAAATTGTACCAAAGAAACTGAATTTGTAGGCACAAAAAAACCCCACATCAGTAAAGAGTGAAGGTGAGGTACAGGTCTAAGAAGTTTGTGGGTGAGTATTTCTCTTCTGGCTCTGGCTGATTACCTTGTTTCATTGGGAGCAGCCAGAGGAGCAGAGCAGTATAAAACATTTACAAAGATTGATTTGAAGATATAACAGAGCTACCAAGACAACCAAGATTTAAAGGACTGATAGAAGGAAAGTGCAAACTGGTAAGACACATGCAGCACTGCTTTTCTCTTTAATTTACAAGGGGCAACCAAGAGGCTGCCATCTTATGGGGCTGGAGAGACAAAATCTAAGTTTAGAGTCTAACAAGATGAAGGGCTTCATGTACAATTCAGACCCCTCAAGGCCTATATCCTAGGAATAAGGGCAAACTTGAAACAGACCTGTCTCACAAAGTTTGCAACCTAGCCTTGAATCCCTACCTGGATTTAAAAGATTCTCCCCACTGCCAGAAACAAATGTACATTAATTCTGGAGGAAAATAATGTTTCCAAGAACTTGAAATTTTCTGTATAAGTTTTCATACACAATATTCATGATTTAATTAAACAAACCAACCCAGGAATAATAGAAGACAAAAAACAAATGACTAGAAACAAAGGGGAAAAAATAAAAATATCCCAAGAAATCGAGATATTGAAGCTATTAGACAAGGATTCTGAAATAATTATAATTGGTATGTTGTAAAGAAATTTTAAAAAATTAAAACTGCAGAGAAATCTATACAAATAACTGGATGTTTTATAGCTGAAAAATACAAAAGCTGAAATTAAGATAGAAATGTATGGGCTTAAAAGAAGATCAAACAGAGTTGAAGAAAGGATTAGTGAACTGGAATATAATGTCAGTTAAAAAAATACAGACTAAAACATGGAGAAAATAAGAATGGTAATTATAGGAAAAACATAAAGTACTAATGGGACTCAAAAAGATCTATCAGACATGTAATTGGAATCCTAACAGGAGAAGAGAGATAATATTGAATAGAAGCAATATTAAAGGAAATAGTTCCCAGGATTTTACAAAATTGATGAAAGATATCAAGCCAGATTCAAGGAGCTCTATAAATGCCAAACAAGGTAAACAGAGAAAACAACTGGACAGGTCATAGTAAAACTGCTAAACAACAATACATACTCACACATACATACACACACAAAACAAAAAAAAAATTCGGAAAGACTCATAACCTTCAAAAGAATGACAAAAGGCTTACAGATGATGTCTCAATAGGAAAACTGAAGCCAGAAGTCACTAGGACTTCCTAAATATATTGAAAGAAAATAATAGTCTACCTAGAATTCTATACCTAACAAAAATGCATTTTGAAAGTGAACACAAGCTCTCTTCCTCTCTTCCTCCCGCCCAAAAAAGAGAAAAACATGAACACGAAATAGATATATATTCAGACAAACCAAAATAGAGATAATTAGTCATTAGGAGGCCTGCACTTTTTTAAATGCTAGTAATATTATTTTGGTAGAAGGAAATATATAACACTACACAGAAGCCATAAAACGCAACAAGGAAAAAAAGCAATGGAAAGTGGATAAATGAATATTGGCTTTATAAAAATATTATAAATGTCTTGTGCAGTTTAAGATATGTTTACTATTTAAAGTATGGAAATACATGGCAATAAAAAACAAAAGTCAGAAATAAATAAACAAAATTAAGTGAAAAATGTCTTGTAATTTCTAGGGTAACCACTAAAGGAATAATAAAAGAATCCATACCTAACGAGATAATAAAGGAGTATAAATGAATAATAAAAATACTTAACTCAGAAGAAGGCAAGAAAGGAGAAATAAGAACATAGAACAAGGTAGGTCAAATAAAGGACAAAAAACAAAACTATAGATTTAAAGACAAATGTGTCAGTAATTAAATTAAATGTAAAAAGACAAAATACTAGAATTAAAGAATAGTAATTTTCTGGATTAAAAAGTTATATGCAATTTATTAAAAACATAAATTAAATATGAGAAAATAAAAGGATAGAAAAATATCTTCCACATCCAAACACTAACAGAAACCTGTTATGATTACAGTAATATTAGACAAAGCATAGTTTAAGGCAAGATTCTTTACTAGAGATAAATTGGAATATTTCATTGATAATGTACTTCTTTTGTGTATCAGAAATATATAATTGTTATAAATTAATTGCCCCTAATATTATAGAATCAAAATGTATAAAGCAAAATTGAATTAAAAAGAGAAGTGTCTATAATCATAGTAGAAGTATTTGAAACTTATTTCAATATCTATTACAAAAAGTTGACAAAACATCAGTAAAGACATACAAGATTTGAACTCAAACATTTTCTCATGAATATATACAGAACATCATACGCCAGAACTAAGGAATACATATTCTTTTAAATGAACATATGACATTTTCTAAAATTTATAATTTTCTAGGCCATACAGTAGATCTATGAACTTCAAAGAATTAATATCATTCAGAATATGTTTTCTCATCACAGAAGAGTTAACTAGAAATCAGTAATATAAAAGTAACTAATAAATCTCCCAAAGTTTGAAAATTAAGGAAAACATATTTTAACAACCCAAAGATCAAGAAGAAATCATAAGTATCAAATGATCTTAAATGAATGATAATAATAATAATATAACATCAAACCAAGTGGGGTACAGGTAAAGCCATTTTTAGATGTAACAATAGTAATTTAATAATCTACCTCAGGACATTCCAAACATAAGAGAAGATTAAATCCAAAGAAAGTAGGAAGAATGAAATAATAAAAATAAAAGCAGATACCAACTAAATAGAAAAGAAATATTTAATAAGAGGACTCATAAAACTAAAAGTTGGCTTATGGAAAAGACTAATAAAATTATGAAAACCTGGAAAGGCTGTTTCATAAAGTGAGAGAAAGCATAGATTACTAATATCAGAGATTTTAAAAGGGAATAACACTACAGATTTTATAGTTTACAAAGATAACAAAAAGATATTATGGACAACTTTAAGGTAATACATTTGAAAATATAAATGAAAGGAGTAAAATCCTTGGAAAACACAATTTGCCAAAACACTCACAAGAAGAAAGAGAAAATCTGAACAGTCCTACATATGTTTAAAAATTTTAAGTATAATTTAAAACTGTCTCATAAAGAAAATTCCAGGCTCAGATGGCTTCATTTGTGATCTTTCCAAATATTTAAGGAATATAGGTATATCAATCTTATGCAAGCTCTTCTAGAGATTGAAAAATGAAAGAATAACTTACAACTCATTTTATGAAGCTAGCATAATCTTGAAAACAATCTGATTAGGACATTAGGAGAAAGCAAAATTATAGGACAATAGCCCTTATGAACATAGAATCAAAAATTCCAAACTAAGTGTTAGCATATAAAATCCAGCCATATATAAAAAGGAGATATCTAATGACTAAGTGGGATTTATTCCAAGAATGAAAAATTGAATTAACATTTGAAAATGTAACTGATATAATTCACTACATTAAGTGAGTAAAGGAGAAAAGTCATGATTATCTCAATACATGTAGAAAAAGCATTTGATAAAATCAATACCTATTTTGATAAAAATGTTTAAAAGAAAAACTATTTAAATTAATAAGTGGGTTTGGCAAGGCAAGGTCTACATACAAAATTCAATTACATTTCTATGTACAAGCAACCAAAAAATTGAAAATAAAAAATTTGAATACATGTTCAGTAGGATTACAGATGAAATACCAAGACAGAACTCTAACAAAAGATTTGCAGAATGTTGATAAAGAAAAAGGTAACATATTACTAAAGAAAATTAATGATCTAAAATAAAAATGGAAAGATGTACTATATTCATGAACTGGAAGACTCAACAATGCAACACGGCAAATATTCCCCCAAATTGCCTTATAAAAGTACAAAAAAAAAATTAGCCTGGCGTGGTGGCATGCACCTGTAGTCCCATCTACTCGGGAGGCTGAGGCAGGAGAATCACTTGAATCCGGGAGGCAGAGGTTGCAGTGAGCTGAGATAGTGCCACTGCCTCCAGCCTGGTGACAGAGCAAGCTCTGTCTCAGAAATAAAAAAAAAAAAAGAAAGAAAGAAAGAAAGAAAAGGAAAAACTAATTTTAAACTAATTTTAAAATTTATATGGAAATGTAAAGGATCAAGAATCAGCAAGACCACAGGTCAGCAAACTTTTTCTGTAAGAGCCAGATGGTAATTATCTCAGGTTTTTTTGGCCAGACTGTCCCTGTCACAGCTACCTAATTTGGCCATTGTAGTCAGAGAGCACTCAGATAATATGTAAATAAAAGGGAATGGCTGTATTCCCTTTCATTTCAAAAAGCTTTATTTATCACTTCAGCTGTCTGGTCATAAGCCACCCACAGTTTGTTGTCTCCTGGTCAAGACAATCTTGAAAAAGAAGAACAAAGTTGGAGAACTTGAACTGCAGGATAACAACACATGTAAAATTACAGTATGGGGATAGCCTGGTATTGATGCAAAATAGGTCAATGGAATAAAAGTCCACAAAAATCCTACGTATATATGGACCCCTGCTTCATGACAAAGGTAGCATTATAGAGCCCATAGGCAACCTTTTCCCCTTAATTAATCCAACCTAAATGAGTAAAATGTTTTAAAATGTTGCCTCCAAGTCTAACTGTATGAAGAATAAAAAGCCTTCAATGGCTGTTGTGACTGAAGATGTGGTTTCTGTGGTTAGGCTACAGTAAATAGTAAAGCCACATTCCCCCAAGGAAAGAATCAATGTAGCTCTTCTCAACAGCCAAATCATAGCTGCTGGTTCAACAGCAGCAACATTCTGTGGCGAGTAATATGATGCTTCCATGTGCATATGAAATTAAAGTCTTGCCTGCCTTCTATGTACATGTTTGAAGGTTACAGACTCTATTCAAGTCATTGGTGCATTGCCAGGCATGTTTTACATGCAGATGATGTATTAGGGTATTGGTTCAGCTATTTTAGCAAACTAAATTAAAAATAACCTAAACAAAATATGACATTTATTTCTCCCATGCTCCAAAGTCTGGGTGGCTCAATAAGGACCTTGGTATGTTCAAGTTCCTCCTGTCTGGTTGCTCTGTCATTCCCTCAAACTTTAATGTGCATGTGACTCACCCAGGATTTTTGTTCAAATGCAGATTCAATTTTAGTAGGTCTGAGAGTAGGGCGTGAGCATCCACATTTCTAACAAGCTCTCCAGTGATGCTGATCGTGCCCACACATCCAACCGCACATCTGAATTCCTTCCAACTGGAAAGTGTGTTAGTTTCCTATGGCTGCTGTAATGAACAGTCACAAACTTCCTGGCTTAAAAATACAGACATTTCTTCTATTATAGTTCTGAAGTCCAGAAGTCCAAAATCAATATAATTGGGCCAAAATGACAGTGTCAGCAGGGCCTCCCTTCCACTAGAGGCTCTAGAGGAGAAGCCATTCCATGGCCTTTTCCAACTTCTGTGGCTGCCAATATTCTTTGGCCCAACAGGATCTAGTCCTGCTGACTCCTTGTTTTAAGATCCGTTAAGACTCATTTTGGACTTCTGACCTCCAGGACTATACGGGAATAAACTTGGACTGTTTTAAGTCATTGAGTTTGTGGTAATTTGTTACAGCAGCAATATGAAAATAATACAGCAGTAGACCCCAGCTACTAGCTTGAGGTTTGTGAACAGATCAGCCTAGGCAGTAGCTAAAACAGAATCTCAAGGCAGAGTCAAAGTAGAAGCTTAGGTCCGTGAACAGGGCACATGCAAGTACCATATCTAGGGAGAATCACAGCACTCAATGGCAGCTCTGGCCTGTGGCTTACATGCGTTCAGCAACAGGGCTGAGTCTGTAGCAATGCAGGACTGGGCAGACTGATGGAGTGAAAGTGGAGGGAAGTCAGAAGAGAAAAAATCAAGCGCAGTGGTCAGCAAAGGGGATGGAGAAAAGGGGATGAGAAGGACTCAAATCAGACTGGTTTCAGACTAATAAGGAGAAAGATTTGAGGCCTATTAACAGTAGGTCTTATCTCAAAGTTGGTCTGCAACTTAAGATAGAGTCTGGGTCTACAGATGAGAATATCAATAGATCTAGCTAAGAAAGGCAGCTTACCACGTAAGACTGATGCTGGCAAGCTATTTTAAGAGTTCAAGACCCATCTCTACAAAAAATATAAAAATTAGCCAGGCATGGTGGCACATGGCTGTAGTTCTAGCTACTTGGGAAACTGATGTGGGAAGATGACTTGAGCCTGGGAGTTCAAGGCTGCAGTGAGCCATGATCACATCACTGCACTCCAACCTGGGCAACACAGTGAGACCCTGTTAAGAGATACTGCTTTTCATAAATCTTGGGGTTAGGAATTATAAGTAGTCTGTGAAGATCATTTTCCTTGACTTAAGAGAACTGTGTTTTTTGTCCTAAAATTGAAATTTTGGAAATATATTTTGCCTAAAAGACCTTCAGAAAATGTAGTAAGCCATCCAATTTATAGTATTTTGTTATAGTAGTCTGTCCACAGCAAATGCCACACTTAGGGGATGTATTTCTAATCATGATGTTACCATGAGAAGATCACTGGTCCTTTCTCTAGAATTGGTTTGGAATTCTAACAGCTTTACCACTGTATTCTTATTCTTCAGCTCCTTTTTTGATTTTTGATTTAGACACTGTGATTGCTCTCTGATTATGACATCTTAATTTGTATGGCAAGGAACTTGACTATATCAAGGTCCTTTCAGGTTGGGAGGTACCCCTACCTTCCATTGTACCTCAGTTTTGGCTCTTCATAAAGAAATTCAAACATATGTCACATAGTCAATATTTTAAATAAGGACACTCCACACTGGTGAAATTTTATGCAGTCATTTTTATTGTATGAAACTTTTCCTTAGATGATGGTAACTCTGGACATTGTTAGTGCTAGCTCAGATCATGTTTTGTTTCTGTTGCAGGTAGGGCATAGTCTGTGTTCTGCAAAGCTGCCCTGTCTCTCCTCCTATTGATGGCACAGCAGGGAGAGCAGAGCACACTGGTTACTGAAAGGCTTAAAATGGAGAAAGATCTTGATGCTGAGAGTGCTATGCTAGTGACCCAGTAAACTGGCACTTACAGGATCCAGGCCATGCATTTATGAATAGGAAGACTTAGGCCTAGAGGTATTTTCATTATAAATTCATGCAAATGTAATCTACCTAGTAGAAATCAACATTAAAAGTCCAAAATTATCTAATACATTCAGATAAGGTTGTTGGTGAGAACTCTTTATGCCATGCAAAATAGCTCTTCAAAGGGTTTTTATTTCATACCAGGTTTTCTTCTACATTCAGGGGAATTATAGTACTTAAATCCTCCATTAAGATGCTATTGATTATGACCAAACCAATTCCATTCTGGTATTGCCTTTTAAGCTTTTTTGCTATGCAGACAAATTGTGCAATTAAAGAAAATAATGTTTAGGAGTTTTGTGTAATTTAAGCATAGATAAGGTATTTTGACCAAAGTTAAGCAAGTTTTATTAAATTAGGAAGATAGTTTTAAACACAAGGTATGATACAGCAATTTGATGATGATGATGATGATGATGATATTTGTCAGATATTTTCTCACTATTCCATTGTGGAAGATTTCTTGTGAATAATTAAAAGAGCTTGTCTTCAATATTCATTTTAAGATATAAGATGAAGAAATTACTTGCAACATTTCTCTTCTAAGATTTTTCATGCCCTTTATTAGTAGGATATTTAGTTTCCTCATGGGCTTTGGAAGGAGTTGTGTTATTGTTAGACTGATTTTTATCTAACTCTATCTATGGTATTTTCCATGAGTAATAACTAGGACAAACTTAATATTGTTTTTAAATATTTTTAAAGTGGAAACTGTTTCCAAGGCAGCAATTTATATGTGAATACTGAACTTGGTGCTGGTTTTGATGTGTGAGCACCATTAGTACCACTGGAGCATCACTGGAGAGCTTGTTAGAAATGTAGACACTCAGACCCTACCCACAGACTTACTGAATCTGAGTCTGCATTTGAACAAGAATCCTGGGTGAGTCACATGCACATTAAAGTTTGAGGGTCCAACCCTCAAAAAAGAGTGGACAATGTTGTCTGCTCTTATTGCTTTGTATTCAAGATTATCTAGGAGAGAGGGATTACAAAGGACCGTAACAAAACTTAGGGATGATAGATATTTTCAATATCTTAATTCTGATGACAGTTTCATGGGTGTATATACATAAATCAAACCTTATCGAATTGCACACTTTAAATATGTACAGCTTATTGTAAGTCAATTTTACTTCAATAAACCAGGCAGTGGGGGTTGGGGGAAGAGAAGGAAGCCACCATAATGACCATCATTATTGTGAGATAATCTTTTGACTATAAAGTAAAAAGCTTTGCTTCTGTAGATTGATTAAATAGAAAAAGTTCACACACATTTATCCTGTGGAATAGCACAATATTATTTGCTTCAGACAAATAATTTAGGAACTGCTAGATTGCACACAGACATCTTTCTCTAATACAAGACTTCTCAGAGTCCTTAATATTTTTTTACTCAGTGAAATTCAGTAAGAGGAGAAAGTAGTTCATAGCATTTCTTAAATATGTTTGACCATATAGTTCCTCTTTTCAAGGAAAATTTAAAATAGCTAGTGATCTGCAGGTCACACCTTGGAAAATACATGGATAGACTGGTCAGTTACCATTAAGTATGAAAGACTCAATCCTGGACAGGTTATTAGGTTGGTGCAAAGGTAATTGGGGTTTTTGCTATTGTTATTACACATTTTATTTCTATTTATGTGTCTTAGTCTGTTTCTGCCACTATAACAGAATACCTGAGCCTAGGTAATTTACAATGAATAGAAATGTAATGGCTCACAGTTCTGGAGGCTGGGAAGTCCAATATCAAGGTGCCAGCATCACATGGTAAGGGCTTTCTTATTGATCATCACATGTCAAAAGGCAAAAGAGCGAAAGAGCAAAAAGGGGCCTAAATGTGCCCTTTTATAGTGAACTCACTCCCAAGATAACAACATTAATCCATCTGTGAGGGTGGAGTCCTCATGGTCTAATCACCTCTTAACTGTCCCACCTCATAATACTATTACAATGGCAATTAAATTTCAACAAGAGTTTTGGAGAGTACAAATATTGAAACCATAGCAATATGCTATTCATCACACAATAGATTGTTTTATTTTTGCTTTAAAGAGTTGATTCTGTTTGAAGGAGATTTAAGTAATGAAACTATTTGTATTTACCCACATAGTTACCATTTTTTGATGCTCATCATTCTTTTGTTTAGATAGAAATTTTCATCTGGCATCATTTTTGTTCTACCTGGAAAACTTGATGAATTCTGTTAGCTTTTATATACCTCAAAAACTTTTTCTTCCACATTCATTTTTGAAAGATATTTTTAGCAAGTAAAGACTTCTAGGTTTAGAGTTTTTCTTTCAATGCTTTAAAGATGTTCTTCTACTGTCTTCTGTTTTGAGTTGTTTCTGATAAGAAATGTTCTGTCATTGTTCTCTTTATTTCTTCATACCTACTGTACTTTTTCTCGTTACTTTGAAGTTCTTCTCTGTATCATTAGTTTTAAGCAATTTGATTATGATTATGATATGCCCTTAAGTGGTTTCTTCATGTTTCTTGTGCTTCTGATTCACTGAACTTCTTGGAACTGTGAGTTTATAGTTTTCATCAAATTTGGAAGATTTTTGACTACTTCATCTTCAATTATTTGTTCTGTTCCTGCTGCTTCTCCTCTCCTTTAGAGACCCTAATAAAATGAATACTGTGACTTTAAAGGTGTACCACAGCTCCCTGATGCTCTGCTTATTTTATATTCTTCAGTTTCTTTTCTCTCTGTGTTTCATTTTTTGGTATTTTCTGTTGCTGTGCATTCAAGTTCCTTAATCATTTGCAGCATCGGATTCATTGTTAATCCCATCCAGGTTGTTTTTTTAAAATCTTAGACATGGTAGTTTTAATCTCTGAAAGTTTGAGATGAAACTTTCTGTATCCCTCACAACTGTACTTATTATGTTCAATCATTTCTCGGCTTCATGAATGTATATATATATGAACATAGATATAATAATTATTTTAATGTTCTGACTATTAATTTTTTCATATTGTCATTTCTAGGACAGTTTTGATTCACTGCATATTCTTCTCATTGTGTGCCTTTTTTTTTTTTTTTTTTACATGTCTAGTAACTTTTGATTGGATGCCAGACATTGTCAATTTTACTCTTTTGGGTTCTGAACATTTTTGTACTCCTATAAATCTTCTTGAACTTTTTTTTGATGTGACTAAGTTACTTGGAGATAGTTTGACCCTATCATGTCTTGCTTTTAAGCTCTGTTAGATAGACTCAATCTAGTGTTAATTTTTTTCTCCCATTATTGTTGCAAAATTATTCGGATTGCTCTATCCAGTGCCCCAAATAATGAAGTTTTCCATTATGGTTGTTGGCAACAGGCTTCATTCCTGCCTGTATATGAGCTACAGATATTATTCCTTTTAAGAGGTGACTCTTTCTGTAGCTTTGGGTGGTTTCCTTACATGCATGCATTCCTTATTACTCAACCAAATAATCAAGAGAGATCTTGGTCTAAAGATCTCCTGGGCTTTCTTTCTGTGCAGCTCACTTCTCTATGTTACTCTTCCCTGTAAGCAATAGCTCTCTTGGCCTCCTTAGACTCCCAGCCTTGTATTGTCAACGTGGGGAGGCCATCAAGCTCCACCTGAGGTTCTCTCCCTCTCTCTGCACTGTAGCCAGAAAATCCTCTCCAACCTGTTATTGGGTCAATTACAGGGCTTGTTTCATTTGTTTCACATCTCTTAGGTATGACTTTCTTCATTGTTTGATGTCCAATGTCTTGTCTTTTTTCTTTTTCTTGTTTTTGGTTTCTGTTATTGTTTGTTTCTTGTGTTTTTGTCATCATTGTTGTTTCAGGAAGGAAGATACCAGACTCTGTTACTCTGCTGCTTATTGAGGAATATATTGCCAGTCTGTCTGAGTTTCTTTATATGTAAGAGACATGCTCACACACTGGGCACAGACTATCAATTAAGTGAAAAGCCTTCAACATATAGATTTTGTTTCCTTAATTTTTTAGAAAAGCCATAAAAGATGAATAAGGCCTAGCCTTTCTGTTTATCCTGTAATCATTCAAACCCACCCTGGTTTGATCCTGACTTATTTGTTTATGACACATCAAAGTAAATTTTAGCTCTGAAACATGGGCAACACTGACTTTCCTGATCTGGGTAATATTTTGCCTCTGCATATCCCTGAATTTTCTAGGTCCTATTTTCCTACTATATAGAGCAGATCTCCGAAGGTGAGCACAGAGTAAGCATTCTGAGCCTTTTGCTCTGCTAACACACAAAGCTGACACAAAATAAATATAGTAGACTGGAGCAAATGTCTACAAGAAATGTAAAATAGCTAGACTTCCCCCTACAAAGCCATAAAAAACTACAAGTTAAAAAGCAATTTAAATTTAGGGGAAGAAGGGTGACTGGCCATTTTTAGGTTTAGCAATATGTAACTTTGGGTGATGCTATTTGTTTTTTCGTTTTTAAAAATTTAAATAAATATGTCCTGGAGATATGTCCAACCCATTCTGGGCTTTCATTTCTCCCTCGCCTCAGTTTTCACCCCTGATATATTCCTGGGTGAACATATGCTTAGATCCCTCAAGCATAGTGATAATTTCTCCTGACCAGCAAAGCCAGTCATTATTTATTATACTTTGCTCTCCCTCCTTCTCACTCTCCTAGTGGGAACATTGCAGTGGCTGCTGGCTAGAAAATTAGCCCAGGGAGCTTCTTCAGTTGGTCCCTTTCCTCATTATACTAGTAAAAAATTTAACTGTGACATTCTCTACTCCTGCATGTATGTGTGTGTGTGAGAGTGTGTGTGTGTACATGTGTGTATGTGTGTCCACATAGGTTGGAAGCACACTTTAGGGGCTAATAGTGAGTAATTTAATGGTGTTTTCTCACACATTTTACTCTTTTTCTTTCTCTAGAGTGGCTGCAGAAGTACAGTATGCTCATGTATTGCTGCTCCACATTATGAGCCAAGCTTGTGGGTTTATGTGTCATCTCACTGTTTCTGCTGGGTTGTTTTCTGGCTGGATGTGATATCGTTTCATCCATTGTCAGGGGGCTGCCCCAGATACCTGGGATGCTCAGGAGATGCGACACTTGCTTGCCATGTGATAGCAAAGGCTCCTGTTTATTTCTGTGGCTGCTCCTTCTGCAACCCTCTGTGGGATCCCTGTATATCCGAGCTGATGGGGAAGATGAAAACCACACAACCTCACTGAGGCTTTAAAAATTTTTGCTTATCGGTGTTTTTAAGTATGCACCAGGCAACTGTTAACTACAATTTACAAGAACTACTTTATTTTTTTTTTAGTGTCCTTATTATTTTAAGTCTGTTCTGGGTCACACTTCCATGGTTCCATGAGCTTTTAACTAATGGCATTATTAGTCCTGCACAGCTTAGCTCTGGAAGGGTGACTAATAGTCTTTACAATAGGCTGAAAGCAGGGGCCACACTTCATACCTTCCTCTGCATCTCAGCAGCGTCTAGCTTGGTGCTGGGCACTCTGAAAGTACTTGAGTGATTGATTTTGGGCAAAATAACCTATTTTCTTAGGACAAAAATTTTGATCCAGACCAAAGACATTGGCCTTTTTATTTTGTAATGGTCTGCTTCTTAAAGAGCTCAGAAATTAAGAGATCTTAGGTGAGGGTGATGGGGGAAAAAGTTAATCCAAAAGGATATGTCGATTTCTGCAAATGCTGCAATCGATCAGTTTCAATTAAAAAGGGAAGGTGCCATCTATGCAATGTTGGAGGAGAAAAGGTAAGATAATGAAGGGAGAAATATGGAAAATAATACTTTCACAATTTGTTTTTTTGTGTTCTATTTGAGAGAAAATGATTCTATACATGGTATTTGATCAACAGAAGGGGAAGAGACATACACTGATTTTTAGAAAAGGTGTTGCCAGTAGTGAGCAAAGCATAGGAATGTGAGATTAGTTCAACATTGGGAGGAAACACATCACTTTTTCCATTACACCTTAGCAATATATTTAATTGACTATCTGACTATTTAGCTTTCTAAGGGTTTCAAGTTGTTTTTAACAAGATTCTCTGTAATTAGGTCCAAGTGGTACAAGACAGTTACTGGTAGAGAAGCTATATTTTATATTTGTATCTCATTAATGAGGCTTCAGATTAATGAACATCACCAGTTCATTTCTGGGGAGAATGTCACCATGGAGAGTAAAACCCTGGTTTTCAGCTTTTCAGGCAAAGCATGTGTAACCCTTAACTTAGCCTAAAGCAGTGTCTTCCAGGGGAGGCATGTGTGAACACTGGTCCTGTCTTTGGCTGGCCTTATGCCTACAAATGGGAAGCAAACCTTTGTGTGACTGATTCCAGGGCACGTGGTGGTACATCTCAAGGAGTGAGAAGCATGAAACTGATCAAAAGAGCATTTGCTGACTGTTTCTCCCATATTCCATCTACTCTGGGAGAAGTCATGTCACCCCATGGTGTGTGATGCTGCTCTAAACCATTTGCAAGAAATAATCTAAATGTCAAGTTGTGGGTATCATGGGGCACTGCACATGTTGAGACAAACCAGAGTGTGAGAAAACTTAGACTGAAGTTGGTTTTGAAGGTTTCCTGGGTGCCGGATGAAAGCCTAATCATCCGGCACCCAGGAAATGCAAAGAGCCAAAAGAACCTTTGTTTCAATCATTTCACAATCCAATTCATAAAGAACAGAGTTGCTACTCTAGGTGTTTATATATTTCTTCAAAAACAATTAAGTACATTCATTCAACAGGCATTTCCAGAGTGTCTCCTATGGGCCAGACACCATTCTAGGTGTTACGGATGTAGTAGCAACCAAAACAGAGGTCCAACTCTCACTAAGTCTACCTTCTCGAGGAGAACAATAGATAGTATACAAACCAAAGAATGTATCTCCTCTTAGATGGTGACAAGTGCTGTGGAGAAAAATAAGGCATAGTAAAAATAAAGTAGAGCAAATCGATAGTGTGCTATTTTATACAGGCGGTTAGGGGAGGCCTCTGAAAGCGTGATGTTGAAGAGAATGAATTCCTTCAAATCCCAATTTCCATTTCTTCCTCACAATCATGGACTTTTGCTGAATTATCACACTTTTTCTTGTCTGTGCAATCAAAGCTGTGTCAATTTAGACATTTCTGTCAAATTCATAATTGACTACATGGCCAAGGATCAGCTCAGCTGAAATTCTCAAGAACTCACTTGGAGGTTGGTTAAATAGAGTCCTCTCCTCTCGTTCCCCTTTGCTCTCCAGGCAACAAAGCATAGGCTGTAGTTTACCCAAATAAACCAGGAACCAAGAAAGAAAAGGAATTCTAATGTCCTTTTCTAACGGAGGATCATTGTAAAAGGTAAGTTTTGATGAAAGAAGACCTGTAGAAAGAGCATAAGAGCCAGTTAGATTTAAATATTGGTTTCTCTACTTATCAGCTGAGTGATCTTTGAATTAACTACTTAACTTCACTCTGCCTCAGTTTCTTCAGATGCAGAGGATGATAAAAGGGCTTAATTCAATGGGATCTGACAAGGATTAGATGAGATCTCTACATACAGCTCTTAGCGTGGTTCCTAGAACATGACAGGCACTCAATGCTTGAAATGAGTATCATCATGATTATTGTTGAAAGTATCATGTTTTGGCACAGCTAATAGCCACATGCTGTATGAGTATGTGTAGAGAATTTCTGGACAGCATAACTCTTTACCCTATTTCATTTATTCATTCATTTAATCATTCATTCATTCATTCATTCATTCAAGGAATAGTATTGAATGGCTGGCCTGTTGCCAAACACCATGCCACAGTCTGTGGAGAGTAAAGAATATACATGTTTTTTGACTTGTTGAGAGAACTGAAGCTTCAAGGAGGACTTGTTTCAGATGACCTTTAAAGTCCCTTGCAAGTTGGATTGCCTGTGATTCTAAGGCATTTACTCACCATCCAGTAGACAGAGAAGTGGAAGCTCTGGGAAGTGCTGAGATCTATACAGGGCCCCAAGGATTTCAGCGCAGGCCAAGAAATGCCTCCTGGGGCTTCAGCCGGGAGCAGGAATAATAACTGGTTCATAGGATCTCCATTCCCTTCCGGTTCCTCGCATATTAAAAACATAAGAATCCTTTACTTTTGCGTAGTTTTAGAGTTTGTCAGGTATTGTCACCTACATCATCTCAAGTGATCGTTTCACTACAACTGGGTAGGAGAAGTGTACTTATCTTACAATGAGGAAACAGGGGCTCAGAGAATTTAATGGAATTGTTCAAGATCCCGTAGTGGCAGAGCCAGAATTCCTATAAATGAAGTGGAAGAGCTGGTATGAGCTCTAGGGTTCTGGGAGGCAAAGAGTTCCTGATTGTCAGAGTGGTCCTCCTCCATTAGAAGACTCCTTCTCTTATGTCTGCCTCCTTGGGGAGGCCAGTTACTGATGAAGGTAACGAAGGGTCGCTCACCCTCCCATCACCTGAGCCAAACCAACCCTGAAAGTCCAGTGTGAAGAGACAATAGCACAATCCTCCGGCCCTTCCCCTCCAGGCGACAGCTTGAAAGCATGCCTTCTCTATCAGGTTTCATGCTATGTACCTCCCATTCCACACTTCCCACAAGAATATGGGATTTTCCTTGGCCATCAGGGGCAGATGCCCTAGAGATGCTGCTGCCTCTCCATTCTTCCTCCCCAGCTCATATCCCCACAGTCTGGGCCTGTGTGGGTATCTGGCATGTGGGCTGCAACTGTGGATGATCGCCTCGGTGACAATGCATACCTAGCAGCTCAGATGTCAGATACTGCTGTTGCCCAAAGGCAGGAGGAAAAGTAAACAAAGCCCTTGCCCTCCTCCATTTTGGGCTGCCTCTCTGTTTGAATTGCAGTGGCAGCGCTCTGAGCGAGGAAAGGAGCCGGCTGGCTTCAGCAGTTCACAGGCGTGCTCCCCCTGCCTTTCTGATGACCACTGGGATAATTCAAAGAGAAAGAGTAAAAACTCACCCCAAGGTATGGAGAGTGAAGGCATTTCATACCGCAAGAGGTCTGTGCGTGTGTTCTGTGATACAGCAAACTTCCTAGCTCCACTCTTTCGCCAGCTTACCTACACCCTGCTCATATGACCCCAAATGGACCAGGACCTCTTCCCTGAAGGGGTTTTGCCGGGGAGCTCACACAGGAGTCTCTTCTTTTATCATGTCACACGGTGGCACACTGCAGTTTGTCCCACTGTATCTTGCAAAAAGCTGATATTCCAATGATGTTATTAAAAAGTGGCACCTTTCGCGCGCTGTGAGAAAATCTTTCCAGTGGGGGCAAGGAGACTACGATACATTTTCCCTAAGGAGCTCACTCCAGCCACAGCGTTTGATGTATGGTGACATCTCCCTGCGCCCTGACATGCACACATGCGCACGCATGTGTGTGCACACACACATACACGCACCCCTCAAAAACACATTTTCTGACTGAGATGAGTAAGGAAGTTAAGGGACTTGTTCAAGGTCACACAGAGGGGCAAGGAAGCCAAGTCATTTACACAGGGCATACAGCATGCTGCCCAGTGCTTTTCGTTCTTAGTCCTTCTCCCTGACCTCTGATCATCCACCACCTCACCTCCTTTTCAGCTGAGTAAATGTGTAATGCACACTAGAAATGCCACTGCAATTCCGAATATCACTTACAAACGGTAGCTTTTAGCTAACAAGAGTGCTGTTAACTCTTACTCCCTGTGGATATTTCTCAATTCAGGGTTGTGTGTTTTTATTTTTGCTTTCTGGGAACTCAAATCCAGGCTCAGCTCAGCATAATATCCAGATCTGTGTGCTAAGGAAAGCCTGGTCCGATAGTTATGAGGTCTTCGTTTTAGCTCCAGCTCTACCTCTGACTGGCCATGGGGCCTTGAAGTTGGTGCTCAGCCTCTCCAAGGCCTAGCTTCATCAGAAGTCAGATGCAAATTATAATGCCTTATCTGCCAACCTCACGAAGATATTATGAGAAACAAATGAGATTATAATCTTGAAAAGTTTTGAAATTACTAGAAGAAAGTGTGACTTCCTATCTAAAGGGATCATAAAATAGTGAAAAGCTAGTGGGCTGGGTTCAAATCCTGGTTACACTTCTATGCTCTTGGGCAAGTTATTTAACCCCCCTGAGTCTGGATAAAATGGGGAGGCAAAACCCATTGGGCAGGGTTGTGAGAAAGATTAAATAAGAGTATGTTTTAAGCTCCTAGCAGAGCACCTGGCACAAGGGAGGTGACTATGGGGTATTAGTTCCTTTCTTCTTGGTACGCCACACCCCCCACTTACTGCACACAGACTCTGAGACCCTGGAAGGGAGTTGCACATCTTACTCATTCTTGAACACGCAGCATCTGTCACTGTGTCTGCTACATTACCAGAACTCAATAAATATTGTGGCTATGAATGAATATATAGATTAGGGACAAAAATTTAGAAGCACTTGTTTGGTTTGAAGAATTAATTATAATATTTGGCACTGTCCACTCACCTCCCTTCATAATTGGGAACATAGGAGTGAATTTGCCAGTTGTATTCATATTGGAACAAAATTACATGGTAATTTGTGCATTTAACTCATAGATTGGCTTAGGATGATCCAAATCTAGCAGCAGTTTTCTTCACACAAAACAAATCTCACTTATCATCTGGCCAAACTCAACATAACAACAACTCGTTTCACAGCAGGAATCCAGATAGACAAGTGAACAGTTGGGGGAAATTCCCTTGTGAAGTAACCACATGCCTAGTCAGAACCGTCTCATAATTTAAGAACCAATTTTAAAAATAACTGTCAAATTAGGCTGGCTAATTGCTCTGGTCTCCAGCAAGTCAATCACAAGTAGGGAGGAGGGGATGGACCTCAAAAGTAAAAGGAAGATACAAACAAATGAGACCCAATGGTGGCCTGAGTGAAATTATACATGACAACATGAATCACAGTATGTTTTTACCAGGTCCATTTTTATACTGCTTTTCCTGGCATTTTTGGAAAGTTGTTTTGGATGGGCTTGTTTTTCAGGGTATTTGATTATACATGCATCCTTGTTTTTAATAATACTCATAAAATTGTCAAATATAATCCTTTCCAATAAATTTACCCCTAAATTAGCTTCAAGTATCTTGAATTTTTAAAAAATGAAAACATTGTAGTAGGTGAGACCAGAGCCAAAGGGTTGACACAGAACATAGAAAACAGCAAAGGAGAAAATATCCTAAAGCTTTGAGAACTGATGTTTGAATATCTTCTTTCTCTTGCTCCCTAAGAAATTAATGAACAGACAACCCTGAAACTTCAAAGCAGTAATGCCCTGCTTTGGGAATTACAACCTCCATCTTGGTTGTTTAAAAATGAGCACACATGGAAATGATGCATCAGCATATCTTTTCAAGTTTTTTTTTCCTGTTGAAAATTAATCAACAACCCTCCAGTTATTTATGGCTCAGTAAATGGGTAAGAAAAATAAGTTCGATCTGTCTAAAAATGAAACAAAAATATTTTTATCACAATGCTTAAGACACAGCCATAGTCAAAAATTGTAACTTGGCAAGAAAAATGTCAGGGGAAAAGCTTACCTCTGCAATCCTCATTCAGTACTACTTTGCAAAGATTAGAGTGTTTTGCTTTTCCTTCCTGAAAATGCCCACACCTCTGTAAGATTATATGTGTAGGTTCTTCATGCCTTCTTGCGTTTAGAGGGTATAGTCAAATGTGAGTGGCAGGATCTGAGTTTCCCCTCTGTCTCTCTGTATATCATCAGAGAGGCCATGTGCACAATGGTTACTCGATCAGTTGTTGAAGCCAGATTGCCCAAGCGTATCAACTGAATGACTCTGGGTAAATTATCTAACGTAGCTATGTCTCTCCTTCATCATCCATAATGTGGAATGATAATAATGCTACCATGTGAGCTTGTTGTGAGAATTAAGTGAGTTAACATAGCAAAGTGTCCAAACTCTGGTTCAGAGTAACTCCTGAATAAAGGGTAGCTATTATCATAGCCAGATCTGGTCACTCCAAAGCTCCAAGATATTGTCTTTTTTTCTGATTGCATATATTCTCAGGTTTGTATCTCCTCCGATTCAACATACACATATATTTTAATGTAGTATAAGAAGTAAGGTTATGCATTTTCTCCCTAGCTGCTCTTTCCACCGAAGCACCAGTACTTCAAAGGCTGTAACAACTATTCCCAAAAGCTTTCAGAATTTGGACTGAACTCAATCACTTTTTCATTTGGTATCTCTCACGTGCTCTAGATGTATGGCCTTTTTCTGACCGATGAGTTTATATCTGCACTACACTGCATTTTAGGAATCTTCTAGCACAAAAAGAAAGACTTGACTTCAGAAGGGATCATGACTGGCCAGTTGATCTGTTAAATAATATGCCAAATACTGAGGAAATAACAAGGAGGAGAAAATTACATTCACACTTCTTTATTGATGCCATTAACAGTGTTTTGTCATCCAGCTGATGAAGTGGTGCCATCTCCCCAAAAGCATCACATCACAAGACTACCTGGAGCCTCATACAACCCCTCACCCCTGTGTTCCAGCAACTCCCTCTGCTCCCAGGTGGGGGGAGGCAAAGGAGGACCAGAGGTGGACTCTGTGAGGATGTGCTAGTTTAGTGGAAGCCAAAGGATTACACCCCTATCCATAAGAATCTCCCTGTGTGTAAAAGTCGTTTCCGTATTGGTATCATCAGAGCCATGGTGCACTCCCGCTGCCCCCCTCCACCACTTTTATGGAGGTCAGAGGACCCTTCTTTGAGTCAGGATGCAGCTCAACCCAATCAGTCACCTGCCTTTCATTGTATGCTGCCTGGCTGCTGAGACCTTACCAAGAATAGCCCTCACCTCCTTTCTGTCTTCTCCCCATGCTTATTTAAACAAATATCTTCTTTCTAATATTGGGCAGAATGGTGAGGGGAAAGCACCCTCTTCCCATCTCTCACCCCTCTCCCAATTATATTTCCCAGTCTGAAACTCATTTCTCTCCCTCTCTCTTTCTCCCCCTTCCTCTCTTTCTCCTTCCTTCCTCAGTTTCTCTCCAGGATTTCATTTTGTTTCAACAATGGATAGTTGTCTAAATGGAGAATACCTTATTCCTCAGAGTATGACAAGAGATTTTTATAAAGTCCCACCTCTGCTTAGGACTCACTGTGTTCCAGATTAAAATCCAAGTCTACCCAGCCTTTCAAGACCGAGCTGTGTGTCAGCCTCCAGCCTCACCTCTTTTGCTCTGTGGCTCACCGCATCCCAGCCACCAGGGGCTTCCTTCATTCATAATGACAGCTGTCATTAGCCAAGCATGCCTAATCCTCACAATGACCCTATGAGGCCAGAGCAGTTATCCCTGCTTCACACATGAGGAAACTGAGGCACAGAGGGTAAGTGACACATGACTAGTAAGGGGCTGGTGTAGGATTTAAATCCAGGCTGTCCAGCTCCAGACCACTGCATGGAGCTGCCTGTCTCCAACATGTCAAGCATACCAAGCTCTTCCCTACCTCAGGGCTTTGGGACATGCTGTACCTGTCTGTTAGACTCCTCTCCCAACCCCTCCACTGGATAACATCTGTTCATCTTTTAGATTTGAGCTGAGATGTTACCTCCTCAGAAAAACCTTTCCAGACCTGCCACCTCCAGTAACAGCAGCGGAAATCGCTCTCCATTGTTATTCTTGGTCATAGCCCTCTATTCCTTTCCCCGTGACTGTTCTTACAACCTATTAACATAAATTATTATTTGTAAGTTTTGATATATTCATATTCCATGTTCAGAAATATTTGCTGTGCTTTCCTACCAGGTCCATCTCTGTTGGGGGCCATTACACTTCCCCACCCCCTTGACATCTGGTTTGGTCACATGACTTGCTTTGGGCAAGGAAATGTGCTCTGAGAAACAAAATTCTAAAGCCATTGTATGGGGCTGCTCCTTTAGCCCTGGTCCAAAAGGGAGAGAGTGACAGGCAGAGCTGTGATAGACCCAACATGAGCAAGGAATAAATCTTTGTTGTAGTAACTCTCTAGGATTTGGAAATTGTTACTGCGTTGTAACTTAGCCAAGGCTGACTGTTCTGTGAGCCTGCTTCATAGTTATCTCCCCACTAGGCTGTGCATTTCATGAAGCCAGGGATTGCATCTGTTTTATTTTCTGCACTTTACTCTGCATCTAGCACAAGGCTTGGCACATTGAAGCACTCAACAAACGTTAGTTGAAGGAATAAACGTGTAATGGATATGCACATAAACCAGCTTTAGAGGACTACCTTTTGGCATGTGTTGTTTATGATACTGAGTGATTAGCTTTTTGTAAGTTAATCAGCTCTCACCTTTCACTGTATGCACTACCCCTAGACTCACCTTACTCCATCTCCCAGCAGACACATAATTTTGACTCTGCTTTTAATTCGTATGCAGTTGCTATGTAAGATTTAATTCCTAGGAGAAAAGTCCCTTTACAACTATTTAGTTTCCTTGGAAAAAAAACAAAGAATTCTCTTAAATATCTTCCTTCCAATAAAGAGTAGCTGGTCCCCAAATGGTCAAGGGACTTAAAAGAACCTATGACACCTCTGAGGCTGTTTGCTCTCCATTCAGGCAAGCTGAAATAAAACACACATATAATGGGAAGATATTACCGAACACATTTTGTAACTATAAGGAAATGTGTTGGCTTTCTCTATAGCAGAAGCTATTCTTCCTGTATTTAAACTATCTCTAAATTCTACAGGTGGATACACAGGCACGTTTTTTGCCTTATAAAGGATTTTGCTAAAGACCCTAAGTAGTAGAGGACATATGAACAGAAGAATTATGTTCTCCTTTGAAGACAGTCTAAGTGATCTGTCCCTTTTCACTATATATCATAAAAGCCATTTGCCCTAGAGGCTTCCAGTGTAAACCTTGTCTCTGAAGATGAGAGTAGGGACCACGTCTTGTTTATATTTGAGTCCCTAGCACCTAGCTTAGTGCCTAGCATGTGATGGAGGCTCAATCAACGTTTGCTTAAAGACTTGGGGCCACTTTTCATTTGCATTTATTTCAGAAAATTTGTAATCAAATGGACGCTGTGGGTGGTATACCAACATGCAACCATTCTTCCTCCTCTGAACCCTTCTCATAGTCAGCACCTGGCTTCTAGCTTCCAGTTATTTGGATCCTGATGATCAGACAGTGTGGGTATCAATCAAGAGTAGACAAGAGATGGAAGAGAACCACATTCTAGTGCTGGCTCTGTGCTGCCCTTATGTGAGCCTGAACCAAATCCCTTCCAAACCTTGTACCTCTTTTGCAAAATGATCCCATGGCCCAAATGATCCTTGAAATCTCTTGTAACTCTGACATGCTTTGCCTTTTTTTTGAAACGCTCCAGATTTGGAAGAACTTTTTCTATCACCATTTTTTCTTACTGCCCAGTCATTAGAGCTATATATACACCAGGCCAATTAGCTGGGTAATTTTTCATGAATACAGGCGTATTCCTAATTAGACAGTGTCTGGGTTCATACTACAACAATTAACCCCCAAGTGGAATAATTGCTGTAGAATGAACACTGCATAATTGTTTTGAAGCTCGTCCTTCCTTCTCATTGACACCCCTCTGGTTACAATAGGAGATGAACTGTCTGCTTTGGGTTTGCCACTTCCTTCTTGACTTCTGCATGGTCTTTGCCATGTGTTCCCCCATTCATCTTCCCAACTGGCTCCCATTGCACGGGTGTCACTATGGCCTGCAGTTAGGCCACTCTCCTGACCTATGACATAGCAGCGCCACGGATTCATTGATAAACTCCCCTCTGCACCTATAGGCCTTCTATAGGTCACAAAGGGCCAAACCTATACCATCCCCCAAAAAGGGTCCAGGAAATCAGGTGGTGTTTATTTTTAGTCTTCCCAGGGTAGCAGCATTCAGGTTGCACAAACTTAACTACTTTTGTCTATTTCCAGAATTTATGATTACAAGAGTAAGAGAGAGAGGCAGCTGCTAACGTAACCCACAGCTAGTCAACCAGACACGTCTGAAACAAGCTACATTTAATACAGCACAAATGGAACAAGTAGTGACAATTGACTGTTACCAAATTTGTTAAAGTGATGCATAGGTATTTAAACTTAAGTATGTTTTTACAGTTGAAGAAAATTGTCTTATTTTAAATAACTGGCAACACACATCCACACTGTGCTTTTTTCCGTTCCTTTCTTCCCACCCCCTGCTAAACATTTCCTGGGATGCTGACAGCTCCGAGGGACTCAGCAACAGGGCAGTATGCAATAATGCATTATCTCTGACCTAGTCACAAGGACCTGAACAGATATTTGGCATCTGTAGTAGAAAATTTGGGCTAGCAGCAGGGATTGGGGCCCAGGTCTGCGTTTCAGATTTAAGGCCTAGTGCAGGGATGAGTGAGAGGCTTGTCAGCTGGTGAGAGAGGCACTAGTAACATAGCAGAGTGGCTGAGATGTTCTCTTCAGAGGCAGGGCTATTACATGCAAACTCCTACTCAGTCATTATATTCTTAAGGGAGCCAGGTACACACTACTAGCTGTGTACCTGGTTCCCTTAAGCCTCAGTTTCTTCAGCTGTAAAATGGGGATATACCTATCTCACATTGTGTGGAACACAATAAAGTATGGGAAGCCTCTTGCATAGGCCCTGGCACACAGTAACATGATAAACACTGGAAATTATTTGTAGTGGAATTATTAACAGCCCTGAATATGAATATGTTCAGTCCTGCTGCCAGCCAAATGAGCAATTTTGAAAAATGTACCCACCACTCAAAACCCTTTGCTGCCAGTAAAAAATATATAAATAAATAAATAAATATACAAATCTACAATGCCAGTCAACCTTCATGGCAACTCTCTAGAGCCAGAGAATGCACAGGTGCACAGTCTGCACACCTGGAAGCTGCAACCTTGAACAGATTTTTAGCAATGGTTGTGCCTCTTCATTTTGGGGTATGCAATTAATGCAGAGGCTCTTCAGTTAGCCACTCTCAATGGCGCGAAAGAAGCCTGTTAGGTAAAATTTGTGGTTCCAGGATACCTGCTTTAATAAGTAGGGTGCTTCTTTTGATGAGGGAAAGAGCACTAGATTGAGGCAAATGAGTGTGTGCTTCCTTTTTTCTGCTCTTTCCCCATTTTCACTCACAACATTGTTAACTACATGAAATAGTATTACAGAGGAGATCATGTACAACCTTGAAGAAGAAAATTAGCCCCAAAGGACAGCCTGAGACCTCATATGGGTGGGGTGGGTGGGTGAATGCATGGAAAAGAAAGATTACCTGCTTTACCAGTAGAGACCACAGGGGCTGAGCAGGGTCTAATAGCACCAGAGACATTCTCTCTTTAGTACCAGCTGAAGGAACTTCCTTCTTGGTTGCTTCTCTGGGCGTATGCTCATTTTTCAAGAGCTCAAGGCCTTAAAGGAGCAGGGAATGGGGAGTGAGCTGAGCTGACTGACTGTCATCTGTTGTAGCGATCTTGGAATGGGAAGTGGCTGGGGTACCATGATGCTCAGTGTCACTCTCTGGAAAATGGCATTATACTACTTATTCCAAGTACCCAGGGAAGTTGTTAAGAGCACCAGTGATGATGCTAGCAGAACTTGAGAAGGATCAACTCTGACTTTCTGACCTTGGGCAAGCCAGCTGAATGCCCCTACCTATAAAATGAGGGGACTGGAATCAATTAACTCAGGTACTCTTGGCTCTGGCAAGACACTGCCATGTTTCAATCCTGGCCCACCACTTACGAAGCAAGTGCCCTTGATGAGTCAGACAAAATTAGTGTGCATTAGAGCTGCTTCTGTCCTGGGCATGTGGAGAATTGTGCTTTCCAATCCCCTTGCATTTGGGCAGGCTCGTGTGACTAGTTCTGAGAGCAAAAATAACATGTATCTTCTGGTTCAAAACACTTCATTGTTGATATGAGACCCTCTCTCCACTTATTAATCAAGGAAGCCCTTTGTCCCATACAGTATCACTCCAAGATGTTGATGGCTATGCCAACCTCATTGCTAAATCACTGCATGTAAGACAGTTGCCCCTGAGAGTCCCTTAGACCCACAGTAGATTTTTTAAAGTGAGACATATAACTTTGTTTTGTTAGCCTCTGAAATTTTCTACCTCAGCTTCTGTTTTTTATAACCTAAAGTTATTAATATAACCTGCCTTATATGATTCTTGTAAGGATTAAATGATATAATATATGTAAATGGCTTATAACAAGGTTTAGCACATAGTAAATACTCAATACACATTTAACCTTCATTATTCTTCTCCTTTGTCCCTGTGATTCTATTATATTATGATTATTAGATGTTATCCTAAACCGTCTGTATTAGTCTCACTGCTATAAAGATACCTTAACGTGGTAATTTATAAACAAAGGAGGTTTAACTGACTCACAATTCCTCATGGCTGGGGAGGCCTCAGGAAACTTACAATCATGGTGGAAGGGGAAGCAGGCATCTTCTTCACAATGTGGCAGGAGAGAGTGGGCTTGTGAAGGAGAAACTGTCAAACACTTCTAAAACCATACCTTGTGAGAAGTCACTATCACGAAAACAGCATGGGGGGAACCACCCCCATGATCCAATCACCTCCCTTCCTCCACACAGGATTACAATTTGAGATGAGATTTGGGTGGGGATACTGAGCCAAACCATATCATTCTGCCCTGGCCCCTCCCAAATCTCATGTCTTTTCACATTTCAAAGCCAATCATGCCTTTCCAACAGTCCTCCAAAATCTTAACTCATTCCAGCATTAACTCAAAAGTCCACAGTCCAAAGTCTCATCTAAGACAAGGCAAGTCTCTTCTGCATATAAGCCTGTAGAATAAAAAGCAAGTTAGTTACTTCCTAGATACAATGGAGGTACAGGCATTGGGTAAATGCTCCCATTCCAAATGGGAGGAATTGGCCAAAACAAAGGGGCTACAGGACCCATACAAGCCCAAAATCCAACAGGGCAGTCATTATATGTTAAAGCTCCTAAATAATCTCCTTTGACTCCATGTCTCACATCCAGGTCATGCTGATACAACAGGTTGGCTCCCACAGTCTTGGGCAGCCCTGCCCCTGTGGCTTTGCAGGGTATAACCCCCTTCCCATCTGCTTTCACAGGCTGGCATTGAGTGTCTGTGGCTTCTCCAAATGCACAGTGCAAGCCGTCGGTGGATCTACCCTGCTGGGGTCTGGAGGATGGTGGCCCTCTCCTCACAGCTCCACTAGGCAGTGCCCCAATGGGGACTCTGCACGGGGGCTCCAACCCCATGTTTCCCTTCTGCACTGCTCTAGCAGAGGTTCTCCATAAGGGCACCACCCCTGCAGCAAACGTCTGCCTGGACATCCAGACATTTCTATACATCCTCTGAAATCTAGGCAGAGGTTCCCAAACCTCAATTCTTGACTTCTGTGTACCCGCAGGCCTAACACCACATGGAAGCTGTCAAGGTTGGGGCTTGCACCTCTGAAGCAATGGCCTGAGCTGTACCTTGACCCCTTTTAGCCACAATTGGAGCTGAAGTGGCTGGGACACAAAGTGCCATGTCTTGAGTCTGCACAGAGTAGCCAGAACCCTGGGCCTGACCCATGAAACCATTTTCCCTCCTAGACCTCCAGGCCTGTGATGGGAGGGGCTGTGGCCAAGATCCCTGACATGTCCTGGAGACATTTTCCCCATTGCCTTGGCAATTAACATTAGGTTCCTTGTCACTTACACAAATTTCTGCAGCTGGCTTGAATTGCTGCTTAGAAAATGGGGTTTTCTTTTCTATTGCGTCATCAGGCTGCAAGTTTTCCAAACTTTTATGCTCTGCTTCCCTTTTAAACATGTATTCCAATTTCAAACCATCTCTTTCTGAATGCATAAAACTGAATGCTTTCAGAATAATCCAGGTCACATCTTGAATGCTTTGCTGCCTAGAAATTTCTTCTGCCAGATACCTTAAATCATCTCTTTCAAGTTCAAAGTTCCACAGATATTTAGGGCACGGTCAAAATGCCAGTCACTTTGCTAAACCAAAGCATGAGTGACCTTTACTGTAGTTCCTAATAAGTTCATCTTCTTTATCTGAGACCACCTCAGCCTGGACTTCATTGTTCACATCACTATAAGCACTTCGGTCAAAACCATTCAAGAAATCTCTAGGAAGCTCCAAACTTTCCCACATCTTCTCATCTTCTGAGCCCCTCTAAACTGTTCCAACCTCTGCCCGTTACCCAGTTCCAAAGTCATTTCCACATTTTCAAGTATCTTTATAGCAGTACCCCACTCCTGGTACCAATTTACTATATTAGTCCATTTCCATACTGCTATAAAGGACTTCCCTGAGACTGAGTAATTTATAAAGGAAAGAAGTTTAATTGACTCAGGGTTCCACATGGCTGGGGAGGCCTCAGAAAACTTACAATCATGGTGGAAGGGGAAGCAGACCCTTTCTTCACAAGGGGTCTCATTCTGCTATGCAGGAGAGAGAGAGTATATGAAGGAGTAACTGCCAAACACTTATAAAACCATCAGATCTCAAGAGAACTCACTCACTATCACAAGAACAGAATTGGGAGAAACTGCCCCTGTGATTCAATCCACTCCCTTCCCTCACATGTGGGAATTACAGGCCCCTCCCTCAACACAGGGGGATTACTATTTGAGATGAGATCTGGGTGGGGACACAGACCCAAACCATATAAACCGGTGTCTTGATTTCAGACTTCCAGCCCCCAGAGCTGTGAGAAAACAAATTTCTGTTGTTTAAGTCACTCAGTCTATGGTGCTTGTTATGGGAGCCTGAGAAAACTAAGATACAGCTCCTTTCATTAAAATTTTTTGCCATCTGATCTTTTAAAAAAATTATTTATTTTATTTTAAATTATTGGGGTACATGTGCATATTTGTTACATGGATGTATTGTGTAATTGTGAGGTTTGGGCTTCTAGTGTACCAGTATTCCAAATATTCCAAATAGTGACCATTGTACCCAATAGGTAATTTTCCAACCCTCACCCTCCCTCCCAACTTGCCCCCTTTTGGAGTCCCCAGAAGACTATGCCCCTTTTGCAGGCTTCCACAGTACTCATACTGCTCCAAGCTAGCAACAATTATGTTGAATTTGAATTGTGCACTCAGTTGTTAATGTTCTCTACCAGACTTAGAGCCACTTAAGGGCCTAAGATTGTATATTTTCCCTCTAAGCACTCCCATATTTATCTAAGTATTATAAGTGAATGTTCCACAGACATTTGTTGAATGAATGAAGAGTGAATGCTCTTGAGCTCTTTCTTTCGGCCTAATAAAACACCACTGGGTGGGGCTGAGAGTGTGTTGCACAACCCAGAGTGAGATATCTGTGCACCTTGAGTTGTTCTCAAGGATGGTGGCCTTGCAAACAGGAAGTCACTGAAATCACTTTAATACCCTATTGCATAAGACAGGAGAAAGTAAACTAAGTGAAAAAGAAAGAGCTTGGCATCTGGCAAAATCAGTGTGTGATTAACAAAAGAAGAACTGCTCTGTGGTTGATTGGAGAATTGGAGTTATTCCTAGTTGTCTGCTATGAAAGAGCCTTTCTGTGGAGACAATGGAGTAATAAAATATTTTTATTTCTGGGCCAATATTCTGGTCTGAAAAAATATATTCGGGAAAAAATGTTATATTGGTACATTTGAGTACCTATCATCTATATAGTCCCAATATGTAACACATTAAATTTTAATAGGATTTTATATTTTTATTATTTCCAAGCATTTCACTTTGATTATTTTGCAGCAACTCTCAAGAGTAGACAGGCAAGTACAGGGGTGGTAGCCACCAATCACATTGTCTGCCCAACCTCCTTGACCTCTTTTGGGGATTTGTTCTCTCTTATGTTATAGAATATCCCTGGCACCCAATCTTAAGATTTGAGAGGGTTTCCCAAACATAGAACTTCATCTCCCTGGCCACAAAAGGGCACATAATACAAGATGGGCCAGTCAAAGCTCGTCTGTAGGTTGGCTCCCGTGGAAATAAGAAAAGAGAGAAATTTTCTATCTGGTGGTAGAGCTGGAATAAAGAAGCACTGGATTTGCCTGTGGTTATGTATCTCATCTCATGGGGCACTCCACTTGGAGAGAAGGAAGCCAACATATTGAGAGAAGCCAAGGCAAGCAATGTTTTGAAGATTCAGCTCTCTTTTGGTTGTAAGCTACAGAACCTCAACTTACTTTAAACAGCTTAGGAAAATACGGGAGCTCATTGGCTTATTTTACAAACTGCAGAAAAGTTTTTGGTATAATTGAGTTTTAGAAATGACTGAAACTGTTAGGACTGTCTATTTCCCAGATATAACTACTGAGGCTCAGAGAAGTTAAATGTGTTATTCCAGTTAGAAAAGAGGAAGTGGAAATTACAGTTTATGAACACTTACTATATGCCAGGCAATAGATTTTATGCTTTATATATTTTCTTATCTTACACTGGAAATAGAAGTCACATAGCTAATACTGGCAGAGCTGGAATTTGAACCCAAGCCTGTCTGGCCCCAAAGGCTATGATTTATCCCTGTACCAGAATGTCTGTGTGTGCCTTGTTAAGAAGTAACAAAGCCAAATATTTTAAGTGTTGAGCAAGTCTTCTTTCCACCATATTATGCTGCCTATCCTCAGATCTTTGAGGCAAAAGTCTAGAAGGAGATTCATAATTTACCTATGTGTTAAAACATATTATCTAACCTTCATCCTTTTTTATAATACAAGAATATACTTTGTTCTTCTGTAATCAGTCCTTACCTGTCTAAATACTTTCCTGACTAACAGGACTACATGTCATATTCCTGAATCAGGGATTGGCTGCAAGTGGTGTTGATTCTTGAATAGAAACCAAACTTGCCATTCCTGTGCGCTGTCAAATATGATAAAAATGTAATATCACTAAAAGCTTGATTTTGCACCTTGGCTAAGCCTTCAGCAGAAGTGCTGTGAGACCACATGTTCCCTGAGGAAGTCTTCTAGTGTAAACAAACCAGCAAGAAGGGAAGAATGAGGAGTGAAAGAGAACCCCAAAGGAAAAGACAGATCAACATGAAGAATAGAAGTAACAATGTGAAGAAGAATGGCCAAAAGAGGTTATGATCCAAGCAGTAAGTGAAATAAACAGAGGATACGGGCATGAAGAATGGACAACTGGAACAAAGGAGGGGCTGAACAAAACCAGGGATAACTCTAAAGAAGAAGAGGAAAGGTGAGCAGACAGAAGAGTCCAAGAATAGTGAAATATGGAGCCAATCACTGGTACTCACCAACAGAGAAGAAAATCCTAAAGAGAAGACAATGACCAAATCATTTGCACACTGCTTTGGAATGCAGTTTTCCCTTGGAGAAGAGGATTCTGGGAAAGCTGATAGACACTCCAATGTGCTTCATTGTGCTTGCATTTCCCAGCACATAGGGCCAGGTGGAGGCAGGAAGTGGGACACACTTCACAGAATTACTTCTGATTACATTCCAGTGACTCCACAAAGTTGATAAAGAATCTGCAGAAAACTTACCATGAGCTATACAAAGAAGGTAAACAAAATATTTCTCAAGTAGGTTGTGAATGAGTACATAAAAATGGAAGAAAAATGGAGAATAATATCTAAGAAAACAAAGTAAGAACCATGAGAGAAAATAAAATGAAGGAAATACAAAGAGATATTTAGCAACTGAAGGTGAGCTTTGTAAGTGAGAATTGAAACGAAACCCTTTTGGGGTATGAAAGTCTGAAAACAGGAAAGCCCCATGAACTGGAATTGGGCCCCACAAAAAGATAGGGGCAGACCAGGCAGAACCCCAAAGTCACTGTTAAGGATTTTAATGCACAGTCTAAGATCAGTAGAAAACTATTACTAATCCTAGGGGAAGGGAGGAATAATGAGAAGAAGGGGTAACATAACCACATTTGCATTTTGAAGATTGCTCTAGCTAGAATGTGGGGAACGGATTGGAAGAGGGCTAGATTAGATGCCAGGAGACCAGAGAAAAGGTTATCTCAAACGGTCTAGATAAGAGATCATGGCAAGTTAGGCTAAATTGATGCTAGTGACGATGGAGGGAAGTGGGAAGATTTGAGAAATGATTTAAGCAATGAAATTAGACAAGGCTTCACAGGGCATTAGACATGGAGAGTGAGAGAGAAGAAGGTGGCAAAGATGAAATATCAATAAGACTTTATTAGAATAGTTTTGTCATCCTGTATTAATCAGGACTCTTTAGGTTACAATGGACAGAGTCCAACTTAAACTTGCTTATACATAGCTAATACTGGCAGAGCTGGAATTTGAATCCAAGCCTGTCTGGCCCCAAAGGCTATGATTTATCCCTGTACCAGAATGTCTGCGTGTGCCTTGCTAATAAGTAACAAAGCACACAAATGTTTAAAGAAACATTTGTTTCTTTAACTGAAAAGTCCAGAGGTGGATCTAAATTCATGTGCCACTTGATCTGGGGGCTCAAATAATGTTACAGGATCCCACCTTTTCCTAGTTCTTGTCTCTGCTCCCCTCCACATCAGCTTCATTCTCAGAAACCCCATGTGGTGGCAAAGTGGCTGTCAGTAGTTCCATATCGACAAGTCCAAAGACAAAGAGAAAGGTTCTCTTCACAGGAGATCCCACATAGGCCTGGATCAACAGGAAAAGTGTTGCAGGAGAGAGGATGGGAGTCTTTATTCCTTTATTTCCTTTGAGAATTTCTCAAAGGAAATTCAGGATACTACCATCAAAGCGAGGAGAAACAGATGCTGGTGGCCAAAACACAGTGGCCACTCATGACACATTTCCAGTAAGGCCATAGCAGTCTAGACAGATGCTTCCCTCTTTGAAATCACAAATTAAGTTATAAACATGCACATGTTCTCTTGACTAAAAACTGATACAGTTTATAGCCAGGTCAATGCATCACATAATACAAGACTACTTAACATTTTCAAACTGTCTGACATTGTGAAATTATTGGTGGATTTAATCACTTGCTCAGAACCAAAGTATAATCTTGTAATCTATTTGTAGCTCTGAATAAGTAAAATCTTTTGTGTGGTAGACACACCTGATAGCAATAACTTAAGCGTACTCTGAGAATGACCCTGTATTGCAAACATACCTGAATGCATGTTCTGAGCTAGGGAATCCAGAAGTGGCCAATCCAGAGATTAGTTACTTGTCTATAAAGAACACCTGAGCCTCTCTCCCATCCCATGAAATACAGGGGAGCAAGGCCCTGAGTTTGGGGTTGAATGAGAGTTACCAGGTGGAGATTGTTAGGGAAAGCATGCTAAGTGAAAATGCTACATAAATTCATACCTTTTGCAAATGGTTGTGGTTCTCCTGCAGCCTGCTGCCCCTGGACTATATGTAAAGTAAGTCTCCTGTCCAGTCTGCTATACTGGACTCTCTCTCCTGTGTATGTAAACCCCCAATAAAACCCCATGACTTATTTGCTGGCTCTGGGTCTCTTCTTCAGCTTCTCGAATCTCGTGCCATTTCCACTGAAGTTGATGGGGGTTTGGCACAACATCTGGGAAATGATTTTGAGGCATCACTTTATTCTTGGTAAGAAATAGTTACAAAACAAACGCAAAGTATGTTTGCTCCTTAAAATATTTGGTAGTTGTAGTGTGGGACTATGCAGGCAAAAAAGCTGAGAACAAAGGATTCATGTAGTCAGTAAGCAGACCTGTTTTAGATCATAGCTAGGTTGTTGATTACTTATGGCTGTTGGTTCCTTACAGATTATAGGTTGATTGCAGACAACAGATAACAACTGTTGATTACTTACAACACATGTTTTCATTGCGTAGTGGTAGCAGTGCAGGCTGCCTGGCTCACATCTTGCTTTTGACACTCACTGGCTGTGTGACCTAGATCAGGTAATTTAACCTCTCTGTGCTTCAGTTTCCTTATCTGTAAAATAGAAATAACAATAGTACTGCTTTAAATGGTTATTATCAAGATGAAATGAATTTACTTATTGTAAAATGCTTACAACAGTGCCTGGTACATAATAGCTGCTATATATGTATTTGTTTAATAAACTTGAGAGTTTTTATTTCACCTTTCTGAGTCTCGATTTCCTGATCCACAAAATAAACATCATACTACCTGCAACTTCTCAAGATTGCTCTGTGGTTTAAATGAGATAATTGTACATGAAGTTCCTCATACAGAGTTTTCCACAAAGCATTCAATAAATACAGTCTCCTTTCCCCTTTCAAACACTAGAAAACTCTTTATATTAATAAGCATTCAAATGGATCTAAGCCTCAACCCTACCTAGTTATTCTCTATTTCTGCACCCTTCCATATTTCTTCATGGCCCTCCCACTAGACGATAAACTCCAGAGGCAATTAGCATGCCTGAATTGTGCACAGTGTTCACAATGGATGTGCACATCGATAGGCACATGGCAGATGCTCAGTAAACAGTTACTAAACAAATGCATGATTATTCATTGCTTCATTTCAATGCACTTTGTCCACTTATTAGTTGTACTCAGATACTTGAAGACAGACTCAGCAAAATGAACAACTCATGATCCAGACCTTTTTTTTTCTTGCTGTGTAAAAATTCCATCTATATAAAAATAACTGTGCAGGGCTGTAACCAGCTGTCACTTCATGTAGACATGTGCAAGCACAAAGCCCTGTGTGATGGGCATAGTTCTTGAGTTGTGCCGTGTTACACTCCGTCAGATGGAATATGTTAGGGAAGCAAGCGTTAGTCCATAACTTTAAAATTAGGAGGAGGTATTTTGCAGATAGAAAAATAAGGAATTTGAGAGATGTGTACTTAACAAACAAACAACTATTTGCTTCCAAAGTTTTAACTTAAGATAGGCCTGATCTTAGTCCAAAACATTGTAATAGAAGAAACTTCAGGATGGTTTCTCATCATTTGGATCCTTTTCCATTATTTCTATTGTCCTGGGCAATAAATTTCAGTATTTGATCAAATAATGGCAGATTCCATGCAATCCCATTCAGGTATCCCCAGTTTATCTATAATGATTTTCCTCTTGTCAGCTCATTTCTTAAATCTTTGTTGAATCTGGTTTCAATGGTACTATAAACAATCATCATTGCATTGTAAAACTAGAAACCCTCCACTAAAATAGTGTTTTGATCTGGGTTGCCATAGTAATAAGTGTATGCTCCCCTCTTTGGAGGCCTTGTTATATGAAGTATCTGTGATTTGCTCAGAATGGCCCCAGTTCATCTGTCAAAATGGGTTTTTCCTTTTTTAAAATAATGATCTAGAAAATCCCACAGTGGCCACAAATATTTCACAACCATAACGAGGAGCATTGGAGTAGTCAAGCTTTATAAATCTATGCCATTATTACATTAGAATAAATCATGTTTCTTAGGTATGTTACATAGGCCTTTGTAAGCCTAATTTTAGATCGGCTGTTCAACAAAGGTGCGGTTGTTTATTATGAAAAGAGAATTATTAAGTGTGACTTCAAAAATGCATCATATGTCAGTTCATGTAGAGGGACCCTGGAGCAAAAAAATGGAAATTACTTCTTATTTCTATCAAAATACTGCAAATAGCTATTCAGGTTCAAACTTAGTTACAATTAGAATGTGATGAACAATGATTTTTTATAACAGCATGAAATCATACATTCCATTCACGTTTGGGTTCAAGTTATTCATTGGTAGGAGGGGATAAAATGAGAAATACTGCAAATTTATCAGTGTCACCATGAAGAAAATAATGATGTACATTATTTAAAATAAAAATGTTCTAGTCAGTTACAGTAATTTGATACAAGAACTATGATATTTTTTCCTGCAGGAATGAGAGTAAACAAACACTATATCAACAAACCAGCAATAGAATCCACAAAGGGGTGGAAGATTATTTTTCATCTAAGACAAATGGTGAAGTTGGTTACTTTCTGTAAGTCACTATCAGCTACAGGGTTATTTTGTATACTGCTGGCTACTGCCTCATAATATCTGATGTGGGAATATTAACAATATCAGTGGGCAAAAGAACAGGAAGAATCCATCTGTATTCAATGAATTCTAATTAAAAAGTAATTACGGCACAATGAGGTTGCTGCCAGTTTTATTGCCTCTTCCTGACCGCAAACCACACACATGAAGTGTTAGTCTTCTGCTATTTGTATCCTGCTAAACAACCAGAAAGGCAGGCAGGAACCAGACCCACATTTCCTTCCATTTTTCAGGTGACTTAGTTTTAAATAACTGCAGCCCCAGAAGACATTCAGGGGCAAGAGGTGGTGCACATCTTCTGTTATAATTGACCTGGGCTTTGAGATTTCTCTGTCATGATGTATCCCAGAATGTTGCATGATGGGAAGACCCTTGTTATTCCTCCACCAGCCGAGCCAAACGGACAAGATCAAGTAGGCCTGGGACTTGGGAAAAAAGGGAAGAAATATTGACAGATAAGTAACCACTCCAGGAAATGACAGGCAGCTGGAGCAGTGTGGGTACTCTTCGGATTCAGATGTAATCCTTTAACCTCATGCTCAAACTCTGTAATCTTTCAATGAGATGGAAGAGAAAAAGGAAAAAAGCAAATTGCTTAATCAAAGCCCTTAATGTGTGACCAGGATTAGTAACTAAGTCAGAATGACAACCTGCAGGTATAAAAAGTCTTCATAAGATGGCCTCAGTACTAATGAAGTCGTATCTGCAGGGCTGAAAATAAAGAAGAATAAGCTGGCATTTCAGTTGGCATAGACAATTTTCTCTACCTGAAAACAGGCATACAAAACTGATTTCCTGATCAGCAATTTTTCTTTAACCACTACAAGGAAGGGCTACAGCCTGCATTCTTTCTGGTTGGCAAACTTCCCACTTCACCCACATTCTATAAAATTGTCTTTATCTAATAGACAACATAACAGGTGTCAGTTGGGTTTCTGTTTAAAGAGGAAGAATAGACTCTGGCATAAGTCATTTGCTGCTGAGGGCACTAAAAGACGTCGGGGTTCTTTCTTGGAAAGGAAGTGCTAACAGACTAAAGTGGCTGTCAATTCACATTAAAAATGGAAAGTGATAGCCCACTAGATTTATACAGCATCCTTTGAGGCAACCATCCATGTTATACTGAGTTTTTGTGTCAACCCTCAGAAATGGTGGGAAGTGCGCATTAGTTACCCTGTCCTACAACAGGCCGTTCTGAGGTCCTGATGAGCGATTCATTATCACCATGATAGTAGTTATGTTGCAAGAGCAGTCTTATCAAGAACAACGTATTTCAGCCATTTGGCCCACCTTCTCCCCAATCCATTACCAATCTTCCACAAAATAAACAATCACGAATGCTTTATGCCTCTGTAACAGTCTGGTCTGGCTTAGCCCATGGAAGAGTAAGTCTGTGGGGTCTACAATTGTCCCCCATTGCCTCTTCTCTAGTTTTGTATCAGTTTTCTATTGCTGTATAACAAATATCTCCAAAACTTAGCTGCTTAAAACAATAAGATTTTGTTATCTCACAGTGTCTGAGTGTCACAAATCTGAGAATGACTTACTTGGGTGGACCTGGTTCAGAGTCTCTCGTGAGGCTGTATCACCGAAAGTTACACTATATAACTGAAAATCTGCAGTACATACTCTGGTGAAGCTAAAATAATTTAAGTGACACGACCCCTGTCTCATCAAAGCCACATATGCAAGGAACAACCTAGCAGATACCCTGGGTTCATTGAATTCATTGCTGAACCAGTTTTCAATATATCCATGTCTTTGTCTCTGACTCTCTGCTTTATAACCCTACTATATATCAATCACTTTTCTCCTCTTCTGCCCCACAATGAGCAGACTTCTGAGGTTTTACCCCATCTGTTCTACTTTTTAGACTTTGACTAAGACTTTCTCCTTCCTGGTGTAGCACCTACTTGGAGAGATATCATTGGAGCAGATCTTCTTAGAATGGCCTGTTTGTGAGCTAGATTAATAGATCACTAATGAAAGAACCATATTCCAGTCTTCTTTTTACCTCCAATGCCTAGTACAGCCTCTGGCATATAGAAAGCCCTTAGTAAATGTTTGAATTGAGTTGAATCATTGCTCTAGTCTTAGCTTGTCACAAACACCATTTAACACTGAAGCACAGCCTTAACAGGAAATTTTTACTAATATCCTAACTATAGATTGGTGAAGAAATCACTCATTTCTTAAGTATTCAATTTGAGCACCTACTATTTAACTATTGAAAGACTACTAGTGGCAATGCACTACACGTTAATTTTGCAGTGATGTGCAAACCCACAGGACATTTGATCTCATGAAACTTAGAATCTAGTTTATTCAATAGGTGCTTAGTAAATGTTGGTAGCTGATAGAGTAATATATGATAGTGACCTTCAAATATGTAAAGGACTGTCTCATAAGGAAGAGGCTAAACTGGCCAGGCACGGTGGCTCACACCTGTAATCCCAGCACTTTGGCAGGCCGAGGCAGGTGGATCACTTGAGATCAGGAGTTCGAGACCAGCCTGGCCAACATGGTGAAACCCCCATCTCTACTAAAAATACAAAAATTTGGGTTCCATGAGTTACCAGGATGTGAATTTCAACTGAATTTAAATAATGACATTCTAGTACAGGAGTTGTTGAACACTGGGGAGGAATAGCCTTTGGGATTAAGGAGCGTCCCAGCACTAAGAGGCTAGATGAGCATCAATTAGGGGATACTGCATTAACAATGATAACAGCAATAATAATAGAGGCTAACATTGATAAGGTGCTTACTATATGCCAGGCATTGTGCAACACTCTATAAAGGAGGTGCCACTACCATCATCATTTTGTAGATGAAGAAAGTGAGGCCCAAATAGGTCCAGAAATCAAATACAGGTAGTCCGACTCCAAAGCCTGTGTGCTTAGCACTTACTCCTCCCACTCGCTAATGAAAGAATCCTCCAGCAAGTGGAAAGTAGGCAACACTGAGATTTTTCTGTTGCTGTATTTCTCTCTATGGGCACCTATGAAACCAGGACCCAGGATTTGTGGTTGCATTGAATAATGGCAGAGATATGAAGAAAGCCCTACTGCAATTCTCCCTCTCTCCCCAACTCAGGAGAAGCACCAACAGACTGGTTTCTGCAGTCTACCTACACGAGACCATGACTTTTTAAATTAAACTAAAACCTTTGTTTAATCACAAAGCCTTGGGCCGGATCATACTTTAAGCTGGTGAAAGGTCAAGAAACTGTATCACAGAAGGAAATGTTGAAAGAACTGGATCTGCTTTGGCTAAAAGACAAAAGAAAAGGAGAGATATGTCTTTAAATATTTGAAGAATTGTCACTTAGAGAAGGAAGTCGACTTATTTTTGTTTTTGTCAAAGGCCCAATGGGAATCAGTAGTGAAAGGTGTCCCATGACTGCTTTCTCTATGACATTAAGAAAGAACTTCCTAATGGTTAGCACTGCCCAATAATGGAATGGACTTCCTTGGGATGTTGTGAGTACCCCTTTATTAGAAGATTTTTGCAGGGATACTGAAGAAGAGATTCCTCTACTTTTAAGAGTTTTCAATCCTAAATTACATACCTCTTTGGTTAGTAATCTATACTTTTGTACAGGCATTAATAGCTATATTTCTGTGATTTCAAAAATTTATTTAAAAATATTAAAAATACAACATAAAGTAAAAATCATCCATAATCTCACGACTTAAAGGATAATCAAGGAAAGAGGCAAAGACTTCAGCAACTCTAATTCTCCCCGCCATTGTTCACAGCTTGACTAAATTCAAGACAAAAGAATTCAATTGCTAATATTAATGAGAGTTAATAATTAATAATTAAGTAGGTGACATGGTATGGGTTGACATATATGTGTGTGTATGTGTATATACTTTTGTCCTAAATATATGCATTTACATATATACACAAATACATTTTTAGGGTTGACTTATTAAAATTGTGCTTTGAACTGCATTTGAGCCGGCTTTAAGGATGGAAATTGGCTTTTAAAACTAAAGCTTTATTTTTATTTCTTTCTTCACCTAAAGGCTAAATATTGTTGAGGGTTTTCCAGTCTGGGGATTGTCTTGTTTTCTCTGGCTTCAAAGTAAAATGAGGCAGAGTGTGTGTGCATGCGAGTGCACCCACTGCGGAGGAGTCAGTGGTGCGTTTACCCCCAGGACACACGGGGGAGCTGCAAGAGTGCTCCCAGAGGTATTTTTCCCTATAAGCCTGTTCGTCTTGTCTTCCTTTATCTCAGAAAAAGGTGCTGTCCACTCATCTGTGCAGGCCAAAAACATAGGAGTTGGCCTAAATTTATCTCTTTCCCTCACTCTCTACTTCCAGCCCATCAGCAAGTCCTGCCTCCAAATTTATCCCAAATCTGACCACCTCACTATCCTTACCCAAGCAACTGGCAGTCCTACTTGGGATTCTTTTAGAGTGCCCCTGCTTCTAGTCTTGTTCTCTATAATCCTTCTGCACATAGCATCCAGAGGGACTTCTTTATTAAACATAAATTCATCCTCTGCTTAAAACTCTCCAGTGGCTTCCCATCACATTTAGGAGACATTCAAACTCTTTACTCTGACCATAAAGCCTCACTGACCTGACCCTGCCTACTTCTTCTGTGGCTTCTCCAGACCTTTGGTCTGGTCCTCATAGATACCATACTTGTGCCCACCAGGGAGCCTCCATAGCAGTGGCCCTCTGAGGAGTGTCACTCCCCCCTAACTTTGCATGTCCATCTCTGTTTGATTCAGAGCTCAGCTCAGATATCACCTCATGGACAGGTGTCCCCTGACCCCCTCATCTGTCAAAGTAACTTTACATCGCATGGCCGTCTTTTAATTCTCTGTGTACCTCTTACAAGCTTGGGTTTATTTCTATCTCTTGTCTTTCCCATTTTCTCTCTCTTTTAATTTCTTGTCTGTCTCCCTGACCAAAACACAAGATCCCCTTGTTAACTGCTAAATCCTCAGCTCCTAGAACAAAGCCTGATGTCCAATAAGTATCCAGTAAATATTTGTTGAATAAACAAAAGTGCGACTGATTAATGGTGCCAGACAATGAACATCCATTCCACTGATTGTTTTTTCTCTTGTACCTCAGCTCTCCTGTTAGTAACTGGATAATGTTAGGCTTTTCATGCCGTGGTAATGAGACCAGCTCTGAGGTCTCGTAGCCTCTGAATGAAAAGCCCAACTCTTGGGACACATTTGTGAACATGTGTGAAATCAAGCATGAAAAAGAATCCAAGGCATTCTTATGTGGTTCTAACTTGTGAAGATAACTGCTAAAAAACTAAAAAAGGTTGGAAGGAAACTTCAGGATCAGGCAATTCCCCATTTGCTCTCAACACCATTAGCTCTCTGTCCATTAAAGCATTGTCACTGATAGAGGCAGCCAGAGTCAGAAAACTTGGGTTCAACTTTTGTAAATTAACACTGTGAGTGCCTTATGTTCTTGTGGTGGTCATGACTTGTAATGGTCATGACCTCCACATTGATTGGCACCTGGTTAGAAGGATGAATTGATCTTTTTTCCCCTGAAGTCACTGTCCTGAATAAAACTCCAAAATAATTCTTATTGAATCAAATCTTCCAGTGAACTGTTTATTAAGTATCTACAATACACACACAAATTCCAGTTCTATGAATGCCTAACTCTATGTCTGCATGTGTGTGGTGCATATATATATATACACACACACGCATACATTCATACATTCATTCCACTGACTGTATATAAATATATGCACAATATGTATATATGTGTATATACAATTATATACAACATATACACAATATGTATATACAACATATACACAATATGTATATATAATATATGCACTATATATACACAATATGTGTATATATAATATATGCATATATACAACAGGTATATAAATATATACATAATATGTATATATAATGTATACATAATATGTATGTATAATATACACATACTGTGTATATATTATTGTATATATTATGTATACATATTATACATTTTATATATAATTATATGCAATAATATATATTAATGATGTATACAATTATATATTACATAATATGTAATTATTTGTGTATAATATATACATATTATGTAATATATACACGTACAATACGTGTATATAACATATATTGTATATATACAATATGTATGACCACTACGTGTGTGTATATATATGTATGTGTATATATATATGTATGTGTGTATATATATGTATGTATGTGTGTGTATATATATATTTATATATATATATGCAAACACACATATACACACATACAGCTGGGCATTCACAGAATTGGAATTCAAACCTGGCCTCTTAGCTATTAAGTTTTCACTTCCCTTGCGTTTTTCCCATTCACAATCATTAAGCAACCAGTAGGGTGTAATTCTCAGTGTAAACGACTCATTTTGCATTCTGTTGTGGACAGCAACCTCTGGAGTGTCTGGTCAGTGGAGAGTAACCCCAAGAAATCAATCACTTCCAAGGACAATGATGCTTAGGAACTTCTGGACAGACAAAGCTGAAGACCAGGCCTCCTGATGCTTCCTTCCCACAGGTGCCCTGCCCTAGTGGCCCCCTAGCCTTCTGAGGTGACAAAACCCGCATTGCAGACTGGTTTTCACTGCTAAGCCACTCGCACCACTTCTCACCCCGGCAGTCAATGAATGTCTGCTCTTACGAAGAAACCTTCACTCATCTTTTCTTCTTAAACCAGTTCCACAGTTAAAAAAAAAACAAAAATGAGGAAGTGTTTTTAAAATATAACTTGCCAAATATTATTATTATTATTTTCTCAATGCCTCTTCCTTTTGAGACTAAGGTAGTGTCCTCTGTTAGACAGGAGAGAGGGGGTAAAGAGAGGAGAGAGTCCTGTGGGTCAGGCATCTGGTACTGTGACAGGGCCTGAGAACAGGAGACCTACCGATGCGGCTGCACCTTCCCAGGCCCACCATCCCCACAGTCCCCCAGAGAAGACAGTGAGTGTAAAGTATGTACAGAAGAGAAGGGCTCGAATGTTCTTAACATTATTTTATTAATTTTATCCTGTATCAACACACACTCCACGTGGACCTTTGGCAGTTGGCAGAAACTGCTTTTTTTTTTTTTTTTTTTTTGAGATGGAGTCTCGCCCTGTTACCAGGCTGGAGTGCAGTGGCATGATCTCGGCTCACTGCAACCTCTGACTCCCTGGTTCAAGTGATTCTCCTGCCTCAGCCTCCCGAGTATCTGGGATTACCAGCACACGCCACCATGCCCAGCTAAATTTTGTATTTTTAGTAGAGATGGGGTTTCACTTCGTTGGCCAGGATGGTCTTGATCTCCTGACCTCGTGATCTGCCCACCTTGGCCTCCCAAAGTGCTGGGATTACAGGCATGAGCCACCGCGCACAACCTGAAACTGCATTTTTAAAAGTAGACTTTTCCCACAACGGCAGACAAAAGCCCATCACCTTCCATACAACAGAGGAAAAAATAATCTCCTGTTCACAATTATGGAAATATCAATGAGCTCAAAGGCAGTTTTACAGTTCATTCAAACACTGATAAGTCATAATAGTTTTAAAAATTGATGACCATGGAGAGAGGATTTTAATGACAGGAAATATTGTTAAATGAAAGGGTTTTAATTGTGCAACACAAATTATTCCTTAAGATTTTTTTATATGAATCATCAAGCTGTATTCACTAAAGCATTTTAATAGAAAAGGTCATACTTTTTACTTCTTGGCTAAAGTTTTAAGCTTTCATTACCTAAAATAAAATGGCCAAGTTCTATACAGAATTGATTTTAAAGATAAGTTAATTCAACAAAGTGTGTTGTAGTTAGCATAAGGCACTTAGATGTAACAGTTGATTTTAACAAACACTCTGTAAAAAGCCAATAATTTAACTGGCTCTATCTTCTATTTTAAAACGTTTTCTCATTTTTAATTTTTGCGGGTACATAGTAGCTGCATATATTTATGGGGTACATTAAATATTTTGATACAGGCCTACAAAGCATAATAATCACATCAGGGTAAACAGGGTATCCATCACCTCAAGCACTTAACCTTTCTTTGTGTTACAAACTATCCAATTATAGCCTTTTAGTTATTTTTAAATATTCAGTAAATTATTATTGACCGTAATCAACCTGTTGTGCTACTAAATACTAGATATTATTCCTCTTATTAAACTGTATTTTTGTACCCATTAACAATCCGCATTTCCTCCACCCTCCACACTATCCTTCACAGCCTCGGTAGCCATCATTCTACTCTCTATCTCCCTGAGTTCAACTGTTTTGATTTTTTGGCTCCCATAAATAAGTAAGAACATGCAAAGTTTCTCTTTCTGTGCCTGACTTATTTCACTTAACATAGTGACCTCCAGTTCCATCCATGTTGTTGCAAATGACAGAGTCTCATTCTTTTTTTATGCCTCAATAGTACTCCATTGTATATATGTACCACATGTTCTTTATCCATTCATCTGTTGATGAACACTTAGGTTGCTTCCAAATCTTGGCTATTGTGAATAGTACTGCAATAAACATGGGAGGGCAGATATATCTTCAATATGTTGCTTTCTTTACTTTTAGGTATATACCCAGTAGTGGGATTGCTGGATCGTATGGTAGCTCTATTTTTAGTTTCGTGAGGAACCTCCAAACTGTTCTCCAAAGTAGTTGCACTAATTAACATTCCCATCGACAGTATATGAGGGTTCCCTTTTCTCCACATCCTTGCCAGCATTTGTGATTGCCTGTCTTTGGCAAAAAGTTAAAAAGCTATTTTAACTGGGGTAAGTTGACATCTTATTGTAGTTTTGATTTGAATTTATCTGCTAATCCATGATATTAAACATCTTTTCATACATCTGTTTTCCATTTGCAAGTTTTCTTTTGAGAAATGTCTATTCAGTTCTTTTTCCCACTTTAAAAATCAGAGTTCTAGATTTTCCCCCATCGTGTTTGAGCTACTTCTATGTGCTGGTTATTAATCCCTTATTGGATGGGTAGTTTGCAAATATTTTCTCCCATTCTGTGTGTTGTCTCTTTACTTTGTTGATTGCTTCCTTTGCTGTGCAGAAGATGTTTAACTTGATGTGATCCCATTTGTCCATTTTTGCTTTGGTTGCCTCTGCTTGTGGGGTATTACTCAAGAAATCTTTGCCCACTCCAATGTCCTGGAGAGTTTCCTGAATGTTTTCTTTTAGGGGCTTCAGAGTTTGAGGTCTTAGACTTAAGTCTTTAATCCATTTTGCTTTGATTTTTGTATATAACAAGATACGGGGTCTAGTTTTATTTGTCTGCATATGGATATCCAGTTTTCCCAGCATCATTTATTGAAGACACTGTGCTTTCCCCAGTGTACGTTCTTGCACCTTTGTTGAAAATGAGTTCACTGTAGATTTACGGATTTGCTTCTGGGTTCTCTATTCTGTGCCATTGGTCTATGTATCTGTTGTTATGCCAGTACCATGCTGTTTTGGTTACTATAGCTGTAGTATAATTTGAAGCCAGGTAGTCTTATGCCTCCAGTTTTGTTCTTTTTGCTCAGGACAGCTTTGTGGGTCTATATAAATTTCAGAATCTTTTTTTATTTCTGTGAAGAATGTCATTGGTATTTTGATAGAGATTGCATTGAATCTGTACATTGCTTGAAGTAGTAAGATCATTTTAACAATATTGAGTCTTCTAATCTGTAAACATGGAATATCTTTCCATTTTTTGTGTTCCCTTCCATTTTTTACATCACTATTTTATAGTTTTCATTATAGAGGTCTTTTGTTTCTTTGGAAAGTTTATTTCTACATATTTTATTTTATTTATAGTACATGGGATTACTTTCTTGATTTTTTTTCAGATTGTTCACTATTGGCACATAGAAATACTACTGATTTTTGCATGCTGATTTTGTATACTTCTACTTTTTATAGTACATGTTGTACATGGGATTACTTTCTTGATTTTTTTTTCAGATTGTTCACTGTTGGCATATAGAAGTGCTACTGATTTTTGCATGCTGATTTTGTATACTTTGCCTTTAATGAATGTGTTTATCAACTCTAATAGTTTTTTTCTGGAAGCTTTAGGTTTTTCCAAGTGTATGATTATATCATCTACAAACAAGGATAATTTGACTTCTTCCTTTCCAATTTGGATGCCATTTGTTTCCTTCTCTTTTCTGATTGCTCTAGCTAGGACTTCCAGTACTATGATTAATAACAGTGGAAAAGTGGGCATTCTTATCTTATTCCAGATCTTAGAGGAAAGTCTTTCAGTTTTTCCCCATTTAGTATTATACTAACTATGGGTCTATCATATGCGGTTTTTATTGTGTTGCCGTATGTTCCTTCTATACTCAGTTTTTTTCAGGATTTTCTCCTGAAGGGTTGTTAAATTTTATCCAATGTTTTTCAGCGTCAATTGAAATGATCATATGGTTTTTGTCCTTCATTCTGTTGATATGATGTATCACATTAGTTGATTTGCATATGTTGAATCATCCTTGCATCCCTGGGAAAAATCCCACTTGGTCAAAGTGAATAGTCTTTCTAATGTGTTGTTTAATTCAGTTTGTTAGTATTTCATTGAGGATTTTTGCATCAATGTCCATCAGGGATATCGGCCAGCAGTTTTCTTTTTTTGATGTGTCTTTGTCTGCTTATATTATGCCATTCTTGCATTGCTATAAATACTTGAGACTAGGTAATTTATAAGAAAAGAAGTTTAACTGGCTCACTGTTCTGCAGGCTGTACAGGAAGCATAGCTCTCGCATCTGCTTCTGTGGAGGCCTCAGGAAGCTTTTACTCAGACTGAAGACAAAGCAGGGACAGGCATATCACATGGCCAGGGCAGGAGCAAAAGAGAGAGTTGGGGAGGAGGTGCCACACACTTTTAAACAACCAGATCTCATGAGAACTCACTCACTATTGTGAAGAAGGCACCAGGACATGAGAAATCCACCCTCATGACCCAAACATTTCCCATCAGCCCCCACCTCCAGCATTGAGGATTACAATTCAACATGAGATGTGGGTGGGGACAACTGTACAAACCACATCAACAGCTATTTTGAATTCTGTGTATGAAAGATCACATATCTTTTTTCCTTCGGGATTGATCCTTGGTCTCTGGTGCCTTGTTTAGTTCATTTGGTGAGGTCATGATTTCCTGGATGGTGTTGATGTTTGTGCATGTTTGCTGTTATTGGGCACTGGAGAGTTAGTTATTTATTGTAGTCTTTGCAGTCTGAGCTTGTTTGTACCCATCCTTCTCAGAAAGTCTTTCTGGGTACTCACAGGGACTTGGACATTATATTAGTCTCTAGAGGGACCAAACTAGTAGTATAGATGTATATATAAAGGGGAGTTTATTAAGGAATACTGACTCACACGATCACAAGGTGAAGTCCCACAATAGGCTGTCTGCAAGCTGAGGAGTAAGGAAGCCAGTTGAGTCCCCAAACCTCAAAAGTAGGGAAGCCGTCAGTGCAGCCTTCAGTCTGTAGCTGAAGGCCTGACAGCCCCTGGCAAACCACTGGTGTAGGTCCAGGAGTCCAAAAGTTGAAGAACTTGGAGTCCAATGTTCAAGGGCAGGAAGCATCCAGCACGGGAGAAAGACTAAGGCCAGAACACTCAGCAGCAAGTCAAGTCCTTACACGTTCTCCTGGCTGATTTAGTCTAGCTGTGCTGGCAGCTGATTAGATGGTGCCCACCCATATTGAGGATGCGTCTGCCTCTCCCAGTCCACTGACTCAAATGTTCATCTGCTTTGGCAACCCCCTCACAGACACACCCAGGAACAATACTTTGCATCCTTCAATCAAGTTGACGCTCAATATTAACCATCACAGGTATTTTGATCTAAGTCTCAATTACTGCAGCCATATCTGCTTTAGGGGGCACCCCAAGCCCGGTAATCCCATGGTTTTTGCATACTCATAGAGGTATCTTCTTGGTGGTCTTGGGTAAGGTCTGGAAGAATTCCCTGGAGTAACAGGCAGAGACCCTTGTTCTCGTCCCTTACTTACTCCCAAACAAGTAGAGTCCCTCTCTCTGTGCTGAGCTGCCTGGAGGGGGGACACAAGCACCCCTGCAGCCACCACCACTGGGACTGTGCGAGGGTCAGACCCAAAGCTGGCACAGCACTGAGTCTTGCCCAAGATCCACAATGACCACTGCCTGGCTATTGCCTATGTTCACTCAAGGCCCAAGGGCTCTACAATCAGCAGGCAGCAAACCCAGCCAGGCTTATGTCCTTCCCTTCAGGACAGTGAGCTCCCCTGGCCTTGGGCAGGTCTAGGGATGCCATCCAGGAGCCAGGGCCTGGAGTTGAAAACCTCAGGCATCTATCTGGTGCTCCATTCTACTGCAGCTGAGCTGGCACCCAAGCCAAAAGACAAAGGCCTTTCTACTCTTCCAATCCCTTTTCTCAAGCAGAGGAGTCTCCCCCAAAGGCCACCACCACCCCAGGCCTGCATGAGAACTGCCTGGCTATCACCAATGTTCACTCAAGGCCCAAGGCTCTTCAGTCAGCTTGTGGTGAATGCTGACAGGCCTGAATCTCTCTCTTCAGAGCCACAGGCTCCATTCTGACCTATGGCAGGTCCAGAAATGCCATCCAGGAGCCAAGGCCTGGAAATGGGGACTGTAGGAAGTTTGCTTGAGTTTGCTTGGTGCTCTACCCCTTGTGGCCAAGCTGGTACCCAAGCTACAAGACAAAGCCTACTTTACTCTTCCTCTCCTTTCCTCAAGCATAAGGGGTGTCCCTCCACAGCCACCACAGCCGAGAATGTGCTGGGTCACACCTGAAGCCAATACAGCTCAGTCTTACCCAACACCCATGGCAAGTACTGCCTGGCTGCCACTGCTTATTATTTAGGGCTCAAGGGTTCCTTAGTCAACCAGTGATGAATTCTGCCAGATCTGGGTCCTTCTTTTCAAGGCAACAGGTTCCCTTCTGGCCCAGGGTGTGTCTAGAAATGCCATCCAGGAGGTTCCAACCACTGGGATGGGTGCTTCTCCTTTGACTAGGGCTGGTCTAAATGCTTTCTCCATGGGCGTTGGCAAAGTTCTTCCCTATATTGCTTTCAACAGTGACAGGACAGCACTGAGTTCCAATGCAAAGTCCCACAATCACTGCATTCTCCCTCCCTCAAGCACACGGATTCTCTTTCCATACCACATGGCTGCTGCCAGGAATGAGGGAGGGGTGGTGTAGGCAATTCGAGACTGTCTTTTCTATCCTCATCAGTGCCTCTTTCTTTAATATGATGTTAAAACTGGGTATTCTGGTTGCTCAACTGATGTTGGTGTTTTGTTTTGTTTTTTTGAGACACAGTCTCACTGGTCTCCCTCAGTCTGGGTTGCAGTGGTGCGATCTCAGCTCACCACAACCTCAACCTCCCAGGTTCAAATGATCCTGGTGCATCAGCCCCCCAAGTAGCTGGGACTACAGGCGTGCACCAGCACGCCCAGCTAATTTTTGTATTTTTTGTAGAGACAGGGTTTTGCCATGATGCCCAGGCTGGTCTCAAATTCTGGGCTCAAGAGATCCGCCCACCTTGGCCTCCCAAAGTGCTAGGACTACAGGCATGAGCCACCACACCCGGTCTGATTTTTGGTTCTTGTGAAGGTGCTTTTTTATATGGATAGTTGTTCAATTTGGGGTTCCTGCAGGGAGGACACTTGCTAGAGGCTTCTATTTGGCAATCCTTCTCTACCTCCCAGCGCATTGTCTGTTTTTAAAAATAGTAAGAATCAAGCTCGTGAATTCTGCTGTCCCCCAGGAAGGGGTGGTGTTTGATTTTCATCAGGTAGAACACAGATGAGGGGAATAAGTTCAGTATCATCTCCTCCAACAGAAATTCATATAAGCTGGCTTATAAAAGGAATCACTTCAAATTGCTCATTGGATTTCACAAAACCCATCTGTTGGCCCCTACTATTTTCCAGAGTATCCAGGAAAACAGACAGAAAATGGACATGGAGAAAATGATCCCAGGACATTACTGAAGGCATTGCTTCTTGTTTGAGTCCAACGCTGGTTTCCTTCTAGTGCTATCCAAGCCAGTTACAAAATCAAAATTTGTTTAAAATAAAGAAGTACAGAAAGAAAATAATGAGCAAGGTACTGATTGAATGGAGTAGAAATTAACAATGCAAAATGTTTTTGAAACTAGAGGGAGGAAATAAGCCTTAAACAGGGTGTTTCTGTTGCAAACAAACTTGCTTAAAAGTGTTAGCATTTAAATGGTCACACCTCAGTTTTGAACTTAACACTCCATTAAGCGGCTGAGGGAGCTCACACCTCTGTCTGTGGCACCTTTCACTCTTGTTGAAGCCCACGGAAGGAGAAGGGGAGAAGAGAGAAGGGTAAGGAAGAAGAGTAGCTACAAATGGAGCAATGACAAAGGTGACAGTCCTGGTTAAGCCTGCTGCCCTGGTGCAATTAATTATTAACATTGCTTTCACTCCCCAAAGTGTCCTGATTTGGATGATAAATTATGTGGCCACTCAAATAAGGTATAGGATGTCTGAATGGTAGTGACAAGGTAATAGTCATTTACTTTCGTAAATAAAAATGGAAATAACATTTGTTCCTTGGAAGCGACACTTTGGTTTAGAAAATTCTGTGACATTTCACATGCTAAGGCTAAGTGTTCATGACTGCAAGATTAAAAATCAAAGAATTAAAGTATCTTAGAGACTCAAGAGGATCTATTGTTGTAATTTTGAAAATGAGAAACTGAGACTCAAAGAGATTGACTTGCCTAAGGCCAAGTTAATGGAGAAGTTGGGAATAGGACCCAAGTCTCCTAAATGTAAATTATATATTTTTAATGTGTCAAAATCTTAAGAAATGTAAATAATGTTCTCAAGAATGGAGAAATAAAGTACAGCCGTTGTGATGAATCGTGCAGCTGCCTTCACTAGGTCAGTGGGCTCAGAGATCAGTGGGAGGGGTCGGGGGACACAGCGCAAGTACTCTCTTGAGGTAAAGTTTCTGATGTTCACTGATGATTTCATCTGATGATTTCTGACATTCACTGATGATTTCAGCTGAATTCAGGAGACCAAGAATTTTCTCAGGATAAGCAAAATCCAGGAATCCAATTGGTTTATGGTCTTAAAATTTAATAGCTGAATGACCTTGGCCAAAGTTATTGAATGTCTTTAAAACTCCCATTTCCTCATCTATAAAATGAGAATAAAATTAATATTCATCTCAGATGACTGTTGCAAAGATTAAATAGGAGCGTATATGCAAAGCCCTGGCCCAATGCATGGCACATAGCTATATGTTCAGCAAACATTAGCTATCATCATTATCACCATCATCTTCATCATTAGCAACAGGAACAGCAGCATTTTTCCTTCTCCACTCCTAACATGACCTGCTTTGGATAGTCAGCCGATTTCACAATGCATTTCACCCTTTTTGCTTATAGAATGTCTTCTCTAAATCTCATTTAGTTCCACGTAGCTCATAGAGATAAATATTATAGTTCCTTTTTTAACAGATCAGGAAACAGACTCAGACGGATTAAGTAATTTGTTCAAGGTCACATAACCAGTAAGTGAAAAAAGCAGAACTCAAATCTAATTCTTCTTGTTTTTTTCAATCTGTCTGTCTCTGATGAGAAATTACAGGGCAGGGTGCTGAGATGAGAGTAAGAAGGGGAGAATGACAACTGGAAGTTGGCCCTGCCTAGAGGTGGGTGAGTTGGTTGGGAAGGTGACTGTGTGAGGAGCATTCTTTACTGCACTGTTCTGCAGATGTTGCCCACATACAATTGAGTTATCCTCTACATAGTCAATCAAGTGATGTGAGCTTAAGTTCTGGAGGGAGCTTTGTCTCAGCATTCAGAATCAGAAGAAATGCTATTTGTCTCCTCAACAGAAAGCCCTGATGAGACCCAAAAAAGAAAGTCAAGCTGAGACAAAATCCCCAGTGTCCCTGGAGTCAGTACCTATACAGAAGATAGGACTCAACCAAGTAAGGAGACTTGGGCAGCGAGAAGTCCCTGGTACACTCTGCTCTTTCCAAACTCTTCACTTGGATGGAAACCACGTCAGGGATGCAACTTCTCTGTGGTTCATGTTTCTTTGTCATTTATTGAGATATTCAGGATTAATTTGGTCACCATTATGACCCCTCCTGTGAAATGATCTTTTGTGTCATCACAATTCATTGATTTGGAGTTATTTCTAATCACACAATTTGGACTTTCAGTGAGGAGCAAAGAAATTCTACTAGGAAAAACAAATTAGTAAACACACAAGCCAAATAGAGGCTAAACAAAGTGACAGAGATCCTTCTGTATTCCCACACCTCAGAATACTCATAATGGATTGACCGAGAGTCTTCACACTCCTGGGAACCCCCTTCCTGCAGAGTTCTCTGGTTGTGGCTTCATATGACTGTGACTTCCAGTAATTCAGCAATTACGAGGGCATGCTTTGAAGTCAAACTTGAGTTTGAAGTTTGTCCCCACCTACCTCTTCCAACCTGTGACACCATACAGGTAATTTAATTTCTCTAACTCATTATTTCCTCACATATAAAATGGTGATGGTAATACTAACCTCATAATGTACATAATGCACTTAGTTCTTCCTGGTATGTAATACATGTCCAGCAAGTGGCAGCCATCCTATTCTGCTAACATCCTTGCTGAGAAGTGACAGAGTATACCTCTTCATAATTCTCTCATTCCTTGTGGCCACATCCCTCTTTGGGGTATAGCTAATGACTTAGCCCTTGGCTCCTTGTAGCTTTAGGATTAGTAAGCAGGTAACATCCTCACTCTTCCTACTACCCTGAAGCTCCTTTCCTTGACCCTATCCGGATTGTCAGTTGTATCAATTAAGTCTTGGAAACTGTTCATCAAATCTGCAAAGTATACCAAGCCAAGAGAAATGGCAAACACGTTCAATGAAAGAATTTGGACCAAAAAACCTCCACAGGTTTTCAGAATGAATAGAATCTAATATGATACAATGAGTATAGGAAGAAGTATAAGGTCCTTCATTTGAGTTCAAATGAATACCAGGTGCAAGGGGGTCACACTATTCTGAGAAAAAAACAGACAAAAAACAAACAAAAAAAACCCCATGGACTTTCTATTTGAAGGTAGACTCAATTTCATTCAAAATATAATATTTCTACCAGAAGAATGGAAGTACATATGCCTAATATGTAGATACATGGCCTGGAGCCTAGAATTTAGTCTGCCTGCTATGGTTTGGATATGGCTAGTTTGGTCCAGCAAGTCTTGTGTTAAAATATGATCCCCTGAGGTCAGGAGATCGAGACCATCCTGGCCAATATGGTGAAACCCCGTCTCTACTAAAAATACAAAAATTAGTCAGGCGTGGTTGCACATGCCTGTAATCCCAGCTACTCGGGAGGCTGAGGCTGGAGAATCGCTTGAACCCGGGAGGCGGAGGTTGCAGTGAGCTAAGATGGCGCCTCTGCACTCCAGCCTGGTGACAGAGCGAGACTCCGTCTCAAAAAAAAAAAAAAAAAAATACTGTGATCCCCAGTGTTGGAGGTGGGGCCTGGTAGGAGGTGTTTGGATTGTGATGGCTGATCCCTCACGAATGGCTTGGTGCCATTCTTGCAGGAGTGGATTCTCACTCTTAGTTCCCACAAGAACTGGTTGTTGAGAAGAGCCTGGCACCTCCTCCTCTCTGTCTTTCTCTCCTGCCATGTGACCTGCACACGCTGACTCCCCTTCAACTTCCACCATGAATTAAAGCACCCTGAGTCCCTTGCCAGAAGCAGATGCTGACACCATACTTCTTGAATAGCCTACAAAACCATGAGCCAAATAAACTTCTTTATAAAGTACCCAGCCTCAGGTATTCCTCTATAGCAACACAAAACAGATGAAGACATTGTTTATTTGGTATTGTTTGATGAAGCAGACAACAGGATCTGGCACAAAGTGACATATTTTAGCCTTTTATCCCTCTGTCAAGAATGAAAGGAGATACTATATTCCATAGCACTAGGGTTGTGCAAGCATTAGATGAATGAATATATGGTTGGGCCATTCTCTGTTAAGGAGACTCAAGTATCAGATGAATGTTTGTATCAGGTGCCATTAAGTTCTCTTTAAACCAGAAAGCATATTCCTGGTAGTTTGTACCATGTCATAGGGCCATGAATCTTATCGGAGCACACATTCAATCTTTTTATATAATTTCTAAAGAAAGTAAGAAAATAGATAAAAGGACATAGATTTAGGTTTCTTTGTAATTTTGAGTATCAAGCTTTCCTGAACCTGACTACTCCCATTACCACGAGTTAGTTCCCAAGAGGAGGTATGAGCTGGCTTCTCTAGACCCTGCACCAATCTTAGTCATTTCTTCCTGTGGGCCTGTGGTCAGCGACCCCTGCCCTTTAGAATGTCCCACCATCTTCTCTCTACCAATCCATCATCTCCTTCAAAATCTGGCTCCATGCTAGCCTCCTTCTAAGAAGTCTTCCTGGCTTCTCATATTCTTCTAAGCTCCTCAAGGGCTCTCTGTAGCACACCCACACTTGCTTACATATTGCTTGCAAATCATTCTCCCGTTGTTTCATGTTTCTGTGACTCTCCAAGTTAACTCTAAACTCCTAAAGGGCAGTGAATCTCTGCCAGTGGAGATGAAAAGGAGAAGAGCTCTGGATTTTCCTAATGATTATACAACACTGGGCACAAAGCAACCACTGGGGGCCTAGGACCCATCAAACCGCAGTGAAATTCTACTAGGATTAAGGTTAGATGGGGCAATCCAAGTTTTGGAAGATCAGAGACATTTACATTCTGTTCTTAGTAGTTCAACAGTCCTTCCAAATCACCAGGACTGCAGACATAAAAGTTTCATCTAGCCACCAGCTCTAGCTGAACATATCCCAGGTTACTTAAAGTGCAATTTATTTTTAATAGAAAAATTGATTCTGGAATGAAACATGAAGTAGCCTCTTTTTTTCTTTTTTTGGTAGTCGACTAACCTTTTAAAGAATAGCATTCTTGCCCTAGAGAGGGGCATAAAAGTTTAAAAGGTTATTTTCCACATTACACGTAACCCGCATGCTCACCTTTCCTATCTCTTTGCTGGATCTGCGCACAGGGTGCCTGTGGCGTTAACTCACTGAAAATATCGGCTCCATTAATGCATGATTTACTTCTCTTTACTTGGCAAAGTACAGACCTCATATTTCAAAGCAAATTCTAGCTTTTGTAATTCATTATCTACTCCATGAGATGTGATGGCATGAAATTTTCTCTCTTCAAAACTCAAAAGAGCAAAGCAAATGCTGAAGAGAAGTCTTCCCTGACCCACCCAGAGTTAGCTGCTCCCTGATGTGAGTTCCTATGGCACTTTTAACTTATTGCTCTCGTTAAACTTATCATAGTTAATCATAACTATTTGTTTACATGTCTGTCTCTCCAACTGCCAACTCCCAAGGAGCAGAAATTCTGTCCTATTCATCCCTTTGCAGCCTCATGTTGTGGGTGCCATAATGCACAACCCAGATCCTTTTCAGAACAAGTATCCCATTTCCCCAGCTGCTAGAATTGCTGCCTGCTGTCAGCTCACAGCTGAATCTCTTTATTGAAATTTCACACAGCTAAGGGCAAGTGTTATCCCTCTTCCAATGACTGGCCAATGCAAGGGTATAAAGGCTCAGCCCCTTTGCCTCAATTCAGGATAGCTCTGAAGGGCCATCCCAGCTCCAGATCTCTGTGCTATCAGCTGAGTCCACATTTGCAACTGCAGTGCAGCTTAGCTTCCCTTCGGTCCAGCTCTGCTTCTCCCACTGTCTCCCAGGTGTTTCTGGGAGGTGATAGCCCTCTCCAACAAATCTCCTGCACACAAGTCTCCATCTCAAAGTGTGTTTCCCAGGGAAACCAACTTAAGACACTCCAGACCCTAGTATGGTTCTAGTTCATACTAGATATGTCATTAATATTTGGTAAAAGAATGAGTGAATAAAGTACACAGGAAATTAATAAATAAAAACAATTAAACAATTGGAATATCCAATATTTTACTTCCACTGCTCTCCCCACCCCTTCCTCTTAGGGTTGTGGTCCTTAGCTGTCAACATAGACAAATATTAACTGAGCTTCTATTTGTTAGGCAGTGTGCTAAGCTCTAGGGAATCAGAAACAACTCTCCTTGTCAGCACCTGTAGCTGGAAGGAGATTGTTTCACACACAGCACAGCCAGGTTCCGTGTTCCTTGCAGACATTGTAGTAGTGATTCCATTTACATCTGAGATATAGAATTGCATCCCTAAACATTTTATCTGTACTTCTAGCTTTGCCTAGACATCATCTCATGGATACTTTGAGACTTGGAGAATGGAATGACGATGATACTTCACTTTAGAACTGGATAATTGATCCTAATTAGCACTTTAGCAAATGACTTTTTAAGAAGGGGAGAGGCCAACATAGTAGTCTAAGAAAGGAGACTACATTTGGCACACAGAGAAGCAGGGTAAGCTATTCCAGAGCTTCCAGGGATAATGTGACCCTATTAGAGTCAGGGACTAGAAAAATACAAAAATCCAAATATCATAGTTGAGAAGTGCTAAATGTAGAAGACAGAGTATTTGGGGACTAAAGCAGGCCCCAAAGTCCCAAAAAGTCTAACCAAGGCATAACTAAGGATGAAAAAAGGTTTGCTTAATCAATGATGTTAACACACATGAAATAAAAATATGAAAACAAGAGGGGAAAAGTCTGCACTGAAACAAGAGTCAGTGAACTGGAAAACAGAACAATAGAAATTACTCAATCACTACAACAGAGAGAGAATTGACTGAAAACAAAGGAACAGTGCCTCAGGGACATGTGGGATAATAACAAAAAAATCTAACAGTTGTGTCATCAGAGTCCCAGAAGCAGACTCTTTTTAGAGTCTAACAACTTCGATGAAATGGGCCAATTCCTCCAAAAACAAACACAAAATAATGTCAAATAAATCTTTGAATAGCCCTGTAACTGTTAAGAAAATTAAATTCATAATTTAAAAACTCTCAAAAAAATGAATTTTCAAACCCAGATAATTTCACTGTATAATTTAACCAAATATTTAAAGGAGGACTAATACCAATTCTATGTAATCTCTTCCAGAAAATGGAAGAGGAAGGAAGACTTCCCAAATCATTTTATGAAATTAGTATTACCCCCATACTAAAACCAGACAAAAAGTATTTAAAAAGAAAACTCTAGAGTAATATCCCTCATGAATATAGGCTAAAAAACCCTTCACAAAAAAAATTAGTAAGTAAAATTCAGCAATACTTATCATAAAAAGAGTTATAAACCATGACCAATGGAGTTTATTCTAGGGATGCAAGGCTGGTTCAGCATTTGAAACTCAATCAATGTAAACTAGTATATTAACAGTCTAGAGAAAAAAATAACATGATGATATCAACTGGTACAGAAAAAGCATTTGACAAAATTCCACACCCTTTCATAATAAAAACTCTCAGAAAAATAGGAATAGATAGAAACTTCCTCAACTTGCAAAGAAGAATCTATAAAAACTTTAGAGCTAACATTATACTCAATGGTGAAAGGCTGCATGCTTTCCCTCTATGATCAAGAACAAGAATGTTCATCTCACTGCTTTTGTTTAAAATATTGGTGGAAAGTGCAATAAGTCTAAAGTGCAATAAGTGAAAAAAAAGAAATCGTAGGCATATGTGTCAGAAAGGAAGAAATAAAACTGTTCATATTTGCAGATGGCACGGTGTCTTCCTAAAAAATCCCAAAGAATCTATCAAAAAAGAAAACTCCTAGGACTGATAAGTTCAGCAAAACTGCAGGCCACAAAATAAGCATACAAAAGTCAATTGCACTCCTATATACTAGCAAAGACCGTGTGTACAAGATTAAAAGTACAATACCATTTATGTTCACTCAAAAAAATTGAAATACTTAGATGCAAATTTAACATGCACGGTATTTGTATGCAAAAAAACTACAAAATGCTCATTGAAGAAATCAAAGGAGATTAAAATACATGGAGATATGCTTTTCTTCATGAGTTAAAAGACTCAACATGGTAAAGATATCAATTTTCCCCAAAATGATATACAAGTTTAACTGAATTTTTATAAAAATACCAGCAAGAGTTTTTCTAGTCACAGACAAGATTATTCTAAAATTTATGTTTAAAGGCAAAAAAAAAAAAACCTTGAATACGCAAAACTATTTTTTAAAAAAATAAAGTGGGAGCAATCATCCATACTCGATTCCAAGACTCATTGTAGAGCTACAGTAATCAGTTTTATGGTTCTGGCAGAGAGACAGACACAGACTCATGAGACAGAACAGAAGACTTAAAGTAGACTCATCCACAAAAATATGTCCACTGATATTTGAGAACTATGCAAAAAGAATTCAATAGAGAAAGAAGATTGTCTTTTCAAAAAATGGTACTGGATCAATTAGACGTCCATAAGCAAAAAAAAAAAAAAACGCCTCAAACTGAGTCTCGGACTTTACACAAAAATCAACTAACATGGATTATTGACTTAAATGTAAAATTTTAAACTATAAAACTCTTAGAAAAAATAGAATATTTTCAGAAACTAGGGCTAGGCAAAGAGTTCTTAGACTTAATACCAAAAGTGTGATTCTTAAAAGGAAATGATAAATTTAACTTCATTGATATTAAAAATGTTTGCTCGGTGGAAGATCCTGTTAAGTGGATGAAAAGACAAGCTATACATTGGAAGAAGATATTTGCAAACCACATATCCAACAAAGGACTAGTACCTAGCATATACTGTAGAAGGCACTCTGGAAATCAAAAGTAAAAATAAATAAATAAATAAATTCAAATAGAAAATGGACAAAAGACATGCACAGATATTTCACTGAAGCTGATATATATATGGCAAATAAGCACGTGAAATGATGTTAAATATCATTAGCCAGGTGGGAAATACAAATTAAATTCACAATGAGGTATTACTGCACACCTATCTGGGTGGTTATAAATGTTGGCAAGTATGAGGAGATATTGGATTAATCATACATTGCCAATAGGAAAGCAAAATAGTACAGGCTTCGGGCAATGTTTTAAAATGCTAGACATGCAGTTATCATATGATGCAACAATCACACTCCTTGGCATTTATCCCAGAGAAATAAAAACTTATGTTCACACAAACCTGTACATTAATATGTATAACAGCTCATAATCATCAGAGCGAAAAACTGGAACCAACTCAGATTTCCTTCAGCGGATGAATGGTTAATGAACCTAGCACAGACATACCATGGAACAAAACTCAGCAATAAAAAAATCAACTAATAATATATGCCATAACTGGGACTGATATTCAGAGAATTATGCTGAGTGGCAAAAGCCAATCCCCAAAATTATATACTGTATGATTGACTTTATATAATCTTCTTGAAAGGACAAAAATAGAAAGGGAGAATGGATTAGTGGTTGCCAAGGACTGAGGAGGGGTAGGTGTAGGAGGAAACTGGGTGTGGCTATAAAAGGGCAACAGTGGGGAACCTCATGCTGGTAGAAACGCTCTGCATCTTTACTGTATCAATGCCGATATCCTGATTGTGTATTGTACTACAGTTTAGCAAGATGTTGCCATTGGGGGAAAACACTGGATCCCTCTACTATTTTTTTATTCTATTTTACTTTAAGTTCTGGGATACACGTGCAGAATGTGCAGATTTTTTACATAGGTATATATTTGCCATGGTGGTTTGCTTCATCTATCAATCTGTCATCTTGGTTTTAAGCCCTACATGCATTAGGTATTTGTCCTAATGCTCTCCCTCCCCTAGCCCCCAACCTCCAGACAGGCCCCAGTGTGTGATGTTCCCCTCCCCATGTCCATGTGTTCTCATTGTTCAACTCCCACTTATGAATGAGAACATGCAGTGTTTGGTTTTCTGTTCCTGTGTTAGTTTGCTGAGAATCATGGCTTCCAGCTTCATCCATGTCCCTGCAAAGGACACGAACTCATTCTTTTTATGGCTGCATAGTATTCCATGGTGTATATGTGCCACATTTTCTTTATCCAGTCTATCATTGATGGGCATTTGGGTTGGTTCCAAGTCTTTGCTATTTAAATAGTGCTGCAATAAATATACGTGTGCATGTGTCTTTATAGTAGAGTGATTTATCTGATTAAACTAAAGAGGTTCTGCAAGGCAAAAGAAACTATCATCAGAGTGAACAGGCAACCTACAGAATGGGAGAAAATTTTTGCAATCTACCCATCTGACAAAGGGCTAATATCCAGAATCGATCTATAAGGAACTTAAACAAATTTACAAGAAAAAAACAACCCCATCAAAAAGTGGGTGAAGGATATGAACAGACACTTCTCAAAAGAAGACATTTATGTGGCCAACAAACATACAAAAAAAAGCTAATCATCACTGGTTATTAGAGAAATGCAAATCAAAACCACAATGGGATACCATTTCATGCCAGTTAGAATGCCGATCATTAAAAAGTCAGGAAACAACAGATGCTGGCAAGGCTGTGGAGAAATAGGAACGCTTTTACACTGTTGGGGGGAGAGTAAATTAGTTCAACCATTGTGGAAGACAGTGTGGCGATTCCTCAAGGATCTAGAACCAGAAATACCATTTGACCCAACAATCCCATTACTGGGTGTATACCCAAAGGATTATAAACCTCTCTACTATTTTTTATAACTGTGTGTGAACCTACAATTATGTGACATTAAAATGTTTAATTGTTAAAAAGGAGGATATGATTGGATTTGGCAATAATTTCTTGGATACAACACCAAACGGATAGGCAACAAAAGAAAAAATAGACAAATTACACTTCATGGAAAGTTAAAAATTGTATGCATCAAAAGACACTATCAACATAGTGAAAGGGCAACTCACAGAATGGGAGAAAATATTTGCAAATTACATATCTGATAAGGGACTAATATGCAGAATATATAGCGAACTCCTGAAACTCGTCAGCCAAAAAGCAAGCAACCTGATTCAAAGATGAGTGAAGAACCTGAACAGACATTTCTCCAAAGAAGATATGTAAAATGGACAATAAGCTCAACATTACTAGTCATCAGGGAAATACAAAACAAAACTATGAGACACCACTTCACATCCATTAGAATGGCTACTGTTAAAAAAAAAAAAATACACACACAGCATTTGGAGCCCTTGTGCACTATTGATGGGAATGTAAATGGTACAGCTACTGTAGAAAACAGTATGGCCATCTCCCAAGAAACTAAAAATAGAATTAGCGTATGATTCAGCAAATCCACTTCTGGGTATATACACAAAAGAATTGAAAGCAGGATCTTGTACACCCACATTCATAGCAACAATATTCACAATAGCCAGAATGTGAAAGCAATCCAGGTGTTCCCTCAAAATTCCTGTTGAAATCCTAACCCCCAGTGTGATGGGTATTAGGAGATGGGGTCTTTGGGAGGTGATTTGGTCATGAGGGTTCCACACTCATGAACGAGATTAGTGCCCTTATAAAAGGGATCCTAGAGAGCTCTCTCACTCTCTTTCTGCCATGTGAGGGTACAATGAGAAGTCGGCAGTCTGCAACCTGGAAGAAGAACTGAACCATGCTGGCATCCTGAGCTTGGACTTGCAAGGCCCCTAAAACTGTGAGAAATCAATTTCTGTTTATAAGCCACCCAGTCCATGGTACTTGTTACAGCAGTCTGAACTGACTAAGACCAATGGTAAACTTTATGTTACATGTATTTTACCACAATTAAAAAAAAAAGTTTGAAAAAAGTAGGCAAAAGGGTGGGGGCAACCACAGACTTTATTAGTGCTTAATCAGAGCTATCCAGACATGGAAGAAAAGAAAAAATGTACTAGCATATACTTGATTAAAACTGGGATATGTTGCCAGGCTTTTCCAGAGTCTTAGTGAATTGCCCTGCAAGACCATCCCACTTCCTTTGCTCTCCATCTACGCTCACCATGCAGCTTTCTGATGTTCATTGGACCCTCAGCTGCACTGTCCACAGGGAGGAGAATCTGCGGAGACCAGAGTGGTCTAGGTTTGTTAGCATTTCTGAGTTCGTTGCAAGTAAATATCGGGCACTGTAGTTCACACAGCAGCCCCTGTGAGCACAGCTGAAGCCCCATTGTGCCCGCTGCCTCCCAGGTGCCCGGTGGAGCTAGGGTGCAGAGCCAAAGCAGAGGCCTGGCCTGGACTGCTGCACCTTCACCACGTGCTGCCACCCCATGTTCCTCTGCACAGCCTGCCAGCCTCGCTCCCTGCCATTCCATCCTGGCATTTGGCTTCAACTGAGACAAAACTGAGGAAGGCTGGCTCTGAGGGAGCACTGCAGCCTATGTCCTTTATCCCAAAAACAGAGAAATCTGCCTTTGAGATAAGAGCTCACAGTCCATGGCCTGCCTATTCATGATTTGTGAATTCTTTACCGCAGTTACCGCTTTTCCCTTCTAGGTTGCCTGGCAGCCAACATTATGTCTAACATATACACATGCATCTATTATATATACCAATATAACATATTTTCTTATTTCTTTCTTTTTCTCTTTCCACCTATTCCTGACACATAAAGATTCTTCATCCAATTCTGCTCACATCTTGCCAATTAAGACTCTTCCTGTGTCATTCATTGCTCTCCCAGTCTATATGTTACTTTAAGTTCAAACCTGGCAACCCTCCTCCTTGACACTACTGATGGGTAAGTGGCTCACATGGCACCAGGGAGAAAGGTGGGTTTCCCAGTGGCACAGGCATTTAATCCTACCCCACCCAGGAGCATGGGCTAGGCAGGCACTCCAGGGCCTGGGGACTGACTCACAGACCAAGGCCTTCTGGGATTTTAGAATTTTCTTACCCAGAAAATAGGATCAACACCACTGCCATCATGAATTATTCAACACCTGCCAGGGCTATTCCTTCATGAACAATGAAATAATGGAAGCTGACAAAATTGATTTCTGGTGAATTTTTAGTGACGTCAAGTTCATAGCAAGTGAGCAGGGGCTGGCAAAGCTCAGAGGAACTTGACCACAAGAACGGTCAGCCTGCAGTTTCCCTGGGAACATTGCCATTTGGTCAACAGTGCGGCTGAGCTGGGTGTCCTTTGTGAGGGTCCTTTTCCTCTCAGGGTTTGAGGGACATAAATGTACTGAAAAAACATAGTCACTTGGGCTTACCAAGCCAGTTCCCAGCCAGGAGGATGGGAGAGACTCTTGAAGCATTTCATGAAGCATTTGAATTGCTAGATAATTAGAAGATCAATAACATAATTTCAGCTGCTTAGCAGAGCGCTAAGAAAGAAAGGCTTCAACTCAGCATATTTTGAATTTTGCATTAGGGTTTCACTAATTAAAAGGAAAAAAATATTGGCAGCATGTCTAATCCTTCCATTAATCTCCCTCAACATATATTCTGCTGCTTGTTATTGTATAATCATTAAATGTAAAATATTAAACTGGACATTTGACTTTATTGATCACTTTATGGACTAAAGATACAGCAAGTAATTATCTGCCATGACAGATTTATTGATTGAGCTGTCATTGGAACAGCTGAAATTGACACATAGTTGATTATTATTCTAGTATGCTGTTTCCATCAATAATTTTGTCTCATTCTCTTTCTCATCAAGAATTGTATATTTATAGTTAATTTCTATTTAAGAACTCAAAAGAAGACTTTTTACCCTAAATAATGTGTGGTTAGTGTGTGGTTTTCTAGGTAGATCAGAAACACTGCAGTCTCAGCGTATAGACTTAGTTTTGTATACTTGGGTATTTTATCAATTCTGATGCAAGGTAACTTTTAACTGGCATTTATCTCTCTAAGCCTGCTTTTCCTACTTGAAAAATAATCTTATCTCTTCTGAATATTTTTTTCCTTCCTTACTCTGCTTGTTCTCTCAGCATTTACAATTCAGTTCAGTTTGCTAAAGAGGAGTAGGGCCTTTCCAATGTCCTGAACACCATTCAGGATGCTGGGGATACCAAGGTGGGGAAGGCAGAGTCCCTGCCCTCAGGGGAGTTTACAGCCTAGTGAAGGAGACTGGCCTGGACCCCAATAAAGCATGTAGAAGAGTCTGAGGAGGCAAAAGCTGAGTGTGGACAATATTTAGAACTAAGCAGCCTCCGGTTTCATTGTGACATAGGATTTTGTTTCCAAATCCTGTGCTAGCAACAAAGTCAAAGTCACCTACCAGATCCTGGGTATAGAGAATGGGATGGAAGGAGAAATTATTTTTAAATCTCATCCTGGAACATGCAAGAAGCTGTTCTTAGAGTTCATCATTTTCAGATTTAGCAGACTTCATGGATGATCTTTAACATACAGAGTTTCATGGAATTCCTTTCTTGGAATAGATTTGTAAAGAAGTCCTAATAAGGTGTTTTGCCTGTCTTCTTTATGTTTAGGTCATAAATACATAGTTGTACAATATATCTTCCTACATATAGTTCTTTCCATGGTTACTTTTATATTCTATATGTGCAGAGACCATGACTTGCAGGTTTTGTCTGTTTTTTTTTAACTTTCTTCCCATCCTTTTGTGTTTCTGCATTCAGTAGGTACTTAATAAATGATCATCGAAGCTTCTTTTGAGGTAGTTGTAGGGTAGTGACCCACTTAGAACAACCCAGTTTCCAAGAAGCTGAGTTCTAAATTTCAATTAAAAATTTGAATTTTGGCACAGAGTAGGTGTGCTTTAAACTTTTTTCAGGATACGTGGGACTAAGGAACTCAAGTCACCTTAAATGGTGGGGGCATGATGGCTCATAGCATGAATGAATGCAGTTGAAATCTATCTTACTTCAGCATCTCCAGAACACAGCCTGGAGTCATGGAAACAACATTGCACCCATGTTAGGAAGCCTAGGTTAAGGTTTCAGTGGCCCTGGGAAGTGACCCAACACTTTGGGTCTCATTTCTCGTTTGTTAAATAAGGTGATTGGGCCAGATACTCAGGAAAGGCATTTAGCACTCTGAAATTCCACTGTGCTATTTTGCTTTGAGTTAGGGTGCAGCCTCTGTGGCCTCTTACTTCACATATCTGGATAAAGAAAGATTGATTTGCTATTAAGTTGTTATTATTTCAGCTTTGGAAAGTACTTGTGAGTGAGCACAGTTATCTTTGAATTTCCAAGTAAATCTGCAGTATGTTTTCTTATACCTGTAGAGAACTGTAGGACAGTCTTTAGGACTAGAACTCAACATATTTTTAGGGTAGAGGTTCTCAATCTTATTTTTCTTCTCCTTTTTAATTTTTTTTAGAAATCTGATGAAAACTGCAATCCCTTTTCTAGAACAGTGATGGAACTCATAAGTACAGCATTTTGCCTATTATTTCATGGTGGTAAGAGGGAGCATTTCTATGCTGTTTCCAGGTTGGGAATCCCCCTCTAGGCCTATTGTAGGGGCAGGTTTTGCTCTGATGTGAATATTTTTGTTCTTTAACCCTCTGAGCTTTGCTACCTGCTAGCTACGTGACCACCAACAAATTGCTTAACCTTTCTGACTCCCTTTGGAAACACAGGAATAATAACACCAACTTGCAACTAGTTGGGAGCAGTAGCATTATGAGCTAAGGTAAGTAAAGCACCTAGTATCGTCCCTGATGTACAGCACTAGCTACTCACTCATAAAATGTTTTCCTAACCTTCCTCACTTTTTGAAAAATCTCAGTGCTAGCCATAGTGGCTCATGCCTGTGGCCCCAGAGCTTTGGGAGGCTGAGGCAAGGGGATTGCTTGAGGCCACAAGTTTAAGACCAGCCTGAGTAGCACAGCAAGACTGCATCTCTAGAAAAAAAAAAAAGAAAGAAAGATGAAAGAAACGAAGGAAGGAAGGAAGGAAGGAAGGAAGGAAGGAAGGAAGGAAGGAAGGAAGGAAAGAAGAAGGAAGAAAATTAAAAAAATTTTTAAACAGTATCAGTCAAACCTGTGTGACTATAAACCTTCCTTTTGCAGTGTGGAGTCCCAATTCTTTTTTGTATTATCCACACCCCTTTAACTACCACCCCCCAATTTTCTACTTTAACAATATTTGTATTGTTCACTCTTATACAACACACTTGTATTTCTACCTTTTTGTTTAAGAAATTTCTACTATTTAGAAATAGCACTATTGTGCTCCTTTTGCCAAAATGAAGTTCATTTTTAATTCTCCAGATTTTGCTACTTCTAAGGTAAAGCCTTAGTTACATTAGCATGGCCCAGAATTTCCTATTTTAAATCTTTCCTGGGGCTGAAAATTAATCTTTCCTTAGGCAGTATCTAAAGGGTATGCGTATTGAGTGATCTAAAGATCAATTAAACACTAACAGAGCTTCAGTAAAGAAACCGTTTCTTCACACGAAAAGAGGTAATAGTGATGCAAGTAGAATGCAGGAACATTGAGTTTAGTTTTCCTAGACACCTTAAGGAACACAGGGATAACTGCGGAAGCTAGTGGATTCCAAACTCTGCAGGTAACCTCACGCCTCCAGAGTCCAAGAGATACGGCAGAAAACTAACATTTATTGAGCAACAGTTACATGCCTGGTGGAAGTCAGAGGCTACAATACGATGGCCTACAGCCCACACACAACCCACCGATGTGGGTTTTCTTGGTTTTACTCTCACAGTCCTTTAACAAACTATAAACCTATCTTTTAAAGTGTATATTTTATATGTATTATACACACATTCACACGCATACACACAAGGATCTCATGGCTTCTCCTGAAAAATTAGAATATTCACCAACACTGAACTCAGATTCTTACACGGCAACAATACAGAGCAGCAGACACAGTCATTAGAGGGGTGCAAGCTCTTGATTCACCACAGTTCTTACCGTGCACTCACTGTATGAGTGCGTGCATATCACACATGGTGCCCTTGCTTCCCATTCACCCAACTTTGGTAGGCTCTCTCTCCGTATATATACAGATATGTGTGTGGTATGTGCATATTTGTGTGGTATGTGCATAATTAAGCTAGATAGAATCTAGCTTAATTTCTTTGATGTAGATTGTATTGGCTCTGTGTTACAAATGAGAAAATGTGCAGACCCTCAACTTACTTAGGGCACAGTTGAGAGGAGGCAGTAAAGAGTATCACCTGAACGTGCCTACCCAATGTAGTCCTAAAGGAATCACTTTCAGCATGGGCAGTTTTGTTCCTAGAGAACATTTGCCAATGTATGGAGGACATTTTTGGCGGTTATACATGGGAAAGGGGCATTTAGTGGATAGAGGCCAAAGATGCTGCTAAGCATCCTACAATGTGCAGGATCATTTACTGTAACAAAAAATTATCTGGTCCAAAATGTCAAAATGTTAATAGTGCTGAGGTTGAGAAACTCTTTGTGGTGCTTAATTTTAGGTGTTGACTGGATTAAGGAATACCTAGAGAAACCTGGTAAACCACTATTTTGGATGTGTCTGTGAGGGTGTTTCCAGAGGAGATGAGCATGTGAGTCTAAGTGGGCTAGGTGAAGATCCACGCTCAGTGGGGGTGGGCAACCATCTAATCGGCCAGGGGCCCAGAGAGAACAAATACAGAAGGCAAATTGATCTCTCTTGAAGAGCTGGGATAGACTCTTCCTCTGATGCTTTGGATGTCAGAACTTGAGAGTCGCCAGCTTCTGGATGCCAGGACTTACACCAGTGCCCCCAACCCAAGTTCTCAGGCTGTCATCCTCAGACTCAGAATTGCATCATTGGCTTCCCTGGTTCTGAGGCCTTCTGACTTGGACTGAACCACTGCCAGCATCTCAGGGGTTTCCAGCTTGCAGATGGCATGCTGTGGGACTTCTCAGCCTCCATAATCTCAAGAGCCAATTCCCCAATTGCTCTCCTCTCATATATCTATATCTATAACTATATGTATCTATAAATATATATCTATAAATATAGATATATATCCTGTTGGTTTTGTCTCTCTGGAGAACACTGACTAATGCAAATTTTGACATTAGAGAAACAGAATTTTAAGGTTAAATTTTCATAATTGGTTTTAGGTTTCCTGGAATTGGCTGTTTAATCTGATTAGACCTAAAAATGCTAAGGACTGTACTTCTAATAGTACAGACAGCACTGATAGCCCATGATGTGAACTGTTTATAGAGATACACAAAATAAATGCATTTGATATTCCAAATTCTTATAAGAGACAAAAAAATTTGTGACTCTATACATGATACTTTTGAACAGTTGTGGAAAACCAAAGAATATAAAGACATTTGCTGGCTGCTCCTAGTGTTGCTGGATGAAGTGATGAAAGAAAAGGATGAGCTCAGGGATTCTCTTTCTTGGATCAAGCTTGCATAAATGATCTGTGCCAGCAAGTAAGTGCAAAGAGATCACATGGTGAGACAGGAAGCAAGAGAGAGAGAAACCGAGGAAGCCAGAGTCTGTTCAACAACCTGCTCTGGCAGAAGCAAATGCATCCCTGTGGGAGCAAGAATTCACTTCTAATGTAATTCCAAAAGGACATTAATCTAGTCATGAAGGATCTGCCCCCATGACTCAAACACCTCCCACTAGACCCCACCTCCCAACACTGCCACATTGGGAATCAAATTCCAACGTGAATTTTGGCAAGGACAAACCACATTCAAACAATAGCAGCGTCTCTGTGGTAAAAAGAAGTAAGCATTTGTTCATCTAAAATCCTTTGCTTTTGTTTATATAGCACTGACTTAATTTACAACCCTTTTATGAGACCCACTTACAAAATTCAAATCCATGCTCCCATTTACTGACAGGCTCCAACAACCTGTCAGAAGACAGAATGGTTTGTTTTTAAGGTAAATTTGATAAGAAAAGAGTTTTTACAGTACTAAACTAATTATTAATTTATTGACAAGTTCAAGCTGTGGAAAGAAGGAAAATCTATCTTAACCAAGAAATGTTTCCTTACTCTAATTTTACTTGCAGTGATACATAACATGGTCAATATAAGCTGAACATCTTTAACATATTTATATTCTGTCACTTGTGTATTATTTGTTACACATCAAAACGAAATGCTTGAGGAAAAAGACATATCATAAGGAGTAACTGTTTACAACTGACCATAGGTGTTAAATTTGTCTTTAACTGGTTATTTTTTTTTCTTGTTAAAACACACATAAACCTAGGGAAGCTTCTATATTTTCTATATTCCTAACCCCAAATCTATGAGTATGTTGCTGGCATTGGACTGAAGTTTGCATTTACACTATCCGGGAAAAGATTTGCTGAGTTGTTTTATAGTATAAATAGATTACTGGGCATAAGTAAATGTGTTTTTAAAAAACAAACATAAAGAATTATGGTATTTGTCTTACTCCATTTTGTGTTGCTACAACAGAATACCACAGACTGGGTAATTTATAAGAAAAGAAATGTATTTCTCACAGTTCTGGAGACTAGGAAGTCCAATATCGAGGGGCCAGCATCTGGCAAGGGCCTCCTTGTCACATCATCCCATGGCCAAGGGCAGAAGGGCAAGAGAGCAGGAAAGAGTGAAAGGAGCTGAATTCATCCTTTGATCAGGAACCCACTCCCGCAACAACATTAATCCTTCATGGGGCAAAGCCCTCATGACCTAATCACCTCTTAAAGGTCCTACCTCTCAACACTGTTGCATTAGGGATTGACTTTCCAACACATGATCTTTGGAGAACACATTCAAACCATAGCAGTACTAATCATATTTATATCAATAATTAATATGATTATTATAAATGAACATCAATTTATAAACACAGAAATGAAGATTTATATTAATTCATTCATTCATCCAAGCATTTGTTTTTCATTTCTTTATTCAACACAGATGGGTCAGAAGCTGTCTAGGTACAAACTGAAAATTGTGCCAGAGCTTCATTGTTGGCTTAGATTACATCACGAACTTTTTTCTCATGAGGATTTCCAAGGAACCTGGCAAAATGTTAGGTCAAAAACAGTGTTTTCATGATGGGCTGTGGGCCTCTCATGACAGAATTTTTTGGCATGTCCATAAAAATGCAGATTCCTGGGCCATACTCCAGCTCTCTATTAAGAAAGCTCTGTGTGAGGTCTATAGACATTTACAGTTAATGGATTCTTCAGATGATTCTCAAAGATCTCAAGTTTGAACCTCACTCTTTGAGATTCTCTTACTCTTCATGCCATCCCTTCTGACCCCCTTTGCTTCAGTATTTTTTCTCCATTTTCTACACTACCTTATTAATTTCAACAGTCTTTAACTTTCCTGACCCAACCTAAATCCAAGGGATGGAAATTAGTAGTTGAAGACGTAAAACAACAACAAAGAGGATGAATATTAACACCAAGAAAGACCCTACGTCATGAAATAGGACCTCAATCCTCACGTGTCCTTTTTCCTCTTTTATTCTGTTTCTTATAGTTGAAAGGTAATGACTTTGGTCATTGTACTCTTGAAATTACCTATGAGTTACAGCAGAGTGAGTGATTCTTCGCTAGGCTGTGCATCAAAATCACCTGTATTCCATAGGTTCATCAAGCTGGAAGAAATAGTACAACTTATCTAGAGTTACAGAGAATATATATATATATGTATATCCAAAATTGAACCACAAGAGATGAAAACCACCATATCTGAGATGAAAAATACTCAAGATAGAATTAACAACAAAAGAATTATTTTTTAAAAGATTAGTAAACTTGAAGACATGACAATAGTAACTATCCAAAATGAAACACACAGAAAATTAAATGTTTAAAAAATCAATAAGCTGTGGGACAGCTTCAAGTTACCTAATACATATGCAACTGAAGTTCCCAAAGGAAAGAATACAACACCAAAACCATGCTGTGTAAAAGAACAAATTGATAAATAGAAAGTTAAAATTGCAAGCTTCTGCTCTTCAAAGACTCTGTTAGGAGAATAAAAAAACAAGCCTTAGACTGGGAGAAAATATCTGCAAATTATATGTTTGGTAAAATACTTATATCCAGAATATATAAATAACTCTTTAAAATTGAATAGTAAGGAAACAACTAAATAGGTCAAAGGTTTGAACAGATAACTTCCATTCAAAGATTTATTGTTGGCAAATGAGCACATGAAAAAATGCTTGATATCCTTAATCACTAGGGAAGTGCTACTACATATCTCTTAGAATGCTGGAAAATAAAAAGACCAACCATACCAAGTGCTGGTGAGAGATATGGAGATTTTACATTGCCACATTGCTAGTGAGAATATAAAATAGTACAACCATTTTGGAAAACAGCTTGGCAGTTTCTTGAAAACATGCATACACACATATACAATGATCTACCCATCCCACTTCTAGATATGCACCCAAGAGAAATGTAAAATCATATGTTCACACAAAAACTTGTATACAAATGTACATAGCAGCCTTGTTTGCAATAGCCAAAAAATCAGATACATCCTAAATGTCCGTCAACAAGTGAAGAGATAAACAGAAGATATTATATGCATATAATAGAATACTACCCAGCAATAAAAAGGAATGAACTAGTGATATACACAACATGTATGAATCTCTAGGTAATTATACTAACTGAAAGAAGCCAGACAAAGAAATATACATCCTGTATGAACCCACGTATTTAAATTCTGTAAAACACAAACAGATGTTCAGTGACAGAAAAGAGGTCAGTGGTTGCCTGGGGACAAGAGGTGGGTGGAGGAGGAGCAGGAGAGAGAAAATACAAAGGCGCACAAGGAAACATTTGGAGTGATATGTTCATTATGTCATTCTGGTGATGATTTCACAGATGTATACATAGGTCAAAACTCATCAAATTATGAACTTTATGTGCAATTTATTATATATCAATTATAAGTCAATAAAGCTGTTAAAAATTCAATGACGGGAAGAGAGCATGATGCATTAGACTAATAAGTGATCATTATTAATAACCTCTGGGACCTGAAACAAAAGATTAAGAGGGAAAGCTTTTGTTGCTCATGCCAAATGGTGCTGTATATCAGTCTTCACATTAAAAAAAAATCATACTATAAGAACTGCGGCTAAAGTATATTTGTCCTCTTTTGATTCCACTGCTATCCAAACAGTGGGCATGTAGTACTTTGTAATACTTGAAAGTTTTAAAGATTGTCTACATTGTGCTCCTCTTCTTTTTCTCTCTCAGTCTGGAAGTCCTCCAGCCACACACATTAATGATGGAATGTAAAGCGATCTTTACCTGGGAAGCTCAAGAAAACCTGTAATGCTCTCAAAGATCTCCAATTATTTAAGCCTGGTCAAGCTCTGAAAATAACAGAGGATGTGATGTGGTATTAAAACAAGTTATTTTACTATTGGCAACACCTATATGGATTGTAGTGATGTCTAACCAGCCTGTTCTCACTCGCATGCTCCAAATGGGGACAAGAAGTTTCTCTAGTGCAGCTTCCACACTCTTCTTGGCTCTCTCTGTCTCCTTAATGGGACCTCCCACTGAAGTCAACATAAAAAGACTCAAATGTCCCCCTACCCATCTTTGCCATCACCCAGATCCTTTGATTGTCAAAATTGAGTTCCATTTTAACGACTATTACTTGTGGAATTATTTCATTCATGTAACAAATATTTATTGTACACTTACTATGTTTTCACATGTTGAATGAAACATACAAATTCTCTGACCTCATGATGTTGCAGGGGCAGAGAGGCTGAAGGTAAACCAACGTGGAATGAACAGATTCATAGAATTTGAAGCATTGCATTGAACAGGCAGGACTCTGAGAGATCAAAGCAGAAAATTTTCTTCCCTTTACCCTTCTTCAACTCTAGAATGCAGTCATGATGGCGAAAGCCTTAAGCAGACATGTGAGACCATGAGAAGAAAGCCCTGTGTCAAAGATGGTGGAGTAACTTGATAGGAAGAGTCACAGACAAGTCCAGGCCTGGACTGTTTACTTCTTGACTTTGTTTACCCAGGAGAAAATAAATACTTCTCCTGCTTAAGCCATTATTTTGGGGTTTCTGCCTCTCACAGCCAAATTATATGTGTTCCCGAGGTTGGGAGTTTGAGACCAGCCTGGCCAACATGGTGAAACCTCATCTCTACTAAAAATACAAAAATTAGCTGGGCGTGGTGGCACATGCCTATAGTTCCAGCTACTTGGGAAGCCGAGGCAGGATAATTGCTTGAACCCAGGAGGCGGAGGTTGCAGTGAACTGAGATTGAGCCACTGCACTCCAGCCTAGGTGACAGAGCAAGACTCCATTTCAGAAAAAAAAAAAAAAATTCCTTCTCTGAACATTCACAATACTTTAGCAATAATTTAACCTCTTCCTACTCTTTATTACGATGACTTAAAAGCTCACTTCGTATTCCTATTCTTTCAACTTTTAGAGGGCAGTGTAGTTGACATATTTTCTTGATCTTTAGGTCCTCCAGGCCACCTCAGGCGCTGGTAGGTGTTTGCTGGATTGCTTCTGCACTGATAGAAGTGAGCAATAGCTCATTAAACATGCTCAAAAGTAACTTCAAATCCATATTCATGGTTCTGCCTAGCCCAGAGTTGGGACCAATCACTATAGGTGGCACTGCTTTGTCTAATTTACTCCCAGTTGTTAATAAACAAGAAAGCATATAGACAAACATCTGGGGACATTGATGTTGCAGCTCTCACAGCTGAGGCTTAGAGCTGAGTTAGCCCACTCAGGCGGGACTTCGGTGCCAGCTTTATCCCACAGAAACCGTGCTTGTTTCTTCTAGTTGTTAAACAAAGTAAAAACCCACCTGCTCAGCCTGAGCAACTGTTTTCAATCAATAATTAAGTAACTTTAAGGTCCCGATCTATACAAATTCATCAATATTTTCACTGAAAAGGGATCAATATAGAAAGAGGGAAACATCCAAGTAAACCCTTTTAATGGCCATGTTTTGGCTGTGGGAAGTAAATGAATTGATTAAATGAGTGGCCAATATTGGCCCACCAATGCAATTCTCTTCTGATTTTCATAAACATTCCCACCAAACTAGTTTAACCCTCTCCCTTCGTGTTACGTTACTTTGATAAAGTTCTGTTCTAAGTGTTCTACTCAAGATGGGGCATATGCTCACATTAAATGTAAGAGAGTTTCTGAGTTAATCATTATTGAGAACCGACTATATCCAGGCATAGTGCTAGTGCTTCACATGAATCATTGAATGCTGACTAAATTCAGTGAGATAGGTGTCATTATTAATTTCCATTTTGCAGATGAAGGAACAAAGGCTTTAGGAAAGTGAAATACTTGTCTCCAAATCACAATAATGAGTAAGAGTTGGAGCCAGTACTTTCACCTTGTTCTAGTATCCCCTGCCCTATTCAGCATTCCACACTGCATCCTTACATTATCCAACCTGCCCTCCCACCACTGTGGGCCCCACTGCTGATGCTCAACTCTTACACAGAGTATGATGATGAAGTTTTGGCTCTTAGTAGGTACAGCCATAATGTAAAATGAGTAATCCCTTTAGCCTCCATTCACTTCTTTCATTTTGGCCAACTGTTGCCATCACTCAGAACATTTCTGGAGATGTGTCCTCAGAGCCCATAGAAGCCCATAGAAGCCACCAGCTCTGTAATCTGAATGAGTTTGGGTTAAGATCCCAGCTCCACTATTTCCTGGCTGTATCATCTTGGACAAGTTATTGTCAGTTTGTGTGTTTTCATATTGGGGATAATAATAGGGTTGTTGTGAGGATTAAGTGAGATTATGCACATAGAGCACGTGTGGCATGTTTGTATTATTATATTTTGAGAGCAAATTTTATTCCGCAAAAGTTACTTGGAAACAGGTGTAATGAAGTAAAAAGGAATATGTTAGTCCGTTTGTGCTTCTATAACAAAATATACAGACTAGGTAATTTGTAAACCATAGAAATTTATTTCCCACAGTTCTGAAGGTTCAAGGTCTCAGCAGGTTCAGCGTCTGGTGAAAGAGCACAGCCTCTGCTTCCAACATGGTGCCCTGTTGCTGCATCCTTCAGAGGAGAGGAATGCCATTTCCTGATATGGTGGAGGGGACAAAAGGGCAAAAAGGAGCAAACTCCCTCCATCAAGCCCTTTTATAAGAGCCCTTTTATAATTTTTCAAACCCCTATTTCAAGCCCTTGTATAATTCATGAGGGCAGAAACCTCCTGATTTATTCACAACCTAAAGATAAAACCTCCCAACACTGTTGAATTGGAAATTAAGTTTCAACATGAATTTTGGAGGGGACAAAAACATTCAACCCATAGCAAGGATGATCCAGTTTAGGTTGGAGTCAAAAATTAAGTGTGACTCCAAAACACTCTGACATGTGTGCTTGACTGTCTTGCCTACTGCTGCACAAAGATTCTGAAGTGGGTTTCCAGACCTTCCAGATCATTGCCACAGCCTTGGCTTAAGTGTGAAGCCTCCCAATGTGACCATTCCACAGGCAAATACATATTTGAATATTTAATTTTAGAGAGACCTTTTCTAAAAAATTATATCGCATATGCAGTAAAATAGATAAATCTCATAGACATAAATGTCGAATGAGAAAAAAACAGAAAAATAAGAGTATATACTGTATGATTCTACTTCTGTGAAGTTCAGCAACAAGCCAAACTAATCTCTGGTGACAGAAATCAGAATAGTGGCCTCTTTCTGGGAAGTGGTACTAAGGCAGAAGGAGGACGAGGGAACCTTCCAGGGTCCTTGAAATAGTCTATATCTTAAATTGGGCATGGTCATGAGCATGTACGTATGTGAAAATTTATCAAGACGGACACTTAAGATTAGGCGCTTCACTGTATTTACGTCATGCCTAAATTTTGTTTTAACTGTCATACTTTATAATCTAACTGAGTGGGCTTCTCTCAGTCTCACCACCCACCCTCACCCCCACCCACCCACTGCACCCCTGAGATTGAACTGAGCTCATCATGAGACAACAGAAAAAGAGGCTAATGGGAAATACCCAGTTTGAGCTGAAAAACTATATGGGACCTGCCACAGAAGACGTTTATCCAGTCTATTGGCTTCTAACAATAATACCAACCCTCACATTCAGAATTTATTTTTAGATCAGATTTCAAATATGCAAAACGGAAGTGAACATATCTTTTTCAAACCCAATTTCAAGATCATAAATGCAGTGCGTGTGTATGTGTGTGTGTGTGTATGCGTGTGCACTCCTTTCTGTGCATGTGGACATAGGACATATAGACCGGTCTTCTTTTGCACTTTGGAAGAAGCTTTTTCTAAATATGTATGTCCTCAGCATTTATCAGTGAGACCACAGTATAAAAGGATGGATCTTCATGTTTAACATGTAACTAACAAAAAATCAGAGGCCATCGAGTTGGAAGAAATCTTCGCAGTAGAGGTCATTGGCTCATCCTTCCACCCTGTCAGGACTCTTTTCAGTGGCAGCCCTGATGGAGGATCCAGATATCCCCATGAAGTTTAGTTAAGACACCTAGAGGATTTCTGTCTTGTTTGCCACTGGGCCATCTGAGGATGCGAGAGGCTGAAGTAAGGGTGTGAGCCAAAAAAGGAGAAGAGCCGCCAAATAGCTTTTATGTGTAATCAATACAGAACAATTCAATGGCAATAAGAATTACTACATCTCCCCTTGGGCCCTCTGCCTTGTCTTCTAAAGCCAGCCACATTAAGTTTAGAGCGATTCAGTGCTTAGATTGTTGGAAATAGGCATGTCAGAGAAATGCAAAAGTTGCACTGGCATTTGAGATTTGCTCTGCCCTTCAGCAGGGATGGAAATCTTACCTCCCATTACATCTGTCCAGGTCATCCAGGAGTCTTCAGCCGCCCTCAGCTGTTGGGAGCCATTGTACACACTTTCTTTCTTTGTAAATATTTTTTCAAATTTTTTTTTAAAGAATTAATACACATTCTCATCTGTAAAGGTTGAAACTCTCGTCTGCCATCTCTCCCTGCCCTTCATGGAATTGCCTCTCCCTTATGGAGCACAGCTGAGAAGTGTTCACTTATGCTGTATAGAAAAGGATTTCCATGTGACAGATGGAAAATTTCAAACTACAAAAGTGACCTGAAAATTGCACAGAGCACTTACTAACCGCTGATGGGTCTCAGCCATGAATAATTATTGATCTGTGGGTCTGGAAATTGGGTAGTTAATGCTAGGAAGGGTGCAAAATACACATTTTAGGAGAAAGTAGATAATTTTTGTGTTTCCAATCTATGTGGTCACATTTTAAGTATTTGCCACTGTATGTTTCTTTTAAAAAGAAAACAACGTAGTTACTTTTTATATGTCAAAAGATAACAATTGATAATGTGCATCAGTTTTAAGAAAATCTCCTATTTTGTCCTTGTTACACCATTGGCTAGAGCAGCCACTAGAAAAATAGAGAGCTAACTAAATTTTTAGAGAGAAACCAGCGTTGAGATGTATATTAAGGTAGAGAAGCCCCTTTCCCTTAAATTGTATATGAAATACTTGCCTGGAACTTTTCATCACTCTCCCCATGTTTAATGGAATATTCAGTACCCAAAAGCACTAAAAACATATCATCTATTGTTTCTGTGTCTAGTGATATGAATATAATAAGAATGAAACCCAACTAATCATATAGCATAGAAGAAGGAAAACCAGCATTTCCCATGTACCTACTATGCATGAGGCATCATGCTAGGATAAGAGTAACTCCAAGCCTGCTGTGAGGAGTAAATCAAACAATGGGTATAAAGAACATAGAACAACAACATATGTTTAGCAGAGATTTAATACATTTTACTTATTTATATCAGGTAATGCGTGTTTCTTTTCTTTTCTTTTTTAAAGTTACAACAACTTTGTTATTTAATACTGAAACATGTTTCTCATTCCCTGTTAATACAGTAATTAGCCCAAAATTCAAACATTACAGAAAGAAAAAAGGGAAAAAGCAAATGTCTCCCAAAACCAGCCACCATCAGCATTTTGTTGACGATTCTTGCATACCCATCTCTTCCTCTACACTCACGCATATATAAGTTTACATAGTGGCATCTTACTTCTTATGCATTTTGTTATCTGACTTTTGAATTCAACAGCATGTCCTGGTGTTTGCAAGGTAGACATCATTATTTTCATTCAGGGGAGTTGAGAAATTTAAGGCTCAGAGAGGTTGTGCACACCTTCCCAAGGTCAGTCATTTTGCTACCAAGGGAGAAAAGCTAAAATTTGAATTTTAATCTAACTAATCCAAACCCATGCTCTTTCCACACAAAGAAGTAACATAGAGTAATTGCAAATTTCCCTTAAGAAAAATTCAATTGTACACAAATTTACTTATATAAACCTTTTTAGCAACTTGTTTCCAGTACATATGAATGGCAAGCTAGTCCTGTTGGGAGTAATTTTAAAAAGAGAAACTGGGGTTTGGGAATAGAAAGGGGAGGTAAAACAGATGGCAAAAAAAGGAGAAGATTTTGCACTGTGGCCTTGGGAAAGATAAGGGAAGATGAAGGGAAATCATTCCAACCTTAGAACTGTGCCTTTCTCTGAGGAGGGAGCCACAACGTGTTGAGGAGGGCAAAGCCGCAACAGGAGCCTAGGCGAGAAGTTAACATTTGCAGACCTAAGCAATCTATTTCCAGGGGCGTTTCGGGAGAGAAGAGCACTAAATACTTCCTCGGCAGAGAACAATTGAGGGTCTCCAATGCCTTTCCCATCTCAGGCAGTCAAGTCTCTGCTTCTGACTCCACTGAAAAGACTGGAAGGAGCATCAAAGAAGAGGAGCTCCAGCCATAAAATCAAAAAAGCATGAAACATTTGGTTGGAGGATGAGAAAGACACATAAAAATTCTTGTTAGCATGCATATTACCTTTAATTAATATTTATCTCTACCTTTAAACATGCTTATTAGCATGCATATTGGAGTACAACAAATTGGCAACCACCAGTTTTCAGGAGAGCTATCTTGAAAAGTTTCAATTAAGCTAAACATGGCAAGGGAAATAAATGTACATGTATTATTACTAATTTAGTGTGAGAAAAGTCACCAACTGACTATATTTGGTGTTTATTTCTGCAGTTAAATTTTCCTTTTAGAAATATATTTATAGGAGATTTTATATGAATATTTCTGACCTTTGTCTTCATTCTATTTTCCCCCTTAAGGTCTTCATTTCCTCAAAAGTGAATTCTCTCACCGCAGGAGTTTTCCAGATCCTTTCTCACTTCCCTGTATTAGCCAGCCACTTACACTGAAATAATGACATGGAAGGACAGGAAAAGATGGGACAACCTATTTTCCTTTCAGCCCTTCCTTACTCATTAGTAAGCCAAAGGTAGAAAGCACTAATAAAATGTGCTCATATTAAGAAGTGAAAGAAGATAAAACAGTTGACCTAATTCAGTGCTAGGTTTCCACTGTTCTGGTTAGAACAAAATATATATGTATGCATGAACTAACAAATACAATCTGTGAAGTTTTAGTGATTCTGCACACATGTTAAATGTTCTTATATTTAATTTAAAATGGGCATTGCACACTTGATTTTCAATCTAAGATATTCTATCGCTAGTTTATTACTTTGGGCAAGTTATCTAAAAATCTGTGATCCTATATTCTGTCTTTAAAATGAAAGTAATAATATTTACTTTCCAGTGTTTCAGTGTGAATAACTGAGATACTCTAAGTAGTAGTTATTGATCTCAACAATCATTTATTTGGCTTCTAATATATGCCAGAGCATTTGAAATTCAAAATAAAATATAGTTTCTGACCTCAAGAAATTCATCATTCAATGGAAGAGACAAGATTATATACATATAATTAGAATGAGATGTAGAAGTGCCAATAGAGGTAGGTGCAAAACACTAGGGAAAAAAGAAAAGCATCATTCTGGTGGATGGGTGAGGTTTCTCCAGGTAGACAAGATGGGTAGTTGTTCCCATCAGCAGGAAGGGCGGTGAAAAGACATGATGTGGTGCAGCAACATGGCTCGCTGAACAGCCAAGAGGAGGTGGAAGAGGCAACAAGAAATGGGCTCCAGGGCCTGATCACATTCACCTGGTAAGAAATTTGAATTTCTATTGCAGTTTGTCTCTTAAATATGATCTTTCTCTGATACACCATGATCAACTGGTTTGCAAAATAAGAACTTTGTATCACCCAACTGAATTTTCCTGGTGGACAGATTTTCCAGATTTCTAAAGAATGGGTGTTTGACCATAAAGTAGCTGGTATCCTCTGTATTGTCATCAACCCTGACACAGAAATTCACAAGGAATAACAGCATCTAGAATTTTCTGTTCAGGCTATTTATAGAACAAAACCAGAGCAGTTATAGGAGTTATGTTATTCACCCAGGATGACATCCCAATTCATTCATTCACTCATCTTGCAAAGGTTGCCTGGCCCTGCTCAGGCTGCAGGGTGGGGCTGACATGCCCCCACCTCCAGATGTCGAGCTGCTTCATAATCACCGCAGTGGCACCTCACACTGTCCCATTAGAGAGGCGCGTGCAGCCCGCTTGTTGGGCATGTTGATGCAAGCTTGGGAAGGAAAACATAATTCACTTTTGCCAGTGACAGAAATGTTAACACTTACTTGAAATAGCTGATAATCTGACACAGGAGAGTTAAAGGATTACTGTATTTCATTTGGCTAATAAGAAAAGCTGTTTAAAAGCCATGTTAAAAAGACTTAATGTATGGTGACTGAGCATTGCTTTAATGTATTCTGTGTCATCAACTATTAGAATGATTTTCCCCTCTTATATTGCCATAGATTTTAGCCTCTTTTCTCTGGGAAGAAATAATAGAAAGCAGCATCCATTCAACAGAGACTTTCCAAAGAAACATTCATTCTATAAGTATTTCTTGAGCACCTACTGTGTGCCATTCACCACACTAGGCATTTGGGGTTCAAGGTCTCAGACTTCTCAACAAGGGCATGTTTTTTGGAAAGAATTGATGGGGGAAGACAGTGGACAAAAGATATTGAAAAATCCTGTTTGGGATTTAGTTGATATATGAAATAATCTTATTTAACTCTCATTTACTAGATGAGGAAACTGAGGCCTAGATGCCAAGTGACTTAGGGACGGGGCATGGCTAATTAGTGGGAAACCCTGGCCTGGATCCATGATCTTTTGCTTCTCATTTTGATGCTGGAGCACAATCTCCTGCAGTCACAAGAAAGAACTATGAAAGGATGTGTTTGCAGCAGGGCAAGAAGCCCAGTAAAGCAAAATCCCACGGGGCTCCAGAGTCCCTCAGCATCCACAAGGAGCACTACAGTCCATGACAAAGATGCCTTCAGTTCTGTCCACACTACTCAAGAACAGGCTGCTTCACCCTCTTGCACTGGAGGGTTGCCCTCTTTCTGGTGGTTTCTCCTGGCCCAGTGCCCCTTCTTGCTATCCAGGGCACTTTCAGCACAGAAGACATTATCAGGAAATAGATACATTCCCCCACCCCCACCTCACCAGTCAGCAAAATTGCTCTTTCTACAGCTGAAATACTCAGGTCTAAAGCCAAGCAACTTCCTTCCTTCCTTCCTTTCTCTCTCTCACTTGCTCTTTCTTTCTTTCCTTCTTTCTTTCTTTCTTTCTTCCTTCCTTCTTTCCTTCCTTCCTTTCTTTCTTTCATTCTTTCTTTCTATTTCTCCTTCTTACCTTTTAGTGTGTGCCTCATATTCAAGGTACCAGGTACCATTCCTCCTTCTCAGGACTTGGAGCTCCCTATCTCCCTGAGGTCTTGAGATCCAAAGGCAACATGACTCCATTCTCAGATAAGACAGAAAAACTTCTCCCCAAACCCTTGGGATCCTTACTCCCCCACAATGGCAGGGTTGTGTGTTCCTTCGCCAAAAGATTACTATTGCAGGGGTTAAAACTGACAAGGGAACCTGGAAACTAATGCAAATGCTTAGTGGTTCCCCCTTCTGCCTGCCCTAATTTTTAGGTGAGTGTGGCCCACCTTGGTGACAACAAGGAGCAGGAAGCAATTGATGTGGTTAATGCATTAGAGCCACCTCAAATCAGCGTTCTTTCATACAGAGGTGATCACAAGCAGTGGCCACACAGGTTAAGCCATGTGGATCTACAGACACCTCATTTACTTTTACTACAATGTCAGAAATTCCTGAGATTATGGGCTCAGTAAATTGATCTAAATAATTCAAGATTATTATTCCCGTAATTCTATTCTTCACCTGCTGCATAAACTAAATTCTTCTTTACATCCTCCCCTAAATTGGACCTAACCATCCCCTAAATTGGACATTAAAAACCACGTGTTTTCCCACCCTTAATTTTTGTTTGCTGCATTTACAAAAGGCATTCTTTGTTGTAATTTCATTGACATAAGGAGTTTCATTACCTTCACCACTCCATGTATCTGGCACAGCTTCCTTTTGGATCAGCTTTGCCCTTGACCCACCTCACTCCTGAGGTCCCAAAAAGGCAAACACACTCGTGTCTCCCACTCATTGCGTTGTCTGTCACACCCACTGCCTCACATAAATTCACTAACTTAGCATATCATGTTCCTGTGAAACAAATTAATACATTTCCCCCCTCCCACAAAAGAGGTTTACTTCTAATCAATCTTAAGAAATACTAATAATCTTAACACTATAAAATCTCTATCGTTTATGATGTACTTACCATGGGCCAGGCCTGGTGCTAAATGCCTTATATGTATTACCATGGTTAATTCTCACAATAATAATAATAAAATGAAATAATTATTTTTATTTCACAAATGAGGCTCAATGAGGTTGGGTAAATTATCCAAAGTTATTCCAGTTATAATTATTTACACCGATCTTCAAATCTAGGTCCTTGTGACTCAAAGCCCACTGGTTTATCAGTTCCCCCTAGCTTAACTTCTAATTTGTTCTCCTGGAGCACTGCACAGAAGTCAAAATACTTGGTTCTGAGTGGTGAGCCTTGGTCATTAACCCTGATTCTCAGAGAAGTTGACATTTTCCAGATTCTACAGTCTCTGTGCCTTTGCAGCCCGCCTTCCTGGGAAAGAGAATGTTTAGTTCTCAGAATTTTTGTTCCAATTAAGTAAAGCCATGGTTGTGTCTTTTAGAAATTGAAAAACAAAACAAAATTCTATCTATAGTATTTGGATGAACCAGCTAAGTTGAAGGTACATTTTATCCTGGAAAGAGAGGGATAGAGTTGGCGTTAGAAGACTTTCATTCATTTACCAGCTCCACCATTGAGTATTTTTGTGATCTTGATCTTTCTGACCTCAATTTCCTCATCTGTGGAAGGGGAGAATATTGCCCTTCTCCAAGAATCCTCAGGAGGATTTAAGGAGACCCTGCTTGAGAAGGCTCTGGGCACAGTGCCTGGCATGTCATCTGATGATGTTCTTGTTGGTTTCGTTTGAGTCTTAATTTATCTGAATTTCCCTGGGATATCTATTTAAGAGCAAGTAAAATCTGAAATCAGATCCTGATCTCTTTACATGTTCTTCCCTAGGCTTCATAAATTAATAAAATGTTACATTTATCAGCATTCTTTAAACCCCTACATCTGTATTACATGCATATCACAAAGTATGTGGTTAAAAAAAAAAAGATGTCTCCCCTCCTTATCCTTTGGGTCTTCTCCTTGAATTAACCCCTGTTTGAAAATACTGGAAGCTAAATGTGAATAAAAAATACAAAGTTCACCAAACTAGAACTCAGGTCAGTGTTCAGGAAACAAAATCTTGCTTTATTGATACCTACAGAAAATTCCTGGGATATTCACAGCTATTCTCAGTGCTTGCTACATCACAGAAATGCCTGTGATCCTCTGACCTTTTGATCAATTGCTCGCCTATCATCTAACATCTTCTGCTAAGTGAAGAGCAGGGTATCCCTAAGAGTAGGTATTAATTATTAATATGTATTAATAATACATTGCATTACCCTTTCACTGGAGTGGAGGCTTTTGGATCTAGTCAAGTTTTATAAATTTTTGTCAATTTGAATAGGCATGGCATTTTTCAATAAATCATTGCAGTCTGGATCAGTTTACCCCATGCAACCTCCAGTCAATTGCCCAGGAAAGAGAAATGCCTGAGTGGAGATATAATGTTTTTGTTCATTTCAAATCTATTCCATCTATTTTTTTCTAAAAACAGCACTCAAGTTTTGCTGGAAGTTCTGCCTGAGCTTAGCCTATCCACGTGGATCAATTAAACAAACTGATTCTTCCTCTGTCCTCAGAGGTGGGCATTTGACCCAGAACTAGCCAATTAGCATGCAGCATTCCACTGGTTCAGTGATGGGCATGTGACCCAATCAGAACCAATCAGAACTAATCCCAAGACCTCCCCCTGAGCTTGGTTCCTCATCTGAGAGAAAGAGAGTGAGAGAGAGAGAGAGTGTGTGTGTGTGCGTGCGCGTGTGTGTATGTGTGTGTGTGTGTGTGTGAAGGGATGTTGACAGAGGGGGACACATTTTATGTGGGCCCATGTTAGAAAGATTGGGAAGGAAGAAAATAATGAGCGTGATCCTTTCCTTAAAATTATGAAGAATTATTTCTTGAAAGATCATTGCTACCATTTATGGAAGACTTTAATCTGTGCTAGGCAGCTGTACTAAATACTTTATATCAATTATCTCATTTAATTCTCACAACTGCGTGAGCTAGATTGTACTATTATTATGCACATTTTAACATTTTATGCAATAAGCAACTTGCCCAAAGTCACACAGCAAGGAAGTGAGAGAGTCAGGATTTAAACCTAGATCTGTCCTTCACTAACGCCCAGCTCTTCCTCTGAATAAATCGGTTACTTGCCAATCTAATTGACAGTGTACAAAGGGCTCCTAAATTTCCCATGATGTGGACTTGTTAAATCAAGTTTATGTTAGATGAGAAGGGAAACAATGTTTGTCACTTTATTCTCATGGGAACTGAAATATTTTGATCATTGTACTTTCACAATGGGCGTTTGAAAGAAACAAATATGCAGATCAAGGCCTGTGTTCCTTCTAGCCAAACTGGCTTCAGACCTATGTGGAATTTAGGCAATGGTGCCCTTCCAATGGTAATAGGAAATCTAGTGTTAGCAGGTGCACTTCCCTTCATTGATAAAAATCCTTTGGAATTATGTAATTCAAAATTACCTTGAGATGTAACTTTGAATTTAGAGACATAGAATTGAAAAAAAAAAAGTGATGGATAATTTCTGGTGACATGAATGGACCTATGAAATATGTATTTCTTTTCTCCCCATCTTGCATCAACTCATTTGATATTTCAGTTTGTGTAATAGTTAAAACTCCTGGCAGAGCAGAGGCAGTAATTGCAAACAGCTGTAAAGTATTACTCATCTTGCTGATCAAAATGACTTCCCGCTAAATAAACCATGAAAAAAGCTTTTCCACCCACAGAGAAGTGAAGTGTAAATGATATATAGACTCTACCATGAAGAGATCAACAGATTGCATTTTCCTATAACTATGGTTTTATATGGCTACAGTTACTTTCAAAAATGGCTTATAAACTCAGCTAGTCCAGGAAAAAGAACTTGGATAATAACATTAAGAGATGGCAGTGGGGATCCTGGGAAGTGTTTGAAGTTACAAAGCTTTTGGAGAGCCATCTTGATTCCTCTCAGGCTTTCCAACCGATGAAAACAACTTCAAATGTGGTTTTATTCATGCTTATTTTGGATATCACACCAGCTCTCTTGCCCTTCAGAGACATTGCGTCTCAGGAACATTAGCTGCACATCCATGTCTTGGTCTTTCTATCATGGTTTTGAAGGGTGATGGACCCATGGTGGTGGTAGTGTCAATACATTGATGCTCCTGCCATGGGCATCTGACTGTGAGCTTCAGCTCCTGACAAAAGAATAATCTGGTGCTGGAGTCACAGAGCTGACCTCTGATGTCACTCCAGCTACTTGCCCACACTACACTGCCAGCTCCTTGTGATTCTCCTAAACTAAGAAATTCACTGGGCAATATTCACCAAAAGACAATAAAAACTTCTCTTCGCACTCAGACATAAATCTCTCTCCCCTACCTATCTCCTTTCCCTAAATCAAGAGTCATCTATAAATTGATACTAAACCTATCTTTTCAGTCTTACTGCTTTTTTCATTTTTACTTGAAATGTAATTGTACCTATTTATAGGATACAGAGTGACATCTCAATGTATGTATATAATATATGTATTTCTATATATATAATGATCAAATCAGAGTAACTAACATATCCATTACATCAAACTATCATTTCTTCATGTTGTAAACATTCAAAATATTCTCTCTTAGCTTTTTCAAAATATACACTAAATTACTGCTAACCATCTTTACCCTACAGTGCTGTAGACACTAGAACTCATTTCTCCTATCTAGCTGTAAGTTTGTATTTGTTAACTAACCTCTCTCTGTCCCCTCCTCCCTGCTGCTCTCCCCGGCCTGTAATAACCAGAATTCTACTCTCCACTTCCATGAGCTCGGGTTTTTTTTTTTAACTCCCACATATGAGTGAGAACATGCAGTATTTATCTTTCTGTGCCTAGCTTATTTCACTTAACATAGTCTTCCAGGTTCATCCATGTTGCAGCCAAGGACAGGATTTCATTATTTTTATGGCTAAATAGTACTCCACTGTGAATATATACTACCTTTTTAATCTATTTATCTGTTTTTGGACATTTAGGTTGAGTCTAATCTTGGCTACTGTAAATAGTGCTGCTATAAACATGAGGGTGCAGGTATCTCCTAAATATGCTGATTTCCTTTCCTGTAGATAAATGCCCCATAGTGGGACTGCTGGAAAAAAAAATTCTTTTTCTTTAAACCTGATCATGTCTGTCCTTATACATGCATGTTAAACCCATCTCTCACCATCAATGCAAGCCCACCCCGAGCAGTTGTTCCCTCTTCTCTTCCCTCATTTTCTGCACCCCGTGTGGCTCCATACCCCAGCCTCAGGCCTTTCTATACCATTTCCTATTTGGGACACTTAGTTTTTATTCAACTCTGGTACTGTCCTTTGAGAATTTGCAACGTGGTTTGGCTATGGCACTTTTTATTAAGATGTCACATCAGGGTTGATAAATTCAAAGTAATATCATTCTTTTTCCTGACAAATTCAGCTCCTCCTTTCCACTGCACTTTCTTGCCAATGCCACCACTCTTTCTTCTGTTGTGTAGGGAGAACACAGGTCACCTCCTTGGCATGAAATGTGTAGGTGCTCAATAAAGACTTGCTGAATACATGAATGAAAGTTCTTAGAGTACACCCTTGTAATTAGACTGATCATTACATAGGGGTAAGTTTTATTCTCTAAAAGGGGTGAGTGGGAGTTTATGCTAAGGTTGTAAGCATTTCTCAGAGCAGACTTTGGATGTATATTACAGAACTGCTGAACATGTGGAATGTGCATATTTAATACTGAAAATATTTAATGCTACATGTGTAAGACTTTTGCCAACTGGAATCTGAACATCAACAACTTCGAAGGCCTTATTCTACCTTCTCAGCACAAAAATGCTTTTTATGAATGCACATATTTATGTGCAAAAGTATAGAAAATTGACTTTAAAATATACAACAAATTCATTTTAGCAATTGTCCCTGGGGACCTAGAAGGAGAATGAGATTGGGGTGGCAGGAGTGGAACATTAGCTAATAATGCTTTATTTTATTAAAAATAATTACTGAAAACCAATACAATAAAATATTAACAAGTTAATTGAGGGGGTTGGGAGTCTAGCGCTTATATTCTTCTTTGCATGTTCTTAATATCTTTAAAATTCCCTTTTTTGCTTTTGTTAAGGAAGTCACAGTTTAATTGGCAGTATATCTATAATGGTACATGAAATAATGTCTGATTTCTAAACATTGACATCCTACATTAGATGAAATATATTAACTATCAAGCTTTGATATTACACTATAAAATTAATTGGAGAAAGTCACCCCTCTTTGTTTCTTTTTTTTTGTTGTTATTAGGTGCCCCATATGATCTGCAGGAATTTTTTTTCTAGGCTTTGATCATTTTAAATGAAATCAGAATTTGTTAAAGTTCAGTTAACACTCAGCTGTGAACCCTACGGTACTGGGATCTTTTTCAATGGGAGATCTTTAAGCATTATTCCAAACCATTCTATGCTAATTTGTCTATTGATAATTTATGATTTATTATTAAATACATTAAATTTCTTAAAAAGAAAAATCAAAGAAATAAAGGAATTAGCAGTTGAAAGCAAGAAAACCTATTCTGAGCATCATCCATACTTCTTGGCAACCAAAACAATGAAATCAATGCCTTGGGTTAAACAGTTCCCAATTGTCCACCATGTTACCAGGAGAAAAAAACCCTTTATCATAGGGTTAAACTTTGGGAAGGATTTTCCATAAGAATCCTAATATAAAGGTTCTTGAATGACATGATGTACAAGGTCTTTGATAGCAATGTGACCCAAAGTGCAAAGATGTTTTACTAGTCCTGTTGGTGCCCCAAATTGGCTCCAGGTAAGTAATCTGGACATACTGTGAAATTATAATTCCGTATAGACAGTTCAACTTAAGGGGTTAGAGTGATGCAATTCAAATAGATGGCTTTCTTCTGATCTGGCTTAACGTAAATCTTGAAAAATCTGGATGAGTAAATGTTTAATATATCCTCAGTTCTCAACCACTCTTCTTCCCACAACAGACAATATCATAGGGCAGGACATCCTCCCAAGGGTACACTCAATATTATGTACAGTTCCCACACAAGAAAGCACATCATAATCTTAGTGAGAATGATGTTCTCATAAGGTCAGTTATACTCAGTGTGCATAGTTGTCCTAGTGTGAGTATGAAACCAAATCATTCACAAGTACCACTAGTCTGATTATTAGTAATAATCCACTTGTGATATAGCTTTTCTTTACTGACACAAAATATTGTTTGACACCATGGTTGAAACATTGGTCTTAGGCCAACACTCTCCATTATCTGTTGTTGCCAAGCCTTTGAGAGGTGTTTTATGTGGGCAAAAGGTCCCTTCCTATCTCTTTGGTCAAAGCAAAGGAGGAGTACAGATGACTGAGAGAGTGATCACGCTACTGTGCCCACCTACGAGGTAGAACTTGTTCCTGGGTTGGGAGATGTTTTATGACCAGGGTGCAGTAGAAAGAGCATACAGCTAGCAGTAAAGAGAAGTGGTCCTGATTGCAGCTCTGCCTCTAACTTCCTGAGTAACCTCAGGCTAGTCACCCAGTGACTGCTCCCCACATTCCTTTTTGTAAGCTGCCATGACTGAATCAGACAATAGCATCTAAGTTTCTTCTGAACTCTCATACTCAGGGAAGCCAATGATGTTGGCAGGATGAGCTACATAGTTAGTAGGACCCAGCGCAAAATGAAAATATAGGGATCCTTGATAAAAAATTAAGAATTTCAAGATGCAACAGCAGAGCATTGTAAACTAAGCGCACAACCCTTCTGAGATCAAGGCTTTCTGCAACTGCACAGGTCATAGCCCTTGAAGCCAGCCTGGTGTCAGCTTCCCATTATGAAGCTGGTCTGTCATTCAGGGCTCAGAAGTTGGATCTTCCAGGCTGAAAGTGGAAGGAGAGCACATGTTGTGCTAGTCACAGCCAGAGATAATGCAAAGAGGACTTAACAAGGGCCCAGGCACAACACAAATTGTTATGAAGAAGAGAAGAGGGCCACCTAGGGACTTAACACAAAAATGATCCTCTGTCCACATCTCCTCTCCAGGTTTCAGTCATGGTAAGGACTGTCCCAGATTTCAGAGCCTTCAAAGAAGATCTTAACTCTAAAACCTGGGCAAAGTCTGGGATAGCAGTTTGTGTGCCACCTCACTCTCCTGTCTCTTTCTCTCTGAATAAACATCTTTTATCAGGAAGCCCAGCAGAACACAGTCAAGAAGAAGGTAGGTGACTGGTATTCCCATCTTGCTGAAATCGCAGCCACTTGGGGTCAGTGTGATAGCAGTGGTGGCTCACGTCTTGAACATAAGAGAATAGACTGTATTGTCAAGGTACTGATGCAACACACTTCTGCCCTACTTGGTGCATTGTCTCAGGTCTCAGCACTCACAATGGATGCTCTTAATTCTACACAGAATCCCCAAATGTCAATGAGGATCACTGGCCAGCCATACCTTAGTTCATGGAGGGTAGTAGGGATATCAACAAAGGCCCCACCTTCCACCACCCAAGTGCTTCCAATCAGAAGGATGAGCTTGGGTAATTTTGTGATGCGTGACAGGATGGTGTCAGCAGACAGGCCAAATCCACATTCAGTATTTCCCATCATGAGATCTTTGGTGTCAGGTAACATTAAAGAATGAGAGTGGTGAAGAAACACCTCTGGTGAACCACTTTCCAATAGGCTGAGAATGCAGCTTTCAAATCACTTCCAATACTTGGCTTAAAGAAACTGGAAAGCTAAGTGAAAGAGAGAGCACAGAGCAGGTCAGAGTACCTGAGATCCTGCTCTCAATTCCCACTTACAGGCTGAATGACCAACGGAAAGTCATTTGTCCTCCTGTATTTCTGTTTTCCCGTTGAAAAATGGCAATAATAAGTAATAATGCTTGCTTTGTGGGGACCCTGTGACCAGAAAATGAGGCAACCTATAAAACACACATTTAAATAGAACATCACTGCAGGACTTGGTGGCTCATTCCTGTAATCCCAGCACTTTGGGAGGCCTAGGAGGGTGGATCACCTGAGGTCAAGAATTCAAGACCAGCCTGGACAACATGATGAAACCCCATCTCCACTAAAAATACAAAAAATTAGCTGGGTGTGGTGGTGGGCTCCTGTAATCCCAGCTACTCAGGAGGCTGAGGCAGGAGAATTGCTTGAACCCGGGAGGTGGAGGTTGCAGTGAGCCGAGATCCTGCCACTCCACTCCAGCCTAGGTGACAGAGCAAGACTCCATCTCAAAATAAATAAATAAAAATAAAATCACTCTGCAACTAGTGGGTACAACCTGAATTTCTTTTTTTTTTTTTTTTTTTTTTTTTTTTTGTCTGTTGCCCAGGCCATTACCCAGGCTGGTGCAATCTCAGCTCACTGCAACCTCCACCTCCCAGGATCAAGTGATTCTCCCGCCTCAGCCTCCTGAGTAGCTGGGATTACAGGGGCCCACTACCATGCCCAGCTAATTTTTGTGTTTTTAGTAGAGACAGGGTTTCACCATGTTGGCCAGGCTGATCTTGAACTTAAGACCTCATAAGCCTCATAGATTCAATAAAATCAGTCATGATAATAATAATAATCATCATCATCTTTAGAGGTTCCCGTAAGGTACAAACTGCTATTATTTCAATCACCCAAAATGCCTTGTGGGGCCCTAAGGTTATCTGTAGAATCTAAAAAGAGACACATACTCAAATTAGCGAAGTCACATCAAAATTTGGAGAAGAAAAAAAGAAAAGAAAAGAAAGGAGGTTTAAGAGATTTACTCCACCAATCTCTTAGTAATTTTCATGCTCATTATCAGTAAGCTGTGTTTTTCTTACAAAAGAGCTACTTGGGCGTGCAGTGACTTGAGATAATTAAGAATGCATTTACATTTTATGGAGCCACTAATGCCCTCAGCATTCCAGGATCCTGCATTAGATTTGCTCATGGTACTTTCCTCCAATCAGTGAATATTAACATATTTAACCTGTATTCAGGCAGTAACCTCTCAAGACACTAAGACTTGATTCAGTGATGTCAAGAAGTCAAAAGGGGGTTTGTCAACAGAGAAAAGCCATAGCTACCCTCCAAATTCTGCTTCTGTGAGTATTTTTTCTACTCTTTTAATTGCTTGAAGGATCTCATTAAAATTTCCCAGTTAAAGTGAAAATTGGAAGGACCACAGAGCAACTGTGAAAGAATGGCTTTTAACACAATTTCCAAATGACAACACAAAAAAGGGATGTTGCCAACCATTGGTCCTCTAAAAAATGAGAATTCCAAGGAAGTGGGAAATTTGACCTGATGATCTTCTGAAGTCCCTTCCTACCCTAAGTTCTATGTAATGTACAAAGACCAGGATTTGCAATTGCCCCATGTCCTAGTCTTCTGAGGCACCTGGAAAACAAAGATCCAGACTCTACTCAGTGCATGGAAATGTCCCTGAACCTTACCTGGAAAGAAAACAGCCCTGCCAGGTAGCCCCTGAAAGATGTGTTTTGCAATGGCAGCAGATGGAAACTGTCCCCCACACCCCTTTGCAAATCTAGCAAGCCATCCTGCAAACTGACATATGAACCAGGGAGTGAGATGGGCTGAATTGTAAGCATGCCACTGCATTGCCACACCTCTTATTTGGGCAGATGCACATAAATAATTGAGCAAAATAAATTGAAGGCCAACACAATCAACACAGCATCAGGGAGTCAAAACCACCTGGGACTAGGTATGTGAAGAAGAGGGTATAAAAACAGAGTATTTAGAAGTCTTATCTGTCTGTGGTTCTAATTTTCAAAGTCAGAAGAGACGTGTCCCCTAGGAGGCTGGACCCTGCTTAGGAAGACATTTGGACTAGGCAATAAAATAATATGAAAATACCAAAAAATAAAAATAAGGAAGAGCAATAGGTATGTAACTTTACTCCGGGACTCCTGTGGTATCTCACAACACCATGCTTCATGAACCCCAAAGAAAGCAAAAAATCTAGCTAGTGTTATAAATCCTGGTCAGCTGAATTATTTCACATGTTGCAGCCTGACTTAAGTTATTCATCGCAGAGGCTAGCAGCTCCCTGATGCATCCTTCCATGTCACTGGACAGGGTAAAAATAATAAATTGGCCATTGTGAGACACTCTGAGTTTTGTGGGGTTGAGCAGAGCATATTTTATATTCTTCTCTTGCAACTGCCTCTTGTTGGTAGTAAATGGTTGCCAGCGCTGCTGTTTCTCAATAGACAAGTCCTAGAAGTAAAGATAATTCCATTTTCATTCACTCTTAGCTCTTCTGCTACCGGTGTTCTTCTTTGACACCGACAGGGCTGTACCTGTCTTCCTGGCCTGACGTAGCTCTTGTATGGTTTGCCACTTGCCAGAAAATCCACGAGCCACTCTAAAAACCTTTTGCCCCATAGAGACCACTCCAGTGAGTACAAATTGTCCAGTGGTATTTTTAGACGGTCTTCCTCCTTAGCTCATTTCTCTCCAAGAACAAACATATCGAGGTGTTGATTTGGCAGCAGCTCCTGAAAGACAATCCAGCTTGCTTTAAATTTTAAAGATTTTCAGTGTAATAGAAGATATAATAGCAACAGTAGCATCCTCTGTTACATTGAAATTAAACTACTACACTTTCACTGTTGGGGTGGCAAGTATAATTTCTATCACTTCTTTGGAAAGCAATACAACTAACTAAAGATAGCCAAAATGTCTATACTTTTTGGAACCAATAACCTCACTGAAAACAATTTATTCCAAGAGTATGATTCAACAGAAGAAAACAAACAACAAGTAATATATATGTGCTTGTTTCTTCCTGTGAAAACAACAACACAGAATTTATTAAACAAGTTTTGAAACAGTTGGCTATGTGGTAACATGGAACAACATTCTTCTATAATGTTAAAGAATAAAAGCTTAGAGAATAGTATATATTCTGTGACTCCAACTATGAAAGAAAACATAGATCTACATAGGGACAAAGATGATAAACATGCAAAAACAGGTGTTGAGTTCATGGATTATGTGTATTTTTCCTGCATTCAAATTTATCTTTATTATTGCTTTTTTATGTTCCCCCCTCCTCCCCCAAAAAATCTTAAAGGTCTTGAATATGCCCCTATCAGTATTTAACATTTCTTCTGAAACTGGGTCTAGATGACTCAATCTGCTGCAGTGTTTTGAACAAGATGTATAGCAAGGTTATTCTTTCCATTGTGTGTGTGTGTGTTTTTTTTTAACAGCCAGACACAGGTCTTTAATGGTACAGCTGGCTTCTTTGTTTGGGATACGTTACTTTCAATCATTTTCATGATCCTCTGCATGATTTACAGAAGCCGAGTGGTATGCTTTAGCATTTCCATGGTCCTTCTTCTCCACGGTCATGAGATTCTTAGGCGAAATTCTTTTAGTGCCATTATTCTCCATTTACAAAAGCAGAATACAGTGGCAGGAGCTGGGACTCTGGGAAACCAACAGCCAAGAATTCAAACTACAGCATACTGCAAAACACTCAGATAAGATGTCCCCATCATATTCTATCATTGGGCAAAATAAAATGTAAACCACATACTCAAAACAGCAAATATTGTGGGTGACAGTGACACTGGTATTCGGAAAGATGAATAAATGCAATTAAGAAGCCAGGCAAAGAAGTAAACATGCCATGTAGCTTACAAAAGACCAGCCACATTGTGTTTATTTTAATATTGTTTAACGGTAACACCTAATAAAGAGAGCATCATGATTGTGTGAACTAAATTTTCAGTCATAATGAATGCTACAAACTTAACCTCCCAAGTTTAAATAGGCCACAACGTCTTGGGAAAAATGCAAGAAGAATTATTTGATAAAGGTGACGCTTTTTCACACCTGAAAATAATGTTTTTCTTCCAGCCTATCTTGATCAACAGCCAGCAGCAACACATTGCAGATATAATCTCAAGACCTTGTGGCATGTACTTGTCACTACATGCATAACTTACTATGGACAGAGGATCACGGAGATTTTGAACATAATTTCCCACACGACAGGAGATTAAATAGACCACATTGGAAGAAGGCAAGAAGAAGCTAGGTCTCTGGAGTACCAAAAAGTAAACTTCAGCCAGTTCTGGAAGCAGATAAACAGCAGGAAATATACTTTCAGATGGGCTACTTTCTCAATAGTTCTTGCTTGCAAGAGCTCTAGGGAAAGTATGAGTTACTGGGTAAGAATGTAATAGGAAAGGGGCCAGCCTTGGGAAAATTTGCAATGGAAGAAAATCAGTGTCTCCTCATTTACTTCTTTCTTTCTCCTCTTCCTTTGTAATGCTACCTTTCTTGGGGTGTTCCTTCCCCTAGAATACCCTGCCTGTCACCCCACGAGAACCTGCTCTTGAGACTGCATTTCTAATACCTATAATGAGATGTTAGGTAAATGCCTTATCTCTCAGTGTATATACATATTAAGCTTTCTCTCTATGCTGTGTTTTCTTGTGCAGGAATATCAGACATTAATGAACCAATAGAGAAGATACTGGGGTGCAGAAGAGCTTTCCCAGTGTCCTGGGAGCCATTCTACACAGCACCCTGCAGCATGACTTTGGATCTGCTGTGCTTAGTTTCTTTACTTGTGAAAACAGAGTAATAGTAGCACCTACCTCACAGGATTGTTCTGAAGATTAGAGGGATTCTTTCATGGAAAGCTCTAGAGCAGTGCTTGAGAGATGGTAAGTGCTCCACATGTGTTAATCATTATTATCGTTATCAATATTTGATGTAAAAGCCTTTCTGAAAGAAATCACACAAGAATATGATCAGTTAAAAAATATACATGAATGAAAGTATGTTTGGCGCTGTCACAACACAGAGTGGCATAATGGTTAAGAACATAGGCTTTGGAAGTCAACCATCTGTGCTCAAAGCCTTGTGTCACCACATGGCCATTGTAGGGCACTGGGCCTCAGATTTATAGCCTGAAAAATGGGGGAACAATGTCTGTCATATAAAGTTGCTGTAAAGATCAAATCAGCTAAGAAATGTAAAATACTGAACAGTGCCTGACACAAAATAAACACCCAATTAATGGTAGCAGGAAGAAAAGAGTACTCTTCAACCAAAATTTTACCTTTAGAAATTGGTTAAGAAGGAATGAGTGCTTGGGAATCTTACTGCCAGAGCTGGGGAACACAAATAACCCCAAGATATGACCCAACTGAGAAATTAGACACCAGAGTTAGCAGGTCTCAGGACTCGAGAACATGTCATAGATCTGGGGGCCAAGTGGACTTCCCAATTCCCCAGTCCTGAATTAGGCAGATGCGCCCTTCAGTCCTTGGCTGAGCTGGACTGAGGCGTCCTCCAAAGGGAGAAATAAATTTGCATCCTGACAAGAGCTAACTCTGAAAGAGAGAGAAAGCCACAGAGGCTGAGTTTCACCAGCACAACTACTTCCAAGCACATTCCTCAGGTAAGTCATTTCTCTTCCCAAGGGGAGGACTGAATGAGCTTATGGTGAGAGGTTGAAAGTTTTTTCCTTTATTTTCCCCTCATGGGAGAGGAGTGGAAGTGCTATCCTCTCTGTGGGAACCTTCAGACTATGGAAGTTTCCCCCAACACTTGGCATTGACTGATTCATCTGCATGTTTCTATATCCACATCTTCTATATGAAGAATCTAAGTGGGAATAGCCTCCAAAGTAATCTGATAGACACATTATAAGTATAAATATTGTTTATTCTCCTTGTGGTAGTTTGTCCTCAAGATGACCACCATCAATTTCTCCCCTCCTTCTATACACACTGTTCCTCCATCTGGAGGTGGAGTATGTTTCTTCACCCTATTGAATCTGTGCTAGCCTGTGACTGCTGTGACTGGTAGAATACAGCAGACTGATGCTGCCTGGACTCCAGGGCCGGATCACAGGTGTCTTCCAACCTCTGCCTGGCTCTTGTGGAATGCTTGCTCTAGGAGGTATCAACCCCCTTGTAAAAATCAAACTGTCTTGAAACCTCCATGCTGTGAGAAAACCCAAGCTAGCCATGTGGAGAGAGAGAGAGAGATGCCCAGCCAGCAACCAGCTGCTCCAGCCATCTCAACTGAGGCATCAGCCGTGAGAATAAAGAATCCATCTTAGATTTCCAACTCAGTCAGTTCAGATAACTCCAGCCCCAGCTGAAAACTCACAAGAAATTCCAAGTTAAAACCACACAGCTGAGCCCAGTCAACCCAAAGAACCATGAGAGATAACAATAATTGATAATAATTTCGGTGACTAAATTTTGGGGCTTAGTTATGCAGCAAAAGATAACCAAACACTCCCCTTATAGACTTTACCAAATTTTTCACTAGGCCTGCTTCTTCTTGTGGTTGTCTTTTAAATCTAACTCAAATGGTGCTTGAACAACTAAGACTAATTTTTATTCAGAGGACTTTAACATTCAAGATAGATGATGGTTGGCATTTGTTTTGGTGTTATCCGAACAAAACAAAAACTCTCCTTCTGCAATCCTCACTAAGGATTGTTCTTTAATCCTCAATTAAAATGCTTTATAAAAACAAATAAAATTGGGTTCCTTCTAGCAGCCTAAATGTCATATCTCTAATGCAAATAATAGATTGGATAACAGAGAGAATGAATATTTACCATGAAACTAATTTCCTATAATTTGATGCCAATTAAGATTGTAATTGCTTCCTCAGTATCACCAGATCATTCACAGTTTCAGGAAGTACGAGTATATTTGGTTACATTTGTTTAACTTGTGTAAACTCTTCTGTGATTTGTTATTTCCAGAGAAAAATGGAACTTGAAACCAGGAACAATTCTGAACTAATTTTCTGTAATGGTAGACCTTAAAATCAGATAAATTAGTTAAGCCAGTAATGCAAATGAATCCATGCTCATAACCCTGATGTTCAAAGAAATTAAAAAAGAAAACCAAAGGTATATTCAGGTGGTCATTAATTAGTCCTCCTTGCCTATAGTTCACTGATAGATTTGATGGAATTTTTTTGTGAAATGCATTCTCTGAAAGTAAGTTGGGGCACCAACAGATCAAAATGCCCATGATTGGGACATGATGTAGATACTGATTTATATAGAGGAGGACAGTCACATATTTGCCTGCTAGGAACATTTTTCTGAAGGCTAAAGATATTCTGTCTGCAAGACTGTGCTTATTTTTCTGGCCCAGGAAACCAGGATACATGAGACTTACAATCTTTCAACTCCCTGGCACTCAGGGTTAGCCTCTTTATTTCTCTGAGCTTCTCTTAGGGCAAAAAAAAAAAAAAAAAAAAAAAAGAAGGATGTGTGGAATTTAGGAATCAGGCACATGAACTAATTCATGTAAAAGTGACCTGCTTGATCTCTGACTTTTATAGCAAATGATATATACATAGGAACACATGAAGAGGGGAACTCTCCAATTCCCCAAAGCCCAGGCCACTCTGTTGAGCACTTTGAGCACCCTGGAGGCAGCTTATGTTAACTCTTATAGACAACAAGTAAATTGCTATATTGGTATAGCTTCCACCCAAGAGAATCTTGCTAGGATCTGACCTGTGTTCAGGGCTAGTGTTGGTGTTTCTGTCCCAGAGGCATTTCTGCTGTTTTAACCAAACTATTTCACCTGCTAATCCTAGTATTCCAGATCATCTCAACCCACTATCCAACCAAACATGGAGAGCAGAGCAGCCCCATCTCAGTTATGGTAGCAGATGAAGCAACTCAGGCAAGTAAATGACATCCTTTCCATCTTGGGCCTTATAACCAGGAAGTGTGTAGTCTTTTTGCCACCTACTCTGGGGATGTTGTTGAGTCTCAGGATAAAAGGTACTGAGTGTAGATGCAGCAAGTGAAATATTGGGCTTTGGTGAAGGCCCACGAGTCATTGTCGTTGGTTCTGAAGCATGAAACTTGGTTGGTTTTCCCAGCCCTGAAATACTTGGAACTCCTTTTGGACCCATCCTACAAATTCAGAACCACATAAAGGAAATGGTAGTGGTAGGAGAGAAGGGAGAATGCAGATGGAGGAGGAACTATAGACAGGGCTGTCGAAGAGGTAGTCTCTGAGGAATTGTTCTCCAAGGATATGGAATGAAAGGCTTTTATTTGGACATATCTTTACATGATTGCTTTTACCGAAAATAGAAGTCAGTCATAGACTGAGAGAATTGGATTCACATTTTTTAAATCTGTGTTGCAAGCAATTCTAAAGTCAACACATGATAATATGAACACATAAGTCCTTTCAGGAAAGCAAACATGACGTAAGTCAGGTAGGTATGATATCAGTGGTAGAGGCACCCCAACGTGATCATAGCTTTCTTTGTTTTCATTCTCTACATTGATGGGAAATTTGTGATTTTTCATCCAGTAACGAAATCAATAGAACTGTGACTTATATTTCACAATTTAAATCGATGATTTTATACACTTTAAAAGTTCAATAATATTTCCTACCATTATAAGTTTTTTTCTTTTTTTGGAAAATTTCAAGGGGACATACCTCAACCTTTCCCCAGTGCTTTGTGAATATTGTCATCTCTAACGATATTTCTCCAATTTCTTGGAGGAGCTGTGATAACATCTAGGCTTTACCTTACATTGACTTTGAACAAATGGAACTCAAAAGGCTAAATGAAACATAGATTAGTCAGAAATCTGAAATACTGTAAAGGGTTGTGGCAGATAATTTAAATGAAAGTTATTTTGATTGTCACTAAAAGTAACAATTGAGTGTCATGCTGACATGCATGATACAATAAGCCCCTGGCAGTTGTGGATTTAACATTCATCATTTTGAATGTTCTTAAATGACCCTGAAAGTCCATAAGATGGAGTAATTTGTAATTTTGATGAGGCACAAATTTCAATTGCCTGAACTGGGAGGCAGGCATGAGTCATTTAACTGGATATCATGACTTTAATTCTCTACTTGTTTCCTTGTAGTTTTGTGGATTTGGGAATTTCCAAAGTTCTCAGAGATTTCTTCACAAACATTTGTATAATTAATACAGTGTTAGAAACACTTAACAATGGTAGTAAAGGGGTAAATGGTACAAATACATAGAAATATTTGAAGAATTATAACCAGCATAGAACACTGACATGTTGAGAAAACTCAATGAATACTTATTTGTACTGATTTATTACTAAATGGAATAATGTATGTTAAGCATCTAACACAATGTCTGACACATGGTGGGGTGTTCTTTAAGTCTGAATTTCCTTTTCTTTGCTTCTTGTTTGCTGTTGAAACATTTATATGGTAGCTTCCACTTACAGATAATTTTTTTTAATTAGATAAAGGAAGAAAATACCAGAGACTATCACTGTTTTTTGTTGTTGTTGTTTTTAATTTTCCAGGATTTCAGCAATGTTTAGTGCAAAATCTGCTTAGGATAAGGAGTCTCTGTTGTAAAGCCCACACTTGATTTAGCAGTCTATATTTATGTATAGCGACAGAGGCATTGATTATACATTCTCTTAATCTGCAGCATCACAGTGTGACAGGATTAGGAATCTGGTCCCATATGCAGATGTTAGGGTGTGTGGCAAAATTGAGACACTTCAATAAATTTGCTTTTGAAGATTAGAAATGGGTGCTTGATACACCCATTTGGCTTTTCTCGGTGTCTGAACACAGAATCTCAGTAATCCTTCTGATGGCAATCTCATTAATGTGTCTTTCAGATCACATTACATTTACACACATATCATGTCTGCTTAAAAATCAGATAAGCCTAGGTTTCATTAAGATGGTCTTTTTTAAATGAGTGAATATTTCAATAAATGACACTTATTAAATAACTTTTCTCAAAGATTTGGTAATTTACATATTTTGCAGATATTCAAATGAAAACTGGTCCAAAATACAGCCATTATTGCTCTAAAACTCAGGAAGCTGAGTGTTTTTTGACACATCCCTGTAACAGATTTTCATAATGAGAGGATCCTAAGATTTTGTCTTTGTGTTTGGACATTTTTGGGGGGAGGAGTGTTGTTAATAACATCTTGCTCCCACCTGGGTTTCTAAAGTACTATAGTTTCACAGGAGTGACAAACAATAGAAATCAGCCAATTGTTTGGTCATCAAAATATGAATATGGTAATTCACACCAACCGCTACTGTTCCTTCACTCAAAATAATGAGAAGCCAGTTATACATTTGCATGAAAATTGAAATTTAGGGTGGCATTACAGTTGTAATCTGCTCTTCCACCCCCTCCCCCTTTAACTGCCTTAGGTTTGCAAACTGCTTCAGCAACCATCAGCCAAGAAATGTGCATGTCATCTGCAAATCACAGATCACAGATCTTGAGTGATTGTAGCGGGAGAAGTGCTCAAGGGTTCACAGTGGCCAGAACAAGACTTAAAAGTGATGCAAAATAGGGAGCAAAGAGGGCTGCAATTGCCTTGGAGCCTAAAATAGACTGAGCTTCAATGCCACCGAAAAAATCACCAGCCTCTCCATCATTTCTTTAAAGGTCAAAATTTTTGTAGGTGGACTGGGAGAGCAGCAGATTGCAGATGCGTTTAACAGCAGGGTATTTTCTGCTGCCATGACCAGTTAAGGAAAATTTTCAAAAACACACTAGCTGGTAAACAGTTTGGCCCTACTCTGGGTCATCTGCCTTCTACGGTCTCCTTGCTGCCTGGATTCTTACCTGGGTAGAGTCCCAAACCTCACATCAGTCAAAGTTAGGCTTTCAGCACAGTCTATTATGGTTTTTAGAGAGGTACCTCAGTGGCTTTCAGGGAGGTTTTATGGTGTGGGGCTGCTTCTTTAGAAATGCATGAAGCACACGCATGAGGCATACAGGCCCAGAGCATGAACTCACACCATTTCTTCTTCATGCTGCTGGTCAACAGGTGGGCACCTTGGCCAAACGCACATTGCCAAGTACCTCATGCAAGCCAGCTATGCTCAGTAACTCCCTCTGTTGAACTGCCCAACGGAACTGGAGGGGACCAGCTATTTGGTTGCCTCTTAGGGAGGTCACCCAATGGTCTACCATGTTATACTCACCTGTTACCTGTTATAAAACCAGTAAGTTATTTGGCAAACCCATCCTGAACCCATGGTCAGAGTCAGATTGAGGATGGAAAATCTTCCACATCTGCCCACATTTTTCACACCAGTCTGCAAGGGCACACATCAAAAATGATAAAGATCCAGGAGCTCTTTCAAGCTCTTCCAGATCTCACAGGTTTCCATAGACAGCAGATTTCCAGGTGTGAATAGAGGAAGACAAGACCCCAGTGTAGCTAAATTCTTTTTTTTTACTGCAACCTCCACCTCCCAGGTTCAAGTGATTCTCCTATCTCAGCCTCCCGAGTAGCTGGGATTACAGGTGCCCACCACCACACCCGGCTAATTTTTGTATTTTTAGTAGAGATGTGGCATGAGCCACCACGCCCGGCCTGTAGCTAAATTCTTAATGTTTTTCCTCTGAGCGACAAACATGCTGGAAACCACCTATTCCACAAATTTTCTCTGTCCCAAATACCTTGGATTGAAATGAAAGCTCAACGTCAGTTAGAAATTACACCTTATCTAACATTCCTGCCTGCAGCAACCAGTAAGTAATACACTGGCACATGTGGATGAAGGAGGCCACAAGTGGGCCCCTAGGAAGAACGTGTGTGCTAGCAGCTTACTGTTCAAAACCGTCTTAAAGATACTATTCATAGTATTAATGGAGCCATGCATTCACATTGGGTTGGCAAAGTATTTAGTGTGACCTATCCTGGGCGTGGGGCTTCCTGAGGATGACTCATATTTTCCAAAAGGACATTATCCGGCAGGAGATCCTGATGATCTTTCCACTTGGAAGGGACACAGGATGTTCTCCCTCTAACACTTCTCAGCACCTACTTTTCCATTTGACAAAGAAACGGCAGGCATTAACATTAACTTTTTGTATTCAATCCTTTATGGTTATCACAAGCAGAAGAGAGTGGTAACTGAGGCAGGGACATGGTTGTATAAACTTAAGTTACTTTAGCTATCTGTGCCTCAGTCCCTCACCTAAAATAAAAGAATAATAGCATGAATCCATAGGGTTGTTGTGAAGATTACACAAGTTAATATATAAAAATTGCTTAGAATGGTGCCTGGTACATAGTAAGTACTCAGACATAAATTCAGTTTAAAAGACTGTGCTGCTGCTGTTGCTGCTGCTGTTGTTATATCTTTGCAGCACCTTATCCACCATCTTTCACTGTATGGAGCCAAGGGAGAGAGAAGCAAGGAAGACTGGTGAAAAAGTGAGATGAGGGAGCAGGCTATAGCAGTCATGGCAGATCAACAGAGTCCATGGGGTTTCATTCATTTGCAAATGTTGTTTGTATCTTCCGCTCTAGTTTTTATTTTATCTTTTCAACTCCTGTAGCTCACTTTCTGTCTTCATGTACATCTAGGTCTTTCATAGGGACAAAATAAGATACTTTCAAGAGTTTTCAGAAGTCAGTGCAGACATAAGAATGAGTAAAGCCAGGACACACCCATGTAAGAACCAATGTGGGTACTGGAAATGTGGGTACCGGAAGGGAAGGTGGCAATATAGTGCTTAGAGTCCCAGTATTTATCCTTACACCACAGTAATTCTGGTGAATGAGAACACAACAAAGGAAAGGGAGGAATTTCATTTGGAATCATTAATCCACTCATGCCACTTTCTTAGCCCTTAATCATTAAGGGATCCAAGCAAAGAAGCTTTCATCCAGCCTGGGAGATGCAGAGCAGTATGCTGCTTGTGCCAGCACTGCCTCTGCCTGCTGCTTTAAAAATGCCCAGAGCCCAAACCTGGGAGGAAAGCAAGTGGTAGTTTATGCTAAAATGCTAAAGCCATTTGAAAGCAAATGCATATAATAGAAAGAATTTAAGCAGCTGGTGGATGTCATTACATTCATTTCTCAAGGAGGCCTGTCTTCTGGTGACACCAATCAAAGAACTAGGTCATCTCTCAACAGTAATTTTCTTGGAGGCCATGAAATTCTTGCATTGATTTCATCTCCCTTTGGCTGAACATGCACTGAGAACAGCCAAGCTGGTGAGGGCTCAGGCAGCCCATGGGGCTGTCATCAACTCCATCTGAAGGGTTTATATCCTTAATGGGATCAGAGGTCTTATCGGCGATTCTTCATAAGTGCAACAGAGAAACTATCTTTCTTTCACCACTGATTCCACACCTGACAATTCTCCTATTTATCAGTTAACAATTATTGTCTGAGAGCAAGTCAATTACAAGAGAAATTTATGAAGTCCTTAGCAACTAAGAAGAAACTTGATGGAATCTTATCTATTCTGTTCAGAAAATGAAATGTGAACTGTCTGAAGACAGTACTGACTTCACATATATTAGCACCACATCATAATACATATCATTAGGACATTAATTCTTGTGCTTCTGTATATATCAAACAAGTTGTAACTATATGAGGGGGAATTAGAAGCTACGGTTGCTGTAAAAGGAGGGCATTAGTCCTGGCCCCCTTCTTTGTGAACCCTTCCCAGCACCCTAGGAAGAGTTGCACTCTCAACAAATTCATGTCATGACTCAGGATTTGTGGTGGTGTCATTTATCTCTTTACTCTTTGCTAACAGTAATGGATCCCTCTTTGAGAAAAGGAGCCACATTTTATTCAACCTACTCCCCCCAGTGTCTAGCATAAGCATGGCACATAGAAGGGGCTTGAGGACATTGTTCTGATGTGTTAGAATAGTGCCTGGTACATAGTAAGCCTCTAATGTTTCTCTTCAGCCTACAGACATTAGCATCGTTAAAGAAAAAATTGTCCAATGACGCTTATTAAAGAACAGTAAGGCAGAATTTAATTCAAGGGGAGGATTCATGGTAAGTAGAGGGACCACTGCAATAGGGTCTTGCAGGGAGAGATTGAGCTCAACTCCAACTCCCTCAAGGACAAGTGGGGATTTATAGCCAAGGAGAAGGGTAAGAGTCAGCGAATGTAAAATACTGAGAAGAAACATCAGGGGTAGGTGGGACTCTTGCTAGACCAACTCAATGGAATTCTTGCTGAAGATGGACCAACATAATAAGATGTGGAGAGGGGTCAGATACCAACAGTGGGAAAGTTAGTCAGTTCACTAAACTGACATACTAGGATTATTGCTCAAATTAAATACTACAAGGACAGAGGGAAGCCCAAGTCCAGGCCTAGTCAAGCAGAGGTCTCAGAGGAGCCTGATTAAAGTTAGTTCAAGAAGAGAGTCTTTTTCAGCATTTTGAAGGGCTTCCCCTCTCATTCTCTAAAGCTCTGGCTAACAAATATTCATGAAATTCCTAATCACCATTCTAGACACCAGGGTCCATTTTGTACCCTGAATTCAGAGAACCTAAGGACAGCTACAGAAGGAGACCTTTCTGCAAAGAAAGTATGCACTTCCAATTTCATTGTATTGTGTTGTAGATGCTCTGACCTCCACCTTTCAGTCATGGAAAGGAAGGAGATATTTTGAATAGTTCTTTTTAAGGAATATCTGCCGTTCCATCTCCCCGCCTTGTTCTGACCATTGTGGCAACCACCAACTGGCACCTGACAGCAGCTTGATTCAGTTGCTACATATAATCTGGCTTTCTGTCCTGGAATTTTTTCTGCCACCAGAGACACCCACTCAGCCATCCCTGGGCATGCTGGAGAGGTTCATACTCCCTGAAGGCCACTCTTTTCCAGTGGCATATGAGAGCCAATAGATGATTATGGCTGTCTGACAGTTCTAAGGCACATTCACAAGGCTTTCCAGGCTGTCCCCAAGAAGAAGGACCCCCAGTTTCCTACAGTGGTAATCAGTGCAATAACACACCCGGGAACTGGTCTTTCTTCTACCTTTCAGTCTTCTCAGTTGTCTCACTTTTGTCTCTTGAACTACTTCCCAAAAGAAACCACCTTCTCGCAAGCCCTTGTCACAGGCCTCACTCTTTGGGAAAAAGCAGGCAAAGTCCAAGCCATGGTGTGACTAAACCATCCAAATAGCCTATTTAAGTGAGTATTTTGACTAGGTTCAGGTTTGATTATGATGACAAATAAAATGAAGGAGTGTAATGCCTTAGTCTACATTCTCATAAAATGCAAAGTGTGTATAAACAATTCTATAATTAAGTATATAAAATTAACCATTCCACAAATTTTAACTATTCTTTAGTAATTTCTATTCTTCTTTTGGATTTATACAAGAAATCAAGCGAATAACACATTTTCCTATGCACCTATCTATAAAGGTCAATGAATAGCTACTTCCCAAGAAGCAATGAACTTAAATGTTGCTGTATCTCTGGAGACAGAAATAGATTTGTCCAGACTAAAGTAAAATCGATGTTGACTTTGCCTGGGTTTTTCTCCATATCTACTTCCCTTTTAATGATGTTCATCGTGTTTGAGATTATTTGCTTATTGTTTGTTGTTCCACTAGGCTGAAGCACTGTGATGTTGAGTCTGTGTTTGCTTCCTTTAAAAGTATATCCTTAGTATTAAGAAAATGTGGCACATATACACCATGGAATACTATGCAGCCATAAAAAATGATGCATTCATGTCCTTTGTAGGGACATGGATGAAGCTGGAAACCATCATTCTCAGCAAACTATCGCAAGGACAAAAAACCAAACACTGCTGTTCTCACTTGTAGGTGGGAATTGAACAATGAGAACACTTGGACACAGGAAGGGGAACATCACACACCGGGGCCTGTTGTGGGGTGGGGGCAGCGGGGAGGGATAGCATTGGGAGATATAACTAATGTAAATGACGAGTTAATGGGTGCAGCACACCAAGATGGCACATGTATAGATATGTAACAAACCGGCGCGTTGTGCATATGTACCCTAGAACTTAAAGTATAATTTAAAAATATATATATACATATATAAAGTATATCCTTAGCACTTGATTGTGCGTCTGGCACACAGTGGGTCTTCAATGAGGTTTACTGAATTTAATGGAGTGAAATCAAATTTAACTCTACAAGATATAAAATGCCTGACAAAATCTGAACCACTCGTGTGATTACTTAAAGACCATCCCACATAGAATCAGTCACCTGTGTTCATGTTAGTTAAGGAAGGCTCTGGTTTAATTGAGCCACAAGCCCCTTAGAGAGTAGAAACACAGCAAAGGTGCACGCTCATCAGGAGAGAACCTGGGATAAAGAAGTCTGATTTTGCTTACACTCAAATAGGAACTCTAATATTAACTCTCTCTTTCTAGCAAAGTCACTCCATTTCTCTGAGTTATCTTTGCCATTAGTAAAATGAGAATAATATTAAATCTTGAATTCCTCGAGCTGAAAAGCAAAGTCAGTCAAGTAGCCAATGAACCTACCTAGAATACATAGCTGAGGATTGGTTGTCACTTTAATTTCAAAAAGTATATGACCAAGATACTTGTCCATAATCTTTTACAGTATTAAAAAACTATTCAAAATTTCTTCTTTATGTTCAAATAAAATCTTTCCTGTTAAATTTTATCTTTGATGGAAAAGGAGAACAAATGGAGCCTTCCCATAAAAACTCTTTCTCCTCTTTTCTTCCCCACACAAAGTAACTCTATTTTTTTTTTTTTTTTTTTTTTTTTTTGAGATGCAGTTTTGCTCTTGTTGCCCAGGCTGGAGTGCAATGGCGTGATCTTGGCTCGCCGCAACCTCTGCCTCCTGGGTTCAAGTAATTTTCCTGCCTCAGCCTCCCGAATAGCCGGGATTACAGGTGCCCACCACCACGCCCGGCTAATTTTTTTTTTTTTTGTATTTTTAGTAGAAATGGGGTTTCACCATGTTGGCCAGGCTGGTCTCGAACTCCTGACCTCAGGTGATCCACCCATTTCGGCCTCCCAAAGTGCTGGGACCTAGAGAGAGCTTGCACAAGGCTCAGTTTGTAGCTTGTATATATCTTCCTTCAGTCCTTTCCCCTGACTGTCAGATTGGGAAAACAATAAGAACAAAATCTTGTCTTTATCTCTATACAAGAACCAAATCATGTCCAATTAATGACCACTTGTATTATTTACAAGCTCAAGGTAAGGAGACACTGGTGCCATTGTCTTTGGGTCATGGAATGCATTTTGAAATTTCATGGGGGAGGTAAAAGTTAGAATATAGGGGATAAAATATATTCTGCAAATAGTGATGATATATCACCAAACCCAATACACATCTTGGAAATGATCACAATATCAAGGCCTGTAATTTAAAATGATAATATGTCAGATTTTAAGTGGACCCCACCTTAGTCACATAACCACCTCACTCTTTCCTTAAAGAATGACCAAGACACGGGAAGAATCTATACTGTGATTCCCCAAATTGTCCTGAAGATAGATACACTGAGGCCACAAAGTTTCAGTCACAGAAATTTAGAAAGACATTAATTAGGTATCTGAGGGCACTTCTTCTAATGGGAAAACAATGATTTGCTTCTAATTTATAGATCTATTTTAAAGAAATTCAAAGCTGTTCATCAGAAACCAGGATTTTTTAAACTTTCACTCAATAGTTATAAAAGAATAATAATTTGAATAATCTTTCCTTCTCAAGTTAATCCTTTAGCATAGGTGTGTAGATCTATTTGCTGCCAAGTTAAGCTCCAAGACATTACTTCCTATCTAGATGCCATTAATAATGTATTGTCTAATAAGTGAAGAACTTCACAAATGACTCAAAAACAAACAAATGGGGAGCGGGAATTTTCTCCAACAACTTCTTGCATTCTAGAAATGATTGATGGTTTCAGAAATGTATTGTTGAACTGACAGATGATCAAATTAATTCATTTTTAAAACGATTTAGGAATAGAATTTAGAATTATAACAATTCTAAATCTTCTGAGGTTGAAATCACTGCCATTAATAAAGTTATTCTGATATGTTTTCCCAAGCCTTATCTGTTCTTTTCCAATATAAATGATAAATACTCTTTAAAGGTTATTTTTATGAAATATTTTAGACACAAAAAATATAGAGGAAAATACAACAAATATTTCAGTCCTTGCCACCAGGTGTAAGAAATAAAACATCATAACTACAATTGAAGAACTTCTGTGTACCTTTTCTTATTCCATTCCCTTCTTTCTTCCTACCACCAAACACTCATCTGTGCATGTTTTTACATCCTACACTTGAATGAATCCCCAAAACAGACACTACTCTTTTATGTACACCAAAACTTTATGCAAATGGCATCACACTCTGTGTCAACAACTTGCTTTTACTAATATAATATTGTATGTAAAATTTATCCACATTGATATATGTAGTTTGTTTATTTATTTAAACTGCTAGATAGTATGAATTTACCTCAATTTTTTATCCATTCTATTCCTGATTAATATTTAAGATTTTTTTCTAATTTTCACTTTTACAATGTCACAATGAGTATTCTTATATATGCAACTTGTGCAAGACTTTCTCTATGGTAGAATTTCTAGAACATTTAGTTGATAAGTATTATCAAATTGTTCTCTAAAGTATAAATTGCCCCAATTTACACTCCTACCAGCAAGATATAATCCCCACTGACCCACTTTCTTGCATGACTTGGTATGTTCAACATTTTCATATTTGCCATTCTAATAAGTGTGAAGTGATATTTTACTAGATTTTAATTTGCATTTCTCCAACTCTTATCTTTGTGAGAATACAGGCCCAAGCATAAGATAATCGGAAAATGTTGTCTCCACTATCTCACTCCTCACCCCTCATTCTGCTGGGAAACTCAGAGAACTTGCATATCAGAGGACCCTACTGTTGTTTCCCTCCATGTGGAGGTGTGACAATCATGACCTCCTCCTCCCAGTGTTAAGTCAGAAACTATGAAGGGTCTGAGATTTTACCTACTTGGAAGCTAACAAGTTAGCCTGCCATAGTTTTATATACATATACTGACAGAAGACACAAGACCCCTGGGTCAGAGAAACAGACCATTTATTACTCACAGCATGACTCCTGTCTCATAGAATTACTTGGTAAGTCGTATACACAAGACTGAACTAAGCTACCCACCATCACCTCTTGTTCCTTCATACTTGGGATAAATGACCAGTATTGCAATCCTCATTTGCCTTCTGAGGCAACAGAGGAAATCCACTATCCTGAAACCCTTTTTATTTCTACAGTAGCCATGCATATCAACAGAGAAAATTTTTGATATCGTATTTTTAGTCCTTTGTTTTTAGTTTAACCTATTACAAGCTTGGCACTGTGGCATAGACTCCAGTAAGACACTATTTCACCTATTTTTGAATACCAGTTTTGCCATTTAATAGCTGAGTGACCTTAAGCAAGTTTCTTAATTTCTCTGAGATTCTATGTCCCCATCTGTAAAATGATGATAATAGTGCTTATGTCAAAGGGTTGACAGACTCGGATGAGCTAATACAGGTAAAGTACATGATACGTAATAAAGACCTTGGTGTTAACAGCTATTTTTACTTCAAAAGGCAACCTTCCCTTTTGTGGAAGAATGTTAATTCCCCAAATTTTGCAACAACTACTGCCCTGATGCTATTCCAATTATTGGTTTCAGGGATGCTTCAGATTTGGCAGATAATAACGACTGCCAGTTATTGAGTACCTACACACTACGTGTTTTCTTCAAGATAGAAATTGTACAGGTGAGGATATAGGACAAAAGAGATTAAGAAACTTGCCTACAGTCATATGGCCAGTAAATAGCAGAGTCAGGATTTGGATTCTCAACTGTTTACCTCTGAATGCTGAGCTTTTGATTATTCTTTTCTATCAACACAAAGAAGGATGTATACATTTCAACAAAGAATCCAGATACAAGAGTATCCCACTCATTTTACTCATCCATGAATGTGAATATGATGATAAACACATATCACAGGGTATGGGATAGAAAACATGCCAAATTATCTTGTGATCTTCATTATCAGGGAAGTCTGTCTCTACCAGGCATACACACACACACACACACACACACACACACACACGTACACACACAGTGTTTAAGCTTCTTCTTTTTTTTTTTTTTTTTTTTTGTGAGACGGAGTCTTGATCTGTTGCCCAGGCTGGAGTGCAATGGCACAGTCTCTGCTCACTGCAACCTCCGCCTCCAGGGTTCAAGCAATTCTCCCGCCTCAGCCTCCCAACTAGCTGGGGTTACAGGCATGCACCACCACGCCCGGCTAATTTTTGTATTTTTAGTAGAGACGGGGTTTCACCATGATGGCCAGGCTGGCCTGGAACTCCTGACCTCAGGTGATCTGCCTTCCTTGGCCTCCCAAACTGCTGGGATTACAGGCATGAGCCACCGCACCCAGCCCCTCAAGCTTCTTCTTTATTTTAACTTTCATATTAGGTTCAGGGTATGTGTGCAGGTTTGTTATATAGATAAATTGCATGTCACAGGGGTTTGGTGTACAGATTATTTTGTCATCCAGGTAATAAGCACAGTACCCAATAAGTAGTTTTTCCATCTTCATCCTCCTCCTACACTCCACCCTCAAATAGAACCCAGTATCTGTTGTTCCCTTCTTTGTGTCCATGTGTACTCAATGTATAGCTCCTACTTATAAGTGAAAACATGCAGTATTTGGTTTTCTATTCCTGCATTAGTTTACTTAGGATAATGGACTCCAGCTCCATCCATATTGCAGCAAAGGACGTGATCTCATTCATTTTTTTTTCTTTGAGACGGAGTCTCGCTCTGTCGCCAGGCTGGAGTACAGTGGCGCGATCTCGGCTCACTGCAACCTTCGCCTCCTGGGTTCAAGCAATTCTCCTGCCTCAGCCTCCCGAGTAGCTGGGACTACAGGTGCACACCACCACGCCCAGCTAATTTTTTGTATTTTAGTAGAAATGGGGTTCCGACATGTTGGCCAGGATGGTCTCAATCTCTTGACCTCATGATCTGCCCGCCTCGGCCTCCCAAAGTGCTAGGATTACAGGCATGAGCCACTGTGCTCAGCCAATCTCATTCTTTTTTATGACTATGTAGTATTCCATAGTGTATATGTACCACATTTTCTTTATCTAGTCTACTGCTGATGGGCATTTAGATTGATTCCATGTTTTTGCTATTGTGAATAGTGCTGTGATGAACATACACGTGCATGTGTCTTTATAATAGAACAATTTGTGTTTTGGGGGGTATATACCCAATAATGGGATTGCTGGGTCAAACGGTAGCTCTGTTTTAAGTTCTTTGAGCAATCACCAAACTACTTTCCACAATGGCTGGACTAATTTGCATTCCCATCAGCAGTGTATAAGCATTCTCTTTTCCTGCAACCACACAGGCATTTGTTATTTTTTTACTTTTTATTAATAGCCATTCTGACTGGTGTGAGATGGTAGCTCATTGTGGTTTTGATTTGCATTTCTCTAATGATTAGTAATGAGGAGCATTTTTAATACCATTAAGTGTTTAAGCTTCTTAAGTAAGTTTGATAGTTAGCAGAGGCTCTTGAGAAAATAATATTCAAAAATCAGTAATAGTTTAAAGATACTTCCTTTTTTCTGCTTAACTGAGAGTATCTGGAAAACCCAGCAACAATTCTAGGAAGCTTCTCTGACACAGAAAACAATCCCAGGCCAGAGACATTTGAACTTGGGCACTTTACAATCTACTTACTTTTTATTTTTCATTTTTACAATCCTTCTGCTGAGCAGCAAAATGAGTGAGACCTATAAAGGAATATTAGAATTTTTAGTGTTTTCAGATTCAGTCAGAAGGCTTTCTGATCTGAGTGATGCTTTAACTATGTTAACACAGAAATACAGCATCAATGTCAGTGGCTTAGACTTAAAGAACTATGCTTAGTATTGAATGGCATGTTTAACTTCTGCCTTTTTCATAATCTAAAGACTTATTTGAAGTTATACAATAAAAAAGATCAATGTTTAAACTCTAAAAGACTGTTAAGTTAAAAAATCTACCCCCTAAAGTCTTTCATCTTTCACTGGGTCACTATCTTAATATGTGATTAAAGCACTGTAATGCCACATGTGATGATGTGAGACTTTCTGCAGGATTAGTCCACCCACATTCAGCCTTCTGTCCTTCACTTCTTGGTTGAGCAGAATTCTACAGTATCAGCCATCATTGCCTGTCTGTTCCTCTAATTATTTAAAGTTAATTTCAAAATAAATAATTATTAGAACCTATCTATCTGTGTCATATCCATGCTATACTTTTACTTCTTTCAAAAATCATCTTCTCCCTCGTTCCTCAGATAGCTCTGCAGAAAACCTCCAATCAAATGCTTAGGAATAGAAGCTCCCTGAACTTCTATTTGGCATACTCAGTCCATAGATACTGGACTACCTATGGATACATTAAGATGCAACTCATTTCCCTGGCTATTTAAGGTATATATGAAGACTAAAATAGTTACTCTTTTTCGCTTTAGGAAGATTCTTAGTTTAACTTTTAATTACTTCCTAGGAATGACTGCCCCCACCCGATTCACTTAAGCAGATGTAACTACAACTGCAAAAACACTGTTGACTGATGTTCTCTAGAGACCTGTTCATTACCTGTCATTAAATGTTTTAAAAAGTTTGCATAATTGATCCAGCCAATAAGTCATCATTGATTTATGGGGTTCTGTGCTGAAGAGTTGCTCTTTAAAAATTCATCACACCAGTATGTGTCTTTACAATCCATTAGCTGTTTACGTACCCACAGTCTTAGCATTGATTGACCTTGGACTGAGATTCTCATGGACTTCTTTTTTTTGCAAGTCCTCAGTATAGAAAAGCAATACTTCAGCCTTATCCCTTGACAGCTATACTTTGATTTTTTCCCCTCCATCAAAATGAAAACTTTACTTGAAATGATGAATAAATAAAGCATATTCCATAAACAGCTCTTCACTATTATTTAAGCTTATGGGCTGCGTGTGTGAATCTCCTTTCCCCACCATCAGATTCAAGTGTGTAAATGTTCTAAAAGGCTTTGAAAGTTTTATGATGATTTCAGGGGATGGTGGAGTAATAGCTGAAGAGTGAAGCTATTAGTTTTAATATTTATATTGAGTGCTCTGAAACATTAATGTGACAGGATGTAAGATCAGTGCAGTGGGATATATTTACTTCACAACCACTGCCACGTGGCAAAAGGAAAAAAACTCTGTGTGTGCATTTATTTTCTAAAACTTTGAGGCCAAGTTTCAAATGTTTGTGGGGTTTTGTTTTGTTTTGTTTTGTTTTCCTTTTCACAAGATTTAAAGTTTCAGCTGACAGATAGATTTGCTTTTCTTGAACTTGAGCTACTCTTAGGAGGCAGGAATGTACTGCCAGACAAAGCTTGGCACATGGGTTTGTTAGTTTATATGAGTCTGCATTCAAATATCCTCTGAGCCTGCCATGGTAAATACTATCCACCAGATAAGTAACACTTGGTTATGCCAACTGTGTCTTGGGAAAATTTAAAGAATGATGGTTGTAAATCTGGATTGAGAAACCTTCATGGACAGCTCCTCTTAGGAACTTCGTATGGAGAAGTAAGGCAAAACATTTCCGATTCTGGACTCTGACAGCTCTGGGTTGCAGTCTCAGCTCCACCCTGACAGGCTGTGTGAACTCGTGAATGTTCCTTCACATCTTCAAGTATTGGTTATTGATTTTTTAAATGATAATTGTACCAACAACATAGTTCTTGTGATGATTAAATGAGATAATCTCTTTAAAGACCTGTCACAAATGGCATAAATATTTCCTATTATCATCACCAAAATCAAATAAGCAAATACCTTGGGAGTGCCTGTAGTGTGCAAGGCACTGCATTTGTACCTATAATCAGATTATGGGGTTCTCATTCTCAAGTAATTAATGTACTTATTAATCTTATTATTTTGTTATAATTTACTTATTAATCTTATTATTTTGTTATTAATTTACTTATTAAACTTACTAATTTATTTATTAATCTTATTATTTTGAATACTTCAGAGATATTGCAGATTTGGTTCCAGATCAACACAATAAAGCAAATCACACACAAATTTTTTGGTTTTCTGGTACGTATAAAAGTTATGTTCCCATCATACTGTATTCTATTAAGTGTGTAATAGCATTATGTCTAAAAAAAAGTTTTAAAAATGCTAACAATCATCTGAGTCATTAGCAAGTTGCAATCTTTTTGCTGGTGAAGGGTCTTACCTCAATGTTGATGGCTGCTAACTGGTCAGGTGGCAGTTGCTGAAGGTTGGGGTGGCTGTGGCAATTTATTAAAATAAGACAACAATACAACAATGAAGTATGCCACATTGATTCACTTCCTTTCATGAACAACTCCACAGTAGCATGCAATGTTGTTTGATAGCATTTTACCCACAGTAGAACTTCTTTCAAAATTGGAGTCAATCTTCTCAAATCCTACTGCTTTATCAACTATTTATGTAATATTCTAAATACTTTGCTGTCATTTTAACAATGTTCACTACATCTTCACCAAGAATAGACACTATCTCAAGAAACCTCTTCCTTTGCTTATCCATAAGAAACAATTTCTCCTCTGTTCAATTTTTATCATGAGATCCCAGCAATTCAGTCAGATTTTCAGGATCTACTTCTAATTCTAGTTCTTTTGCTATTTTCACCATGTCTACAGTTTATTCCTCCACTGAAGTCTTGACCCCCTCAAAGTCATCCATGAGAATTGGAATCAACTTCTTCCAAACTCCTGTTAATGTTTATATTTTGACTTCCTCCCATGAATCATGAATGTTCTTAATGACATCTAGAATGCTGAATCCTTCCCAGAAGGTTTTCAATTTACTTTGCCCAAATCCATTAGAGTAATCACTATCTATGGTAGCTATAGCTTCATGAAATGTATTTCTTAATAAGACTTGAAAGTTGAAATTACTCTTTGATCTTTGTTTTGCAGAAGGATGTGAAAACAACATTCATCTCCTTGTACATCTCCATCTGAGTTCTTGGTTGACTAGGTACATTGTCAATGAACAGTAATATTGTGAAAGGAATCTTTTTTTCTGAACAGTAGGTCTCAACTCTGGGCTTAGAATATTCAGTAAACCATGCTGTAAACAGATGTGCTGTCATCCAAGATTTGTTGTTCCATGTATAGAGCACAGGCAGAGTAGATTAAGTATAATTCTAAAGGGCCCTAGGATTTTTAGAATGGTAAATGGCCTCAACTTTAAGTCACCAGCTGCATTAGCCCCTAACAAGAGAGTCAGCCTGTTCTTTGAAGCTTTAAAGCCAGGCATTGACTTCTCTCCAGCTAAGAAAGTCTTAGACACATCTTCTTCCAATAGAAAGCTGATTTGACTACGTTGAAAATCTGTTGTTTAGTGTAGCCACCTTCATCAATGAGTTTAGCTAGATCTCTGGATAACTTGCTGCAGCTGCTACATCAGCACTGCTGCTTCATCAGGCACTTTTATGTTACACAGATGGCTCCTTTTCCTTAAACCTCATGAACTAACCTCTGCTAGCTTCAAACTTTCTTCTACAGTTTCCTCACCTCTCTCACCATTCACAAAATTGAAGATAGTTAGGACCTTGCTCTGGATTAGGCTTTGACTTAAGGGAATGCTGTGGTTGGTTGGTTTGATTTTTGGATTTTCCTTCTTTTTTTTTTTTTTTTTTTTTTTTTGAGATAGAGTCTAACTCTGTCACCAGGCTGGAGTGCAGTGGCATGATCTTGGCTGACTGCAATCTCTGCCTCCCGGGTTCAAGTGATTCCCCTGCCTCAGCCTCTTGAGTAGCTGGGACTACAGGCACGCACCACCACGCCCAGCTAATTTTTTGTATTTTAGTAGAGACGGGGTTTCACCATGTTGGCCAGGATGATCTCGAACTCCTGACCTCATGATCCGCCCCGCTCAGCCTCCAAAAGTGCTGGGATTACAGGCGTGAGCCACTGCGCCTGGCCGGTTGGTTTGCTTTTCCGTCCAATCACTAAAACTTTCTTCATATCAACAGTGAGCCTGTTTGGTTTTCTTAACATTCCTGTGTTCCCTGGAATAGCACTTTTAATTTCCTTCAAGAACTTTCCTTTTGCATTCACAACTTGGCTAACTGTTTGGTTCAAGAGAGCTAGCTTTTGGCCTATCTCAATTTTCAACATGCCTTCCTCACTGAGCTTAATCATTGCTAGCTTTTGATTGAAAGTGAGAAACATGTGACTCTTCCTTTCACTGGAACACTTAGAGGCCTTTGTAGGATTATTAACTGTATTAACTGGCTTAATTTCAATATTCCTGTGTCTCGGGGAATAGGGAGGCCTGAGGAGAGTGAGAGAGAAAGAGGAACAGCTGCTTGGTGGAGCAGTCAGAACACACACACTTACCAATTAGGTTTGCCATCTTACGTGGTCCCCCCAAAAAATTACAACAGTAACATAAAAGATCACTGATTACAGATCACTATAACACAGGTAGTAAGCATAAAAAGTTTGAAATATTGCAAGAATTACCAAAATGTGACACAAAGACTCAAAGTGAGCACAGGATTTTGGGAAAATGGCACCAATAGATGACAAAGCAGGTTTGCCACAAACCTTCAGTTTGTAAAAAACACAGTATCTGCAAAGCACAGTGAAGTGAAGCACAATAAAATGAGGTATGCCTCTGTTGGGAAAACAAAAACATTTGCCCACTTAAATCTCAAAATTATTTATTCTGTTATTCTGGTATTATTCTGGTGTTATTCTGGTATTAAAGCAGACTCCTAAGACCTGGGTTCAAGTCCCAGCTCTGCCTTTTGCTGCCTGGACAATACCACACTTGTCACATGATCACTCTGGGACTCTTTCTTCATATGTAAAATGAAGATATTAATAGTTACCCCACATAGTTACTGTGAAGATTAAAGAAGATAATGTTAATACTGTTTGTGATAAAAAAAAAAAAACTAAGCTGTTAAAAATGTGCTATTTTCAGACAATCTCAGGTTTGAGGAGTTAGGCAAACCTTAGTGGTCACATGAGTTACCAGCTATCTTTAGATGTCAATAACAATGAAAACATTCATTATGAAATAAGTGAGACAAGGAGTAAGTTGTGGTAAAGGTCAGCTATGGAAGAGCTTGCTTTTATGCTAGTATAATCATGACAAGGTTGGATTGCAGCTGGACATTTAATAATGATTTCAGCATCAGTAAACAGATATGAGTAATTAAATATGAGTGAATTTGAAGTGGGATAACTACTATGAACAAAAGTGAAGGGAAGGAGCCTAGGTGTGTGGGATGGTAGAGGTGTGGGGTGGGCATGGCTTGAACACTGAACCCTGGGAGATGAAGTCAGGCAGGTAAGCTAGGGAAGGAGGGCAGCCTTGAGCACAGGCTAAAAAGATGTTATTTGATCCTGCAGTCCAGTTTAAAATACGTTCAAAGCTTAAAGCAGCAGTCTAAACTTTGAATGTACATCAGAACCACTTGGGAAGCTTTTACAAATCTAATACCAAGGCTTCACCCCAGGCTATTTAAAACAGGATCTTTGGAGGAGAGACCCAGACATCAGTATTTTTAAAGCTCCCAGGTGATTCTGGTGCAGCCAAGGTTGAGAACCACTAGTTTGAAATGACTAGAGAGAGATTGAGATTTTGAAGACTGCAATCCAGAGGCATAGATTCAAGTTGGTCTGAATACATACTCCTCCCATATTCTAAATTCATAACTTCTATCTTCTGTTTTCCATTATTAGTCTCTTCCTTTTATTTTGGAATCTTTCCTCAGATGTGTGAGATTCTGCATGTGAATGCTTGTTCAACAACGAGTTACTAAAAAGATTACAGAAAATTCCTTTACATGGATTTTGTATGAATTTGAAATTTTTTTCCCCAATTGTTGGGCTTTACTGTCAGTGTGTAAGTGATGAGCTGGCTTTTTTGTTGAAAGATTCACAAATGTCAATACTCATAGGTCTTTTCTTTGGGATTCTTTGGATTCTGAAAAGAGGCCTCCAAACTCCTCCTTGGACACTATATAGGACTGGGTACATCTAATCTGTGAGCAGGGCAGGGAAAGGATGCCAAGATCCCTACCAGTCAATATACCATCACTCAATACCCCTGTCTTCTGACTCTGCACCTCATCTTTTGCCCTCCCGTGTGGCCATATGCCCCACCCCAGAGCCTCCCTGGTTACACTTTTCCAGAGATTAAATCCCTGCCCTCTGTGGTGAATAGAGGCGGTGGAGGGAGGAAAAAGAGACAGTGTAGACCTGGGCTGTATTGGACTGGGCAGGGGGTCTAGGGGTCCAAATGCTCCATGTACTAAGCTTCCAGGAATTCTCCTGATTTCTGCTTCATCTGATTTTTTCACCCCATTATGTGACAGCTGGTGTCCAATTCTGATTTTTTCTAGGGTTTTGTCGGATAAATTCACTCATTTGTTGTTAATACTGTTAGCACTTGTGCTTTAACTTCCTCTGCCCTGCTGAATCATTCACCCCCTCCACTGACTTCCTATCTTCCAGAAATGTCTTAGCCTCCTCTTGTCTGCTTGTTTCTCCCTTCCTGCTTCTTTGTCCCCGTGGGTTTATGAAATTTTGTTTTTGTTCTTTGCATATTTTATTAATAGAGAAATTCAAGTGGAAGAGAAGAGAAATACATATGGTCAATCTGCCATGTTTAAACAGAAGTCCCAAAGTTTGGGGGCAGGGGTGATTGTTGTTTTTATAAATATTGTGCAGAACTATGAAAAATAAACAGATGAAAGTGGAGTCGCGAGGAGTGCAGAAGTTAGAGAGCTTCTCCTCAGCTTTCACTTTTTCCTCTAAACCCAGACCAACTCTGAGAACACAAATATAAGAAAGCGGTGGTGGTCTCTAATTGCGGTCTCCAATTCCTGCCTTTCTAGATCCTTCTGCCAAAATGTAGAGTGACCAAGGAGCCATGAAGAAGTTGTCTTGCTTCCTATTTGGATGACATGTTTCTTTTATAGATTCTGTCACTCAGCAAAAGCTCCTTATGTGCCTTCTTCCTAAAGATGCTTAATGTTGTGTGGGGGATGCAAAGATCAACAAAATAGTGTATGCTCAAGAAATGTAGAAGCTAGTGGGGAAGCTGGTAGGGGAAAAACTGTCATGTCATATGCCCATTCAAAGGTGCTCTGTCTTACCTTACAAGTCTTCTAGAAGTGAGTAACCCTCCTACCATTGCCCAACCTCATCTCTTCAGTATCAAAAAACACTGGTTTCATGATGGAGGTTCTGCTTGTGAATGCTCAAAGAGGGCAAAACTAAATGGCAAACAGGTGAGCATTTCCACTACAATCTAAACTGTTCCGATTCCAACTCCCCTCTTCAACTTCCCAGCCTCAGCAGAGATCTTCAAGAAAGAAAGCTCTTGGCCAATGCTAATGCATATTTTCATACTGAATAAGTATTGCCTGGGCCCAAATTCAAAGCAGGAAATATATATCAGCAGATGAAAGTCTTGATGTGAACATTCTAATTTGTATCTTCTCATCTTTCGTCTCCTCTCTCTCTTCCCCTACATTCCTCCCTTGTTCTTTTTCCATTTAAAAAATTGACTTTGAGCAACATCCCAAATGCTCACATGGAGACAAGTAAATATGCTCTTTGTTTGTCCCTACCTATGGGTCCTTTAATGTAAAGGTTACATGGCAAATATTTTCTATCCCAAATGTCAAAACAACCATGGACTTCCCTGAGGGGACTGTTTTTCCAAAACTCCGTGAAATCAGGTTGGCAGGCCAGGACAGACATAATGCTGCAGCTACACATATCCCTTGAAAAACCACAGGAAATAGCACACTCAGAGTCCGCACAGTACCACATGGGAACAGCCCAAGATGGGGCTCCTGGGGTGACCACCAGGCATCATGAGCGGCAGGTACAACTACCTACTCACCCACAGTCAAGACCATGGCCCCTCTCACTGGCTGCTCCTTTTTCCTGACAAAGAAAATTTCCAGATGTACACACCTCACTCAAAGGGAATAATTAGGCTTTTAAAATCTTCTGTGGGGAGGCACTCACACACCCTTGCAGGCTTATTCTCCAGGGATGCCAAGCTTTACCATGCACATATAATAGTAACAGCAGCTTCCCTGTGAATGTGCTTCCCTCTGTGGGATTCCAAAGTGCCGTACACACCATGGGGAAAATCTGGCAAAAGAATTCAGATTAGTAGATAGCCTTTTCATAATCCTTTCTCTACCTTCCTAATAAGGGGAAAAGAGGAACGCAGAGAGGAGAAGAGAAGGCAAGATGTTTTCACAACTTGCCTCCTTCTTCTGCCTGTCTCAGAGGTTTTGGGTCTTGCCTGTTTACCTGATCTCCATTCCCTAGTGTTCTGAGAAAAGGAGAGGTAGAAGTTATACCGGAAGAATCTACAGAGAAAATCAATAAGAATAAAAGAAACCATATGATGCCCCAAGGGGCTGTATGGTGAAGGAAATGTGGCATATTGGGAGGCATTGTGCAGGAGGGGGAGCCTGGAGAAAAGAGGTGGCAAAAGGACTAATGTAGGGGCAAAAGGAAAGTATTTTTTTGGACTAAGTGAGAAATTTCTGCAAGTTTTTTTTGGGCAAAACAATGGAAGACAATGGGTGATATTACCATACCTTGCATTGGTCTATGTACTTGAACTTATTTCAATGACTGAAATATACAAGAGAAGCTTTGAATTTTTATTGGAACCATAATCTTTTAACTAGACTACTGCTCTGGTATGGGACCACATTGCGGAAGCTTTCTAGGCCTACCTAGAGAGTGGTTCCATACTTATTTGTGCTACCTATCCATCTTTTCTGCAATCCCCAAAGATATTTTGTTCCATTCAACTACCTCCTAAGAATCAGCCTTCTAGGCTCTTTTCCTCTGGAAATGCACACTTGACCTTGGGTGGTCTCCATCCAGAGTACTCACCAAAATGAGGTTTAGCCAGTGAGTGGAGAATAATGTTTAAACTAATGAAAAGGTAAGGACTCTTTGATTAATGTACTGTCACTTGCCTACCCTTCCAGATACACCCTTCTGCACTCTGTTCTAGGTCCCAGGGCTGACCTGTGGGGTTTGATGGAGGACAAGAATCCTTTGTCCTCTAACTTGTGGTTGAATTTGGTCAATGGGGAATACTAGAAGGAGATCTGGAGATAGGATCTGGTGATAGGATCTGGTTATTTACTCCCAAACTCATTTCCTGCTCTATAGGAGTGTCCCTCAACCACTGGCACAGCCTCAATTAAAAGGCCTCTCTACACAGCTCTCTCTCCTTCCCTGGGTTTTGCTAACCACTTTCTTCCTCACTCATTGAGACCTGAGGTTCCCTAGCTCTGGAGTCTGGCATTATCCCTTGTGAGTTCTCCCTGCTCCTCATCCACATCCTTGTAAATAGTCTTTTTATTAGAGTGTCTTTCAAATTACCAAATTGGAGTGTACCATCTGTTTCCAGCTGGAACCCTGACTGACACAGTTGGTAGAATGAAAGTTACCAAAGCAAAATGCCTAGCCTACCCAGAGGGCAAAAATAAAACAAGGGTGCTATTTATTAAGCAGTCATAAAAATAAACATAAGCTGAAGAAAAATCTTGTCAGACTTAGATTACATAAGAAAGCATTAAATTGAAACAAACCATATTGTAATACAGATTCCTATAGGAAGACTATGATTCCTATCACTGTATTATAAGAAAGACTGTAAAAAGTTGTTTACAATCATTTTCCTTTTAAAATTTATTTAAAAATTAAGAAATAACCTAAAACACTACTTTCAATAAAGCAGTTAACCCTAAAAGACTAAGATGAAAAGGATCTGGCTTGGATCATGAAGATTCTAAAGAAATTAAAGGCAAAGTAGAAGAAGTAAGATCTGCATTAGAAGCAGTAAAGAGCAGAATTGCCACTGAATAAAATCAAGTCATTGGTTGTGAGGAATTCACTTGAGGGACTCCATCACACACAGAAGAAATGTATAAAAAACATCAGCTGAAAATAAGCTGAGCACTAAGTGAAGTTACTAAATAGCCTACATACAAGATGGACATTCAATAAGCAAAGCTTTCTAATATATCAGAATAGCTATGTAGAAACCATAACAGGAAAAGATACCATTAATCTTAGAAACAATAATTATATACTTTACTTAATATATTTTTATATTAACAACAAATTAATTTATAGAGTAGTATGAGGAAAACTATAGAGCTTTATTGAGTTATAAAAAATAAATGGAATGGCATGTTATATTATTGACTAAGAAGATTCACTACTGTAAAAATATCAATTATGCACAAATTAATATAGGGGTTTTAATGCAATAATAATCAAAATTCTAGTGGGACTTATGTTTGGTCTGCAGTGGAAAGAGCAAGAACTTGACAAAATGATTTTGAATTTATGTAAGAAAATGTGCAAAAAATAGCAAAGAAAAACAAGTTCAAAGAAAAAAAATTGACCTACCAAACTACAGTATTAAGTTACAATAATTAAAGCATTTTATTAGTTGTACAATTATGAAAAAAGCTAATACATGCAAGAGAATGATATTTTTAAAATAATAATTTTATAAGTACATAGTGAGACATCATAAATCCATGAAGAAAAGAGATTATTCAATAATTGATGTTAAAACATGAGGTAAAATTTTTGAAAAAAATGTGTGCCACTTCACCTCATATTACACCAAAACCAATTCCAAATGAATTAAAGAACTATAATTGTTAAATTATACCATAAATTATACCAAAAAAAGCTAGACAAATTGATACATACTTATAAGATCTTGGATTGAGGAAGAATTTTCCACATAAAAGTAACACAAAATATCATAAAGAAATAGTTTATTAGTTTTTTTTAAAAAAGCTAGTGCTGTCTTCGGCAGCACATATACTGAAATTAGAACAACAAAGAGATTAGTACATCCCCTGCACAAGGATGAGACGCACATTTGTGAAGTATTCTACATATACATGTATATATACTTTAAGTTCTGGGATACATGTGCAGAACGCACGTGTTTGTTACATCAGTATTCAAGTGCCACGGTGGTTTGCTGCACCCATCAAACCGTCATCTACATTAGGCATTTCTCCTAATGCTGTCCCTAATGCTATCCCTCCCCTACCACTCCAGCCCCCCACAGGTCCCAGTGTGTGATGTTCTCCTCCCTGTGCCCGTATATTCTGGTTGTTCAACTCACACTTATGAGTGAGAACATGCGGTGTTTGGCTTTCTGTTCCTGTGTTAATTTGCTGAGAATGATGGTTTCCAGCTTCATCCATGTCCCTGCAAAGGACATGAACTCAGCCTTTTTTTTTTTTGAGACGGAGTCTGGCTCTGTCGCCCAGGCGGCAGTGCAGTGGCGCGATCTCCGCTCACTGCAAGCTCCGCCTCCCGGGTTCACGCAATTCTCCTGCCTCAGCCTCCGGAGTAGCAGGGACTACAGGCACCCGCCACCATGCCCGGCTAATTTTTTGTATTTTTAGTAGAGATGGGGTTTCACTGTGTTAGCCAGGATGGTCTCGATCTCCTGACCTCGTGATCTGCCCAGCTCAGCCTCCCAAAGTGCTGGGATTACAGGCGTGAGCCATCGCGCCGGGCCGAACTCATTCTTTTTTATGGCTGCATAGTATTCCATGGTATATATATGCCACATTTTCTTTATCCAGTCTATCATTGATAGGCATTTTGGTTGGTTCCAAGTCTTTGCTATTGTGAACAGCACTGCAATGAACATACATGTGCATGTGTCTTTATAGTAGAATGATTTATAATCCTTTGGGTATAAACCCAGTAATAGGATTGCTGGGTCAAATGGTATTTCTGGTTCTAGATTCTTGAGGAATCGCCACACTGTCTTCCACAATGGCTGAACTAATTTACACCCCCACCAACAGTGTAAAAGCATTCCTATTTCTCCACATCCTCTCCAGCATCTGTTGTTTCCTGACTTTTTAATGATCACCATTCCATTCTAACTGGCATGAGATGGTATCTCACTGCGGTTTTGATTTGCATTTCCCTAATGACCAGTGATGATTAGCTTTTTTCATACGTTTTTTGGCCACATAAATGCCTTCTTTTGAGAAGTGTCTGTTCATATCCTTCACCACTTTTTGATGGGGTTGTTTTTTTCTTGCAAATTTGTTTAAGTTCCTTGTAGATTCTGGATATTAGCCCTTTGTCAGATGGGTAGATTGCAAAAATTTTCTCCCATTCTTTAGGTTGCCTGTTCACTCTGATGGTAGTTTCTTTTTCTGTGCAGAAGCTCTTTAGTTTAATTAGATCTCATTTGTCCATTTTGGCTTTTGTTGCCATTGCTTTTGGTGTTTTAGTCATGAAGTCACTGCCCATGCCTGTGTCCTGAATGGTATTGCCTAGGTTTTATCCTAGGGTTTTTACAGTTTTAGGTCTAACATTTAAGTCTTTAATCCATCTTGAATTAATTTTTGTGTAGGTGTAAGGAAGGGTTCCAGTTTCAGCTTTCTACATATGGCTAGCCAGTTTTCCCAGCACCATTTATTAAATAGGGAATCCTTTCCCCATTTCTTGTTTTTGTCAGGTTTGTCAAAGATCAGATGGTTGTAGATGTGTGTTGTTATTTCTGAGGCCTCTGTTCTGTTCCGTTGGTCTATGTATCTGTTTTGGTACAAGTACCATGCTGTTTTAGTTACTGTGGACTTGCAGTATAGTTTGCAGTCAGGTAGCATGATGTCTCCAGCTTTGTTCTTTTTGCTTAGGATTGTATTGGCTATACATGCTCTTTTTTGGTTCCATATGAAATTTAAAGTAGTTCTTTCTAATTCTGTGAAGAAAGTCAATGGTAGTTTGATAGGGATGGCACTGAATCTATAAATTACTTTGGGCAGTATGGCCTTTTTCACGATATTGATTCTCCTACCCATGAGCATGGAATGTTTTTCCATTTGTTTGTATCCTCTCTTATTTCCTTGAGCAGTGGTTTGTAGTTATCCTTGAAGAGGTCCTTCACATCTCTTGTAAGTTGGATTCCTAGGTATTTTATTCTCTTTGTAGCAATTGTGAATGGGAGTTCACTCATGATTTGGCTCTCTGTCTCTTATTGGTGTATACGAATGCTTGTGATTTTTGCACATTGATTTTGTATCCTGAGACTTTGCTGAAGTTGCTTATCAGCTTAAGGAGATTTTGGGCTGAGATGATGCAGTTTTCTAAATATACGATCATGTCATCTGCAAACAGGCATAATTTGACTTCCTCTTTTTCTAATTGAATACCCTTTATTTCTTTTTTTTTGCCTGATTGCCATGGCTGGAACATCCAACACTATGTTGAATAGGAGTGGTGAGAGAGGGCATCCCTGTCTTGTGCCAGTTTTCAAAGGGAATGCTTCCAGTTTTTGCCCATTCAGTATGATATTGGCTGTGGGTTTTCATAAATAGCTCTTATTATTTTGAGATACATTCCATCAGTGCTTAGTTTATTGAGAGTTTTTAGCATGAAGGGATGTTGAATTTTGTCAAAGGCCTTTTCTGCATCTATTGAGATAATCATGTGGTTTTTGTCATTGGTTCTGTTTATGCGATGGATTACGTTTATTGCTTTGTATATGTTGAATCAGCCTTGCATCCCAGGGATGAAGCCAACTTGATATTGGTGGATAAGCTTTTTGATGTGTTGCTGGATTCAGTTTGCCTGTATTTTACTGAGGATTTTCGCGTCAATGCTCATCAGGAATATTGGTCTAAAATTCTCTTTTTTTTGGTTGTGTCTCTGCCAACCTTTGGTATCAGGATGATGCTGGCCTCATAAAATGAGGTAGGGAGGATTTCCTCTTTTTCTATTTATTGGAATAGTTTCCGAAGGAATAGTACCAGCTCCTCTTTGTACCTCTGGTAGAATTTTGCTGTGAATCCATCTGGTCCTGGGCTTTTTTTGGTTGGTAGGCTATTAATTATTACCTCAATTTCAGAGCCTGTTATTGGCCTATTCAGAGATTCAACTTCTTCCTGGTTTAGTCTTGGGAGGGTGTATGTTTCCAGGAATTTATCCATTTCTTCTAGATTTTCTAGTTTATTTGTGTAGAGGTGTTTATAGTGTTCTCTGATGGTAGTTTATATTTCTGTGGGATCGGTGATGATATCCCCTTTATCATTTTTTATTGCATCTATTTGATTCTTCTCTCTTTTTTTCTTTATTAATCTTGCTAGTGGTCTATCAATTTTGTTGATCTTTTCAAAAAACCAGCTCCTGGATTCAGTGATTTTTTGAAGGGTTTTTTGTTTATGTCTCTATCTCCTTTACTTCTGCTCCGATCTTAGTTATTTCTTGTCTTCTGCTAGCTTTTGAATTTGTTTGCCCTTGCTTCTCTAGTTCTCTTAATTGTGAAATTAGGGTGTCGATTTTAGATATTCCTGCTTTCTCTTGTGGGCATTTAGTGCTATAAATTTCCCTCTACACACTGCTTTAAATATGTCCCAGAGATTCCGGTATGTTATGTCTTTGTTCTCACTGGTTTCAAATAATATCTTTATTTCTCCCTTTAATTTGTTATTTACCCAGTAGCCATTCAGGAGCAGGTTGTTCACGTTCCATGTAGTTGTGCAGTTTTGAGTGAGTTTCTTAATCCTGAGTTCTAATTTCATTGCACTGTGGTCTGAGAGACAGTTTGTTGTGATTTCTGTTCTTTGACATTTGCTGAGGAGTGCTTTACTTTCAACTATGTGGTCAGTTTTGGAATAAGCGCAATGTGGTGCTGAGAAAAATGTATACTCTGTTGATTTGGGGTGGAGAGTTCTGTAGATGCCTATTAGGTCTGCTATTGGGGCAGAGCTGAGTTCAAGTCCTGGATATCCTTGTTAACCTTCTGTCTCACTGATCTGTCTAATATTGACAGTGGGGTGTTAAAGTCTCCCATTATTATTGTGTGGGAGTCTAAGTCTCTTTGTAGGTCTCTAAGGACTTGCTTTATGAATCTGGGTGCTCCTGTATTGGGTGTATACATATTCAGGATAGTTAACTCTTCTTGTTGAATGGATCCCTTTACCATTATGTAATGACCTTCTTTGTCTCTTTTGATCTTTGTTGGTTTAAAGTCTGTTTTATCAGAGACTAAGATTAAAACCCCTGCTTTTTTTTGCTTTCCATTTGCTTGGTAGATCTTCCTCCATCCCTTTATTTTGAGCCTATGTGTGTCTCTGCACGTGAGATGGGTCTCCTGAATTCAGCACACTGATGGGTCTTGACGCTTTATCCAATTTGCCAGTCTGTGTCTTTTAATTGGGGAGTTTAACCCATTTACATTTAAGGTTAATATTGTTATGTGTGAATTTGATCCTGTCATTATGATGTTAGCTGGTTATTTTGCTCGTTAGTTGATGCAGTTTCTTCACAGCATTGATGGTCTTTACAATTTGGCATTTTTTTTGCAGCGGCTGGTACCGGTTGTTTCTTTCCATGTTTAGTGCTTCCTTCAGGAGCTCTTGTAAGGCAGGCCTGTGGTGACAAAATCTCTCAGCATTTGCTTGTCTGTAAAGGATTTTATTTCTCATTCACTTATAAAGCTTAGTTTGGCTGGATATGAAATTCTGGGTTGAAAATTCTTTGCTTTAAGAATGTTGAATATTGGTCCCCATTCTCTTCTGGCTTGTAGGGCTTCTGCCAAGACATCCGCTGTTAGTCTGATGGGCTTCCCTTTGTGGGTAACCCAACCTTTCTCTCTGGCTGCCCTTAACATTTTTTCCTTCATTTCAACCTTTGTGAATCTGACAATTATGTGTCTTGGGGTTACTCTTCTCAAGGAGTATCTTTGTGGCATTCTCTGTATTTCCTGAATTTGAATGTTGGCCTGCCTTGCTAGGTTGGGGAAGTTCTCCCGGACAATATCCTGAAGAGTGTTTTCCAACTTGGTTCCATTCTCCCCGTCACTTTCAGGTACACCAATCAAACATAGATTTGTTTTTTTCACATAGTCCCATATTTCTTGGAGGCTTTGTTCATTTCTTTTTGCTCTTTTTTCTCTAAACTTCTCTTCTTGCTCTTTTTCATTAATTTGATCTTCAATTGCTGATATCCTTTCTTCCGCTTGATCAGATCGGCTATTGAAGCTTGTGCGTGCGTCACAAAGTTCTTGTGCCATGGTTTTCAGCTCCATCAGGTCATTTATGGTCTTCTCTACACTGTTTATTCTTGTTAGCCATTCTTCAACTTTTTTCAAGGTTTTTAGTTTCCTAGCGAAGGGTTAGGACATGCTCCTTTAGCTCGGAGAAGTTTGTTATTACCAGTCTTCTGAAGCCTACTTGTGTCAACTCATCAAACTCATTCTCCGTCCAGTTGTGTTCTATTCCTGGCAAGGAGCTGCGATCCTTAGGAGGAGAAGAGGTGCTCTGGTTTTTAGAATTTTCAGCTTTTCTGCTCTGGTTTCTCCCCATCTTTTTGGTTTTATCTACCTTTGGTCTTTGATGTTGGTGACCTACAGATGGGGTTTTGGTGTGGATGTCCTTTTTGTTGATGTTGATGCTATTCCTTTCTGTTTGCTAGTTTTCCTTCTAACAGTCAGGTCCCTCAGCTGCAGGTCAGTTGGAGTTTGCTGGAGGTCCATTCCAGACCCTGTTTGCCTGGGTATCACCAGCAGAGGCTGCAGAACAGCAAATATTGCAGAACAGCAAATATTGCTGCCTGATCCTTCCTCTGGAAGCTTCGTCTCAGAGGGGCACCCAGCTGCATGAGGTGTCAGTCGGCCCCTACTGAGAGGTGTCTCCCAGTTAGGCTACACGGGGGTCAGGGACCCACTTGAGGAGGCAGTCTGTCCATTCTCAGAGCTCAAATCCTGTGCTGGGAGAACCACTGCTCTTTTCAGAGCTCAGTTGGAAATGCAAAAATCACCCATCTTCTGCATCGATCATGCTGGGAGCTGCAGACCACAGCTGTTCCTATTCAGCCATCTTGGAATGAGCCCATTCTATATTTTTTTAAAAAAAAGAAAGAAAAAAAAAAAGCTAACCTCTGTTTGACAAAAGACATTAGGGTAAATATAGGCTACTGTAACAAAGTGTCAACAACATGATAGTGTCTTAGTCCACTCTTGCTGCTCTAACAGAATATCATAAACTGTATGGCTTGTATACAACAGAAGTTTATTTCTTACTTTTATAGAAGCTTGGAAGTCCAAGAGTAAGGAGCTGGCAGATTTGGTGGCTGGTGAAGGCCCACTTTTCTAGTTCACAGGCAGTTATCTTCTCGCTGTAACCTCACATGGGTAGAAGAGGCAAGGAAGCTCTCTCTGGGACTTCTTTTATCAAGGCATTAATCTTATTTATGAGGGTTCTACCCTCATAACCCATTCACTTACCAAAGGCCTTACCTCTCAACACCATTAAAGGTTAGGATTTCAACATATGAATTTCAAGAGAACACATTAGTCTATAGCAGATGGTTTAAAGAACAAGCAGTTTATGTGCTCTTACCCAAGAGTCTAGGGTGTGCCATTTACGATCACCCAGGTTCTTTCCAATTTCTTGCTCTGCTATCTCCTAGGGCACTCTTTTTGCCTATATGGTCAAAGCTGGGCCAGTACCTCCTCTGGGTTTCCAGCTGGTAAAAGTGCAGAAGGAAGAGTATGAAGTAAGCACTTCTACTCCACTGATCTAGTCAGAAAATGGTAGCCATTACTTCTGCTTACATTGCATTGCCAAAACATTGCATGGCTCCATTTAACTACAAGAAGGGTTGGAACAGGTTGTCCCTAGTTAGGTAGCCACATGCTTAGCTATAATTAACTATAGGAAAAAGAGAACAAATTTAGGTAGAAAATAGCAATATCTACCACACTACTCTAAAAACAATGGAAAGGCAGAGAGCTAACTGGGGAACCATACTTGCAGCAAATATGGAAAACTGTTGTCCTCTTATAACATAAAATTTATCTTATAACAAGAAAAAAAACACCAATGCACCAAAAAATAAGCAGAGGACACAAACAAGCAATATAAATGTCCTATAAAGATGAAAATTATACACCATTGCTTGTAATAAAAGAAATATAAGTTAAAACAATTAAATGCCATTATTTATTGATCTCTTTGTTGAAATCTTCCTTAATTGTTATTCTCAGTGCTGGCACAGTGTGGTAACACCACTTTGGTTGAGTATGAATCAGTGTTGCACCATTGTGAAATACACTTCCGTAGTATACACAAGAGCCTTTACTCTGCTCTTCTCATGGAACCCTGAGTCCACATTAGAAGCCTACCCTAAGTAAATAATCCAAGATGTGATCAAAGAAGTATGTGCAAATATGTTCACTATAGTATAAACAATTGGAAATAACCTAAATGTCTGACAATAAAAAAACGGTTAAATAAATTATGGGTAGGGAGCAACACTATTGCTATCTCCATGCTCTCATTTCACCTTATAGCCCAGATTACTTCTGTTCATCTCCCCATTTGGGAAGTACTGGCAAGGAAAACATATTAAACAATTCCTTCACTCCTTATTTGTTCCTTTCCCAAAAAGAAATTTCAGAGACTGTCATATCTATTAGTCATGTGCCACATAGTTGGGTTGACAGGAAACATTTTCCATTCTTTCTTACACTCAGTTTCTTAGGAAAAGACCAGACTTCCTCTCTGTTTCTTTATGATACGTGTATGATCTATATCAGAATGAAGACCTGCACTCTCTCTGATTCTCCATTCTACCATTGATGGATTTATGAGGCAGGCCTACCTAAAACTTCCGTGCAGGTGCCTAGTTGAGCATCTTGAAATTCACCTTACAAACTCAGTTATTCCAACAGAAGCATCCAATACCAGGAAAATGGAAGGTCTCAGATCCCAGTCTCTCTCTTAAAGCTAACTTCTCCAGATACTTCTGAATTCTGGGACTTATAGGACCTAATTGATATGGTGCTTTGTTCCCTACGTGGCTACTTTTGCCTGTTTTCTACTGGAGGGACTAGCACATCAAACTTCTAATACTATGGGAAAGCTATAAGTGAAATAATAAGCAATTTTTTTAGAATCATGTTTATTTTATTTTATTTATATTTATTTATTTATTTTGAGACAGAGTCTCGCACTGTCACCCAGCCTGGAGTGCAGTGGTGTGATCTCGGCTCACTGCAAGCTCCGCCTCTTGGGTTCACGCTGTTCTTCTGCCTCAGTCTCCCGAGTAGCTGGGACTACAGGTGCCCGTCACCATGTCCAGCTAATTTTTTTGTATTTTTAGTAGAGATGGGGTTTCACCATTTCTTAGCCAGGATGGTCTTGATCTCCTAACCTTGTGATCCACCCGCCTCGGCCTCCCAAAGTGCTGGGATTACAGGTGAGAGCCACCGCACCTGGCTGAATTATGTTTATTTTTATGAGAAAAAGCTAATAATGTGATTGCTAATTGAAAATTCAGGAACTAAGACTTTCATTTCAATAATGTGTCAAAATCTTTCCAGAAAAAGGCACATAAAATGCTGTATAATTTTTTTAAATCTTTTCAAGTTACAGCTTAACTGAAAGGAAAATGAGTAAAATCCTCATAGGTCAGGTTGTATTTGCTAAGATAGGAAAGCACCTCCATGACCTTTGTAGCTTCGGCTTTAATAGGTTGTTTTTGGGTTAATGGAGGAAAAGCTTAGAACACATAAAAAGTAGGAGCTATATTGGCAACCTCCTTTCTCCAAGACCCATAGTGGGAAGAGGGGCCGTGATGAAGGAAAAGTCCACTGGCCTTCCACACAGTCTGCATTAGATGGAAATTGGAGCCCGATGTGCTCAGTGGAGGTTCCTAATCAGTCTCTTAATGGGAGGCAGGAACTACAGACCAAGGTCCACTAGTGAGGCCCTATGGCAGATCTGCAAGTTTGCTCAACTTTTGTTTTAGTCTCATTTATGCAAATCATCTCATGTAATTGGGCTCTACCAGAACCTGCTGAAAGATCCAAATAAGTTACTGAAGAAAATAAAATCTAACATAGATTGGGGTGGCCAAGAGCAATTTGAAACTCAAGCTAGGATTCTGGCAAGAGTCCAGTCACCACAACGACTAGGATATGTAAGGAGCTGAACAACAAAGTCCAAGTAGAGACAAACCTTCCTTCTCTAGAAATCCATATAATATCTTTAAAAAGAGTAATAATAACAGCAAATACCTACATGATGCTTACTTCAGGCCAGGCACTGTTCTAAGCTGTAATACAAACTCATTTAATCCTTTCAGTTGGGCAGTATTGTTAGCCCCAATACTTTAGATGAAGAGACATCTACTAAGATCACTATGTGGCAGAACCAGGTTCAAATACAGGCAGTTTGGGGCTGGGCGTGGTGGCTCACACCTGTAATCCCAGCAGTTTGGGAGGCAAAGGTGGGTAGATCACCTGAGGCCAGGAGTTGGAGACCATCCTGGCCAACATGGCGAACTCCCAACTCTACTAAAAATATAAAAAATCAGCCGGGCATGATGGCGCATGCCTGTAATCCCAGCTACTTGGGAAGCTGAGGCATGAGGATTGCTTGAGCCTGGGGGGATGTTGCAGTGAGCTGAGATCGCGCCACCGGCACTCCAGTCTGGGTGACAAAGTGAGACTCTGTCTCAAAAAAAAAAAAAAAAAAAAAATACAGGCAGTTTGGCTCCAGAGTCCGAGGTCTTAACCATTAGCTCTACAACCTCTTGCATACTGATCAGACATTCTTATTTAAGGGCTCTACAAAGGACTTTGATGACTAAAACATAATATGTGTCATATGTATTCCACATTAGTTAGAGTGCTCATAGAAAGTAAGAATTCCTGGAAGATAATTAACTTTGTTTCTCTAGAGTTCTACCTCTTTCTTTTCTATAAAATCCTCTTCCTCTATTCCTTTTGCCCTTTGGTCCTTTGGAAGTTGTTAGGATCAAAATGGAGTAATTTATGCCAAACATTAACAAAATGGAGTTGGGAGGTCACAAAGGAGGGGCTGTCACGTACCCACCTATGCTAAAACCTATTACAAGGACAATGAAAACCACAACCTTGCCCAAAAACCACTGCAACCTTACCGAAAGAATACTTCTGTGAGGACATCTGCCCAGCAACTGCCTATTCAACCTTGGACTGGTGCCACCATTGTTATTGATCTGTGTAGACAAGGGTAATTGTCTCAAAACAAATTATGTAACCTTCCTTATTTCGCCTTTAAAAGTTTCCTCTTGCTCCAGCCTCTCCAGATGCAACTATAATTAGTCACAGACTGCATATCCCAAATTATAATCCCCTGTCATTCATTCCGAAATAAACTCATTTATTTTGAGAACCACTCTCTCTGTTGTTATTTTAGGTTGACAGTCTTATAAACATTTCTAAGGTACACTCTTTTATTATAGTCATGTTATGCCCATGATTTCCAGCAAGGAGTAGCAGTAGAGCCCTTAAAATATAAAGAATGTATGGGCTTGTCTCTGATGGCACAAAAGGAAGGGGCACCAGGGAAAGTTGGCCAATGGATATGAGGAGGTAAGTGTGAAAATAATTAACCAGAGGTGTGAATTTTGGAAAGAAAGTGTACAATCTGTACATAGTGGGTGATAAAAGTGACAAAGGAGAGTGAAGCAACAGAGTCCCAAGACCCAATTGGAAAAAAAAGGTTTGGGTCTAGGAAGAGGCTTGGAGGCCTAGTGGCCTGGCAACCTTATAACTCTCCTACCCCTCCTTTCTCTGTCCCAGTTTTTCTATCTTTTCCACCTCTAAAACTCTTCTATTTTCTGATTAGAATAGGAATTTAGGACCAGATGTCAATATCCAGAAGTAGATTGACCCGTTTCTTAATATTCTTTTTAGCACTCAGAACCCCAATTTTACCATGAAGTTTGAGAGTTAAAATATAGTTCCTTCTTAGGAGAAATCTAATTGAAAACAGAAATATAGTCAGTCCACTAAGCTGAAATTGGACCTGACTCTGTTCCCTAATTCAAATCTACTCATTTAAATTACTATATACCTCATTTTCAAGTCATTTCTCAGTTAGTAGTCAATGAGAATTGTGTCTCACCATGCAAACTCTACTGACAGTGGATTTGAAGACAATGAATGTCATGTCAGAGAAATTAAGTTTCATCCCCACACTGCCTTTCTGGCTTCCCACAGAGAACAATGCTATGAATTCTAAATAACACCTGATAAGTTTACCCACTCCTTCTGTTGGTGGTCATGATCAATTTCAAATGAAGTCTTGATGTCTGTCTCATTACATTGGCCTCAGAGTACTGTCAAGTTTGTTTTCAGAGGAAATTTTTCAAAGTATGTAATAGATCCCAACAACAACAACAACAAAATGTTGGTAGCCACAAAGAGAAGCAAGGTGCATTACTACTGCATTGGCATCCTTCTTTAGAGATCAGGGGAAATAGGACAAGCGTGACTCCTATTATTGTTACAGCATATTGCATTCAGCTATGATGGAACAGAACTGGGAAAGTGTATCCCGAGGTATTTTCACTTCATGCATTTGGCATTGTTATTAGTTATTGCATTTAAGATAAATCAGTCTGTTTACTCCTCATGTTTCCTCACAGAGAAAATATCAACCGTGAAATAAGAATGTTTGATGTTACAAATTATCTGGCTTGCCAGTCTCATTTCCCTTTTAGTATGCAATTATTTGTTTAGCTTCCCTTAGCAAATGAAATTTCAAGGGCATTTCAAGGAATGTAAATAATATAAAAAGAAGTAGAGCCCCAAAGAATTTTTCTTTCCTCTTCTTTCGTTTTTTTTTTTTTTTTTTTTTTTTTTTTTTTTTTTTTTTTTTTGTGTGTGTGTGTGTGTGTGTGTGTGTGTGTGTGTGTCTGTATTCAGGAACTGCACTGAATCGTGCATATGTATGAATCAACAAAATCAGGTTAGCTAAGAAATTGGAAATTGCACTCCACTAGAACATTTGTCTTGCTCTAGAGATCTTTGTTGTGGATTTGAAGGACTAATAAAAAATCACCAGCGTGACTGGAACAGATGTTTTTTATGGACTTGGGTTGTTAATAGTCTTTTTAGCTTCTCCTAAGGACTTAAGCAGATTCCTCACTTGTCCCCAATACCTGAAATTATGTTAACATTGTCCAAAATGTACACTAACAAGCTACATTAAAAATGCCATAAATTGGAATAGGGATACTGAAGATTTCCAAAAAGTAGAATAAATTTTAAAAGCTGCACAGAGAGGCAGATGCTAGCTAGATAACAAGATCAATGAATAAATAGAAGATATGGAGAGATAAATATAGACTTTATACAGATCAACAAAAGCATGAAATAAACATAAAATAAGCAAAATAATAAAATAATTAGCTAATCCTCATTTTCTACTTAAGGGAAGAGATAACCCCTTTCCTCAACAGAAATTACCAGGATCACAAGAAGCACAGAACAGAAAATAAACTCAGAATGCTGCTCCTATGTTTACCTTGATGGTGTGCCTGGAAGTGTTTTCTCTGAGAATTCATATGCAATATTCTTTCCTTCTAAGCCCTTGCAAGTTGCTCCCAGTGGAGACCAAAATTGATCAATTTTGCAGAGACCAAAATAGGTAAGAAACAGCAGCTAACAAGCTTCCTGGTGTCACTAGGAAGGCTGTTTGTTGCCATCTTCTTAAACTGTATGAGTAGGTGAAAATGGGGCACCTGCCCCAGCCTTGCCCTCTCTCTTCCCATCTCAGTTGGAGTACTCCCCTGCTGGGCATGCCCCATCCCATTCAGCTCAAGGCCATCTTGCCATCTGCTTCTTCAATTCCTGGTATTGCCCACAGTTTATTTTACTCTCATTAATGAATGATGATACAGGATGAGAGGAAGAATCAAGCCCACCAATGTAAGACAATGCTGTGCACTTTCTCCTTTCCCCTTTATCATACAGAGATATGCCAGTTTCAATTCCAGCTCCTCACTTGTGAACTATGTAAACCTGAGCAAGTTTGGTGAGCTCTGAGCCTTAGGTTGCTCCTCTATAAAATTAAAGTATACATTATTTATTTTCAAGACTGTTGTGAGCTAGAGATTACTAATTCACATGAAAGTAGCTAAAATAGTATGTAGCACATGGTAAGCCATCAATAAATGGTCATTACTGTCATTCATTTTCTCATTAATTCTACAAAGATATTTTGAGCTTTCCCCATGCATATGTTATGTGAAGTTATGAGGATATAGAAAAATAATACAAGCCCCTGATTTCTCAAAAGCTCTATCCTAGCTGAAGAAACAGATATATAGATAAGTAATTATTCCCCACAAAACATAATTAAATGTGTCAAAAAAGGCATATGTGTAATTAGAGTTTGAAAATAAGAGGGGTGAGAGAAGGGACAAAAAACTATTTGAAAAAAAATGACCAAATTTTTTCAAAAATTTGATGAAAATCATAAACTCACTAAAGCAAGTAGAACCTCAACCAACCTTAAGCAGGGAAATACAAAGAAAACTATGCCAGTATACATTATAGTCAAATTGCAGAAAAAAACTGGTAAAATGAAAATCTTAAAATCATCTGGAAAAAAACCACATTACAGGAGAACAGCAATAAGAATAATTGCTGACTTCTGACTAGAAATAATCCAAGTCAGAAGATAGTGAATAACATCACTAAATTGCTGAGAGAAAATAAAATACTGTCAGCTTAGAATTCTATATCCAGTGGAAATATGTATATCAAAAGTAATGATGAAATAAAGATATTTCAGAGAAACAAAAGTGGAGGGAACTCATAGTCAGCAGATCTGTACTACAAGAAATGTAAAAAAAGTTCATGAAGCTGAAGAGAAATAATACCAGATGGAAGAACAAATACACAGGAGGAAATGAAAAACATAAAAAATGCTTAAATTGTGGGAAAATATAATGAATGATCTACTTTCTTCAATTTCTTTAAATAACAAAAATAATAACAAGGTATTATAGGGTTAATAACGTGTTAATAAATGTTAATACACCTCATATATATAACAGTTGCAGAAAGGAAAGGAGGGCAATAAATGAACATATACTGTTGTAAGTTTCTTAAACATGAAATGGTATAATATTAATTTAAGACAGATTACAATGAATTAAGGATACATTGTAATACCTAAGGTAATCACTAAAAATAAATAAAACAAAGTAGTGCATCTAAAAGTTGATAGAAAAGACAAAATGAAATAATAAAAATACCTGAGTGGTCCAAAAGAAGCTAGAAAAGGAGGAACAAAGAACAGAGGGAACAAGTAGAAAAGAAAGAGCAAAATGCTAGACTTGAACCCAGGAATAAGAATAATTATATTAAATGTATATTGGTACATAAAACAATTGAAAGTGACAGAATGTCAAACTAGATAATAGAGGGAAAAAGATACAACTGTAAAAGACACAGTTGAAGTATAAAGACACAGATAGTTGAAGGCAAAAGGATAGAACCAGATATACCATGCAAATGTAAAAAGGCAAAAGCTGATATGGCTATATTAGTATCAGATAAAATGGAATTCAAAACAACAGATATTACTTTATTAGAAATAAAGAAGGATATTTGATAGTGATAAATGGGTCAGCTCATTAATAGACATAACAATATTCAATGTATATGTATCTAACAACAGAGCTTCATAATAGAGCAAAACCTGGCTGAACTAAAAGAAGAAACCAATAAACACACAATTACAGTTGGAGACTCTAATAATTCTTTCTCAGTAACTGATAGAACAAATAGAAAAGAAAAGGCAAATATATGGAAATCTCAAACAACTCTATCAAACTTACCCTATATGACATTAACAGACTATGTCACACAACCAGAACCGAATAAACATTCTTCTTGAGTACATGAAAAACATCCACCGAAAGAAACCATATTCTGGGCCATAAAGTCAAATCTCTGTAAGCGTCAAAGAAAGAAAATTATATGTAGCATACTCTTTGATCACAGTGAAATACAAAGTAGAGAAAGAAGAGCAAAAGTTTTTTCTTTGAAATGATTAATAAAATTGATAAGGCCCTCACAAGAGAAAAAAATTAAAAAAAGGAAATGAGCTATCAAGCTACAAAAAGACATAAAGAAACCTTTAAATGCATATTGCTAAGTGAAAGAAGCCAATCTGAAAAAGGCTACATATTGTGTGCTTCCTATTATATGACATCCAGGAAAAGATAAAGCTATAAAGACAGTAGAAAGGCCTGTGGTTACCAAGAGCCTGGGAGGAGAAAAGTAGGCATAAGTAGGTAGAGTGCAGGGAATTTTTAGGAGAGTGAAATTGTTCAGTATGACACGGTAATGGTGGATACATATCATTATATATTTGTCAAAACCCATAAAATGTACAATACAGAGTGAACTCTAATGTAAACTATGAACTTTAGTCAATAAGAATGTATCAATATTGGCTCATTGCTGTAACAAATGAATGACATTAATGCAAGGTATTAGTAATAGGGGAAACTGATGTGAAGCAATAAGGGGGCATATGGGAACTCTATGTTTTCGGCTCAATTTTTTTGTAAACGTTTAAAACTGCTCCTCAAAAAAGTCCATTATAAAAAAACCACACACACAACCAATAACAGGGGAAAAAAGAAGAGATGTTATTATAGGTCTTTCAGATACTTAAAAGATAATAAGGGAATCTTATGAAAAGGTATGCCACTAAATGTGTTGGCATACATAAAATGGACAAATTCTTTGAAAGATACAACTTACTGAACAAGAAACAAAAAAACAAGAAACAAGAAAAAAATTGAAAATACATAAAAATTAAATACAAATACAAATCAATAGCCTTATACCTGTTAAAGAGCTTAGAGCCATAATTCAAAACATTTCCCGGTGGCTTTATTTGCATATTTAATCAAATATTTTTAAAATATAAAGATAGCCAATTTTATACAAAATCATTAAGAAAATAGAGAATGAAGAAATATTTCTTAACTTGTTTGTAAGTTCAGTATAACCCTGACCTTATAAGCTGACAAAGACATTAAAAGGAAAGAAAAATGAAATATTAGTAAATGAAATCCAATAATATTTGAAAAGAATGATACCACATGATCAATTGGGTTTTGTCCCAGGAATGTAAAGTTGGTTTAACTTTCAAAAACCAATTAAAGGCCAGGCGTGGTGGCTCACGCCTGTAATCCCAGCACTTTGGGAAGCAGAAGTGGGCAGATCACTTGAGGACAGGAGTTTGACAGCAGCCTGGCCAACATGGTGAAACCCCGTCTCTACTAAAAATACAAAAATTAGCTGGGCATAGTGGTGGGCACCTGTAATCCCAGCTACTTGGGAGGCTGAGGCACGAGAACTGCTTAAACTCAGGAGGCAGAGGCTGCAGTGAGCTGAGATCACACCACAGCACTCCAGCCTGGGAGACACAGCAAGGCTCAGTCTCAAAAAACAAAACAAAACAAAAAACCAATTAAGGGGTGCAGAGCAAGATGGCAGATAGAGGCCTACACCATTCATTGCCACCCCTTCCTGGACTACCAATTTTTAAGAACTATCTGCACACAGAAAACCACTGTCACAAGAACCAAAAAGCAAATGAGCAATCACAGTAACTGGTTTTAACTTCAGGTTCACTGAAAAAGGCATGTATGAAGGCGGCAAAGACAGTCTTGAATCATGGATGCCACTCCTGCCATCCCCCGGCAGAGGCGAGGTGGAGAGAGAATCTGTGCACTTTTGGGAGAGAGAGTGCAGTGGCTGGGGAAATTTACATTGAACTCGATGCTGCCCTGTCACAGCAGAGAATAAAGCTGTGCTGGGCTAAGCCAGTGCGCATGCACAGAGGGAGCATTTGGACTAGTCCTAGCCAGAGGGGAATTATCCATCCCAGTGGTCAGAACTTGAGCTTCTCAGAAAACCTCACCACCATAGACTGAAGTACTCTGGGATCCTAAGTAAACTTGAAAGGCAATCTAGAGCATGAGGACTGCAGTTCCTAGGTAAGTCCTAGTGCGAGGCTGGACTTAAAGCCCGTAGACTAGGGTGGCACATAACCAAGGGACACACCAGCTGGGGCAACTAAGGGAGTGCTTGCACCATCCCTCCTCCAACCCCAGGCAGTGCAGCTCACAGCAAAGAAAAGTGACTCCTTCTTTCTGCTTAAGGAGAGGAAAGTGAAGGGTAAAAAAGATTTATTCATGCATCTTGGATACTGCTCAGCTACAATAGGATAGGGCACCAAGAAGAATTGTGAGGTGCCCATTTCAGGTCCTAGCTCCTGGACAACATTTCTAGACACGCCCTGGGCCCAAAGGGAATTGCTTCCTAAATGGGAAGGACCCAGTCCTGGCAGGATTCATCACCTGCTGATTAAAGTGCCCTAGAGCCCTGAATAACCAGTAGTGATACCAAGGGGAGTACACCATGGGCCTTGGGCTCTAAGACTTACTGGCTTCAGGGGAAAGCCAGTGCATTCCCAGCTGTGCTGGCTATGGTGAAAGACTCCTTCTGTTTGAGAAAAGCAGAGGGAAAAGTAAAGGGTACTTTGTCTTGCACCTTAGATGCCAGCATGGCCACAAAAGGGTAACCTCAGGGTCTCTGTGTCCAGGCCTAGGCTCTTGGATAGAATTTCTGGACCTGACCTGGGCCAGAAGAGAGCTTACTGCCCTCAAGGGTGAGTTCCAGGGCTGGCAGCATTCATTTCAAGCTAATGGAAGAGCCCTTGGGCTTTAAGTGAAATCAGAGGTGGCCTGGCACATCCCTCGTGGACCAGTGGTGGTGGTGGCCACAGGGAGAGGCTCCTATGTCTGTGGAAAGTGGAGGGAAGAATAGGAAGGATTTTGTATTTTGGTATGAGTGCCAGCTTAGCCACAGTAGAATAGAACATCAGGTAAACTGCTAAGGTATTTGACTTTGATCCCTGGCTCCCAGACAGCATCTCTGGACATGAATGGGGCCTGGGAGAATTCACCATCCTTAAGGGAAGGGCCTTGTAAAAGACCCAGTGATGCACTGTTTTCAGGACTAACCTAGCACAGTCCCAGTGGTGGGGCCACAGTGGTGCTTGCATCACCACAGCGTCAACTTCAGGTGGCTTAGCACCTTAGAGTGATTCTATTCATTTGGGAGAAAGTAAGGAAAACGAACAAGAGTCTTTGCCTGGTAATCCAGAGGATTCTTCTGGATCTTATTCAAGACCACAAGGGTGGTTTTACAAATCTGCAAAAACCATAGTGCTGTTGGGCTGGGGCCCGAGTTCTTCAAACACCTGGAAAGCCTTCCTACCAAGGACAGGCACAAATAAACCCAGCCAATGAAGACTACAGTAAATATCTAACTCTTCCATGCCCAGACATTGACAAATGTTGCTTTGTAAGCATCAACTCCATCCAGGAAAACATGACCTCATCAAATGAACCAAATAAGACACTAGGGACCAATCCTGGAGAGACAGAGATATATCACCACTCAGAAATAGAATTCAAAATAGCTGTTTTAAGGAAACTCAAAAAAATTCACGATAATGGAGAGAAGGAATTCAGAATTTTATCAGATAAATTTAACAAACATATTGAAATGGTTAAAAAAATCAAGCAGAAATTCTAGAGTGAAAAACGCAATTGACATATTGAAGAATGCGTCAGAGTCTCTTAACAGCAGAACTGATCAAGCAGAAGAATTAGTGAACTTCAAGACAGGCCATTTGAAATTACACAGTCAGAGGAGACCAAAAAATGAAGAAAAAACAATAAAGTATGCTACAAGATCTAGAAAATGGCCTCAAAAAAGCAAATCTAAGAGTTATTGGCCTTAAAGAGGAGGTAGAGAAAGAGATAGGGGCAGAAAGTTTATCCAAAAGAATATCAGAGAACTTCCAAAGCCTATAGAAAGATATCAACATTTAAATGCAAGAAGGTTATAGAACACCAAACAGATCTAACTCAAAGAAGATTACCTCAAGACATTTAATAATCAAACTCCCAAAAGTCAAGAATAAAGAAAGAATTCTAAAAGCAGCAAGAGAAAAGAACAAAATAGCATACAATGGAACTCCAATATGCCTGGCAGAAGACTTTTCAGTGGGAACCTTACAGCCCAAAAGAGAGGCATGATATATTTAAAATGCTGAAGAAAAAAAGTTTTACCCTAGAATAGTATATCCAGAGAAAATATATTTCAAGCATGAAGAAGAAATAAAGGCCTTCCTGGACAAACAAAAGCTAAGGGGTTTCATCAACTTCAGATCTTTCCTACAAGAAATACTAAAGGGAGTTATTCAATCTGAAAGAAAAGGACCTTAATGAGCAAGAAGAGAGAGTGTGAAGGTACAAAACTCACTGGTAATAGTAAACACACAGAAAAACATTGACTAGTATAACACTGTAATGGTGGTGTACAAACTGCTCTTAAGTAGAAAGACTACATGATGAGCCAATAAAAAATAATAACTACAACGGCTTTTTAAGACATAGACTCTACAATAATACATAAAAAAAACAAAAAGTTTAAAGTGGTGAGACGAAGTTAAAGTGTAGAAATTTTACTAGTTTTCTTTTTGTTTCTTTGTTTGTATATGTAATCAGAGTTAAGTTGTCATCAGTTTAAAATAACGGGTTATAGGACAGTATTTGAAAGCCTCATGGTAACCTCAAATTGAAAAAACAGACAATAAATACACAAAAAATTGAAGGAAAGAAGTTAAAGCATACCACCAAAGAAAATCACTTCCACTAAAAGGAAGACAGGAAGGAAAGAAAGAAGGAAGAGAGGACTGCAAAACAACCAGAAATCAAACAAAAAGTGGCAGAGTTAAGTCCCTACTTATCAATAAAAACACTAACTGTAAATGGACTAAACTCTCCAATCAAAAGATGTAAAGTGGCTGAATTGAAGAAAAAACAAAACCCAATGATCTATTACTTATAAGAAACACACTTCACCTATAAAGATACATGAAGACTGAAAATAAAGGAATACAAAAAGATATTCCATGCCAATGTAAACCAAAAAAAAGAGCAATAGCAGCTATACTTATATCAGACAAAATAGATTTCAAGACAAAAACTGTAAGAAAAGACCAAAATAAAGTTCGTTATATAATGATAAAGGGGTTACTTCAGCAAGAAGATATAACAACTGTAAGTACATATGCATCCAACACTGGAACACCCAAATATATAAAGCAAATATTATTTGCGATAAAGAGGGAGATAGACCCCGATACAATAATATCTGTAGACTTCAGTACGCCACTTTCAGCATTGGACAGATCTCCCAGACAGATAATCAACAAAGAAATACAGGACTTAATCTGCGCTATAGAACAAACGGATCTAATAGATATTTACAGAACATTTCATCCAACGACTGAAGAATACACATTCTTCTCTTCAGCACATGGATCATTCTCAAAGATAAATCACATGTTAGGTCACAAAATAAGTCTCAAAACATTCAAAAAATTGAAATAATATCAAGCATCTTCTCTGACCACAATGGACTAAAACTAGAAATCAATAACAAGAGGAATTTTGGAAACTATAGAAACACATAGAAATTAAACAATATGCTCTTGAATGACCAGTAGGACAATGAAGAAATTAAGAAAGAAATTGAAAATTTTCTGGAAACAAATGAGAAAGGAAGCACAATATACCAAAACCCATGGCATACAGCAAAAGCAGTGCTAAGAGGGAAATATTTCTAGCTATAAGTACCTATATCAGAAAAGAAGAAAAACATCCAATAAATAACCTAATGATGCATCTTAAAGAATGAGAAAAGCAAGAACAAGCCAAACCCAAAATTAGGAGAAGAAAAGAAATAATAAGGATGAGAGCAGAAATAAATGAATTTGAAATGAAGAAACAATACAAAAATCAATGAAACAAAAACAAAAAGTTGGCCGGGCGCGGTGGCTCACGCCTGTAATCCCAGCACTTTGGGAGGCCGAGGCGGGTGGATCATGAGGTCAGGAGATCGAGACCATCCTGGCTAACAAGGTGAAACCCCGTCTCTACTAAAAATACAAAAAATTAGCCGGGCGCAGTGGCGGGTGCCTGTAGTCCCAGCTACTCGGGAGGCTGAGGCAGGAGAATGGCATGAACCCCGGAAGCGGAGCTTGCAGTGAGCCGAGATTGCGCCACTGCAGTCCGCAGTCCGGCCTGGGCGACAGAGCGAGACTCCGTCTCAAAACAAAAAAAAAAAAAAAAAAAAAGTTGTTTTTTTTTTTTTGAGAAGATAACAAAACTGATAAACTTGTAGCCAAACTAACTAAGAAAAGAAGAAAGACCCAAATAAATAAAATCAGGGATGAAAAAAGAGACACTACAGCTGATACTGCAGAAACTCAAAGGATCACTAGTGGCTACTATGAGCAACTATATGCCAATAAATTGGAAAATCTAGAAGAAATGAACAAATTCCTAGACATACACAACCTACCAAGATTAAACCATGAAGAAATCCAAAACCTGTATAGACCAATAACAAATAATGAGATCGAAGCCTGAACAAAAATCTCCCAGTAAAGAAAAACCCAGGACCCAATGGCTTCACTGCTGAATTCTAACAAACATTTAAAGAAGAACTAACAACAATCTTACTTAAATTGTTTCAAAAAATAGAGAAGAGTATCCTTCCAAACTCATTCTATGAGGCCAGTATTGCCCTGATACCAAAATCAGATAAACACACACCAAAGAAAAAACTACAGGCCCATGTCTCTGGTGAATATTAATGTAAAAATCTTCAACAAATATTAGCAAACCAAATTCAACAACACCTTAAAAAGATCAGTCATCATGAGCAAGTGGCATTTATCCTAGGAATGTGAGGATGATTCAACATATGCAAATTAATCAAGGTGATACATTACATCAACAGAATGAATGACAAAGATCATATATCACTTCAATTGATGCTGAAAAGGCATTTGATAAAGTTTAACATCACTTCATGATAAAAACCCTGTAAAAACTGGGTATGGAAGGAACATACCTAAACATAATAAAAGCTATATATGACAGACCCACAGCTAGTATATTGAATAGGGAAAAACTAAAAGCCTTTTCTCCAAAATCTAGAATATGAATATGACAAGAATGTCCATTTGTACCACTGTTATTCAACATAGTATTTGAAGTCCTATCTAGAGCAATCATACAAGAGAAAGAAATAAAGGGCATCCAAATTAGAAAGAAAGAAGTCAAACTGTCCTTGTTTGCAGATGATATGATCTTATATTTGGAAAAACCCTAAGGCTCTACCAAAAAAACTATTAAAACTGATAAGTGCAGTAAAGTTGTAGGATACAAAGTCCACATACAAAAGTCAGCATCATTTCTATAAGCCAACAGTGAACAATCTGAAAAAGAAATCAAGAGTAATCTCATTTATAATAACCACAAACAAAATTAAAGGTGAGGGATTAATTCAACCAAAGAAGTAAAAGATCTCTGCTATGAAAACTATAAATCATGATTAAAGAAACTGAAGAGGGCACACAAAAAAGGAAAAATATGTTCATGGATTATAAGCATCAATATTGTTAAAATTCCATGCTACCCAAAGCAATGTACATATTCAGTGCAATCTCTATCAAAATACCAATGATATTCTTCACAGAAATAGAAAAACCAATTCTAAAATGTATATGGAATCACAAAAGACTCAGAATAGCCAAAGCTATCCTGAGCAAAAAGAACAACTGCAGGAATCACATTTCCTGACTTCACATTATACTACCAAGCTATAGAAAGCTCTGTAGCTCTATAGTAAAACTGCATGCAGTACTGGCATAAAAACAGACACATAGACCAATGGAACAGAGTAGAGATCCCAGAAACAAATCCACACATCTACAGTGAACTTATTTTTTACAAAGGTGCCAAGAATATACATTGGGGAAAAGACAGTCTTTCAATAAATGGTGCTGGGAAAACTAGATATCCATATGCAGAAGCATGGAATTAGACCCTATCTCTCACTATATACAAAAAAAAAAAAAAAAAAAAACGGATTAAAGACTTAAATGTAAGACCTCAAACTATGAAACTACTAAAGGAAGGCATTGGGGAAACTCCCCAGGACATTGGCCTGGGCAAAATTTTTTTGGGTAATACCTCACAAGCACAGGCAACCAAAGCAAAAATGGAAAAATGGGATCACATCAACTTAAAAAGCTTCTGAACAGCAAATGAAACAATCAACAAAGTGGAGAGACAACCCACAGAAAGGGAGAAAATATTTGCAAACTACCCATCTGACAAGGGATTAATAACCAGAATGTATAAGGAGCTCAAACAACTCTATACGAAAATCTCTAACAATCCAATTTTAAAATGGGCAAAACATATGAATAGACATTTCTCAAAAGAAGATATACAAATGGCAAACAGGCATACAAAAAGGTGCTCAGCATCACTGATCATCAGAAAAATGCAAATCAAAACTACAATGAGATATCATTTCACCCCAGTTAAAATGGCTTTTATCCAAAAGTCAGGCAAAAGCAAATGCTAGCAAGGATGTCGAGTAAAGGAAAGTCTCATTGGCTGTTGGTGGGAATATAAATTAGTACAACCACTATGGAGAACAGTTCAGAGGTTACTCAAAAAACTAAAAATAGAGCTACCATATGACCCAGCAATCCCACTACTAGGTATAGCTCTAAAGAAAGGAAATTGGTATATCAAACAGATATCTGGCACCCCCATGTTTGTTGCAGCACTGTTCACAATAGCCAAGATTGGAAGCAACCTAAATGTCCCTCAACAGAAGAATGGATAAAGAAAATGTGATACTTACACACAATAGAGTACTATTCAGCCACAGAAAAGAATATTCTGTGATTTGCAACAAAATGGATGGAACTGGAGGTCATTATGTTAAGTGAGATAAGCCAGGCACATAAAGACAAACGTCACATGTTCTTACTTTTATTGTGGAATCTAAAAATCAAAACAATTGAATTCCTGGAGATAGAGAATACAAGGATGGTTATCAGAGGCTGGGAAGGGTAGTGAGGAGAGGGGTGAGGTGGGGATAGTTGATGAGTACAAAAAATAAAATAGGAATAATAAATAAGACCTAATATATTGCACAACAGGGTGAGTATAGTCAATAATAATAGTATATTTTAAAATAACTTAAAGTATAACAGTTGGACTCTTTGTAACAAAAAGATAAATGCTCAAGGAAACAAATATCCAATTTTCCATGGTCTGATTATATGCATGGCAAGCCTGTACCAAAATAACTCAGGTACTCCATAAATATATACACCTACTACATACCCACAAAAATTAAAATTAATAAAATATTTAACCAATCAATTCATTACATTAAGAAAATTAAGAGAAAGAAAACAAATAATTGTATCAATAGATTTTTTAAAAATAATTTGACGTAATTCAACATCGTTTATAATAAAAACCTCTGCAAAGTACTAATAGAAAGGAGATTCCTCAATCTAATAAAGGGCATCTATGAAAAACATGCAGCTATTTAGTGGTAAAAAATTGAATACATTTCCCCTAAGATCAGCAGAAAGGCAAGAATCATCAAAACTATTCCACATTGTACTGGAAGTCCTAACAAGTGCAGAAAGGCAAGAGGAAAAAAAGCAAAATAACAGATTGTAAACAACATCCGACAATGTTTATTCAAAGACAATATGATTATGTATGTAAAAAATCCAAAAGAAGGCACACACCAAAAATACACTATGAGAATAAGTGAATTTAGCAAGTATCAATTTACATCATCAACAGTCAAAAATTTATTGAATTTCTGTATACTAGTAACTAAGAATTGAATTTGAAAAAAATACTATCAATAGTAGCACCCAAAACATTAAACACAAATACTTACATATAAATTATTAAGGTGCAAGACCTGCACACTGAAAACTACAAAGAATTAAGAGAAGTTAAAGATAACTTAAATAAATAGAAAGATATATCATATTCAAATATTAAATACATAGAAAGATACACCATATTCAAAGATGAAAAGATTTAATATTGTTGAGATGTTGTTATGGGCTGAATTGTGTCCTCTAAGATTCATGTTAAGCTCCTAATTCCCATTATTTGAGAATGTGACTGTATTGGAAAATAACACCTTTAAAGAGGTAAATAAGATAAAATGAGGTCATATAGGCAGGCCATAGTCTGATAGGACTAGTGTCCTTATAAGGAGAGGAAATTAGTACACAGGCAACACACAGATTCAGGGGCAACCTTGTGAGGACACATCAAGAAGGCAGCCATCTGCAAGCCAAGTAAAGAGGCCTCAGAAGAAACCAAACCTGCTGACACCTTTATCTTGGACTTCTAGCCTCCAGAACTGTGAGACAATAAAGTTCTGTCATTTAAGCCACCACATCAGTGGTATTTTGTCATGGTAGTACTACCAAAATAATACAGATTTTAATCTCCCCAAGTTGATCAATAGATGCTATGCTATTGTAATCAAAGTCCAAACAGGCATTTTTGTAAAAATTGATAAATGGATCCTAAAATGTATATGAAATAAAGGAAACAAGTAAGTTATGTAAAAAACAAAATAATCTTGAAAGATAATACGGAAGATTTATACTACCTGATTTAAAGACATAATAAAACTACTGTAATCTAGGCAGTAAGGAATAGGAGAAGCAAACAGATCAAATGAACAGAATAAAGAATACATAAATAGACCCACATATATATCATCAATTGTTTACAGAGGCAATAAGGAATTCAGAGGGGAAAGGAAACTTTCTAACAAATAATTCTAGAAGAACTGGATAACTATATGACAAAAAAATAATTTCAACTCCTACCTCACACCATGAACAAAAATTAATTTTGGATGGCTCATAGATCCAATTACAAAAGTTGAAACTACAAAGCTTCTAGAAGAAAACATAAGAGAATATTTTCATGAACTTGAATAAGAAAAATTTTCTTAGGCAAGTCTTAAAGAGCATTAAAAAGAAAATTTTGAAAATGACTGGTGGACAAAATGTAAAGCTTCTGCTTGTCAAAACAAAAAAAGAAAATGAATAGGCAAAAAAAGTGAGAAAAAATATTCATAACACATCCCTCCAGCAAAGAACTTATGATCAGAATGTATAAAGAGCTCCGACTAATAGCAAAAAGACAGTGCATTGATAATATCAGCAACAGATTTGAACAGCCTCTCATAAAACAAGATATATGAATATATATGGCCAGAACCCAATGAAAAGGTATTCAACATCATTAGTTGCCAGGGAAAAGCAAATTAAACAACAACGATATCTCTATGTATTCAGTAAATGGCAAAAATTAGAAAGACAGATAAAACTAAATGCTGGAGAGAGTGTAGAGCAACTGGAACTGTCATACATTGCTGGTGAGAGTGTAAAGTTGAACAACTGTTTCAAAAAACCTTTTGTCAATTTTTTATAAAGTTACATACATATTTACCATATGGCCCATTACTCCCACTTTTAGGTATTTATCCAAGAGAAATTAAAGTACGTGTCTACACAAACTTGTAGAAGAAGGATCATAATACCTTTATTCTTAATATAGTCCTCAACTGGAAACAACCAAATTGTCTATCAAAAAATGACTAGGCAAATACATCATGGCACATTTATCCAATTGGGTGTGCATTAGTCCATTTTCACACTGCTGATAAAGACATACACAAGACTGGGAAATTTATAAAGAAAAAGAGGTTGAATGGACTCACAGTTCCACATGGCTGGAGAGGCCTAACAATCATGGCAGAAGGCAAAAGTCACAACTTACATGGTAGCAGGCAAGAGAGAATGAGAGCATGTGCAGGGGAACTCCCCTTTATAAAACCATCAGATCTCATGAGATTTATTCACTATCACAAGAACAACACAGGAAAGACTCACCCTCATGATTCAATTACCTCTCACTGGGTCTCTCACATGATGCATGGGAATTATGAGAACCACATTAGAGATTTGGGTGGGGACACAGCCAAACCATATAATTCCACCCCTGGCACCTCCCAAATCTCATGTCTTCACATTTCAAAACTAATCATGCCTTCCCAACAGTCCCATAAAGTCTTTTTTTTGAGACGGAGTCTTGTTCTGTCGACCAGGCTGGAGTGCAGTGGCGTGATCTCAGCTCACTGCAAGCTCTGCCTCCCAGGGTCACACCATTCTCCTGCCTCAGTCTCCTGAGTAGCTGGGACTACAGGCATCTGCCACCACACCCAGCTAACTTTTTGTCAGTCCCACAAAGTCTTAACTCATTTCAGCATTAACTCAAAAGTCCACAGTCTAAAGTCTCAGCTGAGACAAGGTAAATCCCTTTCACCTATGAGCCTGTAAAGTCAAAAGCAAGTTGGTTACTTCCTAGATACAATGGGGGTACAGGCATTGGATAAAGACACCCATTCCAAATGAAATAAATTGTCCAAAACAAAAGGGCTCCAGGCCCCAAGGAAGTCCAAAATGTAATAGAGCAGTAATTAACTCTTAAATGTCCAAGATGATCTCCTTGGACTCTATGCCTCACATCCAGGTCACTAATGCAAGAGGTGGGTTCCCATGGTCTTGGGCAACTCCACCCCTGTGGCTTTGCAGGGTACAGTCTCTCCCAGCTGCTTTCACAGGCTGGCTTTGAGTGTCTGTGGCTTTTCCAGGTGCATGGTGCAAGCTGTAGGTGGATCTACCATTCTGGGACCTGGAGGACACTGGCCCTCTTCTCACAGCTCCACTAGACAGTGCTCCAGTGGGGACTCTGTGTCAGGGCTCCAACCCCATATTTCCCTTTCGCATTGCCCTAGCACGGGTTCTCCATGAGGGCTCTGCTCCTGCAGCAAACTTCTGCCTGGACATCCAGGCATTTCCATACATCCTCTGAAATCTAGGCAGAGGTTCCCAAACCTCAATTCTTGACTTCTGTTCACCTGCAGGCTCAACACCACATGGAAGCTGCCAAGGCTTAGGGTTTGCACACTCTGAAGCCATGGCCTGAGCTGTACCTTGGCCCCTTTTAGCCATGGCTAGAGCAGCCAGAACACAGGGCACCAAGTCCCTAAGCTGCACACAGCAGTGGGGAGCCTGGGCCTGGCCCAAGAAACCATTTTTTCCTCTTAGGCCTCTGGGCCTATAAAGGGAGGGGCTGCCCTGAAGATCTCTGACATGGCCTAGAGACATTTTCTCCATTGTCTTGGTGATTAGCATTTGGTTCCTCATTACTTACGCAAATTTCTACAGCCAGCTTAAATTTCTCCCCAGAAAATGTTTTTTTCTTTTCTACTACATTGTGAGGCTGCAAATTTTCCAAACTTTTATGCTCTGTCACCTCTTGAATGCTTTTCCACTTGGAAGTTTCTTCCACCAGATACCCCAAATCATCTCTCTCAAGTTCAAAGTTCCACAGACCTCTAGGACAGGGGCAAAATGCCACCAGTCTATTTGTACAGCCAGAGTGACCTTTACTCCAGTTCCCAAAAAGTTCCTCATCTCCATCTGAGACCACCTCAGCCTGGACCTTATTGTTCATATCACTATCAGCATTTTGGTCAAAGCCATTCAACAAGTCTCTAGGAAGTTCTAAACTTTCCCACATTTTCCTGTCTTCTTCTGGGCCCTCCAAACTGTTCCAACCTCTGCCTGTTACCCAGTTCTAAAGTTGCTTTCACTTTTTCGGATATCTTTACAGTAGCGCCTCACTCCCAGTACCAGTTTACTGTATTAGTTCATTTTCATGCTGCTAATAAAGACATATCCCAGACTGGGTATTTTATAAAGAAAAAGAGGTTTAATGGATTCACAGTTCCACATGGCTGGAGAGGCCTCACAATCATGGTGGAAGGCAAAAGGCACATCTTACATCGCGGCAGGCAAGAGAGAATGAGAGCCAAGAAAAAGGGGAAACCTTTTATAAAACTATCTATAAAACTATCACATCTTATGAGACTTATTCACTGTCACAAGAAGAGCATGGGAAAGACCCAGCCTCATGATTCAATTACTTCCCATAGCGTCCCTCCCAGGACACGTGGGAATTATGGGAGCTACAATTCAAGATTTGGGTGGGCACACAGCCAAACCATATAAGGGAGCTACTCTGCAATAAAAACAAACAACTGGTGCACTTAAATCCTAGCACTTTGGGGGTTGAGGAGGGCGGATTGCCTGAGCTAAGGAGTTCAAAACCAGCCTGGGCAACGTGGTGAAACCCCGTCTCTACTAAAATAGAAACAAAATTAGCCAGGCGTATGGTGTGCACCTGTAGTCCCAGCTACTCAGGAGGCTGAGGCAGGAGAATTGTTTGAACCCAGGAGGCAGAGGTTGCAGTGAGCCAAGATCACACCATTGCACTCCAGCCTGGGTGACAGTGCGAGACTTTGTCTCTACAAAAAAAAAGAAAAAAGAAAAATCATGTACCTAACTATGTATACACTGTACCTCAATAATATTAAAATAGATATTATATCAGAAGTTGAGGCTTACTAAGAAGAAAAGTAAAGAAAAGAGAGGCAATGCAGTGTGCAATATACAGTCAGTTGCTATTTTAGATAGGGTAATTTGGGAAGTCCTCTGCTGGGTGGCATTTGAAGAAAAAACCTGAAGGAAGCGACTAATTGGGAGGAGAGTGCTCAAGGTAGAAATCAGAAAGAACAAGTGCCTCAAGGCAAGAGCACCCTTGGCTTGCTCAAGGAACAGCAAGGAGGTCAACATGGTTTAAGTGACATATTCAAGGGGGACTGTAATGTTGTGAAATGTATATGTATGTGTGTATGTGTATATATATATATATATATTCTTCCTCTAGTTTCCTGGCACACACTTCCTAAAGACTTTGGCATCTCTTCAGTGATAAATGCCTTTTTGTATGATCATGAGATGACTGGTGAATGGGGAATCCTAGACAGCTTCAAGAGGGAGGCTGGTTGCCAGGGGAACCAATCATGTGATGAGAGGGTTGAAGCTTTCAGTCCCACCACCCAACTTCCAGGGAGGGGAGAGAGAGTGAAGGTTGAGTTATTACCAATGGCCAATGATGTAATCAATCATGCCTGTGTAATAAAGCCTCCATGAAACCCCAAAAGGACAGAGTTCAGAGAATTTTTCCAAACAGCTGAACAGGTGAAGATTCCTGCAGGATGAGGTGCCCAGAGAGGACATGAAAGCTCTGGGCCCCTTCCCTGTTCCTTGCCCTATGCATTTTTTCATCTGACTGCTTGTTTGTATCCTTTGTAATATGCTTTATAATAAATGGGTCAATGTAAATAAAGTGTTTCCCTGAGTTCTGTGAGCTGCTCTAGCAAATTAATTGAACCCGGGGAAGGGGTTGTGGGAACTCTGATTCATATCTGATTGGTCAGAAATACAGGTCACAATTTGTGCTTGCAATTAGCATCTGAAGTGGGGGGAGGGCAGCCCTGTGGGACTGAGCCCTCAACCTGTGGGATCTGAAGCGATCTCCAGGTACTGTCAGAATTGAGGTAAATTATTCACAGTTGGTGTCCAATGGAGAATTGATTAGTTGTTGGTAGGGAGAAGTCCCCACACACATTTTGCTTACCAAAGTGAGGTGTTCTGTGTTGAGAGCGCGAGAGGGGAAGGAAAAAAACTATTTGTTTGTTAGTTTTCCCTTCAGGTAGTGTTAGGAGATGAGGGCCAAGAGGATGGGAATTCAGATCACACAGGTCTTGAAAGTCATTGTGAAGACTCCCAGTTTCAGTCTGAGATGGGAAGTCACAGGAAAAGTTGAGCAGAGGAGCGGCAGGACCCTTCACAGAGATTCACTCTGGCTGCTGTGATGAGAATAAACTCAGGTGGAGGCAAGGGGTTGAAACAAGGGCAAAAGCAGAGATATTAGTTGGGCGGCTACTTCAATGGCTTCAAACAGGAGTAGCGGCAATGGTGAAAAGTGGTTATCATCTGAATATATTTTGAAAGTAGGGCCAACGGGATTTGCTGGTGGACTGGATATGGGGTATGATGAAATAAAAGGAGTCAGGGATGATTCTGAGTTTTTAGGCTGAGCACTGTTAGAATTTGAATCCCAGCAGTGCAGCTCCAGAGCTAGCAAGGACTCAACCACTACAATTACTGCCTTCCTCCCTCAGAGCCTCACCCACAGCCACTGCTGACCCCTGTCCAATCCAGCTCAGCATGCCAGCAGGACCTGCACCTTTGGGAATCACCCAGGCCCCTGCCATCTTCCCTCCTGAGACTGCTTTTGCCACCTTACTGTCTGGTTAAATCCAGTTTCTGCTTTTCTGCCCATTCCCTTTGGATGTGGCAATCATTTGGACTGTCTGGTCCTCGGCCCCACCTTTGCCAGTAGACATTGCCTTTTTAAGTTCCCTTGCTCCATGCCTAAAGTCTTAGGTTACTGCTGACTTACACCTTTGCAACAAACCCCAGGCCTAACAAGAGACCTATGACAGCTTATATCGACCAAGAGAGAAGTTCAGAAATCATTTAAGTTTTCAAAGCAGACAATTAGGCAAAACCACACCCCACACAAGGTGCCCAGCCAAAGGGTCAAGCTGGGTTTGAAATCCAATTCATGCTCTTGTCTCCAAGATCTGAGCCTCAGTGCTAGACTGCATCCTAGAAGTACTATTATTTCCCAATTGGTCCACTCAAAAATGTCTTTTATGTCACCTTTTCCTAATTTGCCCAAAGGTATCATCTATACAAAAGAAGTCCCTATTTCAAAATCAGCCAAGCATGATTCAGATTCACAATGGTTGGGCTTTTTTTCACTACAGTGAGAACATTAACAGAGCCTGCTAAACTGCTGTCTCTCTTGCTTAGAACTTTTGTAAAATTTAAGTGAAAGAAGAGACCAAACTTCATTGATATCGGAATATCAGAAGGCAATTTTTCTGGTAGCATCCCTTGTCTTGTCCCACATCCGCACGTTACTGTTTCTCCTCCACTCCAGAAATGCAAACAGCTTTTGCTTATTTCTACTGAACATGGTTCCTTTTTCTCTGATGTTGTCTCGATTGAACCTGAGAAGCTGACATAATTGTGCAATTCATAGCTAGTGAAACTTGAACTTTGAACAGTAACTGGAGATCTGAGCAGATAAAGGCATCTGACAAGAGTTTGTACTTGACAACACCAGCATCCCTTCTCTTCTGAATAATAATATAACCAATTCAACATCCTCTATTTTCTTGCTGTTGCAACATTGAATTCAAGTGCTAGTATGACCTGACTGTTTATCGGGTAAGAACTCAATTAATTTGAGTCCAGACTCATTAATTGTGCTTAATTCACATTTGACCATTGTGTTTGGTCTCTGACCTCTGGTCCCACTTTTGCATGGAAATCTCCCTCTCAGCAGAAACACATCATGCTCTGGCACACAGCCACTCACTTCCTATTCTGATTGAGCCTCTTTCCTGTCACCACAGGTGCTGAATTTCCCCAGACATATCTCAATGATACATTCAGAGAGGCTAGTTTTTAAAAGATTCTGATAAGCTCTTTTCACATTATTATAATTCATGAAGGGAGGCTTGTGATGTGGTATAAAGAGTCCTGGACTAGATGCAATTCACACACTATGTATTTAGTGAATATTTGTTAAATGAGAGAATAGCCCTAGCTGTCCCAGGAACCAGCTTGTGATTTGAGTTAGGTCATGCCATCTCACAGGGCTTCACTCTCCTCATTTGTAATGTCCAGAGGCTGGAAAGGCGGATTCTGCGATCCAGAATAGAGGCTTGTCAAATTCCCATCTCTCCTATCACAGTTCTCCAAAGGGTTTTTCAGGCAAATTTTAAAAAGAGGCTGAAAAACAAGCTCCTGGAACTCAAATGGCCTTTGGGAGTTTCCTTTGAGACACTCTTCCTTAAGTGGACAACTTTGGAGACCAGTCATGGGGCCCTCGGGGGTTTTCTCAAGTAGCTAAAGCAATCTGGAGATGCAATAAACCCAGCCAATATTTTGAAACACATTCCACCCCTATACTTTTATTTTTACCTTTTCCTTTTAACTCCATATAATTTTTAGAAGAAAATTCACCTTAGGGTCTGGTTTGTTTTCCAGGAATTCACTTTATCCCTTGGTAATTCATTGGGGTATTATAAAAGCACTTCTTGGGGAAATCTTTAGGCTATTTAGTCTTTTTCTACCCTTTGAGTAAAATCACTGATCTTATCATGGCTAGGATATTGACACATTCAAAGAGACAAAAACTGTGTAAGTAGACACTTAAAACAAAATTGTTATAAACTCTACACTTAGAAAACATTCTCACACTCAATTTTAAAGTTTGTTTCTCTTTCATGGCCATTTTCATGGATAGTTTAGTTAAAATTGAAGAGGCAATTCTAAAGATTAGTCATAGACATATCACTAACCTAGGATTCAGAAGAACTGATCTCTACATCAGCTCTCCCTAGCACTATTTTGCTGAGACATTATCAAAAGTATTATGGAATCTGAAATTTGGGGAGAAATACAGAGGTCACTGAGAAATGAGGAGGGTTTTTTCAGAAGAAAGCCTCTCTTCTCCAGCCTATGTAAATATTTTCTGTGATTCAAAACAAAAGCTTACTATTTCCTGCCTATTTTCATTGCTGAAAAGGCATGGTAGAAAGATTTTTCTAACAACCACTTCCATCTTTGCTCCTAGTTCTACAAAGAAAATTAAGAATAGCTTACTTTTGAATATAGATTTGAGGAGCCAAGATGGCCGAATAGGAACGGCTCAGGTCTACAGCTCCCAGCCTGAAGGACGCAGAAGACGGGTGATTTCTGCATTTCCATCTGAGGTACCGGGTTCATCTCACTAGGGAGTGCCAGTCAGTGAGCGCAGGTCAGTGGGTGCGCGCACCGTGTGCGAGCCGAAGCAGGGCGAGGCATTGCCTCACTCGGGAAGCGCAAGGGGTCAGGGAGTTCCCTTTCTTAATCAAAGAAAGGGGTGATGGACAGCACCTGGAAACTCGGGTCACTCCCACCCGAATACTGCGCTTTTCTGACGGGCTTAAAAAACGGCGCACCACGAGATTATATCCCACACCTGGCTCAGAGGGTCCTACCCCACGGAGTCTCGCTGATTGCTAGCACAGCAGTCTGAGATCAAACTGCAAGGCGGCAGCGAGGCTGGGGGAGGGGCGCCCACTATTGCCCAGGCTTGCTTAGGTAAACAAAGCAGCCTGGAAGCTCGAACTGGGTGGAGCCCACCACAGCTCAAGGAGGCCTGCCTGCCTCTGTAGGCTCCACCTCTGGGGTCAGGGTACAAACAAAAAGACAGCAGTAACCTCTGCAGACTTAAATGTCCCTGTCTGACAGCTTTGAAGAGAGCAGTGGTTCTCCCAGTATGCAGCTGGAGATCTGAGAAGGGGCAGACTGCCTCCTCAAGTGGGTGCCTGACCCCTGACCCCTGAGCAGCCTAACTGGGAGGCACCCCCCAACAGGGGCACACTGACACCTCACACTGCAGGGTACTCCAACAGACCTGCAGCTGAGGGTCCTGTCTGTTAGAAGGAAAACTAACAAACAGAAAGGACATCCACACCAAAAACCCATCTGTACATCACCATCATCAAAGACCAAAAGTAGATAAAACCACAAACATGGGGAAAAAACAGAACAGAAAAACTGGAAACTCTAAAAATCAGAGCGCCTCTCCTCCTCCAAAGGAAGGCAGCTCCTCACCAGCAACGGAAAAAAGCTGGACAGAGAATGACTTTGACGAGCTGAGAGAAGGAGGCTTCAGACGATCAAATTACTCTGAGCTATGGGAGGACATCATAATGACAGGATCAAATTCACACATAACACTATTAACTTTAAATGCAAATGGACTAAATGCTCCAGTTAAAAGACACAGACTGGCAAATTGGATAAAGAGTCAAGACCCATCGGTGTGCTGTATTCAGGAAACCCATCTCACGTGCAGAGATACACATAGGCTCAAAATAAAAGGATGGAGGAAGATCTACCAAGCAAATGGAAAACAAAAAAAGGCAGGGGTTGCAATCCTAGTCTCTGATAAAACAGACTTTAAACCAACAAAGATAAAAAGAGACAAAGAAGGCCATTACATTATGGTAAAGGGATCAATTCAACAAGAAGAGCTAACTATCCTAAATATATATGCACCCAATACAGGAGCACCCAGATTCATAAGGCAAGTCCTAAGTGACTTACAAAGAGAGTTAGACTCCCACACATTAATAATGGGAGACTTTAACACCCCACTGTCAACATTAGACAGATCAACGAGACAGAAAGTCAACAAGGATACCCATGAATTGAACTCAGCTCTGCACCAAGTGGACCTAATAGACATCTACAGAACTCTCCACCCCAAATCAACAGAATATACATATTTTTCAGCACCACACCGCACCTATTCCAAAATTGACCACATACTTGGAAGTAAAGCTCTCCTCAGCAAATGTAAAAGAACAGATATTATAACAAACTGTCTCTCAGACCACAGTGCAATCAAACTAGAACTCAGGATTAAGAATCTCACTCAAAACCGCTCAACTACATGGAAACTGAACAACCTGCTCCTGAATGACTACTGGGTACATAACGAAATGAAGGCAGAAATAAAGATGTTCTTTGAAACCCACGAAAACAAAGACACAACATACCAGAATCTCTGGGACGCATTCAAAGCAGTGTGTAGAGGGAAATTTATAGCACTAAATGCCCACAAGAGAAAGCAGGAAAGATCCAAAATTGACACCCTAACATCACAATTAAAAGAACTAGAAAAGCAAGAGCAAACACATTCAAAAGCTAGCAGAAGGCAAGAAATAACTAAAATCGGAGCAGAACTGAAGGAAATAGAGACACAAAAAACCCTTCAAAAAATTAATGAATCCAGGAGCTGGTTTTTTGAAGGGATCAACAAAATTGATAGACCGCTAGCAAGACTAATAAAGAAAAAAAGAGAGAAGAATCAAATAGACGCAATAAAAAATGATAAAGGGGATATCACCACCGATCCCACAGAAATACAAACTACCATCAGAGAATACTATGAACACCTCTATGCAAATAAACTAGAAAATCTAGAAGAAATGGATAAATTCCTGGACACATACACTCTCCCAAGACTAAACCAGGAAGTTGAATCTCTGAATAGACCAATAACAGGATCTGAAATTGTGGCAATAATCAATAGCTTACCAACCAAAAAAAGTCCAGGACCAGATGAATTCACAGCCGAATTCTACCAGAGGTACAAGGAGGAACTGGTACCATTCCTTCTGAAACTATTCCAATCAATAGAAAAAGAGGGAATCCTCCCTAACTCATTTTATGAGGCCAGCATCATTCTGATACCAAAGCCGGGCAGAGACACAACCGAAAAAGAGAATTTTAGACCAATATCCTTGATGAACATTGATGCAAAAATCCTCAATAAAATACTGGCAAATCGAATCCAGCAGCACATCAAAAAGCTTATCCACCATGATCAAGTGGGCTTCATCCCTGGGATGCAAGGCTGGTTCAATATACGCAAATCAATAAATGTAATCCAGCATATAAACAGAGCCAAAGACAAAAACCACATGATTATCTCAATAGATGCAGAAAAGGCCTTTGACAAAATTCAACAACCCTTCATGCTAAAAACTCTCAATAAATTAGGTATTGATGGGACATATTTCAAAATAATAAGAGCTATCTATGACAAATCCACAGCCAATATCATACCAAATGGGCAAAAACTGGAAGCATTCCCTTTGAAAACTGGCACAAGACAGGGATGCCCTCTCTCACCACTCCTATTCAACATAGTGTTGGAAGTTCTGGCCAGGGCAATTAGGCAGGAGAAGGAAATAAAGGGTATTCAATTAGGAAAAGAGGAAGTCAAATTGTCCCTGTTTGCAGATGACATGATTGTATATCTAGAAAACCCCATTGTCTCAGCCCAAAATCTCCTTAAGCTGATAAGCGACTTCAGCAAAGTCTCAGGATACAAAATCAATGTACCAAAATCACAAGCACTCCTATACACCAACAACAGACAAACAGAGAGCCAAATCATGAGTGAAGTCCCATTCACAACTGCTTCAAAGAGAATAAAATACCTAGGAATCCAACTTACAAGGGATGTGAAGGACCTCTTCAAGGAGAACTACAAACCGCTGCTCAAGGAAATAAAAGAGGATACAAACAAATGGAAGAACATTCCATGCTCATGGGTAGGAAGAATCAATATCGTGAAAATGGCCATACTTCCCAAGGTAATTTACAGATTCAATGCCATCCCCATCAAGCTACCAAGGCCTTTCTTCACAGAATTGGAAAAAACTACTTTAAAGTTCATATGAAACCAAAAAAGAGCCCGCATCGCCAAGTCAATCCTAAGCCAAAAGAACAAAGCTGGAGGCATCACACTACCTGACTTCAAACTATACTACAAGGCTACAGTAACCAAAACAGCATGGTACTGGTACCAAAACAGAGATATAGATCAATGGAACAGAACAGAGTCCTCAGAAATTATGCCGCATATCTACAACTATCTGATCTTTGACAAACCTGAGAAAAACAAGCAATGGGGAAAGGATTCCCTATTTAATAAATGGTGCTGGGAAAACTGGCTAGCCATATGTAGAAAGCTGAAACTGGATCCTTCCTTACACCTTATACAAAAATCAATTCAATATGGATTAAAGACTTAAACATTAGACCTAAAACCATAAAAACCCTAGAAGAAAACCTAGGCATTACCATTCAGGACATAGGCATGGGCAAGGACTTCATGTCTAAAACACCAAAAGCAATGGCAACAAAAGACAAAATTGACAAATGGGATCTAATTAAACTAAAGAGCTTCTGCACAGCAAAAGAAACTACCATCAGAGTGAACAGGCAACCTACAAAATGGGAGAAAATTTTTGCAACCTACTCATCTGACAAAGGGCTAATATCCAGAATCCACAAAGAACTCAAACAAATTTACAAGAAAAAAACAAACAACCCCATCAAAAAGTGGGCGAAGGACATGAACAGACACTTCTCAAAAGAAGACATTTATGCAGCCAAAAAACACACGAAAAAATGCTCACCATCACTGGCCATCAGAGAAATGCAAATCAAAACCACAATGAGATACCATCTCACACCAGTTAGAATGGCAATCATTAAAAAGTCAGGAAACAACAGGTGCTGGAGAGGATGTGGAGAAATAGGAACACTTTTACACTGTTGGTGGGACTGTAAACTAGTTCAACCATTGTGGAAGTCAGTGTGGCGATTCCTCAGGGATCTAGAACTAGAAATACCATTTGACCCAGCCATCCCATTACTGGGTATATACCCAAAGGACTATAAATCATGCTGCTGTAAAGACACATGCACACGTATGTTTATTGCGGCATTATTCACAATAGCAAAGACTTGGAACCAACCCAAATGTCCATCAATGATAGACTGGATTAAGAAAATGTGGCACATATACACCATGGAATACTATGCAGCCATAAAAAATGATGAGTTCATGTCCTTTGTAGGAACATGGATGAAATTGGAAATCATCATTCTCAGTAAACTATCACAAGAACAAAAAACCAAACACCACATATTCTCACTCATAGGTGGGAATTGAACAATGAGAACACATGGACACAGGAAGGGGAACATCACACTCTGGGGACTGTTGTGGGGTGGGGGGAGGGGGGAGGGATAGCATTGGGAGATATACCTAATGCTAGATGACGAGTTAGTGGGTGCAGCACACCAGCATGGCACATGTATACGTATGTAACTAACCTGCACAATGTGCACATGTACCCTAAAACTTAAAGTATAATAAATAAATAAATAAATAAATAAATAAATAAAAAATAAAAAAAGAATAGCTTACTTTTTAAAACATTAATTATATGTACCATGACCTCATTTAAACCTCACAAGAGCTGCTACTTCTGACCAAAATGGAGTACTCGAAACTCCTGCATTAAACAGCTAGAAAAAATTAACAAAATACACAGAACAATGGGTTTTCTTCCATTGGAGAATAGGCAATACAGGAATATGATCCCTGACAAAAGGGAAGCAAGCTGGACCATTGCTGCAGCTCACTACCTGGAGGCAGGTCCTAGGCTGCAGCACAGGGAAAGGGACCTAAATATAAGCCAAAGGTCTCACTTAGATGAAGACACAGATATAGAAGATCAGGAAGGTAAAACATCTACAGCCTCTGGAATAGGAAGCCAGGGAGGGAGGAGCTGCACAGAGAGAAAGAAAAAAAGCTGTGTAGATCTGCTGAGAGTCCCTCAAGTCTTGCTGAGGATGGGTCTGCACATGGATGAGAGTAAATTCTCCAAGGCCCCAGGGAAACCTTCCAGAAAACAAAAGACCAAATAATTCGTGAAGCTCATCTTATATTCCCACCAGGCAGAGTGGACAAACATAATAACACACAGGGAATGAGGTAGAGTTATCAGAAGGGTACAATCTTAGTAGCTAATTTAAATTATCTATATAATAAAGGCTGTCCTAGACACACCCTAACAAAGCTTCAAGCAAGCCACAAAAGGATGCTACTGATTCTAAGTAACAGAACTGCATATCAGAACAAGTCCAACACTATATAAAGGAATACAACCAAAGCTAACACCTAACAGCATAAAATTCCTGGCATCTAACCTAAATTTACCAGACATGTAAATAAACAGAAAAATATTACACCCAATCAGGAGAAAAGAAATCAATCACTGGAATCAGAGACAGAAATAATAATTGATTAAATTAGCTAGGGACATTACCTAAATTACATAGGGACACTGAAACTGATATTATAAATATGCTTCATAAGTTTAAAAATATAAAGAAAAGCATGGGTATAACAAGGAAATATATGGAAGATCCATTTTAAAAAGACAAAAATGGAACTTCTAGCAATACAAACTAAAATGTCTCAAATGAAAATAAACTGCATGGGATTAATAGCAGAATAATTCCTATGAAAGAAAAAAGCAATCAGTGAACTTGAAGACATAGCAATAATAACTATTCAAAATGAAGCATAGACAGATAAAAATACTTAAAAAATAAACAGAACATCAATGACCTATGCAGCAATACAGAGTAGTCTAACATACAGGTAAGTGAAGTATCAGAAAGAGAGTGGAAGTAAACTAACAAAATTTGAAACTATTATCACCAAAATTTTTCCAAAATCAATCATAACTATGAATTCACAGATTCAAGAAGTTTAACCAACTTTAAGATGAATAACCATAAAGAAAAGCACATGAAGGTACAATATAATTATAATGCCTGAAACCACTGAGAAAGAGAAAACCTTACAAGCATCAAGAGGAAAAAATAGATACAATGTAAACAGTGGAAGAAAGATAAGAATAGTATCAGACTTCTTGTCAGGAACGATGTAAGGCAGAAGACAATGAATTCACATCTTTAAAGTACTGAAAGGAAAAACCATCAACCTAGAATTCTATACCCAGTGAAAATAATTATTTTAAATAAAGGCAAAATACTCTTTTAAACAAGTAAGATCTGAGAAAATTAATGGCCAGCACACCAACACCATAAGAAAGATTAAAGTAAATTATTTGGACAGAAAATAGATGATACCAAATGGAAGTCTGAACATACACAAAGAAATAAAGAAAGGTAGAAAGGGTAAATACCTTTACCCTTTACTATAAAAGACATTTTTAGGCCAGGCATGGTGGCTCATGGCTGTAATCCTAGCACTTTGGGTGGCTGAGGTGGGTGGATCACCTGAGATCAGGAGTTCAAGACCAGCCTGGCCAATGTGTAGAAACCCCATCTCTACTAAAAAAAAAAAAATACAAAAATTAGCTGAGCATGGTGGCACAGCCTATGGTCCCAGCTACTCAGGAGGCTGAGGTGTGAGGATCACTTGAATCCAGGAGGCAGAGGTTGCAGTGAGCCAAGATCACACCACTGCACTCCAACCTGGACAACAGAGTGAGACTCTGTCTCAAATAAAAAAAAAAAAGACATTTTTAACACTTTTAACTTTAAATGATAAATAACTGCTTAAAGCAATAATAACAATATATTGTGGAGCTTATAAAATATAACACATTTAAATGTATAAAAATAGCACAAAGGATGGGGAAAAAGAAGGGAAGGAGAACTAGACTGTCATAACTTTCATCCATCGTATATAACATGACATATTACTTAAAACACATTACTATAAGTTAAAAATCTATGTTGTAATATTAAAACAATAGCTGAAAATAAATAAAAGATATATAGTTAATAAGCCAATAATGGGACAAAAGTGGAAATTTTTTAAAAACACACATAAATGCAAAAGAGGAAAAAAGAAACAAAGAAAAGGCAAGATAAATAAAAAACAGCAAGTTGGTAGATTTAAATCTGGCAATATTAATAATTAAAAGTACGTGGTGCAAATATTTCAATTAAAGGCGTAGGTTGTCAGAGAAGTAGGTTAAAATATAAGACCCAAATACATACTCTAAGTAAGAAAGCTTCTAAAGACACAAAAAGGCTAAAAATAAAAAGACAGCAAATGACAGACTGTGTAAACTAAACATTAAAAAAAAAGAGAGAGGGTGGAGAGGAATGAAGGAAGGAAGGTAGAGTAACTGTATTAGTATCAAACATAGTAAAGAAATTAAAAGGGACGTTTCGTAATGATAAAGGGGTCTATTCATCAAGAGAACAAAACAATCCTAAACACATATATACCTAATGAAGGCTTCAAAATACATGAAGAAAAACTAAGAAAACTGAAAACAGATCGTGATTATAGTTGGAGAGTTCCAACACTGCTATCAATAATTGACAGAAAAAGTAAACAGAAAACATTAAGGATATTGATTTTGCAGAATTAAACAAAAGACAATCTTCACTTTTCTTCATTATACTTTGATAGATTACTCCCCTTCTTAATACATATGACACATACCAACTTCTTTCCAAACCAGTTCAGCACACAGTACATTGTAACTACAGTAGACTCCAACTCACACTATGCTTCAGTAAGAAGCTTCCAAGCACATAGATAGAGAAACCCAAAGACAGCAAGATAATTGGGGAAGATGAGCTATTTTTCTCCTCACTAGATCTGTAATTCAGGCAAGCAAAAAGCCTCAACATGTTTGCCTCATTCCTTTTGTATACAGTGACCCCAGACTATATCCTTGCTCTTCACAATACATATGTCCAGTTGTGCTTTGAATGAGTCAGCCATCCCAAAGCAAACATTTATGTTCACACATTTATGTATGTGTATTGGCTCATGGTGTCAGACACTCTTACAAAGCATTCTTTACTGCCTTAGACTCTTTGACAGAGATCCCACATTCTAGTATATACTCTTTCCTTTTTCTAGCCACAGCAGTTCAGATTATTTCTACACATTATGATGAATAAGCTGACATCAAGTATCAATAGTAGATTCTCCTCCAGAGCAAGTTAATTAACACAATTCTCAATGTAAATTAGTAAACTGAGCAACTGGTGTAATTTATCAACTCAAAGAATGTCTCTCTCTCTCTCTCTCTCTGACTCACTCTCGCTCTCTGGATCTCTCTTATTCTTCCTATACTGTCAAGTAAGATTCTAATCTTACTGAAGTGATTATCTTGCAGCTTTGAATTGCTTTGCATGAAATGTTTTTATTCGTTAATGATTCAGTCATGTAATCATGAAGGCAAGGTTGTCAGCAACTCTCCTGCCCAATGGACTGTCTTCGATGTCCACAGTTCAGGCGCTGGCCAGCTGCTCACTCGGGCAAGTCTCTAAAGGTTCCTGGACAATTATCTCAGGCACTGCTTGTCCAACAGAGGACACAGAGGAAACAACAGATTCTGGGGCCTACTTGAGGCTTGAGGAGGGAGAGCATCAGAAAAAGTAACTATTGAGTGCTATGCTTAGTACCTGCGTGGTGAAATAATCTGTACACCAAACCCCTGTGACATGAGTTTCCCTATATAACAAACCTGCACATGGACCCCTGAGCCTAAAATAAAAGTTTAAACATTAAAAAAAAAAAAAGATGTGGGGGGTAGGGGAGCATCTTTACCGTATCAGAAGCTTAGGTTTTCATATTCAGACAACTGTAGGTATGAGTATAAATAAGTAGGCGTAGGAGTAGGATTGCTAGCTGTTTAGAGAGAGTGTCATGATGGGGTAATAGAACAGAAGTAGGGAGATATTGTAAAAGAAAGAAAATGAACTTTGTAGTCAAAAGGTCCACGTTCAAATTCTAGTTGTATTTTGTACTAGCTGTGAGATCTTACACAAATAACTTATGTTCTCCTAGCTTTGGTTCACTCAGGTCTAAATGGAAATAATAAGGTAATTAGGAGGATTCACTGTAACAATGGAGGTAAGGTTTCTGACATCTAAGAAACATGTTGCATGGTAGCAGCTAATGGCTCCCAACCCAAAAGTTGAACGACCAATCAACTGTGCTGTCCTACTTCCCTTTCCCTAGGGGAATTGGCAAATTTGGCAAAGTGAGCTGTATCCGGGGAAATTCGGTAACCCACCAGGTAGATGAATGCCCTAATCTAAGATCAAAATCCAGAGGCAAATCTAAGACCAAAATCCGGGGAATCACCAAACCTAGTAACAAAATCCTTATTTTGTTTATTCTTTCATTAGTTCAGTCACTCAAGTAACAACAACAACAAAACCCAGGCACTATGTGCCTTCCCTGGGCCAGCTACTCTACAGAGCTTTGCAGTCCCTGACTTCCACTAGTTTATAGTCTTATGGGCAGAGACACGTCTTAATGAAGCCCTGAAATGTTTCATAGGGGTTTTAAGATAAGGAAATTTCTTCTGTTTACATCCTTTGTAACCTTTTTTGAACACAGACAACCAAAGTGTGAGAACTTAAAATCCCAGCCCAGACCCCATTTTCCTTAGCCCTGGCACCTACTCCCTGTCAGTGTGTGGGTAAGTAATTGCATGTGGCTTAGTTAGGTGCCCCGGATTCTGGGAGTTAGGGAAATTATGCATAGATCTGCCATTAACACTAATGGGGGGTTAGGCGCACAAATCCTCCACACACCAAGAAAAAAACAGACTTTTCTCATTCATACATAATAGATCTGTAGAAAAATTAGCATGTATGCTTTTAGGAGCTGCTGAAGATGTACCTTTTATGGGAAATATGTAAATAAGGAGAGAGGATACACTGAAGGACAAGTGCTGTAATGTGCTCCTTTTCTGATGCCTGGGCACCTTGTCAATTTTGCTGCTGCATAAAGTAGGACTAGGCTTGCCTCTGCAGAGATTCCCCAGCGCATTCACCTTCCTGGTGTGTTACCAAATTTCCCCAGACACAGCTTGCTCTGCCAAATTTGCCAGTTCCCCCAGGAAATGGGAAGTAGGACAGTGCAGTTGATGGGCCAGCAAGCAAGTACTGTTATGGACCTTTTCCATGGAAGTGTTTCTTTTTTTTTCTTAGAAGCTATTATTAAATAGCCTTATAATTTAAGCAGTCTTAGAAACAAGGAAATACGGTATTCACTGTAGGAGGGCAGATCCTCCCAGTCAGCTAGAATCACCCCTGAAGGCCACAGAAATCACGGTGCTGGGCCGACTGGTTTTGTCGGTGAAAGGGAGGGAAGGCCCTGTCTGCATCTTCCGTTTTTCCGCCTCAGCCCACAGAGGAAGGAATTCTCTTTCCTTAACTTCTCTGTCATCCCCTTCTAAGCTCCTCCCCACCAGCCAAGTTGCTAATCCAATATATTGGACCACATTTTACTAGTGGGCAGTCATGGCAGAGGAAACTAATTATCATGCAGAAGGACAAGGATGCCTCTTCCTGTGCACACTTTCCAGGCTGGCACAAAGCCAGCCTCTTTCTTCTACTGAAGAGTCCAGCATCCTCCCTCCTGCCCACAACCAGGAATCTATCCCTTGCTTCTTGTCCCCTTGGGTATGCTCTCCAAAGCAGGCTGTCCACAGACCCAGCCTTCCTCTTAGCTGTGTCTGATCTAGATCCCTGACCAGTGGTTGTTGCAAGAGCCTGGCATTTGCTCTGTAATCAGGTGAGTAGGAGGATGGAATAGGAAACCTTACTGGGGAGGCCAGTCACACTTACCATGGATGACCTGCATTCGGAGGGTGATTATTAGAGTTGTATCAGGGCTTTCCTGGATTCCAGTAAAAGCCACTGAACTCCATACCTTATGTGTGTCACTTCCTGAACATATCCCAGAAGAAAGGAGCACCGAGGCACCAAACACCAAAGGTGTTTTTACTTTAATATGTTAAACTCAGGACATACATTAATTACAGATTCACTTCCTTCTTTTGTAGATGTCCTTAAGGCTTTGACTACTAACCCATGCTTCTTCAGGAAACTCCGATCAGTGGAGAGAATGAGTTGAACCAATTGTGTCCAAGTCATGGTTTCAAGGTCTTTGTGTCTAAAGGGTGGAGCATGCATGTTAACTTCGGGAGACTGTAGCGGTAAGTACGGAATGGCCTGAAAATTTCCAGCCAGTAGCCAGGCAGCTACCTGAAACTGAGGTCTGGAAAAGAGAGTTGTAAAGAAATGTTTTGAGTGTAGTGCTTTATTTCATACAGGACTACCGTGAGCTGATAGCAGTGAACCCTATCCTGCAACAAACTCTGTTCTGCAGATCCCCCAGAGCTTGCTATGTACCAAGGACAGCTCAAGAAACATATAGACAGACACGGGTAGCTCTTCCCATGTGGAATGTAAGATTTATCACCACCAAGACATAACCAGAATTCCCAGTCCCAACTCAAGCCTAAACCCCTGCGATGCTGACCCCATGCTCTGAAAAAAGGGAAAACGGTCACAAAATTCCACTGAAATGCCCATGATCTGGAAAGCAAAGCAGCACACGCAGACACACAAAGCACCCTTTACTCATGGAATCCAGAGGCACTGAGTCCTGGCCCTAGTACTGCCCTGTGAAATCACAGCTGTGTAGCAATTTGGGCTACCATCTTCTAATTCATCATTCTAAAAATCTAACAGCTCAAATCTTTTCCAGAATTGTTATTTGAATTTTCCTAAAAATGGTTGTGCAATGGAATGGATAGGAGAAAAAGAGACAAGAAGCAATCCTCAAAGGAACTACAGCAATTAGAATAAACCAGAGATCTGATAACATGGAAAAACCCATCCCTCCATTAGTCAAAGAAAAATAATTTAATTGTCACCATAATCAAAGTGTGCTCCTATCAGGTATATTAAATGGAAATTGACATTTTTGTGAGGGAATCAAGTTAAAGCCTAGAATTATATCTTTTATGTAGTTTAAAATCTCAATTAGACTGTTTTTTCTACTATCAGTTTTTATCCTGAATGACAGCATTGGAAGGAGAGAGTTAAAGAAATTACAAAAAAAAAAAAAAAGAGAGAGAAAGAAAGATTGAACTGGCATTGCACATGCAAATGAATGCATTATGGTAGTGGGGTTTTTTTTCCACTGAATAAATTTACATTTACATCAGTTGGATCTGATGTAATTCTGCAACCAATGAAACTTAAATATATACATATTTTGTCATAAAAGCCCTCACAGCTCTAAACTTTTGGTTAAGATCTATTGTAAAACTAAGAATAAATTTCAGTCAACCAATTTTAGATTTGGCAACTTTTATTACTCATTTTACCCAGAAGTACACTTTAACTGGCACTTAACAATACTCAGTAGAAGTCTTGTCCAGTTTTCCTGTTAATTCCCTAGATTTTGTAACTATTCTCATAAATGGATGAAATTTTATAAACGCTCACTATAAAGAATGAATAATATAAATTGTCTGCTCTTGGCCAAGGACATGCTTGTGTGTGTGTGTGTGTGTGTGTGTGTGTGTGTGTATGTGTTACATGGCAACTATTCACATTTTTCCACTGAATTGATAATTGATCACAAAATTTAAAAAGTGGCAAAAATTGGTGAAGAAATAACTTCCTTTAGCTTAAGCAGTCACCCTGCTCCTCTGTTTCTTGCTTATGTTAGCTGTTGGAAAATAGTTAACACAGTCCTAGGCATTTGACCTGGTCACCTAAGGAGGCAGTGTCAATTAGTATGCAAGTAAAACAGCACAGAAACAAGCAACAGCAGCTACTCTAACATTCTAAGTGATCTTTCTATGTAATTACAATTTGTTTCATCACAGTCATTTCACATGACAAATTAGTGAAGCTGAGATCAGGGAGCTTTGCACAGTGGGGCTGTGTCAAGATTATAAAAGAGTAACCTGCCACTAAGTTGTCAAATTTAAGGGAAAGATGCAATTTCAAAGACTTTGTAATAATAAATATTTGTCAAGTGCCTATGTGCCAGACACTGTCAGATGAACTCTTAATTCTCCCAATAGCCTTACAAAGTAGGCATTATGGTTGCCATTTTATAGATGAGAAAACTAAGGGACAGAGAGGGAAATTCCATGTCTGAGTCCCACAGTTTGTAAGTGGCAGAGCTAGGACATAGCCCAACTTGGCCTGATTCTAAAGGCTGAGCTCTTCCCATGATGTGGCTGTACCTACAGGAAATCAGAAAAAGAATGGCTATTATCAGCAAAAATCACAGGAGTATATTTTACTAGCAGACAGAACAATGACTGTGATGGAAAGAATTTTCTAACAAGCCCACTGAAATCATTTTTGAAGATACCCACATCAGAACAATTGTAATACTAGAGACCTAATGATGTTCTTGTATTTATAAGGATCTTTTGCCTTGGATGGCTAACATTTCATGATTCAATCACAAAATCATATAAAATAGCTAATGGTAGCTATACCAAATCAGTAGCTCTCAGATTTCAGGAAGTGTTAGAATCACCTTGTGTTCATTAAAATATAGATTCCAAGGTCCCTGCCCCACCCAAAACTTAACCACTGGTTTTAGAGTGAGTGGGCCTAGGAATCTGTATTTGTGTCAGGCAACTGGTGATTCAGTTAATGGGGGTGGGGAAGGGATCTCAGTATCATGCCTTGAGAAACACTGGTGGGTATCAGAGAGTAATTACATAACCTGTTCAGTACCCTATACCATGAGTGATGGGGACGGGGGCATCTCCTCCCAGCACTCTAAGGAGATGACCACTTTCCTTAGCCTGCAGCTATTTTCACAGGAGGTGATCTCATGCAGTAAATTATGGGTGCATGGCTACCTTAGTCCCCAGATTCCATATCCCATCTCTGACTCTTCAGGCTTTTTATTCCCAATACCCACTCAGTCTTTTTTTCCTCTCATTTTCCCAATCTTTTCCATTCTCCAGGCCTTCTAAGCCCTCAGTGGGACCCCACACATTTAAAAAGGCCTTGACAACAATAAATGTATTTTAAATACCCAGCACCATGTTGAAGTCCATTCCCAGTGGTCAGAGCATGTACCCAGCAGTTCTGCCAGTTACTTAAATGCCACAACAGTGTGAAGTGAGGAAACCTTTCCTCCCTGTGTACCAGGGTCATGTTAGGAATTCACTACAGGCCTAGCGTACACAAGTCTATTTTCTGGTTCAAGATCCAGGAAAGAAAGTTTCAACCTCAGAATTCACATATTCAGCCCCCAAGCTCCCCCAGATGGAAGGGAGTCTCCCACAACACCAGGTCTTATGTGTGAGCCTCAGCACAGTGGTTTCTGCTTCCTCTTTCTACTTGTCTGTATGCTCCATCCAAGCTAGAGCACTTTAAGAACAGAGGCTGTGCTGTTTTTATTCCTGAATTCCCAGGGCTTAGCCCAGCGCTAGGAACATAACAAATGCTCAATAAATGTTTTTAAGTAAAGGCATATCAAGGAAATTAATCAAACAACAAATCGACTGAGTCTGGGGGAGGCAGCCCATTACTGCAGGTGTGTTTGATTCTCTGCACTTGTCACCCCCCATTCCTTCACCAGGACGTACATTTTTTCCTGATATACTTATAATGCAATCTGTAGACTGGAAAAGAAGTACCCTTGAACTTGAGTTAGGCTCTTTATACACTAAATGAAAATTACCATATTCTTCTATGTGTTGTTTGTTTTGTGTGTTCTTTGATTTTTATAAGAAAATACTGTCCTTCCCTGTCTGTGGAAAGGCTTTACCCCGACACACTAGAAAGAATGGCTGGAGGAACATGAACTCCTTACTGTGTCTGTATGGGTGTGATTTATTGTACTTTCCTTTATTGCAGGGCAGCCGAGGCAGGGGCAGCCATGGTGGCATGATGTAAGGTCATCACACATTCTTGGGCAGCACTTGGTGTTTCTCAGGTGCTCTGCTTATTTACCATCCCTGCAGCACCTCCAGGAAGGGAGGTCAGCATATTCTTCAGGGCTTAGCAGCAGAGGGATTGAAAACCCAGAAGAGTAAGAGGCAGGTGGTGCTGAGTCAGGGCTCAAACCATCTCCTCCTGCCAGGACTGCAGAATTCATTCCTTTGGGAGGGGCTTTGCAAAGCCTCTGCAGACTTCTGGATGGAAAGACCTGGTGACACACTGCAAGAAGCCAATTCAATCTGTTTATTTCAGAAGAAAAAGGGAATGAAAATTGAACCTTGAAATGTACACTCTGGGGATCCACAAACTCTCCGGTGGTGAGGAGCTACAAGCAATGTTTAAGCCACATGCAGGAGTATTTTACAAAGTTATTTACAAGATTAATCATTGGTGTCCATACGTGTGCTGTTAGTAGTGTTGTGGTGGCCCATACCCAGTGGGCAGGCTGGAAAGCAGTTCCTGAGATGCCAGTTCCCACAGGAACCCCAGCAGTTCTTGGATGCCTTGCTTTGCATTAGGTAAGGTTAGTGCAGGGTACAAAATGTGTTTACTTGGATCAGTAACTTGGAACACAAAGCAATGAATTCTATTTTGCCTGGACCTCTACCTCCCCAGCACACACAAAGACAAAGGTATTGTGAAATTTTCACCGCTGGATTTACTAGAGAAGTAGCCAGGATGAGACTTGGGTTTGCAAACCTAAAGAACTAAGCAGTGGTTTTAGTCAGCTTAGGCTGCTATAACAAAGCACATTAGACTTGAGGGCTTATAAACAACAGGAATTTGTTTCTCATGAATTCTGGAGGCTGGAATTCCGAGTTCAGGGTGCCAGCATGGTGAGGTTCTTCTAGATTGCAGACTACCGACTTATTATATCCTCACATAGCAGGAAGAAGGCAAGAGAGCTCTCTGGGGTCTCTTTTATAAAGGCACTAATTCCATTCTTAAGGCTCTGCCCTCATGATCTAATTACCTCCCAAAGGCCCCACTCCCTAAAACCATCATATTGGGAGTTAGGATTTCAACATGTGAATTTGGGGAGGAACAAACATTCAGTCAATTGCAGCAGGGTTAGTGCCCTCTGTGCTGGAAGAGCAATAGAGGGGAGGTAGAGAGATGAAGGTTAGAGACAGCCTTCATGGTTAACAGTATGGGCCTCACAATAACACCAAGTGTGGTCCAAGGACCAGCAGCATCAGCGTCACCAGGGAGCTAGTTAGAAATGCTAAACATTGGATCCCACTTAGACATACTGATGGTCAGAATCTCTAGGGCTGGAGTCCAGGAATCTGTGTTTTAATAAGTGTTTCAAATGATTCTTATGTGTGTTAAAGACTGAGAAGCACTGGCCCTGGACTTAGACGCTCAGGTCAGATAGTCTGGGCTTGTATCCTTCCCCATCATTCTTCTGCTGTGTGAGCTCCCCAGGTCTCCATTCTTTTCTTTGTAAACTAGGTATAACAATAATGCCTACTTCACGGGGTTGTTGTGTGGTCAGGATGATAAGATAATGTGTGTAAAGCACTTAGATCAGGATCTGGCAAATAAGCACTTACCAAAAGTATGCAGAATAAAATATAGACTTTCCCTTTACAAACCCTTAAACCCCACTTCTACCCAGAGCTCATGCTCCCAACTACCTTCCAAGGTCACCTCTTAGCCCACTGTCAACTCTAACTCACAAACCCTTGTATCTTGCCTAAGACTATTCATGATTCATTCATTCATAGGTCATAGGCAGTCCACAGGCATTCTTCTTCAATACCCTACTAAAACTTCTGTATTCCCCAACAGCTCAGGAATCAGCTGTGGATTCTGCCAGTCTTGGCTTGGGTTGGGAGGAGACCACATGATGTGTCTTCTCAAGAAGAAAGAAAATTCTAGAGAACCACCATGAAGTCTGGAGGCACTTATGAAAACAATGGGCTGGAACTCACTTCTCATCTTAGATTGGCTGTTTAATGAATGTTTATTGAGTAAGTTAATGAATGAAATTCACTCAACTTGGAAAATACAGTCTCAGGTTATGGTGGCAGGAGACTGGACTGGGTTTCTTCCCTCTGTTTATTCCAGAGATTTTTTTTTATGGTTCATTGACCCATTTAGAGGTGTCCGGGCAGCTTTTTTTATTTTGGCAACCTGCCAGTTTTATATGTATGCTAAACAGGCTCCTTTTCATATAAAATAATCACAATTTAACACAATTTTTTACATTTGCTTTTCTTTTCTTCCTTCCTTCCTTCTTTCCTTCCTTCCTTCTTTCATTCCTTCCTTCCTTCCTCCCTCCCTCCCTCCTCTTTCTCTCTCTTCCTTCCTTCTTTCCTTCCTTCCTCTCTGTCTCTCTCTCTGTCTCTCTTTCTTTCTTCTTTTCTTCCTTTCTTTTGTGTGGGTCTCACTACATTGCCCAGGCTGGTTTCAAATTACTGGCTTCAAGCGATCCTCCTGCCTCAGCCTCTCAAGTAGATGAGATTACAGGCAGAAGCAACTGCACCCAGCAACAAATAGTACTTTGATTCATTCCTAAGAAAGGCATTGAAATAAACAAAGAAAGATTACTATAGCCGTGGATTCATTTGGTCGATTGTTAGAGAAAGTGAAAGTCAAATCTTAAGCCTAATGAGTCAGGTAACAGTGAATGCTGATGTGTGTATGTGTGCGTGTGAGTGTGTGTGTGTGCGCATGCTTGTATGTATAAACAAAAGAAGGCAGCTAGGTCAGGGGAGGAAATACATTCCAATAGTACAGAAAAATACACACACACACACAGATAGGGATAGAGAGATAGAGAGAGAGATAGAAGAAAAGATCTGAAAATTTTTCCTTTCTCCAACCCTGCAAAGACTTAGAAGTACTCCAAATGAGTGCTTTTCAAACTATCTGTGGTGAAGAAAAAGTTTTTGTTATTTGGTTTTGCTTTTTACTTTCCTATGAGTTATGGACTAACACTACAAATGCTCTAAAATGAATTATTTTAAAAATAATATAAAATAAGTATACACAAAATAAATGACACTATCATTCCAGACATCTCTTACCCCGAGCTTGCCCTTGGGCTGAAGGAACTAGACACCAAACCATGTAAGAATCCACCTCTAAAATTCCAAGACTATCAAGTGAGCAAATGATATGGCATGGTTGCCCAAAGAAGTGGGTGACAGTAGTAGCAGAAATAGAACAGCTGTCTTCACCCCTGTTCCCCTGCCAGGTGATCCAGCATTCTGGGGACAGCCCACTGATTTCAATGATGAAGGCACATTCTAGTGGCCAGCGGCAGCTCAGCAGAGAGGACTACAAAGAGAGGAGCTACAAGAAAACTTCCTGTTGCCTCCCATGGAGATTTGGCAAGGCTTCGTATGCATATTTGTTATTTATTTTCTTCTTGAATTATACTTATTTCTCTAATCTTGTGCAAACAGTTCTTGCAAGAAGTGAGGACTGAGGAGACTGAGCTTGCTGTGAAATGTGAATTCCTAAGTGCAGCAAGGACACGGCTAAGAGGGTAAGAGCAATGCCTAGGCCCTCTCTCGGTGGCAACATTAACATGAGAGGGACTTTGAACTCCTGGATGCCCTGACATTTCTTCTGCCATTTGCTGTTCTGCTCCTTTGCCTCCCGCTCAATGTCCACCCTTTTAATAGTGCCATTTCATTCCTCAGACAAACACTGCTTACTCCCTCTGCCCACCACACTCCATTTCTGTCATTCCTTTGGGGCTTATTGGCTTTGTTTCTGGCCTGTGGCTTTTTGTGTGCTAGCGCTTCCTCTCCAAAATATGCCTGTTAAAAAGTATAAGCTATAAGTAGGGAGCAAATAAATATGGCAGTAACAATAAAACCATGATTTCTTTGAGAAGTCTCCCTTGATTTCATGAGATGTCTCAGATTCCCCAGAAAAGTCATGCTATACTCAGAGCTCGCAGAATGATGAATACATTTCACAAAAGTGTCCCCACTTACTCTAAATCATGAGCTTCATACATTAGCTTGACCCTTGTTGACTCTAGCAATGTGCCGTAGCACACAATTCACTCTCTCTGAGCTTTGTTCTTGCCTTTCTTTGTGGTTGGGTTGTCACGATTGCCACATGGCCCTCAGTGCACACACAGAGCCATAAGGAATATCCTTTCTAGTTATAAGCACAGATTTCCAAGTCAGGCAGAACTACATTTAAGTCTTGGGTCCACCATGTGGCAGCTGTATGACCTTGGACAGGTTACTTAGAGTCATGGAGACCTGGTGTACTCATCTATAAAATGGAAATGACGATAGCACCTGGCCCAGAGGGTTACTGTGAGGATTAAATTAGATGGTATATATAAAGTTATTGCAGTGCCTGGGACATAGTAGACACTCAATAAAAGTTAGCTATTATTGTAATCTGTCCTGGGGGACAGGAGGCACACCATGTCCTCTAACAGGTAACAAAGAACATTTGAAGAAATTGAGCTGAAAAATAAAATATAAGTGAATATGATTGTTGATTCCTATAACCCTGCTCATTTATTCAGGATGTGTTTACTCAGGACCTACTTAGTGCTGGTTACTGTGTTAGGTTAATAAGGCAGGATGCCTTAATGAGGAGCTCACACATATTGGAAAAAGCAAACCCATAAAAAGAAAATAACAATTCTTGTATCATCTTTGCTAGCCAAACAAATATCTGAGGGTATGAACTGATGTTAAGCTGTGTCCTTGGGAAACCTGATCGCTTGTAAAAACCTACCTGAAGTAATGATCCCCTGAGCTCTGGCTCACATTTGAGGCAGCTTTGAGGACAAGTGCACATGGGGTAAGGAAGGGGGCATGGCTTCCCTAGGGCCTGATCTAAAAGGGCACCCCAAACCCAAAAGATTTAAGGCCCAGGAATGTCTGTCAACAGTAGTTGTTATGGCAGACCCACCGATGCACATCAGGAAGGCAACCAACGAGACTCAAGCCAAATTCCCCGCTTTAAATTAACTTCTCGGCACATATTTCTGCAGGGTGTGTGCAGCTCTAGAAGGCAGCAGCAGCAGGGGCCCAGACCACTGCTTTTCTTTCCTCTGTTGTTTATAAAATTGAAGAGAGAAAAAGCAGCATTGGTCTCAAATTAATCTTCTCCTCCTCAGTCTAAAGGATGTGAGCATCAAGTCCATCATCTCCGAGCAAAACGTTGTGCGTGTTCTCTTGAACAAAGAGCATCTGTGACCAGTGGACTTGCCTGTTACCAGTACGCGATAAAGGGGACAGCGTAACAACCTCAGCCTTGGTGGCAGCTGCTTTCTTTCTTTTTCTCTTTTCTTTCTTTTTTTTTAATGCCTTTTTCAGAGGCAGCAGAAAAGGCTTTTCTTTAAAGAAGATTTCCTGGTTTGAGGGAGGGTTAAATAAACAAATGATAACAACACCAATCAACCCTCTTTGCTTACAGCCTGCAGAGTCAATCTGCCTCCTTGCTGTGGAGCTACCAACCAGCAAAGGCAAACTAATTAGACACAGACAAACACTTAGGCAATCACACCTTGTGAATGTAAGCGTCTTCCTGTCATTTGGCAAGTCTCTCAGCTGCCTCTGAGCGTGAGACAACAAATCCCCTGCAAACAAGTTCCTCACGCTCCCCGTTAGTGAGACCTAACGGATCACAATGGCTAGAGGTGAAAGGTGGCAGTCTCGTCAGGTAATGACATCTCTCCAACAGCCCATATTAAAACAGCGGCACTTGTTTAGACTAGCCTATTTGCACCTACCTACAGAGGGCCTTTTTAATGTAATTATTGGCCTCTGCCGCCTTGCTTAGGATTTGAAAATATCGTTCATTTTCATCTTGCTTCAGCTACCGCTGCTATCTCCTATTCAGGCTCAGTCACCTCATCTTCCCACAACTAAGTGTAGAAACAAGCATAAGCTGGAAGAGATGAATTAACAAGAACAAGTTGGCAGGTGAGCTATGTGACAAAAAAAAAAAAAAAAAAGAAGGGATTTGACAATATATTCTAATCACTACCTGTCTGTGGAAATCTTGAAAAATTTAAATGGCTTTTCTTAGCAAGACCAAAAAGCTATTGCAATAATTGACCAAACCTATAGATGTAAAAGCAAAGAGGCTGGAATCTAGTAATAGTATGCAGCTGGTAAACAACTATATGTTGCTTTAAAAAACAAACAAACAAAAAAAAAAAACAGAAGGAGGCAAGAATCTATTGACAGGCTGGGCTAGGAGTTCTGATAACTGCTCATCATAGTGCAGAATTTGGCCTTTGACATTTTAAGTAGCTGGAAGGGATGGTCCCACCTGACCTCACTCTGTATTATACAAACAAATGTATCATCATGTAAAAGTTTGGCTGATACATTACAGACCTGTAGGTCAAAGACCAGAATTTCTAAGTCCCCCGAATGGTTTCCATCTCTGCTTATAAGTGTCCAGGTCATATTCGGGCAGAGCAGTGGGGCATTTTATCTACCCACTATTAATTGTTAAATATCTGCTGTTGCTTGGAGCTGTGCTCACTTAAAAATGATGCAGTTGACTTTCTGTCGAGATGGCTTTCAATCTTGCTCCTCAAACCTTACTGGTGCTCTCGTTGCTCTGTAGTTTATGGCCATCACTTATTAATGGTTATAAACAGGGATGATTTTTTTCAAAGGTAACAACAGCTTAAACTGTCACTGAGGAGAGGCGTTTGTATAAAGGAATGCACAGCTTCCTCTCTTCTTCCTGTATTTTTCCTTTAGTCTCTTCTCCTTTATCTTCTTTCTCTCCATCCCCCTTCCCCATGGAAGGGGCAGATTTTACAGAAGTCAGCTTCCAGAAGAGCTTTGAATGAGAAGAATAATTAGGGCCACAGAGACTCCAGGATGCAAATAGTATGGGATAAATCTCCAGGACAGAAAAAAATTTTAAAAAAGGCCACCTGTAAAGAGAGTGCCTAGAAGGAGTATTTATTCTACGTGTCTTGACCTATTACTTTGTGCCAGGTACCGTGCTAGGCAAGCAGGGTAGGAAGAAAAATGTGAAATGGTCCCTGTTCCAATATACTGAGGAAAAGAGAAATCATGGCAACTGCGAGATGATTCCACCCTTGACCTTCTGATTCTAAATCAGCTGCTTATCAGTGCATTAGCCACTCTGTTAACACCGATTCAGAATTACTAGGAAGAGATTACGGCTCACAACTGAAAATGAGGACAAAAATTCAAATTCAAAACAGCAAATGAGAGGAGATTAGAGAGAAAGGACATTGTTTTTCTAGTAAATGACACAATTTTAACAAAAACTTTTAGACAAGAAAATAAGAGAAACAAGATCAGACTTTTACTCTCCTCTCACTGACTCTTTTCAATACAGGAGACAGGACTCCAGGAGAAAGACGGGGGCATAGAGCAATGCCTGTAATGCCCATTCACTCTTCAACTTCTGATCCAAGTAATCAAAAAGATTCACAAAAGGACAAAAATTGGCAACAGCCCTGAAAGCTGATCATGACAGGTAATCATAGGCGATGTTCAAGGAGGAGGCTCCACTAACTGCTAAAATAAGTGAGGATAGATTTAAAAGCACACTCTTAGGATGTACACATAGTATCTTTTGAATCCAAACAATATGGAGGACCTTGAAAATGATAGAGAAGGACTTTGATCCCAGTGTCTGCTCCCAACCCCAGGGTGCACTAATCAAGAAAGGTGCATTGACCAAGAAAGTCTCCGGCCACCCTTCAGTGGCATTGGATTGCCCCCTGAGCTTCCAGAAATAACTGCTGCCCAGCAATGCCTGCTTGACATCATTCCTATGGAGGCAGCACATGAGTCTGAAGGATTAAATGGCAGAATCTCGCATCTTGGGATATAGAGTCTCCTGCAGAAAAGAAGGGAGACTTTTCTCCCTTGCAGAAAGGCAAGGAAGGAGTCAGGAAAAGTTGTGGGAGAAGACACATGGAAGTGCATTGACTTTTAGGATCTACCATGTCACAGGAACCACTGCAGCCTCCTCCCCACTCTCCAACACAGCCAGGGACCCCATCCTCCACAAGGCCAGAGGCTGAGCCCAGCAGACGGCCCTCCACCCGTAGCCATGTGACTCTAACAGTCCAAAGTGTTTTCACCCAAGTGAACAATGAGGGGCTTTAGGCCTGCTCACGAACCTCCCAATCTAGTGGCAAATGCCTCATTTGGATGGATGCCCCCCCAGTGCTTAGAAAATGAGAAAGGGGAAAGTACTGGGGATTGTGAGAAAACAAACTCTATACCAAAAAAAGGTATATCCCAGAATATTCAGATCACAGCTCAAAAATGTTTCTACAGGAAAATTTTTAAAATACTGGAAAATATTTGCTAGTCCTTCATGAAACCAAGGCAGGGATACATGGGGTAGAATACTATGAAGCAAAGGAAGAGCTGAAAAGGAAACTAGGGAAAAAGGGCAGGACATCTAAAATGGAATCTTCCAGTAGAAAATCTGCATTAGAGGCAAGAATAAGGAAAATTATCACTATCCTTTTCCTCTATGTTCTTGGGAACTTTCTCAACTGCCTTCTCCAAATTACTGTTTGTTTTCTATAGAGATGCAATATAAAAAATGGAAAGACAAGCCTGGGCACAGTGGCTCACGCCTGTAATCCCAGCACTTTGGGAGGCTGACACGGGCAGATCACCTGAGGTCAGGAGTTCGAGACCGGCCTGGCCAACATGGTGAAACCCCGTCTCTACTAAAAATACAAAAAATTAGATGGGCATGGTCGGGGGAGCCTGTAATCCCAGCTACCTGGGAGGCTGAGGCAGGAGAATCACTTGAACCTGGGAGGTGGAGGTTGCAGTGAGCCGAGACCACGCCATTGCACTCTAGCTTAGGCAGCAAGACTGAAACTCTGTCTCAAAAAAAAAATGCAAAGACAAGAGATATGAAACATCAGCTTAAAGTTTCTTTAAATTTATTTAAATTTATTTAAAATTTTAAGAATAAGTAGGTAGATGAAAAGAGGGAGAGAGGACATATAGTGGCCACAACTCCCATTATAATATTACTGGAGACTTTTGTTGCCAATGTTATTCACTTCTACTGTTTTCTAAAGTTTCCTCCTTTTCCTATTTCCTAATAGTTCCTAATCACACCACGGCTTTTAAAAGAGCTAACTAAGTAGGACAACTAATAAATCTGTAAAGTATAAAAGTAATTATATACATATTAATGTGGGCCATAAATGACTTCATCAAACACATATTGAATATCTGCCTGTGATGGTCAATTTTATGTGTCAACTTGACTAAGTTTTGATACCTAGTTGTTTGGTCTGATACCAGTCCAGATATTGCTGTGGAGGTATTTTTTAGGTGTGACTAATATTTAAATCAGAGTAAAGCAGATTATCCTCCATAATGTGGATAGGCCTCATCTAATCAGTTGAAGGCCTTAAGAGCAAAAACGGATTTCCCAAAGAAGAGGGAATTCTGTCTCAAGACTGCTTGGGTTTCCAGCTTGCTGCAGAATTCGGACTCAAGACTGCAACATCATCACTTTTACCTGAATTTCCAGCTATTAGCCTGACCTACAAATTTCAGACTTTGTACCCCAACAATCACATGTATGTGTGTGTGTACACATATATGTGTGTGTGCACATACATATACACATTTCTATATATAACCAACATATATCGTATTGGTTCTGTTTCTCTGGAGAACCCTCTGACTTATATGCTATCATATACAAGGTTTTATGCTACTTTCTGTGAGGTCCACAAATAGCACCTGCATTTCCATTATCAGGAAAATATATCTCACTCAAAAAAAAAAAAATTCACCCAATCCTCCGTGTGCCCAGCAGTGTGCTGGAGCTACAAAATGAATAAGAGATAACACTGTTTAAGGTGCTCACAATCTAGCCAAGAAGATGACATGCACAAGATACAAATCTATATTGCATCATGGAGAAAATGTCATAAGAAAGGGGAAAACAGTTTCCAGGGGTGTTTACAGAGAGTCAAGAGCTTCTGCCAGAAGGAATTGGGAAAGGATTCATTAAGAAGACAGCGTTGAGCCTGAGCGCTCACACTGTGGGAATGTGCCAAATTAACTTGAACCACTGGAAAATCCCATTATAGGGGTCAGAGGCTACAAGTCACTGGAACCCCCAAAGGCCCAGAAAACCACAGATTGGAGGAAGAGATGCTCCGTTTGATGGGGCTCTGCACAGCATTGGTCCTCTGTGTCCACCAGGCAGAAGTTCCCCCAACATTCTTGGACTGGGCAGCCAAGGCCAGAGTCATGCAAGTGACACAGATGCTATACAGGTCAGGTAGTTGTCCTAGCTTCACCTAGCCTTGGAGAGCATCAGGCAGTCAACTAAAGGGCAGCCTGGCTTCAGAGACCTTTTCAGAGTAAGTTCCAAAGTCTGCTTGGGTCAGTCCCCAGTCCCTTTTTGGTCTGCACTCTCCAACTCTGAGTTTATAGCTGTGGCTAGATCAAATTATGAGGACAGAAAATTATTTTCATTGCATATTACTTCAGTAAGCAGAGATTTAGAAATATTCCCATCAAAAAGCTACCTACAAGTGCTGGTGACTAAGCAGGGGCTACAACCCAAATGTCTTAGGGGCTCAGGTCACCTAACTGTGTAAATCAGGGTGGGGCAGAGTCTTAGGGAGCTGTATGAGCTGGTTAAAATTCTCCAGGTGCATCTGCAACCAGATTTGGGCCTTTGTCCTACCCCCAACTTGTGCCCTGTGGCTTAAAGGGTTAACTTTGACTATCTTTAAAATGCAGGTATTTGAAACAACACATTCCCAGAAGGCTCTACAATGCTAAAGTTTGACCAAACTACTTACAAAAGTTATACTAGGATTGGACGCCAGGGTACCCTTTATATTTTTAATCTTTTCCCTTCTGAATAAGAGCATTAGGAACTACCAGCAGCAACTGCTTGACCCAATTGACGCTATGATTTCGGCAGGAAAAGTTGGTCTCAACTGGGGAGTGAGATGGAATTATGAAGGATCCAGGGCTCCATATGGCCCCTCTGTCAGGGGTACCATTAAAGTACATCAAATGCATTACCTTCTTTCAAAGAGCTGGCTGGGGGCCTTCTTGTTCCATCTGACCACCTGTCCCTTTTTCCTTCTCTGTCACAAAGACTTTTTCCTCCCTTTATACTATACCAGTGCCGCACACTCAGCTCTTGCCAGTCACAGCGGAGGTGGAGGAGGCGCTGAGATATCAGGAACTGCCACCCTTCAGCTCTCTCTAAGACTGGAGAGAAGTCAGCTGTCTCTCCAAGAGAGGGTCTAAAAGAGTTACTGGTTCAGAATCCAAAGGTCATTAAGGAGTGTTCATTCTTTAAAGAGCCAGGAAGGTGCACAAAGTGGGAGAAGTCAGGCTCCTAAATGTGTGGGCAGGGGTTTCTAGATTCCCGGACGTATTGAAACAGTTTGCAATGCAAGGCAGGATGCCCTACACTTGGCTCATGTCCAGGTGGAAATATTTTGCATCTGTTTTATGAACTCGTGTGTTTAGAGAACAGAAAAATGTTTTTTTAAGACAGAGTAACTCAGGTAGAGGAAACTGAGTATAGACAGAAAAGTTAAAACAAAAATTCACCCTCCTTCTAACTGTGCCTAGAATCAATAATGGCTTTCAAGACAGTTTGTGCAGCACTATCCTGAGTGTCTGAACTGGAGACAGTCACATTCTGTTTCTATCTCATGACCCTCCCTCATTTCCATTCATTATCGCTTCCCAGTGGAGCTCTCTGAATAAATCTGTCACTCCTCAAGCCAGCCTTTCTCAGTAGCACAGTGGAGATGCCAGCCTCCATGCTTGCAAAGGGACAAGGCGGAGTTCTTCATGGTGTATGACCCTCAGAAACATTGACCCCTGGCTGCAATTGAAAAATGGAACTACCTTTGTCTCAGAGATAGCTCAGTTTAGGGGGAAGGCAAATTCTAACCATAAAACAGGATATCCTTAATGCTTCTTTAAAATGTAGTTGCTTGTAAACTTAGCACAGGTCTAGATCTATAAAGTAAGTGCTCAATAAAGTAAGTGCTCATTTTTGGTTGATTAATTGATCAAGTCTTCTCTCTCAGACCATGCTCAGAAATGCTTCCCATGGTTCTCCTTAAAGGCTTTGCTGCCCAAGAACATCCTGCTTTAGAAACCTCTGCTTTAAGGTGAAATCACACCAAGAAGAAAAAACACCTACACAGCAAGGAGCCAACTGAAGGCATGACTCAAAAATGGCCAGAGGCACTTGAAAGCCCAATTTTACTTTTATTCAGTAACTTCACATTTTTTGTGAATCATTGATGTAGAAAGGGAACTTCAACTTACCCCAAACTCACCAAAAATGCTCTTGGCTGCAGAACTTGAGGGATCTCCCTAAACATATAGAATTTTGGGTTCTACATTCTATGGTTTCCAACCTGCATTACCAGCTCTACATTGCCACTACTTAGGTATGTTCAGTGATGCTATCAGTTCACCCTTCTGTTTTCCAGAGACTCCTGTGGTCACTTTGGGATTGAGTTATGTGTCTTTATTATGTAGTGGCAATGGAAAAAATGCAAAAGAAGTAACTATTAAATAGATATGGTTACAGCTAAAACTTTTAGACGCTTATGTTTTCATGTGCAGAGAGAAAATCCCCTCTTGTCCATCTTCCATAGACAGCATCTCAAATTATAACATCCTTACTGTCTTCCAAGACCCTTCTCAAATGCAGCCTCCAAAGGGTCTTTCTAGATTCTACCAGATGTGACTTATTTCCTCAACTCTGGTGTCAGACTACCTAGTATCTAATTCTAGCCCTGTGCATTCTAGCATCAGGAAACTGGGAAAGTTATTTAAACACCATGTGCCCCAATTTACTCATCTGTAAAATTGGGAGAATAATACAACCTAAATCAAAGGGCAATGAGAGTCAAAAATTGAACCCATGAATAGTGCTTAGATTGCTATCTGGCCTATGTAACACTTATTGAAGCTAAGTGCTATCACTTCTTGGCCTTTTGGTTAAGATCAAGTGAAGCTAAGTGCTATTATTGGCTATTAGCTAAGAACTCCAATAGAACTTGTATTTCTTGAAAAGTTTTGCCTTACTTCCTTATTTGCATAGCATCTTGCCCCTCTACTTCTATCCACTTTTCTTACATGTTTAGAGAGGTCTCTCATCTCCCTTAGCCGGGAGGGGTTTTAGGTGAGTTCACAATAAATTGAAGTTCTCCATCTTAAAGTTAGATGCTTAGGAGTAGGGACAGCATCTTATCTTTGTGGCTGGTTCATATATATGTATGACAAATATTGAAATTAAACACATGAGGTTTACATAGTGCCTAACATAAGCTGTTCTTATAATATACTTGTTGGCTTTTTGTTGTCATAATCTTATACCAAGAAGAAGAATCCAAGTGTCTATATCAAATTTGTGCCTATATCTAATGTGCCTTTACATACATAAAGTATGTATCTTTGAAAGTATCCACATACAACTGAGAAACAAGACATAACACAAAGTCAAATTTTGCCTTCTGGTAATTTGCCAAGACTGAAAAAGTCTGACAGCCCACAGAAACTTTTCCTGACATGCAGAGCTGTCATCAGCATTTCCCCACCTTCCCAGTGACACACAAATGCTGCAGTGGATGCCAGAAACATTGGTGACCAGAGCAAGGATGGTGCCCTGCCCATAGTTAGTAGTTACTATATTTATTTTCACTCTGATCTGTTGTCAGCTTCATTCCCTTCAGATCCATGGCTACATTGTGAGATATGATTGCCAGTCTTTATCATTTGGCTTATAATATCTATTTTCAAAAAGTTCTTTTGTGAATGCAAGGTAAATCTAATAGTTGTTTTGTTTGTTTTTCATGTGCTTAGACATTCTCAACACTCAACACAAACCTTTCCTACATTTCTTTTTGCTTTAATCTTTCAGGATTTTGTCCCCAATAACTCCTTTTGTCAGTCTCTTCTTTCTGATGCTACCACCCTGGTACTTAGTCATTGTAAGCTTCTCTGATTGATCTCTAAAGAGATGAAATCTTCTGGGCTCCTGTGTAGAAACATCCAGGGAGCAATTTGGAATGTGATTGGTGTATCAACAGGTCCTAGTGGGAAGCAGAAGGGCCGCTCAGATGGGACTCTGAAGGAATGGGATGGAAAAGGATGCAAGGAAGGTCTATTTATAAAGCAGGGTCAGGGGATCCAACAAAGAATAGGAACACAGAGGCATCCAGGACTAGCAACAGTAGGAAGCTGTTGGCACCATGGGCCTGAAGGGGCCAGGGAAGGAAATAGTGTTTCATGCCAGAGCTTGGTGAGGGCTGCAGTCACGGATAAGGGGCCAGCCGGCAGGAGCTATAGTCTGGGAGGATGGAGACTCTACCAGGCAGGGACGGGCAGGTGTTACAGCCAAGGGGTCAGCCACCTGGAGCCCACTGCAGAGAGGGAAAGAGGAGGGAATGAATCTCACAGGGAAGGCGGGGAAGGGTGAGCAGAGAATAACTAGCACAATGTACATGAAAGTGCATGTCTCTAAACCTGTAAATGAAACTGCACCCTGTCATCCTGTGCACCACAGCAAAACTTCATCTACACAGCCTTCCACGGGAGCCTAAAGAACTTCCTACTTGTTTGACTCTAACACGTCTTTGTTAGTGTTGCTGGAAAAGAGAGGTCATTTTAATTTCTAAAGAAAGAATGTACTATAATCTTACTTGTGATTGTGATCCTCTCCGATGCTCCTAAGATTTGTGCTACATCACTCTTTTGGTTGCAGAAACATATTAAGGAGGAAAATTTTCTGTTTTCTAACTGATAATGTCTGGAATAAAAACAGCAATTAATGTAGTTTCTATGGATTGTGCTTTTTTTTAAGTGGGTAATTTTATGTGTTCCAACTATAGATATAAAGCAATGGTCTTCATCCTGGCTGTTTGTCAACATCAACTTCAGAACTTGTATCTAGTACAGAATTCTGCGATCTGTCCCACAGAGCCTCAATGGAGAATCATTTATTTAAAATTATGGACATATGATTGGGTAGCTCTACATAGAAATTTGCATCCAAGTCTCTTTAACATCATTCTATGTTATGTTTTTAAAAGATCTCCCATGTTAGTTAGTCACAAGATAATTGGTTAGTTGGAGCTATATACCCAAGGGAAATAGAATTTAACTTTCACATAATTTCATGCTTTTAAAAAGAAATGGATTTAATTCAAATTGAGGCTTTTCATAGACAGAATTAAAAATTCTTTGTGTTAAAGACTAGGACTGTGGCATTTTTAAAAATTAAAATGAACAAACTAAGGTCGGGTGCAGTGGCTCATGCCTATAATTCCAGCACTTTGGGAGGCCAAGATGGGCAGATCATTTGAGCCCAGGAGTTTGAGACCAGCCTGTGCAACATGGAGAAATCCCATCTCTACTAAAAACAGAAAAATTAGCTGAGTGTGGTGGTGCATGCCTGTCATCCCGGCTACTTGGGAGGCTGAGGTGGGAGGATCACCTGAGCCTGGGACACAGAGGTTGCAATGAGCTGAGATCGCACCACCACACTCCAGCCTGGACCATAGAGTGAGACCCTGTCTCAAAAATAAATAAATAAAATTTTTTAAATGAGCAAACTAAAACTTACCTCTATGGCCTTCCAAACCCAGCTCAAATCCCTCCAGAGAATAAACAACACAATGTATATTAAAAGGCAGGCCAGGCGCGGTGGCTCACACCTGTAATCTCAGCGTTTTGGGAGGCCTAGGTGGGCGGATCATGAGGTCAGGAGATCAAGACCATCCTGGCTAGCACGGTGAAACCCCATCTCTACTAAAAATACAGGAAAAATTCGGTGGCGGGCTCCTGTAGTCCCAGCTACTCGGGATGCTGAGGGAGGACAATGGCGTGAACCTGGGAGGCGGAGCTTGCTGTGAGCCAAGATCGTGCCACTGCATGGCCTGGGCGACAGAGTGAGACTCCATCTCAAAAAAAAAAAAAAAAAAAAGGCACAAAGCCTTAATTCTTCGATATCTCCAACAGGAAGCAATCCTGCCATCAACTGAATTAGCAAAATATTCCACACTACTTCCTATTTTGTGCTTGTTTGCTTCTTTGTTTGCTTGTTAATTTTACCACCTTTCACTTTCCGAGTTTTTAAAAGCACTCATTTGTGTACATGTTGCACATGGACGTGAACACTTTGAGGTCGGAGATTCTATGTTGCTCATTTCTGCATCATTACCCACAGTGTTAGTCCATTGTAGGTGTTCACTCTGTTTGTTGAATTAATACATTACTTTAAGAACAAATGTATTTCTTTCAAATGACTGAGTGAAAAAAAATGCACCCGGTCCTAATTATGTTTTGCATTGATCTACAGCTTTCTCCATCATACCAACCCATGGTGCCTTTCTCAGTTATGCCACTCTAGGTCCAGACAAAAAGGAAAATCCAGATCCCAGATCCCAGATCCAAAGATTCCATGCTCAATTTAAATATTGAAGTCACCATGGGTTTCAGGTCCAGAATTTCAGGAAAATTTTGCAGACAAATGTTTATATTTGGTGGACTTTCTTGAATTTTGTATAATCTCTTGATTTTCTATTATTATTGAACCTCTCTGCAGGTCTCTCCTGATGAATAACAAGCATCTTCCATTTATTTTTGCTCCACTACATTTTAATGAAATTTTAAAGCCACCTACAAGATGCAGGATATTGGTTTTAAAAAAAGAACTGCAAATATTATTTGATAGCCAAAAGCTTCAGTAGAAGATATATTTTGGAAATACTATCCCTGAAATCATGCATGTGATGAAAAAGGACCGGAACTGATGAATTTTAATATAACTAGGCAAAAACCCAATGCCTGTCACACCAGCTGGTCATCCTTGCTTTAGCCATTAAAAGTGGCCTTTTTTGTGGCTAACAACAGAAATGTCGGTCAATCAGGCACAGCTGTAGGTCTGGGCTTGGAGCCCACTCTCAACCTTGCCCCTCCCTTTCTTTCCCCCAGGCTAGGATGGAATGAAAGGGTCAGGATTGGCAGTAGGCACAGAGAAAGGGAAAACCAAGATGCTTAAATTCAGAGGAAAGATTGATTGCTGCAGCATCTCAGGCCTTAGCCCATTAGGTAAAGTTTAACCCCTGCAAAGCAGGTCACTTGGCAAAAATGAATGGAGAATACAAACTTCAGGTTGAAAGACGAGGAGGAGGCAAGGGGAGATGCTCTGCTGCATATGGTGTTCCATTAATAGGTATCACACTCTATAATGGGAACATTTTTATACAAATGTGTTCTTTGGAATCCAGCCAAGAGAAGGGCACCCCAGTGAAATCACAATGCACAGCTAATGAGCTATTTTTGGTGAATTTGGCACTAGAGACTAATAGAACCAATTTGTCCCCAAAATGTTAAATCATTTAGCGCTTCTATGGAGGTGCTAAGTGCATCTAGAACTTTTGGGGGCTGTCGATAAAAAATTAGAGACTACTCAGAAGCCTTCAGTCTTGGCTTGCAATCCCTTATCCTCAGATTAGAGGGCTGCTGAGCACCTGAGGAGACTGAGCAAAGCCTGCTGCTGTGGGGAGCAAGTGGTCGGACTGAGTCACAAATGTGCTCCCCAGCCTGATGAGAGACTGAAGAGCTAGTGAGCATTCTCTCTCAGCCAAGGCTGTCAACCTGCGCCTCCGCTGTAATCACTGGCTTCATCTTCTCACTCCCCGCCCCCACATTCTGCCAGCCACTAATTCCCTTTCTCTGCACTGCCAATCTCCCAAGCCCATAAATGGAACATTGACTCCCCCCTCACATTTACCATTTTCCTGTATATTTCTCCTCTATTCCCTCTATTCCAGCCCTCAGCCCTGTGCCCCAGCATTTTAAAAACTGTCCACTGGAACTCTGTCCCACCAGCCTTCCTCACCTCCAACCATCCTGCATATTAATGAAACATGAATCTTCATTAACTAACACTCTCAAAAAGTTGTTCACCAATTTGGAAACTTTCAATGGCTCCCCAGTACCTGCCACATCAAGTCTGAACTCAGTCATTTGATTGTCAAAGCCCTTTATAAGATGACACCATTCAATCGAGATAGCCTTAGTTTCCATGGGTTGTCTTACCCTGCTTGGCTCAGGAGAATCATCAGCCATCATTGAATAAATAAATCCCTGCTACTGCTTACCCTGGAGCCCTCTACAAAGAGTAAACAAGTCACACAGAGCTGCCAATGTGAGAAACAATAAAATCCAGAAGTAAAGTCTGCAATTTAAAGCACCTGCCCTTGTGAATTACAACTTAGAGCTCAGGTTAAAAAACACTATTGGTTTTCTTGGTCTATGGCCCACCCACCCCCATCTACACAAAAACAGTCCCTTTCCCATGAATCCAAAATTAGTACAAATCTATCAAACTATTTTTCATGTTGCAGTAACAAACAAAAGCAATTTTATTGAGATAGCTGATTGCCCTTCATCTGTCCTCTGCTCTCGTCAGGCTGGTCTCATGTTCCACAGAAACCTGCAGTCACACTGACTGTGCCTGCACATCTGCGTGGTTCCTCTTGGCATGCTTCTTCCCCACTACTCCCTCCATCCAAATCCCATTCTGTAAGGCTTAATTCAAGGTTCATTCCCTCAGGTGTGCTTGCCCTAGATACCCCACCATCCAAGATCTTATTCTTGAACAGTATTATAATATTACTTACTATTAAAGGCAAATGTTTTCTCTATTACTGATTGCTAGGTACTTCATAGGAGCCATTTTTGCTTCTGCAAGGAGAAAGGTCATAACATAAATGTATGTATGTTTCCACATAGTGCTATGGTTATAGTAGGTGCCAAATGAGTCAATTGGTCAATCAATTCATGCTTTAATTCTATCATTATAGTACTTAAAATAGTGCTGCACATACAGGAGAGACTCAAAAATTTAGTTAATCAATAGACACTTTGTGAAGCATTTTCTAATCCACTACATATAGGTTGAAATATTCTCTATCAATCAGTATGGCTTCTGTGTTACAGAAGGTTAGCTATCCTTCCAAAATGTGTGCTCCCTCTTTCTTCAGATCGAGTTGTCCCTGAGAAGCAGCAATCTTGCATCTAACTGAAGCCACCAGTGGAATGTAGCCAAGGTCATTTCTGAGCCAACATGGCTAAAATGTGGGTATGCCTTCTCCACCTTCTCTTTTCCCAGCTGGAGAGATGCCACCTGGATGCAGGTCTCTTGAAGCTTTAGAGAGAATGGTGGAGTCAAAAGTTCGAAGGAACTGGATCCCTGAATCACCACATGGAAGAACTTCCTGCCAATCACTATCATGTGCATTGGACTGTCACGTATATGAGAAATGCTTTTATCGTGTTTAGCTACGGAAACCCGTGGTTTGTTACAGCTAAACAATCACTTACCTACCTCTGAAAGGGTAAAATTGCCACTGAGGAGAAGAGCAGTTCAAAATGAGAAGCAATTAAACTCTCATGCATTAATACATGATGAGTTATCCAGCTGAAGGCTAATTGGCTTGCAGAGTGTGCCTCTGTACATTTAATGAGGAATTCAAGCATGTTCCACCAACCCTAACAAAATGATTTTACTGTAGGTTCTCACATACCCAAGCCCATAGTTACAAGGATTACATGAAGATGCCTTAATCTCCTCTCTCCAGCCCAAACTACTTTCCTGAACTAGAGAGCTATGCAAATAATTGCTGCTAGATATCTCCAGCTGGCTCTTCCACAGGCCCCTCGAACTTGGGATCCCTAATACTTATATTAGGGATCCCTCTCCCTCTCCCATTCACCCCAACCATATTATTCCTCCTCCTGAATTTCCTAAGTGGCACCAATACCAAAATGGGCCTTGACTTCCACAAACGAACTTGGATCTCTCTGTTCCTGTGCTCCTCTACATAGTTTACCTGCCTCTGGCATAGCAACAGTGTGCTGTGATCACTTGTGAATGCGTCTATCTTCCCACTAGAATGTAAACTTCTTCAGATGAGGACCAAATATTTTTACCTGTGTCATCACAGCACTCAAATATTTGCTCGATGAAAGAATAAATGATCACAGGCTTAAACTATACTGCAAAACTTTTTGAAGAACACATAGGAGAAAATCTTCATGACCAAGCAGGTTGGACAAAGAGTTTCTAAATATGACATCAAAAGTATGATCCATAAAATAAATTGATGAATTGAACTTCATAAAAATTGAATGCTTTGGGGCTTCAAAAGACACCATTAAGGAAACGAAAAGACAAGTCACAGATTGAAAGAAAAGATTTGCAAATTATATTTATATAATTTACATTTATATAATTATATTTATATAATTTACATTATATTTATATATAATATAAATATTTATTAATATAATAAATATAATAAATACACAAATTTATATAATTTATATTTTTATATAACTATATTTATATAATTTATATTTTTATATAACTATATTTATATAATTTATATTTTTATATAACTATATTTATATAATTTATATTTTTATATAATTATATTTATATAATTTATATTTTTATATAATTATATTTATATAATTTATATTATAGAACACATATCCAGAATATGTATAAAGCTCTTACAACTCGACAATAAAAAAACAAAAGACCAAATTTTAAAATGGGAAAAGGATTTGAATAGACATTTCACCAAAAAAGATATATGAATGGCCAATAAGCACATGGAAAAATGTTCAACATCATTTATCATTAGAGAAATGAAAATTAGAACTTCAGTGAAATATCACTGCACTCTCACTAGAAAAATCATAATAGAAAAAGACAACATAAACTGTTGGCATTGATATAGAGAAACCAGAATTCTCAAAAGTCTGCTACTGGGAATGTCAAATGACGCAACTACTTTGGAAAAGAGTTTGGTCATTTTCTAAAAGTTTAACATAAATTTACGATATGACTCAGCCATTCAACCCTTAAGCGTCTCCCTAAAAGAAATTAAAATGTAATCTACACAAAAAAATTGAAAATGGGTTTCTACACAAAGACTTGTACAAGAATGTTCATAGCAGCATTATTCTTAATAGCTGAAGAGAGGAAACAGTCCACTTGTCCATCAACTGGTGAATGGAGAAACAAAAGTGGATTGTGGCGATCATTGCACAACTCTGTAAATTTACAAAACATCATTAAATCGGATACTTAAAATAGATACATTTAATGATATGTAAATTATACCTGAATAAAGCTTTAAAAAATAAGTGACAGCTTTATATCTGTATAGATGTCACAAGTACCACTGTAATGACAACATGCATTTATGCACCTACCATGCGCAGGCAGCTATCCAAGCATTTTATACCTGTTAACTATGTATACATGGAATCCTCACAAAAATGCAAATAGGCAGGTGCCATTATCATCCTATTTTGCACATAAAACTGAGGCACAAAGAGGTTAAATAACTTGTTATGTCACACACCTAAGAAGAGGTAGCTCTGCAAATATTAGGAGGGAATGAAATGATCAAATCACTGCAATTGCTGTATCAAATAGATGTCTCATTTTACTCAAATAATCATGGGAAATAAACAATGTTTGCATTACTTATTCTTTTTCTCTTTAGTAACAAATTAAGAATTTAGAAATTTAGTCTGAAATTATATAAAAGTCTCATAAGTATCATCCAATTCTTCTTACCAGTCATTTTTCACAGAGGAAAACTAGCATTTCTGTTAAAACACTACCACTGAAAGGCAGGATATTCACATCAGCATCACAATTTGCTATCAAGAGCAGGCCCTGCTAATCTTCATTCTACTCCAGTTTGTGGATCCAGGTCTGTTTGACCACAGAGAGGAGTAAAAGGTGCCAATGCTTAAAGTCTGCCAAAGTGAAGCTCCCACTTCACTTCCATGAAAACCAGCCTTACACGCCTGTGCCCACATCTGCAGCCATCTCTCCACAGAATCCTCAGCATTGTCCTCTCGTTTTCAAACCTGCTACTTGTCCCTGCCTTAACATGAGCTGTGTGTGTGTGACAGCACATTTATGCTCCTTATGAGAAATAAAAATTTTATTTAGGTAAAAAAAAAACAAAAGAATCTCTGTTGGATATGTCTAGGCTCAATTGCATTGCAAGTTACACTCTGCAAAGAAATGAAATACGAAATCCATAGAAAACCATATGATTTTATTTGGATAGCAGTAAACAGGCTTGTGTCATGCTATTTTGTACATTATCAAATCACCAAATAGTCAACCCAAGTTAAGTCACATGATCAACATAAATACTAGCAGGAAAATAGTCTCACTTTTGAAAGAAGAAAAAAAAGAGATAAACTTTTAATTCTGCTAAGGGCCACCTGGCCCAAATCTACAGTTGACTGAAATGTTTACATTCTGACATAACCAAAGATAACTCAACTTGGGCAAGCATTTCCTGCAAATAAGATTTCTTTCCCTCTGCCACCTTCTTTTTTCCATCCTACCCTCTGGATTGTAAGAATTAGCTTCCTTTTTACTGAGGCTGAATCAAAAATTTCATTTCTTCATTACAAATCTTAAGACAATTGCAGCAAATAAAAAAATGGAATTTGACTTGCTGAGGCTTAATTATTGATGTGGTCTTTTAAAAACATTTTTGGTTCTCTGAAATGGTTTCTCAGAACTGTGCTCCATTTTCTCATTGGTTCCCTATTCTGTTTGTTCTTGGCCTCTGTGTTCCTTTTCGATTTTCTGCAGGTTAGCAAGTGCTGCATTGTCTGCTTTTGAAATGTGTCTTTAGGCATGCTTTTGTTTGACAAGGAATGCCAAGGCTGAGCTGACAAAGTCTGTTTGAAAATCTTTTTCCAGGTATACAAGATCAGTAAGCCTGTTCAATGTATACTGTGATTAGAATTTTTCTTCAGATATTTATATCAACATTTCCGTTTTAGAGAGAGATGTTTTCTGAGCCTACCTGTCAGAGAGAAACTTATAAAAGGTAAGAACTCTATCATTTATATATTCAAATCTAGAAATACATTTGTGGTAAAGAGTTGACATCCTCCTGCCTTACGCCTTAAAAGAAAAGAGGCAGGCTACAGGTACAGTCACACTCCTCCCCTAGGCTGAAACCAACCTCACCTAAGGAGTTCTGGCCCTCAGATATGGGATTTCAGGTTTCATTTGGAAAGACTTAGGAGGTTTTAATCATAGGAGTTTTTCTCCTGCATGCTTTCCTTTTGAAAGGAGGAGAAATGAGGGCCACAGTGTGAGGAAAACACAGCTACTGAAGGAAAGTTTGTCTCTGTAAACCTACTAACTAAGATTGCAATCTATCAATAAGAGCTTATAAATGCGTAGGGTTTTATTCATCAAAAAGCTTCAGTATTCAGTTCAGCAAATATTCATTGTTATTATCAGATGTATTTAAAGTTGGAGTACATTCTACCCAAGACCTTACCAAAATATAACATATTTCAAAATAAAAATCTATTATAAATTGCTACTCTTGTGAAATAATGCTTAGCATATTACAAAAAGGTATGTCACCTTGGCCACCAGTTAGTTATCTAGACCCCACCAGTCAGGCTTACACTAACTTGCAGTAAGAAGAGTTTGCAAAGGGACATATAATAAAAAAAAAAAATTGAGTGGAAGGTCATATCAGCCTAAGAGATGAACTAATTATTAAATATTTTAGTAGTCTCAAGTAGAAAAATTAATTTCAAATTAGATATATTACATGATTGAATCTATTGGTTACAGCAGGACCCACAGCTTGCCTACCTGAAAATATTTTCTTACTCATTCCAGTTAGCTGAAACACACAAACAGAACCTTATGAAGTTTTTTAACATACATCCCTCAATTCACCATTAACTAATTCAAACTGACCTTCTCCCTAGTTTTTAATATAAAAATTATATTATAAAGGACTGCCTTTGTCTCCATCATTTTATTAAAAAATATTCATTGATCACTTACTAGGCACAGTTCTATATACTGAAGATATAAATACAAATAACACAATCCTTGGACTCCAGGAGTTAGAGTTCAGTGAAGGCATAAAAAGAATTAGGTGTGTTCTCAACAAAGTCAAAAATAATAAAAGAACTGAAAGGTCCCAACATGCAAATAATAACCAGTCATTTAAAATGCTTTGCAGGATAAGATGGGGTGAATAAACAGATAGTTAAGTCAAGCTTGAGATTGTATGTAGTTTTCTCTTAAAAAACATTTTAGACAATAATGTTTTTATGTTGTATAATTCATCATTATTTTCCAGGGCAACATTGGCATAACTATGTTCCCTTTTCAATATAGTTTTCTATGAAGAACAGCAAGTTCATATACCATCTGATTCTGCCACTAAAATACATAAATGCAAGACGTTTTCCCATTAAAATCGCTGAGGGTTGATAAACCTGTCTTTTTCTTGTTTTCAAGTGCTAACCAATGATGGTAGTATATATGAATATAAGTTTCTAAATCCAACACAGAAGGGGATGGGGAGGCAGAGAAGAAGGAATGCTTACAGAGACATTTTACACTTTGCTGAGGTCTGAGTGCCAGAGCCTTGCTTTGAAGCCCATCCCAGAAATGATTGGTTCCATGTGCTGATTTTACCTTAATCTGAGGTGCTTTATACATACCTAAAAGAGAAAGAGAAAAGATATGCCTATTCTCTTATTAAAACATCAGAAAATAATAGATGTTGGTGAGGTTGCAGAGAGACGGGAACACTTACACACTGCTGGTGGGAATGTAAATTAGTTCTGCCACTGTGGAAAGCAGTTTGGAGAATTCTCAAAGAACTTAAAACAGAACTACCATTTGACCCAGCAATCCCATTAACTGGGATATTCCTAGAGGAATATAAATCATTCTACCAAAAAAACACATGGACTCATATGTTCATCACAGTGCTGTTCACAAGAGCAAACGCATGGAATCAACCTAGATGCCAGTCCACAGTGGACTGGATAAAGAAAATGTGGTACACATACACCATGAAATATTATGCAGCCATAAAAAAGAACAAAATCATGTCTTTGCAGCAAAATGGATGCAGTAGGAGGCCATTATCCCAAGCGAACTAATACAGGAACAGAAAACTAAGTACCACATCTTCTCATTTGTAAAAGTGGGAGCTAAACATTGAGTACACATGGACACAAAGGGGAACAATAGACACTAGGCCTACTTGAGGGCGGAGAGTGAGAGAGGGATGAGAGTTGAAAAACTACCTACTAGATACAATGTTCACTACCTGTATCATTTGTATATCAAATCCTAGCAATATGCAATTTACCCATATGACAAACCTCCACATGTACCCCCTGAACCTGAAACAAAAGTTTAAAAAGAAAAAAAAAAAAACCTAAGAGGACAAACCAAAAAAAAAAAAATTGCCTATTACATGGTTAAGTGGCTCAGTTTTCACACCAAAGCAGATTAAGTGATGAGCGCCATCCCAGATGGATCTACATAGCCATCCTAATGTTCCACTCCAGCCATTGAAAACCAATAGCAATAAAGGGTGTTTTTCTTGTGTCTATTCATGGTTTGGCTAATTTGGTACAGCTGTTCAGAGTCTTTCACATAAAGAAGGGCTAAACCCATGCCAGAAACTTGCTGTGTAGTTTTAAGGTATTCTACAAGATCATTCCTGCCATGTGGGCCACAGAAAGTGTCACAATCTGTTCTAGTGACATGAGACAGAAAAAAAATAAATGTCATTTTAAGATGGCGGCGTATATACAGCCTATCCATTTGATTTTGTGTTTCTGCTAGCTTTAACTGGACACAGTGTACAGAATCTCTTGTTTTTCTACAGAAGTTTCAGAGCTGTCTATGAATTCCCAAGATGAGAATATCTAATATACTTTGGAAGATGTTACATCGCTCACAAATTCAAATGATAAAAACAAATAGGGCTTTGCAAAACATGCGTAAAACCAACATACATGTTAATGCCCATGGTCTACCAGCTTAAGATGGAGGGCCCCAGAGAGAAGCACTTCAGAATTCCACAACTACACCTACTTCAGGGCTCATTTCAGGAATGAAGAGTAGATAATCATTTGTTTTGGATGCACAGGAGTCGAGCAGGGAATTTGAAAGGTGATGGAGGGAATATTCTTATTGGGGATAAAATGGAAATTATTTACTCTAGCAATCCTCATTATCCTGTTGATTTCCATCCTACTGACATTAAGAGGTCCTCTTATTTTCCAACCACTTCCCCCTCTGCTCTTATCATTTTCTATTCCTTTTGATTTCGTGATAAAAATTTGCAAGTCTGAAACTTATATTTCACCTGAAGTGTTAATATTCAAGCTCCATGTATTAAAAAGAAGAATGGGAAAGGCTCCACTTTCAAACCTACAGTCAACTCTCTAGTATGAGAATTTTGACAAGCAGAATTGCATGTCCACTTATCAATGCATCAACACTTACCAGTGTTGCTTTTATTGGCTTGTTTTTAGTACAGTCACTTTATGCAAAATTCTAAATTCATATAAAGATAGAGTTAAGGAAACATTTTTTAAAGTGTGCTTCATGTGCAGAAAAAAAATAAAGTCTAATTAATTCCTTTTCTTTCTTTTTCTTCACTAGACTAGAAATGCATTTTGCTTGTGGTTTTTTGTTGTAGTGAACAGATCTTCCTGAAGAAAAAAAAAATGATATCTCTTAGACCAGAAATATTCTCAGGGCACTGGGGGAAAAATCCATTAAAGAGTTTAATTCTGCTAAAATAAGATCCCTAGCTGCCTTGTGCTGGAGGCATCTCATACAAAGGGTGCAATGTGGAAACTTGATTAAGTAAGTTCTGCTGCTGCTCCTTGGTAGAGTGGTACCCTGTCCAGTGGCCCACAGCTTCCTGAGCCCCTGTGTCCAATTCATCATTACTACACTTTATAGTAAACTTGAAAGTCAGACTGGTTAGAATCCCAGATCAACAAATGTATTAGCCATGGGATCACAAGTCTTGGGTTTTTTTTTTAATTGGTTAGATGAGTAAAAAACTGATTTAAAAATTTACCTCACAGGGTTGCCCTAAGAAAATAATTTATATAAAGCATCTATCACAATGTCCAACATATAGTAGATGCTCAAAAATTATTGTTTTCCTTTTTTCAAAAACATATCCCTACCCAGAACTTACTCTCCTCTAAACATTTTGGGGGGAAAAAAAACTAAGTAAGGATCAATCATGCAAATAAGCAACTTATTATGAACCTACAATCACTCAACCAAAACAGAATGCCAACACTATTTTTTTCAAAAGTGTATGCTATGCTAATTACATCCAAAGTACTTGCTTTCAATAATTTGTCCCAAAGGTGGATTATGCTTGTTGATACAGATCCTGGGTCTAAATAACAAGTCAACATGACTTTGATTAGTTTCCAATGTGTATAGTTTAGGAAGGAATCTAAAGAATTTCTCAAAAGCTCTTCTTTCTTAAAAATCGTTGGGGGAAATTACAGGGGACTTTTAATCTAGAACAGGAGACTCTTTCTCAGATGTCTCATGAACCAAAGCAAAAGAGACTAAGTAACTAGGACCTGCTGGCCCCCAAGCTGCCTTTATTTAGGTAACCATAACAAACAAAGTACCCATCACCATGGGGTCAATTTCTTAAGAAATAGAGCTTCCTCTCTCAGTCACACAAGCTTATCTCATTTTTTCGCAACCTAAAAGGTGAAGTGAAGGCCAAATTGTTCAGGGTGTTAGTTAGACACCAAAGAGCTTCACTAACCAGTTACAGTTCTACTGGCCATCCAGAACTCAGTATTTTTTCCAAGGTCAGGCCACAGTGACCACAGACATCTGAAAATGAACCAAATCACAAGACCTCTCTAGAAAGAGTAACTTTACTCCTCAATATAGAAGAAAAGACCTAGAATCCAGCTGAAAGCACACTCTCACCACTCAGCCCAACTGGAGGAGAGGTGGGGGCGTGAGGTGAATGATGGTGGGAACATCAATGAACCATGGTTTATGTGGAAGTCTTAAGATCCATTTTGAAACTCATCACCCACCAAAAGACAGTGTAAAAGAAAAAAGGAATAAAGCTACCTGTCACATCCATACAGTTTGAGTTGTTCTGTTTAAATGGAAAACAAAAATGCTTTGATTTTATTGCTTTCTAGTAACAGACAAGAAAAAAAGAATATTTTAGGTAGTTCTCACTCTCCCAGCTAAATAAAATAAAACTCCTGTTCTGATTCCAATCCTATTATCAAAGGACCATTCACCTAATGTAAAAAAGTCGCTCTTCATCAATTTATCATTAACAAGAGCATTACTACCTAATGTAAGGGAACTGCTCTTCCCCCAGGGATTCTGTTAATGGGAGGCTGGAGCCAGATAACAAGCATGGGAACAGGTTGGCCACGGGAGGGAATGCAATATACATGTTCTGTTTTCCCAGCAAAGGATATTGCACAATGGCCTTCTATGACTGATGAGTTCCTGGCACACTCAAAAAAGAATGGAGGGGGCTGAGGTGACAAAAGCTTAAACTTTCACAGGGCCACCTTCCATAATTTTTTAAGGAGTCTATGCTTGTTTTCAATACACATTCCCCAGTGGCTCTCTGTGAGCTGCCCAGCTTTCTCATCCTCTCTTTAGGAGCATGCAGACTTGCAGTATGAGAGTGATGCATCCTGGAATAATAAGACAATGTAAATAAGCACATTTTTCAAAGACTACGATGCTGCTGTTAGTTCCTTATTAGGTCATCCTGCAATAAACACAAGGTGTTGCTCTAAACTCTCTATTGGTATTAACTAATTTAATCCTTCCAAAGATCCTAAGCATTTGCTGTTATTTTTCCCATTTTTACAGATGTGAAAGAGGAAGCACAAAGAGGTCTAACAACCTTCTCTGTGTCACAGAGTTAAAATATACATGGTAGAGCTAGGATTTGAACCCAGCACTTCTAGCATTGGAGTCCATGCTCTTAAGTAGCATGTCTTACTCTAATGCCTTTCAATCCTACTAATAAGAAAATAAGAGCAGGCAAATTAATATATGAATTGAGGTATATATGAGGTAACCAATGCATAATCAAGCATTCAGGCTGGTAAAGCTGGATGCTTCAATCAGATCATGAACATTGTAGCCAAACCCAGATTCAAATCTTGGGCAGACTCTACTACACATTAGTCAGTGCAATAAACTGAATGTTTATGTCCCCCTAAAAGTCATATGTGGAAATCCTAACCCCCAAGGTGGCATTATTAGGAGGTGGGGGCTTTGGGAGTTGATTAGGTTATGAGGGCAGAACCCTCATAAATAAATTAGTATACTTATAATAGAGGCCCTAGAGAGCCGCCTTGGCCTTTCCACCATGTAAGGATACAGCAAGAAAGTGTCCTCTTTGAACCAGAAAGTGGACCCACACCAGACACTGAACCTACCATCACTTTGCTCTTGAACTTCCCAACCTCCAGAATTCTGAAATATAAGTTTCTATTGTTTATAAGCCACCCAATTTATGGTATTTTTGTTACAGAAGCCCAAACAGACTAAGACAGTTAAACTTGAACAAGTTAATTGACTATCTCAAGGCTCATTTCCCCCATCTTTAAAGTGGAGATGATAGTACTTACCTCACAGAGTTGTGAGAATTAAACAAGATAATGCCTGTATAAGTATACTTGCATAGTTCCAGCAACATATTTAGTGCTTCATAAACATTAGCTACGCTAATTATCATCATCATCATCATCATTAGTGTTTAATACATGTGTGGATTTCCATTGTAGGTGAGTATTTGGAAGTAATGATCCTTCTTCACTCTCCCCAGGCCCTGCAGCCATGGCATTCAAAAGCCCACACATGTGCAATGACTAATGGGGATTAGGAGCATTGCCTCAGCTAAGGATCACAGCAAAGCTGAGGAGCTCACAGGGACCAAACTCCTCAACCTTGGCTTTATTAGTAAGTTTCTCTAGCTGAACTAACCCAGCCCACGCCAGTCAAGCATTCCCTTGCAAATATAAATCATTAAACCCAATAAACCACAGACATAGAAGATTGTCCACAGCAGATAAAGCTGTGGGTCAGAATAGCCAATCCCTGAGGCTTTGAGGAAAGAGAGAAAAAGCAACAGCATTACTTATATAAACAGTTACTTGGAAAATGCTTTAAGCATGTATTTTAGATTCTCCTTTAGTTAGGATAAATAATTACTTCACTTTCATCTTTCAATGAGCTCCCAAACTCTCCCATGCCTCATCTTCAAATACCAACTAGAAATACTTTAAGATTGGGGGAATAAACTAACTGTGTACACTTTTAAAGCCACTTTATCTTTCTGGATCTTGGCTTCGCCATCTGCACAATGAGGAGATTGGACAAGGTAAGTCTCTAAGGCCTCTTCCAGCAGATTTTTCACAACTCTATGCCGTGCATAGGGGATGACATAATGGCTATACCACTTTACTAATCTCATATTCTTTTCTAGGGAGAGCATAACATTTGAATATATGAAGTACATTTGTTTATTGAGCTTCAAAAACTGTTTTACCCATGCAAACATCAAGACATCCAGCAATGTTGTAGGTGTGCCAGTCCCTGCCATAAAAGAAAGAAACCCAAAATAACAGGTCTAAACAATGTCTACAGACTAGCCTCAAATGAGAAATAGTTAAAAGAACTGAATGTATTTTTGGAAAATAGCAAAGATATCTCTTTTAATTAGACTTATTATGTGTAGCTTCACAAATAGAATTAATAGATTAACATTACAGGGAGAGAAATATTGGATAACTTTATAAGAAATAACTTCCATCCAAGATAATGGTTCAAAATGGAAACAAGCATTTTATATAACTATCAGCATTATTAAAATGAGAAGACTTCCTATCAACGATGCATAGAGGAAATTCCTCACTTGGGAACATATATAGGGAGTTGTATATTGAGCTCATATTGCCTCTGAGAGTCTTTTGCAACTCTCCTGTATATTAATAACCTCCATCAATGATCCCCAAACATCATTCATCATATAACTCAAGTAGATCAGCTATATTTGGTGTTATATGTAACTATTGGTGTCACCCTGACAAAACCAAGTGTCTCTTTACCTTTGGTATATCTCTATCATAGCTCCAAGCATATAGTAGATTTTCAGTAAACATTGGCTGAATGATTTTTAAAAGGGAAATTGATGACTATAAGTTCAAAAAGACTGTTTTTGCCCTCAGAGAGACTTGTAATCCAACTGGAGTCAAAATCAACATAGCTAAAATAAATGTTATATAATAATATATGGTATTTTACACATAGTTAGGGACTTGATAAATGTATGGGGAACAAGTTTATAAATACCACATGACCCCTCCTGGTCTCCCAGACTCTCTTTTTTTTTTTTTAATCCAGAATTTTTTTTTATTATACTTTAAGTTTTAGGGTACATGTGCACAATGTGCAGGTTTGTTACATATGTATACATGTGCCATGTTGGTGTGCTGCACCCATTAACTCGTCATTCACATTAGGTATATCTCCTAATGCTATCCCTCCCCCCTCCCACCATCCCACAACAGGCCCTGGTGTGTGATGTTCCCCATCCTGTGTCCATGTGTTCTCATTGTTCAATTCCCACCTATGAGTGAGAACATGCAGTGTTTGGTTTTTTGTGCTTGCGATAGTTTGCTGAGAATGATGGTTTCCAGCTTCATCCATGTCCCTACAAAGGACATGAACTCATCATTTTTTATGGCTGCATAGTATTCCATGGTGTGTATGTGCCACATTTTCTTAATCCAGTCTATCATTGATGGACATTTGGGTTGGTTCCAAGTCTTTGCTATTGTGAATAGTGCCGCAATAAACATACGTGTGCATGTCTCTTTATAGCAGCATGATTTATAATCCTTTGGATATATACCCAGTAATGGGATGGCTGGGTCAAATGGTATTTCTAGTTCTAGATCCTTGAGGAATCGCCACACTGACTTCCACAATGGTTGAACTAGTTTACAGTACCACCAACGGTGTAAAAGCATTCCTATTTCTCCACATCCTCTCCAGCACCTGTTGTTTCTTGACTTTTTGATGATCACCATTCTAACTGGTATGAGATGGTATCTCATTGTGGTTTTGATTTGCATTTCTCTAATGACCAGTGATGATGAGCATTTTTTCATGTGTCTGTCGGCTGCGTAAATGTCTTCTTTTGAGAAGTGTCTGTTCATATCCTTCGCCCACTTGTTGATGGGGTGGGGTTTTTTTTCTTGTAAATTTGTTTGAGTTCATTGTAGATTCTGGATGTTAGCCCTTTGTCAGATGAGTAGATTGCAAAAATTTTCTCCCATTCTGTATGTTTCCTGTTCACTCTGATGGTAGTTTCTTTTGCTGTGCAGAAACTCTTTAGTTTAATTAGATCCCATATGTCAATTTTGGCTTTTGTTGCCATTGCTTTTGGTGTTTTAGACATGAAGTCTTTGCCCATGCCTATGTCCTGAATGGTATTGCCTAGGTTTTCTTCTAGGGTTTTTATGGTTTTAGGTCTAACATTTAAGTCTTTAATCCATCTTGAATTCATTTTTGTATAAGGTGTAAGGAAGGGATCCAGTTTCAGCTTTCTACATATGGCTAGCCAGTTTTCCCAGCACCATTTATTAAATAGGGAATCCTTTCCCCATTGCTTGTTTTTGTCAGGTTTGTCAAAGATCAGATAGTTGTAGATGTGTGGCATTATTTCTGAGGGCTCTGTTCTGTTCCATTGGTCTATATCTCTGTTTTGGTACCAGTACCATGCTGTTTTGGTTACTGTAGCCTTGTAGTATAGTTTGAAGTCAGGTAGCGTGATGCCTCCAGCTTTGTTCTTTTGGCTTAGGATTGTCTTGGCGATGCAGGCTCTTTTTTGCTCCCATATGAGCTTTAAAGTAGTTTTTTCCAATTCTGTGAAGAAAGGCATTGGTAGCTTGATGGGGCAGGCATTGAATCTGTAAATTACCTTGGGCAGTATGGCCATTTTCACAATATTGATTCTTCCTATCCATGAGCATGAAATGTTCTTCCATTTGTTTGTATCCTCTTCTATTTCATTGAGCAGCTGTTTGTAGTTCTCCTTGAAGAGGTCCTTCACATCCCTTGTAAGTTGGATTCCTAGGTATTTTATTCTCTTTGAAGCAATTGTGAATGGGAGTTCACTCCTGATTTGGCTCTCTGTTTGTCTGTTATTGGTGTATAAGAATACTTGTGATTTTTGCACATTGATTTTGTATCCTGAGACATTGCTGAAGTTGCTTATCAGCTTAAGGAGATTTTGGGCTGAGACAATGGGGTTTTCTAGATACACAAGCATGTCATCTGCAAACAGGGACAATTTGACTTCCTCTTTTCCTAATTGAATACCCTTTATTTCTTTCTCGTGCCTGATTGCCCTGGCCAGAACTTCCAACACTATGTTGAATAGGAGTGGTGAGAGAGGGCATCCCTGTCTTGTGCCAGTTTTCAAAGGGAATGCTTCCAGTTTTGGCCCATTCAGTATGATATTGGCTGTGGGTTTGTCAAAAATAGCTCCTTTATTTTGAGATACGTCCCATCAATACCTAATTTATTGAGAGTTTTTAGCATGAAGGGCTGTTGAATTTTGTCAAAGGCCTTTTCTGCATCTATTGAGATAATCATGTGGTTTTTGTCATTGGTTCTGTTTATGTAATGGATTACGTTTATTAATTTGCATATGTTGAACCAGCCTTGCATCCCAGAGATGAACCCCACTTGATCATGGTGGATAAGCTTTTTGATGTGCTGCTGGATTCGGTTTGCCAGTATTTTATTGAGGATTTTTGCATCAATGTTCATCAGGGATTTTGGTCTAAAATTCTCTTTTTTTGTTGTGTCTCTGCCAGGCTTTGGTATCAGGATGATGCTGGCCTCATAAAATGAGTTAGGGAGGATTCCCTCTTTTTCTATTGATTGGAATAGTTTCAGAAGGAATGGTACCAGCTCCCCTTTGTACCTCTGCTAGAATTCGGCTGTGAATCCATCTGGTCCTGGACTTTTTTTGGTTGGTAAGCTATTAATTATTGCCTCAATTTCAGAGCCTATTATTGGTCTATTCAGAGATTCAACTTCTTCCTGGTTTAGTCTTGGGAGGGTGTATGTGTCCAGGAATTTATCCATTTCCTCTAGATTTTCTAGTTTATTTGCATAGAGGTGTTTATAGTATTCTCTGATGGTAGTTTGTATTTCTGTGGGATCGGTGGTGATATCCCCTTTATCATTTTTTATTGCGTCTATTTGATTCTTCTCTCTTTTCTTCTTTATTAGTCTTGCTAGTGGTCTATCAATTTTGTTGATCTTTTCAAAAAACCAGCTCCTGGATTCATTGATTTTTTGAAGGGTTTTTTGTGTCTCTATCTCCTTCAGTTATGCTCTGATCTTAGTTATTTCTTGCTTTCTGCTAGCTTTCGAATGTGTTTGCTCTTGCTTCTCTAGTTCTTTTAATTGTATGTTAGGTTATCAATTTTAGAACTTTCCTGCTTTCTCTTGTGGGCATTTAGTGCTATAAATTTCCCTCTACACAATGCATTAAATGTGTCCCAGAGATTCTGGTATGTTTTTCTTTGTTCTCATTCGTTTCAAAGAACATCTTTATTTCTGCCTTCATTTTGTTATGTACCCAGTAGTCATTCAGGAGCAGGTTGTTCAGTTTCCATGTAGTCGAGCAGCTTTGAGTGAGTTTCTTAATCCTGAGTTCTAGTTTGATTGCACTGTGGTCTGAGAGACAGTTTGTTATAATTTCTGTTCTTTTACATTTGCTGAGGAGTGCTTTACTTCCAACTATGTGGTCAGTCTTGGAATAAGTGCGATGTGGTGCTGAGAAGAATGTATATTCTGTTGATTTGGGGTGGAGAGTTCTGTAGATGTCTATTAGGTCTGCTTGGTGCAGAGCTGAGTTCAATTCCTGTATATCCTTGTTAACCTTCTGTCTCGTTGATCTGTCTAATGTTGACAGTGGGGTGTTAAAGTCTCCCATTATTATTGTGTGGGAGTCTAAGTCTCTTTGTAGGTCTCTAAGGACTTGCTTTATGAATCTGGGTGCTCCTGTATTGGGTGCATATATATTTAGGATAGTTAGCTCTTCTTGTTGAATTGATCCCTTTACCATTATGTAATGGCCTTCTTTGTCTCTTTCGATCTTTGTTGGTTTAAAGTCTGTTTTATCAGAGACTAGGATTGCAATCCCTGCCTTTTTTTGTTTTCCATTTGCTTGGTAGACCTTCCTCCATCCCTTTATTTTGAGCCTATGTGTGTCTCTGCACGTGAGATGAGTTTCTTGAATACAGCACACTGATGGGTCTTGACTCTTTATCCAATTTGCCAGTCTGTGTCTTTTAATTGGAGCATTTAGCCCGTTTACATTTAAGGTTAATATTGTTATGTGTGAATTTGATCCTGTCATTATGATGTTAGCTGGTTATTTTGCTTGTTAGTTGATGCAGTTTCTTCCTAGCCTTGATGGTCTTTACAATTTGGCAAGTTTTTGCAGTGGCTGGTACCGGTTGTTCCTTTCCATGTTTAGTGCTTCCTTCTGGAGCTGTTGTAGGGCAGGCCTGGTGGTGACAAAAATCTCTCAGCATTTGCTTGTCTGTAAAGGATTTTATTTCTCCTTCACTTATGAAGCTTAGTTTGGCTGGATATGAAATTCTGGGTTGAAAATTCTTTTCTTTAAGAATGTTGAATATTGGCCCCCACTCTCTTTTGGCTTGTAGAGTTTCTGCCGAGAGATCAGCTGTTAGTCTCATGGGCTTCCCTTTGTAGGTAACCCGACCTTTCTCTCTGGCTGCCCTTAACATTTTTTCCTTCATTTCAACTTTGGTGAATCTGACAATTATGTGTCTTGGAGTTGCTCTTCTCGAGGAGTATCTTTGTGGCATTCTCTGTATTTCCTGAATTTGAATGTTGGCCTGCCTTGCTAGATTGGGGAAGTTCTCCTGGATAATATCCTGCAGAGTGTTTTCCAAATTGGTTCCATTCCCCCCTTCACTTTCAGGTACACCAATCAGACATAGATTTGGTCTTTTCACATAGTCCCATATTTCTTGGCGGCTTTGTTTATTTCTTTTTATTCTTTTTTCTCTAAACTTCTCTTCTTGCTTCATTTCATTCATTTGATCTTCCATCACTGATACCCTTTCTTCCAGTTGATCAAATCAGCTACTGCAGCTTGTGCATTCGTCACGTAGTTCTCATGCCGTGGTTTTCAGCTCCATCAGGTCCTTTAAGGACTTCTCTGCATTGGCTATTCTAGTTAGCCATTCGTCTAATCTTTTTTCAAGGTTTTTAACTTCTTTGCCATGGGTTCGAAATTCCTCCTTTAGCTCGGAGAAGTTTGATCGTCTGAAACCTTCTTCTCTCAACTCATCAAAGTCATTCTCCATCCAGCTTTGGTCCATTGCTGGTGAGGAGCTGCGTTCCTTTGGAGGAGAAGAGGGGCTCTGATTTTTAAAATTTTCAGTTTTTCTGCTCTGTTTTTTCCCCATCTTTGTGGTTTTACCTACCTTTGGTCTTTGATGACGGTGATGTACAGATGGGGTTTTGGTGTGGATGTCCTTTCTGTTTGTTAGTTTTCCTTCTAACAGTCAGGACCCTCAGCTGCGGGTCCATTGGAGTTTGCCGGAGGTCCACTCCAGACCTGTTTGCCTGGGTATCAGCAGCAGAGGCTTCAGAACAGAGAATATTGGTGAACAGCAAATGTTGCTGCCTGATCGTTCCTCTGGAAGTTTTGTCTCAGAGGGGTACCCGCCTGTGTGAGGTATCAGTCTGCCCCTACTCAGGGGTGCCTCCCAGTTAGGCTACTCGGGGGTCAAGGACCCACTTGAGGAGGCAGTCTGTCTGTTCTCAGATCTCCAGCTGCATGCTTGGAGAACCACTACTGTCTTCTAAGCTGTCAGACAGGGACATTTAAGTCTGCAGAGGTTTCTTTTGCCTTTTGTTCGGCTATGCCCTGCCCCCAGAGGTGGAGTCTACAGAGGCAGGCAGGCCTCCTTGAGCTGCGGTGGGCTCCACCCAGTTCGAGCTTCCCGGCTGCTTTGTTTACCTGCTCAAGCCTCAGCAATGGCGGGCGCCCCTCCCCCAGCCTCACTGCTGCCTTGCAGTTTGATCTCAGTCTGCTGTGCTAGCAATGAGTGAGGCTCTGTGGGAGTGGGACCCTCTGAGCCATGCGTGGGATATAATCTCCTGGTGTGCCATTTGCTAAGACCATTGGAAAGGCGCAGTATTAGGGTGGGAGTGACCCGATATTCCAGGTGCCGTCTGTCACCCCTTTCCCTTGGCTAGGAAAGGGAATTCCCTGACCCCTTGCGCTTCCCGGGTGAGGCGATGCCTCACCCTGCTTCAGCTCATGCTCAGTGCACTGCACCCACTGTCCTGCACCCAGTGTCCAACAATCCCCAGTGAGATGAACCCAGTACCTCAGCTGGAAATGCAGAAATCATCTGTCTTCTGCATTGCTCATGCTGAGAGCTGTAGACTGGAGCTGTTCCTATTCGGCCATCTTAGACTCTCTTGCATTCTCACTCTTGCACATTCACTCAAGATTTTTCTATCACCTGGGCCACCCTTCCCACAACTCATCTCTAGAGAACCAAGATCCTTCCCTCCCCAGAAATCTATATCCCTCACTTAACATCTAATAGTATGTCTAATTGCCAACATTCATTAAGCAAACAGCCATTGACTGCTCAATAGTGTGAGGTGAGCTAATCTTTGGGAGTGCAGATGGAAGAGACATATTTCCTGCCCTCAGAGGTTTGAAGTTCACTGGAAGCTAAGCATTGCCCACTAAAATGAACATTTTAAAAAAATTTTTTGTAGAAACAGGGTCTCACTTTGTTGCCCAGACTGGTCTCAAACTCCTGGGTTCAAGTGATCCTCCAGCCTCGGCCTCCCAAAGTGCTGGGATTACACGTGCCTAGCCTAAAATGAACATTCTTAACACTGAATGTTACAGAGGAAACACTGAAGGTGGCACCTGACAGCCTATAGGTGATGATGGGCACTCGTGAAGATGGTCCCGCAGGGAAAGTTTTTTGGAGGAGGTATCACCAGAGCAGAGTCTTAAAGAAATGATGAAGTGAGCCAGGTAAAAAGAGGAAAGCTCCTTTCAGGCAAAGTAGCATCCACAGAGGCTGCAGGAAAGGAAAGCACAATGAATTGAGTATGGCTAGCATGCACAGAAGAGGTAAGAGAGGGACATCAAGAAGTAGTGTGAGCTGAATAAGGAAGAGTGCACTATGCCCAAAAGCCCATATGTTATCCTTACACTAATGGGGGACTTTTGAAGGATTGTAAACAGGGAAATAACCTGATCAGATTTGTCTTTTATAAGGTTCATTAAGGCAAGAGTGGACTGAAAGGGAGGACAGGCCCTAGGCAGAGAGGCTTGTTAGGAAGCAATTTTAGTAAACTATGTATGAAATGAATTAAAGCCATCTCAGTGGGGAAGAAAGGTTGGATTTACAGGAGGTTGGATTTATAGGATTGGGTAAAGTTAGACTTGAAGTCAGAGTGAGTAGGGAGTCGAGGATCATTTCCAGAATTCTGACTAGAGCAGTTGAGTGGCCACGGATGACATTTACTGAGATAGAAATACAGGGGCAGGAGCAGATTGGTAAGGAAAAAGGTGAATTTCATTTTAGACCTAATGAGTTTGAGATGCCTGTGAGATAGTCAAGTAGGAGGCAGTTGGATACACACATCAAAACTCGGGAGTAAGAACTAGGATGGAGACATGACTTTTGGAGCCATGAACACAGATAGTGGAATACAAATAGTGGAAACTGATGAGATCTCGCAGGGATCGTAAGTGAGGGGGAATTAAGGAAGGCACCACCATCCCATCCCCAACCTGCTTCTGAAAAGCTGAAGAAACCAAAAAGTTCTCTACCCAGAGATGGAGAAAACTGTGACCATCCACTTGTCTCGAGTCACCACTTCCCCAAAGGAAAAAGAAACAAAGACTTTTAGGAATCTTTATGGGTCAGAAGTCTATAAATGGCTGATTGTTTTTAAATTTAAATGCCACCCTTTTTTCTGTAACTGCAGAAACTTGGAAAGGTGACCTTTGCTGTAAATCTGCTGACCATCACCAATCCTGATTTGATTGTGCCCTATTCTCTACTTTGAGGGAGGTGGGGCAGCTGGCTTAACATTTAGGAGTTTGTTTTTTTAACTAATAAAGGCTCTGCTTTTCTTTTCTCTAAAGGTTGTTTCAGCCAAACTGCCGTATTCTGCTGTTTCAAATTCAAAATAAAAGAAAACTTAAACCAGAACAAAAGAAAGAAAAGGAATGTTCCCTGGACCTGAAAGTGCTTGAAGTCTTGAAGAACTGCTGTGAGGATTCTTCACTTTAGTGTGCCTGCCTTGTCACCCTACAACAATTGTAAGCTCCCTGAGGCAAAAAGGCAGACTGCACGTGTATGTAGGTCCACCATGGCAACTAGCAGAGTGCCCTCCATATAGAAACTGCCCAATAACTACTTATTGGGATCAGTGTTTGCTTAGACAATTAGACTCATTCATATGCACACCTCTGTAGCTCTTGCGGTCTACTTCACACTACTTATCACAATTATCCTGCTCTCTGGCCATTCATGGGTGCCATCCTGGGAACTGTAATTAGACAGTAAGCTTCTTGAAGACAGGACTTCACCTTGTATTGCACGCCGACCAGAAGTGGTGCCCAATAAAGCTTGTTGATTCACATGTTGTTGTATTTAGAATGAATTTATCCTGCTACATTACACCTTCTGAAAAACAAACAGAATATCTGTCTCAGATTAAACAAGACTATAATAAGTATTCTGAAGCACACTCTAAACAATACATGTTTCTGTATGTAGCCTGAGTATTCATTCAGGAGAGTTTCCACTGAATTAGCCTTCAGCAGGCTGCACTGTGACCTTCAGTTGGTGATGTACATTTCATATGTAGAATTATAAGCAGCATCAATAATGTGGTATATTTCTTGTGAATTAAGTCATCAGAGGCTTCCAGTGCAATGCAGGAAGTTGCACTCACTGCACAAACCTTATGGAAAGAAGGAGAGAAGGAGAAAAAGAAGACAGAAGAAAATGAGAATGTATTCAGGGAGGCAAAGGAAGAGAAAAGGAAGGGCTCATCACAACAAATCTGTGTCAATGAACTCCAGCTCAGACAGGCCAGGAGGGTACTCCACAGCCTCCAAATGGCTTCACAAATCTCCTTTCCATTCAGAAAGAGTTACAGGAAACCTTTCTAAAAAGTATTCCAACAGAATAGCTAGCGAAATAGGAGGTACAAAAGGGTAGAGAAGCAGCATTATAATTTTTTTAAAAAAATGAAGTAAGATGGAAGAAATCAGTCTGTTACTAATCACTAAAAAAGCAAATGGATTATAATTACCTATACAAAGTTGGAAATTCTCAGAAGGAATACTGATAACAAGACAAAACCAATTCCAGCTATTATATGGTGCTTATAAGAGACACATGGAAAACATAATGACAGCAAAAAGTTGAAAGTTAAAGGAATGGCAAAAATATACTGAGCAAATATTAGCTAAACAAACCTGTGGTGGCAATATTAATAAGACACAAAATAGAATTCAAGGCAAAATGCAGCATTAGAAAAACCCTAGAGAGGCCACTGGAGGGGCAGGGTGAGCTGTCTTTCAGGGGCAGGGCGGGCAGGCCTTAGCTGTGAGGGAATGGGGTAGGCATAAGGAGAGGGCCAAGTGGTGATGGTCAGAGCCAATCAGTCAGGGCTGATTGAACAATGAATACGCTTGTTCCAATCAGACACACAGAGAATTTCACAAACAACAGATAAAGAGACTACATGATTTTTTTTAAGCACACATAGAGCAGTTACAACAACTGAAACTAATCTTCACAAACAACCTATGAAGGAGGTACTATTATATTCTCAGTTTACTTATGGGAAACCTGAGGCCCAAAAGTTAAGAGACTTGTCCAAAGTCACACAAATCAGATAGGAGCAGGGCTGGATGTAAATCCAGACACTCTGGTTCCAGGGTCCAACTTTTAGTAATAGAAGCAAGGGCAAAGAATGAATAAAATAGAAAACTGAGAAACAGTAGAGGTGTTCAACAAATCAAAAGCTGATTTTCTGAGAAGACAAAATTATAAACTGTTTATGAGACCAATCAAAAACTTAACGAATAAAAAGAGCATATATAATCATGATAGAAATATAACTACAGATATGGCAGAAGTTTTAAAATATGTAAGATAATACTATCATCAACTTTATAGCGATCTTTTAAAACATGGATGAAAGGTGCAATCTTCTGAAAAGATTTAAATCCTAAAACTGACTTAAAAAGCTAAAAAATAAATATACCAGTAGCAATTAAAGAGATTGACTCTGTAGTCAAATTCTACTACTCCTCCCCCTAAAAGCACCAGGCCCACTAGTTAACATTCGCTAAACTTTTAAGAAACCATTATCCTTATTTCGCACGACTCTTTCATAGAATGGAAAAAGAGGAAGAACCTTATTAAGAAGACCCAAAGTAAACTTACATACAGATGGTAGGGTGGATGCGATATTACCCTTATACTTTTCTGTACTGTTCAAATATTTCATATTAAAAATAAGATATGGGAACTACACGGGGCCAGCTATCAAGTAGGTCTACATTATATTTTTTATTCCAAATTTCATATTATTTGATTCAAAATTTAGTCAATCATCTCAAAATCCATAATATCTAATTACTTATTTTTTCTTTTTCATTCAAGTTGCTGTTTCTTAGGGGATATTTCCAACACATCAGACCAACCTCTCAGCAATGTTGTCAGTGTGCAGTGCAGGCAACTTTCTCTCACAGACACCCTTTCAGAAAGAAGAATAGTTGTTCTCTTCTAGACAGTTTCCGAATCAGTAACCATTTGAACGTGTCACTACTTGAATTCTCCAACAGAAATGTGTGCAAGCCCTACCTTAAAAACCTTTGTGTGGGCACTGACATTCTTTGGATATTAGTCCTGCCTCTATGGGGAATTATCTTTAGAAACAGGTCATCCTTATTCTTTCCCAATAAGTGCATTCGTGTTTAAATTTCTTGATCTACAGAGAAACCAACCTGAGGAAGGATTAACCCATGTAATGCTCTGTAGAGGGTCAGAGTCAAAAGGCAAGGGCTTAGAGAGAGTATGCTTAGGCTGAGTAATTTCAGCAGATGGTACCATAGGAGCAGCACCATCTCAGTGAAAACTTTGCTGCCTACTGTTCTAAGAGGCTAGTAGAAGGATCTGGAAAGGTCACAACGCAAGTTTCCAATTGTTGCATTAACTCAGGGTGGGAAAAAAAACTATATCCCAAGAAATATACCAGAAAGTTAACAAAAGTAAAGTTTAATTGCAGTGAGTAATATTAGAAAGACCAATTTAATTACAGTCAGATGATAAGGAAAGAGAATGAAACAAGCTCAGCATAAAAACATCTTAACTGATAAATTATAGTATAATGGCCTACATACTATCTCTGATTCAGCTGAGGTCATTCTAAGGACTGGAAACTCTCTTAGAGAAAGGCATTATGAATTTGGAGAAGGGTGCTTTCAATTATCAGTCAGACTGTCACTCCTAATCCTGATATTAAATCATTTTGTACTATCCTTCAGCAGTGTTTCCAGCGCAAATGATGCCAAAGAATGGTAACAGCTTTCTCTGTTGAGGATCCAAAAAGGGCAGGGAGAATCATATCTAAAATTTATCAGAATGTTTATTTAGAATTTGCCATTTAAAGGAAATGTGATATAAATAATTTTGGGCAAAGGGACTTCTTTTGTAGAATAAAGTCACTTTTTTGCAAACAAAGTCACCCCCTTGTTTCAGGGTCAACTTAATTATCCTTTTCTATTCAAATTTATGTTGTAGGTGATGTTAGCTGCATTGATTTCAATTTTGTGCCCATGTTTCAGATCACACTGACATGTAGCATATTGTATGTTGTAAAATAGGTTAAATTATAATGTTACCATTAATACTCTAAGATGGGCAATAGGTGTTAATCTCTGTTCATTTTTGCCACATTTTCTACAAAATAAATTGTTTTCTGATGATTGGTCATTTTTCTCAACCTGAATTATCTGCGGCCTTCCTTATTGCATGCTATCTTACTTTCTTCTCCACTAATGGTATTCAATAACATTGTACCAGAACTTCCTGTTCATTGATATTTTTTTGGTTGTCGTTTTGCTAGAGAGTATTGTCATTGCTTCCTTCAGTGTTTACATATAAGATATGCTTATCCAATATTGAAACACCAGCAATTTTCTATTTGTTCATTTTATCCCTCAACAAACATTTGTTTCACATCCACTGTGCAATAGGTTCTGAAAATGCAAACCCTAAATAAGACACCTGCGGCACTTAGCCTCTTGTTCATCAGCCTCCTCCCCTCCACCACTCCTTTACCTGGCTAATTCTTAGCCATTCTTCAAGTTAAATGCTACTGAGGCAGAGTAGGTTGATGATTGGAAACAGAAAATTGGATGTGGCCTCGGGGAGGTCGCTGGTGACTTCAACAAGAACATTTTTAGTTGAGTTGGGGGAAGATCAGAATCCAGACTATAGGTAAAGCAAGCGAGAAAGCACAGCCAACAAGCACAGACTTTATTTCAGAAGATAAGTAACAAAAAGGAGAAATCAGATATGGCGGCAACTGGAAAGGTAGAGATATCAAATAGAAAGGTTGTTTTTGTTCTGAGATAAATTTAAGTATGTTTATAAACTTCAAAGCAAGGATCCAAATAGTTGGAAGACACTAAGGATACAGGAAAGAATAAAGATAATTTATGTAGGGAGCCTCCAGACTGATGTGTGGTAAGCTGTGGGCATAGCTAGAAGATGCTATCTGGGAAGGAGGAACACTTCTATGCCTGGCATGTAAGGGAAGGAAGAAATACGAGAACAATTAAAATCTAGAAGTGGAAAGTAGGGAAGGAAGAATAAGAGAAATGCCTCTTATTTTTATTGACAATAGAATGGAATAGAATTATTTTCAAAGAGAAAGAAAGATAAAGAACAGGTAGAAGTTTGAGAAAAATGGTAGATGCGCAGCACAACTTCTAGAAGGAATGTTTACAGTGGATTCTGCTTTTGCCCCGCTAGATCCATTCTTCATACTTTCTACCCTGTTCCCCTGTTCTATGCCCCAAGTGACTTTGTCAGTTGTGGATTGCACCCACCAGTTTCCTAACTCTCTGGTTTTTGGCTGGTTTCAACCAGTGGGAGACAGGAGAATGTGGGATATTTATTTCCCTAGGTCCCTTTCTACCTGGCTGTGAGCAGCCAGTGGCAGACTTCCTCTTCAGAGGGCCGCAGCTCTCATCAGAGGACTTCCCTTACAGCTACAGGTCTTAATGGATTCCTCATCCCCTGCAGGCTTCAGGGAGTAATGGCTTTCCCTCTTTTGCTAGCCCTGGGGCACTTCAACAGCCTTTGTTGGTTTCCCATAATCCTGCCCACACCTGGGCAAACAGTCCTTTCATTAAAGTCTCCACTCTTCACATTGAGGTGTGCCACTCATTTCCTACCTGAGATCCTGATGCAGAATGCAAGAGGAAGCTGCGTGGTGTCAAGTAAAAGAATTGTCTTAGGCACGGGTGAGGTTAGGAAGTACAAATCTCTCATGCTTATTTTCTCTTGTTAATCTTGTTGCCCATGAGCAGAAGCAGATGAAGAGGACGGTGGGATTCACTGAAGCTTGCTGACAAAAGAATACATGTGGCAAAAGAAAAGGAAGAGGAATCAAGGATGCTAGTGAATGGGTCATTAAAACAGCTGTCTTTGACCTAATAGTTGTGCTTTCCATGTGCAGTGTGAGATTCAGAAAAACTTTATTTTCTGTTGGTTTCTCAAGTCTCTAAAGCTGATTTATAATCTTCCTTGAATTTACCTATATATGAAATGAATCTTCAGAAAACAGGAATACACGCGCACACACACACACACACACACACACACACGAGACCATTCAAGTTCTGAAAATATTAGACGATCTGAATTTTCTAATATAGAAGAGGAGCCACATTTTCTTGACCAGAAAATGCACTGAGACATTACACTTCATTCTACCCACTTGTACTGGCCTCTGTCATCTTTTTTTGTGGTATATTATTTCCTCTTCAAGGCCCAGCCCCAATTTCACCTCCTCTGGGAAGGCTCTCGAGATCAATGAAGCTTTATCCTTCCTGAAGGAACCCATTTCTTAGTGATATGGTCTATTTGGTGGTGGATTATCACTTTTCTTTATTATTATCTTTCCTACAGCCAAAATATTATGATTTGGGGAATTCACCCGAGCTCCTAGCAGTGCCTTGTACATATCAAGTGTTTAATAAATGTTTATTGATTGACTTATTACTTATCCATGATATGGAAAATTTTTTAAAGATCTTAATAATTAGAAGACAGCTACTTAGTTTCATTTTTTCCTATGCTTAGGAAAAATTTGAAGAACAGATAAGAATGCAGAGCAGGAAGATCATCACATAGACCTGTTTAGTGGCACGGATGTGACTTCTAAACCTTCACCATATCCCCTCACAATTTTCAGTCAGGACCACTCATCCTGGAGATGGACGCCCTGGGGTTGCTGAAAAGCAGGCATGATGAGATTGTTTCCTTTTATCACACCTAGTCTTAAGTCTCTAATAATAACTAGTTTGTTCACATTCCCAAGGCACAGTGGCCTAGGAGTAACTTTGACAAATCTGACCAACCAAATTACTAAGTCCTTTGCAGTTCTTCCATTTTAGGGACCTAAAACGATGGGTCCCCAGAAAGGTATGCTCTGGTCTGAAAATACGTCTGAATTAGTAGTTTTTACACCTTGAAAGCAACAGCAACTTCTCCAAAATGAGCGTAACATTATTTAACAGGCATTTCATGGCAAATGCTATTAAAGCAATTCATTTTGAACTTTGCATTTCAATTTTAAAACCACTAGTGGAAGTAACTCTCCCTCTCTCTTGAAGACTACATCACCTTTAAAACAAGCTCATCATCCACTAATCCATTTCCAAGCCCAGTTAGGGAAACTGGGTTAAGCACATACAACAGTAGGCTGTGGCTTGATTGAGTGAGAGTTCCTTCTTTATCATGATTGGCAGAGTCCTCACTAGGGAAAGCAGAGCACCTGGTTCTAACTCTAATTTGTCTTCTTTGCATGAATAATTCATGCTACCTCTACCTGACCAGGCCATTACAACAGTAGGGAATGGTCTCTACATACAGATCCCTGGCTAAAGCCTGGTCTGAACACACTGTCCCTTCCGACCCAGCAGAAAAATTCGGCTTCTATGCAGGTCAGTTCTTGTTCAAGATCAGGTTGATGGCCACTTAATGTTAAATTGGTGTACTGTGAATTTGGCATTAGTAATTCCCAGTTTGTTTTATCTAAGGACTGGCCTGCTTCAACATTTAACCTTTAAAGAAATGCAGATCCCTTCCTGGTAAGATGGGACCATGTTATGTGAACATTTTGAGAATATCTATTTATTTGAAAGTTTTATAGAATGGCACATATCTGTAAATGGAACAGAAACTCGGATTGATTTTGAAGAAGGAAGGAAGGAAGGAAAGAAAGGAGGGAGGGAGGGAGGGAGGGAAGATATGAATCGGCTCTGCACAGATGTGGGTGCATCCAAGCTCAGCTGGTAAGTTCTCAGTTAGTTGACTTGTTTGTTTGGTGAGATTCTTATAAGAACTGCTCACCATGGGCTGCACTGTGAGGGCTCCTCACAGCCTTAGATCCTGACCAAACACAGTCCTTGACTTAGTTTCAAAACTGATCAATGCCACAGAACATGCCATGACCCTGCCTGGAAAGCCCTTCCTATGTCGCTGATCTAATTCACCACCCCTGTGTGGCCATCACACTTCAAGCACAGTCTAGTTGGAGATAACATAATTCATTATAATTGGTTTTCCTGACAGAAATGATTTACAAACTCACTGGAGGACTGAGAAACTCCATACTAACCTTCAAAAAATAATCCCAAAGTCAGTCCTATCTCAGGCCAGGAGCTCCAAGGGAGCTTCTGCTGCCCACCCCCAGGAAGCTGGGGAACTAGAAACCTGGAGAACAAGGAAGTGGCTGCTAAGTAGCTGACTCCAAAGCCATGTTGCCTCTACCACAATTGACCCAGCAAGGTGGATGCCCTACTCTCTGCCAGTCAAAGCCCTAAGGGCCAGGGCCAGGGCACTGGGACCTCTGCTTCAGCAGGAAAGCTAAATGCTCCCCATGCCGTGGGCCAGCAGAGACTTGACTCTGGCTCACAGGGCTCCACTCCTGCCTTCCCAGCCTCAGTCAGGAACGTCTGATTGTGCAGCCTCAATCTCATCCAGAACACTAGCTCTCCAGCCTCTGCACTTCAGGCAAGCATGGAGAGAAGACATAGTTCTTCCAGCAGTGAGGAGGTGGGGGGCCAAAGGAGGGGGTCAAGAGAGGAATTAGAATCCGAAAATAACTGACAGGATGGAGAGAGCTGAGACCAAGAAAGTCTATCTACTCCTGACACCACTGAAGAGCACAGCCAATTAGCCTGAAGGGGTTGTGCTAGATAGAGCGTAACTTGAAATCTCTTTCATGTGCCACACTGAAGAAACACAGGTCTTGGAATCAAAAGACCTACTAGGTATTCCATGATCACCTCACTGAGCATCAGTTTCTGTGTTTGTAAAAATTGGAATGATAGTGTTTAGTAAATACTTATCCTATTTCTTCTCTGCTTAGCACTGACTTATCTATTAGGCACAGAAGGCACAGTACCTACAGCCCACAATACCTAAAGGAGACAAAAAAAATTAAAATTCTTTTAAAGTCAGAAGAAAAGAGTAATTTAATCTAGCCTGGATTATATTCATCACTATATCAAAGCAATCATAAAATATAGTTTTTAATATTTTATGAAGCTCCCTTCAAGGTCTCAAGGGGTTAAGTGACAAGGGCCCACAAAAGTCATAATGTGGCCCTGTCTCCTCCCTCCTTTTTGAAGACCTTTCTCTCCACCACACCTTATCCACCTGGTGATAGTACTGAGTCATCAGCAACTATTTTTGTACTCATGACTCTGCAGTTTTGGTTTGATTGTACCAAGACCTATATTTGACCCAAGCTGGGACAGTTAGAGTCCAGTCCACTCAACCCTCATCATTCTGGACACTGTAGACTTGTTTGAGGTAGGGCAGGTGAGTAGTATTTGGGGATGGGTCACCTGACTCAACTCGGGCCAATCAATTTCTTCCTTATGAATTTGGACTTGTTAATATCAAGCTGACACTCAATATTAACCATCACAGAGCATAAGGGACATTTTTTTTTTTTGAGACATGATCTCACTCTGTTGCCCAGGCTGGTGTGCAGTGGTGTGATCTTGGCTCACTGCAACCTCCACCTCCCAAGATCAAGTGATCCTCCTACCTCAGCCTGCCAAGTGGGTGGGACTACAAGCATGAGCCACTGCACCTGGCTAATTTTTGTATTTTTTATAGAGACAGGGTTTCACCATGTTGCCCGGGCTGGTCTTAAACTCCTGGGCTCAAGTGATCCACTTGCCTTGGCTGCCTGAAGTGCTGGGAACACAGGTGTGAGCCACTGAGCCCAGCCCATAAGGGAACTTTTGAGGTGTCAGAAATGTTCTATATCTTGATTGTGGTGGAGCCTACAAAACTGTATGGGTTTATCAAAACACAGACCTGTACACTACAAATGATGAACGTTACTGTAAGTAAATTATATCTCAGTAAATCTGATTTTTACATTTTCATGGAGAAAAAAGTAACTTCATTTGCTTAAACTAGTACCAATGTGTTCCTATAACTTTCAATTAAGAGTTCTAAGTGAGACTCCCTGGATGAAGATGGAGAATAGGAGGCAAGACTAACTTGCAGCTCCCACTTGGACAGACAGAGCAGCATGTGGAGACTCACATAGTGAACTTTTGCTCCAAGAACTAGCACAGCAATATACCAGGAAAGTTGAAAGAATCCACAGACCCTTTGAAGGAACTGAATAATCACTGCAGGCTCCCCGAGACTCTGAAAAACTATGAGACTGCTTGCTTGCTCAATGATGAGGCTGGTGGTCTGGAGCAAGTTCTCAGCCCTCCTCTCCAGATGCCTGGAAATAGACTCAGTGCTGTTGGGGGGCACAGTGGGAGTGAGACCAGCCTTTAGGACTGCGGGCTGCATGGAAGCAGGGTGAGGCTTGTGACTGCCAGCTTTCCCCTACTTCCCTGGTGACCTGCGTGATGCGGCATAGTCAGCCATAATCCCCCGAGAACATAACTCCATTGGCCTGGGAACTACACCCCCATCTCTCACAGCAGTCACAGCAAGCCCCACCCAAGGAGAGTCTGAGTTCAGACACGGCTGACCCTGCCCCCACCTGATGATCTTTCTCTACTCTTCCTGGTTGTGAAAGACAAAGGACAATCTCTTGGGAGCTCTATAGCCCCACCTACCACCTGATCCTCCCTATAAAAACAGAGCTGATGTGCTCTTGAAAGTGCCACCTATTGGCTGGAGGCCAACCAACACAAAACTGGTGCACTAAACAAAAATACAAACAAGGACCCTCACAGAGTCCACTTCACTCCCCTGCTACCTCCACCAGAGCAGGTGCTGGTATCCACAGATGAAAGACCTGAAGATGAATCACATCACAGGACTCTTTGCAGACACTCCCCAGTACCAGCCTGGAGCCTGGTAGCACCTCTAGATGACTAGACCCAGAAAAGCAAAACAATCACTGCAGTTTGGCTCTCATGAAGCCCATCCCAAGGGAGAGAACACCACATCAAGAGAGCACCTTGTGGGACAAAATATTCTGAACAGCAGCCCTGAGTCCCAGATCTTCCCTCTGACATAGTCTACACAAATGAGAAGGAACCAGAAAAACAATTCTGGTAATAGGAAAAAACAAGGTTCTTTAACACCCCCAAAAGATCACACCAGCTCACCAACAATGGATCCAAACCAAGATGAAATATCTGAATTGCCAGAAAAAGAATTCAGAAGGTCAGTTATTAAGCTAATGAAGGAGGTACCAGAGAAAGGTGAACTCCAAATTAAAGAAATTGAAAACATGATACAGGATATGAAAGGAAAAATCTTCAGTGAAATAGCTAGCATAAATAAAACCAATCACAACTTCTGGAAATCAAGGATGCACTTAGAAAGACGCAAAATGCACTGGAAAGTCTCAGCAATATAATCAGATAAGCAGAAGAAAGAACTTCAGAGCTCAAAGACAAGGCTTTCAAACTAACCCAATCTATCAAAGACAAAGAAAAAAGAATTTTTAAAAATGAGCAAACCCTCCAAGAAGTTTGGGACTATGTTAAGCATCCAAACCTAAGAATAATTGGTGTTGCTGAGGAATAAGAGAAATCTAAAAGTCTGGAAAATATGTTTGAGGGAATAATCAAGGAAAACTTCCCTGGCCTTGCTAGAGATCTAGACATCTAAATACAAGAAACCCAAAGAACACCTGGTAAATTCATTGCGAAAAGATCATTGCCTATGCACATAGTCATCAGATTATCTAAAGTCAAGATGAAGGAAAGAATCTTAACAGCTGTGAGGCAAAGGCATCAGATAACTTATAAAGAAAAACCTATCAGATTAACAGCAGATTTCTCAGCAGAAAACCTACAAGCCACAGACATTCAATGCCATCCCATAAAAGCAGCCGGGAAGGGGGCTATATCCTGCAAAGCCACAGGGGCAAAGCTGCCCAAGGCTGTGGGAGCCCCCCTCTTGCATCAGCGTGACTTGGATGTGAGACATGGAGTCAAAGGAGATCATTTTGGAACTTTAAGTTTTAATGACTGCCCTACTGGATTTCGGACTTGCATGGGGCCTGCGGCCCCTTTGTTCTGGCCAATTTCTCCCATTTGGAACAGCTGTATTTACCCAATGCCTGTACACCCCATTGTATCTAGGAAGTGACTAACTTGCTTTTGATTTTACATGCTCATAGGTGGAAGGGACTTGCCTTGTCTCAGATGAGACTTTGGACTTGGACTTTTGAGTTAATGCCAGAATGTGAAGAATTTGCAGGACTGTTGGGAATGCATGATTATGTTTTGAAATGTGAGGACATGAGATTTGAGAGGGGCCAGGGCAGAATGATATGTGTTGGCTGTGTCCCCAACCAAATCTCATATTATATTGTAGTTCCCATAATCCCTATGTGTCATGGGAGGAACCCAGTGGGAGGTAAATGAATCATGGGGGCTGTCAACCCCATGCTGCTGTTCTTGTGATAGTGAGTGAGTTCTCACAAGATCTGATGGTTTCATAAGGGGCTTCTCCCACTTTTGCTCAGCACTTATCCTTGCTGCTGCCATGTGAAGAAGGACATGTTTGCTTCCTCTATTGCCATGATTGTAAGTTTCCCGAGGCCTCCCCAGCCATGCTGAGCTGTGAGTCAACTAAACTTCTTTCCATTAAAAATTACCCAGTCTCAGTTGTGTCTATTAGCAGCATAAGAATGGGCTACTACATATTGGAAGTCCTAACCAGCGCAATCAGACAAGAGAAAGAAATGAAGGGCATCCAAGCTAGTAAAGAGGAAGTCAAACTGTCACTGTTTGTTGATGATATGATCTTATACCTAGGAAACCCTAAAGACTCATCCAAAAAGCTCCTAGAACTGGTAAATGAATTCAGCAAAATTTTAGGATACAAAATTAATGTACAAAAATCAGTAGCTCTGCTATACACCAAAAGCAACCAAGCCGAGAATCAAATCAAGAACTTAACTCCTTTTATAATAGCTTCAAAAAAATGAAGTAATTAGGAATACACCTCACCAAGGAGGTGAAAGACCTTTACAAGAAAAACTACAAAACACTGCTCAAAGAAATCATAGATGACACAAACAAATGGAAACACATCCCATGCTCATGAATGGGTAGAATCAATATTGTGAAAATGACCATACTGCCAAAGTCAATTTACAAATTTAATGCAATTCCCATCAAAATACCATCATCATTCTTCACAGAACTAGAAAAAACAATCCTAAAATTCATAAGGAACCAAAAAAGAGACTCATAGCCAAAGCAAGACTAAATGAAAAGAACAATTCAGGTGGCATCACATTACCTGACTTTGAACTATACTATAAGGCCATAGTCACTAAAACAGCATGGTACTAGTATAAAAATAGGCACACAGACCAGGCGCACTGGCTTACACCTGTAATCCCAGCACTTTGGGAGGCTGAGGCGGATGGATCACCTGAAGTCAGGAGTTCAAGACCAGCCTGGCCAACATGGCAAAACCCCATCTCTACTAAAAATACAAAAAATTAGTGGGTGTGGTGGCAGACACCTGTAATCCCAGCTACTTGGGAAGCTGAGGCAGGGAGAATAGCTTGAACTGGGGAGGCAGAGGTTGCAGTGAGCAGAGACCATGCCACCGCACTCCAGCCTGGCAACAGAGCAAGACTCTGTCTCAAAAAAAAAAAAAAAGAAAGAAAGAAATAGGCACGTAGACCAATGGAACAGAATAGAGAACTCAGAAACAAATCCAAATACTTACAACCAACTGATCTTTAAGAAAGCAAGCAAAAACATAAAGTGGGGAAAGGACACCCTATTCAACAAATGGTGCTGGGATAATTGGCGAGCCACAGGTAGAAGAGTGAAACTGGATCCTCATATCTCACCTTATATAAAAATCAATTCAACATGGATAAAAAGCTTAAATCTAAGAACTGAAGCCATAAAAATTGTAGAAGATGACATCAGAAAAGTCCTTCTAGACATTGGCTTAGGCAAAGACTTCATGACCAAAAACCCGAAAGCAAATTCAACAAAAAAAAAGATAAATAGATGGGACTTAAACTAAAAAACTATTCACAGCAAAAAGAAGGAATCAGCAAATTAAACAGACAACCCACAGAGTGGGAGAAAATCATCACAATCTATACATCCGACAAAGGGCTAATATCCAGAATCTACAAAGAACTCAAACAAATCGGAATGAAAAGAACAATCTCATCAAAAAGTGGGCTAAGGACATCAATAGACAATTCTCGAAAGAAGATATACAAATAGCCAATAAGCAATTTGGAAAAATGCTCAACATCATTAATTATCAGGGAAATGCAAATCAAAGCCACAATGTGATACCACCTTACTCCTGCAAGGATGGCCATAATCAAAAAATCAAAAAATAATAGATATTGGCATGGATGTGCTGAAAAGGGAACATTTTTACACTGTTGGTGGGAATGTAAACTAGTACAACCACTGTGGAAAACAATGTGGAGATTCCTTAAATAACTAAAAGCAGATGCAGCAATCCCACTACTAGGTATCTACCCAGAAGAAAAATAGTCATTATACGAAAAAGAGACTTCCACACGCATGTTTATAGCAGCACAATTTGCAATTGCAAAAATATGGAACCAGCCCAAATGTCCATCAATCAATGGGTGGATAAAGAAAATGTGGTATATATATACAATGGAATACTACTCAGCCCTAAAAAGGAACGAAATAATGGCATTCGCAGCAACCTGGATGGAATTCGAGACTATTATTCTAAGTGAAGTAACTCAGGAATGGAAAACCAAGCATCATATGTTCTCACTCATAATTGGGAGCTAGGCTATGAGGATGCAAAAGCATAAGAATGATACAATGGACTTTGGGGACTTAGGGAAAAGGCTAGGAGGTGGGTGAGGGATAAAAAAACTACACATTGGGTACAGTGTACACTGCTTGGGTGATGGTGGGTGCACTGAAACCTCAGAAATCACCACCAAAGAACTTATTCATGTAACCAAACATCACCAGTTCCCCAAAAACCTATTGAAATAAAAAACAAATTTTAAAAAGAGTCCTAAGTGATAAAAATATCCAACTTACAATGTTGTGAGAATTAAATGACACAATGTAGTTTCATGTTATGAGGAAGTTAATTCTAATATTAACTCATAAGGCTAAATTTACCCTTGAAAATTCATTAACTCCCCCATAAAATACAGTGTACATTTTTTATGTATACAACCTGGTACAACAGTTCTTATATACACCAAAGTTTGAGAATATAAAGGAAATGTATACGCAGATGATTGAGCTATTAGTTAAAAACAGTCTTTAAAGACAGACTACCTTGGTTCAAATCCCAGTTCCACCACTTCCGGACCCTGGGAAAGGTGCTTCTCTATGCTTCAGGTTTTTCATCTGTACATTGGTGATAATAGTATCTAACTCATAGGTTTGTAGTGCAAATTAGTTAATATATGTAAAACTGTCAGCCAGGCACAATGTAAAGACTATATAATAATGCATTAGCTGTCAATCTGTCAGATAGACCTGCATTATAAGCCCAGCTTCCTCCACTCAGTGAATATCTATTAAGCATCTACAATATAACCACGCACAATTAATTCTAGGTTCTGATAAAAACAAAGATTTTAATTTTTTTTTTTTTTTTTTTTTTTTTTTTTTGAGACGGAGTCTCGCTCTGTCGCCCAGGCTGGAGTGCAGTGGTGCGATTTTGGCTCACTGCAAGCTCCGCCTCCCAGGTTCACGCCATTCTCCTGCCTCAGCCTCCCGAGTAGCTGGGACTACAAGCGCCCGCCATCACGCCCGGCTAATTTTTTTGTATTTTTAGTAGAGACGGGGTTTCACCCTGTTAGCCAGAATGGTCTCGATCTCCTGACCTCGTGATCCGCCTGCCTCAGCCTCCCAAAGTGCTGGGATTACAGGCGTGAGCCACCGTGCCCTGCCAGATTTTAATTTTTGATGGTTACAGTCTATTGGCTTTGCCAAATACTGGCTACATGATCTTGGGCAAAGTTTCTTCATCGGTTGTCATAATGTGTATAGGTGCATAGCACAATGTATGACACAAAGTAAAGGGTAGCTATGTCTAGTGGCTATTATCATGCCCCAGTATGGTATCATAAACGCTAAGTTTATGATAAGTGTTTTTCCATAAACACTAGGAATCTGAGTCTTGACGAAGAATGCATCACTCACGCCTTTCCCCACCAATAGGGGGAGTCATTTTTCAGTTCCGCACTGGGATACATCTTACCAGTTCCAGGCTCCACATAAACCAGGGAATGTATTCTGCATATCCATCAGTTTGGTTTCCCAAAACACGGCAGGTGCCACGTCCTCCTCTGAGTTAGTCTGATAAGAAAAGGAACTTGAAGCAATATCTCTTTTTTTGTCTAAATGTAGGGCCTTTAAACAGAGGATACACACACTCAAGGTATGAGTAAAATCAAAGGAAATGTAAACAGCGCCTCCCATTCTCCTTAAAAAGGGAATAAAGTGGAGTACGCTTAATCCAAAGAGGGAAGTACAAGGGTTCCACTTATTCCAAGTAGAGGAGTTCAGGAGAAGTAGGTGTAGTTATTCCATCTAGGACTGACATATGCAAACTGTAGTTTGTAAAAAGCACAAGGGGCTCTGGCTGAAGGGGTGCGTGAGAGATGAAATCTACTAGCGAAATCTACTAGCCTTGGCAGTTTTGCAACTACTCAGTTGAAGAAGTGTCTCTTTCATTACTCAAAGGTACCTTATGCTTACCACTTCATGTACCTTGAGCTGGGTAGACCCCAAATGGTCTGCTTTTTTTAATTTGCAAAAAGTCATGGCAAGCCCAGCAGTGGCCCAGGTTTTAATAGGTTAAGCAGCCCCAAGAAACCAAACTTGATCCAGAGTTGAGAAGGGAGAAAACAGGTCTCCATCAGTGGCTTCAGGAAGTGTAACAGTAGCCACATGGACAGCATCACTGTATGACCTGTGCCTCAGGCTGCCCAAACAACGGACCCTCTCTATTTATTGCATGAATTGAGTTTGATCTTGCCATTTAGAGATGTCTACAAATTCAGGAGTTAAGCTGCCCACCCATAAGTGATCCACCAACCCTTTTAAAATAATGCTTAGAATTCAAACAAAATAATTTATTTGCTTCAGCTAGCACTGTATTAAGGTCTGTACGTTTCAATTAATTTAAAGATAATCTGGTTACCAGAAAAAAGAAAATGTCATAACAAAGCAGGATTTTTGTGGGGAGTCCAGACCTCAACAAAGGCTTCCTTTAAGTACCCCATCATCACTGCTCCCTCTCATCACCTCTTTAAAGGGGCTTTAAGTTCCTGTCCTTCTCCTGCCAGCCTGATTTCCCTTCAATAGGGATTTTTAAACTTGGCCCCTTCCTTCCTGTTCAAAGACCATTGCATTTTATTTGGGTATCCATGGTACAAATCATTGTGCTCCACCTCAAACTCGTTAGGATACCTCAAATCTTTTATTTAGCTTCATTGTACCTAAATTTTCTCTTCCGTTAAAGTGGCTTAATATCCCCCTTCAAACCTTTCCCAAAAGGATGAAATTAAGTCATTCATATGACAGAGGCTTTTCACCCACAGATAAAAAAGAATCCTTTTGTTTCCTTTATAGGAGTACCTTCCTTTATGTAACAACTGTATTCCTCAAAATTTTATGTGAACGAAGTCCAGATTTAAAAGTCCTGAGGATGCCCACCACTCAAAGAAAGCTCATGAAGTGGAATTTTGTTAAACAAGGGCAAGTCTAACAAATAATCATCATTGATTCATCTGAGGTTCCACATTGGGTTATCTTAGATGGTGATGATGAAGATGACGAAAATCATCATGATGCAAGTGTAACTCATTTAACAGCTTATGGGTTTTCTAGACACTTTCACACACCTCTCATGTGATGCTCATAACCACCCCCAGGAGATAGTGGTCGGGTATTATTATCCCCAGTTGACAGATGAAGAGGCTGAGGCATAGTGAGGTTAATGATTTGTCCAAGGTTATGCAGCTAATGGACTTGTCCTGAAGGTTCAAACAGTCCCAAAGCCCTTACCCTTGACCTGCACAAAACAGCTCAAGGACCAAAAAAGAAAACCTAGAAATCATCTGTGGTCTGTAGAAATGTAAATAGTTTTCTCTAAGCACTCATGGCCTCAAAACCTTGAAAATCTAAAGCCAAAGTTTTTAACACATAAAATTCTAAAGGAATAAAGGAAACTGCTGACATCTGCAAAGCAGGAAGGCAGTCAATGCAGTATCAACATGATAAAAAATGATTAAATGCTAATCATACCAGCTGAGATATCATAATCAAATTTTGTATTAACAGCTACAATTAAGTAGTAGACATTAGCTACATTATGTTTAAGTGCATCCTGCCAGAATCTTTGTACTTTTCCACTAAACATAAAATAGATCTTAAATCAAGTTTAGGAGACAGAAAATAGAAAGATAAAATGGTGTCACCCACATACCTGGTGTTGGATGAGGGCCTCAATAACCTTGGAGAAAATAGCCAAGGCTTCCAGTTTCCAATCCTTGGTTTGGAGAATATTTTAAGCAGAGGTAGACTTCCTGCTTATGAGATTCTAGATAAAACTATGTAAATTCAACCTGTTACCCAACACCCCCCACAATGAAAAAATATCTAGGAAGGCAGGCAGTGCAGGCATATCCTACCATGGGCTGATCCCAGCTTCCCTGGAATCTGAAAGATGGCCAGAACATTTGTTTGTTGATTGGATGGGGCCACCTTTTAGTTCATACAATCAGCCTTGGATGAATTCCCAGAAATCTTAGGTAGATACCCAAGAATACCCTCTTCCTTCTTTTTCCTTTTCTTTTTTTTTTTTTTTTTTTTTTTTTTGAGACGGAGTCTCGCTCTGTCGCCCAGGCTGGAGTGCAGTGGCGGGATCTCGGCTCACTGCAAGCTCCGCCTCCCGGGTTCACGCCATTCTCCTGCCTCAGCCTCCCAAGTAGCTGGGACTACAGGCGCCCGCCACTACGCCCGGCTAATTTTTTGTATTTTTAGTAGAGACGGGGTTTCACCGTTTTAGCCGGGATGGTCTCGATCTCCTGACCTCGTGATCCGCCCGCCTCGGCCTCCCAAAGTGCTGGGATTACAGGCGTGAGCCACCGCACCCGGCCTCTTTTTCCTTTTCTAATCTTCTATCTTCCTCCAATATCTCAGTGCACTCCTTAGTCTTGACCTTTTCTGCCAGAAATAACAAAAAGTGATAGAATTCAAGATGGGCCGGGTGCGGTGGCTCACACCTGTAATCCCAGCACTTTGGGAGGCCTAGGCAGGCGGATCACTTGAGGTCAGGAGTTCGAGACCAGCCTGGCCAACATGGAGAAACCCTGTCTCTACTAAAAAACATACAAAAATTAGCCAGGCGTGGTGGCACAGGCCTGTAATCCCAGCTACTAGGGAGGCTGAGGAAAAAGAATCATTTGAATCTTGGAGGCGGAGTTTGCAGTGAGCCGAGATCACACCTCTGCAACTCCAGCCTGGGCAACAGAGTGAGACTCTGTCTCAAAAAAAAAAAAAAAAAAAAAAAGACATGTAGAGAACAGGAAAAACCCATTCTCCCAAATACACCCAAAAGTAAGTAGTGTACCCTTCCAATGTCACTTTAAAATATATATATTTGCATAATCTGATTCAAATTTCCCATTCCCATGCTTCTCCCACAGTAGTCTCTCCCAGTGGAAGAAACGTTTGAAATAGGTATATCTTATTGTTTTCTTAGTCATAAATCACAGGTAGGTCATTTTTTCAACTGACAGATGTTGCTTATAAAGTTCTCATCAATATCCATTTTATGTTGGCTTACTAAACTCTGGTAGCTGATGTAAACCACTATGTATTGCCATAAGTGACCAGAACCTTGTGAAAGTCTGTGGTTGAATTGGTTTGTGGTTAGATTATTTTGAACTTCTATTAGCAATCAAAACTTATAGGGGAACAACAGGTCATCTTCCAGACCATGCCTTTGTGGAACTAAGTGGTACATAACAGACTTCAACTTTTTGAAACCTATTGACATTTACTTGACAAATTATAGTTCAAAGGATTCAGAAAATAAAATATTTCCAAATATGATGTATTTCTTTAAAAATCTGAAGTGAAAAGGGAGCACAACATGTGCATGTGCAACAGGCAAGGGTTCTACATTCATACATGGTCTGCAAGAACAGATTCATTTGTTCATTCATTCAAACAAATATTTGTTGCATGAATGCATTATTTGTTGGGCAGGGTGAAAAGTCCTGGGTGTATATCAGTGAACAAAACAAGACAGACTGGGTACTTGCTCTTGAAGTGCTCTTGAGATTTCTCCAGAGAGGAAAAAAGTAAATAAACAAACAAATTATTATAAATGATTAAAGATGTAAGAAAGAAAAAACAGAGGGCTGAGTGGAGAATAAAAGGGGTGGGATACAATTACTTTAGAAAGGATATGAAGGGAACACTTAACAAAATATGTGCAAATTAAGTTAAGCCCTGAAAAATGAGATGATATCATCCATGCAGAATTTGGGAAAAAACATTTTCAGAAGAGAGAAACAGCACATACAATGAATTGACAGGGCTTGATGTGCTCATGGCATCAAAAGGAATTCAGTGTGACTGGAGTGTGCCGAGAGAGAGATAGGCAGGGGCTAGATTATTCAAGACATTGAAGGTCATGATAAAGACTTCTGTTTTATTCTGATGGGAATTGCAAACTGTTAGAGATTTAAACAGGAGAGTGAAATCATTTAATTTATGTTTCATATTGCGCTGGCTACTATGAAGAGAATTGACTGGAGGAGGAAATTAGTGGATGCGGGGAAACAGGAAACTATTACAATAATCCAAATGAGAGCTAATGAGAGCCCGGCACTGGAGTGCAGAAGTGAGATGGGGAGAAGACATTTTTGAGGTAAAATCAAAAGGACTTGGTGGTAACTTAGATATGAGTGATGAGGGCAAGAGAGGAATCAAGGATAATTCTGGCTTGGTGGATGGTGGCACCATTCACTGAGTTGATGGAAAGGGCGCCCAGTTTTTTTCTTTTCTAGTACAAGTTCTGTGGTATAGTGAGGTCTTGGCACATCTGAGGCCCTAAGAGGTTATTTACTGTTCTTGCTAGTAAACTTCCTATGGAGAGAGCTTTCTTGATCCTTTTGCACTGTTAGTCAAGGAAACACAGGAGTGAGCCAACACAGTCCAAAGGAAGCCTCAGAGCTGCCTGAATTCCTAACACTAGGTTCACCAGCCCTAGCTAGTATGTGGAGTGCTAGAAAACAAGGCAAACAGTAGCTTAGTTATGCTCAAGAGCTTTGAAAAATAATAATAATGACATTAAATCACATTTTTCCAGGAGATTAGGCCTTGGGTGCCAAGCATTGAGCATGAGTTGAAGTTTTTGGTAGACTGAGTAGAATATAAGCACACACATACACTGTCCTATGGTATCAAGTTCTTCAAAAAAGCCCAAATCAAGGATAAACAGTTGCCCATTAGGCAACAGAAATTGACTCCCTTGGGAAAGGACACTAAGAGATTAACTTAAGGTCCACCCCTTGGCAGATGGACTTCTCCATTAAAATTACTTGTCAAAGATTCTTCCAGTCAGTTAAGCTCAAAGTCATTAGCTTAATGACAACAGTTCAGAAACATCTTCACCTCTGCAGAGCAGGAGTACCACTCAAAGGTCATCATCTTAAGAGGCATTGTGAGGCTGAGTTCTAAGAGATTAAAATACCTTTGTGGGCAGATAATGCTTAAGTCATATTTCACAGGATTTCAGACATCTCTCTTATTATCTATGTAGATCTTAATGGGAACTCAGCCAGCATGGCCATTGGCCATATGTTCTTCCTTCACCAATTTATACCATCAGTATTTTCACGCCATGAAAATTCTGGTTATAAGAACATTAAAGGAAACCCTAAAAGGATAAAGACATTGGAAAAGAATAACTTAGTATCTGAAGGAGGACTGAAAAGGGATGAAAGAATTCATTGCATTACTGGCATTCATCCAAATGCCAGCTCCCCTCTTACTCATTAATAGAATATGACATCAAGGCAAGAATTCTAGGAGAAATGGGAAAAGCTTCAAAAAGAGACATCTAAAAGAGATATGAGGCTGGGCGCAGTGGCTCATGCCTGTAATCCCCACACTTTGGGAGGCCAGGGCAGGTGGATCACTTGAAGTCAGGAGTTGGAGACCAGCCTAGACAACATGGTGCAACCCCGCCTCTACTAAAAAACAAAAATTAGCTGGGTGTGGTGGTAGGCACCTGTAATCCCAGCTACTCAGGAGGCTGAGGCAGGAGAATCGCCTGAACCTGGGAGGCAGAGTTTGCAGTGAGCCGGGATCACACCACTGCACTCCAGCCTGGGCAACAGAATCAGACACCATCTCAAAACAAAACAAAACAAAACAAAAAAACTACACAAATTAGCTGGGTGTGGTGGTGGGCACCTGTAATCCCAGCTAATAGAGAGGCTGAGGCAGGAGAATCACTTGAACCCAGGAGGCAGAGGTTGCGGCAAGCCAAGATCACACCTCTGCACTCCAGCCTGGGAGAAAGAGCGAGATTCTGACTCAAAAATAAATAAATAAATAAATAAATAAATAAATAAAAGGGAAATGAGGCTTTGCATCCCTTGATGGAACAAATGTATTTTAAGGTATTAACTGTAAGATAATGCTACAAAGCACTCAAAACAACCAGAGTGAAGAAGCAGAACTCAAAGTTAAAAACTAGAATGCAGAGACTTAGGAGGATGAATTTATTTTTCTTATTAAAACCAGTGATCTGTAAACAAATCATCTATTTCCTAAAGATTAATAAAATCAACATTAATCACAATCAAACATTGATTCTGAGTACACTTAATGTATTTAATGTTGATCAGAAACTGGAAAAAAAGTTATTCAATTTTATGGATTTGGATTAGGATCATTCCCAGTTCTGTAAATATTTACACCTATAAGGATATCAGGAAGGAATGTCAGGCAGTTTACTAATAACTTTTCAAAGTCTTAGAAAAGTTGCATTTTTTGCTGGCACCAAGAGGAGAAAACATCATAAAAATAGTTTCAAAATCTACAATCAATCCTTTCTCCAAAATAAATGTCTTTGTTAAAAAAAAAATAGCAGATTTCTGAATTCTGTTTTTCCCTTGGGCTAGTGATCATCCCAGCTCCTGCTCTTTGCTCTGCCCTCACTTCCTCTCATGCTCTGCTGGCCATGAAGGAGCTGTGAAAATCCAGACTCTACCAATAAGACAACTTCAAATTACACAAACACACAGATGAGGCCAGGTGAACTTGCCTTCACTCCTTACTTTTTTCTTGCAGATAGGAACTTTCCCTTTCTGCCATGCTTTTTCTACCTGGAGGCCAAGGGATTCCATCTTTTTCAATAATACTAAGTAAGCCACCAAACTATGTCATAATGTGGCTTGATCATGATAGGCTTTTTCTGGGTCACAGTGTGCTCTTGCCATCTTCAAGAGCCAAGTCAAAGAGTCAAGTCTTTTTTGCAGGAAAGTTTCATATATATATATATATATATGTATATATATATGAACATATATACATATATGTTCATATATGTGTGTGTATATATATATGAAAAAAAAAAATATATATATATATATATATATATATATATATTTTTTTTTTTTTTTTTGAGAGGGAGTCTCGCTCTGTCACCCAGTCACCCAGTCACCCAGGCTGGAGTATAGTGGTGCGATCTCGGCTCACTGCAATCTGCACCTCCCAGGTTCAAGCAGTTCTGCCTCAGCCTCCTGACTGGCTGGGACTACAGGCATGCACCACCATAGCCAACTCTTTTTTTTTTTTTTTGGATTTTTTTGGTAGAGCTGGGACTTCACCATGTTGGCCAGGCTATGCTTGAACTCCTGACCTCAAGTGATCTGCTCCCCCAGGCCTCCCAAAGTGCTGGGATTACAGGCATGAGCCACTGTGCCTGGCCTGTTTCCAATATTATCTGTAAGTATTTTATGTTTTCATTAGTGCTATTTTATTCTTTATAAAAATCAATTGCATACATGTTAGATATTCCTATCTGTCATTTTTATCTGTCACTGTTTCTTTTTCTTTTATTTTTTTAATTTTTTATTGTGGCAATATATACAAAACATAAAAGTGACTCTCTTAACCATTTTAAGTATATGATTCAGTAGTATTAAATACATACATTAATAATGTGCAACCGTCACCACAATCCATTTCCATAACTCTTTTTCATCTTATAAAACTAAAACTCTATACACATTAAACAATAACTCTTCATGCTCCCTGACCTCAGTTGCTTCAATCACCATTCTCCTTTCTGTCTCTGTGATTTTTACTATTCTTAAGTACCTCATATAAATTGAATTATGTAATATACGTTCTTTCATATCTGGCTCCATCTAGCACAGTATCCTCAAGATTCATCCATATTACTGCATGTGATATGGTTTGTCCCTGACCCCACCCAAATCTTATCTTGAATAATTGTAGCTCCCACAATTTCCACGTGTTGAGGGAGGGACCTGGTGGGAGGTAATTGAATCATGGGGTGGTGGGTCTTTCCCATGCTGTTCTGATTATAGTGAATGAGTCTCATGAGATCTGATGGTTTATAAAGGGGAGTTCCCCTACACAAGCTCTCCTGCCTGCTTCCATGTAAGATGTGACTTTGCTCCTCATGAGGCCTCCCCAGCCACGTGGAACTGTGAATCAATTAAATCTCTTTCCTTTATCAATTACCCATGTCTTTATTAGCAGCATGAGAATGGACTAATACAGTAAATTGGTACCAGGTAGTGGGGCACTGCTGTAAAGACACCCCAAAATTTGGAAGCAACTTTGGAACTGGGTAACAGGCAGAGGTTGGAACAGTTTGGAGGGCTCAGAAGAAGAGAGGAAAATGTAGGAACATTTGGAACTTCCTAGAGACTTGGAGATCTCAGAAGACAGGAAGATGTGGGAAAGTTTGGAACTTCCTAGAGACTTGTTGAATGACTTTGACCAAAATGCTGATAGTCATATGGAAAATAAGGTCCAGGCTGAGGTGGTCTCAGATAGAGATGAGGAACTTGTTGGGAACCAGAGTAAAGGTCACTCTTGCTATACAAAGAGATTGGTGGCATTTTGCCCCTGCCCTAGATATCTGTGGAACTTTGAGGGAGATGATATGGGTTATCTGGTAGAAAAAATTTCTAAGTGGCAAAGCATTCAAGAGGTGAAAGACCATAAAAGCTTGGAAAATTTGCAGCCTGGCAATGCAGTAGAAAAGAAAACCCCAGTATCTGGGGAGAAAATCAAGCCAGCTGCATAAATTTGCATAAGTAACCAAAGAGCCAAATGCTAATCACCAAGACAATAGGGAAAATGTCTCCAGGGCATGTCAGAGACCTTCACTGCAGCCCCTCCCAGCACAGGCCCAGAGGCTTAGGAGGAAAAAATGGTTTTGTGGGCTGAACCCAGGGCCCCCCTGTTTATGCAGCCTCCAAACATAGTGCCCTACATCCCAGCTGTTTCATCTCCAGCCATGGCTAAAAGGGACCAACATACAGCTCAGCCCATTGCTTCAGAGGGTTCAAGCCCCAAGCCTTGGTGGCTTACACATGGTGTTGGTCCTGTGGGTGCACAGAAGTCAAAAATGGAGGTTTGGGAACCTCCACCTAGATTTCAGAGGATGTATGGAAATACCTGGAAGTCCAGGCAGAAGTTTGCTGCAGGGGCGAGGCCTTCATGAAGAACCTCTGCTAAGGCAGTGTGGAAGGGAAATGTGGGGTTGGATTCCCCACACAGAGTCTCCACTGGGGCACAGCCTAGTGGAGCTGTGAGAAGAGGGCCACCGTCCTCCAGACCCCAGAATGGTAGATCCATTGACAGTTTGCACCATGCACTTGGAAAAGCCTCAGGCACCCAACACCAGCCCATGAAAGTAGCCAGGAGAGGAGCTGTACCCTGCAAAGCTACAGGGGAGATGCTGCCCAAGACAGTGGGACCCCACCTCTTGAATCAGTGTGACCTGGATCTGAGACCTGGAGTCAAAGAAGATCATTTCGAAGCTTTAAGATTTGACTGCCCCACTGAATTTTGGACGTGCATGGGGCCGGTACCCCCTTCATTTTGGCCGTTCTCTCCCATTTGGTACGGCTGTATTTACACAATGCCTGTACTCCCGTTGTATCTAGGAAGCAACTTGCTTTTCATTTTACAGGCTCATAGGTGGAAGGAACTTGCCTTGTCTCAGATCAGACTTTGGGCTATGGACTTCTGAGTTAATGCTGAAATGAATTAAGACTTTGGGGGACTGTTGGAAAGGCATAATTGATTTTGAAATGCAAGGACATGAGATTTGGGAGGGGCCAGGGCAGAATGATATGATTTGTCTGTGTCCCCACCCCAATCTCATCTTGAATTGTAGCTCCCATAATTCCCATGTGTTGTGGGAGGGACCTGGTGGGAGGCAATTGAATCATGGGGGCGGGTCTATCCCATGCTGTTCTTGTGATAGTGAATAAGTCTCATTAGATCTGATGGTTTTATAAAGGAGAGTTCCCTGATTCAAGCTGTTTTGCCTGCTGCCACGTAAGACTTGACTTTGCTTCTCATTTACCTTCCACCATGATTGTGAGGCCTCCCCAGCCATGTGGAACTCTGAGTCAATTAAACCTCTTTCCTTTATAAATTACCCAGTCTTGGGTATGTCTTTATTAGCAGTGTGAGAATGGACTAATACAGCATGTGTCAGAATTTCCTTCCATTTTAATGCTGAATAATAATATTCCATGATATATCATATTTTTCTTCTCTATTCATCCATAAATAGACACAGGTTGCTTCCCTGTTTTAGCTATTGTGACCCATGCTGATATAAATATGGGTGTACAAATATCTCTTCAAGACCCTACTTTCAATTATTTTGGGTATCATGATGATTTTATTTTTAATTTTTTTTAGGAACTGTCATGCTGTTTTCCATAGTAGCTGTACTATTTTATATTTCCATTAATGGAGCAGAAGAATTATAATTTTTCCACAATCTCACCAAGTTCATTTTCTGCTTTTAGCACATAGCACCATCATAATGGATGTCAGGTAGTAACTCATTGTGATTTTTACTTGCATTTCCCTAATGCTTAGTGATGCTCAGCATATTTTTATGTGCTGATTGGCCATTTTTATATATTCTTTAGAAAAATGTCTATTCAAGTCCTTTGCCTGTGTTTGAACCTGCTTGTTTTTTGTTGCTGTTGTTGTTGTTGTTGTTGTTGAGTTTAGGAGTTCCCTATATATTCCAGATTCCAGATGTTAATGCCTTATCAGATATATGATTTGCAAATATTTTCTCCTGTTCTGTGGGTTCCTTTTTTTTTTTTTTTTTTTTTTGACACGGAGTCTCACTCTGTCACCCAGGCTGAAGTGCAATGGCACAACCTCAGCTCACTGCAACCTCTGCCTCCCAGGTTCAAGTGATTCTCCTGTCTCAGCTTCCTGAGTAGCTGGGACTACAGGCACATGCCACCACACCCGACTAATATTTTATATTTTTAGTAGAGACAGGGTTTCACCATATTGGTCAGGCTGGTCTCAAACTCCTGACCTCAGGTGATCCATCCGCCTCAGCCTCCCAAAATGCTGGGATTACAGGAGTGAGCCACTGCACCCAGCCTATGGGTTGCTTTTTTTACCTCATCAATAGTGTCTTTTGATGCACAAAATTTTTTAAATTTTCATGAATTCTAATTTGTCTATTTTTTCTTTTGTTATCTGTGCCTTTGGTGTTACATTCAAGAAATCATTGCCAAATGCAGTGTTGTGAAGATTTTGCCCTATGTTTTCTTCTAAGAGTTTTACCAAGGACACTCACTTTCACAACTCCAGTACTATTCAACACAGTACTGGAAATCCTAGCCAGAGGAGTTAGACAAGAAAAAGAAATAAAAGGCATCAAAATTGGAAAGGAAGAATTAACATTATCTCTGTTTGTAGATGATATGATCTTATATGTAGATAAACCCTAAAAATTCCACAAAAAATATACAGAACTAGTAAGTGAACTCAGCAAAGTAGCAGGATACAAAGTTAATGCACAACAATCATTTGCATTTATATACACCAACAATGAATAATCTGGAAAGGAAATTACAAAAACAATCCAATTTACAATAACATCAAAAAGAATAAAATACTTAAGAATTGACTTAACCAAGGAGGTAAACGATTTGTACAATGACAACTACAAAACAATGCTGAAAAAAATTTAAAAAGACGTAAATAAATGGAAACACATCCCATGTTCGTGGATCGGAAGTCTTAAAATTGTTAAGATATCGATACTACCTAAAATGATCTATATATTTAATGCAATCTCTATCAAAATAGCAATGAACTTCTTTGCAGAAATAGCAAAACTCATCCCAAATTTCATATGGAATCTCAAGGGACTGTAAATATTTAAAACAATCTTAAAAAAGGAGAACAAAGCCAGAGGACTCACACTTCTTGATTTCAAAACTTACTACAAAGCTGTAGTAATGAAAACAGTGTGGTGATGGCATGAAGACTGACATATAGACCAATGAGATAGAATAGAAAGCCCAGAAATAAACCCTCATATATATGGTCAAATGATTTTTGACATGGTGCCAGGAACCATTCAATAGGGAAAGGACAGGTTTTTCAACAAATGGTGCTGGATAAATTGGATATCACATGCAAAAGAATGAAGTTGTATCTTTACCTAACACCATATACAAACATTACTTCAGAATGGATCAAAGACCATAAACAATAAAACTCCTTATTCATTTTTATTTCTTCTTTTTTATTTTATTTTGGGTGATTTTCTAACCGCTGTATCCCTGATCTTGTGTTCAATTGTGTTTGTTCTTTTTTTGTTGTTTGATGAGACTTTTATCTTTGCACTGATTTTATATTTCCCCATTTCTTTCATTTCTTTACAGAGCAAAGATACATAGCTGTTGAGCCTGTGATCATTCTTTTTAATATTTTCTGGCCAATGTCAATTTAAAGCATGTACACATTAATTATTTCAGTAAGGCTAAGCTATTCTGGCTGCCATGTTTTTCTGAGATAGAAGAATTTTTTTACCTTCTTTTTTCAGTACTTAAAACCAACTGATTCCTAAATCACCTATTCTTCCCTGCTAGGATCCAAATAAAACCGAAGGCCGTCTTGATGAATATGAAAGCTAAATGAAAGTTAAATTTGTCACATTCTTTACCATGCTGCACACTTTCAGAGTTTCATAAATTTTTTTAAAATCCACATAATTAGTTTAGCTTTACCAGAAAAAAAAATTTGAATGACAAGGTCAGGCTCCTGACCTTTCAATAAATTAGAGAAGATTGCCATAAATTGCACAATATAATGAAACACCAATTTGCATATTTGCTGCTATATTAAAAGGGATCGGTTTTAGCTCGCAAAGCAGAACAAACAAAAACATGCATTTTAATAACTCAAATTACTCCCAGGAAGTGACCCTCAGCAGAAAGCCTGATTATCACTACTTAATTAGAAGCCTTGGAAATCTAAATCCTCCTTTAAATCCTATTCTGGGTACAGTGAAAGATGAAGCCATGAGTTTTGTCTAAGATTCAATATTTACTCTTTACTAATATGTTTGCTGGAGAGACTTCCCAAGCATTACAAAGACATGCGAGAAAAAATTTAATATTCAAAGAAAGAGTGCACAAAACCTGTGTTGGCTTGCAGGTGCAAAGCAATTAACAAGCTGGCATTTACAGTACTTTTAATTAATTAATTAAAAATGCAAAGCTGACTTTCATTTCTTTAAATGTTTGAACATTTTATCCATCAATAATAAAGCACTACATGCTGCTGGGCGACAACATCTGGCAAATGAAAAAAGTGAGTCCAGTGTTGAAGTTAACAAGGAAGAATTTGGAATTTGCTATTGCATCACCATCTCTTCTCCCACCCCCTCACTCCCACTAGTACATGACCACACTCAGTGTCAAATGATAGGGGAAATGGTTTGTTGCCAACCCTGGATCATAAACTAAAAGTGACAATATTTGATGTGACAAGTTAACCTTGAATGGGAATGAAAACAACAAGGCTTATCGCAATTACACTCACCATTAAGGACTTGCCGTTCTGTTTCCTTAGGGGAGCAGAGTTGTTTGGAATTAAGGCTGTGTATCTCCATCTTGTTTATAAAGGTTAAAAACCTAATTAGCAAAGGGAATTTCAATAATTTGAAAAAGAAGTGGGTAGTGGCTTCTAATGTAATGCTGCTGTGACTAATTTTACAGCTGGACCCTGCTTGAACAACGACTTTACTATTCCCCGTGAACACATTTCTGGTCAGTACATATTTAAAAAACAACGCCATTAATGTACTTTAATTAAAACATAAATACTACAGTGCTACCTCGGTAGGCATTCACTCAGCTGGAACTAACTATATTTGCTTAATCTACAATTTTAGATGTATTAGCAAAAATAAATGTTGGTGAATGTAAGAGCCTGATTACATATCTTGGGTAAATTGGTGATAATGAGTCAAGAGACTTTGTGTTCATTCACATATATTAGAATAAGAATCATTATGAAATTAAAGCTAAGATTAATCCTGCTAATGACACCACAGAGCATCTGGGAATAAGATAACCCAGATGTCAGAATCACTGTGCTACAGTGCTGCTATTTGATAGAGTAACCCTTGAAGTGTTCTTCTAAGGCAGATAGCTGCTCCCCCCCAGTCCCAGCACTTGAAATGCAAATGAGTGACAAGATAGTCTAATAATGAGAGCAGATTCTAGCAGTAAAGAAAATGAATAAATTAAAAAAAAAACACTCTGCACCACTGATAAGAACAAGCAGCAGGCACCCTGATGTCCTCAATTAGGGTGGATGACATCTGCTGAGCATTTCTCTCTAATAAAGCCCTCACTCGGTATTCCAAAGCACACGATTCTAACACTGTTAACATTTTAATGTCCTGGGCGTGCATGGTAACATTAATTACAAGATGATTTGGATGACTTCTGAATCTCTTTTATGTCTTCAGCAGAAGAGAACACAGCATAGCAGCTTTGATATCATAAATAAAATGGGGACGCCTGCCAAGCATGAAAGGTATCCTGAAGTCATTCGCATCTGCTATGTTATCCTGAACCTCTGTAGCCAGGCAAAGAGAATCCTCTGGGCATTTACAGACGGTCAGCAGCTATGCATTTTAGTGGGGAGCTATGTGGCTCTCAAGGATTTTTTTCCCCTTATGCTAGAGGTGAAAATTTTGTTGCTGTTTTTAATTCCTAATGAGCTTAAAGTCCAATTAATATTATTCTAAGCACAGTTTGCCTTCCTAATAGCTATTTTCATGAGCTTTGGCAAATGTCACCAGGGCTTTCTTGTTTGTTGGCTGGGAGACAGGGACAGTATCTCCCCTTATTAAGCAGACTGATACAAAGTGTAGGCACTATGGGGGACCCTAGGTGGAGAGCGGGCAGAGAGACACAAAAGAAATTTTGAGGGTCCCTTACTACAAAACTGGCATATCACCATCATCCATGAGAAAATACTAGTAACTTCTCTTACACAGGTAAGGAAACTGGGGCACAGAGAGATTACACAACTTGCTTGCAAGTTACTAAACATCCAGGGAGAAGCAGAACCAGGATTTGAACTTCTGACTAAGCTCAAAATCCATGATTTCACTATTCCTCTCCACTACACCTGTGGCCGTCATTAGAGCTGTTCACAGGTGATCTGGGGCCCATCCTTTGGGTCATATAAGGTTATGTTTCCTTGCCCTTCTTTCAAGCTAACATAGCCATGTGAACTACTTTAACCAATGGAATGCAAACAGAAGCCTTAAAAGAAAGTGTGTGGTTCACCCTGTCCTCTATGAGGAAAAAATCCGCCTGGATCTGAGGATGACTTGGAGCAATGCACAGCCCTAATAATGGGCATGAAGACTAAGCAAGAAATAAACCTTTGTTACATAAGCCTCTGAGATGCTGAGGCAGTTGGTTACTGCAGTGCATGCAACCTAGTCTACCCTGACAAATACAATACTATGCCATGCCAGCAACCAAGTACAAACATGTAAAAACCTCAGCTGGCCTCAGGAATGGATGAAAAACAGAAAAAATAAAAGTGAGGAAATACGTGACTGAAAAGTTGGCCCGAGAACTCTTAGACTCTGAGAAAGAGAAGATTGTGGTTTAATTAACCCTAGTGGGCACCATTTACATCATAAAATGTGTCAATGGCTCCCCCTAGAGTTTTCCAGTGCCCAGATTGCAAGATTATATGCAGTGGCCCTGTCACTTCTAGCTCTGCTAGTCTGAGAATCTGGCTCGCCATTTATTTTACAGATTACGCCAGATTTACAGGATGTACTGGGTATGGAATTCACAGCTGCAGCCAATGAGCACGTGCCCAGCCCAACAATGAGCTTACTCACTCAAAACATCAGGAAAATTCATCAGTAGATTTATAAGGGCACTTGGCCATGAATCAAAATTAATTCCAGATATGACAGATTACTGTTGTTAAATCCAGGTGAAATGATGTTACGCAGTCATAAACAAAGATGTTTTATCCAAATGTGCAGAGAAAAAGACAAAAGACCTTTTTGGCTTTTCATAATTGACTGGATGTGGCACTGATTTGCTGCACCTAGGGAAGGGATATTTGGGAGAAAAGAGAAAATGAGACACAGCAATGAGGCAGTGCACTAATTTTTAAGAGTCCAGCCCTTTTTCTCTCTTCTCTCTCTTGCCTACCTCTGTTTGGACTATTCCAGTGGAAAATTCTAATTCTACATGCCAACTCTCCCTGCTCAAACGGTCTATATTTTGCCAAAGTTACAGCTGAACAGCAGGTTCAAAGATCCCAGCCACTGCCACTGATCAGAAGCTCCCCAGGATATCCCCCAAGGCTGCAGAGCTATTGAACTGGATAGAGCACCTGGGGAACTGAAGCAATTAACAGAACTTCCTTAAACAGGGCCAGAATGGGTCTCAAGTAGACAAACCACACACAGCTGCAGCATCCCCTGCCACTGCCCACTGGCTGGGTTTGCTCAGGAAACATTAGAGAAGATTCTCAACAAGCAAGTCAGCCCCTCCATTTGTCAGCCCAAGCCCTATCTGTTCACTTCTGCTAATAAGAATGCTAGTTAGTAAGAATGGGAACATCTAAGAAAGTTCTAATCTTGATTAGGAGTAGGTGACTCCTCCAAAAAAAAAAAAAAAAAAAGGGAAGCAAAGCAGTTCAGTGCTTCCAAAGACATAAGGGTAAGCCACACTTAGATCCATAGTCATACTCCAGTTGCAGCAACCCCCAGGGGAAGGGCTTACATCACAACGTTTATGCACTGGAAAATGAGGTAACCTGAAGCTTTCTCTCTACATCACCTGAGGTTTCATTCTACGATGCCTTTGCATGGGCTGTTTCCTTCACTGGGAATGCCTTCCACAGGTAAACTCAGTGAACACCTACTCATCTACCAAGATTAAATCAAGTGTCTGTATGAATCCTTCTCAGACCCACCCAGTCAGAGGTGTGCACGGCCCCTTTTGCTCTTTGCCTCTCTCTTATCACTGAACTCATCCTACTGTGTGATAACCACACACCTGCCTCCTCAGACTGCAAGTGCCCTGGAGACAGAGATGGTGTTGATTTCCCCAGCCCCTGCCAGGGTACTGACACACAAGAGGTACTAAGGACCTCCTTACTGAAAGAGTAACTTTAATATTGATAGTGGAAGGCAGATTCAAGATGCTGTGCCATCTTGGAAGATAAATAATGCTCTATAACTTTTTCTCAGGTGCTTCAGGACTGTTTCAACTACCTCTTCTGAAAAACACTTAATACGTTTTCTCTCCCCTTCCTAAGGCTTCTGCATTGCCTTTACACATTCTAAGGTCCTTTTTTAGTTTCTTAATAAGGTGTCCTTAGATAAGCCTCATCTAGTTAGCATTATTTTGTGCCTGGCTGTGACAGGATAACTGAAAAATCAATGAAAACAAAGGCAGAATGGCCTGAGTTTTCATGACTGAGTGGGCTCCTAGGTGTCTTTTACACAGAATAATTTATGGAAACATCCTTTAAATACAGACATTTCCATCTGTTTCACCTTCACTCTTGCAGGGAAATGAAATAGGAAGATATTCAGTCTGTTTACAACCTAATATTGTTAACCTCTTCTTCTCAGTATTTGGAATTTGGTCATACATCTTTGAAGACTGCCTTAGAGCCAATCGATCAAAGACCATCAATGTATTGTACATCAACTTGGTGCCAGGCACTGTGCTAGGGATTTCAAAGGCTCAATGAACTTAGTCTGGTGGACAAGAAGACATATAAGCATTTTTAAAATAAATGCTAACTAGAGATACAATCACCTTAAGAGTGGATGGATATGGGGGACAGATGAGATAACACTTGCACTTAGCTATAAGGGAAGATGGAGGAAGAAAGCCCAGGCAGATGATAATGAAATAAGAAAGGCAAGAGAACAAAAAGGGACTCAGTGATTTGACATGCCTGGAACAGTGACACCAGGGGATGTGGTGGCAAAGAAGGCATGAAGTTAGTGGGTGCCACATCAGGGGAGTTGTGAGTGTCTTGCTGAAGAGTTTGACTTTACTGATAATGGGAAGCACCTAGAGTTTAGGAAAAGAGGGTGACATAATTCAAAATTCCTGGATTCTGAAGGAATATTTTTAAAGGATATAGGGAGAAGGGGACAATCTGAGCAATCATTTGGAATATTTTGCAGAAACCCTAAATAAATCATTGAGGTATTGTTTTTTTCTTTAAAAAACAGTAAAAACAAACTGATTGCCTTAGATAATTATTTCACTCAACAGAAAATATAAGCACTGCATTGGATCAAAAATGGCTGGAAAACTGAATTTTAAAAGAGAATTTTGGGCAGGCGCAGTGGCTCACCCCTGAAATCCCAGCACTTTGGGAGGCCGAGGCAGGTGGATCACGAGGTCAGTTCAAGACCAGCCTGGCCAACATGGTGAAAGCCCATCTCTACTAAAGACACAAAAAATTAGCCAGGCGTGGTGGTACATGCCTGTAATCCCAGCTATTCAGGAGGCTATGAAAGGAGAATCACTTGAACCCAGGAAGCAGGGGTTGCAGTGAGCCGAGATTGTGCCATTGCACTCCAGCCTGGGCAATAGGGCAAGACTCTGTCTCAAAAAAAAGATTTTTAGCCACTTAGCTTGAAAACTGGACTTCCTTTTTAGAACATGCTCAACACCGATGGCAGATGGGGCCCCACAGTCAAGCAAGAGAGTGAGGCAAGAAGTAAACAAACAATCAGACTGCAGTATGCATACCATCATAGAGAGCTGTACATGACAAGGCAGCAGAGAAAAGGAAGAGTGGACAACTATTCAGGAAATAAGGAGGCCAGATAGTTTTGCAAAGGCAATCTGAGATGGGTTGTAAAGCCTAATTTAAGAGTTCATCAGCCAAAGTGAAAAGAAAACTATTATGAATTTTTTTAAAAAGCCTACAACTATGGCAATAAGTGTATGGTTCAGACAGACAAAGACCGTCCTCCCTGATATCAATCAAAAGGTTTATGACTAATCACAGACATCAATATTTCCTTTAAATAGTTTTCATGAACCTACCAACCATGAATTTATCTATACCTCTTTAAGAAGTTATCTCTATTATCGCTCCCTGGACTTGGAAACTCAATGCTTAACATTAACTTTTGATGTTACTGCAACTTGCTTCATCTCCATTTGAAGGAGGGTGTCTACTAGTCCTGCTTTTCCAAGATTTTTTGATGAGTTCATGTCACTTCTATTGGAACTCCTCATCCTTCAATTCAAAGAATCTTAAGTTTTTTGTCTATCTTTATATTTGAGTTCTCATCCCAGCTAGGATCATTTGGAGGCTCACTCCATCCACCTCAAACATCTAGAAACTTATTTTAATGAAATATGAACTCCTCTCCATACATTGCTCCCATAACTCTGCCATTTCACCCCAGTCCCTACATATTATTCCTTGTTATAATGCCTGACAACGTATCAGGCATTTTAATCTACATGTTAGCTCCTCCATGTTCCTGAAATGATGTAACATGTACAGATTTCAAACCAAGAGTTCTACAGAATAAGGGCCCCAAAGAATCCTAATAAATGTGGCATCACAAATCTGTGCTTTTAATTATTTGGCCTGTTCCTCTTGTGCCCAAAATTATTTCCTGATATTTCTATAGCTATTCTTGGCAAGCAGTCCATACGGGTACCTCTTATTTAACCACAGTTGGTACTTTACTGTCGCTCTTTTTCTTTCCTTGGGTGAGAGAGCTCCTTTAATAAAAGTGATCATCTCAGAGGAAACTTAAATTCCACTGCCTCCCTCCAGTGTTGCACTTAGTGCTGTGTGTTTAACAACACCTTGGGGATTACACTTAAATCCTGGAAAATCTTTAAGCAGCAACATACTGGCAACAGGAAACATGCCTTCCCCTGAGAACTCAGGGACAGAAGAGTGAGAATGGTGGGCTGCCTGAGAAAGGGTGAATGTCCAGGGATGAGAGCTATCACAGAGTGGAGTAAAGATGACCTGCGGGCTCTGCCTCCACATCCAACACAGGGACCTGGCACTGACACTTCTCCAAAGGCCTGGGGTTTCCAGAATGAAGTGAACAAATGTCATTTTAGGAAGGGACAGGTGGTCTTCACAGCCATCTATTTTCATCCCTGCCTGCAATCAAGATCAAGATCTGATTTATACCATCCCAAAGAAGGAAATTTTGGTGATTTTATAAGATCCTTTCTGTTTTGTTTTTTGTGTTTTTTTTTTTTTTTTTTTTTGAGACAGAGTCTTGCTCTGTCATCCCGTCCAGGCTGGAGTGCCGTGGCGTGATCTCAGCGCACTGCAAACTTCACCTCCCGGGTTCAAGCAATCCTCCTGCCTCAGCCTCCCGGGTAGCTGAGATTACAGGCATGTACCACCACGCCTGGCTAATTTTTTGTATTTTTAGTAGAGACGGGGTTGCACCGTGTTAGCCAGGAAAGATCTTTTCTTTATAGGAGATTCACCAGCAATACCACCGTCACCAGTTGCTTAGTCCAGGATTTAATAAACTTCACTGGGAGCTTCTTTATTGCCTCTAACCAATTTTTTTTCTGGCTGAAGCTAAAACCTGCTCCAGTTTTGCTCTCCTCTCATTGTAGAGGAGACAGGGACATTCCCTAGGAAAGAATTTTGCACACACTATTTTCTTTATATAAAATATGCATAATTTTTAAAGCATTAAACTCAAAAGCAACCCCAGAAAACATCATTATAATCACCTCTTAGATTGAGCCTCATAGAATTAAGGTGTATTTTTTATCCTACAAACAATTGCTGAGCAATGACTCTGCACCAAAACAGTGCTGGACATGGCATTGTTATTATTGCATGTTTGATGACCAGGCTCTTGATAAGGCTTTAAACTCTATTAAGTCTTATTACGAATGGGTCAATGACCATTGGCAAGGATTCTTTAGTCCAAAGACTAAAGCAAATATTAAAGAAGAAATAAAAAAGAAAAGTCTTCTTTTACAGTTATACTTTTAATAAAAGGCTAGTGGGCACTGGCTGCAATGATTACTCATACCAAATACAGAGAACTCTTATGATGTAATAAATAAAAGATTCATTTTCTGCATTCTTCCAAGCCAGAAAACCACCTGGTGGTTTACATGTATTCAGACTCTGCTCTTACAAGAAAATTCAAGGACATAAACAAGTGATAAACCAAATAAACATTTTGCCTTCAAAAATCCATTTCACATTTTACCACCTGAAATACCAAGGCTTAAGAAAAGGCAGTTCTGATCTGAAAGAACAAAAGGAAAGTTATACTGGGATGTATGAGATGGATTGAGTCCACTTAACTATGTTGAGGCTGTCAAAACACACTGTTCCACTGCAGCATCACTTTATTGCTTCCCTGCGTAATGAAAGCAATACCTCATATCTCTCTTTATGACTCTGAAATGTTTGAGAATTCCCCCCCCCATTTCCTGTTCTATGTCACAGTTTCAGGTTTCTTCCAATTTCACTAATGAAGTTAGGTCCAGTTAGATCTCCATCTCTTTTGTCAAATGCATGAAAAAACTCAATGTGTCAACATTAAGTTTATTTACAGGTTCAATAAATAAGGAAAGTTGTCCAGCTGAAAAATTAGTGAAAATTATATTTCCACATTGTATTAGTCTGTTCTCACGCTACTATAAAAAATACCTGAAACTGGGTAATTTATAAAGAAAAGAGGTTTAATTGGCTCACAGTTCTGCAGGCTCTACAGGGAGCATGGCTGGGAAATCCTCAGGAAACTTATAATCATGGCAGAAGGCAAAGGGGAAGCACGGAAGAGAGAGCAAAGGGCAAGGTGCTACACAATTTTAAACAACCATATCCCGCGATAACTCACTCACTATCATGAGAACAGCAAGGGGGAAATCCACCCACATGATCTAATCACCTCTCATCAGGCCCTTCCTCCAACATTAGGGATTACAATTTGACATGAGATTTGGGCGGGAACACAAACCCAAACCATATCACACATTAAAGAAGCTGATGTGATGAGATTTAATATTGCAAAATTTTACTTTGATTTTGGACAGTTCAGTGTTTTCCCTACTCTCTTTGGAGCCATGAAAAAGGGAATAATAGGCCAGCCTCACTATTTAAGGACTTCTGGCCAACCCAAGATACCGTGTCCTGTTTGATCCCATGGATAGACCTTGGTAAAATTTGACTACATCGCCAATCTAAAGTAAATTGAGTATATCTTGGTTAGCTTTCTAATTATAAATAAGTAGTTGATTTTTAGACTAACTTGCATGTTTCTTGTCATAGAGGCAATAGAGCCCATCTGTTCATAAATGACTTCCTCCCTGGTGCTGATTGCAAAGCTATGTCACTGTTTCACCTTCCAAGAGCATGCCCTGATCTCCACTATCCATTGTCCAAAAGTTTATAGAACATCAGCTCTGTGTCTAATAATATTGTGAAGCGTAAAAAGATAAATACGTTAAGTATCTCTCCTTAGGCCAGCCACCAACTAATACCAAATGCCAAAGAGACTGGGTGGCTTCCTAGGTTGGAAATGTCCAGGAATAACTTGGATGCTGAACACTGACTCAGTTTTCCCAAAAGGAACCATCACTCTTGATCTTCCTGATCCCATGTTTCAGATTACTTAGACAATGAGTGTTACCAGACCTGGGCCTCTCACTCACCTTTAAAGCTACTGTTAAATTTTAGAAATCCAAAGAGTATAAAAAGATGCAGAAAGAAGACTGGACAGTTCTCAGCTGACTGCAGGATTTTCAGCTGACGATGAGCAACACACAGTCAGCAGGTTTATTTTCTTCAAGCATGACTGTTCACCACCATCCCTTCCCACCCCGCCCCTCCCGCCATCCCATTCCAGGATTACCATTCCAGCTCATGTAATTTTTAAGACCAAACATTCCTCCAAACCAAATATAGAACTCTCTGGAGGATAATTAGGACTAGATGGCGCTCATCATTGGTTTTTTTCAAAAACCTGTTTTCATGATAGCATATCATCAGTACATTTCCCAATACTTTGACAACCACTGAAAATATCAGTGTTCTTTTCTAATACTTGTTTTTTAGATGGTAAAAATGAAATATAGCATACTTAGAATAAATGAAGACTCCCACTATCATCACTGCATGCTGGTTTTTAGAGAAAAGAAAAACAAGCAAATTTTTAATATTTACCTGATGCCTTAGAGCAACTGGTACTGGTTGTTAGTTTTGCCAGAAAGTATGGCTACAAAATGTCTATTCTAAATCTAGATCTATTGTATTTAGTATCACTGGCCTAGATCTTACCTGGTTTATAAATCAAGATCTCAAGCAACAAGTAGCCTTGATCACTGACATTGGTACACATTTCACCATTGTTTATCTTGGAGGTTATGACAGACCAGGATTCAGGATTGCTAAAGGTGAGCATGCTTACAGTGTTTGACGTTTGTGGTTTTTTTCTAAAGGTAAAGTCAGATATCAAGTTAAATCTATTTTAACATTTCCCCAGGCTAGCCTTATTCTATGGAATAACACTTCGGGCCCTCAATCACACATTTGTGTTGACATTAGAACAGATTCATAACTGTTTTTCTGAGTTGAACTCTGGACCTATCTACAGATACTCACTTGGCTCATTTTAAAGCAGAGATAAGCCCTTCTCTCCAGGCAGCCTTCCTTGCTCAAATTCCACAACGGAATATCAAACTTATCTTTGCTTAATTGTCTGTTAAGGTAGACATGCCGGGAGCGGTGGCTCACGCCTGTAATCCCAGCACTTTGGGAGGCTGAGGCGGGCGGATCACCAGGTTAGGACATCGAGACTATCCTGCCCAACATGGTGAAACCCCATCTCTATTAAAAATACAAAAATTAGCCGGGCGTGGTGGTGGGCACCTGTGGTCCCAGCTACTCGGGAGGCTGAGGCAGGATAATCACTTGAACCTGGGAGGTGGAGGTTGCAGTGAGCCAAGATCACGCCACTGCACTCTAGCCTGGCAACAGAGTGAGACTCCGTCTCAAAAACAAACAAACAAAAATATAGACATAACTCTTTATTTGGCACTATATACCAGCTGTGATGCAGATACATTTTAGGGAGTACATCTTATCAAATTTTCAGCTTAAAGAAATAGCTTTTGGAGAATTTCCTCAGGGAGAGAGTCAATACATTCCTCTTAGATCTTTGAGTTCTACTACTGGGTTAAGCCGGGTCACAGAGAGCTTGGTACTTGGACGGCATTACTTCAGTTGTCTGTGGCAAAGTGTTTTTACTGAAATTGCATTTTGGCAGAATGTAACAGGTCTATTTTCAGGGAATGAATTTAGATAGTCTTTGAAAAGTAGGATGTCTTTGAAAGTAAAGATTTGAGAAATATTTGGGTAATAAAACCTCTTGGTCTTGATGATGGATTGAATGTGGTATGAAGAGCTATGAAAAGAGAGAGAGTGAGGAAGATCATATTTCTGACACGGATGATCTGATGTGTGGTAGTATATTTAATATTAATTGATTGAGACTCAGACAAGGGGATAAACAGAGTTTGGGAAATATGCAAAACATCCAAGTACTTATATCTAGCATACATTTGAATAAATAGGTCAGAAGTCAGAAAAGAGGTCAGTACCAGAGCAACGGGCCAACAAGAGAAAATCTGAGCAACATCAATGGCTTAAGAGACCAGCATAGGAAGAGGATTTGAGGAACCATTTTAAAAAAGAAAATGTAATGAAATATCAACCACAACATTTCTAAATAGGAAATCATTTTACACTGGCTGGCATGAAATTGATAATATGACCATTAAAACTGAAAATAAGAGAGTCCAGCAATTTCACTGAATTTAGGAGTAAACAAAAGATTCATGTCTGGCAGGTTGATTCTCTTCAGCTAAAGATATTTTTATTGACTTCTACCTTGATGAGAATATTTTAATAAAGAGGAAAAAATAGGTTTCTTGATCTAAAGAAAACTATGATTTCAAAGTGGACACCTGATATTCAAGAAAAATATCACACACATATAACACACACAAATATATAACAAATCATTAATGTAAGTATCTTTTAGGTACATGGGTTAGAAGAGACATCCATTTTTCTTGTGTATTTCTGTAGTATTTTACTTTTTTTGTTTGTTTGTTTGAGATGGAGTCTCGCTCTGTCACCAGGCTGGAGTGCAGAGGCACGATCTCGGCTCACTGCAACCTCCAACTCCCCAGTTCAAGCTATTCTCCTGCCTCAGCCTCCCGAGTAGCTGGGATTACAGGCACACGCCACCACGCTCAGATTATTTTTGTATTTTTACTAGAGACAGGGTTTCACCATGTTGGCCAGGATGGTCTCAATCTCGTGACCTAGTGATCCGCCCACCTCAGCCTCCCAAAGTTCTGGGATTACAGGCATGAGCCACCGTGCCCAGCGGTATGTGAAGTTTTTCTAATGATCAAGCATTTTAAGCAAAAAAAAAAGATTAAAAGAAAACAAATTGAAAACCTATATATTTTTCCAACAAATTTTTATCCTTTCCATAATGCCTTCTTCAATTGTCATCCCCGGTTTAAGGAAAGCTGTTTTCATTTTACCTGTGTCTGCTGGATAAGTAAATGCCAAAGAATTCAGGTTTAGGGGGACACTATGGTCTCTGGTGTAAACTAGAACACAGTCTGTCCTTGGCAGGCTTGCTGCTTCTCTACAGGAGATTACTCAACAGAAATGGAAAGCTGGCTGCTGGTGAATTCACTTGCTGTCACCCACAAGCAGCCCTGGCCCTCACAGTCCTCTAGCCAAGTAGAAATGAAGCCTTTTGTCAATTTCAGCAGCCCGTTCCTCTCGGGCTAGGTCTCTCCTGAGGCCACTCCTTCATGCCTTGCTCTAAACTTGCAGCTCTGCAGAGACCATATATGAGACTGAAAAGTCAGCCCCCTTGGATCAAGAGGGCTTCTGCCCTTTGCCCTGCAAGGGCTGTTAATTTTACATTTGCAGATAGAAACTTACCCCCTGTTGCTCATACTGATGAACCTAATGGCTTCCTGGCATGCCAAGGTTCACAGCCATCTGCTCTGCTGGCAGCATGCCCTCATCAAAGGTGGTGTGCCATGTTCAGACGGGGGTGGGGAATGGAGATCAACCAAAGAAAGGTTTCAAAAGTGGTAGCAGTGAATGTAATGATGCCTTATTTGCAAAAAGACCTCCTGGTAGCTAACAAAGCCAAATGAGGAACACATGCTGCATTACAAGGCAGCTGATCTACTGACAATTGTTGGCATAATATCATCAAAGCCAGTTTTTATTCTGTATCCCTTTTCCTAAGTGGTTGCCAGATGTGGAATTCTAAATTTAGGGCAGGTAAAGCCTGGTTGGCCAGACTTTTTCTGGGAGGCCACGCATAGGATAGGACATATGGCACCATTTATGGGAGAACCTTCCCTAAAATATGTAGATGCAGCTTATTAAGCTATCACCAGGGCTGGGTGCTAGCCTCCGATGAGGCTCCATGGCTGGGAAACATGCCTGTCTACAGGCTTCTCAGATATGGTTGCATCTATCGAATTACGTGGGACACACTTATACTAAAAAATTAGTTTTTGTTTGTCTGAAATTCAAATTTAGTTGGTGTTGTGTTTTTATTTGTGAGGTCTGGTAACCCAGCTCTTAGATCAAGCTGAAGAAAAGGAGCAAGGAAGAAAATTTAAGGAGATTTGGGGCAACCCTAGGACAGCTGTCAGAATTAACATCTTAGAATCAGAGTGGCACTGATAAATCATTTTTTATCTGAAAACACTCACTTTCCTATGTGGGAAGGGCCTTTGATTATTAGAGGATTTCAATAATTGAGTCTTGTTTTAGCTGTCCGTGGCATCTCTCAAGCTTTATGTTCCATCATCCCACTATACACACACACACATATACACACACACATGTACACACATACTCCTCCAGCCAAACTATGGTCCTTAGTGATCCCTCAAATGCCATGCACAGCCCAGTCATCACAACTACTTGGAGAGGTCTCCATCCTCATTTCACTTGTTTACGTGAGACAAAGTTAGCAGTGGAAAGAATGTTTACTTCACTTTGGAGCCAGTTCAACCTAAGTTTGAATCCTGGAATTGCTACTCACTAATTGCAAGTTCTTGGACAAGATTCATCATCATTTCTTAAATGACAACTCTAAGTTTTTGTTTCTTCACCTTTAAAGCAAGTGACATAACCCTGCTCCCTAAGGTTATTGTGAGGAATAAATACAATAATGTACTAAAGTGAATTACCTGGCACATAGTAATTACTTAAAAACAATAGTTATTGCTACTAATGTTGTTGTTGTCATTACATCATTCAAAGCCAGCTTATAAGCACAGAGACCCAGAAATTGTCTGCCTATATTTAGATCCTGGCTCTCTCTTATAAGCTTAAGGGATATTAGGTAAGTTATTCTGCATATCTGTGCCTCAGTTTACTCATATGTAAAATGTGCAGGCATACTATACTTGGCAATAGAAAATGCCTTCCTCTAAGATCTAGAACATGAGAAGAATGCCTACTGTCACAACTGTTTTTCAACATATTACTGGAAGTCCTAGCTACGGTAATCAGACAAAAGAAGATATAAAAGTCATCCAAATTGGAAAGGAAGAAGTCAAATTATCCTTGTTTGCTGATGATATGATCTTATAGTTGGAAAAACCTAAAGATTCCACAAGAAAACTATTAGAACTGATAAACAAATTCAGTAAAGTTGCAAGATACAAAATCAACATATAAAAATCAGTAGCATTTCTATTTGCCAACAGTGAACAATGTGAAAATGAAATTTAAAAAGTAATCCCATCTACAATAGCCATGCATAAAATTAAATACCTGGGAATTAACTTAACCAAAGAAGTGAAATATCTCTGTAATGAAAACTATAAAACACAGATGAAAAAAATTGAAGAGAACACCAAGAATTGGAAAAATATTTAACATTCATGAACTGGAAGAATCAATATTGTTAAAATGTCCATACTACCTAAAGCAATCTATAGATTCAATGCAATCCCTATCAAAATACTGATGACATTCTTCACAGAAATAGAAAAGGAATCCTAAAATTTATATGGAATCACAAGAGACCCAGAATAGCCAAAGCTGTCCTGAGCAAAAAGAACAAAACTGGAGGAATCACGTTTCCTGACTTCAAATTCTACTACAAAGCTATAGTAAAGAAAACAGCATGGCACTGACATAAAAATGGACACATAGGCCAATGGAACAGAATAGAGAACCCAGAAACAAATCCACCCACCTAAAGGAAACTCATTTTTTACAAAGCTGCCAAGAAGATACACTGGGGAAAAGAGAATCTCTTTAATAAATTGTGCTGGGAAAACTAGATATTCACATGCAAAAGAATGAAACTAGACTCCTATCTCTCATCATATACAAAAATCAAATCAAAATGGATTAAAGATTTAAACCTAAGACCTCAAACTATAAAACTACTACACAAAGACCTTTGGAAACACTCTCCAGGACAATTGGTCTGGGCAAAGATTTCTTGAGCAATACTCCACAAGCACAGGCAAGCAAAGCTAACATGGAGAAATGAGATCACATCAAGCTTAAAAGCTTCTGCACAGCAAAAAACACAATCAACAAAGTGAAGAGACAATCCACAGAATGGGAGAAAATATTTGCAAACTATCCATCTGACGTATTAATAACTAGAATATATAAGGAGCTCAAACAACTCTATAGGAAAAAATCTGATAATCGGATTGAAAAATGGACAAAAATTTGAATAGACATTTCTCAAAAAAAAGACACACAAATGGCAAACAGGCATATAAAAAGGTGATCAGCATCACTGATCATCAGAGAAATGCAAATCAGAACTACAATGAAATATTATCTCACCCCAGTTAAAATGGCTTTTATCCAATGACAGGCAATAACAAATGCTGGCAAGGATGTGGAGAAAGGGAACCCTCGAACACTGTTGGTGGGAATGTAAATTAGTACAAGCACTATGGAAAACAGTTTAGAGGTTCCCCAAAAAACTAAAAATTGAGCTACCATATGATCCTGCAATCCCACTGCTAGGTATATACCCAAAAGAGAGGAAATCGGTACGTTGAAGAGATATCTGCACTCCTATGTTTGTTGCAGCACCATTTACAAAAGCTAAGATTTGGAATCAACCAAAGTGTCCATCAACAGAAGAATGTATTAAGAAAATGTGGTACTTACACACAATGGAGTACTATTCAGTCATAAAAAAGAATGGGATCCAGTCATTTGCAACAACATGGATAGAAGTGGAAATAATTTATGTTTAATGAAATAAGCCAGGCACGGAGAGACAAACATCACATGTTCTCACTTATTTGTGGATCTAAAAATCAAATCAATTGAACTCACAGTCATGGAGAGAAGAAGGATGGTTATCAGAGATTGGGAAGGGTAGTCGGGGGTTGAGAGGAAGGTAAGGATAGTTAATGGGTACAAAAAACTGAAAAGAATTAATAACAGCTACTATTTGATAGCACATAGGATGACTATAGTCAATAATAAATTATATATTTTAAAATAACTTAAAGCATATAATTGAATTATTTGTAACTCAAAAGATAAATGCTTGAGGGGATGAATACCCCATTCACCTTGATGTGCTTATTTTGCATTATAGGCCTGTAATAAAACATTGCATGTACACTATAAATATATATACCTATTATGTACACATAAAAAATTTTTTTAATAATTTTAAAAAATTAAAACCTCAAGAAAAAAAAATGTCATGTAAACACTGGCCATTATTGTCTTCTATCACATGTTCCCAGCACACCCCAACCAGGATGGTGCAATTCTCCTCTTAAGTTCTTCAGCACATTACCAGCTCCATAAGCATTTGGTTCTTAGGAGAGGTTCTGGTCTTCAACTGTGCTCAGCACCCAATATGAGCTCCCTGAGTGTTTGATGATGAAAATAAAGAAGATGAAGCAAGCACATGAGACACTGAGCTAAGCAGGCACCAAAATGGGTGCTCCTGACTATGAGCATGTATGGACAGTCAGCCAGCAAATTACCTCTATTTACTATGCTTACTGTGTGTGCCAGGCACCATGTTAGGTGCCGTATGTATTCCCATATATTTAGTGTCATATCAACCCTATGAATTAGGTCATCATTTTCCATTTTTACAGATGAGGAAACTCAGCTTAGAGAGGTTCAGTTACTCACCTTAGTTTGTACAGTCTAGAAGGCATTTCAAGATTCATCCTCAGGAACCTGATGCTACAGCCAGTGCTCTAGGCTTTCATGCTGTTTTGCTGTGGAAAAGTTACTTAAATTAACTGAGCTTTGGTCTCCTTAGCTGTGAACCAGGGATGACAATCCTCAGAACTGCAGGGAGGATGAAATGAGGTGATTCACGTGAAGTGCCTAGCTCAGTACCTGGTATATACCTACCACATGCCCAGCAAGTACTCGGAATTAATAATAGTATTGAATATCACAGTTGGGAATTAAACTTCAGTTAGTATGACTCCAAAGTTCATACTCCTAACTTCTGACCTATAATGTCAATTGAACAGAGACCTGAAAAATACATCAAAAAACCTAAGCCTCTAACTCCAGGATTGATTTAATAAGTAATTTTTTAGGTTTTCCTTGATGTTTCTTAAAGTCTTTATCCTTGAGCTACAGCATCTATAGTACATTTCTCTCTAGGGAGTCTGTATGCTTCCACCAAGAAGGGTATTTTCTCTGAGATGAGCGCCCGACTCTCCTGAGGTGAGGACTTCACTCAGGACCAGCAGGAGCAAGAATCAGATTCACAATACTCATGTCTCCCTCCCCACAGGTGTGGGGTCCAGCTCTCCAAGAGGTCTTGCCAAATCCTGCACTGTTCTCTGTGGCACCACATGCTTCCAGCATAAGCCAGAGTCACACTTACTTGTCTCTCTCTCCAGGTGACATCATGGGCTCCAGTCAAGGGTTTGCGTCCATGAACTCCTGAGCCAATTACCAACTCCTTTTCAACCTCAGTTTTTAAAATCTGTGAACATGGGTGAATAATAGTTACTCAGAGAGGTAGAATAAGGTCAAAATGAAGTGACGTTATGAAAATGCCAGGTTCACAGTAGGCATTCAATATTTTACTTATAAACAGGTTTATTAGTATGTTAACAAACCCACAGTTCTAATAGCTTCACAAAACAAAAATTCATTTGATCCTCATAATAACCCTATTAAGGTAGGGATTATTCTTATTGCCATTTTACAGATAAGGTAACTGGGGTATGGAGAGGCTAAATAACTTTCCCAAGTTGACACAGCTAGAAAGTGACAGAGCTGAGATTAAAACCCCGGCAGATTTCATACTTTTAGCGAATTCCCTAAGTATTAGTTCTTCTTTCATCCCCTCTACTGCTGATCTTTCCCCTTAATCCCTTAGGCTAAATATGTTGTCCCAACAGTCTTTCCCACAAATCATATGTTGGGAGCCCAAATCACTATGCCACATGGTGATAACAGGGCAATTGTAAAGAGGAAATAAATGGTGTTAACATACATCTTTAACAAAGCCCTTCATGATGGAGCTCCTGCCTCCATAATTCCACAAGACCCCTTTATTCCAAGCAAATGTGACTGCTTGTGATTCCCAGCCTGCAATCCTGTCTCCTGCTTCCATTACATCACACATGCTGTTTCCTCCATCTGAAACTCCTTTCTCCTCCACCTTCATTTTCTCCCTCTTTCTTCTAACTAACTCCTACCAGTTCCTTCCTGAATCATTTTATTACATTGGTGAAAAAAGGAATTGTGGTTTTTGCCATTTAAAAGTAATGGCAAAAACCGCAATTACTTTTGTACCAAGCTAATACCAGGTGAGTCTTCCGTGATTTTTAGAGTTTAGATACCCATTCACCCCATTCACTGTATGATTCCATAATAGCCAGGCAATATGTTCTATCAAAGCACCTGTCACACTGGACCACAACAATTGACTTTTTTGTTGCCTGTACTTGACTATGAGTTTTTGAAGGCAAAGACTGCATCTTATTTATGTGTGTTTCCAGTGCCTAGCACTGTCCATGTCATTAAGCAGGCATTCGACATATGTTTGCTCCATGAATGAACAAAGGTTTCGGCGACTTGGAAATTCTCCTTCTTCCCTCTAACTTCTGTATCTCTCACTTTGTCCACAGACATATATTATCCAAACAGAGAGGCAGAGAAAGTGGTTGGAAGTGTAAGAAATAGACTTCAAACACTTGAAGAGGAAGTTATGTAGAAATGGATCATTTTGATTCCTTGCATTCCCTGAGGTTGCCAAAAACATTCATTAAAAACATAAAAATCTGAACAGAAAATTAGCATTTGATCAGTTACTTATATCTAAGCATTATTATTCATTGAATCTAATTGGTTAGATTATTTCCTTTTGATTTTTTTTAAAGAGAAACAATGCTCAGTAGAGAGCATTAAAGCCTTTAATTCTAATTCTGAAAAATATGTAAATATTAATATCAAATATGTTCTAAATACCAAATAAAATAGAGTTAGCCCTGGAACAACTGGGTACACTGTTTAAGTTATGCCTTTTTTTTTTTTTTTTTGCAAAAGTATGCTGGCTATTAAAGCCCCATAAAACACAAAAAATAGAAAGGAAGTGGTGAAAATCTCCCAAATTGATCTATAGTGAAAAAGAATTGGGCAGGGTCTGGTTATTGTTATGTGACTATACGCACAAAGGTCCAAAGAACACAAAAATGAAAAAAATTCTGCTTGCGTGCCTTATGCAATAACATTTCTGCTTTTAGATTTTCTCTGGACTTTTTGAGAAAAGTATTTGTTCCTAAATTACCTGGTGCAACCATCACAATGTTTGAGAAATTTAATTCTGCTTACATCATTAGAAGCCCAGTATAACATCTCAAAAGAGCATTTTAAAAATTACTTTTGATATTTCATCCAAATTTGAATTGGAACAGGAAGAGAAGTGTCTCTTTCAATGTTATAAGGATTCAAATGTAATTATCACTTTCACCTAGAAAACATGTCATCACCAAAATAAATTTATATAAAAACTTGAAAATACAAATTAAATGGTACAATATATACGTATGTGTACATACACCTATACTTGTATGTTTTTTATTGATACATAATTGTATGTACTTATGTGGTACTATACTTGTATGTTTGTGAATATGAATTTCTGTTGCAACTATTTGAATGGTTCCTTTGAGCAATAAGTCATTGGACAAAAAAGACTATTTAAATGGCCACTTAAGATAAAGCCATTTTCTCCAACATTGGCTTCCATAGCAATACTGCGATTAACTAATGGTGGGATGTATTTTGGTAATTGGCTGTCATATCCAATCTCTATGAAAAACTGCATATCCCAGATGTCTCCACTACACATTCAACTCTATCTTGAAAAATCGAAGAAATTTTGTCCCAACACTGACAGAATAATAATGAGAACCAAGCAATGGCTTACCCTCTTGACAGCCAAAATCAAGAATGAGGCTACCTTTTTGGGTCCTCAACCTCACTCCGTGGACTGTGGACCAGACTCTGAGGATGCTCTTCAGGAGGTAAAAGCATTGTCCCTGAGCATCAGTTATCCTCAAGGCTCAGATCAAAGGAAGAGCATCTTCCATGTTACAGACCTCCACTAGCAGCTCTTGCAGTCATCCATAACACTTCTGCAGGGCTCACACTTCAAAACAAAATTCCCAGAGAAATAATATAGATAAGATTAACTGAGAAATAGATACAATTGAAGAGTTTTTTTAAAAAAAAAAAAGGGAGGGGGGCTTATAAAACAGTAACCCGATTCTTTTTTTATTCAGTTTCAATAATAAATAATTTAATATAATAATTTACGTGCATTTAAAAGGCTAGGCAATAGAAGCTCTAGGGTAAGCATGACTTTCACAAACCTGATATAATACCTATCTAAAAACAATTCATATTTATTACTGGAATAAATCCCTAAAATTCCTTTCTAAAGGCTTATCAAACCAAATTGGGTCCCAGCCCAACAAATCGAATTAGAAATCCATGTAAGTCTGCTAACTGAGTTATTAAAGTGATCTGCATGGATATTCCCAGTTCACCAGAAAAACCTTCTGTTTGGATGGACATTTAGTCAAATGCTGCCCTCTAGTGAGAAAACTCTGTTAAAGGCTACAAAAGGCCCTAAGATTACAAAGCATTCATAACTTCAAAGAAAAGACACCCAAATAAGATTAACCAAGTAAAATCTTCAACTAGAAACCACAGTTATTCTAGATTAAAATATCTATTTCATTTTTACTTTGTTAATAATGCCTATATTTTCTTTCTAAAAGTATCTTGTAAATAGGTAACATATTTAAATTACCATGGTAGGGATAGCTCAACCCGTGTGATATTTAGATATTTTTAGGCTTTTACATTTGATAATCCAATAATAGTAATTGATATTAAAGTATGATACATTTATTTGTTTTAGCTAGTGATGCAGCTAAAGAATTTGTATAAAATAAAATGGGTGATAATATGGTCTCCCACTCTGTCAATTAAAAAAACGTAAAACAAGTGGTAGATATTCCACAGAATATTTGCATTAATAATCAATACTTCACTTCTAGATATTTATTTTGCTGTAAAAGTCAAGATTTCTAATGTTCTTTAACAATATAAGAATATTGTTATATCTTCAAATAGAAAACTCAACTACTCACTTCTAATTCAGCAAAGGAAAATCTCTACTTTCAAGTTTCTTCACGCAATTCTAGTACATTTTATTCATTTAGCAGAAACAGGCATTTAGCATTTTTTAAATTGTATTCTAGACTTCGTAAACCCTGACAGTGCAAATTTCCTCCTAAGACACAATCTTATTAGAGCATTTATTCATTCTTCTGTTACGTCTTTTAGTGAACTTCATGGCTACCTGCTCTAAACCCACACTCTGCTAGTCATTTTGGATATAATGGTGAAAAGGATGGGCCTGGTTCCAAAACATATGTATCCTGTAATCGAATGAGGGAAACAGATACGCAATCAGGTAATTATGAAGCCTTACGATGAAGAGAGACATAGTACTCTCCAGAAGCAGGTAGAAGGTGTACCTGATCCATATTGGGAAAACAGGAATGCTCCACTCCCCAAGAAAGTAAGACTTGAGTTTCAACAAGGTTCTACAGCCATTGAAAGTCCTCTGAAAGTAGTGTGAGCCATACAGACCAATTTCTTTTTGCAGAAGCAATTTCCCTGATGGTTTTGTGCTTTCTTCAGTAAATCATTCCCAGTTAGATATGCAGTGATGGTATTTCCACACTCAGCACTGGTGACACTTACATTTGAATTAACTCTCCCCATAAATGTAAAGTAAAATATTTATATTTTAGTATATTTACTTAATAGAAAATTGTATTCTCCTTTCTTAATTTTAAACACATCTACACAACAATATGCCTTTCCTTTTCAAAAAAAAATAAGAAAACTAAAATTAAATTATTGTGTAAGTATATTGTCGTCATGTGCTCTAGTAGACCTGCTAGTACCCTATGTGGTCTTGGGCAAGTCATACATCTACAGTCTGGATCCTTTCAGCTCCAATATTCTGTAAGTCTATCAGTGACTCTCTATATAAATTACTCTTGGCCTGGCACAGTGGCTCATGCCTGTAATCTCAGCACTTTGGGAGACAGAGGTGGATGGATCACCCTGAGTTCAGGAGTTCGAGACCAGCCTGGGCAACATGGCAAAACCCGGCTCTACCAAAAATACAAAAATAAAAATAAAAATTAGTCAGACATAGTGGCATGTGTCTGTAATCCAAGCTACTTGGGAGGCTGAGGCTTGAGCCTGAGAGGCAAAGTTTGTAGTAAGCTGAGATCACACCACTGCACTTTAGCCTGGGCAACAGAGTGAGACCCTGTCTCAATCAATCAATCAATCAATTAGACTCTTCATTTTAAAGTATTGTACTTGTTGTTGACTTTCAGTTTTTCATCTTCTAGTCACCATGGTCATCATGGTTTACAGAAGACAAACTCTTGCTTGAGTAGGATTTAATCTTGTTCTTTCTTTTTTTATTATTTATTTTTATTATGCTTTAAGTTCTAGGGTACATGTGCACAACGTGCAGGTTTGTTACATATGTATACATGTGCCATGTTGGTTTGCTGCACCCATTAACTCGTCATTTACATTAGGTATTTCTCCTAATGCTATCCCTCCCCCCATCACCCACCCCACGACAAGTCCCGGTGTGTGATGTTCCCTGTGTCCAAGTGTTCTCATTGTTCAATTCCCACCTATGAGTGAGAACAAAAAGGAAATAGAAATTGAAGTTTGTGGGGGAGTGTTTACTAAAGTCCTGGTTCTAGATTAAAATGTCAGCAATATATCAAGAACATATCTCTATAAGAAGAATTAAGCTCAGGAAATTTGCTACTTAAGAGATCTTTTAGTTTCCTTTAACATTTAACATCAAAATTTAAACACGCATGTGGAAAAGTTTGCCGGGATTTTTATTTGTCTTTTAAAATACCTGTCTTATAGATATTTATTTCTTAAAACTAATTTTAGTGCAGAATAAGAATTTTAAAACAGAGCTTAAAATATATGTATATATCAAGGAGAAAAGCATAGGGTATTCTTAACCCAAATTGCATGTAAGTAGGTTCAGTTACAACTTCTAAATATTACTCCAAGCTCTGAAAAACAGAAAGCTGTACAAAGTAGGTGCAAGATCCTTACAGGAAGAATTAGAAAAACGGGGTTCTATCTGAGAGTGTAACAAATCTTAGCCAAGTTAATTGATTACTTCTCTGTGTTTGAATTTTCTCATTTGTCCTGTCTCACGTATGACACTGAGTTTACGTAAGGAGCCTGTGAGCTACTCTTTGTGAATATGCACTAAAAACTATAGCAAACTGGCAACAACCTAAACATCCACCAATAGGGAAAGAATAAACAAAATCTGGTATACTCATACAGTGAAATACCACACGGCAAATAAAAAGAATAACCTAAATATATACATTTATATGTATATTCTATATACATCCATATAGAATACATGAACATTGATAAATCTCAATAAAAACTATATCATTGAGTAAAAAATGTAAGATACAGAATGATACACAATTGTACTACCTATATTTTTTAAAATCACACAAAACAATACTATGTTGTTTAAAAGTTGCATATAGATATACAACTTTTATTTTAAAAAAGTACAGTGATTGTCTCTCAATATAGAGGAAAAGAAACAAAACTCAAAGAAATATGACAAAGAGTTAACCATTAGTTCTGAGTGCTAAGAATAAGGCTGTGTTCCATTTGTTCTTTAGGGATTTTTTTAAACTATATCTTTTAGATTCCTTTTTAAACTTTATTTCGGGCTGGGTGCAGTGACTCATGCTGGTATTCCCAACACTTTGGGAGGGCAAGGCAGGAGATCACTTGAGCCCAGGAGTTCTAGACCAACCGAGGCAACATGGCTAGATACCGTCTCTACAAAGAATGAGGAAAAAAAAATTAGTCTCAAGTGGTGGCTTGCACCTGTAGTCCCAGCTACTTGGGAGGCTGAAGCAGGAGGACTACTTGAGCTCAGGAGTTCAAGGCTGCAGCAGGCTGAGATTGCACCACTGCAACAGAGTGAAACCCTGCCTCAAAAAATGATAATAAAATTAAATTAAAATTAAAATTATTTTCAGCTAACAAAAATAAACAGTAAAACACCTTGTTAAAGAGGTTAACATAGGGCTGGTGCAATGACCCTCAGATCCTTCCAATCTTTGTTTGATGATCTTCATCTGCTGATCAACATATGCAATCATCTGACTATAGGGTCAACCTGTATTTAATAGAGAATGAAGGCAAATATCTACATAAATGGATCCTGGAATGTAAGTGCAGAGATGCATTCTACAAAAAGAAAATTTACACATTTTCAATTCCAGACAACCTGAAGGCTTGCGCTTGATACCAGTCAAAAATCCTTTTCCTGGTCTCTGCCTTCAAATCTTCAAATAAAATTAGGACTTTCACAATCTTTTCTTAAAAAGGAAGGGGTCAACAAAATCTCATCGTGTTCTTCATGTTCATATCAGCCCAAGATGTTTTTCCCAGTCCTCCTGTCCAAGAGATAAAACATTGAGTAGAATCCCTAGTATCAATTTCCAGGGATGGTAAAATCATCTGTAAAATCTGTGATTTTGTAAAATCACATGATTCTGTAAAATCAAGGTGGAAAATATGGGATTTGACTTGTTCCATAGATGTAATTTAAGATATAAACAGACTGTTCACAGAAAGTGGTAAACAAGTAACTGTTAAATATATGTTCAAACGCTTACCTCAATTCATAAGAGGAGAAATGTGATTTAAAATTATACCAAAGTATCTTTTTTTCATATATATCAAATTGACAAAGATCAAGTTTGATAAGGCCACTTAACGCAGGATGAGGGTGTAGAAAATTAGGCACACTCATCCAATTCGGGATGGAGTGTAATCAGTACAATGTCTATGGAAGATAATTTGGCTACATCCATCCAAATTACAAATGCAATTTCATTTGACCAGCAATTACATTTCTAGAAACTTATACTACAGATATTTTTGCATATGTGTGATATGTCATATGTTTAAAGTAATTTTTTGCTGCAGTGTTTTTAATGGCAAAATACTGGAAACACTTTAGATTAACGGCCAAATACTGGAAACACTTTCAATTTTATCAGTTGAAGACTAGTTAAATTAATCATAACACATCACAAAATGGAATATAATGCTGCCACTAAAAAAGGATGAGGAAGCCCTCATGATTTGATATAGAAGATCTCCAAGATCAATTATACAGAGAAGACCCAAAGTGCAGAACAGTGTGTGAGAACACTACCATTTGTATGAAAGGGGAAAGACGGTATGGACCTAGGATATTTTTGAAAGAACAGACTAGTAGATGTGAATGCCAGCAATTTGGGGGGAGGAGAAGAGAAAAGGGCAAGTGGAGGGTAACCCTCAAAGATAGACTTTTTACTGTATACTATATTTTTATTTTGAACATTATGAATGTGCTACTTGGTTTTAAAAATTAAGTTAAAAATTAAGTGGCATAGTTTTAGTTATAATGGTGAGAGACCCTTGAAAGATGTCCTACATTTTTACAGGCGGCTCTGGCAAATGTAAGGAGGTCCCTCCACTCTCTAAAAAGCAAATTAAAAAAAAAAAAAAACCCAGGAAAAAATGAACTATATCACGAGAAAGACCTGGGAAGGAAAATCTCCTAAGAGCATGGAATCATTTTGTCAGTTCTGGCAATTTATCTCATCTGAACCCACCATATAAAAATCAACCCAGATTTTCTTAAAACCAAGCCCAGTTAAAGATATTCAGCCAACCTCTGCTAAACGAGGACCCAATTCAAATTTGTAACAAAGCTTAGAAATCCAACAGTTATCTTTCCCTTCCTGATCTTCAGTGTAATTGTGAAACTCAACAGATGTAACATAAAATACAGAAGTTGTTCTCTTTTGGTAAAGCAAAAATTTACCTTCTTAGCTCAAAAACCTATCAATGCCTATAACATAGAACCAACAGCTAAAACTAATGTGAACCACACATTTCAAGTAGGAAAATCCGGCATATACAAAGCATCAGTCATATAACGGGTCATCATGCAGCAATAGGGATAGAAATTTATCCTAACTAGCCCTGAGGGAAGATGTTCACCTTAACAGATATTACCACTAATTTGCATCTGATTATTGGTTTATGCTTTATTTTAGCCCATTAAAAAGAAGGCTATTATGAGGTTAAGGGTTTTACAAATAGACATCTTACACTGAAAAACTTCAAAGTAGATATTTCTGGTTTTTGTATATTTGATTACATTTTTATGTAGAGGAATCAATTGCTTTTGAAAGTTTTATATTATTCTGCCTTTTGTTGTTGTTGTTTCCAATTTCTTCAGATGCATCACCATCCAATATATCATCATCCAGCACTAGAGATCCAAAAACTGTGAGCACAGCCTCCTGTTTCTACTTGCCGCAAAGGGTCTCCTAGCCACTCTGTGGTGGGGCCACTGAGCTATTTCTGTGCTCTGGGAAGATGTTTGACAACCTTGCCAAGGTAGTTGAGTTTTTTCTTCTTTTCTGAAGAGCAGCCAGTCCTCATTTTCCTTATGAAAAATTTCCTTTGTGAAATTCCAGGTCAAAAAAAAAAATCTATTCCCAGCATGTCCTTAGGAAGTTTTGGTACAGAAAGACAATGTTGTATGAATTAATTAGCATTGACTTGAAAGAATGAACAATTTAGAGAAAAAGAGAAAAATTTCCTCAACTGACCTCAGTGCCATATAATTAAACATATATATAAGAAAAATAAGGGAAAGAAAAAACATTTTTCCATTGCTAGTAAATGAACATTTTTCTATGAATAACAAAGTATAATATCCTGGAAATACAATGACAATTTCCCACACAGGCTTTCCTTTTAAAGATGCAAAAAGGCTTTTTAAAAACAACTGCCAAATGGACCACTTACACATCTTGAGAGTTACTCACAGAGCTGGCTTTTCATTAAGCTTTTAGTGCTTTTAGTTGGGATAAAAATGCTGCTTCTTTTTTGGCTGGCTCCCCCATCCTGTCAGACTTTTAAAACAAGTTTCACAACTAGTCTGCCACAGGCTCCTACCCCACTGCTTCCTCACTTACGTGGACCTCAAGATTTCCCTGACTGATGCAGCTGGCAGCCCAGAGCTGCCTATGATAATAACTGTGACACTCGCTTTTCTTCTGAAGTTGTGGATTCATTAAAAAGAAAGCATTGCATCTTGCTAGAGAACAAGGTTGATCCCACATTGAATGTTTCTATTACTTAGACACAAACAACAAATATAAATTATATTTATACGTACCCATACACATCTACACCTTCTGCAAATTCTACAAATTTGCTGTCTACCCACGGGTGGCAACCCAAACCAGTACCCATGTATCAGCTGCTACTCAAAGTGTATACTTTAAAAGAAACAATCTGCACTTAAAGAAAGAAATCCTTTCATCATGTTTATTGCTTGCATTTGTAGCTTTTATTTTCCTTTTTATAAAATTTCCCCCACCAGTCATTTATCATTTGCTTTTCGGGTGCTGACTTTTTGAAGCCAGCTGGAGCTCTGTGTACAAAATTGTATTCCAAACCTGTGCTCCTCCTTTGCCACTTGCCTGGGTTAAAAATGGCCAAACTGACTTTTAATTTGGCTAAATAAAATAAATAAATAAATGAAATGTCCCCAGGTTAAGACCCTGCATTCCAGGTTTCAGCCCAGAGTGAATTTGTATGGCCAAGTTATAAACCCCTGAAAATAGGAAACTAATGCCATGAGGATTTAAAATAATAGAAAATGTTTCACATAATATAAATCCATAAGCAGTGTATCATATTTAAGTCTTAATATCTACATACTTGGATTATCTTATATCTTGACAATCACACAAAGTAATCTCCCTCCTTCTCCCACTTTCCTTTGACTCTGGGTTTCATTCCTATGTATTAACAATGCTCTGGGCCATAAAATACTGTATTAATATTAGTTTGTCACAGCAGACTAAATTTAGAACAACTCATTAATATGGGAGAGTTAAAGGCAGTCAGATAAGAGTACCAGGGACTATAAGCTCTTAAGGCTATAAGTTATGCAGATATGCCACTTGAACTGGAGAGCCAGTCATTCTTTTTGTTACTAATAAGAGATTCTATTAGTTCTAAGCTGATTCTAATTCTAATTAAGAAATGTGGGAAAAGGCAATTTTGCCTTTGTAGGTATAGTTGATGTGCAACTGGAATAAGTCTTATATCATCCCGCTTGGCGTCCTAGTCATAAAGATTAGTGGCACATGCATGGAATGAATATTCTTCCCGCCATCCACATAAAAAAGCAACTTCAGTGCTGTATTTGGGGCGGCATAATCATAATCGATGTTCCTGGAAGAAGTCTAGTGATCAGTGCTTTTTCAAAGCAAACCTTTTGTGGCTCAGAATCACCCCAGTTGTACAAAAAGTTTTGACTTTTTACAAATAAAAACCCTTCAAATGGATCTTCTGGACCTGTTATGCCTTTCTTTGGGCTTGTCAAATATTAATTTTTTTTAAATTTAGTCCCTTGCTAAGCTACAAATATTCATGTTTAACACCAAGTAGCAGTTCAGGGGCTGACGACTTGGTATGTACCTTTTGAATGATGCATAGAAAGCAGCAGTTAGCACAAAGAAAAAGCCACCAGATTGGTCTCAGGGAAACCCAGTGTCTGAATTTTTCATGACTCCTCTAGCACTTAAAGAATAAAAAAACTGGCTACTAGTGTTGGGAGACCAACGTCAGGAAGGTCAGAGCCTGGAAACATGCAAGAGAATCCGGTCTTGCCTGGGGAAAGTGAAAAGGGATTTAAGCTGCTTAGGAGAATTAGAAAATTTTTTTTTCTTTTGCTTTGTTTGGTATTATACAAACACCAGAGTAGCAAAACAAAATCTATGAAAAAAAGTATGCTGTCATACCTCGCTAGGATTCCTTATTTTTGTGTCTCTAAAGACAGCAAAACTTACCTTCTCTTTTCGGTTATGGGGCTCATCGTTAAACTTCCTCAAATTAGGCTTTTTCTGGAATATTTGCTCACTCTTATGGGTTCTCCCTCCAAAGAAAACCGATGAAGAGGGGAAAGTAGAAGCAATTCAATTATTTGTTTCCCTGGATGTGTTTGGAAACATCTCCCATGGAGGTGAGGGGCAAGAGGGGAAGATGATATCTTAATTGCATAGATGCCCAGTGACACGCAACTAAAAACTGTTCCTCCTTTGATGAACTTCTCTGTATTTTATAACGATTTAGAGAAAATCTCAATTGAATCCAGGAAAATAAATGAGTAACTCCTACGGAAGGAAAAAAAAATTGCAGTGTTTAAGCAACTGATGACTTCACCTGTCACCGTCTCATTAAGCTCTTAATGAGTTCTTTTCTATACTTGGTCACATCTGATTTTTTTTAATATAAGTCCCTTTGAAAAGCTGGGAGTAAGAATTGCCTTTGATCACTGAATTCTTCTGAATTTTCAGTCAAAACGAGGCCATTTTCATCCTGACTTGGGGTATTTTTATGAGTCTATTTCCCCCAAGTACATTCCAGGGCATAGCTTTCCAGGCTGAGAAGAGCCTGAACAATTAATGTATACATTTTTACATAAATGTTTATAAATTTAACAAAGGGAGAGAGCTTTGCCACAAGAAGCCTCAGCTCTTTTGAAGGCAGTTTTCTAATGATGACCCTTGGCGTGTTGGGCCACATGGGATTCCTCGGAGAAGAGTCGGATGAAAATTAGTCTATTCTCATTTCAAACAGAATTTTGCTGAAGTCCTGATCAGAGCATCAGCATGGAGTCCGGGGAGACAACACTCGCTACTTGATTCACTCCGCAGCCTCCCTCTCCTGGTAATTGTTGCAGGAACACATAGTGACAAGGCTCTAGGATGTGAGCGGTCTGGATGTACTCCGGCTGTTACGCTCTGTTTAAAGATTTAAACCATCAGGGTATGATAAGGCTTTTTGATGTTCATTGAACACGGAGCTTGGGTACAGAAGAAGGGGAAAGGGCTTCACCAGAAGGCAATCATCTTTCAGAGCCACAGTAAGACAGAGAGAGGTGGGGAAATCTCAGCCTCAGCATAGACACGGAACAAAGGGAGATGAAAGGGGCAGGGTGAGGAAGGGGCCAGCTCTGGCTGTGAGGCAGAACTCGCTCTATGAGAGTTCGATGTCTTAAAACGCAGGGAAAGCATTTAGTGCTCCTCTTTCATTAAAACACACTCATCTTTGGGGATGGGGGTGGGGAGCAGATAAGGCCGGCTCTAAATTTGGATGGCTTCGGTTGATCCTGGATTTAGAAGAGCCTCCCATGGCTTATTTTGAAATTATTTAATGAGTATTTACTTTGAGTCTGATGAATGTCATTTCCAAAGCTCACACCCCCACAAACCTGGAAGACCTTATTAAAGTACATTTTTAAGATCCTCACAGTGTTTTCTTCCCCCAAAGGTAAATCGTGAATATTTGTCTAGAAGAACATAATGATCAGCAATGAAAGGGGAAAAAAGTGCCCCCTACAGAACCCAACCCAATTTCTTCTTATCCTCTTCTTTGGCAAAACATCAGTTTTTCACCTTATTCACAGCCATACCATGCCCTGTTACCAAGCCTGCATTTTGATTGCATTAATGAGACAGAAACCAAGACTTCTCCATTTTTGTCTCCCCAGCCCCTAGCACACGGTTTGCTGCAGGTAGCACGGCCTTAACAAATGTTTGTCGAGTTAACAAATGAATGACTCTAGAAAATGACAGGATGGATATCCATTTATTTTCAGCGCCTCCATCCAACATTTCAGAGAAAAGCTGCATAAAGAAAGCAAGAAGTTGTGCTTTTTCCTGCTTGCATCCTATACCGGTATTGCAAGGCAGAGTTGATGAGAACTGGTACTTTGGAATCAAACACACCTGGCATTGAAGGCTGATTGGCCCACTTACCACAGGACTCTAGGCAACTTATTTCACTTTCCTAAGCTGTATTTCCCCCATCTGCAGAATAAGAATATTTTCAGAAGCTTCCTCTTTAGGGTGAAAAAAAATCATGTAATGTGCTTAGCATAATATTTAGTATATGGTAAAACTTTCAAAAATATAACTATTGCTGTTAATATTATTGCTATTATTCGTCTTGATCCCCAAAACATTTTCAGATGTGGTGGCCTCCAGTGCAGATTTTAGAAATATACAGTCATCAAAGCAATTTAAAAGTGAGTCTCTATAGTCACATGAATAATATGTGTTGTAACCTTCTGGCCTCTTGTGGTCTGACAATGTGCTCTTGTTCCCACCTCACATAATTGTCCTCTTCTTAGAAGTAAGTCCTTCTTCACTTAGATATCAGCAATGCAACTTGAGGTGGATTTGGTCAACCAAACACCGGGAAACTAAAATGGGTCCTGCTTGTTTTAACTGGGAAAGTAATAAACCAACCCAAACAACATATACAGTGCTGTGCCCATTTCCTCACAGATTTAAGTTCAATGCAGCATAAAAACCACTGCTTCTGAGCAGGCATAAAGGAGATGAGGCCCAAAACCCAATTTCAAGGGCCCATTCCAGTGAGCCCTGTCCTAGGAGAAGCTGCCAAATACCAACTGCTGATATTTATGCACATTAATTATAAACCAAGCCCTCTCGTATAATCCCCATAACAACCCTATAAGGAGGGTACAGTTTACAGATGAAAAAATTGAGGTATAAAAATGATAGTATCAGCCAGGCATGGTGGCTCAGGTCTGTAATCCCAGCACTTTGGGAGGCCGAGGCCGGTGGATCACTTGAGGTCAGGAGTTCGAGACCAGCCTGGCCAACATGGCAAAACCCTGTCTCTATTAAAAATACAAAAAAATTAGCTAGGCATGGTGGCATGCACCTGTAATCCCAGCTACTTGGGAGGCTGAGACAGGAGAATTACTTGAACCTGGGAGGCGGAGGTTGCAGTGAGCAGAGATCGCACGACTGCACTCCAGCCTGGGCAACAGAGGGAGACTCTTGTCAAAAAAACAAAAAGTATCAAGAAAACGAGATTTATTGCCATTTTATTTATTTCTCTTTTTCTTTTAACATTTTGTTTAGTAACCTACTAGACTGGACTAGGACACTCACTATCTCTGAGACTGTAGAAATCCCTCAACTTTGGGTCTCAAAGTTCTCATCTGCATCACTGAGTGTGGGTGTGGGGGCGGAGGAAGTGGATGTGGTGGGCCATTCTAGCCCATACTGTATGATTTCTGCCAGGGGAGCTGAACTCTCCACCACCAGCTGCTGACCCCCTCTGCTGACACTGGAATCTGTGAAAACTACTAACCTTATATAATGATCTTCCTCTCCAATATCCCCCAGCCTTCCCGCCTCTAATACCGGAAATTTGAGCATGTCAGCCATTACCATTAGGGAAAGAGTCCATTTTAGCACAGCTCAAATCTACGGAACACAATGGGCAAGTAACTTGCCTCACGATTAAGACATAAGGGAATTACTATCTCCTTTTCTTTAGCCCTCTAACACAGAGAAAGCCAATCCTCTAAAAACCAATTGATTGATAATATAATTTAATATCTTCATAAGATTTCTAGTGGCAGAATCAATCTGCTGCTAGCACAACCATGCAAGGCAGAGAAAAAGAAAAATTGCACCAGTTGCTTTTATTTTATTGCACTTCCGGGTGCTCTAAGAAAAACCTCTCTCCAGAAAATCAATAAGGCAGATTGTGCCCAGCAGTCCCCCATTACAGAATTAAATCCATATGCCAACACAAAACAATGAAGAGACCCAACTAGCAAGGGATCCATTTGCTTTGTTTGACTTTGGCTGCCAGGGAATGAGACCACAAGACTGGATGTAATTTAATGCAAACCTTGGCCTATCCTGGTCATGCATATGACTGACCCTCAGGGCACGACCATCAATTTTCTATTAAAGATCAGAGATTTGACATATCAAAGTCAACATCCAGCTGAATAACTGCACTAACTTGATAATAATTCTTTTGTGGATTTCACAGTGGCTTTTCAGTAAAGTATCAGAAAGGTAGCCGATTTCAATCCTGACCTGGCAAGATCTGAATATGAAATAAAGGATTTCAGCTTGATCTCCCCATGATGTGAGGATGAATGTTCTGGTAAATGTTAACTTAGTGCTCTGAATAGCTCAGTAATAGATGGGTTTAGGCAGTAATAGGTTTAAAATGTCAACTTATTGAATAATAATTTCATGTTGTACAAATACTATGTGTAAGAAGGGATTTGTTTTGCAAATTTTGAAATAAATGAATGGATTTATAATGTCCTTGACTGTTTCATTGTTCTGACAAGAATTTTACAGAAGAATCAAAATTAGTTTGTGCTTTCTCTGGTCTTGTTTTTCTGCATTTGTCTCTATGTAGTTTTCATAATTACTGAGTCTCCCTGAATTCTGGTCCTTAATTGAGCTCTTCCCTGTTTTGGTCTCCAAAGCCAGGCTGGTAGCATTATTTTCTAGTAAAAATAAAAACTCAATTATCCCTTTCTATAAAATGTTTCATGACACCAATAGCATTAAAACGTTTCACTAACCCAGCTGTAAAATGCTCAACTGTTCAAAACATAAGAACTGAAAGAAATTCTGTTTCCATAACTGAACTCAGCCCTTCAGTCCAATTATAAGCTGACAGCTCTATAAATCCTGGTGGAACACAAGTGTGGGTAAAACCGAATTGTGATTGGGACGCTGAGGGCCTGGGACAAACACCTCCACCACAGGCTGTGGAAAAGGTCCCCAGATTCTGCAACTAACCCTCCCCACCACACACACATGCACGCATGCCTGCACACACACACACACACACACATAAACACACATGCACACTTCCCATCATCCTGTATGGAGTAAATAAGACTGCTTAGGGAAACAGGAGATACCATAAAACCATACAGGGTGAGCTCTCTGAATACTTCAGGTCTTATTCTTCAGCTCCTCAGCTTCCCTCAACTTTCCAGAAGATTTAGGAGCAGAAACCAAAAAAGCCCACTCTTGCCCACCAACTTAGCACTGAGCAGCTCCTGGTCTCATGCACAAAGGGTGTCTTGATTTCCCACAAACCAAAACTCCTTTTAGTGGTTTATAGATGCTCACATCTGGGTAATATCTGCATAAACGTGTCCTGGACAGATCTGCTCAACCACTCGGTACCGTGATCGAGCACATTTCTCTCTGCACAGCAACCACAGAGAGACCCTGTCCTGATCGAAGTTCCTCCAGAGGCTAATCATAAGACAAGGATGTAGGTGCTAGTTGTTTATTTGGAAGATGAAAAAAAAAATTGGTAAAGGAGTAAGACAGAGAAATGAAGGCAGCCAGTAAAGTTCCAGTGGGAACTAGCTGGGAACTAGTTCCTGCCTTGGGAACCTGGAACTTAGTCCCACTGGGAACACTCTCAGCCAATATAGGACACAAACCCCACTCAAGGAGTAAGGCAGCCAAAGAATTTATACAACTCTCCTATTAGTCATTGGTTAAGGCTGCTCCCGAGGGACATTAATTCCTTGGCTTTTCCAGCCTAACATATGGGTAGGCAAAAGGCTTCAGGAGCCAGAGAAAGCCCACCGCCCCTCCAATAAGTGTGTGCTGGAAGTTGGAAGTCAGCAACTATGCACCGAAGTCAGGAACTATGCACGGAAGTCAAAAAAGAAAGGGATATGAACAGAGTGTCCACAGCCTCTGCTATAGGCCTTGGCCTTTTATTAATTGTTGAAACTTTTCTAACTAGTTTTTAAGTTATGAAAGTATATGGCTTATGTAAAACAGCCACAAATTTAAGCAGTATAGAGAAGCACAAATTTTTTTTCTTTTTTTTTTTTTAAGACAGTTTCGCTCTTGTTGCCCAGGCTGGAGTGCAATAGCGCTGTCTCAGCTGACTGCAACCTCCGCCTCCCAGGTTCAAGTGATTTTTCTGTCTCAGCCTCCCAAGTAGCTGAGATTACAGGTGCCCACCACCACGCTCAGCTAATTTTTGTATTTTTAGAAGAGACGGGGTTTTACCATGTTGGCCAGGCTGGTCTCAAACTCCTGACCTCAGGCAATCCGCCTGCCTCAGCCTCCCAAAGTGGAGTAGCACAGACTTTTTTAAAGGCCCTTTTCCTCCCAGCCACTCAGTTTTATTCTCAGAAGTAACCACCTTTTATAGTTGTTGTAATTCTACATGTAAAACCTATATATAAAAATACACACAACACACATTGATTGAACATTCTTTTCATACCACACAAATAAAATCATATATGACATAATTTCCTGCTGTTTGCTTTTTTCACACAATAATATATGGTGGATATCTTTGCATATCAACATCTCTATATTTGTCTCAAAATTTTTTTTTTTTTTTTTTTTTGAGACGGAGTCTCGCTCTGTCGCCCAGGCTGGAGTGCAGTGGTGCGATCTCCGCTCACTGCAAGCTCTGCCTCCCGGGTTCATACCATTCTCCTGCATCAGCCTCCCAAGTAGCTGGGACTACAGTCGCCCGCCACTGCGCCTGGCTAATTTTTTGTATTTTTAGTAGAGATAGGGTTTCACCGTTAGCCAAGATGGTCTCGATCTCCTGATCTCGTGATCCGCCCGCCTCGGCCTCCCAAAGTGCTGGGATTACAGGCGGGAGCCACCGCGCCCAGCCATTTGTCTCAAGCTTGTTAAGGGATACTAGTATGAACATATCATCATTTGTTTAACTATTCCTGCTTGGTAAACATTTATGTATTTTTTCCAACTTTTTGATTATCTCAGACAATCTTGCAGCATTGTCAGCAACATATATATAGAGTGTGCAGGCAATGCTGAACACCATATATATGTATCATATATATTCATCATATATATGTGATATATAACTTATCACATATTCATCATATATATGATATATATGAAATTTATCACTTATATATGATAAATTCTTACAAATGGAGTTATTCAAAGAATATGCACATTTCAAAATTTGGCAAATCATGCCAAAGTAATCTATAAAAAATATTTCACCAATTTACACTCCTACCAACAATGCATGAGTGCACCTGTTTTCCTATGTCTAAGCCAACACTGGAAATGATCACACTTCTTAATCTTTGACAAATGAATATGTTAAAATGCATTTCTTCTAAGTGAGGTTACTCAGTTATATTTCTTTGTATCTTCACATCCATCTTTCTAATGTTCTGTTAGTCTTCTTGATATTTTAAAAGCACTCTTTATAAGCAAATACTTTCCTAGTTTGTGTTTTCCCTTTCATTACTGTTTATGTCTTTTTTCTGTTGTGTACAAGTATTAAATATCTATATTGTTAAATTTATCCTTTTTTATGATTTCTGGATTTTATGTCTTAGAATAATCTTCCTTATTATTAAAAGTATTAAAAATAAGTTCAATTTTTTTTTTGTAGAACATTTACTGTGTGGGTTTTATTTTAAACCTTTATCTAGTATTTATTTTGGCACAAGGTATCAAGTAGAAATTTGTTTAAAAAATATTTTATTCCAAATGCTATGTCAGTTTTCTCCAACCAAATATTTTAACAAATAATTAATAATCAGTATTAATTTAAAATATCTTTTTATCAATAATCAATTTCCATGTGGCTTTAATTCTATTTCTGTATTATCTATTGTTTTAAATATTAAAGATTCATAATACAGTTTATTATTTGCAAAGCTTGTTCTCCCTCTTTAATCTCTAGAATTTTCCCATGTTTAGTTTTCCAAATGAACTATAGCATCACTTTATCAAAATCAAAACAAAGTTGGTATTTTTATTGAAATTACTTGCTTATCTAAATTAATGTAGGGAGAACTGGCATGTTTACAATATTCATTCTCCCTATCCAAGAACAATATATTTTTTCATTCATTAGTCTTGTTTTATGTCCCTCAGCAAAGTTCGTTTTGCTGAATTGTCATTTTGCACCATAGAAGCAGAGAGTTATGAGGAATAATTCTTCTCAATTATCAGATGTATAGATATTTGTTACCAGTGATTTTCTTTTCTTTTTTTTTTTTCATTACACTTTAAGTTCTAGGGTACATGTGCACAACATGCAGGTTTGTTACATATGTATATATGTGCCATGTTGGTGTGCTGCACCCATTAACTCATCATTTAACATTAGATATATCTCCTAATGCTATCCCTCCCCCCTCCCCCCACCCCACAACACTCCCCAGAGTGTGATGTTCCCCTTCCTGTGTCCATGTGCTCTCATTGTTCAATTCCCACCTATGAGTGAGAACATGTGGTGTTTGGTTTTTTGTCCTTGTGATAGTTTGCTGAGAATTATGGTTTCCAGCTTCATCCATGTCCCTAAAAAGGACATGAACTCATCATTTTTTATGGCTGCATAGTATTCCATGGTGTATATGTGCCACATTTTCTTAATCCAGTCTATCATTGTTGGACATTTGGCTTGGTTCCAAGTCTTTGCTATTGTGAATAGTGCCACAATAAACATACCTGTGCATGTGTCTTTATAGCAGCATGATTTATAATCCTTTGGGTATATACCCAGTAATGGGATGGCTGGGTCAAATGGTATTTCGAGTTCTAGATCCCTGAGGAATTGCCACACTGACTTCCACGATGGTTGAACTAGTTTACAGTCCCTCCAACAGTGTAAAAGTGTTCCTATTTCTCCACATCCTCTCCAGCACCTGTTGTTTCCTGACTTTTTAATGATTGCCATTCTAACTGGTGTGAGATGGCATCTCATTGTGGTTTTGATTTGCATTTCTCTGATGGCCAGTGATGGTGAGCATTTTTTCATGTGTCTTTTAGCTGCATAAATGTCTTCTTTTGAGAAGTCTCTGTTCATATCCTTTGCCCACTTTTTGATGAGGTTGTTTGTTTTTTTCTTGTAAATTTGTTTGAGTTCATTGTAGATTCTGGATATTAGCCCTTTGTCAGATGAGTAGATTGCAAAAATTTTCTCCCATTCTGTAGGTTGCCTGTTCACTCTGATGGTAGTTTCTTTTGCTGTGCAGAAGCTCTTTAGTTTAATTAGATCCCATTTGTCAATTTTGTCTTTTGTTGCCATTGCTTTTGGTGTTTTAGACATGAAGTCTTTGCCCATGCCTATGTCCTGTGTGGTATCACCTAGGTTTTCTTCTAGGGTTTTTATGGTTTTAGGTCTAACATGTAAGTCTTCAATCCATCTTGAATTAATTTTCGTATAAGGTGTAAGGCAGGGATCCAGTTTCAGCTTTCTACATATGGCTAGCCAGTTTTCCCAGCACCATTTATTAAATAGGGAATTGTTTCCCCATTTCTTGTTTTTGTCAGGTTTGTCAAAGAACAGATAGTTGTAGACATGCGGCATTATTTCTGAGGGCTCTGTTCTGTTCCATTGGTCTATATCTCTGTTTTGGTACAAGTACCATGCTGTTTTGGTTACTGTAGCCTTGTAGTATAGTTTGAAGTCAGGTAGCGTGATGCCTCCAGCTTTGTTCTTTTGGCTTAGGATTGACTTGGCAATGTGGGCTCTTTTTTTGGTTCCATATGAACTTTAAAGTAGCTTTTTCCAATTCTGTGAAGAAAGTCATTGGTAGCTTGATGGGGATGGCATTGAATCTATAAATTACCTTGGACAGTATGGCCATTTTCCCAATATTGATTCTTCCTACCCATGAGCATGGAATGTTCTTCCATTTGTTTGTATCCTCTCTTATTTCATTGAGCACAGTGATTTTCTTCCTTGTGCTATTATGATAGCCCGTGATACATGATAACATGAATTATTATCATGTTCTCCCTTAAGATACAAAGTTTTCCTCATATATGCCCTGCACCTTCCTTGTTGAATTTATTTGTAAGTAATTGCATTTGTGTCTTTGGTAAATGAGATATTTTATCTCAGTATATTTTCTAAACTTTACATTTTTTCTGTTTTAGTTATTAACATTTATTTATTAATTTCATACCAGGCCGGGCACAGTGGCTCATGCCTGTAATCTCAGCATTCTGGGAGGCCAAAGCAGTAGGATCACCTGAGCTCAGAAGTTCGACACCAGCCTGGGAAACATGGCGAAACCCTGTCTATAAAAATTAGCTGGGCATGGTGGCACACACTTGTAGTTCCAGCTACTTAGGGGGTTGAGGCAGGAGGCTCATTTGAGCCCAGCAAGTTGAGGCTGCTGTGAGCTATGTTCACACCACTGCACTCCAGCCTGGGCAACAGAGTGAGACCCTATCTCAAAAAAAAAAAAATTACGTATCAGTTACCTACTGGATTCTCTTATTGTCTGTAAAGTTTTTTTCCTCCCAGTTGATTTCCTTGGAGTTTTCAGACATATGATTATATCAAGTAGAAATAATGTTTAAAGTTTTTTCTGTCATAATATTTACATATTAATTATTTTTCTTTTCTAATTGCATTGGCTAGTACTTTTTAAACAATGTTAAGCAATAATAATAATTGTTAGCAACTTGTCTTGTTCCTGAGTTTAATTAGAATGTTTAATTAGTTTCATTAGAATGCCTTTTCCCTAAGTTTAATTAGAATTACTAAGAGTGGTACTGGAGTTTAAATTAAAATACATTATTTATTATGTCAAGGAAGAATCCATCTATTTTCACCCTTAAAAAACATTTAACTGAGGGATAGATGTTTAATTTTTCAAGTATTTTTTTACTATTTATTGAGATTTTCTCCTTTGACCTATTTATATAGCAAATTATATTAACAAATTTCCTAACAAATTATTCTTGCATTCCTGAAATAAATCAATTTAATCATATTCTATTGCTGTAGCATTGGATTCCATTTGCTCTGTTTTACTTGGTAGGGTGTTTTTAAAATTCATTAGTAAGGTTTATGCATATTTTTTTCTTTATATGCTGTCTTTGACAGGTACAGTCATGTATTACATAATGATGTTTCAGTCTATGATGGACCACATATACAATGTAGTCCCATAAAATTAAAATATAGTATATTTTTGTACTTTTTCTATATTTAGATATGTTTAGATATACAAATACCATTGTGCTACAATTGCCTATAGTATTCAGTACAGTAGCCTGTTGTACAGGTTTGTAGCCTAAGAGCAATAGGCTGTACCATATACCCTAGGTACGTGGTAGGCTAAACCAATTAAGTTGTGTGCGTACACTCTATGATGTTCACACAATAATGAAATTGCTTAACAATGAATTTCTCAGAACATATCACCATTGTTAAGTGACACATGACTGTAGTAGGATCACTGTTAGGCCAGCAGGCCTTTTCTGAAAACTGGCGGAAGAGATTTTCTCAATTTAAGAGCTGACCTCAACCAGAGATGGAGAATTCTCTGGAGACCAAATGATTTCTTTTGGTATAGCCCCAAGTATGGATATGGACATAATTTAATTCAAAAATATGTACTGAGCAAGTAAGCATTGGGTGAAATTATATAAGAGGGAATTTGGCTCTTAAAATTAGTATACAAGGCAAAAAATCTAAAATGTTATTTATCAAAATGTTGAAGTGAACTTTCTATTGTCCTGAAATTTAAACAGAAGCCCAAAGAAAAAGATAACTGGTAACAAATATCCATACATCTGAGACAAAAGCAACCTACATCCTTGAAAGATTTATTATAAGATGAAAAAATTAGTGCTGTGAGCCAACTTCAGCTTATTTAAAAAACAAAAAACTCAAGACATTTGAAATGAGAAATTCAGAGCCATTGAGGTAAAAAACTGCAAAGCAAGTCAGGAGTACTGTAGTATTTCCTCACTTCTCCTCATAGGTGACCCCCTCCTAAGTCAAGTGAGACAGGAGCTCAGGAAAATCTCTCACAGAGACTGTCTTCCAGAAGAGAGGATTGACACGTTAGCTTCCAACTGAGACGTGAGCTGCAGAGACTTTCTAGTGCCCTTGGGTCAGAGCTGAGCCTGGGGCAATTCTTGAGGGATGATGATAAAGTGTTCTCAGGGCTTTGAGGTTATGTGTAAAGACAAACCTTGTGTGGACCAAAGTGACAAGAGAAGAAAAGATAGCAGTGTAAGTGGCTTATTCTTCCAGAGTTTGGTGTGGCAAGGACGTCGAGTTTTCCTCTGAGCTAAGGGATTCTCTCATGAGCTACTATCTTGAAAGGCCTCCATCCTAGAAGGCTGCCTGCCAGAACAAGACAATACCAGTAAAAAAGTCTGACAGTCTACCATCCTACGCAGGAACTAAGCAAAGAGTTGTGTGCAGGGACTAAGCAAAGAGTTTTGTAAGAGCTCATCTAGGGAACGGGTTTCCAATATTAAGAATCAGTGCAGTGCCAAAGGCCCTCAAAGGAGTCTCCAAAGAACCCACAGAAGTTCCCAGAATGAGAGAGCCCATTTTCAACTATCTGCCACATGGTAGGCACTGCAGCCAAATTTTATCCTCACCTGTCAAGCATGACTTTGCCCCTATATCTCTCATCTCATCTTTCTTACCCTAGCACAAGAGCAGCTAGAAACAAAGAAAGGGGAAAAAGAGCAGAACAAGGCAGTACAATAGTGGAAGGAACAAAATACTACACATCTTCTTCTGTTGTCTTACAGATTTTTGAATGGGGTCTAACCTTGGTAGGAAGTGTGGGAAGGAAATTTTGGAACTGGGTGAGAGAATAAAGGTGTGATTTGAAATGAACTGGCAATCCTATTTATTATTTATTTGTTCATTTGTATCCAACGGAGAGAATTTAATATGGGAAACTAACTTGCAAAGCTTCAAACAAGGAATGGTAAGACAACTTAAACATCAGCAATGGTAGGAAGGTGCTACCACAAGAACTGGAGAACAAACAAGTAAGGGAGTTGGTGCTGCCTGTGTTCAGGTGTTAGGGTCACCCAGAGGAACCTAGAGGGAATAGGCTAGATGGTGGGAGCTGGGACAACAAAGGAGATGTTGCCCCTGACGTAGGTACAGCCTAAAGCAATGGGAGATTCTCCCCTCCTTTTGGGCTCCAATATTCCACCATCTTTCCTGCTTAGACCTTACCACAATCTAATCGGCAAAGGAATCTGGGATTGTAGCATTATGGTAATTTCAGGTGTTGACTTTACTGGATGAAGGAATAGTTAGAATGAAGTGTTTCCAGAAGAGATTAATATGTGAGTCGACGTGGAATCAGTGGAAGAGATTCTCCCTCAATGTGGGTGGGCACCATTCAATCTGCTGGGGGCCCAAATAGAACAAAAATAGAAAAAAGGTGATTTGGTCTCTCTCTCCAGACCTGGGATACCCTTTTCTTCTCCTGCTTTGGACATCAAGACTTCAGCCTATCTGGACTTTGGACTTCAGAATGTATAGCAGCAGCCCCTCAGTGAACTGGGCATCTTAATATCTACAAAAGTAGATAATTCTAAACCCAAATATGACTGAAAAAGCTATGGAATATGTCCAAGATATTGCCAAGTTGTGAGGGATACCCAACAGTCCATATTTAAATGCAGAGGTGAGATATACGGCATAGCCAAAATTACCCTTGAAAATCTTTCAGGAAAGGGTTACATCAGAGACTAGCACCCCATCTATCATTAATTCCAACAGAGCAAGTTTTTCTGCCAGCACTGGAACAGCTTGCAGCTATTTCAGATTGGGACAGATGAAGTAGTTGGCTGAGTTTAGCGGCCATGTTGTAGGAAAAATATGTACCTTTAAACACGAGAATCACACCCAGCACAGCAATATGCTCACACTATAAGAGGCATAGAGAAACAGGGTCTGTGTGAGAGAATGGAAAATAGAAAATGATGCTCTCCAAAATACTGCTTATTCAGGGCCATAGGCACATTAAGTGCAATGGTAAGTGGCATCACTTACTTGCCCTAGTTAAATCTTTCTCCCTCTCTTCTTTCGCTTTCCTCCCACAACCCCACCCAACCATCTATATGGTTGACCTTTAAACAACATGGGGATTAGGGGGACTGACCCATGTGCAGTCAAAAATCCATGGATAACTTTTGACTCCCCCAAAACTTAACTACCAATAGCCTATTGTTGACCAGAAGCCTTACTGATAACATAAACAGTCAATGCATATTTTGTATGTTGTATTACATAGTATATTCTTATAATAAAGTAAATTAGAGAAAAGGAAACATTATGAAGAAAATCACAAGGAAGAGAAAACATATCTACTATTCATTAAGTGGAAGTGAATCATCACAAAGGTCTTCATCCTCGTCATCTTCACATTGAGTGGGAGGAAGAGGGGTAGTTGGTCTTGCTGTCTCAGGGGTGACAGAGGTGGAAGAAAATCTACAAGTTTATAAGTAAACCTGTGCAGTTCAAACACATGTTGTTTAAGAGTCAACTGTAGTTAGATACATTTGTATAGGTACAACTCACATATCATGCAATCCACTTTATCCCACTGTGAAGACCCAAAGATGAGTAAGACACACTTCTCATTGAATTCCCAGGTAAATGGAAGAAAAAACGATGTAAACAAATATGTACTAGGTCCTCTAGTAAAAAGTAAGCATAAAGTCTCATGGAAGTACAAAGGATGTAATGGTCGTTACCCGCAGAAGACAGAGGAAAGAGGAAACTTCCCAAGAAAAGCAAAATGGCCAATCCCAGGCCCATCATCCCAAACAGGCAGTACCAACGTCCTAGAGCAGCCATCTCTTCTCTTCCTTCTTGGTTAAACTTGGAAAACCACTTCTTAACATTTATAGCAACAAAAATAATAGCTTTTATTTACAAAGATTTACAAGTAGTTTATTAAACCCTTTCAGGGGATTAGGTGAGAAAATTTCAAAAAGTGGTGTCTTATACAAAGATATTAAAGTTGGCAAGTTTTGGAATTCAGACTAGATCCGAGTTACCTAACCCCCGATTCAGGGATTTACACTCACTGCTTCTGAAACAGAGAGCCATTTATCAAAACTTTTAAAACTTATTACTCCTAGAATAGTATTTTCTTGACACTAACCATAAGCAGGTATTAACATAACGATAAATAGGCTTTTGAAAAGGAATTTGCAAAATTTCAAGAAATATAAGCTGTAAGTGGATACTAACAGGAGCATTAGGCTGAGGTCAAAGACAACATTAATATAGGAATTTCAGGCTTTTATTTATACCTTGATTCCAAGCTGCATGAACCAAGGGGAGAGGTACTGTGGCAACTCCTTTGCTCTCATGGAGCTGTTCCTCCAATAACCCCAGGTGCAGTTTTGCTCTCTGACTTCCTATATCCTTTAGGGTACACTTGTAGGATGTGATCCTAGGTTAGAATTCTCTGCTCCCAGTGGCAGTGTGGTATTGTAGGGCTCTGACTTGGAAGTCAGGAAATTTCAGTTCTAGTGCATTCGGCTAATTCCATGAACTAGCTGAGTGATTCATGCAACCTCTCTGCACCTCAATTTTATCATCCATAAAACTTAGTTAATAATCCCAGACTAAGCTTTATCTCAAGGTACTCTGAAATTCAGTCACTGCTTCTGTCCCCCAATATCTTCAGGTTCTTCACCTGCTGTTTTCAGGGACAGAAACTGGAATCTGACTAGGACTGTGCCAGCCTGAGAACAGCATTTCAGTACAAGCCCAATCAGTAGCCTGCAGTCTACAATGCAGGGGACAGCGCAGAGAAACACCCTTTTCCTTTACCAACTGGTAATTGGTAGAAAGGGCACTAGAAATCAGATCTTCCAACTCTGCATCAGTTGCTCTGCCCACTCCACCTCAAAGTTCTAGCCCTTCAGCATGGCATATAAGAATCCCCATTCATTGGCTTTGATTTTTTGTCTTGCTTCCAAACTATGTCGTTCTAATTCATAGTTTTTGGCTTCCATACATTGCCTCATTCCTCTTACACCTATATGCCTTTTTCTCCCCATTGCATGTGATGGCTTAATAGAACCCTCATTGTTCTTTATAGCTCTTTATAGCTGTTCAAATGGCAGCTTTTTAATGGAACATTTCCTGATAGATCCTAGGATGGGCCTTCTCTTTTCTGTAGTCCTCAAGCACTTTTTACTTTTCTCAGACATCCTACCATATTTTGCTTTGTGTCATAATTGAGTGTCAATATATTGTTAACTTCTTGAAGTCCTTGTCTCTACCTCAGTACCCATGACAAAGCCATCCACATTTTCAGCCTCAGGGACACATTGTAAAAGGCAGGAGAGATTAGGCTATGCTGGAATAAAAACACAATCCCCAATATTGCAGTAGTTTTACTCTATTAAGGTTTATCAGAATCTCACTAAATTTCCAGTGCAAGTTTTAAGGGGGTCAGGGTGCAGGGGGTGGAATTTGTCATCATAATCTCTCAGAAACCAAGGCAGATGGATGTTCTACCTCAACAAGAGCTTCTATGTTCCCTACAGCAAGGGATGTGAATATAGAGAATTGAACACTGGCTCTGACGTCTTCCACCCTAAGGTAACCCATGTCATTTCTTCTCACATTTCATGGCCAAAGTAAGTTGTATGGCCATGCTTACTTTTAGAGCAGGATACAGAAGTGTGGTACAACAGTGTGGCTGGAAGGAGGAGGAAAATCAAAGTATTGATGCACATAATAATGATATCACAACACCATGCTGTATCTCACCCTGGACTGTGGACCATTTTGTTTCTTCTGACTGGGACACACTGCCCAACTTGTCCCTTCATCTGAATAGCTCCTTCTCATCCAAATGTTTTCACTTAGAGTTCCTTTAAAGGTTTTGTTGACCTTAACTTGCAATCACCACTACCACCAAAGCTGGATAAAGTGTCCCTCCAATATGCCCAAATGGTACCCTATAGCCATACGAGATCACAGTCACACTGGTTTGTAGTTTGGCTTATTTGACTCTTTATCATTAGGTCAGGAATTGGTAAACTGTAGCCCAAGAACTAAATCCAGCCTGCCATTGGTTTTATAAATAAAGTTTTATTGGAACACAGTCATAGCCGTTCATTTCCATATTGCCCATGGCTACTTTCACCCTAAACCCGTTAAGACCATAAACCCCTTGAAGGCAAGAGTTATATTCCCGGTACCTTCTGTATCACAGCACCTCACAGAGTAATTGGCTCATACTAGACATTGAACAACTATCTGTTAAATAAATGAAGAGATGTGAGTGTTTATTGAATTAAAATCATCTTCAAGAAAAAAAGGACAGAAAAACAGGGAACAGGGAGTATCAGAATTTCAAATTTTGGCAAGACAAACTCTCTCAGATTCTCTGTTCCAGCTACATATCCTACCACTTTTTTAAAAATGAGTAAACATAGGGAACCAACATTAATCTTTTAAGGGTCAAGGCAACTAGAATTTGCCACAGCCTAGTTAGAACAAATTAAGCAACTGTGACACTTACGAAATGTTTTAAAATTACAGAATTGCTAAATCCACATCAATTTGCACTGTAGAATATTTCATTCTCTTTGATTAACAAATCTGACTTAAAAGAAGTGTGGACGCTTCAACACAGTATTGTAAGCCTACAAAAGTCCCGCAATTGATATGAATTGCTTTCAAGCTGGGTATCTACAAGGTAACATCAGTATACTTGCTCAGAGCTTCCAGAAGTAAACACACAGTGCTGTATCTGGGCTCTGGTGATTTTACAGCATAGGTAAAAAAATATTAAAATACAAGTAAACCTGATAAGTACAGCATCCCAGCTTGTTTATAACAGCAATTTCAGCTAGTACAGATCCACAATTTATTTGCAAACAGATTAATTAATGTTTCAGCAGCTGTTTGCAGCCAGTTTGTGATCTCACTGAGCACAGATGACACTTTTTTCCTCTTCTATTCCATAGGGGTAATTTCAGCAATGCTTAGATTAGGTTTTTACTGTATCAGCTCACACGATAAAATAAGTTGAGTCCTGAAGCAGCCATGATGGCTTTACAAGATCCCCAGGCTGCCAAGTCTCAGGTGATTCCCCTGTGCCACTGTTCCTGGGCTTCCTTTTAATTATGGCCTCAAAATGCCAGTTTGCAAACAGATCTGCAAGATGAAAACCTGACATTTAAAAAAATTGTTTTTTCCTTCTACTTTTAGGTCCCTCAGGGTTGGTATTCAGCAATGTGTACCACTGGGTGTAATAAAAGCAAATGCTTGAATATTTTTCAGTAACCGGCCAGAGAATAAACAAATGGAAGAACAAATGCTGAAGAGCCTACAAGTAATGCACTGTCTAAGCTAGGTGGATCGCTACTGATAAAGCAAGGCAGCTCTTCGGATTTCATTTCTCTTCTTGAAAGAAAAAGAAACAAGGAAGACGAGACAAAATCCCCAAAGCCTCACTAGGCTAAATTTCCTTACTCTCCTTTGAACAGACTACACAGATTTTGTTGACTAATTGAGATCAATCCCAGTTGTAAATCACCTAGCTATCCTACAGCTTTAATTAAGCTAGCAGAGGGAGCTGTTTATCAATTAACACTTGTTACAAATTATTAGTAATTATATGGACTTTGTGTATGTACTATAGCTTGCAAGACCAGAACTGCCTTTCCCAGTTGTTAGGGAGCAAATTGAGTAGTTAATGGGCTATTTGGATGAAGGCATCAGTCATCACCATAATTACAGAATTTCTTCTTTGGCAGAAAGATTTAAGGTGAGTTCCAGCACTATTAGCAGTAGTTGAATAAACATCACTTTAAGTGTTTCTTTTGCCAGGGCTTTGCAAGACCGTATTAACTGGTGGACTTTCTAATATGGACTTCAGATCTGTATTTACTTTTTGAGTAACAGACATAATGAAGATGGGAATATTAGGTAAAAGTTGATAATGTATTCAAGCATTAAGGCTACCTATTGCAGTATGCACTGCATTCTGTGATAATTTTAATTGGCTTAATTGAGATGCACAAGCCTGATTAATGTTTAATTCCTTTATATTAAAAAAAGCGTCAAGTAGTTCGACATTTCTTCAATTATGTTAGATCTTTCTAGACTTCAAAGGAATGTTACATTAGACAGCTAGATACGGGGTGAACTGATTAAAGAATAAAGACTGCTCATTATAATCTAAGAGTACAAAATTGGTTTGTGTAGCCTTTGAAAGTCAAAATTATGAGCTAAAACTTGAGCTACAGTAATTAACCCAATTTATAGTCATTCTTGCTTATCTATTTGCTTATGATTAGTAATTTAAAATGATCCATGAGATTGATTTACAGATCTAAAGCCCGTTCAGGGACCCAAAATGTTTTGTCTATGATTTTTTACAAACACTGGAGGATTGTATTTAGTAGCATTAGTAAACACCTAATTATCAGTCAAAAATATCAGTACAAAAAAGATGTGGTAGTTAACTTCATTACTCGACATGCATAAAATACTAAAATATTTGTGAAATGTAATCTACTTGCAAAAATTTTTAAGTTTAACTTGCATTTGCTGTGGCTGTCTGGAAAAAATGAAATCAATTAAAAGTGCAGATATCTTAAGGTGATCAACTCTTAATTACTCTTAATAAATAAGTTTTTTAAGAATACAGCCAGGCACAGTGTCTCACGCCTGTAATCTCAGAACTTTGGGAGGCTGAGGTGGGCGGATCACGAGAGAAGTTCCAGGCCAGCCTGACCACCACGGTGAAACCCCATCTCTACTAAACAAAAATTAGCCAGGCATGGTGGCATGCACCTGTAATCCCAGCTACTCAGGAGGCTGAGGCAGGAGAATTACTTGAACCCGGGAGGCGGAGGTTGCAGTGAACCGAGATTGCACCCCTGCACTCCAGCCTGGGCAACAGAGCAAGACTCTGTCTCAAAAAAAAAAGAGTGCAGATGAAAATGTCATCTGCAGTGTAATTTAACTATGTGTACTCGTTCTAATCCTATGAGAGCCACCCCTCTCTCACACATGCATTTTCCAAAGTGTTCTAAATTCACTTCAGGGAATCATGACAGAGTTTGGTGGAGGATGAGTATGAACCATTAGAAAATCAGGAGATATTAGAGATGTAGAGTGATTAGCACACTTGCTAAATAAATGTTTCCAGGACCTCACTAATACAGCACTATGAAAACTCAAAGCCTTTCATTTGATGAGGGACACATAAAAAGTGAAGAGAGAGAGAAAATGAATCACAGAAAACATTAGGACTGCATTCAAGAGAGTCGTGAGGCTCAGAGCAAATCAGGTTTTCTGGAACCTTTATAACATCATGACTCTATGTTACTTACCATATGAGCGAGAGTGTGTGTGTAACCAACCTCAGAGTTGGTTTCATGGGACAAAAATTCATCCAGTGCTCCATGAAAAGGGGATTCCATGGATAGGTAAGTTTGGGACATTTTGTAGTATATCCCTCTCTTGAAGAGCCATAAGACCCATTAGTATAGTAAATGCTCTACTTATTTTACCACAGAACTTTTTTTTAATCGAATACCAACTAATATTAGTCAACAATCTCAGACCACAGCAGTGTCATCATATGAATCCAAATGAAATAGTGGCACTTGTTTTTCCCAGAGTAATGTTGATCTCTTATGTACAAATCAATGAACTCTTCCCATCTCACCTGATTCATTGAAGGAATGAGTTTACATGCCCCAGCATGGACGTAGTTTAGCCCCCATAGCCTTCTGCAAACAAGCATAGAAGAGCAGTGAGGCTTTCATACTCCTATTATTTCTAGCCATTTGCACTGATCAGCACTTGATACTCTGTGTAATACATATGCTAGAGTTTGCAACCTTAAAAGAGATGGGGAAACTGTGACCTGAAACTGGGTAGGAAAAGATGAGCCATTTTAAACTTGATGAAAATGTAAGTCCTACAAAAATTATTTTAAAGTACTAACCAAACACAAAGTGACAATAATTCCTTTCTCATTGCCTGTGAGATAAATAATCAAAAGCTAGGGTCCCATAGATTGATATGGAAATTACATATAGATGTGTGAATTCGTATGTATGTGTGGGAGAACTAGAAGCAATGATACCTCAGTATTGATGAACACACCTAGCATCCAGCTCTTGCTTTCTAAATGCCACTCCTCACCAAAAGGAATTAGGGCTCTATGACCAAATGACTGGTTCCAGCTCTGTGGTAGGATGTGTACAAGATAAGCCTGGAGCATCTTGCTGGACTAGAAAGTAAGGAAGTATTCAAAAACTGATGGGGGCATGTCAGAAGGACAGAGAATCCGGATTCAGAGGACTCCTCACTAGCTAAATCTGAGTCAATCTGAGCATCAAAATAACTCATTATAGTAACAAATTACAACCCATAGAATATAATAAAATCCTGTGAGCCTATGCAGAAGGAAGGAAGATAAAAAGGAAGGAAGGAAAGGAGGAAGGAAGAAAAGAGGGAGGAAGGAAGGAAGGAAGAAAAGAGGGAGGAAGGAAGGAAGGAAACATTTTCTGAAAGTAAAATGGCAACTAATAAATAATAAATACAGAAGAAATTACGAAACTCAAAATCGACTTTGACAACCACCATAGTAATAATTGTTTCAGTCAAAAATCACTAATAGATGTTAAAATTAGTGGGTGTATCTTGATGAAAAGTAAGATATTTGCATAGTCTCAAAGTATCTCTCCACAAAATACTTAATTACCAAAGGTAACTTTTTAATGGGAAAATCTGGCAGACACCACATTGACCAAGCGATCAAAGTTAGCATGATGGCTAATGAGACTTATTGGCGTCACATGCCTCCTAATGCAATGCACCAAGAGGGATGCAAGATCACTTCTGTATTTCCCCTGCCAAAAATGTACAGTCTGAATCTAACCATGAGGAAATATTAAAGAAACTAACCTGAAGGACTGTCTTTAAAATGACTAGCCTATACTGTTCAAAAATACCAAGTTCATGACAAAGAAAAACTGAGGTACTCTCCCAGGTTAAAGAAGACTAAAAAGATATGCCAACTAAATGCAAAAAATAAGGCTGGATTCGATCTTGAACCAGAATTATTTTTTCTTTTGTCATAAAAAACATTAATATGATAACTGGCAAAATTCAAGTAAGAGTCGTAGATGTTAAATTAAGTTTAACCTAAAACCACCTCCTTTCATATTTTAAGTTCAGCCTAAAGGTTTCTCCGTGAACTGTAACGTATTCTTGTGTCAATCAACAAGTTTTGGCTAATCAGTGGCAGCCAACTGTTCAAACCATGTTCAAATAAGGGAAACAACTACCTGTAACCAATCCAGCTGTTTCTGTACCTCACTTCGGTTTTCTGTCGCTTTCCTTTTTGTGTCCAAAAATCTTCCACCACGCAGCTGTGCTAGAGTCTCTATGAGCCTATTCTGGTGCAGGAGGCTCCCCACTTGATGAATGCCTCTTTGCTCAATACAACTCCGTTAAATTTAATTCAACTCAGGGTTTACTTTTAACATAGATTAGATATGAATTAACACTGTATCCATGTTAATTTCCTGATTTTGACAATTATACTATAGTTATACTATAGTTATATGGGATAGTGTCATTGTTTTTAGGAAATACACACTGAAATGCAAGACAGTAAAGTTGTATGTCTGCAACTTAGTCTCAAATGATTCAGAGAAAGGGCATTTTATATATATATCTGTCCGTATATACATATACGCATAAATATAAGCATTTTATATGTGTGCATATATATATATATAGAGAGAGAGAGAGAGAGACAGAGAAAATTATAGGGCATCCCACTAAGAACACATTTTGGTAAAAAATATGAACATTTGGGGAATCTAGATGAAGGATATATAAGAACATACTATAGGCTGAGCACAGGAGCTCATGCCTGAAATCCCAGCACTTTGGCAGGCCAAGGTGGACAGAATTGCTTGAGCCCAGCAGTTCAAGACCAGCCTGGACAACATGGCAAAACCCCATCTCTACCAAAAAATAAATTAGTCAGGTATGGTAGTGTGTGCTTGTAGTTTCAGCTATTTATGGGGGCTAAGGTGGAAGAATCGCTTGAGCCTGGGAGGTTGAGGCTGCAGTGAGCCCAGATCATGCCACTGCACTCCAGCCTGGGTGACCAAGTGAGATCCTCTCTCAAAAAAAAAAAAAAAAGTACTACGTTTTGCAATTTTAAAAGTGAATTTGAAATTATTTCAAAATTAAAAATAAAAGGAAATAGAAAAGAAAAAGCTATGATCGTGGAGAGGAAGCATGCTAGGGAAATAGCCCTGAGATGTGTATGCTTAGCTAGTTATATACAAGCTTTTCAGTTAGATTCTCCAGGGCTGTGTTGCCTTCTACTTCTTTGAAAGTAGTCCCAGCTGCTTGGCCCCTAACACTGCCTGCCTGTCTGCCCTCTCACTCATGCCCCTGCCAAAACCCAGGTTTGGGGAACTGCCCACAGGACCTGAAGTCTAGAAATAATTCTGTACCTTCTTGAAAGAATACTCACTTATAGCTATGTATACCATTGTGGTGTCAGGGTCACATGGCAAACCCCAGTTTCTACCTCTGGGAGAAGGGAAATGGAGATGGTATAAAATTGCAGGTAAGCATAGAGCAAAGGTCTTAGAGTTACAGCTAGAGGAAAGAAGGAGGAAAGTTTTTGAGTCTTTTGGTCTTTGAAACCAAAAATTATTCTCTCTCTTTCAAAAACCCATTGTTTTTGAAAGGAACAAGTTGTGTTGGGATGGGGTGTGTGAGGGGAGGAACTGCCACAAGGAAAACAAAATGGCAGCTGCATGAAGCAGCTAAGAAATGGGTACCAAGAATAAAAGAAAAAAAAAAGAAATGGAAGAGTTCTTCCATTGGGATATCTGAATGTTCAGTGAAACAAGCTAACAATATTAGGTAATTAATGATAAAGACATCTGCTATGAACAAATTATGATAGATATCATAGACTCCTGGAATTGAACAACCTTCCCACTTGGGTCTTCAGAGATTGAGTTCATAAAAAAAATACTCATTGAAAATAAAATATTCAGCCTTAATATGCATTCTCCATATTCAAGGTTTATTACATATTTTTCTGTCAATGAAATCTCTTTCTCTCACTGAAAGTGGTTACTAGGTAGGATGTTGCTTATTAAGAAAAGCAGATACTTTCAGAACCATAAGGAGAGAGTAATAGTATTATCTCTAGGATCTGTGCGAAGACCTCAAGGAAAACACAGCTAAAATTAGAATACTGTTGTTAAGTGAAGAGACTTAAGAGTGAATCAGAATCAAATGGAATTTAATCAGGATAGGTTTGGGGCTAAACAGCATTCCACTATTATAAAAGAAGAAAGTAGTTCCTAAAACATGGTTTCTCATTCTGTTTCACTACTAAGCCATTGTAAGGCTTTAAACAAGCCACAAGAACACTCTAGAGTTCAATTTCTCTGGCTGCTGAGTGCAGAACTATGTAAAGAAGGACAAGAAGAGAGTAAGGGAGACAAGTCAGGAGTCTATTGCTGTAACCCAGGCCAGGACTAATAGTAACCTGGGTCAGGGTGGTGACCATGTAGGTGTGAAGTGAGGGAGGTGAACCAAAGAGTTCACTCTCACTGAAAGCCTATAAACTTACCTGTAGGTAAGTTTATGTAAATCTTACCTGTAGGACTTTCTTCCCAACTACAGCTGAAGGGAGAAATCAAGGCTATGCTTTTGGCTCTCTAAGCTGTTAACTATCAATCTGACTCATTTATTGAATACACACTAGATGCAAAGACCTGTGCTAGGTGCTAGAACATTTACAGTGTAAATAAGATAGGTATCATCTCTGCACCCAGGACCTTAGAGCCTAGTTGAATGCAGAGACAAGCAAATCAGCAATTACAGTGCAATGGAAGAGTTCACAAGCTAAAGGATCACAAATGAGGTCCAAGTTACCCAATTATGGGAGGATCAGAGAAAACTTGTTGCAAAAGATGGCATCTAGGCTGAGATCTAAAGAATAAAATGAATTCCTTGGTTAAAGAAAAGTGGGCAAGGTAGGGGAAGAGATGATGCCTGCACAGGTAGAATAGCAGGTATGAAGTTTCAGCAACGAGAAATGGTAAACTGGATGAGCTGAAAGTAGTCTAGTATGGAGCAGAACACGTAAGAGATGAGTGAGTAGGCAGGGCAATTATAACCCCCTATTTAAAAGTTTGGTCTGTATCCTGAAAGCAGTGAGAAGGGTTTGAAAAGTTTTAGCAGAGAGTAACAGTTACTAACTCAGTTAATAAATAATTACTGGGCATATACTATGTGCCAAAGATTTTTCTAAGTGCAAGGGAAATAGCAGTTAGACATGATCAGATATTTATACAGGAACAAAAAGTCAAGCTACTTAATAAAAAACTGTGTATAGAAGGGCAAGAAGAGCGAGAGGGAGACCAGTTAGGAGTTTATTACTGTAACCCAAGGGAGGATTAATTGTTGCTTGGGTCAGTGTGGTGTCCACATAGGCAGAAAAAAAGTCTTGGAGAGGCATTGGCTCCCTTAGCCAAGAGTTTCATTGCTGTGTCCAACAATAGGAAAAGAAAGTTTGGTGATAAATAGCATTTAGCATAGTACATACTTCATCTTTGGGAAGAGCAGGCTTCTGAAGCCACCTACTGAAACATTATTGCTTTGACATCAAGCCTTTTTTTTAATTATACTTTAAGTTTTAGGGTACATGTGCACAACGTGCAGGTTTGTTACATGTGTATACACGTGCAATGCTGGTGTGCTGCACCCATTAACTCGTCATTTACATTAGGTATATCTCCTAATGCTATCCCTACCCCCTACCCCCACCCCACAACAGTCCCCAGAGTGTGATGTTCCCCTTCCTGTGTCCATGTGTTCTCATTGTTCAATTCCCATCTATGAGTGAGAACATGCAGTGTTTGGTTTTTTGTCCTTGTGACAGTTTGCTGAGAATGATGGTTTCTAGCTTCATCCATGTCCCTACAAAGGACATGAACTCATCATTTTTTATGGCCACATGGTATTCCATGGTGTATATGTGCCACATTTTCTTAATCCAGTCTATCATTGTTGGACATTTGGCTTGGTTCCAAGTCTTTGCTATTGTGAATAGTGCCGCAATAGATATACGTGTGCATGTGTCTTTATAGCAGCATGATTTATAATCCTTTGGGTTTATACCCAGTAATGGGATGGCTGGGTCAAATGGTATTTCTAGTTCTAGATCCCTGAGGAATCGCCACACTGTCTTCCACAATGGTTGAACTAGTTTACAGTCCCACCAACAGTGTAAAAGTGTTCCTATTTATCCACATCCTCTCCAGCACCTGTTGTTTCCTGACTTTTTAATGATCGCCATTCTAACTGGTGTGAGATGGTATCTCATTATGGTTTTGATTTGCATTTCTCTGATGGCCAATGATGATGAGCATTTTTTCATGTGTCTTTTGGCTGTAACATCAAGCATTTTATTAAGTACTTTATTAGATCTGTCCATGCCTACCTAGACAAACCATTATTAAAAGTACATAAACCAGGCCAGCCACAGTGGCTCACGCCTGTAATCCCAACACTTTGAACAGCCGAGGCAAGCAGATTGCTTGAGAGCAAGAATTTGAGACCAGCCTGGGCAACATAGCGAGACTCCATCTCTACAAAAAAAATGCAAAAATTAGCCAGGTGTGGTGGTGTGCATTTTGAGTCCCAGCTACTCAGGAGGCTGAGGTGGGAGGATTGCTTGAGCTCTGGAGGCAGAGTCTTCAGTAAGCTGAGATCATGCCATTGCACTCCAGCATGGGTGTCAGACCCAGACCCTGTCTCAAAAAGAAAATAAAAGTACAAAAGCCAATAAGAAATAAGAGATTGAACAAGTAATTTAAAATATTCCAACAAAGAAAAGCCCAGGACAAAATGCCTTCACAGCTGAAGTCTACCAAACATTCATAGAAGAATTGTTACCAATACTTCTCAAACTCTTCCAAAAATAGAGCTACAGGAAATACTTTCAAACACATTTCACATTTCACATTTCACAATGCCAGCACCACCTTGATAGCTAAGCCAGACAAAATACCACAGGAAAAGAAAACTACAGGCCAATACCCCTAATGAACACTGATGCAAAAATCCTCAATAAAATATTAGCAAAAAATTCAACAACACATCAAAAAGATTATACATCATGACCAAGTGGGATTTATCCCTGACATGCAAGGCTGGTTTAACATACACAAATCAATCAATGTGACATATCACATTAACAGAATGAAAGATTAAAACCACATGATCATGTCAATTGACTCAGAAAAAACATTTGACAAAGTTCAGCATTGCTTCTTGATAAAAACTCATATTAGTTTAGGTACAGTAGGAAAACTCCTCAACCATAATAAAGGCCTTTTATGAAAAACCCACAGCTAACATTATAATCAACAAAGAAAAGCTGAAAGCTTTTCCACTAAAATCCAACATAAAACAAGGATGCCCACTCTAACCACTTCTATTCAACATAGTACTGAAAGTACTAGCATGAGCAATCAGGAAAGAGAAAGAAATAAAAGGTATCCATCCAAATGAGAAAGAAAGAAGTGAAAATATCTCTATTGGCAGATGACATGTCTCATACATAGAAAAGTCCAAAAATTCAATTAAAACCTGTTATAACTAATAAATGAATGCAGTAAAGTTGCTAAATATAAAATCAACATGCAAAGATAAGTAGCATTTCTACACATAAGTAACAGCCTAGCTGAAAAAGAAGTCAAAAAACAATCTCATTTATGATAGCATCAAATACCTAAGAACAACTTTAACCAAGGAGATGAAAGATTTGTATACTGAAAACTATAAAACATTGATAAAAGGAATTGAAGAAGCCACACATAAATAAAAATATATCCCACTTTCATGGATGGAATAATTAATACTGTTGAAATGTCCATACTGCCCATAGCAATGTAGAAATTTAACACAATCACTACCAAAATTCCAAAGGCATTTTTCACAGAAATAGAAAAAAATTGCTAAAGTTTGTGTGGAGCCACAAAAACTCATGAATAGCCAAAGCAATAGTGAGAAAGAAAAACAAAGTTGCAAGCCACATATCTGATAAGGAGTTAATAACTAAAATCTACAAAGAATTCTTACAACTCAAAAGAAGAAAAACAATTCCATTTTAAAAATAAACAGAGGACCTGAACGACATTTCTTCAAAGAAAACATAAAAATAGCCAACAGGTATATGAAAAGGTGCTCAACATCACTAATCATCAAGAAAAAGGCAAATTAAAGCCACTATAAGATATCACCTCACACCCGTAAGGGTGACTATTATCAAAAAGACAAGAGATAACAGATGGCGGCAAGGATGTGAAGAAAAGGGAACCCTAGTATACTGTTGATGAGAATGTAGATTGGTAGAGCATTATGGAAAACAGGTTTCTAAAGAAATTAAAAATAGAACTACCACATGACCCAGTGATCCCTCTTCTGAGTATATACCCAAAGGTGATGAAATCACCACATAATAAAGATGTCTGCTCTCCCATGTTCACTGTGGCATTATTCAAAATAGTCATGATGTGAAAACAATGTAATGTCCATCAGTAGACAAATGGATTTTTTTAAGTGTGGTATATATACAGAATGGAATATTTTTTTAAAAGCAACTTTCCTTTATTGGATCTTTCCAAAACATTCTAATTAGTTTCTCTAGTGACACAACTCTCTATTTTCACACAGATATTTCATCAGTTTATATTACATTTCATTAAATTTGTAATTATAATAACAAGTAACTGACTTAAACAGACTTGGAAACAAATGGCCTAACAGACTCTTGGTAAACATTCAGTTCAACTGGTGGAAATAAAAGTATGTAAGTCACCACAGAGTTTCTTCCTAGGTATCCAAATTCAGTATGTTAGGAAACCAACTGCCTGAGTTGATCCAGGAATGATGAGTTCTTGGGATTCAGGACTTTTTATTATTATTATTATTATACTTTAAGTTCTGGGTTACATGTGCAGAACGTGCAGTTTTGTTACATAGATATACACGTGCCATGGTGGTTTGCTGCACCCATCAACCCGTCACCTACAATAGGTATTTCTCCTAATGCTATCCCTCCCCTAGCCCCCCACCCCACAACAGGCTTCAGTGTGTGATGTTCCCCACCCTGTGTCCATGTGTTCTCATTGTTCAACTCCCACCTATGAGTGAGAACATGAGGTGTTGGTTTTCTGATCTTGTGATAGTTTGCTGAGAATGATGGTTTCCAGCTTCATCCATGTCCCTGCAAAGGACATGAACTTATCCTTTTTTATGGCTGCATAGTATTCCATGGTGTATATATGCCACTTTTTTTTTTTTTTTTTTTGAGACGGAGTCTTGCTCAGTCGCCCAGGCTGGAGTGCAGTGGCGCGATCTCGGCTCACTGCAAGCTCTGCCTCCCGGGTTCACGCCATTCTCCTGCCTCAGCCTCCCAAGTAGCTGGGACTACAGGAGCCCACCACTATGCCTGGCTAATTTTTTTGTATTTTTAGTTGAGACAGGGTTTCACCATGTTAGCCAGGATGGTCTAGATCTCCTGACCTCGTCATCCACCCGTCTTGGCCTCCCAAAGTGCTGGGATTACAGGCATGAGCCACCATGCCCGGCCGTGCCACATTTTCTTAATCCAGTCTATCATTGATAGACATTTGGGTTTGTTCCAAGTCTTTGCTATTGTGAATAGTGCTGCAATAAACATACGAGTGCATGTGTCTTTATCGTAGAATGATTTATTATCTTTTGGGTATATGCCCAGTAATGGGATTGCTGGGTCAAATGGTATTTCTAGTTCTAGATCCTTGAGGAATCGCCACACTGTCTTCCACAATGGTTGAATTAGTTTACATTCCCACCAACAGTGTAAAAGCGTTCCTATTTTTCCACAACCCCTCCAGCATCTGTTGTTTCCTGACTTTTTAATGATCACCATTCTAACTGGCGTGAGATGGTATCCCATTGTGGTTTTGATTTGCCTTTCTCTAATGACCAGTGATGATAAGCATTTTTTCATATGACTGTTGGTTGCATAAATATCTTCTTTTGAGAAATGTCTGTTCATATCCTTTGCCCATTTTTTGATGGGGTTGCTTTTTTCTTGCAAATTTGTTTAAGTTTTTGGAGACTCTGGATATTAGCCCTTTGTCAGATGGGTAGATTGCAAAAATTTTCTCCCAAGAATGGAATATTATACAGACTTAAAAAGGGAGATCCTGCCATTGGCCACAACATGGATGGACCTTGAAGACATTATGCTAAGTGAGTAATAAGCCAAATCGAAATATATATATGTGTGTATACATATTTATGTGTGTGTGAACTATATACACACACATATCTTTTATATATAATATGTATATATGTATATAATATGTATATATTACATATGTGTATATAATATGTTATATATTTATATGTATATGTAATACATATTATTATATATACATTTATAAAATTCTGCATATTATATATTTACATGTATATATAATATATATTATATATATTATATATAATATATATTATATATATATTATATATATTATATATATTATATATATATATTCCACATGCTTGTGAATGGGGAGGAAATAAGAAAATGTAGAGCAAAAGATACAAAATAGCACATATGTGGGATGAACAAGTTTATAGATCCAATGTACGGCATGAGGACTAAAGTTAATAGAATTGTATTGTTAGGGATTTTTAAAACAGGTATAATGGATTTTAGCTGCTCTTGTCACCAAAAAGAAGTAACTATGTGAGATGATAGATATGTTAATCTGCTTCACACTACAGTAACTATTTTATTATGTGTACAAAACCCAAAACATCATGTTGTAAAACTCAAATATACATAATAAAATTTATTCCAAAAAAAAGTACATGAAATCAAAAAGAAAGTCACTCTGCCAGCATACCTGGCCTCCCTCCATGCACAAAAGTAAATATAACTCTGAAAATGTCTGCTAAACATAACCTTTTGTCACCAGAAATATCGTTGGCAGCTGCTGGTGACAACTTATTTCATTACATTCTAATGATGTAAACTGCTCCCTCAGGATGATTTAGCTTGCTGCAGACAAAATGCTTATTGCTTCTTTACTCATGCAGAACACAAATGATTGCTGAGAACCTCAAACCCAATATTCAGGATTTTAAGCTAACCTAACAGATCAGCAGCATTCTATGAATAAAGGCGATTTAACAAGAACATATTTTACAGCTTGAATTACTGCCATGTTGCATTCTATGTGTGCATCTATTAATCCAGGTTTTATTCTGAAGCCTGGAATTTGGGAAGCCAAGGGAATTTCTTGGCATAGTTTCAACCCTTCCCCTGCCAGAACTGGGTAATTAACAGATTCTTTAGCTAGGGCTACCATTGCTAACTTGTCAGAATGCTACATAAAGACCACATATTGCCTCCAGCTGTGGGTGGCTTTAATGGAATACTTTCTAAATATAAGCCAGGGGACCAGGTGATTCAGAATTATCTGGGGTGATTGTTAAAAACATGGATTTGGTGCACCTATCTGAGACCTACTGCATAAGCATATGCGCGAATGCAGCCTAGGAATCTGTACATTGACAAGCTCCCAGGGAAATGTGATGTGCAGCCAGGTTTGTCAGCTTCCTTAAGGGATCACCTGAGCAGGAGCAGGCACATAAACTCATCAGTACAACCCACAGAAACAACAGTGTCTTCCACAGCGGTGTTCGACAGAGCATCATGTTCAAGCAGCTTATTACCTCTACTTCCAGCTCTGTTCCTGCACTCCTGATATGCTCTCCTTTTGATTCCATCTGTGAGATTTTGGGCAAGTGACTTACCCTTTCTAAGCCTCAGTTTCTTCAAATACGAAACAGGAATAATATCACAATTGACTAGGTTGTTATAAAGAAATAATTTAATGTACATAAGCACCTGACACATACTAACCAATCAATCACTATAACCTATCTAAAAGTTTTTTTGGCTTCATTTAGGTTTTACTTCTCCTTCCTTACTGGACAACCCTACTTTCGTTTTCCCGTCTAAGCACAACATACCTTCCTCCACTCCTCTCTCAAATTTGCATCTCCAGATTCTGAGCAGGAACTCGCCCACGGGCTCCAATGCTACCCAGTCTGGCCTCTTTAGAACCACACCAACACTCTATAAGGCTGAATTCTTCCCTCAAGTATAGTCATGCAGGAGGGAACCTGAGGGGTCTGGAACTCCACACCTGTCTGCACAAGTTAATCAGCAATAGCAACTTCCAAGATGACATTCGTTACTTGCCCCCAGGAAACAGGAACCCCTGAGTCTGTCGTGTGTCCTGCATAGTGGTGTACTGACTGATAGCACAGGGATGATGATGATCATAATAATATCTACCACTGATTAATCACCAAATCTGTGCCAAGCTCTATATTAAGCACTTTCTTTGAAGGCACCTGTGAGATAGGTACTACTGTTCTCATTTTCCCTTTGAGAAAACCAAGGCTTAGAGAAGTTATAAAACTTGCCCAAGCTCACAAGAGGTAACATACAGGGTTCTAATATATGCAGCCTGATTCTAGCCCTAGCATTTCTGTACTTTTCTTTTCTTTTCTTCTTTTTTTTACCATTACACTAAGAAACTTCCAGAGAAGATTCATTGTCAGGTAGATAATACTTGGAAGCATGAAAGAGTATCAAGAAACAATATGATCAAAATCAAAAGCACTTTATGGAGACCTTGCAGCCTCAAGCCAGTGAAAGCCCAGGACAAATTTCCTTGGAAAGACAACATGCTGTGAGATAAATACCAAAAAAAGTGAGATTTCCCACTCTGCCACTTATGGGTGGATGATTTGGATAAAACCACTTAAATGTTTTGAGCCCCATTTTTCTTCATCAGTAAAATAAAAATGTAATGGCACCATGTTCACAGTTGTATATGTAGATTAAATAAGATAACAAATGTGGAAATGCCCTAAAGTGGTATACAAATATTATAAATTATAATTATTCATTCCACTAATATTTATTCAACATTTGCTATGTTCCAGGCACTGGAATGAAACTGTGAAGTAGGCACAGTCCCTGCCTATCAACATAGAGTTCAGAGTCTAGTAAAAAGGCAATAGAAAATAAAGTAATAAATGCTAAAATAGAGGAAAAACAGCCCTGACTTGTGGGCTAGGAGGGGCTAAAGACGCCTCCTAGAGAAGAGGGAAATCTAAGTCAAGACCTGGAATTAACCAAGGAAAGAAAGTAGGAGGAGATAAGGAAAGGTGAAGGAGAGTCAGAGATCTCTACTAAGATTCTAGTTGGCTAACAGTGCCTTTTCCTGGTACATGAAACATAGGGGAAAAAAAGCATGTTTGGAAGAAACAATAATTGTCTCTGTTTTGAATCTGATGTGCCTGAGGTGCCTGTAGATAGCCAGTGAGTACTGTCCAACAGGCAGCTGGATAAAAAGGTGTGGAGCTCAAGAGACTGATTTTGCACAAAGGTCTAGATTTGGAAGTCATTGTCAGGTAGATGATACTTGGAAGCATGAAAGAGTTATACAGAGTAAAAAGAAGAATCTAGTACAGGTAGAAAAAGAGGAGCCGGCTGGGCGCGTTGACTCATGCCTGTAATTCCAGCACTTTAGGAGGCTGAGGCAGGCGGATCACGAGGTCAGGAGATCGCGACCATCCTGGCTAACAGGGTGAAACCCCGTCTCTACTAAAAATACAAAATATTAGCCGGGCATGGTGGTGGTCGCCTGTAGTCCCAGCTACTTGGGAAACTGAGGCAGGAGAATGGCGTGAACCCGGAAGGCGGAGCTCGCAGTGAGCCGAGATTCCACCACTGCACTCCAGCCTGGGCGACAGAGCAAGACTCTGTCTTAAAAAAAAAAAAAAAGAAAAAGAAGAAGAGGAGCCTACAAGAAGCTTTTTATTTTCTTCTTTCCTGCTTTCACACAGACCTTAGTCTATCAAATATTTATTTATCCTTTTCCATGGGCATTTAAGTATACTAAGTCTCTATCATCAAAACAATAAATAGCTTTTGCCTACCCCATAACTCTGTCCAGTTACAGCTCTGTCTATCTACCTCCTCCCCATCAGAGCTGAACTTTTTTTTTCTTTTTTTTTTTGTTTTTTGAGATGGAGTCTCGCTGTCACCAGGCTGGAATGCAGTGGTGCAATCTCAGCTCACTGCAACCTCCACCTCCTGGGTTCAAGCGATTCTCATGTCTCAGCCTCCCAAGTAGCTGGGATTACAGGCACGTGCCACCACACCCAGCTAATTTTTTTTTTTTATAGTAAACACGGGGCTTCACTATGTTGGCCAGGATGGTCTCGATCTCCTGATCTCGTGATCCACCCGCCTTGGCCTCCCAAAGTGCTGGGGTTACAAGTGTGAGCCACCGCACCTGGCCAGAGCTGAACTTCTTAAAATATAAATCTACAACTGGAATCTCCATGTCCACACTTGCCATTCACTTCTCAAACTACTCCAGTCTGTCTGCCTTCCCTGTCTCTCCATTGAAGTACTCTTATCAAAGTCCTCAGTGGCCCATCTGTTTTTGTTTTTGTTTTTTTTGTCCAAAGTTTTAGAGATTGGTAATGTCAGTTCTCCCCCTTCCTTGAAGTGCATTCTACCTTTGGCCCCCTTGACTTCACACTTTCTGACTTTACCTCCCCTCTCCCTGAATGCTCCTTCTGAGTCCCCGTGGTGCTCTCTTCCTTCTGCATCTACCTCTTTCATATTGCTATTCCTCAGGATTCTTTCTTAGGCCTTTTTCTTACTGAATAAACATATTTTCTCTCCTTCCGCTAACCTGATATTTTAATACATACCCAAGTTGTTTGCCTAGGATAGACAGAAGCCCAACTCTGGTTTTAATAGGACAGAAGGAGAAATACTATAGCCACCAGTAATTTTTTAGGTTTGATTGCAGGAAGTTAAAGAATTACCAATCTGATGGTTTCCATTTTCTCTAAAAAGTAGCAAGCAAGATGATCTGCTAAACACATGAGTAGAAGGTGGTAGAGTCCAAGAATATTAGGAAAGAAAAGAATATTGAAATAGTCATCATGGAGGACTGGCAAGAACATTAAGTAGGAAAACATAAAAGGATTACTGAGAGATGTTAAAATCCTAGTTGAAATTGGGAATGATGGTTTTTAAATGTCCCCAATCTGCCTGTGATTTTTCTCTAGTAGTCTAAACACGAGCATGGAGAAGGCCACAGGTGGTTTGATCTAAGGTGGGATTTTCCCAAAAAAAACAATTAAGGAGTAAAGAAATTAAGAACTACAGCAAGAGAGCGGCCAAAGTCCTGGTTTATGGAGGTCTGTGCTGGGGGAGAGAAAAGCGTAAATAGGAGGGGTCTGAGAGTGAAAGTCTTGGTAAGTTCCAAGGAAGGGCTGTCGTTGGCCATAACTGAATAAGCAAACTGGGAAGACCAGTCAGTTTGGTCAGAGCATAGGATCATGGATTTTGTTGCATGAGAGTTTGTATAGTCCGGATGATGAGAAAGCCCAGAATACGGCCATGGTAGTTGCTGAAGATAAATATAGGTGATGGTCATTGGAAATAAAAGGTGAGTTTATACAGTGGAGGGGCCCAGTTAAAAAGTCACTTCTGTGAATTCATCATCCCCCAACTCAAAAGTAATAAAGCCTTTTTCTATACTCTTCCCCAAGAGCTTTTCTGTTATTGCTCTTATTCCACTGTATTCTAATTAGCCTGGTCTCTGTTTATTTCTACTTAACGGTGAGCTCTTCTTCCCACCCACCACAGTACACACAAGGTCAGTGAGCATCCAATGTTGAATAAATGAATGAATGAATAGCAATAGTTGTTTTCATGTGACTTCATATTACAGGCCTTTTACTCCAGTTCCTGGAACATTTTACTGTTGTTATTTATCCACAAATAAAAGATAAGTATGCATTTTATTTCTTGTGTGTGTATATATATATATATATACACACACACACATAATATATATAATATACATTATATATATAATATACAATTATATATATAATTACCTTTCAATCATAAAACATTTTCTTTTTTCTAAAGAAATTATTTTCTAAAGTTTAGATACAGAACCATTATCATTTTTCATCTCAAATAATTTTTTTTATCACTTTATCTCACATCAGAGCCATGCCAAGGGTTCTACTACTGTGGAAATTAAATCTTCAGATAGATCCTTCCTTGATGTAGAATCATTATTTCATTGCATGAATGATTTATTAGTTGCCTTCCATATGTCAGACAGTCCCATAACAAGGCTCTGGGGATAGAATGATGAACAAGACAATTGTTTTCTTCAGTCACACCTATAGACAGATAAGGAAGCAAGCCAATGGCCCAGCAGTGACTGTATCAGTGGTTGCAGTAACCAACAACCCCAAAAATCTCACTAGCTAAAAGGCAGCAAAGCCATGTCTCTCACACATGCAATGCCTATTGTGTGTTTCAGTAACTCTCCATGGCAGCTGCCCTCCGTACATTGATTCACCATTACTCCTCCATATCAACACAAGCTTTCAGAATTGCCAAGGCGGAGGAAGAGAGAGAGGGACTTGAATGCAGAAATTACATATGTCCTTTCTGCTCACAAATTATCAGCCACATCAAACCGTGGCCAAACCTAAATTCAAGAAGGTGTGAAGGTGCAATCCTCTCATATGCTCAGAAGTAAAGAAACAGATATGGGGCCAGGCGCAGTGGCTCACACCTGTAATCTCAGCATTTTGGGAGGCCAAGGCGGGTGGATTGCTTGAGCTCAGGAGTTTAAGACCAGCCTGGGCAAACACGGCAAAACCCAGTGTCTGCTAAAAATACAAAAATTAGTTGGGCATGATGTCACACGCCTGTAGTCCCAGACACTTGGGAGGCTGAGGTGGGAGGATGGCTTGAGCCCAGGCCGAGGTTGCAGTGAGCCAAGATCATGCCACTGCTCTCCAGCCTGGGTGACAGAGCCAGACCCTGTCTCAGAAAAAAAGGGGAGAGAGAGAGAGAAAAAAAAAAAGAATGAAAGAAAGAAAGAAAGGAAAGAAAGGAAAGAAAGAAAAAGAAAGAAAGAAAGAAAGAAAGAAAGAAAGAAAGAAAGAAAGAAAGAAAGAGAAAGAAAGAAAGAAAGAAAGAAAAAGAAAAAGAAAGAAAGAGAGAGAGATACTTCTTGAATTTAGGTGTGGCCATGGTTTGATGTGGCTGATAATTTGTGAGCAGAATGGATGGACGTAATTTTTGTGTTCAAGTCCCTCTCTCTCTTCCTCTGCCTTGGCAATTCTGAAAGCTTTTGTTGACATGGAAGCGTAATGGTGAATCAATGTATGGAGGGCAGCTGCCATGTAGAGTCGCTGAAACACACAACAGACTTTGCATGTGTGAGATACATGGCTTTGCTGCCTTTTAGCTAGTGAGAGAGAGAGAGAAAGAAAGGAAGGAAGGAAGGAAGGAAGGAAGGAAGGAAGGAAGGAAGGAAGGAAGGAGGAAGGAAGGAAAAGGAGGGAGGGAGGAAGGAAGGAAGGGAGGGATACTGGTAAACAGTAAAAATGACTATTACAATGACATTGTAAATTGCTGGAGGACATAATACTTAACCTGAGACTCAAAAGATGAATGGAATTTAATAAATTAAATAGATGGTTAAGGATGACAGTCCTAGTCAGAAGGAGCAGTATATATAAGGAAAGCACGGAAAGTTTATCCTCTTGACTGGTTCTGCTAGCGTTATAGAAGTTGCAGCCAGCAACATGAGTGCAAGTGGTGAGGTAAAGAACCAGGGCTGTAGGAATCAATAATATGCCCATACACACACAGAAATATATGTGTATATATATGTATATGCATATGTACATACGTACTACATAAATATTAAAATGGAGAAATGACAATAGCTGTCCCTGGAAATTTGATGGTAGTGCCTGCCCCACTACCATCCTAGGGGACATGACCACCCAGATGTGCTGAGGATTTCCAAAGTTTCAGCACCAAGCTTCGTGGGTTCCACTGACAAGGACAAAGTTACTTCCCTAGCAATTAAGTCCTGGAGACATAAGTAACAAGTACCTGGCATGGTGACTTCATGCCTGTAATCTAAGCACTTTGGGAGGCTAAGGTAAGAGGATTGCTTGAGCACAGGTGTTTGAAAAATAACAGGTTGGTTACGTATTTTGACCTATTTCTCCTAATATCCCCCAACCTCAGAGCATTCTTTGTACTATACTATTGTACCTACATTATATGGTTACTGTGAGGATCTAGCAGTTTAAAGGCCTTAGCATAGCTGTTTAGCACATAGTAAGACCTCATTTAAACCAGCTATTACTCCTTGGTTCAGAATGAATAAAACGCTTCTCCTGAGCTACATACTTCCAAACCTCCCCAGTCCATAGGAACTTCACCCTCATTTTGCAGATGAGATAGCTGTGAATAATAGCATAACATCCCCAAGGACAGGGTGTTCCACCACAGCTAGCCGTGGTGGGAACAGAGATTTAAACCTAGGACTATCTTAATGTAAATCCTGCTTAAACTGTTTAACTAAATTACCACCAACAGAAGATAAACAGCCAAGCTCATTTAGAATGAGGATGATTTTATATTTGTCTGGAAATTTCTTCATACAGGTTCATATATATTAGGCAAGTACAAACCACGAGCCAATCGTAAAGCATAATCAACACAGTCTGTAGCAATGGCAACCCTCTGGCACAGACCTCAAAGAGATGAAGCTAAAGTCATCCAGTTTAATTTTAAAGTTTCTTTCTCATACTTTTATGACCCCTCCAAATTTTCTTAGTTGGCTGGAAGCAACTCTATTCTCAGAATCACATATCTCTTTCACTCATCTTGAACACACTTGTTAGTGCAGATTAGAACTTGTTAAAGATTAATTCTTAAAGCATCCTCAAGCTTTCTTTTCCAACAAAGGAAACATCAATTATAGGCTCACACATAAACTTTGCCCCTTTCTTGAATACTTGCTGCCCTTTATAAATCTTAGATTTCTTCCCCTTGAGTATTCGTTCAAAGGAGAGATTTTATTGCCTCCAGGGGTTGTTAAACTGATTGCAATACTGCCTATTTAGAGCAGTTCAGTGGGAATTAAGCTGGTTCAATGCTGTCAGACCTAGAATATAGCTGTCAAATAGCATTACAAGTAAAACACCCTTGATAAGAAATAATGACCAAATGTCAATCTGTTTTTCACTACCCTTGCTACAGACTTCTCCTGCCACACACAAAAAAGCAAGGCTTTACGCTTTATAGTAATAGGACATTCTGATATTTCCATTAAAATTATAGCAGTGTTTTCAATAATAAAAAACATAATTCTAAAAGCAATCTGGGCTCAAACAGTGATGGAAACATTATTTTCCCTTTCATAAAGTATTTGGCAATCTGTTTCAAAACTAACAAATTTTATTAATGCAAGTAAGTGCAGAATTGTCTTTAAACCATTTTTAAGTTTTATCATTCATTCATTCCACTAATACTCATTGACCCTCTATGAGTTTGATACTGTGCTAGATATTAGGGTTCAAACATACGGTTACTTGTGAGCAATTTTAAATAGTCTAGATTTAATCCTGCAGGCAATTGGAAATAAATGCAAGATTTAAAGCATAGTCAGATTTATCTTTAGAAAGATTAATGTGGCTACACTGTGTTCCCCCTCATCCCCGTCTTTTCCTAGCATTGATTACATTTCATAATCATTTTTAAGTTTATACCCATATTCCCACTAAATTATAAATCTATGAAAGCAGGGATGCTGTCTACTTTTTTTGTTATGGTATACCCAGAACCCAACACAGTACCTGGTATAGAAGCCATTTGTTAATTTTGTGCATGATTAAATGAATTAACCAATACATATCAAAGGGTATTGAGATGGTATTTTAAAAGATCAATTAGAAAGCTGTTACAGTTTATACGCAATTTATGATTACCTAAAATAAGGCAGTGATATTGTGGCAAAGTAGGACTTTATTGTATATTTAATGTGGATGGCATAGAAAAGTAAAGTGTTTAGAATAACTCAGAAGTTTCTAATTCAACCAAGTGAATGTCGATGCTCTCAGAAAGAAAAAAAAGTTCAGGGTAAAAGACCACTCAACTAATCACTAATAAAACATTATTTCTAAATTTTAGGCATTATAGAAAATACACCAAGATACAAATAAGATAAAATATATAGTCCCCTTTAAAAGGTGTTGTGCACCATTTTAAAAGAATTCTTAAAGTATTAATTACTGAATAATTTAACTGGTGATTTAATCAATTAATGACCCACGGTCACACTGATTAATCCTTCTTTTCCCCTCTCCCACTTCTGTCCTCTCCATCAAGGCAAATTTTTTCTACCCTAAAAGAATAGAATAGCAGTTTACTAATAAATCACGCCAAATCATTTCCTTTTCCTGACAAGAGTTATTATGTCAGTACATTGTAAGAAAATCATAATGTCCTAGATCTCAAAAAGACATTTGAGTTGGTTTTTCACACACTATTCACTTCCCCTACTTTCATTATTATTATATATGTCATTCCACTGCCCAAAAACCTTTAAATAATCTCCCATTGCATTTAAAATTATATTCAAAGTCATTTGCTTTGCAATGCAAACCTCTATAATTTGAATTCTACCTGCCTTTCTAATTTGTCTCACATACAAAACCAACATAACCATCGCAGGCAGTTTTGGTTTTTTTCCAATGTAAGAAAATTTGTCTTATTGCACTGTGGTCATGCTTCCTATCTTTGACCATGAATAGTTTGTTTGCTGTTTCAATGGACCTGTTTCTGAAGGACTTTTACTATTTCTAAAAATCAAACTCATCCCTCCACAGAGGAAGATATTTTCCATTACTGAAAACATTACCAAAAAACAAAAGTGCAATAGCATCCAGAAGAAATTCTAAAACAAGTGTTTTATAAATAATGTGAGTAAGGATAACATCATTACAACAAGTGCTTACCTTTCCAAGGTGACCATTTTGAAGGGACTCTCTCATTTGAAGCAAAGTTTCTCTTACAGCTGCTAAAAAATTGGTCTTTCTTTAGCATCTCCAGATGGATTCTTAGTCTTCACTTTCTTTTACACAAAGCTTATGTAAAATAGATGGTTGGCTCCAGTTTCTGCATTCTTCTTTTTTCCATTTCAATTAATTTTTACGTTTTCTATTTTGCATTTAAAATACAAAATCAATACATTAAGCAAAAGATTTTAATGTGTTTTGTTTCCTCTATTGTAGGAACAAATAAATTAAAATGGAACATAAATTTTATCACAATTTTTACAGGATTTTTCATCGGTTTATTAACAAGTAAATTGTTTTTAACTCACTGGTGTCAAATGGTGAATTTATTTTCTAAAACTAAAACGCCAGTTATTCCTAAGATTTTTGTGTTTTATTACTTTTAATCAAAAGACAAATAAATAAGAGCACTTCCAAATAGGAAAAAATTCTATTTAACTGCTAAATATAGCATAAAATTAGGAGATTTTGCTGTTTGTAAGTGATTATGCTCTTCCCTACCCTAAAACTTAGAGTATAATAAGAAGAAGAAGAAAAAGAAAAAGAAAAAATAAGATATGCCAGGCTTCCGTCACCTTCTCTAGGCACTCTTGAACATTCTATATAGCTGAGAACTAAAAGAACAAATACAGAACTGAAACAAGGAGGACATAAGGCATAAAACCTCCCAAGAATTTTTTTAAGATGAAAGCTTTTAAACATGATATAGAAAAAGAATGTTACCATTGATTAAGCACCTTTCTCTTTTTTTATTATACTTTAAGCTCTGGGATACATGTGCAGAACGTGCAGGTTTGTTACATAGGTATACACGTGCCATGGTGGTTTGCTGCACCCATCAACCCGTCAACTACATTAGATATTTATCTTAATGCTATCCCTCCCCTAGCCCCCCAACCCTCCGACAGGCCCCAGTGTGTGATGTTCCCCTCCCTGTGTCCATGTGTTCTCACTGTTCAACTACGACTTACTAGTGAGAACATGTGGTGTTTGGTTTTCTGTTCCTGTGTTAGTTTGCTGAGAATGATAGTTTCCAGTTTCACCCATGTCTCTGCAAAGACATGAACTCATCATTTTTTATGGCTGCATAGTATTCCATGGTGTATATGCTTACTTTCTTCACAGGAAATGAATTGCGTAGCTTACACACACACACACACACACACGCACACGCTTCCAGGTCAGTCTCTTTTAACTGCTCTCCTGAGTTCAACTCGCAGTTGCTCTTAGCTGTTCACCTCTTTTCTCACTTTGGGTGTGTTGGCTTTATTACAACTGAGTGGTTTCTGACCACTAGATCCCCTAGACCTGCTCTGCAGTCCTTTCCTCATCTCTACTCAGCAACCTTACCATACTCCACACCAGCTTTTATACACCTTCATACTCTTAAGCACAAAGCCCATAAATCATCCCTGCCCTCAACATTTTTGGGAGATGGGGGTTGGAGAGGGGGGAGAAGCCAGCAAAAGTTGAAAGTCCTTCATGTCCTTTTCCTTTTTCCTCTAATTTATCTAAATTTGAGCCCATTGTGCCCATCAACCCTGGTCTGAGACGAATCCCTCCAAGTTCTCCATTTTCTTCCATCCTGTGTTGTCTAAGACCTCATGTCCTCCATCATCCTCTCTCCTCTCCTCTCAACCCCTCCCTTTCCACCAGATTCTTGCCTTCTGCTTATAAGTACATTCATTTTTTTCTTCATTTTCTTCTTGATCCTGTTACTCCCTTTGTCTACCAGTTATTTCCCTTTACTGCCAAATAAATAGTTGACTTCCTTATTTGCATGCCCTCTATTGGATTCACTTCTCATCTCACTCTAATCCAGATTTTGCCTCCACCTTCACCCCTAAAATAGGGACTCTCTAACATAATTATTGTAATGGCAGCCAAATCTGATGTCTCCTTTGCAGTCCTCATCTCACTTGACCTTTCGTTAGTATCTGACCTACAGATCACTTCCTCTTTCTCAGAATTTCTGAACCTTGTTTTAGTGCCATGGACCCCTTTGATAGTCTGATAGAGCGTATGGACTACTCAAAACATTGCCCTTAAATAATAAAATAATATAGTTGAGTGGCAGGAGCCAAGATGGCCGAATAGGAACAGCTCCAGTCTACAGCTCCCAGCCTGAGCAACGCAGAAGACGGGTGATTTCTGCATTTCCATCTGAGGTACCGGGTTCATCTCACTAGGGAGTGCCAGACAGTGGGCACAGGACAGTGTGTGCGCGCATCGTGCACGAGCCGAAGCAGGGCGAAGCATTGCCTCACTCGGGAAGTGCAAGGGGTCAGGGAGTTCCCTTTCCTAATCAAAGAAAGGGGTGACGGACCGCACCTGGAGAATCGGGTCACTCCCACCCGAATACTGCGCTTTTCCGACGGGCTTAAAAAACGGCGCACCACGAGATTATATCCCTCACCTGGCTCCGAGGGTCCTACCCCATGGAGTCTCGCTGATTGCTAGCACAGCAGTCTAAGATCAAACTGCAAGGCGGCAGCGAGGCTGGGGGAGGGGCGCCCGCCATTGCCCAGGCTTGCTTAGGTAAACAAAGCAGCCGGGAAGCTCGAACTGGGTGGAGCCCACCACAGCTCAAGGAGGCCTGCCTGCCTCTGTAGGCTCCACCTCTGGGGGCAGGGCACAGACAAACAAAAAGACAGCAGTAACCTCTGCAGACTTAAATGTCCCTGTCTGACAGCTTTGAAGAGAGCAGTGGTTCTCCCAGTATGCAGCTGGAGACGTGAGAAGGGGCAGACTGCCTCCTCAAGTGGGTCCCTGACCCCTGACCCCCGAGCAGACTAACTGGGAGGCACCCTCCAGCAGGGGCACACTGACACCTCACACTGCAGGGTACTCCAACAGACCTGCAGCTGAGGGTCCTGTCTGTTAGAAGGAAAACTAACAAACAGAAAGGACATCCACACCAAAAACCCATCCGTACATCACCATCATCAAAGACCAAAAGTAGATAAAACCACAAAGATGGGGAAAAAACAGAATAGAAAAACTGGAAACTCTAAAAATCAGAGCGCCTCTCCTCCTCCAAAGGAATGCAGCTCCTCACCAGCAACGGAACAAAGCTGGATGGAGAATGACTTTGACGAGCTGAGAGAAGAAGGCTTCAGACGATCAAATTACTCTGAGCTATGGGAGGACATTCAAACCAAAGGCAAAGAAGTTGAAAACTTTGAAAAAAATTTAGAAGAATGTATAACTAGAATAACCAATACAGAGAAGTGCTTAAAGAAGCTGATGGAGCTGAAAACCAAGGCTCGAGAACTACGTGAAGAATGCAGAAGCCTCAGGAGCCGATGTGATCAACTGGAAGAAAGGGTATCAGCAATGGAAGATGAAATGAATGAAATGAAGCGAGAAGGAAAGTTTAGAGAAAAAAGAATAAAAGGAAATGAGCAAAGCCTCCAAGAAATATGGGACTATGTGAAAAGACCAAATCTACGTCTGATTGGTGTACCTGAAAGTGATGGGGAGAATGGAACCAAGTTGGAAAACACTCTGCAGGATATTATCCAGGAGAATTTCCCCAATCTAGCAAGGCAGGCCAACGTTCAGATTCAGGAAATACAGAGAACACCACAAAGATACTCCTCAAGAAGAGCAACACCAAGACACATAATTGTCAGATTCACCAAAGTTGAAATGAAGGAAAAAATGTTAAGGGCAGCCAGAGAGAAAGGTCGGGATACCCTCAAAGGGAAGCCCATCAGACTAACAACGGATCTCTCGGCAGAAACCCTATAAGCCAGAAGAGAGTGGGGGCCAATATTCAACATTCTTAAAGAAAAGAATTTTCAACCCAGAATTTCATATCCAGCCAAACTAAGCTTCATAAGTGAAGGAGAAATAAAATACTTTACAGACAAGCAAATGCTGAGAGATTTTGTCACCACCAGGCCTGCCCTAAAAGAGCTCCTGAAGGAAGCGCTAAACGTGGAAAGGAACAACCGGTACCAGCCGCTGCAAAGTCATGCCAAAATGTAACGACCATCGAGACTAGGAAGAAACTGCATCAACTAACGAGCAAAATAACCAGCTAACATCATAATGACAGGATCAAATTCACACAGAACAATATTAACTTTAAATGTAAATGGACTAAATGCTCCAATTAAAAGACACAGACTGGCAAATTGGATAAAGACTCAAGACCCATCGGTGTGCTGTATTCAGGAAACGCATCTCACGTGCAGAGACACACATAGGCTCAAAATAAAAGGATGGAGGAAGATCTACCAAGCAAATGGAAAACAAAAAAAGGCAGGGGTTGCAATCCCAGTCTCTGATAAAACAGACTTTAAACCAATAAAGATCAAAAGAGACAAAGAAGGCCATTACATAATGGTAAAGGGATCAATTCAACAAGAAGAGCTAACTATCCTAAATATATATGCACCCAATGCAGGAGCACCCAGATTCATAAAGCAAGTCCTGAGTGACCTACAAAGAGACATAGACTCCCACACATTAATAATGGGAGACTTTAACATCCCACTGTCAACATTAGACAGATCAACGAGACAGAAAGTCAACAAGGATACCCAGGAATTGAACTCAGCTCTGCACCAAGCAGACCTAATAGACATCTACAGAACTCTCCACCCCAAATCAACAGAATATACATTTTTTTCAGCACCACACCACACCTATTCCAAAATTGACCACATACTTGGAAGTAAAGCTCTCCTCAGCAAATGTAAAAGAACAGAAATTATAACAAACTATCTCTCAGACCACAGTGCAACCAAACTAGAACTCAGGATTAAGAATCTCACTCAAAACCGCTCAACTACATGGAAACTGAACAACATGCTCCTGAATGACTACTGGGTACATAACGAAATGAAGGCAGAAATAAAGATGTTCTTTGAAACCAACGAGAACAAAGACACAACATACCAGAATCTCTGGGACGCATTCAAAGCAGTGTGTAGAGGGAAATTTATAGCACTAAATACCCACAAGAGAAAGCAGGAAAGATCCAAAATTGACACCCTAACATCACAATTAAAAGAACTAGAAAAGCAACAGCAAACACATTCAAAAGCTAGCAGAAGGCAAGAAATAACTAAATCAGAGCAGAACTGAAGGAAATAGAGACACAAAAAACCCTTCAAAAAATTAATGAATCCAGGAGCTGGTTTTTTGAAAGGATCAACAAAATTGATAGACCTCTAGCAAGACTAATAAAGAAAAAAAGAGAGAAGAATCAAATAGACGCAATAAAAAATGATAAAGGGGATATCACCACCGATCCCACAGAAATACAAACTACCATCAGAGAATACTACAAACACCTCTACGCAGATAAACTAGAAAATCTAGAAGAAATGGATAAATTCCTTGACACATACACTCTCCCAAGACTAAACCAGGAAGAAGTTGAATCTCTGAATAGACCAATAACAGGATCTGAAATTGTGGCAATAATCAATAGCTTACCAACCAAAAAGAGTCCAGGACCAGATGGATTCACAGCCAAATTCTACCAGAGGTACAAGGAGGAGCTGGTACCATTCCTTCTGAAACTATTCCAATCAATAGAAAAAGAGGGAATCCTCCCTAACTCATTTTATGAGGCCAGCATCATTCTGATACCAAAGCCGGGCAGAGACACAACCAAAAAAGAGAATTTTAGACCAATATCCTTGATGAACATTGATGCAAAAATCCTCAATAAAATACTGGCAAACCGAATCCAGCAGCACATCAAAAAGCTTATCCACCATGATCAAGTGGCTTCATCCCTGGGATGCAAGGCTGGTTCAATATATACAAATCAATAAATGTAATCCAGCATATAAACAGAGCCAAAGACAAAAACCACATGATTATCTCAATAAATGCAGAAAAGGCCTTTGACAAAATTCAACAACCCTTCATGCTAAAAACTCTCAATAAATTAGGTATTGATGGGACATATTTCAAAATAATAAGAGCTATCTATGACAAACCCACAGCCAATATCATACTGAATGGGCAAAAACTGGAAGCATTCCCTTTGAAAACTGGCACAAGACAGGGATGCCCTCTCTCACCACTCCTATTCAACATAGTGTTGGAAGTTCTGGCCAGGGCAATTAGGCAGGAGAAGGAAATAAAGGGTATTCAATTAGGAAAACAAGAAGTCAAATTGTCCCTGTTTGCAGATGACATGATTGTATATTTAGAAAACCCATTGTCTCAGCCCAAAATCTCCTTAAGCTGATAAGCGACTTCAGCAAAGTCTCAGGATACAAAATCAGTGTGCAAAAATCACAAGAATTCCTATACACCAACAACAGACAAACAGAGAGCCAAATCATGAGTGAACTCCCATTCACAATTACTTCAAAGAGAATAAAATACCTAGGAATCCAACTTACAAGGGATGTGAAGGACCTCTTCAAGGAGAACTACAAACCGCTGCTCAAGGAAATAAAAGAGGATACAAACAAATGGAAGAACATTCCATGCTCATGGGTAGGAAGAATCAATATCGTGAAAATGGCCATACTGCCCAAGGTAATTTACAGATTCATTGCCAGCCCCATCAAGCTACCAATGATTTTCTTCAGAGAATTGGAAAAAACTACTTTAAAGTTCATATGGAACCAAAAAAGAGCCCGCATCGCCAAGTCAATCCTAAGCCAAAAGAACAAAGCTGGAGGCATCACACTACCTGACTTCAAACTATACTACGAGGCTACAGTAACCAAAACAGCATGGTACTGGTACCAAAACAGAGATATAGATCAATGGAACAGAACAGAGCCCTCAGAAATAACGCCGCATATCTACAACTATCTGATCTTTGACAAACCTGAGAAAAACAAGCAATGGGGAAAGGATTCCCTATTTAATAAATGGTGCTGGGAAAACTGGCTAGCCATATGTAGAAAGCTGAAACTGGATCCCTTCCTTACACCTTGTACAAAAATCAATTCAAGATGGATTAAAGACTTAAATGTTAGACCTAAAACCATAAAAACCCTAGAAGAAAACCTAGGCAATACCATTCAGGACATAGGCATGGGCAAGGACTTCATGTCTAAAACACCAAAAGCAATGGCAACAAAGGACAAAATTGACAAATGGGATCTAATTAAACTAAAGAGCTTCTGCACAGCAAAAGAAACTACCATCAGAGTGAACAGGCAACCTACAGAATGGGAGAAAATTTTTGCAACCTACTCATCTGACAAAGGGCTAATATCCAGAATCTACAATGAACTCAAACAAATTTAGAAGAAAAAAACAAACAACCCCATCAAAAAGTGGGCGAAGGACATGAACAGACACTTCTCAAAAGAAGACATTTATGCAGCCAAAAAACACATGAAAAAATGCTCACCATCACTGGCCATCAGAGAAATGCAAATCAAAACCACAATGAGATACCATCTCACACCAGTTAGAATGGCAATCATTAAAAAGTCAGGAAACAACAGGTGCTGGAGAGGATGTGGATAAATAGGAACACTTTTACACTGTTGGTGGGACTGTAAACTAGTTCAACCATTGTGGAAGTCAGTGTGGCGATTCCTCAGGGATCTAGAACTAGAAATACCATTTGACCCAGCCATCCCATTACTGGGTATATACCCAAAGCACTATAAATCATGCTGCTATAAAGACACATGCACACGTATGTTTATTGTGGCATTATTCACAATAGCAAAGACTTGGAACCAAGCCAAATGTCCAACAATGATAGACTGGATTAAGAAAATGTGGCACATATACACCATGGAATACTATGCAGCCATAAAAAATGATGAGTTCATGTCCTTTGTAGGAACATGGATGAAATTGGAAATCATAATTCTCAGCAAACTATCGCAAGAACAAAAAACCAAACACCGCATATTCTCACTCATAGGTGGGAATTGAACAATGAGATCACATGGACACAGGAAGGGGAACATCACACTCTGGGGACTGTTGTGGGGTGGGGGGAGGGGGAAGGGATAGCATTGGGAGATATACCTAATGCTAGATGACTAGTTAGTGGGTGCAGCACACCAGCATGGCACATGTATATGTATGTAACTAACCTGCACAATGTGCACATGTACCCTAAAACTTAAAGTATAATAATAAAGAAATAAAAAAATTTTTAAAAAAAGTTAACAATAAAAAAATAAAATAAATAAAATAAAATAGTTGGAATTACAAAGAAAACCAATTTATTGAAAGACTGTTATCAAAATATTTTTATTTGCGACATAACAATACATGTACTACTTTATCAAAGCATTCAATGAGAAGACAAGTCAGTAGATCTAATAATTACCATAATCTCAAAGTATTAATGACATACCTTCAACAATTTAATGTGGCATGAAAATGTCTATAATTTCTACTAATGAAATTCACAGGTACTATAAATACCACTATCATTTGTTACCAATATTCATAATAAATTCTATTTGATATGTTGTTCCACATTCACCTTTAGGTCTTTAATCTATCTTTGGTTCAACTGTGTACATAATGTAAAATAAAGATCCAACAGTATTGGAGATACAGTTGGTGAAAGAGTAAACCAATGCTATATAATGTTCCAAACACACTGTAGTGAACAATCTATCATTTTCCATCCAATTTATGACACCACCATGTATCCATGGCTCTGTCTGCAATATTAATTTTGTTTCTTTTTTTCCATTTGTTCTTATGTGTGTTCTACATTGCACATGTTTCTTCTCCTTATTATTCCTTTTCAAAAAAATAACTCTTCATGAATATTCATTCCAGGTAAATTTTTTAAACCTTGAGTTCTTGAAAAAAATCCTACTAGAATTTTTATTAATATTGTATAATGTATAGATAAATATAGAAAGAAGTTGATATTTTTATAAGTAATGACATCCATGAACTTTATTTATTCTGATCTTTTTGTGCCCCTTAAAAAAGTTTAAAACTTTTCTCTTTAAAAGTCCTATGTGTTCTTCACTAGGTAATTCCTAGATACTTAATTGTTTTTTGTTAATATTGTAAATAATATCTTCTTTTTCATCATACTCTAGTGGGTTATTGTTGGTATAGAAAGTGCACTATCGATGTATGTAAGTTTATCTTGTATCAAATAACACTGTTGAATTCTCATTTAAGCTCTAATTGACTGCTAAACTCTGCTAGATTTTCCATGTTGATAATTATATCATCTGTAAGTTATGACTGTTATGTCTCTTCCCTTCCAATTTCTATATCTTATTTATTTTTCTTATTATACTGGCTAGAATCCCCAGTACAATGTTGAATCATTATTAAATTAAAGATAAAGGACATCCTCAAATTTTCCTGAATTTCAAAAGGAATTCGTCATTGTTAAGTATTGTATTTCTTGAAGATTATTGAATGTGGTCTATATTGTATTATGCCCTTTCTATGGCCAGTTTTCTGGGTTTGTTTTTCAAGATATATATGCTAAACTACATCAAAATTTTTCATATGGATTAAAATCATCACATAATTTTTCTCCTTTAGTCTGTTAATGTGGTGAATTACTCTGACAAATTTTCAGATACTAAACAATCTTTGCATTCAATAGATAAACCCTACTTGATTGTAATGTATCATTTCATAGTATAACATCAGAGTTTTGTTAGTTTATATTTCCATTTAGCATCTTTTCATAGTTTATAAATGGGCTCATAAGTAAAATGCATCACTAATTTTCTTTCTCCCCCATACTATTTTGATCCAGTTTTGAAGTCATTGACAATTTAACTCTATAAAATAAATTGAGCACTTTAAAATGTTTAATTTTATGTTATGTAAATTTCATCTTAATTTTTAAAAATATTTTGGGCAGTTGCCTTTAATTTTCTATTTTGTTGTACAACTTGTTTAAGATAGAGGTGTCCTCTTTCTTGAAAAACTGAATAGAAGTCACCTATAAAACCACCTAGGCCTGGGGCTTTTTGAGGGGAGGGATATCTTTATAACATCAGACTCCTTATTGGTCTTTGACTTATTCAAATTTTCTTTATTCTTTAAACAAGTTTGACATTTTATATTATTGCAGAAATTTATTCATTTCTTTCTTGTTTTCAACATTTTGGTCAACATTCGGTCATGATAGTCTTCAAAAGTTTCATAATATCTTTGTACATGCAACTGTTTCCTTTACACTCTCTATTTTGCAAAATTTAATATGCCTCTTCTGCTTTATTTCCTCATCTGTAAAATGGAGATAATAGTACCTACCTCATAGGGTTGTCATGAGGATAAAATGCAGTAGTAGATGTAAAGAGTTTAGAGTAATATACAAGTACTACACAAGTGTAACAATGTAGTAAGCACTATATAGGTGTTAGCTGTTACTGCCTATCTTAAAATTTTCAGACAATGAGCTTTTCAACTTACTAGTCTTCTCTAATTTGAAGTAATTCTATAGTTTATTATTTTGTCTTGGTTTTCTTTTGTTTTGTTTCTTTTTCCTTCCTTCTGGTTACTTTTTCTTAGTGTATTCAATTTATCTTTTTCCAGCTTTCTAAATTGAAAATTAGTTTATTTGATTATATTCTCATACGTTCTATCAGAGCTATACATTTATTTCTAAGCTCTATTTTGGCTACGTGAAGATACTACATAGTCTTTTCATTGTCTTTCCCTTCTATGTACTTCCCAATTTCCCTTACAACTTTTCTCTGTGATATTTTTATTCAAAAAATGATATCTTATTTTTTTTGCCCTTTGGTCGGAGAACATTGTCTAAATAGTGCTGATTACCTTTACTGAGACTTCTTTGTGCTTGGTAGGTAGTAAAGTTTTTAAATGTTCTACCTGTGCTAGAAAATAATTTATACTCTCTGTTGAGAGTAAGGTTATATTGTTTACATGTGTATGTGTATATGTTAGTTCAAGCCTATTAATTATATTACTTCTACCAGATATTATTTGCTTTTTGTTTGCTCAATTAGTTCTCGAAAGCAATACAACAATATCTCCAACTATAATTTTTAATTTATCCATTTTTTCTCCATAGTTTGTCAGTTTTGTCTTTTATAATTATGTCTTCTTGATTTGTTGTTCCTTTTACCAGTATACCATGTCCTCCACCTTAAATTCTATTATTTAAATAGTGCTTTCATTAAGGTCTCTTTAAAATTCCAGCTTAATGTGTTCGTTCTCTCTTGCCTGCAGGGACCCTGACTGATACACCGATGTAGAAAGCTCTATGCCAATCCTGCAAATCTCTTAACATTCACTTTATAGTTTCTATCTTTTTATCCTTCTTAATGCCTTCCAAAAGAGTTCCTTGTCCTCATCTTCCAATTCACTAATTCATTCTGTGGCTATATTCACTCTGCTATTTAATCAATTTATTTAATTCTTATTTTCAATAATTACAATTTCATACCCAATATTTGCACTATGTTCTTCCTAACTTCTTGCTACTGCTTCATATCTCCAACTTATTTCCTATCAACCTATTAGATGACAGTATGCTTATTTTAAATTCTTATTCTATGGTTTCACTAATCCTGCATTAAACCTGGTAAAGGTTGTTCCATTTGTTTTCTTTCTGTAACAGTAGTTTTACTCCCCTGGTATTTCTTTCCTTCTAGTATGCAGGTTCCTCTAGGAAACAGACCCCCTAGAGAACACTGATCAGTGTTATGTACCTGAAAGTGGGGCACGAAAGCCCAGGCCCTTATTCTCCTTTGCGTGACCTTAGGGAGTATAAAACGGGAGATGTGCCTTCTAGTGGAGAGTGCCTGGCATTAAAATCTAGGTTTGACCACTTCCCACTGGGGTTTCCTGCACCAGAGAACTATGCTTCCTAGAGAACCCCCATCCTGGTCTTTCTTATGGCCTAGCCCTTGTGGTATGGGTAGATGTGGGCCGGGATGAAGACCTCTGGCTTTCATCTGCTCCCATCCCCAACCTGACTCAAGTAGAAGCCTGATGTTACTCCCTTACTCCCACCAGTTGCTGGGCTAGTGCTACCATTTTTCTTTCTTGACACTTCAGGTCATGACCTACTCAGAACAATGGGGAGGAGGAAAAGAAATGGCACAACTGAAAAGTTATCCATTGCCTACTGCTGTCCTAGGCACATGGCCTTCTTCTGCTCTGAGCACCCCACTGATTTCCAATAAAGGGGCTCATCAAATTTCTCTCTCTTCAGGGACTTGTCACAATTCTTTGTCCTTCTCTCAGAGTCAACAACCTTCTTCGTGCTCTGTCACAGCTTCTGTGTTGAGTTCAGGGGAGGTAACTCATGTTACCTCACAACTAGTTAACTGTAAAGAATAATCATCTCTAAAAAGGTGGTGGGGGGCATCTTACAGAAAAGCAAGGATTATTTGGATAATCTTAACTAGCATAATCAATGCATACCTGAGGTTCAGAGCATAGCTGAACACCAGCCCAAGGTAATTTCCACTTAGGGCAATTCATGGTAAGTGCAATTACCAAGACTATCATTCCCTTATGTATGAGAAAGCTACTGAGTGAATTCTCAAGTATTCAAAAGATGTAGGCTGGAAAAAATAAGAAGAACCAAAGAAATCTCCATCTATCTGGAGTACCTTCTGTTAAAATTCCTACTTTCAAGATCCGATTCTACCATTTGACCTTGCATAAGTTATTTAACACTGCATGCTTTAGTTTCTGCATTTGTAAAATAGTATAATAATAGTACCCACTTCGTGGGGCTGTTGTGAGAGTAAAATGATTAATAAATGTAAAGAGTATTAATAACATCTGGAATGTAATATGTAGTCAATAAATGTTGGATATTATTTAAATATTTTCCAATATAATAGCTAGAACAGCAAAAGAGCCCCAGATTAAGAGTCAGAAGATCTGAGTTCTAAATCCAACCCTGGGATTAACTCACTCTATGAACTTAGGCAAGTCACTTCTCTTTGGCTCAATTTCCTTATGCATAAAATGAGGTGTTTGGACTAAAATTTCTCTAATTTCCTTCAATTGTATAATTCCAGTTGTAACATGTTCTTAATTCTTCACTAAATGAACATATATGAATATATAAACATATATTAAGTGGGAATCAGGCTTTTTGTTCTATGAACATTTACCAAGGCAGTGTGCAAAAATAAATAAAAGACCCATGTTGCCATATGGGAATTCAGTAAACTTAAATTTTGTGATTATCTCTGTACCTGGGGGTTGGCCACAAAAGAACAAAAGGTGTGAGTATATTCTGTGGGTGGGAGAAGTTGTTCCATAGCTTCTGCTTCCAAATTTAACTACAGTGTGTACTGCACCACTCCCAGTGAAATAAGACAAATGACAATTAGAAAATTAACCCACTTAGAAAAAAATGTGCCACTCACTGCCAGCACTCATTTAATTTTACATAAGCACGCTCTTTGAGGCTGAAGCAAATCTGACAGATTTTCAATGTGAAAATAAAAGATAAAAACTATTTGTATTAGTCCGTTCTCACACTTCTAAGAAGTTCCCTAAGACTGGGTAATTTATAAAGAAAATAGGCTTAATTGACTCAGTTCTGCATGGCTGGGGAGGCCTCAGGAAACTTATAATTATGGCGGAAGGGGAAGCAGGCACCTTCTTCACAAGGTGGTAGGAGAGGGAAGAGCAGGGAAACTGCTACTTATAAAACCATCAAGTCTCATGAGAACTTACTCACTATCATGAGAAGAGCATGGGGGAACCATCTGCATGATCCAATCACCTCCCTCCCTCAACACATGGGGATTACAATATAAGATGAGATTTTGGTGGGGACACAGATCCAAACCATATTGCCGTTCTTGGAGTTATTTCTAAACAGCGCTAATATCAGAATTGTCTATTTCAGAAAAATCGGATTCATCAAATCAATCTTCAGGCAACAACTGTTCAAGGACAATGTTAGCATCACACATAGGAATGCTATGTTTTCTAAGATCTGACATTTTCAGCAATCAAGAATTACTGTATTTTGTAAGCCAGAATACCACTACTAAAAGCAGAATGCTATAAATAGAATGATGTTTTTCATTTCCAAAGTTGATATACTAGAGCAATGCAAAAATAATAATAAAAGTGAGATATTTTGTGGCAAGGTTATCTCGGGGTCTTGCAGCCACAAGCACCACTGGTGAGTATTCTCAAGGCAAATCCGAAAAGGGTTAACATACATTTCCTCTGGCCAGAGGTATGAATGGCCATGGAGACACAATGCACGCTTGTAACAGAAATAACAACATATTTCAAAGTATGCAGAGGAGGGATGAAGAAGGATTTACGACATGTTTTTGGATAGGACAAACAGTCATCCTACCCAACTTCCAAAATTAGAGCTTTCTTCCTTTGGCTACAGCATTAAATCTCTATTAAAATGCAGTTGACCCTGAGAGGGGCAGCAGGCATTTGTGCCTTAGTATAAATGAATTTAGTCAGTTCTTTGCCCCAAACAAAGGGAAGCAAGCACAAGGAAAGAGTGCCCTCATTAGAGAGAAAAGGCAAGGCAAGGAGATAACTGTAAAAGTCCTCCAATCTCTTCATACTCACACTCTATTTAAATAATATTTAATTGAATTATGTAATTACAATGACAAACAGATTTAGGAACAAGCACAGGGATGCACTACAAATGCACACCTTACAAGGTGGGCTGATGCACATGGGAGCAGTGAGTGGCCAACTAGTAGGAGCACCCAGCCAGCAGGGGCATCCAAAGGCAAGACTGCTGTAGAAATGGAGCATGTGGGCTGGTCAAGAGCTTCAACTGTACTTCACGATTTTTCTCAGGGTTGGGTCTGACTGTATACTATGACCAAACTCTACTGCTGAGAATTCAGAAATACAAAATAACACATAACCCAAATAAGTAAATGTCATCCCATTTTTGAGCCACAGGGTATGACAAGTACATCTACCATGTGCCAAATGCTAGGCAGTGTTAGGTGCTTTATGTTTATTATCTTATTTGCTCCTCACCATAACACTATGATATAGGTACTATTTTTCTATTTTATAAATGAGGAAACTGGGGCATGGACAGGTTAAGTCATTTTCCCAAAGACAGAACAGCGATCAAGATGTGGAACCAGGATTCAAACCCATGTCCACTGACTCTAAAGTCTACGTTCCTTGTTACTACATTTTGCTAAATTTTATATGTGTTACTGTAAAATATTGTCAACAACACATATTAAAAGTTTAAAATTTTGTGGCTGGGTGCGGTGGCTCACGTCTGTAATCCCAGCACTTTGGGAGGCTGAGGCAGGTGGATCATGAGGTCAGGAGATCAAGACCATCCTGGCTAACACGGTGAAACCCCGTCTCTAGTAAAAATACAAAAAAATTAGCTGGGTGTGGTGGCAGGCACCTGTAGTCCCAGCTACTAGGGAGGCTGAGGCAGGAGAATGGTGAGAACCCAGGAGGTGGAGCTTGCAGTGAGCCAAGATTGAGCCACTGCACTCCAGCCTGGGCGACAGAGCGAGACTCCGTCTCCAAGAAAATAATAATAATAAATTAAAAATTTTGCTTAGTCCAGGCGTGATGACTCATACCTGTAATCCCAGCATTTTGGGAGGCCAAGGTGGGTGGATCGCGTGAGCCCAGGAGCTCAAGACCAGCCTGGGCAACATGGTGAAGCCCAGAATCTACAAAAAACATGAAAATTAGCTGTAGCATGGTGGCGCACACCTGTAGTCCCAGCTACTCGGGAGGCTGAGGTGGGAGAATTGATTGTGCCTGGGATCAAGGCTACAGTGAGCTGTGATCACACACACTGCACTCCAGCCTGGGCAAAAGAGCAAGACCCAGTTCAGCACTAGATGCCAGGCCCTGTGCTGTACACAGGGAATATGAACATGAGGCCAGGCACGGTGGCTCATGCCTGTAATCCCAGCACTTTGGGAGGCTGAGGCAGGAGGATCACCTGAGGTCAGGAGTTCGAGACCAGCCTGGGCAACATGATAAAACCCTGTATCTAGTAAAAAAAACACAAAAACTAACCAGGTGAGGTGGCGGGCACCTGTAATCCCAGCTAGTAAGGAGGCTGAGGCAGAAGAATCATTTGAACCTGGGAGGCAGAGGTTGCAGTGAGCTGACATCGCACCACTGCACTCCAGCCAGGGTGACGGAGTGAGACTCTGTCTCAGAAAAAAAAAGGAATATGAACACGAATTCCTAAGGAAATCTGAATCTATTAAAGAATAAAATATGGTAAGACCACCTGGGTTCAAACACTAACTCTATTTCTAACTGGTTGGAAACCTCAGGAAAGTTATTTATGTCTTTGAACTTGAGTTTTCCTAGGTGCAAAATGGGATAAGAAGAGTTCCTACCACATAGGATTGTTGGGCACAGGCAAATATATTAATATTTAGCAGAGTGGCTGAAAAACAGTGGACACACAATAAACATCAGCGAACACGATTATTGTCACTGACACTGTGAGTACTCATGGGAGGTAATCACACAGCATGACTATTTCTGACTCCCACTGTCCCTTTTAAAATTTATGTAGTGGGGGAAGTACTTCCCCCGACCCTGGACAAAATCTCAGACATCATCACAACATTTCTGATTATTCCTAGGTAATAATAATTTTTTTAAAAAAGCGTTCAGGTCACTTTAGGCCATAAAAGCTCTTAATTCAGAAATCAGAAAGTCCAGTCCCTCATAAGAAGTATAACTTGTAACCTGATTTAATGTTAAATTGTCTCCCAGGAGGGTTTTGCTGCAGGCTGGCAGCATTTAGTAAGAAAAAGAGGCCTCTCCCTTGCCCCATCCCCACACACCTTTCCAGCCCTCAGCATTTCTTCTCTCCCCCAGCTTGTTGTCTAGCTTCTGACCCTGCCAGAGGCAAAGAAAGTGGGATGGAGGAGAGGTAAAAGTGGGCAGAAAGTTCTTATTTTAACTGATTCTCTTTTGGGCCAGCTTCTTGCTCTGAGGGCCTGATAGATGTTTAAAGATGACTTTTTCTAACAATTCTCTGGGTTCTTCAGGGCACTCCCCCAACCAAAAAAAAAAAAATTAGAAATATTTGAATACTCTTCATCTGAGAGAAATAATGTATCTTACCCCTGCGAGCCACCTCCTTTCTCTGCCGTCCCCTGTCTCTCCCCCAGGCAGCAATCTTGGGAAGGATTTTAAATGACTCCTGCCTGGCTCAGGCTCCCACATGGCTCACATTTGCTCTAAGGGAAACTCTCACCCAGCTAACTCTGGGAGCGTCTCCTTACTCCTGTCATTAGAGCAGCTGGCCAGCCTGTCTCTTCGCCTTTTAAATTTTCCAAGTAGGATTCAGAAAGCAGCTGTGTCTTCCTCACTTCCAGAGACACACATCTCCATGAGGTCCCTTCGGAAGCTGTCTCTGGACTTCATCTGAAGGGAAAAGCAGTCTCTGTGCTCTTCCTGGCAGGGGCAGGGTACTCACAACCACGCTTTCTCAAAAGAAATCCTATCAAACTTCCCCTCATCTCCACTTTCTTGATCCTTCAGTATCTTTAATGTGGGTGGGGTTTTTTAAGAGTCGAGAAACTCATGAAAACTTGCATTTTTGGATGGCAAACCACTTTGGAATTTCATACTTGTTGCAACTTGGCACCTCAGTTAAAATGTCCAAGTTAATATTTTATTACATTATCATTTTTATTGAAATATGAATTAACTCTTTATGATAGACTTAACTGCTGTGATACAAATATAAACAAAGTACAATGGTAATATAGGAGAATAAACAAATTTTATCCAGGTTTGAGAGTAGGGTGCTGAGGCAATAACATTTGAGTTGCACCTTCAAGGATCCGCTTGGTCATTTAACAAACATTTACTGAATACCTATTATATTCAAAGTAGTATTCTAGGTGCTTGAGATAGATCAGTGAACAAAAAAACAAAGATCCCTGCACTCATGGATCTTTTATATTCTAGTAGGAGGATGGGAGAACAGACAATAAACATAATAAATTATATAATGTGTTCAAAAGTGGTAAGTGCTATGGGGGAAAAAGAAAACTAAGGCAGGAAAGAAAAGCTGATGAAACAGAAAAGAGGAAACAGATTACCAGGGGAAAAGTACTATGAACAAAGGCCTGAAAGTTTAAGGGGAATGCCATAATCAAAGAACTGAAGATAGGGTGGTGTGGCCAGAGTCAAAAGCAATATTAAAGATGTATGTGTGTGCAGCCCCTACCTCAGGCCTCATCTCAACTCAACGATTTGCGCTAAGCACCGTTATTTGCACATTGCCCCCACCTTTTTTCTGGAACTCATGACAGTTTGCTTTTTGTTCTTATCCCTATGGATACATGTCTGAAACCTAGAAAGAAAAAGTACAAGAACTAATTTAACAATTTTTAATTTGAAATTCCATGAGATGGAGCTGAAAAGTCTTTGGTGCCTAACAACAATCAAAAAGAATTGTCAAACACCTATACATCGTAGGGAATCAGATGTGAAAATGCACAGTAGATACGGTCCTTGTCCATCAAACAAAGTATGGCAGAAAAGGGAGAAGCAAGCCCCCCACCTCTGCACAGTCCAGCATGGCTCTGCAACAGTAGGACCCACTGCTCAGGGCCCAGCAGTGACATCACCTGGTGGAAGACACCACAGCCAAGCACTAGAAACAGAAAGAAGAAGCCTCGTGCCACTTGCTTCACAGGCAGTCTAGACAGCAGGCAAAGACTGAGAGGTAAAACAACAGAGATGAGAAAGAACTAGAGGTTCTGCAATAGTGAGTTAGGTTTAAAAAAAAAAAAAAGCAATATGAGTTATTATTGTAACCATGGCTTCATTTCCCACCCTTATCCCAGGTTAACCTGTCTTGAGGAAAAGCCGCCAATAGCAGCAAGGACTGTGGACTGTATTCACTACTGTAACTATAATAGCAAATGTATCTTAAAAGTGCTGCTGTGATGAATCTAATTCTCTTTCCTTTAAATACAAACCAAAGTCTTCAGGACAGAGTTAGCCTTCAGGCTAAAAATTCCCCATTGAAATTCTAATCCCAGCTCTTTCATTGAAATAGCATCAATCAGACCAACACCAGTAAATAAGTTCTTTAAGTTCTTAACTCACTTCTTTAAAAGAGGTTTCCATAATCAGTTTGGAGATAGGTTCCCCGAAAGTTAAGCTCCAGATCCATATGCTGTGCCCAAAGACAGCAACTTAGAAATTATTTTCTCCAACTTTAAGAAGGGGATATGGTTTAATTGACAACAACAAAAAAAGATGCAGAAAAATGTGATTTTATGGGCTGAATCCCTTTTGAAAGGTGGGACTCTGCTGCCCCCTGCTTCCCACTATAAAAACTGCTTAGGGCAGAACTGGCAATCACTAAATCATTGAAGAACCAGTCTCTGTCTGTCTGTCTCTCTCTCTCTCTGACACACACACACACACACACACACACACACGCACATATACACATGCACACATACCCCCAAACCAAAATTACTGACAATACTTTAGCTTAGGGTCTCCAAAGACATCCTCTGTTACCCAAACCCCTTTATTATGTAAACACTGGTTACCTAGACACAGTGATAAGGGCCCAGGATGGCTTCAGCAAGCTGAAGGGCACCATAGATCTGTCTTTAGAATCTTCCGTCTGTGCTCTTCCTGGAATACTCCTTGGATTTTGACCATCATTTCCTTGCTGACAGAGAATCTCCAACACTTACCACCCAAACTTTATTCATACTTGAATATCCGAAAAGGCCTTCAAACTCAAATGACCAAAACGAAGCTTAACATTTCTCCTCACAAACCAACAAATATGAGGCTTTCCTTCAGTGAGCTTGATTTATTTTCATGGTACCACTATTCTTCAGTCACTCTAGTTAAAAAATCGTATTCCATCTTTGATATTTTTCCATCTCACTGACCTCCTGCTTCAAATGAATGGCAGGTACTGCCTTCTTCTATGCACATCTTTTAAACCTGTTGCCTCCTCTCCAGCTACCCATGTTTAGGCCTTCCTTGGGGCGTCACCTTTTCTGTCTGGAATGTTACACTAGCCTTCTAACTGCACTCTCCACCTCATACCAGCTTGTCTTCATTCCAATACATCTTAAAATTGCTGGCAGGTTCATCCTCCTGAAGTACAGCTCTGCTCATTTCACCCCATTGTCTCCCTCATGCCTCAGACAAAAATCCAAACCCTCTAGGCTAGCATCCAAGGCTCTCCATGACCTGCCACCCACTGATTCTTCTACTGCATTCAAGTGACCTGCATATAAGGCACATATTGTTCCCTAGAGACAGTGCATGATTTTCTTCTGTGCCTTGCTCCTGCTGATACTTCTTCCGTGAATGCTGTTCTTCTACCACTCCCATCATCTTCAGTTCTTTAGCTCCAAATCATTTGCATCATTCAAGTCCTAGGTTAAATACCACTTCCATTGCAAAGCCTTGCCTAATTCCTTCCATTGGAATATATCTTTCCTTCTCTGAAGTCTAATCACATTCTATCTGTTCCTTTCTTTTGTTCAAATGAACAAATATGTGCTCAATTTCTGCTGTGTACAGGAATATGCCTGGTAAGGGCAAAATTGGGGCAAACCAAAACAGACATAATCCCTATCCTCGTGGATCTAACAGTCTAATATCTGCCACTTTCCAATTTGTATTCTCTTTCTGTGCAAGTCTTACTTTTCCTTCCAGACTGAAAATTTCATAAATGCAGTATGAAATTTTACATTTATGTGTATTTCATTCATTTTATGCCCCTCTCATACATAATATCTAGCAGAATACACTGCATGTGTTTTAATACATATTTGAATAAATTAATACATGTGTTAAATGTTACTAGATAGATGAGCTTCAGGGTCATTACTCACTTCCCAAGCAAAAGTAACTGATTAACTTTTTTTTTTTCTTTTTCGAGACAGTCTCACTCTGTTGCACAGGCTGGAGTGCAGTGGTGTGATCTCAGCTCACAGCAACCTGCGCCTCCTGGGTTCAAGCAATTCTCGCACCTCAGCCTGTCAAGTAGCTGGGATTACAGGCACGGCCATCACATTCGGCTGATTTTTGTATTTTCAGTAGAGATGAGGTTTCACCATGTTGGCCAGGCTGGTCTCAAACTCCTGACCTCAAGTGATCTGCCTGCTTTGGCCTCTCAAAGTGCTGGGATTACAGGCGTGAGCCACCGCGCTCGGCAACTGATTAACTTCTGGGTCTAATTTTATGGATTCCCTGGTTTTAAAAATTATTAGCCATTTTAAGTGTACTCAGAAAAGAGTTAAGTGCTCAGTCACTGGAATCAGAACCAGGCATGAATTCCGCCACTGCTCCTTACCAGCTGTGTGAGCTGGGGTGGGACTGGAAGTTACTTCACCTCTCTGAGCCTCAGTTTCCTTATCTGAGTTTGGGTGAGCACTAAGTAACATACTAAATGCAAGGCAACTAATGCAATCATGGTACATTCATGTTCAACAATTTGAAGCTATCATTATTTATTTCTGTTGTCTTCCTTTGAATCATAGCATGTTGATACTATTTCCCAGAGCGTGTTGCTATTCCAGTGGTATGCTTGCTTCTTCAGCTTCTCTGACAGATTCCGTTGGAAAACTGACACGACAGTAATTCCCAACCCCTTTCTTTCTTCCCATCTTTTACTATAGACAGATAGGAATGGCCATGTGACCCAGTTCTAATCAAAGAGACAGAGGCAAAGGTCTGTTAGAGAATTCCCAGGAAAATATTTGCTTTCCTGATAAAGGAGACAGATAGGTCTAGGGACAACCTTCCCTACTATCCCTTCTTTCTATCTTTAATGTAGATACATTACCTGGAGTTGCAACTGCATCTTGAGATTTTGTGGGGAAGGCCAAAAAAATTGAGACGCTGACTCAGACAACACTGAGCAGCTGATCCGATACAAATAGTCATCTAACTCCAGACTTCTTGTTACGTGAGAAAAGTAAACCCTGTTTCTTTAAGCCAACATACATAGACTTTTGTTGCTTGCAGCCAAATACAACCAAGATGATTCTCAAGCTCTCAAGGTAGTTTAGGGTATATGTAAGAGAACATTTTTAAAAGATAATGTAGCTCTGTTATTCAAAGACTCTTCAGTGCATAAAAGTCAAATATCTTATCAAAACATCATATAGGAAGAGTCTTACACATCTAGAAGGGATTCAAATTAAGAGTCATTGTGAAACTAATCCTGAGGGAAAAAGCTGTAACGACCCATTGAGAAAACCTTGGTTGTGTTCATTGAGTGCCTGCCATTCTAAGTGCTGAGGTACCAGTGCCGAATTAAACGACAAAATTATTGTTCTCATGGGGCTTACATTCCAGTGAAGGAGACATGTGATAAGCAAATAAATAAAATAATTTTAGATAGTGGTGAGTGGTAACAGAGTGATGGGATAGAGAATGACTATATGAGAAGTCCTCTCTGAGGAAGCTGCAATTTAACATAGCTGAATGATGAAAGGGAACCAGTTATGCAAAGGTTTGGGAAAAGAGCATTCTGGGCAAAGAAAACAATAACCACAATGGCTAAAAGACAGAAACAAGTGTTGTATATCAGAGGAGTAAAAAGGCCAGTGTACCTGTGGCATAATGGGTAAGGGGAAGAGTGGCAAGAGATTAGAAAGACAGGGGCAGGATCACATATGATATTGCTGGCATAGTACCAAATTTAGATTCACAGGAAGCTTTTAGAGAGGGCACGCAGAAAGACCTCAGTGTTTGGCAGTGGCCACATGTAGTGTGAACAAATATTCATGTGGACACTCCTTGGGGTATATGGAAAGCTGGTATAAGGAGTGGTAACTTCAGGGAAATTAAAGAAAGTAAGCAAGCAGGTAGAGGTAAGGACAGGAGAGTTTGACCTATTTTTGTTACCGGACAAAAGAGCTTGACCTGTTTTCCTTACTATACTCCATGAGTACTCAGACAGCTGATGGATCCTAATGAAACTTAGGGATACATTTGTAACTAGAGGAGAAAGAAAGCTATTCAACACCTTTTCTCCCTCTCTCAAAATCTTCCTTGGAATATTGCCTCTCTTAGTTCCTGGGAGGCTCCTTCATGGGAAGCGACCGATTGAAGAACAGGGCACTGTCTCTGTGTTACATACAGTTAAATCCTCACTGAACATCATAGATGGTTGCTTGGAAACTGCAACTTTAAGGGAAACAACTATAACAAAATTAATTTTACCACAGGCTAATTAATATAAACAAAATTAAGTTCCTATTTCATATATCTACTCACAAACCACCACCAAATATCTAAATAAAGACAAAAAACACTAAAGACATTAAACACAAAATAAATATGAGTATACATATGTTTAAGAAAGATTAATAAAAACAAGTAAGATAATTATTTACCCAATTTTTGGTGAATCAGTGAGTGACCCATAGTGTTGGTGGATTAAATCAAGGAACACATTTGCAGAGCAAAAATTGTTAAGGACTACCTCCTCCCACCATGCAGTTCAAAAACAATCACAAATATGGCAGGCTCGCTGAGTACTTCCATACCGCATCATTTATTGTTGTGCATTTGTATGATTATTGTCTACTTTACAAATTTTGACTTTGATAGAAATTTATATTTGTTCATTTATTCATTCGTTTGTCCAACCCACTTATTCCAATTCAGGGTGGTGGGTGAATGGAGTCCATCCGGGCAGCTCAGGACACAAGGCAGGAACTCATCCTGCACAGGACGCCATTCCCTTGCAAGGCACACTCACACACACGCATTCATTCACTCAGACTGGGACCATTTAGACACTCCAATTCAACTAGTATGCACAGCTTTGGGATGCAAGAGGGAACTGGAGTGCCAAGAGAAAACCAACACAGACATGGGGAGACCATGCAAACTCCACACAAACAGTGGCCCAGCCAGGAATCAGTGTTTGTTTTCTCATCAATACTATAACAAAACAATATTATTTGAAGATGTGTTGTACTTCCTAACAATCATACACCACCACCGTTAACTATGAATTTTCTCCTGTGGGGTTTTAAGCATGGATGAAGTTAGAAGAAATAATCTGCGATCTCTGAAGCATGAGGGAAACCCATGAAGTCTACAGGGCATGTTTCTTATGTACAGTGTATCTAGAGGCAGTTTCTAGGCCTTATACAATTTTGTTTGGAAATCAGTGTCGTCAGATAGACTTGGGTAAGTAGGTCATTCCTGAATTGTAGTTGCCTCCTAATTGTCTTTAAGATTCCTAAGGACAAGGATTGTATCTGTTTTGTTCATAACCATATACTTAGCCGCAAGCATCAGTATCTGGCAGATAGTAAGCACCCAATATCAGTAAGATGAATAAATAATGCTTCAAGAAAACAAAGTCATACAAGTTTATACAAATTAAAGAGATACCAGAAAGCAAAATAAAAGTCCCTACACACATTTTTTTAAAGTCTATATATTTATAGATGATACATCTAAAAGAAAAAAAATAGCTGTAGCATTCACTCATCCAACAAATTCCTTTCTGGGGCATGTATTATGTGGCATGCACTGTGCTAGAAGCTGGAGATAGAAAAAAGAGTGACACAAGAACTTTCTGGGAAGCAGAGGCCCACAGTGCAGAGTGGAGAAAGAAACATCTCCACATTTTTGTGCACGTTCTGATGAAGTAAGCAGGGGGTCAGGGGGCTCAGAGTTACTGGTGAATATAGAGAAAGAAGGCTGAGAAAACCCAGGAATACTTCCTAGGGAACAGCTGAATCTAAACTGCATTGTTTTGTTTTTAGGAAAATCTTACTACCTTTAACAGAACATTTAGAATTTTGCTCTAAGTTAGTTCAAACTCCACACCTAATTTCCTTTAATATATCTAGACCAGTGGTTCTCAACTAGGAGTGATTTTACCTCCCATTTGGCACTGTCTGGGAACATTTTTGATGGTCACACTGCTGCATGCTATTGGAATCTATTAAGCAGAAACCAGGGATGTTGCTAAACATCCTACAATGCACAGGACAACCTCCCACAACAAAGAATTAATCCAGTTTTGGCCACATAGTGCCAAGACTGAGAATCCCTGATCTAGAATGAGAGAAGAATTAGGAAGTACCATGCAAATAAAAACATATATATGGTTTAATCAAGGTTTCTCCAATGTAATTAATGTGACCACGGAAATCATTTAATTAGATGCCTCAACTGTAAGTCAATAAAGTACAAATAATAAAACAATCAGTTAAATTTTTTGTGATGACTATGAATAAAGTACTTAAATATCGTAAGTACAATTCATATGTTTATATTAATCAGTTATATTCCTAACATTATGTATGAAGCCCAGGGTCTCAGGAAAACATTGCTTAATTAGAATTCCAAATTGAAGAATGTCATACTTAGACAGGATTTTTTATGTATAGCTTTCAGTTTCTAGGATAGAAAAGGCTTAGCCCACTCCTTTTGAGTTTAAAATTACATTATATAGTCACATGTTCAGCATTTTTTAGCTGGATACGTTTGTTCCCCATAGGAAGTTTACAACTTGTAAAGGGAGTTTTATGCAGAATACAAATTGGGAGTATTACATGACTATCTCTTGAGGGCACTGAGTTGTGCAAACAACATCATTTTATCTGACGTAGTGGCTTTGGATTGGTTTATCTGTTCATCCTAGGGCTGTCTGGAATTATAGATCAGGGACATCACTGTCATACCCCAGCTGCTGCAGAAAGCTACTGGAAGAAAAGGAGATTTATGAGTATTCTGGTTATACTGAACTAGGGACACAGGAGTTATACAACAAGGAGCCCGGTGGCTCTAAATTGTAGGCATTATGCAAAAAGAAAATGCAGAGTTGGGTGTCAAGGGAGTCCTCCAGGAGCAATAGGACATCTTTGTAAAGTCTCTAAAGAGTAAATTTAACAGTTATTAAAGAACAGCACCCTGTTGTTGCAGACACTGAACTTTATATCACCAGAAAGGATACAAGGGATTTTCAGGAAAACATCTGTCATTTAACCGTGATAGTGACCCTCAGCACTGACAAGCAATTCAAACCCCACTTGAGTACAGTGATTTAACCCTTTGGGGTGGCTAAGTTTGAAGCTCTATTAGCAGGTTATTAATGTCCTTGTAAGTTGAGGATCTTTGATGCCAAATGAAAAAAAAAATCATTGGGAATAAGTGTGATTAATTCTTTTATGAGAACTTCATAAATTATTTCCTTTCAATTATACCAAATTATCAGGTCATGATTTTGTTAATTTTGACCAAAGGTCTGTGCAAACCTTAAAGAGAAACAAATGGATATAACGTAATCTTCAAAACATGTTATGAAAGATCAAAACAAGGTCAAAATGAATTTAAAAAATGTTTTTGCCTTAACTTCATGTAAGGATTTACCAGGCCAATACTTCTTTTTGTCTTAATTAAAAATGAACAAACAAATAAGCTGTTTTGTTGTTGTTGTTGTTGTTGTTTAAGTAACAATAGGAAAACTAAAATGTTAAGGGGCCAACCAGGCACCCTAGACAGTGCTAGGTGTTTATTTATATTCATTTAATCTTTTTAACAATCTAGCAAGGAAGATAACATTATCTTCATGTGATAGATGAGAAAACAGAGGCTTTTCTTAAATGTTTTTCCCAAGATGGACAGAACTAAAAGATGGTACAGCTGGGGTAGGAGTGGGGAACAGCAGGTAAGGAAGGTTCGTTAAATCCCAAGGCTAATAAGCTGTGTTACACTATGCTGCCCCAAGGAATTACATTTTTATTTGTGTCAGACACGTGAATGTTAAAAATCTTTACTTGAAAGAGAAATCATTAATACTCTAAGCTGATCATGAGCTCCCCTAAGCGCCATACCCATATATCCGATTGCTTGATAACACAATTTCAGCGTCCCACAGGCAATGCCAATTTAACATGTCCCAAAATTGATTTATCATCTCCCTCATGTAAACCTGCTCTTCTTGTTTCTCTTGGCTCAAGAAACAGTATCAATATGTGTCTCCTTGCAAAGGAAAATGGATCATAAGGAAATGTACAAAAACTATTAATAGCGCTATTTATCTTGGTGGTTAAATTCTAGTTATTTTTATTTTATTCTTTATACTTCTCTACATTTTCCAGATTTAACATTTACATTATAATGTACCATATCATTATAACCTACTGTTTTAAAAATAAAGAAAAAAGAAATTCGTAGAGTAAAAAAAAAAAGTCCACACTCTCCCAGTTCAACTTCCCTCTTCATACGTAAACACTATTTATATATCCTTTCAGACATTTTTTCTAGGCAAATGTATTTTTATTTCTATGCATCCTGTAGGAACAGTTTGGAATTTGTATACTTGCATATATACATATATATCTCTTTTCCTAAGTGAAACTCTAATATATACTATATATTATATTGTAACTTGCTTTTTTCCTCTTAACAATGTATCTTGGAGATTTTTCCAAGTCAAAACAGAGAGATCTCTCTCATTCTTCCTAATGGCTAGAGTATTCAATTTTGATGCCCGTACCATAATTATTCCCTTTATTGTTAAATTTGTTTCCTATTTCTCATTATTACAAATAATGCTGCAAAGACCATTCTTATAGCTATATCCTGTTTCATCAATTCTTAAACGAAAAAAACTTAAAGCAGCCACATGAATACAACTAGCTTCCAGGATGGGAATTGTGTTTATTCTATATGGCCATGTTCCTAGGCAAAAAAGCAGGGCTTCTATTAGAGAAAAAGGGGAGAATGGATGTTAGCGTATATTAGTGTATTACTAGAAGTATATACCACTTAAATTTATTCAGAAACTCATATGCAAAGTAAATAACCAAGAAATTTGTTTTACATGAGGAACATTTGACTTACATTTCTTACTACAAACATACAACAAAACTACAATAAGTATATCAAAGATAAATACAAATTTTATCATTTTTGGTGTTTGGATGCATCTTACAACTGATGGCTTGTTACCATCACTGTCATCCAGGTGGTATTTGTTTTGTAAACTCTTTGTTTTTGACGTTTTCCTACAGGAATAAAAAAAAGCATTAGCCTTAATGCATTTTACATTTTATGAAATAAGTATCTTTTCATTCGTGTGTATTTCAGACATTTGTGATTTCTGGCAAATACATAGCTATTTACAGGTGGGATTGCTAGATTAAGGGGTATGTACACTTTCAATTTTACTAGATACTTCCAAATTGTCCTCCAACTTATACAGCCATGGATCATCTTGGAAAGGGCTTTTGTTTTCCTCACCAACAATGACTATTATAATTCTTTTCATATTTACCAAGGTAATGGTTGATAAATTGGAGCTGTTGACTTAATTTACTCTTTTGACTCTTATACGTATTGCAAATATTCCCCCCACCCCATCACTCTTCTTTCAACTTTGTTAGTGGTATCTTTCACCCTTCGGTTTTTTTCTTCATGTACCAAATTTGTCAAACCTTTTCCTTATGGCTTCTGGGGTTTATATCTCGCTTAGAAAGACCTCCACTCTGAAATTAGAAAAGATTTTTCCTACATTTTGTTTTCGTACTTGGGTAGTTGTGTTTTTTGTTTTTGTTTTTCTTTTTTTAATCATTCATAGGCTCCTTTTCTTTTACCCATGATTTTTTTTTTCTTTTTTCCTTTTTTAAGACAGGTTCTCACTCTGTCGCCCAGGCTGGAGTGTAGTGGTGCGATCTCAGCTCACTGCAACCTCCGCCTCCTGAGTTCAAGCGATTCTCCTGCCTCAGCCTCCCAAGTAGCTGGGATTACAGGCTCGCACCACCACCCCCGGCTAATTTTTGTGTCTTTAGTAAAGAGGGAGTTTCACCATGTTGGCCAGGCTGGTCTCAAACTCTTGACCTCAAGTGATCTGCCTGCCTTGGCCTCCTAAAGTGCTAGGATTACAGGCATGAGCCACTGTGCCTGGGCTTTTACCCATGATTTTAACATATAACTATGTATCTACATATTACTTGAGTTTGTTTCTTTAATGTTTCACCGATGTATTTATCTTTGATATACTTATTGTAGTTTTGTTGTATGTTCGTAGTAAGAAATGTAAGTCAAATATTCCTCATGTAAAACAAATTTCTTGGTTATTTACTTTGCATATGAGTTTCTGAATAAACTTAAGTGGTATATACTTCTAGTAATACACTAATATATGCTAACATCCATTCTCCCCTTTTTCTCTAATAGAAACCCTGCTTTTTTGCCTAGGAACATGGCCATATAGAATAAACACAATTCCCATCCTGGAAGCTAGTTGTATTCATGTGGCTGCTTTAAGCAATGAGATTCATGTAGAAAAGTAGGTACAATTTCTGGGAACAGTCCTTTTCTCCCTCTCCATTGGCTGGAATATACACAGGATGACTGAACATAAGGTTTGTTTGTTTGCTTGTTTGTTTGCTTTGAGATGGTGTCTCCCTCTATCGCCCAGTCTGGAGTGCAGTGGCATGATCTCGGCTCACTGCAAGCTCTGCCTCCCGGGTTCACACCATTCTACCTCAGCCTCCCGAGTAGCTGGGACTACAGGCGCCCGCCACCACGCCCAGCTAATTTTTTGTATTTTTAGTAGAGACGGGGTTTCACCGTGTTAGCCAGAATGGTCTCGATGTCCTGATCTCATGATCTGCCCGCCTTGGCCTCCCAAAGTGCTGGGATTACAGGCATGAGCCACCACGCCCGGCCAAAGATAAGGTTTTAAAGACAGCAAAGTAACAAGATAGAGGGAGCCTCAGTCTCTGACACCTTGAAGGGTGACACCAGCCCTGCCTTGTCTATCTGAACTTATATATATGAGAAAGACACTTCAATATTCCTGAAGCTGGTATTTTTAACTTTCTCTCGCCACCACTACTAACTCTAAGTAACAATTGGAATGGTAATTTATGAATTATCTGAAGATAACTGGCATACAGACAATATTTTTCAGACAGGAACACAGTGTTTATTCAGGCATTTTATTTCCTCCATTAAAATGTATCATTTTCCTCATAAGGATTTTGCATTTTTCCCATTGTTTATTCTTAGACAGTATACAGTTCCAAGTTTTGCTGCAAATGGGATTTTCAAATTACATTTCCAATTGGCCAATGCTATATTCTATATACAGATTTTCTATATAGTACAGATTTTCATGGTGAACTATTAAACAAAACTACCTTTTGTCATTTCTAATAGTTTTTCAACTGTTTCTCTTGGATGTTTGTCTCTACAATCACACTGCTCAAAATAAGGACTATGTTTTCTCTTCCTAATACTTCTATTTCTTAGGGTTAAATGATTGTTGCATAGGCAACAGTCATTATTGTCTTAATCCTGACTTGAATGCAGATGTTTGATGAAGCTTTCTGGAAGACCTTCCTAGTCCTTAGCCAAGTTACAAAGGCTTTATTCTATTCTCAGCCTGAAAAATTTAAATCTGGAATGTGTTCAATCTTAGGAAATGTTTTTCGAGCATCTATCAAGCTTATGGTATTTTTTTTTAAGTTAAAGTAATAAATTTCCTAAAGGATTGAGTTACATAATCGTCATGTTGCAGTTTTCAGATAAACCCTACTCTACCATGACACATTATTTTGGGATATTTAATTGGTCATGTTTTTTCAACATGACCAGTTTCAACAAATTACATTTGTTCGTAAGTGAGACTGGTCTATAGCTATCTTTGATGAACAATTTTCTGGAATAAGGATTATGCTAGCCTCAGAGACCAAATTGAGATGTTTCAACATTTTGTATAATCTAGAACTGCTTAAATAAAATAAAGATTCTCTTTCATAAGTTTTTATTTCCTTTTAAATGCAAGCATTACAAGGACAGTGTTTTCTTTTGTCTGATTTTTAAAAATTGATTTATTGCTATCCACTTGCTAATTTTTTGTTTCATTGCATTGTGATGACAGGATGGACCCTGAATTCCTACCTATCAACAAACAAAAAAATATTGTGGTTTTTGCTTCATGGTCATTTTTTCATGGCATTTGAAAACAAATATTCTATAGCTATTAAAATTTGTGCACTATATAATTCAAAATGTTTCCTCTATTTTGAACTCTTTATCTGACAATTTCTAAGCGCTGTGTTCAAATACGTAGCTATGATTATAAATTTGACAATTTCTTGTTTACCAAGTTTTTCTTTACATAATTTGATACCATGCCGTGCAGGTTGTGTTTTATGAGTTAATTTCTGAAATCCTTGCATGTTCTAAAATTGGTAGAATGTCCTTGCTGTGCCCTTACTCTTGACAGTTTCACTCAAGATAGAAGTCTAAATTCAAAACAGTTCTCCCTCAGAACTTCAAAAATAGCAGTATGTTGTAGCACTCCAACGAACAGATGACAAGTCTGAGACCAATGTGATTCTTTTCCCCTTATAGGTACACTGTTTCTCTTTAGACATTTTGAGATTTTTCTAAGCTTGGGATTACACATATTTTGTCAGTATTCATCCTGCATGACTTTTTCATTGTTTTTGCTCAGCACTGGAGACTTCTAATATGAATCTTTCATCAGAAGATTTTTTTTTTTTTCCTATTCTTCACTTCTTTTTTCACTTTCTGGAACTCCTCTATATATTTATACTGTAACATACATACATACATTCAAAAATATTTATTGCATAGTATTTACCTGGCACTGTGATATATGCAGGGTATTCAATGGTGAATTCTCTATACATATGGCTCTTAATCTCATGAAGTTTAATTTTTAAACAGATGGTGTTCTGGGTTTTCTATGTCTTTAAGAGATACATCTATGTCTTTTACTGTAACTTCCATCTTTTTTATCTTTTCTTGTAAGCTCTGGAAGTATCTTCAGCTCAAAATTCTAGCTCAGTAATTTGATTCTCAGCCATGTTTATTCAACTAATCAGCCTAAAACAGAGTTTATTTTCACAACTGTTTATTTCCAAGATACTTCTTTATAGCAACTTGCATTTTTAAAATTAGTACAATAACCTCTAAAATATTTGAAGATTATGACATATAATATGATGAGGATTACATATGAAACTATTATAAGTAGTAGTAATTATTATTCCATATAATACTAATTATACTTGGTCATTTTTTCCCCCTGAATTGTTTCCCCAGGAATTCTTTCTGCTTGTTAAGTTTGCTGTGTATTTTTCATGTTGCTCTTTTCCTTAAATATTTGCTGTTTCTCATTTGTCTACTTGCAAATGAGAGCCTAGGAGTCAACAAACTTTTTATATAAAGGGTAGGCTTTAAGGCCCAAACACAGTATCTGTCATATATTGTTTTGGTGTTCTACAACCCTTTAAAAATGTAAAATCTACTAAGAAATAGGTAGTGGAAGGCCTGTAGATAGCAGTTTTCCAACCAATAAATTTCTCAGTATCATTATCTGGAGTTTATTTTCTGGGCTTGAGTGAAAAATTCCCTGAAGATTGCGATTACAGGAAACCTAGCATTTTAATTGTGTGAGGAAGGAGAAAGGAACAGTCAGAAGGAAAATTGGGAAATAGACAGCTGGCAGATTTTTCTTTGTGTGCTTGTTTTCTAAGTATGAGGAATAAAGCTCCTTGTGGTAATCACAATATACCTAGGGCATTGCCACACTTCGATGGCCCCTATTTGTATGCTCTGCATTATATGCTCTGCACATATACTCTGTGAGTCTCACCTTATTTGGCAAACATCAAATTGTGTTACAGCTTTAGCTTAGAGGAATTCTGTGGACCAGCAGCTCTGAGTCAGAGACCAGAATAACTATCTAGTCCTTCAAAAATCTGGCTTAGCACACTACAGACACCCCATCTCAGAGCTGTCTCTACAACTGGAGGTAATTCTTTAATTATCATCGGCATGTGGCTGTCAGTTCCTTGGCTCTCTTGGTTTCACCAAGATCTAATTCCTTGTTTTGTATCTTCTAGAAATATTTCACAGCACCCTTCTTGTCTTCCTAGTGTGATTATAAATCTATCCTTATTGCTGAAATTTGTATTATTGTATCTCCTCTACAATTTTAATAGAACTTTAGAATTTAATGACTTGAATCAAGCATGCCATTTTAATCTAACTCTCTTAAATCTATACTTTATACTGATCTAATAAATAAGCTACCCATAGTACCCTTCCACACTCCATGCTATTTCATACTTCCCTGTCGCCAAGGGGGCCATCTGTCACCATCAACAGCACCTCACCCTGACCCCTAATATAATATTTTTCAACTTTGTTTTAAAACAAAAACTGGGAAATTTTATCATTGTGGGATTCTCCGTAATATTTTCTGAAAGCATTAGAATTCACAACAGACCTCTGGGAATTAGAGGACTGGGAAAGAAGAAGGGAAAGTCAAGAAGAGATTAGACTAGTATGGCTGTCTCCGAGGAGGCCTCAAATGGTGGCAGGACCTACTGAATTTACCATTGCCAAGAATCTGCCCTTCAGCCTTGCAGATTCCCTGGATTTGTTTGAATACCAAATAGAGATACAGCACTGAGGGTAGGGACCATAACTACCAAAAAAAGTCAATTGTTTATTTATAAAATGAACTGTAACTGTCACACAGACTAGAACATTCCTGCCTGGACGGTTACTCCATTTTCTGTCCATCAACAGGTGTCAAACTGTAATCAAAAGTTTGTATGCCAGACGCGGTGGCTCATGCCTATAATCCCAGCACTTTGGGAGGCCAAGGCAGGCAGATCACTTGAGGTCAGGAGTTCAAGACCAACCTAACCAATATAATGAAACCCCATCTCTATTAAAAATACAAAAAAATTAGCTGGGCATGGTGGTGTGTGCCTGTAATCCCAGTTACTCGGGAGGGCTGAGGCACAAGAATCGCTTGAACCCAGGAAGCAGAGATTGCAGTGAGCTGAGATAGTGCCACTGAACTCCAGCCTGGGTGACAGAGTGAGGCTATGTCTCAAAAAAAAAAAAAAAAGGTTGCTTGTAATTAATGCCACTAAATGGTACATTAAAAAATGATTAGAATGGTAATTTTATGCTATGTATACTTTACCACAATAAAAAAGTTTGCTTATATTCAAAGTAAGGACAATTTGGTAAATAAATCAAATGTTGAATAACATCTAAAATAATCTGATAATATCCACTTCTACAATAAGAACAATCTTGCCAACAAAAACAGAGTTCTTAAATACATTTCAACATGCACTAACATTTACCTTTGTAGTTCTTTTCTCTGTTTCTACATGTACAAGAGTGGGCTTATTATATGGGAAAATTACTACTCCTACTAACTTACCAATATAGTTGTAAGTATTAAATGAGGGGGGAAAAGTCCCCATTTTCTGACTCCCACAGGTCTGTTATAGATTCCAGTGCTTTCAGAAAGTATTATGAAGAATCCCCCAAACCTATGTTTATATTCAAAAGGGCGGAAACTCCTGCCTTGATAGGGGAAGAGTTACAGGCACCAGAAATTTGTATGAGGGCCCTATGAATGTCCTCAAAGTGCAATCACTGACCACTACCTTCAAAATCATGTGAGATATTTGTTAAAAATATATCACCTCCAGGATAGGCGTGGTGGCTCATGCCTGTAATTCTAGCACTTTGGGAAGCTGAGGTGGGAGGACTGCTTGTGTCCAGGAGTTCAAGACTAGCCTGGGCAACAAAGCAAGACCCCATCTCTACAAAAAAAATATTAGCTGAGTGTGATGGTGCACGTCTGTGGTCCCAGCTACTTGGGAGGCTAAGGCGGGACGACCGCTTGAGCCCAGGAGGTCAAAGCTGCAGTAAGCCATGATCGTGCCACTGAATTCCAGCCTGCATGACAAAGACAGAACCTAAAGAAAAAAAAAAAAAAAGTAGAAAAAAAGAACACCTCCAAAGAATATGCTCTAGTAAAATCTAGGTTGGTACCCCCAAATCCTCGTTTCTACAAACATTTTAGAACTACTCCCCTTTTCTAACATTTAAGGTGACCTGAAGGATGAAGAATCAGCCAAGGAAAGCTGATGGGTATAGGCTATAGAATAAGAAAATGCAAAGGTCTTTGTAGGAAAGAACTCATCAAAAAAGTAACAAAAGGCCATTATGGCTGGTAAGAATGGTATATGATATAAAGTTGTAAAGCTAGGCCAGTCTGATCAACATGATAAGGAGTTCTAACTGTATAGGTACAAAAAAAAAAAAAGCATGAGATTAACATCATCTGAATTACATTTTTAAAAGCTTATACTTGTGTAGAAAACTGAATCTATCATGGTAAGGGTGGAATCAAGATTAGTTAACAAGAAATTATCATGACTTGAACTGGGTTGGTTGCAGTGGAGGTAGAAGAGTCGGCAGATAAATTTTGGAAGTAGAACAGACAGACTTTTTGGTAGACTGTAGGTAGAAAGTGATAAAAAGCGAATAATACAGGATAGTCCCTAGGCATGGAGCTGAAACAACTGTGTAGGTTATAAATAAATTTCTTTGGTTATTTAGAACTATGTATCTCACTTTGTAATAGAGAAAACAAGTGATACTTGAAAACAGAAGTTGAAAGGCGTTTAAGATCTTATATACATCCTTATTACAAAAGCAATGCAAATATAAACACTAAGGATCACAAAAACTAACCTGACTATAAAGTAAACTGCCCGCCTACAAATTATCCAATAGGAAATACATGAATTTGAATTTCTGAATTAAGCACAGTAACAAAATACACTTTTATTTATCATTACCTTGCAAATTAGCTAGGCTGTATAAAGGCTCATGCGTCCCACAAAAAAGTACTATTTAGATGTTCTTTCCTATCTCTCATTCTAAAACATTTACCCAGTTGTTACATAGGATTCTTGTTACATAATGGTTTTCTTCCCAAAAGTTTCATATCTCAATCAGACTACCAGAGACATTGTTTTAAAAAAAATCACTCAGCTTAGTATCAGAAGAACCAAATACTAATAACCTAGAGGAATTTATTATTCTTTTACCTTAGCCCTTCCACAAATATTTTTAAAAATAAAGGAGAAATAAGAGGGTAACAAGTCCTATTATCCTTAAAATTTGAACTCCTAAGCAAAACGGCTTTCAAAAGCCTGCTAAGTAAATACAGACTCCTAGATAGTATCCAAATTTATCTAGTCTTCAACTACCCTTCTCTTATTTGGCACCAAATCCCTAAAATTAGATGCAAGTATCTATCAGATATTGCTAGCTTAAAGCTAGGCAAACCTAGTTCACCTCAAAAAAAAAAAACTGTATTGGTTCAGAAAGTCTAGTTTTAAAAGCCTTATTTTACACAAAAAGATAAATTATCTGTGGGATTCTACAAATGTCCATACATTCACCCACTTAATACCTTACAATTTGATATATCCATCCATTTATCCATTCGATGCCTCAAAACTTTTCTAATTTCACTGAAATACAGCCCCCTATGCCAGGCATGGTGGCTCACACCTGCAATCCCAGCACTGTGGGAGGCCAAGACAGACAGGTCACTTGAGCCCAGGAGTTCAAAACCAGCCTGGACAACATGGTAAAACCCTGTCTCTACAAAAACTACAAAAATTAGCTGGGCATGGTGGCTCACACTTAACAGTCCCAGCTACTTGGGAGGCTAAGTTGGAGGATCGCTTGAGCCCAGGAGGTTGAGGCTACACTGCACTCCAGCCTGGGTGACAGAGTGAAACCCTGTCCCAAAAAAGAAAAAAAAAAAAAACTACGGACCCTACTCTCAAAAGAGGCCACAGTAAAGATTGAAAAAAATAAGAGCACTACTTTTTAGTGACATAGACGGTTGTTTGAAAATAAATTATTTAAGAATAGATCCTCTATCAAGCTCATGTTCTCTTTTTAAATATGTAGGTATATAAGCCATAAAAAGGAATTTTTTAAAAAGGATAGAAATATTTGAAAGAGAAATAATTCTTTTAAAAGAAAAGTCTGCTTCTTGGTTCTTCAGCCAAAAACAGACATGACAAAAGAACTAACACAACTACAGAAAACTTTGTATCAAATGTATTTTCAGCAAGACTTGAAGATTTGACACAGGCACAGGGAAAAGGAACAAACTTAAAAAGAGTATAAATAAGGTCAGTTCAAACTCACTTCTATTTGAAATGTGTTTTAAAAACAATTTTAGTCTTATATTTTAAAAATATGATTGAGAATTTTTTTTTCTTTAATTCAAGTCTTCTCAATCATCTTAAAATACTTGTGAGCTGAACTGATACATTAAGGCAAATTTTTATTTTAAATACTCATTTCATTGATGAACTCTGTTTCATTTAAACTGCTAATCCAGGGAGAAAGTTTTCGTAAAAAACATTTTATTGCTACAAAGGGAAACATGGTCACAAAGAGCCTTTAAGCGTATCTTAACGCAAATTACTATTCAATGTCTAATGCAGTAAAAAAATACACAGAGCACAAAATACTTGCCCAGTTTATATCTTCCAGGGTAAGTATTCAAAAAATTGATGCACACTTGAATATTCACTCCCAAGAGCAGCATTTAAGATAAAATGATTAGAATAGATATACTAACAATACACATTTGTTATCCTTAACACCAATAAAGTAATAAAAATTAAGCTTAAAAATTATACAAACAATTTATCGGATCTAAGTCTGGTAGCTATAAAAACTAAACTAAAATAGTTTTGCCTTCATTTTATTAAACAAATGTTAAACATTTAGAAATTATATAAAACAAATTTTAATATGTGGAATGCATGCAACATGGGTGTTAATTCATATTTTAAGCTATTAAATTTCTTACCCTTTTTTACATTAGAACCGAAATGTAAAGCTCCTTTTAAATCTAATACCTTATATTTAATTTTCTTCAGGTTGCTCAACAGGGAAGTCAGCAGGTTCTTCCTTTGCTGTCTCTTCCTCTAATTCCTCTACTTCCTCTACTTCCCCCACTCCCTCTACTTCTCCCACTACCCCTACTTCCCCTCCTTCCCCTACTCCCTGTATATTTCCCTCGCCCTCTATTCCTCCTTCTCTCACTTCCTCTACTTCTTCCACTTCCTCTACTTCCCCCACTTCCTCTGCTTCTTCTTCCTCATCTTCATCCTCCTCTTCTTCAATAGGTTCATCAATCTTCTCTTCATCCTCCTCATCTCCTTCTATTTGCTGATCCTGAGAATGGTCTTGAATTTCAAAAGGATTCTCACCCTAAAAACATAAGAAATGGCTTTCAAAATCAGCACATTCATTATTACATGATCTGGCAAGTGAAATTTTTACTTGCCATATCATGAGAAATAAATGCCATTTTGAAACTTTTCATTGTAAATTATAACAAATTCATTAAGTATTTGTTGACTGTCCATTCCATACCAATGTGAGCATATAATTTACTGAAGCCATTACTTTATCCTCCATAACTGAAATGCTTAAAGGTCATATTTTCCCCTTAACTGTATTTCTAAATAATCATACACACACACACACACACACACATATATACACATGACAAAGACAAGTGTGGTTTTTGGTAGAAACAAAGGGATGATGCAAAGATTTACATTTTGCTTAATTATATGAGTATTAATGTTACAGAATCTCTTTAAAACTCAAATGAAAATCAGGTACCTCGCTTAATCTACTAGATACCATGCCTTACTTCTACTTTTAAAAAGTAGACAAACCTCTCAGTAAACATTCACAGGAACAACTTTAATATTTTATTTTAATACTTCAATTATATATCTGGATCAAATCTCATATAAATTTGACCATATCAGAAGGCTATATTAATGTAGTAAGAAATGAAGTAACAGTGAAGGTTATTAAGCAGGAAAATATTAAGATTGGCACTACCCTTTAAGATGAATGACACAGGAATGTGTAGGATGAAGCAGAGAACCAAAAGAAGGAATACTAGTGAGGAGGCTACTCTAATATCCCAGACCAGGGAAATGTAAAAGATGTGGTGACATTATTCACAGAACAGGTAAATTACAATCACTATTCCAACGGAAAGGAAAAGGGGAGGAAGTGTATATATGCTATTAATATATATAATTATAACTTCAGATATCTAGATGTCTAATAGGCAGCTATAAATTTGCAACTCAAAAGAGAGGAGAGTTCAGAATAAGATATTTACATTTACGAATTGCCTGCTTGCAGAGAGTGCATTGGTGAAGCCAGGGTCTTAAATGGGAAGGCCCTGGGATGGGACTGGTGGATTAAGTAGAAAAAAGGGCTGCAATAAAAACCCTATGAAGATGCCTACACTATACATGGGAGCAGCAGAAGTTAGAAGTGAAGGAACACAGCTGGGTGCGGTGGCTCATACCTGCAAGGCTGAGGCGGGTGGATCACAAGGTCAGGAGATTGAGATCATCCTGGCTAACACGGTGAAACCCCGACTCCACTAAACATACAAAATATTAGCCAGGCCTGGTAGCAGGCACCTGTAGTCCCAGCTACTCAGGAAACTGAGACAGGAGAATGGCGTGAACCCAGGAGGTGGAGCCTGCAGTGAGCCAAGATCGCGCCACTGCATGGCCTGGGCGACACAGCGAGACTCTGTCTCGAAAAAAAAAAAAAAAGTGAAGGAACACTTGGTGCAGGAGGAAACCCAGGACAGTAAAAAGACTACCTGATAAAAGAGAGTTTCAAGAATAAGTGATAGATCAACAGTGTCAAATGATACATATAAAAAAGCAGAAAGCAATTGAAAAAGGTCACTAGAGTTAATCATCAATACAGAATGGGGGTTCTTGAGGATTTATTGTACTATCCCCTTATTTTCATACATTTAATATGTTATAATTTTTTAAAGACCACTAGATTTGATAATGACAACATTAGTAATCTTAGGAAGAGCAGTTTCAAAAGTATGATGTGACAGTTAGACAGCAGCAGTTGTCCAAGAATGTATCTTTAAAATTTCCTATGAAGCTGTCAAAAACCACAGGCCCTGATTCCAGCACCCTGAGATTTTCATTTAGTCTGTACTGGAACTCTTGCTGAAAACACAAATTCCTGGATCAATCTCAGACTGCCTGAATCAAAATTTCCAGGGGAGACGCTCAGTAACTTGCATATTTAAGAAGCATTTCGGGCAAAAATTAGCTGGGTGTGGCCTAGCTACTCAGGAGGCTGAGCCAGGAGAATCGTTTGAACCCGGGAGGTGGAGTATGCAGTAAGCCCAGATCACACCACTGCACTCCAGCCTGGGCAACAGAGTGAGACTCTGTCTCAAAATAAGAGAAGCATTTTTGGAGATATTTATCAGTGAAGTTTGGGAAACCCTAATTCAGAAAGCCTAAAAAAGGGCTTAGGCAGCTTTTTGTTTATCTTAGCCTCACGGGTGATTGAACACATTCCTCTGGTTGAGAACTACTAGTTTAAAGAGTGAATAATAGAGAGGAAGCAAAGAGCACGTGCAAAGTAAACTACCATTTCAAGTATGCTGGGAAGAGACAAGATGATAAAATAGGGTGGGCCAAAGTCTAGGAAAAGTTAAGTCATTTTTGGTTTAGGGAACTCATAAGCATGTCTATTTGAGGAAGATTAGAAAAAAAAAAAAAAAAACAGGAAAAAAATCAGATGCAAGTAAGGGAAGAAATAATGATGGAATTAGAACAAAGATGAAAGGCAAAGAAGATTTTTCCTCACAAATAATAAAGGTGAAGGAAAGATATATCTAAGGCAGAAATGAGAACACTTACTGAATTTACATCTAATGGTCTCAATCTCCCTAATGCAGGAGAAGAAATAAGCATATGGGAAGTGGCTGAGTGTGGTGGTGTGTGCCTGTAATCCCAGCTACTAGAGAGGCCGAGGTGGGAGAATGGCTTTAAACCCAGGAGTTCAAGGCTGCAGTGAGCTATTATCGCACCACTGAACTCTGGCCTGGGCAACACAAAAAGATTCTGTCTTAAAATATATATATATAAGAAAAAGAATATGGGAAGCAAAGAGAGCAAGAATGAAATCTGAGACATGAGGTTATTAAAGGTTGGAAGAGTCACTACAGGAAACACATTACACTGGTAGTTAATAAGTAAAATTATTGTGAATTGAGTGAAAATCTGGGAAACACAGGACTGGCACGCACAATTCCACATTTTTTAGCAAGACAAACATTAAAGCTAACCGTAGAGCTAGAACTAATAAGGAATTTGAGAGCGGCAACATTCCCTACTGAAAGGGGTGATTATCAATGCCCAGAGCAGGGAGTGAAGGCAGAACAAGATGATACAGTTGGAGAATTAAGAGAAATTGATGTACTGATTATCTCAATGAGGACAAAGTTGTTTTGTTTTGTTTTTTTGTCTTCTCTGCCGTGTCTCTAAGGGACAAAGATTTAAAAGGGCATTTTATCAGACTGAGAGCACTTGACAGTGGAGGGACAGTGGAGGAGTTTTAAGCCATGACCAGAGCTGACCATGAGCAGAAGATGTTCTGGGGAATGACAACAGGGAACACAGCAGACAGGCATGCTGAATAAAGGGCCATCATTGAGTAATGTGACCCCAGTGCTTCTTGAATTTTCACATGCATACAAATCAACAGGAATCTTGTTAAAATGAAGATTCTTATTCAGTAGGCCTGGGTATGACCTGAAATTCTGCATTTCTAATGAGCTCCCAAGTGATGCCAATACTGCTGATCCACAGATCACATTCTGAGTAACAAAGTTCTAGAGGAGTTCTCAGTTCAGGTGTGTTCTCTACAACATGTGCATGAGCAGGATACTCCCACCAGTGACATCTCTCATTCCATGAAGTGACTCGATTGTGTAACTTGAAAACACTATATAGAAATTCTAATTTTGCATTCTTCCCTCATTAAAAATTATCTTCATACATCAATAGAAACCACTTTCTCAGAAGTTTGTGACAATGCAAGAATAAAAATCTAATTTTTCCTTCTTTAGCTATGATGCTTCTTTTTGATGCCATACCTCTCATAAAATTGGATTTCAATTGAGGGCTGCATTCATTTTTTTAAAGTAGTGTCAAGAATGTAGTAAATGGCGACAAATATTAACGAATATTAGATTAACAAATTAGAAAATAGGCCCCTAAGGAACGAGCTGCAAGAACTAATATTATTTAGCTTGGAAAGGACTGGTAGAGGGACAATTTAATGGTCACTAAATATGTATCAGGTTTTCTTCACAGAGTAGCTGTTAAGAGTCACAATAGACAAAATAAACAAAACTTCTTTAATCTATACTTACTAATGTAAATAACACACTGTTGTAAATCCTCAACACAACAGCTCTCTTCAGTGTAGAATAATGATTTTAAGGTAGGTATTATTTTGTAAAGACTGAAAAATAACTTCTATCAGACCAGTCTGGGTATTATAAGAGAAGTAAAAACACAACAAAACCAAAAGACTAACCTCTAAAATTTATTCCCAAATCACAGTAAGCTCTTATTTGTATAGTAAGTGTTTATCATAAATTTTATGTAAAGATGGATTCAAGCCATAACATATGGCAAAAACCCTGAGGAGTAAAGAGTATATATCCAATTGTTCACATCTGAGTTTCATAATATTAGAAGCAAACCTCTCTTCTCCCGCCCGCCAAATTCCATGAGATTCCTTCTTCTGGAGAAACATCTGACCTTCCTGCTACCCTCCAACTTTTATGCAGGGAAAAGGAATGATTTATGCAATTAGTATGCTTGGAAGAAAAAACTAGGTGGACACAACACAGTCCCTTGTGGGTCCCCTCTTTTGGGTCTTCCTAGTGACAGAAAAGGTACATCCTAGTCTGTTCTATGCCATGTGGTAAACTAGGAGAAGCCTGTTGCTGTCCATCTGGGCTGGTAACAGAAATTGGGAGGATCTAAGTCTACCTAATTCAGAAATGAAATATTAAAAGTCCACAGCAACTACATAGCTAAGATATATTCTCCAAGTCAATTTTTTCTTAAATCAAGAATAAAGCTGACATTTTGATTTTCTATCTAATGCTTGTGTATTTCTCATTGATTCAGAGCTACAAAGGTGATAAGAGAGGAATCACTGCTCCCATCTTGACCAACCCAACAATTAGGAAAAAAGATGTTTTACCTATATGCAAGATACTGAGTAAAATTCTTCTTAATATGTTATACTATATTCAAGTATCACAAAAGGTTACTATGTCACCAGTTAATTATTGCAATACTACAATATTATTGAAAAGGTTTTTGCCCTAAAATCTTACCTTAACAAAACGTTCATATCGCGCCTTCACTATTGGATTATTTAAAATGCTTGTAGCAGTCAAGACACTCTCTCTTTTTATTTGTTCCTTATAAGCCTATAAAAAACAGAACACACTGAGGGTTCTTGAAAACCATGCCATGAAAAATATTTCCATAATTAAAACAGCATTTCATGCTCAAACCCTTAGATTTAAATGACTTATCTTCTTACAAACTATAGAGCAATAGCAACTACTATAACCACAGTCTAAATCTATGAATTCAAACAATGAAGATTCAAGCCAATCAGCTTCAAAAGAAAACACTCAGTCCCACAAATCTACAAGTCTAGATTCTACTAGATAGCTGCCTTCTCTTCTTTCCACTCCACATCTGCCTCCCCAGCCCCCAACTATTAATTTTCACGCTGTCAAAAAATAAAGAATAATTTTTCATACTACAAGAGTATCTAGTCTTCCTCTAGGCTGTAGTTATTTCAAGACTATTATACAGAGGAAGAAAGTTACCAGTATAGAAAATTGCCAAAATGGTGTCAAGGGAATATCAAGAGAAGAAAAAGACATAGATTAAGAAAAGATTGTATGTGTTCAAAAATGCTTGAAGAAATCTGAATTAAATGAGGTTCACTTCAATACAAAATAAAAGTTTAACACTTGGGTATGTTCTATTTAAAACTTAAGGCTTTAATATCTGAATCTTTAAATATGCTTTTCAAACAAACTGATTTCCCACAATATAAACATTTGTATTGTCTGAAGTAAATCTGACTAAATAAAACCAGCCAAGCCAATAGAGAAGCAGAAATATACTGACCAAAAAGAAGACAGTAAATTTTTCAGGGATATTCTACTAAAAAATGTAAGAATAGATGCTAGCTGATAATGCTGTTTTTAAATGTATTTTTCCCAACCATCAGAAAAATGTATCAGTAATAATCAAATCTTTACTTTCTTTTTTATTCTAAAACACAGACACACACAACACACACACACTCTCTCACAAAACTGTTTTGTACTGACTTTTTAAAAAGTTAACAGTTCAACAAAAGCTACGATTTCCTGAATGCTTACCATTACCAGGCACTATTTTAAATGCCTTATACGTTTTAATTAATTTAATTCTTAAAAAAAATCAGATAAGAGTAGAATGATCATCTACCCTCATTTTACAGATAAGGAAACTTAGACAAAGAAAGGTTAACTTGCTTGCGTAACACATGTTATAGATTGAACAACTCAGGGAGTCTTACTTTAGAGCTCAGTCTTAACCACTATATACTGCCTCTCTGAGTATACTTACAGTTATTTCCATATGAGATTGATAAATTGATAAAATTGCAGATAGGTGTGAAGCTATGGCCAAAGAACAATAAAAGATTGATGGATAATCTGGCAACTTTATTAAGACAGATGAAAATTTTACCTGCTTCCCTTTGATATGATCAGGAGATTTTAAGTGCTGCTGAACTGAACTATGTAAAGCAGGGATATAAACACTGCAAGCGCTGCAATGAACTGTCTCTACCTTCATCATGTGATCATCTACAGTAACACCTACAAAAGACATCCAATTATTAAAGAAATAATTCATATGTTATTTCTGACCAATGAAGTTTTTACTACTTAATTTCCATGATTATTTATACCCCTTCTTCCAAAATAAAGATCAGAGTGCATAGGTTTATGCTGAGTATTTCTACCACATCTCATAAATCTACATATGTAGATTTACTATATTGCTAACTAAAATTATTAAGGTACAATTACATTATAGTTCCTAATCATGTTAAACAACCATGCTCTGAGGCCTGTACATTCATCCTCCCAAAACTATAATATAAAGGAAAACAAATATTGATTTTGTAGTAAAATAAGAATTTCCATGATTATGAATGTGGATGAGTAAGAAAAGGGGAAAGGATGTCAAAACTGGATTCATAAGGAACAAAGGTATTCTGGATCTTGCAAATGGTGACCGGGGTTTATTACAGGTGAAGGTATAAACATATGCAAGGGAAGGGTGTAAGAGAATGGTACTTTCTGCAAGTTAGTACGACTGGAACAGAGAAGAAGAGACTAAAGATGAAAATAGAAAAAAAGAAGGGCCTAAATAATAAAGAGCTGTATGTGCCACGCCTAGGAATTTGAACTTGATCCTGGAGAGGATGAAGAGCCACTGAAAGTTCCTGAAATAATGAGATCATGTAATAAAATCGTAAGATAAGAAAAACTGGAAGTAATGAAACTACTTCGGAAATACTACAATTGTCAAGACAACAGAAAAGGATTTGAACAAATACAGTATTTAAAGGAGAGGTAAAGAAACAGATTTGATAAATGTTTAAAAGAGAATTGATGTTATCAACTGATCAGTACTATAGATACAGTAAGGAAAAAGTACCTAGTATATAACTCTCTACTTCTGGCTTTGGTAGATGGTGCAGGCCCTTCTCAAGATACGTGAAGGAAAAAACTGTGAGGTTTTGTTTTGCTTTCTTTGTAAGGTAGGATATGCTCAAGGAGACGATAACTTTTTTGGATATGTTGATTTTGTGTGACTGCTGTAAAGAGATGTCAGTAGGCAGTTAGATGTGTAAGACTAGAGTTCAGAAGAAAGATCTGTGCTAGAAACATAGATGTATAAGCAATGAACATCTAGATACTAACTTAAGCTCTGTAAGTGAATTTATTAGGAAGGAATATAAAAAGAGATGGTAATGGGGCTAATGACAAGGTACTGAGAAACATCAAATTCTAAAAGAGTGGCAGAGAAACCATAAAGACTTAAAAAATGACAAAAGGATAAAGAAAACATTAGGCCAGTGAAGTGCCACAGAAACAAAGGAAGAAAAATGATTCATGAATCATATAGTTAGTAAAAAATGTTACGGAAGATAATGATTCCAAAGAACCTAGAGAAGTTGGTGTTGGTAACTTCTGTCACAGCAGTTTCAGTAGACTAACAGTAGTAGAAAGTTGTTTAATTAGCTTAATGTAATACATGGGAGATGAAGAAGCAGAGAATAGTGTGGGTTATGCTTAAAGAAGCATGGTTATTTAAAAAGAAAAAGAAGACAGGTTATTTAGGAGAACTAGTGTCTGTTTTTCTTTCCTTTTCTTTTATTCCTTTTGTTGGCTGTTTTTTGTTTGGTTAGTTCTTGTTTTTGTTCTTGTTTTGTTTTGTTTTTTTTAAGTAAAAGCATATTTACAGACTCCAGAGATGGAATCAAAAGAGAAGGAAAGACTAAAAAACAGAAGATTTCATAACTTGAATTTTGGGAGAAGGAATAACAGAAACAGAGAACAGAGAGAAGTATCTTTCATCTAGAGGAAAAGGTAACTTTTCCTCTCAAACTGAAGTGAAGAAAGTAATGGCAGGTAATGATAAATTTGTAAGCATTAGAACAGGAAGACAAAGAAGTTCATTTCTGGTAACTCACTCAGAGCTACTGTATATATGACTGTACTATATCACTCTAGTGGCTATCATTTACATTTAAACAGGTTATGATATATAAAAATACATGTAGAATTTTAAAATAATTTGTTTTAAATACTTACCTTCCATAACATCTTTTTCAATTATTTTAACTACTTCTGTTTGATTATTTGTCTGTTGCTTACGAATAGATGTTTTCTTGAATTTATTCACCATACACTCCTAGAAAACAAAATAGAAAGAATCTAAATAGCTTTCAATGAGCACTCAAGTATAATGCTTAGCACTATGTTCATTCTATGGAAGATACAGTATCTGCTACATAAGAATTAACATCTTTTCTCAAGGAGTTTATAATTTAATTGAAAAGATAATCATAAAATATTAGGAACCTACAAAAATTATTCATTTTTCAAAGTATATTTTAAGCATATAGAGAAAGGGATCAAAGGGAGCTAGAATATTTAAGAGGTCTTCCAGAGTAGGTGGGTATTTAAGTTATAAAGGACACACAGAAACCCATTAAGGAAATAAATTACAGAAGATTGTTAATTAAGGGTCACAGTTCTATGAGAATTACAGTGGTCTGAAAGGTCACTTTTTTTTTTTTTTTTTGAGATGGAGTCTCGCTCTGTCACCCAGGCTGGAGTCCAGTGGTGCGATCTCTGCTCACTGCAACCTCTGCCTCCCGGGTTTAAGCAATTCTCCTGCCTCAGCCTCCCAAGTAGCTGGGATTACAGGCACGCGCCACCACGCCTGGCTAATTTTTATATTTTTAGTAAAGACGGGGTTTCACCATGTTGCTCAGGCTGGTCTTGAACCCCTGACCTCGTGATCCACCCGCTTCAGCCTCCCAAAGTGCTGTGATTACAGGCGTGAGCCACTGCGCCCGGCCTGATCATTGTATTTTTAACTTTCTAATAATTCCACCTCTTCTGTCCAAATTAATTGTACGTACAATCAACAGTCCAGCTCAAGCCCCTTCTTTAAGCATTCCTTAACATTCCCAACTGTCTTTCCCTTTGCTAAACTCCTACATTATTTCTGAATTCCTGGCATTGTCACTTAACAGTCATTTAACTGCTCTGAGCATAATCTTTCATGATAAAAATGAATTGTTACAGGGCTCAACTGAAATAACGAATGAATGTAACCAGCACAACTCCAGTTAATGGATGATAGCTGACTCCACATCAATACAGTTGTTAAAGGACACCTCCCGCAGAAACTGTGAAAAATGTAATAATTTCTGAAATAACAAATACAAATTCTATTATAGAGGAATTCACAAGTAATTCTGAGTTAATTTTAAAACAACTCTTTCTTTAAATAGTAAATTAAAATTTTAGAAACATAAATGTGAGAGATGGGGAGAGTGAAAAATGAAATCATAAGAAATTCATATCAATAAAATGCTTCTCACTTCAAAAACAGCTACTCACATGCAAAAACTCCATAACTACTTTATCAAATTTAGTTTGTTTCTGTATATGATCTAATGTTTCCTGATGTGAAGAACTTTCCAGATGCAGTTCAATATCTTTTTCTTCAAATGTTCGAAATTTACAAAATGAACATGTAAATGCCATTCTGTAAGAGAAAAAAAAGTTTTCCTTTAAATATTACTTTATTCAACTATAAAGAGTTCATAAGAATATAACATTGAAACTAATTTTACCAACATAAATGATTTCCTTTCTTCCTCTTTATGACTGAATTAAACTTAGCTTAAATCCAAAAAAAACAGTATTTAAGTACATATTTGGACAGTACCCATATACCACTTTGCATTTCTAGCCCACCTTGGAGCTTCCGGGTAGGAAAAATTGAATCAGGGGATCTATAAGTTATCCACTTCAAGCCTGGACCAATTAAAAAGGCAAAACAAACCTCAAGAAGTATCAAGTTCCAAAGTTCTGCAACTTATTTTACATGTTGTTCCATCCTCAAGCTTCTAAACCAATGGTAGTATCAATAAAGCAAGGTGGCACACCACCAGACAATCATAATTCACTCCTGTGGAATTCTTGGGTGATAAAAGTCTTGCCTTCTAAAGACTACTTCACTTAGGGATAACTAATAGGCCTGGACTGGACAAATGCATACATCTGTAAGCTCAAGAGCCACTCCATAATGAACAGTCCCACCTAATTGCTTCTTTTTTTCTTTTTCTTTTTCTTTTTTTTTTTTGAGATGGAGCCTCGCTCTGCTGCCCAGGCTGGAGTGCAGTGGTGCGATCTCAGCTCACTGCAACCTCCACCTCCCCAGTTCAAGCAATTCTCCCACATCAGCCTCCCAAGTACCTGGGACTACAGGCATGCGCCACCACACCTGGCTAATTTTTATATTTTTAGTAGAGACAGGGTTTTTGCCACCTTGGCCAGGCTGGTCTTGAACTCCTGACCTCAGGTGATCTGCCTGCCTCGGCCTCCCAAAGTGCTGGGATTACAAGTGTGAGCCACCGTGACCAGAATAACTGTTTCTATTTTACATTATTTTCTTTTCCTTGAATTATGCCAGCAGTCACATAACTGGTTTCTGTCTCCAGTCTCCATTTTCCAATTAATTCTTTGCAATGCTATTAGATTTATTTTCCTGGTTGAGAGTATGAGCTCTGGAGCCAACTGCTGAGTTCATATCCTAATTCCATTTTGTGATCTTGGGCAAGTTACTTGACTTGGTTTTCTGGGCCTTGGTTTTCTTACATTGAGATGAGAACGCTCACAGAGGTGTCTGAGGATTTTTAAAAATTAATGCAGACAAAGCCCTTAGAACATTTCCTAAAACACAATAATTATTCAATTAATTATTGCTACTTCCTATAGGAGGTAAGAGCACATTACTGCTCAAAGGGCTTCATTAGCTCCATAAGCTCCAAAAACAAAGACAAAAATGTTTTCAGCTGCCATCCAGGAAATTTCCTAATCTCTTCTTTTTGGCTTTACTCACCAATACCTTTAACATTATCTGGCACAGCATTTCTTCATTAAATGTTTAAATTAGATTATACCTTTCACCCATTAGAGTCACTTCAATCTACACTGCTTTCAATTTTCTAAATAACAATAACACATTCCTGTTTGCTTTGATGGCAAGCCATGGCCTCTACCTGGGCTGCCTCTCACAACTCCTCCTGTAACCCTACCATTCCCAGATCAATTCAAATACTACTTCCATCATTGCAGCCTCCCCTGATTTCCATGCACCCTTATTTATTTATTTTTTGAGACAGAGTCTTGCTCTGTTGCCCAGGCTATGGAGTGCAGTGGCGCGATCTCAACTCACTGCAACCTCCACCTCCCAAGCTCAAGCTATCCTCCTACCTCAGCCTCCCAAGTGGCTGGGACCACAGGCACGTGCCACCACACCTGGCTAATTTTTGTATTTTTTGTAGAAATGAGGTTTCACCATGTTGCCCAAGCTGGTTTTGAACTCCTAGGCTCAAGCAATCCGCCTGCCTTGGCCTCCCAAGGTACTGGAATTACAGGCATGAGCTACCATGCTTGGTCTCCTATACCCTTATTTAGAAGTTATATCTCATGAGACTACATTGTACTCCTGGTATCCTTCACCATACACTATTATTTATGTACATCTCTCACACATCCATCTCTTTCTCCCTAGGTTCCCTTAAGGGTAGATATAAACCTTTCCATGTGCTTTATTATGTGGGAAGCATTCAAATATCCAAGGGAAGGAACCTATCACAAGAATAGTGATTTACTCAATCTCGAATCCTCATAACTCAAAGTAAAACTGCTCTGATAAATGAAAATAACTTAGACTACTTTAAATAAATTATATCCTAAAATGATAATTTATGAGTTAACATTCTTTTGGTTATATCATCAGATTTATATTTAGAGTTACAGAGAAAATAGCTAAATGAAAGTTCAATTCTTTCATTTTCTCTATATCACAATTTTATATATTATATTAACATGAACATAATCCATATCTAAAATTTTTCATGAGAAAAGTACTCATAGGGCAATTAAATTTAAAAAATTGCATCTTATAATGTAAAATGATTTTTACACTCCAAGACGCTGATAATTTAAAGTCATTTCTACACCAAAATATTAACTATGCCTGTTACTTCTACCAAAAGAAGGAATCACAAGAGATAATGAATGGGACAGAGAACTCACAAGGACTAAAAATAGCAGTAGTTCTTGAAACTAGAACTACTCTTCTTTTTATGGATTGTTTTGTTTTGTTTAGAGATGAGGTCTTGCCACGTTGCCCAGGCTGGCCTCAAAATTCTGGGCTCAAGGCTTTAAGAAAAATTTAGACATTTTTAAAAAACTGCTAAATTGCTAATAGTTATAATATACTGTCACCAACAAATTTTAAGCGTCCTTTGACCATTCCTTAATTAGCAAATCAAATTTCTCCTTAGTAATAAAATGGCATACTATTATTTAAATTTTTAGTTTAATGAAATTACTGTTAAGTTTAAACAATTTCCTTAAAATTATTACTAGCTGTTTTTTGTTTCCTCATCATATTAAACAGCTTAGTTTTCTTACTTTTTAAAATAATTTGGGTGATGTTTTAATCTAACTTGGACATTAATCATTTCTCATGTTTATATTTTCCAAGTCTGTTTGCACTCCTTTCAAATTTTAAGTTTTTATTTAGCCAAATCTGCTCATAATTTCCTTTGTAATTTATTCTATAACTTTTAAGCCTGGGAAAAAAATCTCCTTGCAGAACATTTTGTTTTTCTGTAATTTCATTTTTTTTTTACTACATTCATTCCAGGTGTCATATGAGGAGGCTCTAAACTGATTTTTGTTGTTATTTCATTGTTCAACCAATTCCCCTCTTTTTTTTTTTGAGACAGAGTCTCGCTCTGTTGCCCAGGCTGGAGTGCAGTGGCTCAATCTCATCTCACTGCAAGCTCCGACTCCCGGGTTCACGCCATCGTCCCGCCTCAGCCTCCCGAGTAGCTGGGACTACAGGCACCCACCACACCTGGCTAATTTTTTTTTGTATTTTTTTAGTAGAGACGGGGTTTCACCGTGTTAGCCAGGATGGTCTTGATCTCCTGACCTCGTGATCTGCCCGCCTCGGCCTCCCAAAGTGCTGGGATTACAGGCATGAGCCACTGTGCCTAGCCCAATTCCCCTCTTATTTCTAATATCCTCTTTATTAAATATTACATTCTTCCTTACAGTCTGTTCACAGGCTAATCTGGTATAATAATTAGCTTTGTGTATTACCACATATTTTTAACTATTATAGCTTTTTAATGATTGATTATCTATAAAAGCCAGTACCTACTCATTTACTCTTCTTCAGAATTTCCTTTGGGATCTGGATTGGAAAGAACTTACATATTTGTAATATTTAATTCCTGCCCATGAAAATCACTATGACTCCATACAGTCAAATCTCAATGACAAGTGTTTCTTTTTAAGAATACTGTTATTTCTGAATATTTGATATCTTTTGGATTGCCAATATGAATAGAATGCCTTTTTTCTTATGTTTTCTAAGTAGTGATTACATATAAATATCAAAAACCAAAAGCATTCCTCTGTATCTTTGAACAAGTCTTTTCATTTGAATCTTAAGAACTTTTTAATATTACAATTGATGTGTTGGCTTTTTCTAGGAAATCATTTTTTAATGAACCTAATTTTCTGACTCTAAGTACAAACCTGTATCCATCTCCGTATTTCTCACTGTTTTTTTCTCTTCTGCGCCTTTGTTTCTCTCGCCGAGCCTCAATTCGCCGCTTTTCTTCCTCTTCATTTTTAGGATCAGTTTTTGCTAGGATATTACACAAAAAAGTAAAAGCTAAAATTCATTTTTCCATTCTCTCTTTCCAATCATCAGTTCGTAAAGTACATACTTATGAGGTATACTTAGTGATTGTAATCTAAAATTGAACTCACCAAAAAAATCGGAGTTTGAGACTATCCAGTATTTCTGAAACTTCACTAAATGAACTTCATTCATTTGAATACCATCATCATGAATTCTGTCATATCTGCTTGTCATCTATGTGATTATTTGCTACATATTTTTCTTTAAATGTGCTCATTTGTCCTATCCTTATTCTAAGCAATAATATCCTTATCACCTAAAATCATCTTGGGCATCACATACTTTGGGAAAAACACTAAAGTAACCTGACCGAGCATGAAAATGGAAGTCCAGTAAACACTGCAGAGCCCTGGATGCAAGAACTCATGTTCATATTGTAGGAGCTCTCAGAAAGTTTCTTAAAATTTGTAACCTCCAAAATAAAAGCAAATTTGTTCTCTTTTTTAAAAAATATTCTCTATTGTGATAAAATACACAAAACATAAGATTTACTAGTTTAACCATTTTAAAATGTGCAATTCAATGGCATTAAGTACATTCACAAAGTTACGCAACCATCTCCACTATCTAGTTACAGAACTGTTCATCATCCCATAAAGCAGTCACTCCCCATTTCAACCCTACCCTAAGGCCCTGGTAACCACTAATCTGCTTTCTGATCTACGGATTTGCCTATTCTAAGTATTTCATATACCTAGAATCATCCTGTCTGTTGCCTTTTTGGTCTGACTTTTATTTAGCATGTTTTCACAGTTCACCCATGTTGTACCATGTATTAGTAAGTACTTCCTTTTTTATGGTTTAATAATATTCCATTGTATGAATAACCCACATTTTTTAAACCATTCTTCTGTTGATGTATATTTCAATTGTTTCTACCTTTTGGCAATTATGAATAATGCTACTATAAACATTCATATATAAATTTTTGTTTGGACCAGGCACAGTGGCTCATGCCTGTAATCTTAGCACTTTGGAAGGCTGAGGCGGATGGATCACTTGAGGCCAGGGGTTCAAGACAGCCTGGCCAACATGGCGAAACCATCTCTACTCAAGATACAACAATTAGCTGGGCGTGGTGGTGCACATCTGTAGTCCCAGCTACTCAGGAGGCTGAGGAACGAGAATCGCTTGAACCCAGGGGCAGAGGTTGCAGTGAGCCAAGACTGCACCACTGCACTCCAGCCTGGGCAACAGAGTAAGATCCTGTCTCAAAAATAAAAATAAATAAATAAATAAATTTTTGTTGGAATACTACTTTAAATTCTTTGGAATAGAAGAATACCTAGAAGTGGAATTGCTGGATCATATGGACAGTCTATGTTTAATTGTTTCAGGAAGCACCAATCTGCTTCCCACAGTGGCTTCACTGCTTTACATTCCCATCAGTAATGTGTGAGGGTTTCAATTTCTCCATATCCTTGTCAACATTTGTTATTTTCCTTTTTTTATTATGACCATCCAAGTGGGTATGGAGTGGTAACTCACTGTGAGCAGGTTCTTTCTTATAATACATTTAACTTTATACTTAAAAAAAAAAAAAAAAAAAAAACTTAACTATTTGCCCTTAAATTTTTCCTTTTATGCACTGCTTATCCTTTTGGATGGCCTTTGAAAAATCTACTTATTTATATATTACCTCAAATAAGTAATTTAATCTTCCTTTCATATGCTAAAACTATGACATGTTGTACTTCTAGCCAAGTGACAGAATAGGGTTCCTTTCCTACTAATTTTCTATAAAGTCACATAGTCTATACTATAGCATAGCAAGACCTTGTATTGAGGAAAATTCAGCAATCATCTTTTTAAATGCCCATTTTACACCTGACAGAGAAGGCATAATTTAAAGAATTTTAGTTTCATTCTTAGCTACACAACACTTTTCTCAAGTTTTGTTATATAAAAAGGGGGTATGGGGGAGGGATACATATATATCTGCTTTAAGGGCAAATCAGTTTCTTTATCAAACTTTTGCAATATTTAACCATACGTGCAAAATATATCTTTGAAATAGGTCCCAAGAGAATCAACTGAATTTTCTATTATAGTAATGTCTAATAAAATGTCAAATTTGATACATAACAGTCTATCAATTGACACACTGTTAAAGGTATCCCCACAACACATACTCTGCTTAGTATCAGGTTTCCAGAACTCCAGAAATTCCAGAATATTGTTTCTTATTAAACAATAAGGCCTGATGAGAAAGTAATTTAAGTACACCTTTTAAACCTTTTTCAAATTTTATATTATAGAAAATATATTTTGAGGAAAGAATCTAACATTGCAATTTCAGTTTTTTCAAATATTACATATTAAAATGTCTATAATGTCATAATTAGGGAAAAAGTTATTTTAAAATAAAAGGGAAAAATGAATACAAAGCAAATTTCTGTTACAATCATATGGAGGTTTAAGAACAGGACTTCTAGAGCATGACTTGCTCTGGAATAAATACTGGCATTACCATTCACTGGTTGTTTGACTTAGGCAGCAAATTATTTATCTATTCTGTGCCTGTTTTCTCAGCTGTAGAGGGTTTGATACACAACCACAAGGATTCAGGAAAAAGGAATGGACCAGGTTATGTACATTTTAAAAGTATCTTTGGGTATTCATGACCAATTATTAACTGCAATAGGGGATTTACAGATCTAACTTCTACAATCATAATTGTTATGTAGTTTCTGTATATAAACATGAAAAAATTACCAAAAAGTATGGAATTTTAAAAAATAAAAAGTATCCTGAATCATAGCAATTATGTTTTCTTACTTACTGGGTGATTTGCTGAGGCTTATCTTCTCCATAGGTTTTGCTAGTTTGGGTTTCTTGATAAAGGTTCCACTGGGCTTATTAAATGGCTGCATCATTTTTCTCTTTATTCCTCTTGCAGCAGCAACTGTCACATTGGTGGATTTGTTTTGATAGTCAACAACAATTCCGGGTCTATGAATGCTTCCAAAATCACCCATATGCTGTAAATTTGTGAAATCAATAAATATTAGCATATTGTCCAAGAAAAAATATGAATTCATATAAAATTTTCATGTTAACTATCTACTAATTTTCACCTGAAAATTCCCTGGAATGTAACTAAATTTTACATGTCCATTCTGAAAAAACACATTGAAAAACTCTGTAAATTATTACATAAACTCAAATCCATTGAATTAGTATTTTTATTTCCAGTAGAACAAATAATGAATATTTGCTAACTATGTTTTTACTTTTACATTTCAAAATTACTTGAGATTATAGACAACATATGTGCCTGTCCAAATGTTACCACTTGTACAACTCTCTGACAACTCCTCTTCAGAGTTCCTAATTGATGTTTTCCCATGAAAAGACCCTAAAAGAAATCTTTATTTTACTAAAACTAAGATACACAAAGAAGACCATATTTGTAGTTTGAAGTAAAAAAGATCCAGAAATCATTTAGTATTCTCCCTGTTGAAAAAGGGAATGAGAAGGCGAGATGGAACATTAGTATGAAATAGGAGAGTTAAAGCATAACCATGCATCAACTTCCAAGACACACTTCAGATAAAGAATTGCATCTGACGTTCCATTCACATTCTTACCTAGAGAAACATTTTCTGACCCAGAAGCCCAAGAAACAAAAGTTTACAGATGAAGAGTCATGCAACCAAACGACTCTTTGTGTCCCTTCCTCTTCTCTTGTCATTATCCAAATCTACTACACCAAGAGGCCACATGTCCACAGAAATTTATTCTGCTAATCTTACTTTTAGAAGATAAAGATGGAGGAGTAATCTGAAGAGAAGGACCCAAGGGGAATTGTACAAGTGAAGATTTAAAATGTAGGTCCTATTGGCTCATCTACTTCACTAACAGGAGGAAAGAAAGAAAAGTCCATTCAGACTAGAATGGTAAATACAAAGTACAGGAATACTTGTTTATTATGAAAACGAAATTTACTTTTGAAGCCTCATTAAGAAAACACACTTTGTCTAAAATAATATACAGCATGGAAAATATTAAGTGTTTTCCAAATTTTCAAACTAGAATGGATTTTCAATTCAAAACCCAAAGCCTATCATCCCAACTATTTTCAATTAACCTATGATCATGAAGTATAGTGGAACTGTAATGTATCAGTTGCTTACATTTGTATACTATGCTCAGGAATGCCTATCTAACCTAGTTGTGTTTCCAGGTAATTTAAAAAGTCACAACAGGAAAATCTTCCTTAATTACGCATTAAAGGTGCAATGCATTTTTACATAAGTAAAGAGTAACTGTTAAAAATGCAAAATTTCTACACAAGTATAACAAGCTACACTGACATATCAAAAGCTAATAACCAGTCAAAAACGTGTACCCTACTACCTTTTTTACTAGAAATACTTTCCTCTGCAAATAAAATATTAAGAGCAGCTGACTTAAAAGGATTCTTACATTATAACAAAAATACAATACTCTTTAAATGATCAAACTATATAATAACCCCACAATCTGCATACACTTACTAGGTAAATTTTCATGTCAATCAAGTGACCTAAGAACATAAAGCATAATGTTTACACTATGTACCCTAAACTTAAACAACTGTGGACTAGTATATTTACTCATTTAAGCAATAATTTACAAAATATTACTTCCTAAGAAGAAACCATAAACATATCTGTACAGGTGGAAATTATTTCTCAAGAGTAAAACTAGTAACACGAGGGAAAATAAAACAACCAGCAACTGGACATATTGTAAGCGTGAGTTAGCAAAATTACACTGACCACAAATCATTGTACAATCTATTATACACATCAACTTCTTCACCACATAAACATGGCTAAGCTATCCTGATCTATCATCAACTTTTAGTCTCCTGTGTTTAATGTGAAACATGGAGCTTTGAAGAAATTCTACTTGCTAGAGTTTAGCCACAAAGTATAAACATTTTATCATACATTGCACCTTTAACCTACTCAAAAACTCAAAAAGGGTTCAGTGACCTTTCACAATAATCCACAAACTATTCCACCAGCAAAACTGCTAGTGTTTACAAGGAAAATGCAACTCCTTTTAACCCCTTTTAGACCAAACCAGTAGCCTCACCTTTTTAATAAAGGGAGATTTGGCACAACTTTATGATCATCTCAAACTGCCACTTATTTTCTGAGGTGCTAGAAAAACTTTTACAGTCAACCTAAAAATTATGTTTATGACTCAGCTTTTGCTTCAAAATACACCGGGATGAACAGTGTTTATTCTAGTTGAAAACGATGGTCTTGAAAGGGTTTAAAAGAGTGACTAGTGAAAAGAATCTGAAAAGATTCTGTTGTACTTACTCCTCGGCCTCGGCCTCTGCCTGTTGATGGTCCTCCAAAAGCATCATAGTTTCTGCTTCCAAACGTACTTTCAGGATAAGCAGGCGTTCCTCTCCCCCGAGAGCCTACAGGTGCAGGCTTCATATGGGGTGAAGAAAAACTGCTGTAGGAAGAGTAATTCTCTCTTCCTCTGTCCTCCATAAACCCAGGCCTCAATTTTGAACGGGAGTAAGGTGCTTCCCAGCTAGACCCGCCCTGGTTTCTACCTCCGAAAGAGTCAAGGCTATTCCGGTAGGAGCTCTCAAATCGACCACCATAACTACCTCCGAAGCGGCTTTGTTCGGGTTCATTAAAACCATAGCCAGATCTGTACAGATCTCGCCCACCCAGAGAAGACCTGGAGTCGTAAGACTCATAAGGTCCAAACCTGGAAAAGTTGCACAGTGAGGGAAAAAACAAAAGTAAGCTTACTAATGTTAGACAATTCAAAAGACAAATTATCAGATGACATTTATCAACTAAAATTCATTTATACCATACTGGTTTGCACAGTTCTACTTTTGTTCACATTTGATTAGGGCTGGGCAGTTCAACGTGAGACCAGATAGAAAGCTATCTGAGTCAGATTATAAATATGAATTGAGTTTAGTAAAACTTAGCTTTAAAATCTGCTTCTTAGCAGCTTTTCTATTTTATGAAGAAGAAAAGATTTGTCTGTCATTATTTAAGCCCAGCCCTAGTCTTGGAAAAGGTCATTTGCTAAAGTTCACAAACTATTCAAACTTTTTTGAATCTATCCCTAATATTAAAAATTACAAAACATTTACAATATTTTGGCTTTCAATAGGGACACAAATTGAAGTCTACTTAGATGTAGGTTATTTGTGACACAGAGAGATCCTTTTGCACTCCCAATAATCTATATCACAAACTGCTTCATTGTGTCTGTAGGAGTCAAAATTTGGGGAATTATCTCTGGTTATAAAAATTTAACAATCTGCCAAACTTCAGCCAAGGTCAATTAATCAATCCTCAATCACTTTTTACTTGTAGACTAGAAAATCTAACAAATCTAGAAGGATAAACAGATAAAACATAAAAGATCACCAACATATACCCTCTGCATATGAATTTTCAAGGCAGATGAGAAAGAATACATCTTATAATATATTCAATTATTTGCAAAATTATTTCCTTCAGGAAATTATCACATAAAACTACCCTAAAAAAGGGAGCACACAGTCTCCTCGAGGTTTTAAGAGAGTTAACAGAAGAAATAAATCATCTTCCTTCTCACAAACCCAAAGCATGGATTACAAAAGTTGCTTGATATCTTACAACACAATTTTATAAAGGCCCACAATTACACATGAGATAAAACAATAACATCTACGGATATAGCTTATGCACATTACATTCACAATATAAAAGGGCAATAACTGACATATTAAAACATTAAGTGTTACATTACTTCAATTATTTACAGATCACTAAATAGATTTACTTCTGAATCCTAGTAACCATATAAAAATTATTCCTATTTCCAACTACATTTTTCAAAACATCTATCACATAAGCAAAATAGTTGCAACTGTTCACTTTCTTAATTTTTCTTTACTATAAACCATAGTGGTACACTGGAAGCAGAAAGAAGGAAAGTAAGCATCATTCAGTCCATCATTAAGGAATCCGGATCCTTCAATTTATGCAGAAGGATGACTGTTTCACATGTCTACTAACTAGTTTTACTTATATTCAGCAGGAACCTTTGTGCCTCAAAAAGTAGACACCCCTTCTCCTGAAATATGGTCAACCTTAAAGCTTGTAGTTGTTTAAGTAGGTTTAAGCTTTATACAGTAGTAACAGGAAAATATAAATACAATCTCGACTAGTCAAAGGTATAGTATTCATGGCTTTAATACAATGCTTCTAGCCTAGAGCACAAGTGCTTTGGTGTAAGTAGTACCTGTCAATAAATAACCTGAACATAATTTTAAAAATATTTTTATTATTGCAATATGCTCTTCCTTTAAAATTAGAATTAAAGGAATATGTCCTGAATGTTTCTTGGAAAGTAAATGTTAGACTGGTTCAGTAAAATCCATTCTAGTTAGACTGCTTTGCTAATTTACATAGCACCCCACATTAGAAAAGATTTTTTTTAATTATTAAGAAAAAGCTTCATAAATAATATTTTCAATAACATTTTTATATCATTTTTCAGGATACTTTGATTGACAAGAAGTTAAAAGTAAAAGAATTTTTTAAAAGTTCACTGCTAAAAAGTGTATCTTACTCTATTATATTGACATGATATAGTTATCTGGTGTTTTCCTAAAATAACGTCTGCCAGTAATACTGATTTAAATTTTATACCCATTAATTAACACCTTTAAATATTTAAGGTGATGATTCAATAGCAAACAGTGAAGTTCAAGTATCATAACATGCCTAAAGAGTACTTAAAATAATATATCCAAAATCTTATAGTTGTCTAATTATTTGGCCAAATGATTAAGCAATTTACCTGCTACCCCCACCACCACCACTGTGATTGTCCATGCCATATGACTGGTTTAGGTAGGAATCCATGGATCTCTGACCCCCATAGGATCCATGGCCATAGTCACGATCCATCCCTATAAGAGTTTAAAAAGAAAAAAGTTATATGATGCTCACCTTTACTGGCACTCAAAAGAAGAATTTTTAGATAAATATCCTTGAATGTCAGACCTCCATAAGATCCAGGGCCATAATCACGATCCATTCCTAAAAGAGAGTCAATAAGAAATTGTCAGTAAAATACACCATTCTCTTCAGGGATCTTTGCACAAAACACAAGATATTCCTATCTATCACCTGAGATAATTTACCATTAACATTTAAACTAAATTCACACTAAATGCTGAAGGGAAAAACACAAAGATGAGAAGCTACTAAATCAAATTTGCTAAAAAAAAAAAAAAAAAAAAAGCCCTGATATTTCAAAGAAAAACATATTTTCAACTAAAAAGTTCTATATTAGAATTATTTTTATTTTCTTTTGAGACTGGGTTATGAGACTGGCTAATTTTTGTATTTTTGATAGAGATGGGCTTTCACCGTGTTGCCCAGGCTGGTCTCGAACTCCTGGGCTCAAGCAATCCACCTGCCTTGGCCTCCCAAAGTGCTGGGATTACAGGCATGAGTCACTGCACCTGGCCACAGAATTATTTTCAATTTAACCAATATTTGTTGGACTAGGGGACTACTATAAGGCCTTGTATTAAGTACTATAGCATATATAATTAATGATACATAATTCCTATTCTTAAAAGAAGTCAGCATTTAATAAAGTCAAAGGGGAAATTTTTGTCCTATATGACAGCAGTAGACTATACTTGTTTTCTGCATCTAACTGCTCTTTAAATGTCTGAAAACTCAGAAGCAGCCACATTTCCAATTAGCCTTGTTCACAGTAATTGAAACAGATATTTTTAAAAAGTAAAATCACAGATTGAGACCAATCTATGGCACTGTGCCTATAAATTATGACTCAACAAATGAATGCAAATTCTAGCAATGTGAACACTAAAAAAAAAAAACTAATACAATAAGCATATTAAGTCTATTTTATTACACTGCAATTCTGCCTATATACCAACCTCTGATATGAAAAATAAAACAAAAGAGGTAACAAAATCAATTTAGGATGACTACAAAAATCAGAAAGTAAAACAAACATTTAGAATTTGTTTTCTATAAAGTCCTTTAAAAATCCCTCATTACTCTCCCCAAATGTCATACACAAATAAATACAATAGTACACACAGAGTAAATATCTTAATTTTATATTTTTTAAAACATTAAATTTTATATAATCATATAATATCTCTAGTCCCAACAATAATGACAACAATAACAACTTTATAAAAATAGTACTCAAAGTCATCCAACTTTAAACCTGGTAGCAACCTGAATGTTCAAAATCAATCCTCTCATTTTATAGATCTGGGGAACTGACGTCCAAAGAGATGAAATGATTTTCCCAAAATTCTATACATATCCTCTTGTCTAGTCTCATGCTATTGCTTCTACATGAAACATTTTCCTCTGCTACCCTAAATATCAGCTTATTGAAACTTTCTAATCTTTTAAAGTCCATTTCAAATCCTAATGCATTCAAGAAAACTTTTACTGATACTCTCTCAGCTGAGTGTCATCCTTCTTCTGAATATTTACAAAAGCCTGTAACTCTCACGTGGTGCTTGTGATACTCTGCCTTACTCTGCCATTTGTGGCCTCATCTTAAATTTACTAGTCCTGTGGTAAAGGTCCAAATTTTATCTTAGAACAGCAGTTGCTGGGCGCGGTGGCTCACGCCTGTAATCCCAGCACTTTGGGAGGTCGAGGCAGGTAGATCACGAGGTCAGGAGATCAAGACCATCCTGGCTAACACAGTGAAACCCCGTCTCTACTAAAAATACAAAAAAAATTAGCTGGGTGTGGTGGCAGGTGCCTGTAGTCCCAGCTACTCGGCAGGCTGAGGCAGGAGAATGGCATGAACCCAGGAGGTGGAGCTTGCAGTGAGCCAAGATCGTGCCACTGCACTCCAGCCTGGGCGACAGAGTGAGACCCGTCTCAAAGAAAAAAAAAAAAAAAAAGAACTAAGTGAAAACATTGTTTTAACGAAAACGACCGACATTATTTGTTGTCAAGGATAAAATTCATGCTTTCAAGTGAACATTAGAATTTTTTAAAAGTTGTATCTACCACCTTGAGCTTGACACCTTCCCAATACTTAAAGGCTTTCTGAAAGGTTGGTGGTGGTATCACTGAATATGATTTTTTAAATATTGTGCCATAAAACTGATCAATATTTGGAAAATCTGCATTTTATATAAAAACTAGTATTTTCCAAATAATGCCGATATTACAAAATAATATATGGTAAAAAAGATCCATTCAAAGTGCAAGACATACTAATGGGTTTTAATATAACAGTACAAAAAGTTTATCAATATACAAAACATATGGAGATATGTTACTGCTTTTTTCATTTGAAGACTTCAAATCTGGTGTGTAATTTACACTTACAGAGCACTTCAATTCAAACTATCCATGTTTTAAGTGCTCAACAGTAACATGTAGCTAGTAGCTACCAAACTGGACAACACAGTCCCAGATTAATAAAATAGTTAATTTTTTGTGATACAGTTGGTAAGTATATAGTAAAATTTATGCTCATATCTCTCAGAGGATAATTCTGAGATTAAAATAAAGTTTTCAAAATGAAAAGTTTTCCTCTAAGGCCTCATATTAAAAAATAAGATTATGTTTAGTCAGGTACACAGAGAAAAAAATCTTATGTTTTATTTCTGCTAGTTTCTATTTTGAGTTAGCACTGGCTGCCTTTGAATATTAAAACCTTTAGTTTTTTGTTCTATTTATTTCACTATAATCATAAAATTATTAACATTTATTGTACACTAACCATGTATGTGTTAGGCACTGTGAAATGTACAAAAATTAATAAAGCTACTTTTATATAGCAATGATTCTGTTTGATTGTTCATAGTAATGTTACTACTCATTTAAACAGGAGGAAAAGTCTTTATATTGTATACAATCAGTGTAGTTATAGGGCTACAGATAATGTAAGATGACTGCTTTTTTATAAATTTTTCTTCCAGGTCACCAAAATGAATTTTAAAATCACTTTTAAAAATAAAACCATGAGAACATAGTAGTATATCTTAAATGATAGTAATTTACCCAGAAAAATAAAACTGACCTAATAATTTAAATCAAATATATTCTATCACTTGGATCACTCTATCATACAAATAATACGCTCAAAAATGCTAAAACTCATTTTTAATTAAAACACAAAGCAGCAGCTGTGACATACTGGGGGAAAAAAAACTGACCTATGGGCTGGGCAAGGTGGCTTACACCTGTAATCCCAATCCTTTGGGAGGCCAAGGCGGGTGGATCACCTGAGGTCAGGAGTTCAAGACCAGCCTGACCAACATGGTAAAACTCCGTCTCTACTAAAAAACACAAAAAAAATTAGCCAGGCATGGTGGTGGGTGCCTGTAATCCCAGCTACTCAGGAGGCTGAGGCAAAAGAATTGCTTGAACCCAGGAGGCGGAAGTTGCAGTGAGCTGAGATCACACCATTGCACTCTAGCCTGGGCGACAAGAGAGAAACTCCACCTCAAAAAAAAAAAAAAATTAAAAACTGACCTATGACCAAAATAACTAACTATGTGACATTAAGTCTTGAGTGGGACTACTTTTTAGCAACTCTACACTACCAGCACCCTACTACAAGATACCAACATCTACCACCTAGGTTATTGCAAAAGTCTCCTAACTGGTTTTCCTGCTCCACTTTTGCTCCTTTGCTGTTTTTTCTGAAGACAACAGCCACAATAATTCTGACAAAATGTTAAGTTCAATCATGTTCAATGCTCAGTAACCTCCAATGGGTTCCTCTTATTCCAAGTAAAAGCCAAAGCTTAAAATAACATCTAAGAACCTATACCAGTGGTTCTTAACTAGGGGAGATTTTGCACCCCCTGGGGACATTGGCAATGTCTGAAACATTTTTGGTTGTCACAACTAGGGGGCAGATGCTACTGACATCTGGCATATTATAGAGGCCAAGGAGGCTGCTAAATGTTCCACAATGCACAGGACATCCCCCTACAACAAAAAATTACCCAGTCCAAAATGTAAGAAATTTGAGAAACCCTGCCCTACATGATATGCCCCATCACCTCTTAACTTCATTATCAATTACATACACCCCTGTTCACTCCACTACTACAACACCAGGCCCCTTGATGTCTCTAGAACACAAGGTGTATACCCATTTTAGCAGCTGCTGTTCCCTCTGCCTGGAATGCTCATTCCCCTGAACCTGCACTGTTTACTCCCTCAACTTTTTCAGGTCTTCACTTGTATTGCTTCTGATATATAAGCAAATTATCTTTGATTTTCAATGCTTTCTGGCTCCACCTCACCACTCTAACCTTGTCTTAAGATTGCTCAGCAAAAAATCATCTGTTCTAGTCAAGCCAGCGTTAAGGTCTTGCTCTGTCACCCATGCTGGACTGCAGTGGCACAATCATAGCTCACTGCAGCCTCCACCTCCTGGGCTCAATCGATCCTCCCATCTCAGCCTCTGGAGTAACTGGAACTATAGGGGGGCACCACCACGCCTGGCTAATGTTTTTAAAAAATTTTTTTGTAGAGACAGGGTCTCACTATGTTGCCCAAGCTAGTTTCAATCACCTGGCCTCAAGCAGTGCTCCTACCTCAGGCTCCCAAAGCACTAGGATTATAGGCATGAGCTACCACACCCTTTTCTCTCCCCTTTTCTATATGCTATTTATGTAAAAGGTATTATGAAGCAAGAAGGAAAACATGGAGACACTGGAAATACATTTTCCTTCCAAGAAATAGTGTGGGGAAAATCTGTATCTTGCCATGTTTTCCAATGCCTTCTACTTCATTTCACTTCCTAGAAAATACAGTGCTAACAATAAAATATATTTTTGGCTTTTTGGTACCTACACACTGTTTATTTCTTAAAGCCCGTAAGTCTTCTTCTAAATGGCTTCATGGCTTGCATACTCACTCATCTTAAATCTATGCTCAAATGTCATCTTTTTGGTGAGTCTTTCCCCAGAGACTCTAAAATTGCAACACATACAAGCACACACACACATTTATCCTCCTTCTCTATGTTACTCTCCCTCGCAATGATCATCATCTAACATACAATAAATATTACTCCCTTTTTCCCCTGTGGACTAAATTATGACATATATATTATTTCTTATCTTGTTTACTATTTCATCCCACTAGACGGAAAGCCTCACAAAGGCAGGAATATTTGTCCATTTTGTTCACTGCTATATTCCCACCTCCTAGAACGATATCTGATGCCCAGCAGGCACTAAATAAATATTTGCTGAACAAAGTCAAATTGAATCCCTGAAATTAAGTTCCTCATTTGTAAAATATAGATAATCTAGACCTAGAAGTACTGTCAAGCATTGGTCTTTAATCAGAGGTGCCTTCCAAAATCATTCAGAGTAGTTTTGCACAACATACACAGCCAAAGACCACTTGCCCTGAAATTAAGATTCAAGAGGTATAGGCTATGTGTGAAAAGAGAGACTTTGAAAAAGCTCCCCAAGAGATTCCAACAATCACCCTCAGATGAGAACCAGTTATAACTAAAATTAAGAGAAAAAATAAAAGTCATATTAGATCTTTTTGCAACACTGTATACTAATTAATAAATAAACATCTGGCCCTGCATGAGTCTGCATTTCAAGTCCTATGTTTAGACATTAAATCCAACTATCCAGTAAATCCTAGATGGCCTTTTATCATTACAAACTCTCTCCCTCTCCCCCTCCCTCTTCCCCTCCCCCTCTCCCTTGTAAAAGCACTAGTCATACATTCCAGTTTAAAATCCTGGATTCATTTTTATTCAACCCTCTCAATTTTCTACCCATTACTAGTCAGCCTGCAAGTTCTGCTAATTTGCTCTTTATTTTTAAGATTACTACTACTATCACCTCCCAAGTTCAAGGCCTTAAAATCTTTATATCAAAACTTATGAAATGGCTTTCTCGTTAATTTTCCAGTTTTCAATATAACTTACATGTGGATGCAAATTAAACTTCCTTTGGTAATTTTCAATTTCCAGCTCACAAATACATTCTTCAGTACTAACTCCCTATATGTTAAGCCTTTTTAGCCCACATGAAATCCAAAGTTTATCTTAATCTTTAAAGATAATGAAATAAAAATTAACTGTTCAGTAATTATTCCCATAAATGGCATAGTCTTTAGTATACATTTGCTTCAGTTTTACTTTGTGAATATATTCTATTCTGTACGAAAGTTGGATTTTACATTTCTCTGGCAATCATGATATTTAATGCCTCAAGTCCTTCATATGTTTTTTAACCTGCATTAATTGTTCTGTGTTCTTTTTTTGTATTATTATCTTGTGTGGCAGGGCCCTAACTCTAATAACTATCAAAATGACATCCAATTGTATTCTACATACCTCTCATGATTCTATCTAGTTCTATAGTCACAAGTCTAATGTCATGCTCATGTCAATAAACAATCAAGCTTCTTCATGTGCTCCTCTAGACAGCTCTTTATATACTAACACATTTGGACACACTGAAGAAAATGACCTCAAAAACAAGGTCAAAATGCATTACAATACAAGCTATATAGAACCAAGCCAATAATCCACTTAGTCTACATTACTCAATACCAAAGCCTCTAATTCAACCAAAATAACTCAGCCAGTGTCTTGTGATTCATCACTCAGAATGTAGTTAGGCCCTTTGGAACACATTAAAATAATCATAATTCAAACAAAATGGACCAAAAAAAAAATCAAACTAATGTGAATAACCCCTAACATTTTCTGATAGCACATTCCCCAATTCAAATACTATATATAGTAAGACAATATTAACACATAAATGATATATCAAGAACCAAAACAAGGACTGAAATAGGTAGAACTGGCCTTTTACATTGATACTATATTTTTATGCGCATGAAGAGAAAAGCTGAAAGAGGATACTTACCATTAAAGCCCTGATAAGTATTCCTGCAGGCGGAGTGTGTGTAATCTATGAAGACACATTTAACAAAAAGGAATTAGTGTGATATTAGCAATAATTCAAAATTATATGCCGATCCAGTAAAAAACAAGCACAATTTTTAAAATGACATTAACCCAATTATCTGCAAAACTGAGAATAGTTAAAACAAATAATTACCAATACTCCATTCCAGAAAATGTATCTCTTTTTTCTTCACTATCTCCCCAAATGGTAGGTTTATTATCCAAATTATGGTAAACATTAGTTTACAACACCTGATACATAATAACAGCCAAAAGAGGGGATTCAGCACTGATTTGTACCAAGTAACACAAAGGCAGATAGATTAAATTATGTATCAAATAATGCAAAAGCAAAGACATCTGAGAATTGTACGTAACATGAAATTTTTGCTAAGTTAATTTCTTTTACCATTTAATTTGCTCTTTAAAGATTTCAAGATCTTGGCCGGGCACGGTGGCTCACGCCTGTAATCCCAGCACTTGGGAAGGTGAGGTGGGCGGGTCACGAGGTCAGGAGTTCGAGACCAGCCCGTCCAATATGGTGAAACCCTTTCTCTACTGGAAATATAAAAATTAGCCGGGCCTGGTGGTGCGTGCCTGTAGTCCCAGCTACTAGGGAGGCTGAGGCAGAAGAATCACTTGAATCCAGGAGGCAGAGGCTGCAGTGAGCCAAGACTGCACCACTGCACTCCAGCCTGGGCGACAGAACGAGACTCTGTCTCAAAAAAAAAAAGATTTCAAGATCTTATCTGAGACATGCATATGCATATACATATATGACTGTGTTCTATATTCAAGCAGAATGTGTCATCACTGAAAACCATATTGCCAATTTCCTCATCAAAACTAATTTAACAACTGTTAAATTCTTTAGTTAATTTTACAAATATATACTGAAAGAACAGAATTTAATATAGTGGTCATCTGGATACAACAGAATCCTGCTACACTATACAGGAATAGATTCATATATGGTGTTAGTCAAACTCCATCTTCCAAATACAGCAGTGGTATATTTGGGCAGTGAGACAGGGCGTATTTCATCACTAATATTGTTTAGAATTTCTATCACTGACACTGTTTAGAATTCTGGCATATGGCAATAACAGAAAGCAGACATACTACATTTTATTATTGTTTTTCAATTCTCCATAGAAATGGATTCCCTTATTGCCTTGGGTGGGGAGTGGAAAGAACTGTTTCTACTGCCCCACCTCCACTTTGTTAGCCTCTGCTATACCTTGGGTGTTGGCATTATCATCAAACTACAGCATGAAAATACAATAATATATTTTTTATTTTCACTCCCAACTCTGGCCACTTCAAATATTCATAGTTTTTTGTTTTGTTGTTGGTTTTTTGTTTTTTTTTTTTCAGACGAAGTTTGGCTCTTGTTGCCCAGGCTAGAGTGCAATGGCACGATCTCGGCTCACTGCAACCTTCGCCTCCCGGGTTCAAGGGATTCTTCTGCCTCCGCCTCCCAAAGTGCTGAGATTACAGGTGTGAGCCATCGTGCCCAGCCCAAATATTCATAGTTTAAAGGTATCTACATCAAAATGAGTTAAAGTCCAACCAAAACAAACAAAACCACGAGAGTGTGCTACTCTTAAGAGCTGAACTTACTATTTCAAAGTAACTGAAAAGTATCTACAAGAGGGCTATTCCAGTCCCCTTTCACAAATCTGTACCTAGATATGAAAGCTTTAATTCTTTGTTGCATGAAATGTTATGAAAAATCAAAAGCTCATCGAGTAAGACATATGCTGAGATCACACCTCATTTAAAGATCATTTTTTTGGTGGGGTTAAAAGTTTACAGCCTACTTAGTGAACTGGTTTTACTTAAGCATGCCTGGTTACTCAGGATTAAATCCAGTTTAATCACATAAGTCCTTTCCCATGTCTCCCTAATGTTGTCACTACATACCACTTTATCTTGACACCAATTCCAAGCAAGGTTTGAAAACAAAAGTGAAGACCAAATTAATATTACTTTGTGACCCTGTAAAAGTGGTTTAAAGAATTAGTATCTGAGACAACTGAAAAGTATTGCTAAAATACAGTTTATTTAATCCGTAAGTCAAACACTTACAAGGCTGTGTACAGGTCTAAATGTGAAGGACATTTGATGCTTGCTGTGCCAAAATTCTGATTAACTTAAATCCTACCTACACACGATCCAAAGAAAAGTGCTTTGGTTCACATAAATATTTCAAGTTAGGGATTAATAAGCAGGTAATTTTTGGTGATAAACACCCCAGTTTACTAACCAGGAAACATCTTGCTTTCCATTTTGCATAGATATTTATCTATACATATCACTTACAGACACCCTTTCAACTCATCTTAAACCGGGACAAACAGAAACATCACTGTGAACAAGCCTCTGAAAATTCTATCTGGCAAGAAGTAACCCGAGGCTGAGGATTAACTAAACGGACGGTCTGGGTCGCTGCCCTGTGGGGCGAATGCGAGACTAGGTGGGTGAGGCCGCACTCGCCCGTTTGCCCGAGACCGGGAAGTTGGAGACGTCGGGGCAATTTCCACTACCAGGGGCCAAGGCGAGTCTGGGGCTCCAGCCCGGAGGCTCTCGCGCTCTAGGCGCGTCCTACCGGACACCGAGTTCTCTTGTCTCCGCCGGCAGCGGGCGCCGAGCGGGCCGAATCGGGGCGCGTGGGTCCCCAAAGAGGCCGACTCCGGGCGCTGGGCCCGGGGCGGGCGGGCGGCCTCCGGGCCCGCAGAACAAAGCCCACACGGCCATCTTGAGACGGTAAACAGACCCCCTGCGTAGGCCACCCCGCCTCCTGCCAGCTGCGCCGACCAGCCAGAGGCAGCGCTTACCGTCCTCGAAGTCCATGGCAGAGGCTGAGGGCCGTCGGCCTTGGCGGCGCTAGGCTGAGCTATGGCCGGCGGCGAGCGTCCGCGACCCGCGATTCCACACGATCACTCCGCGCGACCGAGAGCGGCGCGCTACCAGCCCGGGAGCCGCAGGCCACAGCGAGGCTGGGGAGGCGGGGCCGACCGGCGCTACCAGCCCCATCGGCGCGGCCTGCTATTGGCTGACGCGGGCTGGTGGGCGGGCCCTCGCGTGGGGGGCGGGAAGCAGGTCCGCTGTCACGCTCGGAGGTGCTGACCCTCTGGAGCCGCTGACGGGGAAGGAAGGTAAAAAAGGAGCGCTAAAGATTGGCGGGGGTTGTGGGAAAGCAAGCCGAGTGTACGGGAAGGGCCGGCTGCGGCCCGCCATGTTTGAACCTGGCAAGAGCGAAAGAAGCCGGTTGGAATGCCTTCTTCCTGCCCAAACTAATAAAACCGCATGCCTACCTTTTGCTTAGTATTGGCTAGGGATGACTAATCATAACATTTGTAAGTACTTACGGGGTTTCCTCCATGGAGACACAGAAGTCTGGGACGTTTCTAGAAGCCTGTGGCAAATTTGAAAAGCAAGATACAAAATAGCGTATGGAGTCTGATTATCGCTATGTCAATAAATTTTCTTAAAGGACAAAGCACTGAAATAAAATGGAAATAATAATTCTTTTAAAAAATTTTTAAATTATTTTTATAGAGATGGGGGTTTTGCCATGTTGCCCAAGCAGGTCTCCAACTCCTGGACTCAAGCGATCCCCCCACCCCCAGCCCCGTCTCCGCCTCCCAAAGTGTTAGGATCACAGGCGTGAGCCAATGCGACCCGCCTGGAAAGAATTCTAAAACATGGCCTGCTTGGCCACCGCCCAGGATCTGCAAGCTGCGCGCCCACAAGTTTCGGCACCCATTTGGACTTTCACAATCGGAGATGGCAGTGGTGAAGGCATCAACATCAAAAGCTACCAGGCCTTGGTATTCTCATCCAGTATATGCAAGATACTGGCAACATTATCATCAAGCAATGGCTTGGATGCAAAGCCACCACAATGCCTACAGGAAGGCGGTGGAATCCTGTTTCAGTCTTCCATGGTTCTTCCTTCCTGCGCTTCTTCCCCAAAGCTCTTACGATAACCAGGCTGCGTATCCTCAGTCCTTCTATGACCATCATGTGGCCTAGCAGGACTCCCCCTGCAGTTCTTCACATTTCAGAGGGTCTGGGCAACATCCACATGGCAGCAGTAGGATCCAGGCATCCACAAGAGAAGACCAAGCCTTATCCAAGGAGGAAGAGATGGAGACCGAGTCAGATGCAGAGGTAGCATGTGACCTGAGCAATATGGAAATCACCGAAGAGCTCCGCCAGTACTTTGCAGAGACAGAGAGGCACAGAGAAGAACTACTGCGGCGGCAACAGCTGGATGCGGAGCGCCTGAACAGCTACGTGAACGCTGAACACGACCTGTACTGCAACACCCGCCGGTCGGTAGAGGCCCCAGCTGAGAGGCCTGGTGAGCGGCGCCAGGCCGAAATGAAGCGTTTGTACTGGGACAGCGCCGCCAAGATCCAGGCCATGGAGGCTAACGTGCAGCTGAGCTTTGACAAGCACTGTGATCCAAAGCAGCCTAATTACTGGCCGGTCATCCCCCCGAAGTTCTGAGCTCGGGGCACAGGGCACCCAGCCTCTTCCTCTTCCTTTTGGATACGCGCTCTTCATCTCTCCTTCTGTACATTTCTCAGGGAAAGGGGACTTTGTACTGAGGTACAGGCACGTTCACCACAGTCCCAGTGGGCCTGTCACGGGGTGGATGTACTGTGCCAGCCACTTGGAGGTCGGCAGGACATATTCTGTTGCCAACATGATAAATTTTATCCTGACATAAAATGATAATTTTGTATATATTATACTGGTTTTTTATGTTGTCAGTAACAGTTCAATTCATTAAAGTTCTTGCCTAGAAAAAAAAAAAAGAATTCTAAAACATGAACGATGATTCTTTTTGTGATGACTTTTTATATACACATGATTATGTGTTCTTCTATATCTCCAAATTCTTGAGCACTTTCATAATGTAAAATATATATTTGGCCTAAAACAAGATTTATTATTTATTAATGATTAGTGTTTGTTAAAAGTTCTCTTTAGCCAAATATTATGTTTCATTTTCTTTGAAGATATACTTAGTGATGCGGAGGTGGGGGGCTCTCTTGGCCATTTAAGTCAGTGGTTCTTGATTGTGACTCTACTCTGGAATCCTCCAGGGCACTTTTAGTAAGTGCCAATACTCAGGTTTCACTTCAGGGGTTCTGATTTGATAATGAACCAAAACTGTCACCAATGTTTATTTTCAAGACATTTAAAAGAGATGTTATTGGACTAATTTCTCTTCTGTTTCAGTAACCTGTACTCCTTGAGAAAATGTCAAGTCTAGAAAAAATAACTTTAGAGACAGGCTATGATCCAGTTCTGAATTTTAAGGTGCAAATAAAAGAGCTGTAACAGTTCACAGATGGGTAAGATTTGTGGCAGAAGAGTCATCCAGAGCTTGAAGGATGACCTATAGAAACACACACACACATACTGGATTGTATTATTGCCACTTTGGAAACAGTGTTTGAGACATGGACAAAGTTATTCAAACATTCAGGAATCTGGAAAAAGACAAACTGACATTGGAGCAGTTTGAACCACAGATTAAAAAACTTTTTTTTTTTCATAGAGCAAACGGTGGCAACAATGAGTTGATCACCAGATAGGAAACCATGAATCAAATTATTTACCTTTTTTCAGGGTCCACCCAGTTGCTGGAACCAAGTTTCAAGGAGGCAACCTCTGGAAATACAACTACAAGAAAAGCTCACAGATACACTATGTGTATTACTGTTGCCCCGGAAATGGGCAGAGCATTTTTTCCTCCTCCATCCTGATTGATTCACCCTGTTCTCCACCCTTTTCTTGTTTCCTCCTTTTTTCCCTTCTATGCAGATACTTCTCCACTTACTTGAGGTTACATCCCAATAAGCCCTTCATAAACTGAAAATATCACAAGTCAAAAATGCATTTAATATGCCTAACCTATTGAACATCATAACTTCACCTAACCTACCTTAAATGTGCTTAGAACATTTACATTAGCCTACAGTTGGGCAAAGTCATCTGGCAGCACAGTACATTGTAGAATATCAGTTGTTTACCCTTGTGATTACATCGCTGACTGGGAGACGCTGCCCAGCCTTGGAAAAGAGTATCCTACTTCATGTCACTAGCCTGCAAAAAGATCAAAATTCAAAATTGGATTATAGTTTCTACTAAATGCACGTCACTTTCACACAGCTATAAAGTCAAACCATAGTAAGTCAGAGACCATCTATACATGTTTTATATTCACCTAAGCTGAACATTTTGAAAACTGAACTCATAATTTCAAACCTGTTCGTCCTCCTGTATCCTTTCATCTCTGTTAGTGGCATCATGAACAGCCACACACTAATCCCAGCTTACGAGTCATCTAGTCAAAACTCAGCCCTCCCTCATCCTCCCACCTCCAATCCATTCTGAAGTCTTTCATCTGTTTATTAGTGCCTAAAATATCTTAAACCTGCCCCCTCCTCTTCATCCCCACTGCCACAACCTAAGTTTAGACTCTCATTATCTCTCTCCAAAACTATTGCCTCAGCTTCCTAATTAATCTCTCTGTCTTTCAGCCTCCTCAGGGTTGCAGTGATCTAAATGCAAATCTCAACATGTCATCATGCGTCTCTGTCAAGGATTAGGTGTAGTCAAATCTCCTTACCCTAGAACACATGCAGCAGGATCTGGCCACTGCCTGAACTGCGTCATCTCTCTGCATTTCCCTTGCCTCCTCTCTCCCACACTCTCTCTTTTGATTACCAATTTTAGGCGACAGGTTCCCAAAACACCCCTGTGCTTTTTCATACCACTGAACTTTTGCTTATGTTGTTTCCTCTGCTTGGAACACCACCTGGTTAACCGTACTCATCTTCAAAACACAGCTCAGGATTTATTTCCTGTAAGAATCAGTCCCAGATCCCAACCCCACCCCCTGGGTCAGTACTTCTCAAATATTTAGCATGCAAATGATTCACCTAGGGACTTGTTAAGACAAAAATCACATTCAGTCAGTCTTGGGTGGAACTGGACAGTCTGTATTTCTAACAAACTTCCAGGAGATGCTGCCGCTGGTGGAGCCACACGTGGAGTAGGAAGGCCTTGGGTTCTGTGACTGCACTATCTCCCATGCATTAAATACCCTGGCTTTATGTCTTCCCACATTAAAAGCTCTTTGGGATTAGAATCAAGACTTCTTTGCATCTTAAGTGCCAAATATATATGTTTACCAAGAAAACTGAGTTCTCACTGAATGTTTTTAGCTTTTTTTTCTTATAATTTTCCCCCCGTTTTCCTCTGGCAAAGAAATGATTTTGTAGCCTGAGGTCTTTAGGTGTTGGCATGACTAGAAGGGAATAAATATTGGGTCATTGTATTTGTGTGTCATGTGTGTATGTGTGTGCACACACACATACACACACACGCCCCTCTTCCCTAAAAGAGAAGACTGCCAGACAAGGAATTCCTAACTTAGAAACAAACCTGACCTTGGCACAAATGCATGGAAAGCCACAATACACATATATTTTCTCCCTTTCCTTCCTGTTTCCCTCCTCTTTCCCAAATAGGAGGTGCTGTTCCAGAGGCAGATGGCCATACCGCAGAGATATCTCACAATACATGAGACTATCCAGCTGTCTCCTAATTCATTTATTAAACGAATATTGACTGAACACCAACTATGTACCAAGCATCATTTTCTCACTTCACAGTTATCTCTCTCCCACCCCCTACCCCCCACAGTCTAGCTAGGCTGCCTGTCCTGTTCTTACTTTGTTAGGCGCAGATTTTTATCTTAAAGGGCCAATGCTTTGTACAAAGTCTCATGCCATTTCATCTTCCATATATTTTACAACAGATGGCAGGTAAATAATGCCAGACCGGCAAAGTCCGAAGTAAAATAAAAAAGAATAGGGCTTTTTATGTGAAGATGTAAAAGGATATAGGGCTGAAGTCAAGAGAAGACTTCTGGGAGAAGGAGGAAATGTGAGGTTACACCTAGGACCTGATCCTGAGGGAGTTGTCAGAGAAGCCCCACCCTGGAACCTGAGAAGAACTAAGTGAGTGGACTCCCTGAGGAGCCAGGGACCTTTGTTCCTCATCTCCTAACCACCTGCCTACATTCCTTCTGCTCTAACAACACAGGCCCATCTGCTGTTCCCCGAACAAGCTGTGTATTTTCACTTTCCCGGACTTTGCTCATGTTGAACTCTCTGCCTCTATCATGTTTCCTCTCTTCCTTTGCCATTCTTCAGGCTCAGTATAAATGTTGCTTCTTTGTAAACCTCTCCCGAAGTTCTTAATCAGAATCCCCTTCACTCTCTGTAACCTTATAAGTGGTTATCACAGCTGGATTTTTGCTATAATTAGTGAGTGAATTAGTTATATCCTTGCCTTGCTTCTTGTTCACACTCTTTGAGTGTGGAGACCCTTCTTTGCAACCCTTTGTATGGCCTGTACATAGCACATTGTCACTATGTATGTTGAAGGGGAGGAGCATCAACCAAATGATGAAAAAACTTAGACTGAAATGAGGTCTCAGAGCTTCTTCTGCAGAAAATCACTGTTGTACAATTACTTTGGAGAGAAGGTGACAATAGCATTGCAAAGGAGAGTCTTGATTACACGATGCTTTCCTAATTTGCCGCCAAATAATTCTTCCTCCGTGTTCTTTTTTTGTTCTTGTTTTGTTTTGTTTGTTTGTTTGTTTTTCTCTGCAGCCCAAGCTGGAGTGCGTGGCGCGCTCTCCGCTCACTGCAAGCTCAGCCTCCCGGGTTCACGCCAGTCTCCTGCCTCAGCCCCCTCCCCGAGTAGCTGGGACTACAGGCGCCCGCCGCCACGCCCAGCTAATTTTTTGTATTATTCGTAGGGACGAGGTTTCACTGTGTTAGCCAGGATGGTCTCGATCTCCTGACCTCATGATCCTCCCGCCTCGGCCTCCTAAAGTGCTGAGATTACGGGCTTGAGCCACCGCGCCCGGCCATCTTCCTCCATGTTCTTTAGGGAATCCATAGAGGCTTAGAGAAGGAAGTCAAGAGCTAACAATTACAATTACTATGGTACAGCCAAGCAGCCAAACTTAAAGTAATTTCTACTGAGGATCTGAGGTCATATCAAAGAAGAGCTAGTTACAGGGCCACAATAGTGGAAAACTGCTGAAAACAGCTGGTATGACAGCATTGAATGAAATGTTATTTTATACACGGGAAGATGTCTCTCCCTGGTTTTAATATAGAACTACAAAAAGATGCAAGTGTCTCTAAAAGCTGAAAGGAATAGCAATATAAATTACAATTAACCTTTATTAAGGCCTATATGTTCATAAATGTTCCGAAGCACTTTACAGGTGTTAACTCATTTTATCTGCTCAACAATGCTATGATTGTAGGTATTATAATCATCCTTAATTTATCAATGAGGAAACTGACCCAGAAAAGTAAAGATTTGTTCAAAGTCACAAAGCTAATGAAGTGTAGCACCAAGATTCAAACCCAGTCAGCCTGGCTCCAGGGCTTAAGCTTGCATCTCTGTCATTTTGATGTACCTACTGTGCTCTACTGAGGAATTCTGATGGATACTTTACAAGCCCATTTCTTTACAATAAGGTAGGTTATACCCTTTCCCAAACAAGGAAAACTGAAGAGAAGTTAAGTAACTCACTCAAGACCATACAACCAGCAATTGCTGGCTTCATATTTATGATAAATATTGTTTAGTCATGCTTAGGTCTATTGGTGTATGGAGCCAACCTTGTAGAGCCAATACCATCATCAGAGTCCTCAGGTTTGAAAAAAAAGACTTTGCTAATCTATAGAGGATTTTTATATAATTGTGCATAATGCGGTCAAACAGAACTATTAATACATATAAGGTAACTATGTAAGTGATCAAATGCTTTGTCCTATGCTCCAGGTCTTCCTCAGATTAAAAAAAAAAAACTGGTTCATTTTATATGAATTTCTTTTCCCAGAAAGCAAGGTAAAGTTCCAAATACAAAGTGCTTTCAAAATGTAATTGATACCTTCCTTCATTGGTTACATATTATATAAAGTACACTTTTCTGGAAAATGAAGTATATTCCCTTATAGGAACTCAGTTACAACTCTGAATTATTGCCATTCATTTTATCTTACTTTTGTGTTACACTCCATCATAAATTTTAATTTACCAAGTATATTGACAGCAAGCTGGCTGTGACATGTCAACCCCACTGATTGCCAGAACTGATTTGCTGGATCTGCCCTGTTAAGATGGTGTCCCATTTCTTCCTGGCTCTGCCACATGTGTTTTTCCAAAATCTGGACACTTTACTGGAGAGGATGATTTCTCTAGATGGAGAAAGACCATGGTCTACAGAGAATCAAGTTCTTCTGCTGGAATACTCAAGGCATGTTGAGTAGGTTCCCCTGCCTGACTGTGTCTCTCCCAGTAGTTAAGATAATGAGCCACTTGAAGGTGGAGATTTCATCTTTGTGTCTCCAGCCTCCTAGCACCATACCTGGCATGTGTTAGATTTTTTAAAATGTTTCTTGAATGAAAAAAAAGGAAACAGACACACAGCCGGCTCCTGTATTCATATAGCTTCAATTCTACATGAAGGCAACACCTATAAATAAAAATACAGACACAGAACATTCAAACATGCATGGACACAATCTAAACCCCCTTCTTTAGAGTCCTTACACAGTTTACAAACGGAAAAGGCACCATCCTAGAATAGCCAGTAGAGGGCATCACACACCAAATGTAGTCAGAATGTGGCTACAGAAATTGAGTTCAAGTTCTAGTTCCTGCTGATCTGAAGGATTCTAAATGGACACCAAAGCAGAGAATATTGTTGGCCTGTGCTCTGCAAGTACCTGTATTTCTATTTTGGTGTAATCACGGATAGAAATGTTCCTGTTTGCCTCATTTCATTTTCAGAGATGACTTTTAAAGCATGAAACAGTGAAAAATGCTTATTATAATGGCAAATTTGAAAAGCAAGATACAAAACTGCTTAGGTCTATTGGTGTATGGAGCCAATATGAAATCTGATAACTGCTATGTCAATAAATTTTCTTAAAAGACAAAGCAAACCTGGCATGATGGTGTGTGCCCAGCTATCCTACTTGGGAAGCTAAGGCGGGAGGATCGCTTGAGTCTGTGAGCTCGAGGTTGTAGTGAACTGTGAATGCGCAGCTGCACTCCAGCCTGGATAACAGAGTGAGACCCTGTCTCAAAAAAAAAAAAAAGAAAGAAAAGAAAAGAAAAAGAAAAGACAAAGCATTGAAATAAAATGGAAAGAAGAAACATGAACAGTGATTCTCTTTGTGATGACTTTTTAGATATACATGCATTTTTATTTTTCTGTATCCTCCAAATTTCTTGAGCACTTTGATAATGTAAAATATATATTTGGCACAAAACAAGATTTAATATTTATTAATGGGTAGCGTTTATGAAAAGTTCTCTGTAGCCACATATTGTGTTTCATTCTTTTTGGAGATATAGTTATTGATGGTGGGTGTGGGGAACCTCTATTGGCCATTTAAGTCCGTGGTTCTTGATAGTGGCTCTTCATTGGAATCACCCAGGGCACATCTCCATCGCCAAACTCAGGCCTCACTTCAGGGATTCTGATTTGATGATGAACCTAAAACTATCAACAATGTTTATTTTCAAGACACTTAGGAGAGGTGCTATTAGAATAAGTGCTCTTCTGTTTCAGTAACTTGTACCTCTTGAGAAGAAAATGTCAAGTCTAGAAAAAGAACTTCAGAGATTGAATAACCACACACTAACTGATTGATCTATGTGTGGGAAATGGTGTAACAACTACACCCTGAATCAGGGCTGCCACAGTTGTATGTGTGTATACAACTTACAGCTCTAAAAACTGGCTTGATTCCAACATTTCCTCTAACTACCCTGCAGCCCTTGGGAGATAATTAGCTAATGACAGTAAAGGGCTTTTAAACTTGAAACATGTTATATAAATGCTAAACACAGGAAACACACAGAGGATTTCCACTGATTGCCAATACTTTGCAACCAGAGACAATTGGACACCTCTTTCAGCCAATTTCTTTTTTTTTTTTTTTTTTTTTTGCAACTGAAATCTTCCTAATCTTTAATCCCAGGGAAACAAAGGAAGTTCTTTTTTTAATGCCTTTCCTACAAATCAAAGACCTAAGAGGGTTGCTCCTTTGACTATCTCACAAGTGAGGTTCCAACAAAACACCACGTTGTAATGTGGTTTGTATGGATGAAGGTTTTGCAGTTCGCTGGTTTGCTTGTATAACTGAAGCTGGGTGCTACCCAAAAAAAGGGTCATACCAGGTTGTCCAGTAGGAGTCCTGGTACTACCCTATACATCATCTCTTGTTTAAAGCAAATAATTTGTGCATGTGGTAATAAATCACATTGTATAAAATAATTTCCATTGAAAAGCAATAGCCTTTCCTCCCTCCCCTTCTTGCTCAGCTCCAGTTCTTCTGCAGAGAAAAACTTCCTTGTTTCATCTGGTATGAGATCACTTGGTGTTTACTTCCATTGCACTCTATATTGCTCTTCTTGGTTTACCAACTTTAATCAATAGCGTTAATTTCACAGTATAAAAATGAGCACGTCTCATATTACCCTCCTCTTCCCAATGTTTAAAACAGTAATCATATATTTTATTTCCTCTTTTGGAACTAAACTTTTATATTTTTAAATAAGTACTCAAATTTCTATTGATTTTTAATAGCATATCTCTGGCTTTCTGTTCTATAAAATGTAGTGGCTCCCCTTCCCATTCCTGCACTTTTCTTCTCTCTTACATTTTTGTCAGCTATACTTTACAACTAACAAAATGGTTAATATTTGTATTGTGTACTGCCATCATAAAAAACTATTTTCTACTTTTTTTATAGGTTGACTTTAGAAGTTAAAAATCTACATAATTCCTTCCAAAAAGTGAGAGGTGACAGCGTGCTGGCAGTCCTCACAGCCATCGCTTGCTCTCTGCGCCTCCTCTGCCTGGGCTCCCACTTTGGCGGCACTTGAGGAGCCCTTCAGCCCGCTGCTGCACTGTGGGAGCCCCTTTCTGGGCTGGCCAAGGCCGGAGCCGGCTCCCTCAGCTTGCAGGGAGGTGTGGAGGGAGAGGCGCGGGCGGGAACCAGGGCTGCGCGTGGTGCTTGCGGGCCAGCGCGAGTTCCGGGTGGGCGTGGGCTAGGCGGACCCCGCACTCGGAGCCGCCAGCCGGACCCACCGGCCCGGGCAGTGAGGGGCTTAGCACCTGGGCCAGCAGCTGCTGTGCTCAATTTCTCGCAGGGCCTTAGCTGCCTTCCCACCAGGCAGGGCTTGGGACCTGCAGCCCGCCATGCCTGAGCCTCCCCAAGCTCCGTGGGCTCCTGTGCGGACCGAGCCTCCCCGAGGAGCGCAGCCCCCTGCTCTATGGCACCCAGTCCCATCAACCACCCAAGGGCTGAGGAGTGCGGGCGCACGTTGCGGGACGGGCAGGCAGCTCCACCTGCAGCCCCCCACTGCAGGATCCACTGGGTGAAGCCAGCTAGGCTCCTGACTCTGGTGGGGACTTGGAGAACCTTTATGTCTAGCTAAGGGATTGTAAATACACCAATCAGCACTCTGTATCTAGCTCAAGGTTTGTAAACACACCAATCAGCACCCTGTGTCTAGCTCAGGGTTTGTGAATGCACCAATCCACACTCTGTATCTAGCTACTCTGGTGGGGACTTGGAGAACCTTTTTGTCCACACTCTGTATCTAGCTAATCTAGTGGGGACGTGGAGAACCTTTGTGTCTAGCTCAGGGATTGTAAACGCACCAATCAGCACCCTGTCAAAACAGACCACTCCGCTCTCTGTAAAATGGACCAATCAGCAGGATGTGGGTGGGGCCAGATAAGAGAATAAAAGCAGGCTGCCCGAGCCAGCAGTGGCAACCCGCTGGGGTTGCCTTCCACACTGTGGACTCTTTGTTCTTTCACTCTTTGCAATAAATCCAGCTGCTGCTCCCTCTTTGGGTCCACACTGCCTTTATGAGCTGTCACACTCACCGCGAAGGTCTGCAGCTTCACTCCTGAGCCAGCGAGACCACGAACCCACCAGAAGGAAGAAACTCCGAACACATCCTAACATCAGAAGGAACAAACTCCAGACGCACCACCTCAAGAGCTGTAACACTCACCGTGAGGGTCCGCAGCTTGATTCTTGAAGTCAGTGAGACCAAGAACCCACCAATTCCGGACACAAAAGTATAATAAGGAAAGGGGGAGAGGACAAGTGATCATACATTGGAGAAACCTGGTAAACTCTAGCTCAATCAGGTGATTGAAGTCAGGGTCAACAGTCATACTGATAGTATGTACTATCTATACATAGTATGAATGTGCTCTTGACTTCATGTGATAAAAATGGCACCTTACCTTTGCGGTCCTCTTCACGAAACCAATCACCCCAGTCTAATAATGAGAAAAAAATAAAAATAAAAAAATCCCAAGTGAGAGACAGTCTACAAAACCGTAATTAGTACTCCTCAAAATTCAAAATCATCGAAAACAAGAAAAGCCTGAGAAACTGCTATAGCCTAGAGGAGCCTAAGAAGACGCGGCAACGAAATGAAATGTGATAACCTGGATGCGATGAGATTCTAGAAGAAAGACATGAGGGAGAAAATAAAAAAAACTGCATAAGTTATGAACTTCAGTTATTAATAACATCAGTACTCATTCATTAATTGTAACAACTGGACTATACTAATGTAAGATGTTAATACGGGAAACTGACTGCAGGGTATATAGCAACTCTCTGTACTATTTTGCAATTTTTCTGTAAATTTAAAACAGTCCTAAAAAATAAAGTTATTTAAAATGTTTTTTAAAAAATAGAAACAGGCTGGGCACGGTGGCTCACTCCTGTAATCCTAGCACTTTGGGAGGCTGAGGTGGGCAACTGCCTGTGCTCAGGAGTTTGAGATCAGCCTGGGCAACATGGTGAAACCCTGCCTCTACTAAAAATACAAAAAATTAGCTGCGCATGGTGCTGTGTGCTTGTAGTCCCAGCTACTTGGAAGGCTGAGGCAAGAGAATCCTTGAACCTGGGAGGTGGAGATTGCCATGAGCCAAGATTGTGCCACTGCACTCCAACCTGGGTGACAGAGAGAGACTCTGTCTCCAAAAGAAAAAGAAAAAAAGAATCCAATATACTGCACATACTCAATTATGAATAATATAAACATTGTTTAATGTTAATGTGCTAGGATATTTTCTTTTCCATGGACTTAATGTTATAACCCCTGGGTCTCTCAAATGAGGCTATTTCTAGCATGAAGGTCAAATGAATTGCCTTTTCGTACACTCTGTTAACTGCTTATTTTCCTGTCCAGTTGTAGTTTGCTTCATGTGTGGTCTGTGACTTTATTGTTCAGAATTTTGTTTCTCTCAAGTTTCCAATTGTCATTTTATCTTGTGTATTCTAGCCCGTGGCATTTTCTACCCATTTTAACCATTAACCCTCCCCTTTCACTTTATTTTAGGATTTGTTGAAATTTCCAGTTTATTGCTTTCTACCTCTCCCTACTACATGTTTTGTTTGTTTGTTTGTTTTGGTTTTTTTTTTCCCCTGTGCTTATTTACTTTTATTTCAGTGAGGTCATGGGGGAAGGTGAGTGCATATAGGTTCACTCTCCTGTCTCAAAAGAGAAACTTACTTCACCTTTCATACAATTTCATCAATACTTACTAGAGTATACTAGCTGAGATCTGACTCAAAGAAAGGAACAGTGTATGCAGTGTTATACTGGGCTAGTTCTAGTACTCAAGGAAAAAGAAATAGTACTTTCCATCAATTAGTGACCTTCCTGCCCCAGGTATTTCTAGAAGCAAGTTATTCTGATCAATACAATTCTCTTACTTGTTTTTAAAGAGCACATGATGGTAGGAAAATGAGTTATTTTAACAGAAAGGTTGAAGGTACTTGTCCAAGGTCATTCAGCTAATAAAATAAGTGAAAGCATTACCACTAGAAAACAAACTAGGGTAGCCGGGCACGGTGGCTCACGCCTATAATCCCAGCACTTTGGGAGGCCGAGGCGGGTGGGTCACCAGCCTGGCCAAGATGATGAAACCCCGTCTCTACCAAAAATACAAAAAAAATTAGCCGGGCATGGTGGCACGTGCCTGTAATCCCAGCTACTCTGGAGGCTGAGGCAGAGAATTGCTTGCAGTGAGCCGAGATCGCGCCACTGCACTCCAGCCTGGGCCACAGAGCGAGATTCGGTCTCAAAAAAAAAAAAAAAAAAAACAAGGGTGGCCAGAGGAGTTTTCTGACACACACCCCATCCTGAACCTGGAATCGCTGTTTCCCACTTGTTTCTCTCCGGTCTTCTCCTCTCTGACCATATCCTTTTCAGAAATTCTGAAAAGAGGCCTAGAGAGAGGGCGGGGTACGTACGGTGGGAGGCTAAGAGTACTCGCCGGGAAAGTGTCTCCTGCTTTTTCCAGGGATCTATTTGCTGTGGCTGAGATAAGAGAACTCTGGGGACTTGCCTTCCCTCTTCACTCCCTCCCTTATCCCAAACCTGCCTAGGTGGGGCTGATACAGACAGCAGGCCTGGCTCTACTTGTTTTGACAAAATATATGCCCTGGCTTTAGAATTAAATATCTCTCATTGGGTGGATAGCAGATGTTCATATTTACATAATAAATCTTTCTCCTCAAAGTTTTCTTATTCCTAAATATTCATGCTGATATGAATTACTGAAAAAAGGAAGGTCATAAGTGTATGATGTTTAGTTCAGTAAATTAGTATTAGGCAAAAGGGGCCAGGTGCGGTGGCTCACGCCTGTAATCCTATCACTTTGGGAGGCTGAGGCGGGTGGATTGCCTGAGCTCAGGAATTTGAGGCCAGCCTGGGCAACATGGTGAGTAAAATACAAAAAAAATTAGCCAGGCGTGGCGCCTGTAGTCCAGCTACTCGGGAGGCTGAGGCAGGAGAATTGCTTGAACCTGGGAGGCTGAGGTTGCAGTGAGCTGAGATTGCGCCACTGCACTCCAGCCCGGGAGACAGAGTGAGACTCCGTCAAAAAAAAAAAAAAGAAAAAAACACCATATATATTAAGCAAAATGAATTTTTTCCTGTACTTTTTAATTCTTTGTTGTTTTTTGCTTCCAGAAACTGGAGAAGAGAAAGAAAAATGCTAACAGTACACTTGACTGTTTATTTAATTGTTAAAGCATAAAGTAATGAGGGAGAAGTCCTTCCTCCTCCATATCCTACAATTGCCTTCTGTAACTCTACTCAGATATTATTCCCCCAGGGCAACAGTGATTGTATCCTCTAGAGGATGTAACTGGAGAGTCGAATAACAAAGCCGTATTCAACCTTCAAAAACCAAGGCACTAATGTGCTATAAACCATTTCTTTGGATCCCGTGTTGAAAATACACCCCTTCCTAGGAGGCAACCCTGTGCTGCACTGAGAGCTTCCATTGATTCTTATTAATTTATCTGAAAACGAAGGACAGCTGTGACTTAGCAAAATTTCTTATTTATGAGGGACACACCTCGTCTCCCTTAGCAGCTTCTCTCCATCCTCCCAGATTTTTGTTTTGGGAGCTGTACATCGCCAGTGAACTAAATGGTTCAATACTAGAATCTTCTAATTTTTTACTTGAGAATATTGGCAAATATGAATTTAAAACTCCAGTCTCTACATTGAGAAAATTCTTATTGAGGCTAAAATGAAATATTTTAAAAATCTCAAAATAGTTTGCCCTCAAAATCAATGAATGCCTAGATAAGGATAATGAGATATCCACATAAAAACTATTTAAAAATAAAAAATGTGGTTAAGATGAACTATCTGGTTATTATACATCTATTAATAGCATAAAACATTGGCATTAAAAAAATATTGGAGGCTGGGTGTAATCTTAGCACGTTGAGAGGCTAATATTGGAGGTTCACGCCTGTAATCCCAGCACTTTGGGAGGCCAAGGTGGGCGGATCATGAGGTCAGGAGTTCAAGACCAGCCTGGCCAACATAGTGAAACCCCATCTCTACTAAAAATACAAAAAAATTAGTCGGGCATGGTGGCAGGCACCTGTAATCCCAGCTACTTGGGAGGCTGAGGCAAGGAGAAATGCTTGAACCTGGGAGGCGGAGGTTGCACTGAGCCAAGATAGCACCACTGCACTCCAGCCCAGGCAATAGTGTGAGACTCCATCTTAAAACAAACAAAAAAAGGTTTAAGATAGCATTTAAATTTCAGAGTCACTACATGAGGACACATAAATACAGCAAATTATGTTATCAAAGGCAATAAGAAAAAGGCATGTTTTGATTGATCCAACACTTTAATTAATACATAGTTGACAATTTTCAAGGAATTGAAATTTTGTATGAGTTCAGTATTAAAACTAGACTGACCTAATTTAACCTATCATGCTCTCTCTCTTTTTTTTTTAGATGTTTCCAAAAATAATTCATGGACCTTATTAAAATTGAAAACGTTGCTCTTTGGAAAACATTGTTAAGAAAATTAAGAGGCAAGCCACAGATTGAGAAAAACATTTGCAATGCACTCATTTGACAAGGTACTTGTATCTAGATTATATAAAGACCTCTTTCCACCTGGAGAAAAACTATAAACGAAAATCATATGGGCCGGGCGCAGTAGCTCACAGCTGTAATCCTAGCAGTTTGGGAGGCCAAGGCTGGTGGATCACCTGAGGTCAGGAGTTCGAGACCAGCCTGGCCAACATGGTGAAACCCTGTCTCTGCTAAAAATACAAAAATTAACCAGGCGTGGTGGTGTGCACCTATAATCCCAGCTACTCAGGGGGCTGAGGCAGGAGAATCGCTTGAACCCAGGGGCAGAGGTTGCCGTGAGCCGAAATCGTGCCACTTCACTCCAGCCTGGGCGAAAGAGTGAAACTCCGTCTCAAAAATAAATAAATAAATAAAATAAAGAAAATCATACTAATAAAAGTCAAATATTAAAAGAAAATATAAAAGACAAAAAAGAACCCTTACTACTCAGTAATAAGATGACAACAACCTACTGTTTTTAAATGGCAACATATTTGAACAGATACATCATAAAATAAGACATACCAATGGTCAAAAGCTCTTGAAGAGACACTCAACATCATTAGTCATCATTGATATGCAAACTAAAGCCACAATCATATATTACCATCCATCCAATAGAATGACTAAAACTAGAAATATATAATAGCTGGAACTCTAACACACTGCTGATAGGAATGTAAATGGTACGACCACATTGGAAAACAATTTGTCAGTTTCTTATAAAGTTCATAGGGAAGACAAATTAACACATATGTCTACATAAAGACTTCTGCACAAATGTTCATAGCAACTTTATATGTTACCAAAATGGAAACAATATACATATCCATCAATGAGTGAATGGATAAATAAATAGTGATTCATCTGTACAAGATAATACTATGCAGCATTCAAAAGAAATGAACCGGACCTACACGGTGGTTCACACCGGTAATCCCAGCACTTTGGTAGGTTAAGGCAGGCCAATTGCTTGAGCTCAAGAGTTCGTGACCAGCCCAGGCAACATAGTAAAACCCAGTCTCTACAAAAGATACAAAAAACAAAAAAATTAGCTGGGCCTAATGGGCGAGCTTGTAGTCCCAACTACTCGGGAGGCTGAGGTGAGATGATTGCTTGAGTTCAGGAGGTTGAGCCACTGCACTACAGCCTGGGTGACAAAGTGAGACCTTGTCAAAAAAAAAAAAAAAAAAAAAACTATTGATAAAAGCAACTGCATGGACAAATCTGAAAAACATTAAGCTGAGTGAGAGAAGCCAAACTCAAAAAAGCACATACTATATAATTTTTCTTACATGAAATTCTCAAAAATGTAAACTAGCCTATAGTAACACAAAGTGGAGCAACAGCTACGTGGGGCTGAGGATGGGTGTGATGTTGACTGTAAAGGGGAACGAGGGAACTTTTTAAGGTGATGGAAATTTTCTATAGTTTGACTGCAGTAGAGGTTAAATGAGTGCATACATTTGTCAAAACTCATCAAACTACAGCTGTTCATGGTTTCAGTTTATTGTACATAAGCTATATTTCAACAAAGTTAACTTTCTAAAAAGCAATAATAGTTACCTTTTTTCTTTTTTGGTGGGGGGGCGGGGGTGGAGTTTTGCTCTTGTCACCCAGGCTGGAGTGCAATGGCGTGATCTCGGCTCACCGCAACCGCCGCCTCCCGGGTTCAAGCGATTCTCCTGCCTCAGCCTCCCGAGTAGCTGGGATTACAGGCATGCGCCACCACGCCCAGCTAATTTTGTATTTTTAGTAGAGACGGGGTTTCTTCATGTGGGTCAGGCTGGTCTCGAACTCCCGACCTCAGGTGATCCACCCGCCTCAGCCTCCCAAAGTGCTGGGATGACAGGCGTGAGCCACCGCACCAGGCCAATAGTTAGCTTTTTTTAAAAAAAAAAATCAGAGAACTGTGAAGCAATAATAGTTATCTTTTAAAAAAGAATCAGAGGGCTGGGCGCAGTGGCTCCCACCTGTAATCCCAGCACTTCGGGAGGCCGAGGCAGGCCGATCACGGGGTCAGGAATTCCAGACCAGCCTGGCCAACATGGTGAAACCCCGACTCTACTAAAAATACAAAATATTAGCTGGGCGTGGTGGCGTGAGCCTGTAATCCCACCTACTCAGGAGGCTGAGGCACGAGAATCACTTGAACCCAGGAGGCGGAGGTTGCCATGAGCCGAGATCACGCCATTGCACTCCAGCTTGGGCAACAAGAGTGAAACTCCATCTCAAAAAAAAAAAAACACAACAACAACAAATACAACAAAAAAAGAATCAGAGAACTGCGATGTCATTGAAGAATTGATTACAGTAGCAAAAATGGAAAGCAAACGAAATATTCATTATCAGATGCTTAGTAAAATCAACTAGAAGAATCTATACTAGGCAGAGAGTGGATCACACCTGTAATCCCAGCACTTTGGGAAGCCATGGTGAGAGGATCACTTGAGGTCAAGAGTTCAAGACCAGCCTGGACAACATAGCAAGACCCCATCTCTACAAAAAATAAATTAGCAGGCATGGTGGCATGTGCCTATAGTCCCAGCTACTCAGGAAGCTGAGGCAGGAGAATCACTTGAGCCCAGGAGGTTGAGGCTGCAGTGAGCCATAATCATGCCACTGCACTCCAGCCTGGGTGACAGAGTGAGACCCTGTCTCAAAAAAAAAAAAAAAAAAAAAAAAGTGTAACCACTGAAAAGGTTGAGGTATATGTTTGAAATGTATGTTCATAACATATAAAGTGAAAAGGCAGCTTACTCACAGGATGTGTATGAACTCATTTGCATATAGTCTACATTATATATACATGTGTGTATTTATGTGCATGAAAATTTCCAAGGGGTCTAATCTATAGAGTGGTTAACTGGAAGGTCAGCTATGAGGTGAAACATTTGCAAAGGGATTTTTCACCACCCCAGTTTTCAATGTTGAATTTTTATAATAAGCTAGTTTTATATCCATCATCAGCACAAACAACAGTGATAATTCCATTTGGAGAAAATAAAAGGTAATTGGAGATGGCCTGGCACATTCCAGGCATCCTTATAAATACCAATCATTTTGTCTTCTCCTAGTTAATTGGATACCAATAAGCAAGGATTTACTATGTGTTGGAAAGGAAAACATTCTGCGCCATACTTCTACTAACCAACTGGAAAAAGCATACAATTGAATTGCGGGAGAGGAAATATGATGACCAAACTTGGCAAGGTAAGAGATTTCCCTGCCTGATCATTTTTCCTACCTCTCCAAAGGAATCAGCAGGTGTCTTTTAGTCTGGGCAAGAAACTCTGAGAGCATCCATCCCTACCTTTACAATGACAGACTCTGAGGGTAAAGCTGATAAACATCAGAGTACTGCAGCCCTGCTTTTTCTGCAGATCCTTAGTATCTTCTGGAGGAAATGGGAATTTTGAAAACCCTAAATGCTCAGAGAAAACACCAAAGAGTCCCCTTACATAAGAGGCAATGTCAGAGCACCTGTGAAACACAGCTCCGTGTGGCATTGTTCTAAGGAGAGACTTACACAATCATGTCATCTTCATGTGTCTTCTCAGCTCTGCAATTAAATATTCTCTTATTGCCTCCTGTAGTTCCCCTAGTCTAGACATTATAATTATCATGACAATTCTTCCAATGTCCTAATTAACAGAGAATGAAAAACCCTGGAAAAAGAAAGTCAGGACCCCGGAACTTGGAAGTCATATCTGCCAATGCCAATGAGGAAATTAGCCAAATATAGAGGAGAATGATTCATCGACTTCTTCACTTCCCTATCTCCCCTTGCTTGACCTTCCTATACTCTTCTCAAAGGAACATATCAAAAGTTTGCTTCTACTTTTCTTCCTCCCTATTTAATCTTCTCACACCACATGGCTCTGCAGAGGCCCATCTAGGCCATCGGAATTTAATAGCTAGTCTGTGCTGCACCAAAACATTCCAGTTTGCAGTATGTTTTTGAAAATGTGTTTTTATGAATAAATTATAAATTTCTGGAGCACACAGATCATTTTTACATGACAGCCTAGATATGAGCAACTTGAGCCTACTCAAACAGGACCTAGGTTTCAGATTTGGGACAGGGATCTTATTAAAGAAGTATCTCTCCAACCTCTTTTCCATCTTTCCCCTTGTGCAATGAGGGACTTGGTAAACTTAATTACAAAGCCACTGTACTCCGTCCAGTGCTCCACCCTCATTTAGCTACTTCAGCAGTGAGTCAGGGGGTCCAGGGGTGCTCAGATGGAGCTCTGCCCAAGGTCAGGGCCACATTTCATACAAAGGGGTTGCCATTTACTGGCAGCTGCAGGATGTTTAGTTGTGAGCCAAAATTCCCCAGCAATTCAGTTCTGTGAGCTGAACTGCCCAGCCCTTCTAGGGAACTCACACCCAGTATCTTATTACTTCTGCCTAGTCACCATCACCTCTCTCTTTTCAACTTTCATTTTCTTACTTCTCGTCTCCTTTTCTCTTTAAAGAAATTTGGAGGGGTTATCAATGAAAAGGGATGTGTCACTAGAGGCAAGGAGAAAAGGGGTCCTCTATTCCCCCTCATTTTATACATATACACATCAAGAACCCAGAGCCTTGTGATGCCCTGAGGCCCAAGACTCCCAGCTAGCTGTCCTTGGACATCCCTTAACAGAGGGTAACAAGAGATTCCCGGCCCCCTGACACTCCCCATTTGTTCCCTGCCATGTTCCTTTTTAAGATGAATGACTAGCCTGAGAACCCAAAGGGGTCAAAATGGCTTAAGAGGTTATCTCTTTTTGATAATAATATCATTCGTATAATATTTAATAGTTTACAAAGCCCTTTCACTAATATATTACCCTGTTGGAGCCTCACTACAACTTTGTGAAGTTGGTTTCATTATTATCCCCTATTTACAGAGGAAGAAATCTGAGCGCTGACTGGTCAAACAAATTAGGCATGTGATCGCATTGGGACTCAGACTAAATGCAGATCCTAGGCACTGTCATCCAACAGTTGCTTTTAGTATAAACTGCCACATCCATAATCCCCAGGATCAGGAAGTTACCTTAGGCTGGTGTCTACGCACAAGGGACCCTAAGTGGACCAGAGGTAGACACCTGGCCTGAGGCAGCCTTTCCATCAGTTGGTTAATGACTCATGAAGATGCCTTGGGCAAAGAGCTCTACCCAAAGGGTAGCCTCACGGAACAAAGGCAACTGGACTTGCTCTCTCAGGCATTTGGATTGAGGGATTGGCCTCTTTTTTTTTCTTTTTTTTTTCTTTTTTTTTTTTTGTTGAGATGAAGTCTCACTCTGTCGCAAGGCTGGAGTGCAGTGGCACATTCTCAGCTCACTGCAACCTCTGCCTCCCGGGTTCAAGCGATTCTCCTGCTTCAGCCTCCTGAGTAGCTGGGACTACAGGTGTGCACCCCCACACCCGGCTAATTTTTGTATTTTTTTTTTAGTAGAGATGGGGTTTCACCATGTTGTTCAGGATGGTCTCCATCTCTTGACCTCACGATCCGCCCAAAGTGCTGAGATTACAGGCCACCGCGCCCGGCCGGGATTGGCCTCTTGATAAAGAGGGAAGACAGAGCAGACACTTCATAGGAAAAAAGCAGAAAGATAACAAGAGGGAGATGATCCTGGCTATGAGAAAGATAAAGGAAACAGCCAGTCCCTAGAGCTCCCTCAATCCCCGAACAGTTTTCTGGTTCCAGTTTGTGTATCTATGATAAACACTCCCTTTCCTGGAGTGCCTCAGTGTTTCTCTCCTCCTTAAAACCAAAGGAGGCTTTCCATTCTCTACCTGGTAGTGATCTTCGCTGACTTATTCCAAAGCAGTGGCCCCTGTCAACTATCCAACAGGAAGAGATATGGGGCAAGGGAGTCTCTCAGATCTCACTAGGGGAGGTGGCTGATCCTATCTCCAGATTTTCTGCTGCTCTCATTTCCTCTCTACCCACAAAGAAAGGCTCTGGCCAAACCAAGAAATTCAGCTCATTGTGGTCTCTCCAATTCAACTGGTGAGGTAGGCAACACACAGGACACATTACTCAATCCAGGTGGTTAATCTGGCTCTTCAAAGATCAACTTTACAAAAATCAAAATTTTTGAATCAAACAATTTATTCTATGATAAGGTAAACAATGTAGTTTTGATTGACAAACTCTGATACTGTGTTCCAAGGGGAAAGATTCTTACGAATAAAAAGGTAGGTTTGTTTCAGTAAGAGAATAGTTTTGGCTGGGCATGGTGTCATACATTTGCAATCCCACCACATTAGGAGGCTGAGGCAGGAAGATGGCTTGTGCCCAGGAGTTGGAGACTAGCCTGAGGAACACAGCAAGATCCTCCTCTCTACAAAAAATTTAAAAACTAGCCAGGTGTGGTGGCACGTGCCTGTAGTCCTAGCTGCTCAGGAGGCTAAGGCAGGAGGATTGTTTGAGCAGGAGGTTGAAACTACACTGAGCCATGACCATGACACTGTCTGGGTGACAGAGTGAGACCTTGTCTCAAAAAATAAAAATTAAAAAGGAAAAAAAGAGACACTATTTTTTAAATTATACTGCAGAACAATGTGATGGCCTTACAAAATCTGTTTTCTAAACACCTCTCTGTGACTAAAAGATACAATAGTTGGAAGAAAGGAGTAATTTGAAGGAATTTTCTATCTCAAGCAAAGACTTTATCCAGGAGGCTGTATTTTCCACTCACCTAGATATTATAAAAGGAAGTATAATCTGACTCACCACCTAGAACTAGTTTTCATACCTTTGCCTTTTTTTCCTCTCTTCATTTTTCCCTTTTCCATTTTTCCTTTAGCTATACTTTTTTTCTTTTTGGAGACAGGGTCTCACTCTTTCATCCCGGCTGGAGTGCAGTGGCGTGATCTCAGCTCACTTCAGCCTCAACCTCCTGGACTCAATAGATCCTCCCACCGCAGCCTGCCCCGGGGTAGCTGGGACTACAGGTGTGCACTACCATGCCTAGCTAATCTTTGTATTCTTTGTAGAGATGATGTTTCGCTATGTTGCCCAGGCTGGTCTCAAACTCCTGGTGATCAGCCTGCCTCAGCCTTTCAAAGTGCTGGGATTACAAATGTGAGCCACCATGCTTGGCTATCTATACTTTTTAAAAGATAATCTGCATCATTTTTTATTGTGTTCAAACTTTTGGGAGGGGCCATATTCCCAAATACTTTTACCTGTTTTAACAAGAAGCATTAAATATGAGGGCCCCAGGTATCTAAATCAAAGCACTTCAAAAGGCAGCTGGCTCTGCAATCCTGAATATAATAGTCTAAACAAATATGATTCAGCTTGAATTTGTTGTAATGCCAAGAGCTTTCCAACCAGGAATATCCTGACATGAAACAGAATTAAGAAAGTATCTGGATTCTTTCAAAGCTTAGGTATAGTGGTTCAAGCCTCTGGTTTTTTTTGTTGTTGTTGTTACCAGAGAGGTAGGACAATGAATGAATCAATTGGGGGCATATTTTGCAAATAAAAACAAAAGGGAAAAACAAACAAAAACACCTAAGATTGACAGACTTAGTAGCCTCTCACAACATTTAAGTCAGGAGATAAATATTCTGGCTTTCTGGCTTCTATAGTAGAGGGCAATAAGGAAAAAGGTTTTGGATAAGCCAACCCCCAGCGTCTGCCACAAACAGAATAGTAAGGGAGAGGAAGCAATCTAAAGTCACCCTCTGAGGTGGGAAGCTCTCAGGCTTATGCCCTAAAAGGTAAAGTCCCATTCTAGACAAGACAGTACTGAAATAGCTCTCTGGTTAGTGTTCAGTATTCTAGCTGAGTAACATGTTTATGGGCAGGCAGAGCAAAGATGCCTTCAGAGAAAATGTACAGGGAGGAAAGCACTGTCTAAACAGGAGATGACCTCACTGAAGAAGGCTTCCAACACCTCTGTCAGGCTCACAGCTACCTGATTCTTCAGGTCACAGTATGCACAGTGATTCTTCCAGGAGGCCTACCTGGACTTCTTATGCTAAATTATATGCCTTTGCCAAATGCTCACACATAATCTTGAAGTTAAGCCTTGTAACATCTCTCTTTCATTTGTACGCCTTGTTTGATGTCTTCTTTTCCTTTTAGACATGGAAGTTCTATGAGGGAAGAGTCCATATCTGTCATGTTCCCTGATATTTCTCAAACACTTAGCACAATGTTTGGCATATAATAGGTGCTCACTAAATTTGTTTTGGGTGGAGCTAAGCTGATTTGGCTCTCCTACTAAAATGTTATGCTCCTTCATAAGTCATCACATTCACAGATACTTATTATAATTACATAATTACTTATTTAAAATCTGTTTTTCTTACTAATCCTTTAGCTCTATGAGGGCAGGGCAAAGTCAGTTTGATGTGACTCCAGCATCTCTCATAGTGCCTGCTATATAAATATCGTATAGATGTTCAATAAATACTTGTTGAATAAATGATTGCTTTAGACAAGATATATAACCTCCCTGACACTCGGATTCCCAATCTGCAATCAATCATAACCACCACCATAAGTACCATGATGATTAAATGCCATGCATGTTCCCCATGGTGAACCCACAGACTGAAGTTCTGGGGTTTGCCATGGAATGAAAAAGCAGAACAGAGAATTCAGAGAACTAATCTGGAATCTGGTCCCAGAAGCTTTAATCTACAAAAGGTATGTGACAAAAATAAGGGACCATTTTCATTTTCTAGGGCTGTCATAACCAAGTACCACAGACTGGGTAGCTTAAACAACAGAAATCTATTTTCTCACCATTCTGGAGGCAAGAAGCCCTGGATCAAGGTATTAGCAGCGTTCATTTCTTCTGGGGCCTCTCTTCTTGGCTTATAGATGGCCATCTTCTCTCTGTCTTTACATGGTCTTCCCTCTGTGTGTGTCTGCGTCCTAATCTCTTTTGATAAGGACACAAGACATTTTGGATTAGGGCCTACCCCAATGACCTCCTTTAGCCTTGTCTCTTTAAAGACTCTATCTTCAAATAATTCCTAAGGTACTGGGGTTTGGGGCTTCAACATATAAATTTGGGGGTGTCACAATGTAGCCCATAACAGGGGGCATTGGAAAATATACTCCTATTCTCTCTTCAATTCAAAAAATATCTCATACATAATCTTCTGGTGGAGGGTAATAAGTTTTAAAATACCTACAGCCTGCTAAGAGGGTGGTCTATTAGCAACTCACACCTCAATATGAATTGCTTCATTGAGTGGAATGCTTTCCTATAAGCCATAAGAAACCAGCGGCCCAGGTGAGAGAGGAGGTCAAGGAATGAGAAATGAATCATTTTGATTCACGAGTTACTACTGGGAAGGGTAGAGCTGGGTAGGCCTGGGAAGAATGATAAATAAAATATTTTAGACATCTACTGTGTGTTGTGCAAAGAATTAGTGACATTAGTCCATTGTATTCTTTACATTAACTCAGTGAGACAGATGCGTTAACATCATCCTCGTTTTACAGTAAGAGAAGCTTAGACACAGAATAATTAAGTCAGAGCAGGGATTGGAATCTGTCTCAAAAAAAAATAATAAAAATAAAATAAAGCCTACCTACTCATATAATTTCAGGAAAAAACCCAGCACTATCTAGAGTGACCAACAATCCTGGTTTTCCTTGGACTAAGGGATTTTTCTGGGACAGAGATTTTCAGCACTAAGCCTTAACCATAATAATAATAAAAAAGAACAATAAAAGGAGAGTAATTAAAAATAAATTATCATGTATTAGAAGACTTTGCTTGGGCCAGGTTACATGAGAAGACACATTGAAGTAGTCAGTTGCTTATACTTTTTTTTTTTTTTTAGACAGAGTCTTGCTCTGTCGCCCAGGCTGGAGTGCAATGGCGTGATGTTGGCTCACTGCAACTTCTGCCTTCCGGGTTCAAGTGATTCTCCTGCCTCAGCCTCCTGAGTAGCTGGGATTACAGGTGCATGCCACCACACTCGGCTAATTTTTATAATTTTAGTAGAGATGGGGTTTCACCATGTTAGTCAGGCTGGTCTTGAACTCCTGACCTCAGGAGATCCGCCCGCCTCAGCCTCCCAAAGTGCTGGGATTATAGGTGTGAGCCACCGCGCCCAGCCTGCTTACACTTTCTTATAATGAATGTTAGGATATAAATAAGCATATCTATACAAGAAATAAGAAAATGAAAGAACAAGGATGTGGGCTACACTAGAATAAAATATAGTTTAGAGAAATTTAAATTTATTCATGTGAGAATGGAAAAAGTGTCAATTTAATTGGAATAGGGATAACATGCAAAACAAATTACAATGTCAAAGTTGAAAACATGAGGACTCTGATATCCACAGCTGAGTTGTGTCTTGTCATAAACATAGGGTCTCTCTATATGTACAGATATATGCTACTTCATGGGACAGAGTAGTGTCTCTTTTCTTGAAATCCCTCTGTGCTTTGTGGCATCAAGTTAGGCACCAGTACTTAAAATGACCTTGGGGACCATGCTCTTGGATGGACAACAGGAACTTGATAATAAACTGTGTAAAGAAATAGTGGCCAGTCACGGTGGCTCATGCCTGTAATCACAGCACTTTGGGAGGCCAAAGCAGGCAGATCACCTGAGGTCGGGAGTTCGAGACCAGCCTGACCAACATGGAGAAGCCCTGTCTCTACTAAAAATACAAAATCAGCCAGGCATGGTGGCACATGCCTGTAATCCCAGCTACTCAGGAGGCGGAGGCAGGAGAATCACTTAAACCTGGGAGGTGGAGGTTGCGATGAGCCGAGATCGTGCCATTGCACTCCAGCCTGGGCAACAAGAGCAAAGCTCCATCCCAAAAAAAAAAAAAAAAAAGAAAAGAAAAGAAATTAGGAGTTACATGGAGGTTATGCGGCACAGATCAATTCTAAGTCTATTGAAAGATGTGTCAAAGCTTCTACGGTACGTATTTGCACCTGACAGCTACAATTGCAGACTGATACACGTGTGGCATTATAGTGAGTCAAATACCATGAGCAGTATTGCAATAGGTGATATATTTTCTGAAGTGGTGATCATTTTTTGAAAAGTCCAAACAAAACACAGTACAATCTTCCCTTTGTTTAGCTGGTGATTGCATTCCTAAATGGTTCATATTTGTATATAAAATGGAATTAGACCTTAGGCTTGGAAATATAAACAGGTTTTCCATGTACAAGAACCTTTATCTGTTGGGACATTAGAAGATCCCATATGATGACAGAAAATTCTTTGTTGTATGGGCTGTCTCACTATGGCAGCATGTCTCTCCTCCATGGTCTCAGTTCATTAAATGCTAGTAGAGCCCGCTCAAGAATGTCCAAATGCCATAGTTTAGATCCATTTCTTTGAGTGCCATCATAGAGGTGAGGGAATTCCAAGTGCTAATGGAACTGAAAGCAGGGCCAGGCATGGATGCAGTGGCTCACACCTGTAATCCCAGCATTTCGGGAAGCTGAAGCAGGAGAATTATTTGATGCCAGGAGTTCGAGACCAGCCTGGGCAAAAAAGCAAGGCCCCATCTCTACAAAAAGTAAAAAATTAAAATAATTAGCTGGGACCTGTAGTCCTAGCTACTCTGGAAACTGAGGTGGGAGCATAGTTTAAGCCCAGAAATTCAAGGCTGCTGTGAACTGTGAACACATCACTGCACTCCAGCCTGGGCAACAGAGTGAGACCCTGTCTCCCACCCCCAACCAAAAAAAAAAGAATTGAGACACAGCAAATATTACTGTGGGAAGAGAAACTGTAAAGGGGAAGGAGTTTGGATTCAGGTGGATAGAGGCTTGAACTTCACCCAACCTTAGACAATTTTTTTTTTAGACAGAGTTTTGCTCTTGTTGCCCAGGCTGGAGTGCAATGGCACCATCTCGGCTCACCACAACCTCCGCCTTCCGAGTTCAAGCGATTCTCCTGCCTCAGCCTCCCAAGTAGCTGGGACTTTACAGGCATGCACCACCACACCCAGCTGATTTTATATTTTTAGTAGAGATGGGGTTTCTCCATGTTGGTTAGGCTGGTCTCAAACTCCCGACCTCAGGCGATCTGCCCGCCTCGACCTCCTAAACTGTTGGGATTACAGGTGTGAGCCACCACGCCCGGCCTCTGCCTTAGACAATTTATATAACCTGCCACGGCTTCAGTTTCTCAGTTTTTTCTTCTTTCAGTTTCCCCACTTTTAAAATAGATCTATAATACTTCTGTTATGAGTTTGTATAAAGACTAAACAAGATTGCAATGTATATAAAATGTTTAACATTACCTTTCAGGGGCCACATTCCAAGTATTTTTTTCCTTGCCATTAAGTGAGAGAATCGCAGTTATCTCAAAGTAAGGGAATATCATGAGGGTAAGCGTCCCACAGCTCAGTTCTTGGAGAAAATAGAAAAGAAGAGAGACAAGAGGAGCATATAAAAGTGACTAATTCAGGAGGAGGTGACATCTGAGTTATCAAGTAGGATAAAATTACCTTGGTTCATAATCAGTAATAGGAGGTCTCAGTACAGCATAGTGACTCTGCTTGGGTTTTATACTCGGAAAACCTGGCTTCCTGTCTTAGCTCTGCTGCTTGCCAATGAGCTGGGGCAAGTCACTTCGCTTCTCAGGTTCTTTATAGGTAAAATGAGTTCAGTAATACCTGCCTTTCCATTTTATTGTGGAATTGAACTGAGATGTAGGATGGAAGGCACCTGGCTCGTAGCCAGACTCTTACACGCAGTAGCTCTTCCTCATCAGTTCAGAGCTGTGTAGCAGCCAAAGGAAAACTTCCCTTTTGCCCCCTAAAGGTTTGCTGAAAATCAGCTGACAAAAGGCAGATTAATAGGAGGAAAGCATATAAATTTATTAAAGTGCATGGAGGAAAATCCCAGATATTATCCCCTCTTTCTCCGTGAATTGGGGTCTAGATGTTTTTATGCCTTTCTTCTTAGAAGAAAGGGAGATGGGGAAGTATGAGTGATGTAAGGGGGTTAGTAAATGATTTTTAGGGGAATTTAATGGGCTCCAAGAACATATAATGGCCTGAGACAAAGCCTGTTGGGCTCACAAAGCAGACAATGTTTTGGGACAAAAGGCTGTCCAGGTTTGTTGACAGACTTGTCCTTTTTTTTTTTTTTTTTTTTTTTTTTTTTTTGAGACTGGGTCTCACTCTGTCGCCCAGGCTGGAGAGTGCAGTGGCGTGATCTCGGCTCACTGCAACCTCCACCTCACGGGTTCAAGCAATTCTCTGCCACAGCCTCCTGAGTAGCCCTGAGTAGCCAGGATTACAAGCGCCCACCACCACGCCCGGCTAACTTTTTTGCATTTTTATTTTAGTAGAGACAGGGTTTCACCATCTTGGCCAGGCTGGTCTTGAACTCCTGACCTCATGATCCACCTGCCTCGGCCTCCCAAAGTGCTGGAATTACAGGCGTGAGCCACCGCGCCTGGCCAACAGATTTGTCTTTCTTCCTGTGATATGAGTTTAGTTAATTAAAACTCAGGGAAGGGATGAGAGGGATTTGTTTTTTCCCTTGGCAGATCTGGACTGTAGGCAGATACGGGAACTTTAGATAACAATTTCATCCTGTGCTTTGGGAGAGATGGAGGATTAAGAGACGGGGTGCAGGGAGGTCAGAGAGAATTTTGAGGCTGCTTCCTCCATTCAGCATGTCAAAGCACCATATTTTGGAGTAGCCTTTTCTGAGCCCAACAGCTGCTAATCCAGCATCTGAAGAAACAGGACTGTTGAACATGAACTTCTGTTATTTATCAGTATTTCAGCCAGGCTAGGCTGGGCTACACTGCAGTTACAAGTAAATTCAAAATTTCCATGACTTAAACTTGAAGATATAGTTCTTATTCATTATACTCTCTATCATTGTCTGCTAGAAGCTTTATTCCACACCATTGTCATCCTTACTCCAGACCTGGGGCTGACAGAGCGACCACTATAGGAATATTGCTGGTTGCCATGACAACAAAAAGATAAGATGGTGAAGCATCTTGACTTTTACAGCTTCCACATACATTTCATTGGCCAAGTCACATGGCAGTGCCTCCAAGTATGGGGGAAATTACGATCCACCATATGTCAGGAAGGAAAGAGAACAAGAATGTTTGTGAACAGCCCTAATGACCACTGTAGTTAGGGAGCAAAGATTTCAAAAGATTTAATTATCTCTTTTCCCAGAGAAAGACTTGACGTGAATTAGCTTGTTGAGAATTGGCAGGTTACCAAGGATATGTTTTTCTTTTCTTGATGAAAATAAATTATTGGCAAATAGTCCTGCTGAGTTGTTGTACTTTTTGCAATGTTTTCCGTTGCCATGGCCCACTGCTGAATTTAACCACCCTAGGTTAATTTCAGTAGCTTTCTTTATTAGAGTTGGGAAGATTGTCTTTTCCTCACCTGTGGGTCTCTTCCTCTCTCCAATGTAATAAAAGTGTATCACTTTTTTTTTTTTTTTTTTTTTTTTTGAGACCGAGTCTCACTCTGTCGCCCAGGCTGGAGTGCAGTGGTGCCATCTCGGCTCACTGCAAGCTCCGCCTCCCGGGTTCACACCATTCTCCTGCCTCAGCCTCCCGAGTAGCTGGAACTACAGGCGCCTGCCACCATTATACTTTTCCTACTCACATTTTAAAGCCCCAAATTTCTGATGGCACCAAAAACAGAACTCTTGATTAGAAATGATGGGTTTGGAACGTCCAAGGTCTTTATGTATATTTTCCACTGAGTTGATTCTCTTTTCTTGTAACTCATAAGTGCTGGAAAATGTTGCTTCCTTTTCCATTTTTAATATTGAGGTGCTTCTCAGATGGTTCTTCTGTAGGGAACCTTCCTAAAACTCATGGGGTATGTCAATTATCTACTGCCACATAACAAATTACCCTAAATCTCAGTAGTGTAAAAGAATGATGGACAGCTGGGCGTGGTGGCTCACGGTTGTAATCCCAACACTTTGGGAGGCCAAGGTGGGCGGATCACTTGAGGTCAGGAGTTCGAGACCAGTCTGGCCAACATGGTAAAACCCTGTCTCTACTAAAAATACATAAATTAGCTGGGTGTGGTGGTCTGTGCCTGTAATCCCAGCTACTCAGGAGGCCGAGACAGGAGAATCACTTGAAACGGGAGGCAGAGGCTACAGTGAGCTGAGATCTCACCACTGCACTCCAGCCTGGGTGACAGAGCGAGACTCTGTCTCAAAAAAAAAAAAAGAAAAAGAAAAAGAAAAGAAAGAAAAAGAATGATGGACATTACTATTTCTCACAGTCGCTGAGGTTCAGGAATTTTGAAACAACCTAGCTGATAGTTTTCGCTTGGAGTCTCTCATGAGGCTGCAGTCAAGATGTTAGCTAGGGCTGCGGTCATCTGAAGGCTTGACAGAGGCTGGAGGACAACTCATGCACATGCTGGAGAGTGCTGACTGCTAACAGGAGATCCCAGTTCCTCCCAGCTTGTGGCTTCTGTAGGGCTGTTTGAGGGTCCTTTTCCCCAAGGAAGTGATGCAAGAACAGCAAAGACAGCTGCAGTGCTTTTTAAGACTAAAACTCAAAGTCACATACTGTCACTTCTACAGTATTCTGTTGCTTATGCAGAATGCATGGGCAGCATGGGAGGGCATTATACAGGGATGTGGTCACCAGGAGGCAAGGATCACTGGAGGCCATCTTAGATGCTGGCTATCACAAAAGTAGGGCAAGAATTCTCTCAATTCCCTTGAAGTCTACCCCAAATATAAACATAAGAATTACAAGGTAAGTTCTATGAAGGCAAGGATTTTTTTTTTTTTTTTCGAGACAGTCTTACACTGTTGCCGAGGCTGGAGTGCAGTGGTGTGATCTCAGCTCACTGCAACCTCCGCCTCCCAGGTTCAGGCAATTCTCCTTGCCTCAGCCTCCCAAATAGCTGGGATTACAGGTGCCCGCCACCACGCCCAGCTAATTTCTTTGTAGTTTAGTAGAGATGGGGTTTCACTATGTTGACCAGGTTGGTCTCGAGCTCCTGACCTCGTGATCCACCCACCTTGGTCTCCCAGAATGCTGGGATTACAGTCGTGAGCCACCATGCCTGGCCAAGGATTTTTTTTTTTTAATCTTTGTTCACTGCTTAGTACTTTGGACATTGCCTAGCACATAATAGCTTCTCAATAAATGTTTTTGCAATGAATAGGTAAGAAAAATCAAGAAAACTTTTTAAAAATCTCTCAGTTAAACATTACAAATACTGTTTTTCAGCTTCAAATAAGGTATATAAATGTCTTGGAAATGTGGTAGTGTCATCACACTGTAGATAGCCAACAAACATTGAGAAAATAGTAAGACTTGCCAAGTTCCCTCCAAATTGGTGTTTAGAAGTGTGATTTTATTAGGGAGGCAATGTAGCACAGTGAATAGATGCAAAAAAACTGAGATTTTTGTCTAGGTTCTACCACCAGTTAGCTTCGTGAATTTAAGCAAGACAGCCTCATTCTTCCTACTTACAAAACCAGAGACTTGTATTAAATGATATTAAAGGCACTTCTAGCATGAACATTCGGATATTGTTTATTTGATCTCAACTTGAATTTTGCCATACACTTAAAACTAGGCCTATAAGACAATTTCTGATGTAATCTATTTATTGGATAGTTCTTTCATGTGCATCAGGCTTCAGTCTAAAATGTGTGCATAGGTTTGGGTTTATTTCAAGACTGTGGGGTGAGTCACTAAGTCTATGTGTATAAAGATTCTAGAAGTCCCTTGGGAAATAATTTACTCTAATGGAAGTGACAATTTGGTTCAAAAACAGTGTCTCAAGAATTGGAAGGGAAAGGCAATTTTTAAAATAGCTCCATGTCTACCTATCAAATTATCTGATTTCATAGCCCCCATTTGCTCATGTTTGAGTACCCAAGAGATGGGGCTGGAAGTAAAATGGATGCATTAAAATCTACAGTAATTTGACACAGATAACTTTTTCATGTGTTATTTATAGCTGAACACAGTACTCTAAGAGTGGTCTAACCACAGGAAGAGAATGCAAACACTTTTCTATTTGGAACAGTATAAAGTTAGAATTTTATTTTGGAGGCAGTGCATCGTCCGAACTCTTGATTCACGGTCAATAATCAAAGCTTCAAATAGTGTAGTAACCACATCTTCATCTATACTTTTCATTAAATACCCTCTTGTCAGATTCATCCTGTTGTTCTCAGTCCAGGTCCTTTGGATCCTGCTTTATGTCACTTATGCACTGGCAGTGTTTTGGTTAGTGTTCCAACAGGAAACTGACCGGAGTGCCGGGAAACCACAAGGGGTTGTCCAGGGCTAGTAACTTCAGAGAAGCTGACAAGAAGAGTGAGGATCAAGGCAAAGCAGCCTTCTTGTCTCTCATAATGAGGGAGTCATAGGCTGGACTGCAGGGAGGGGATGTCCTCTATCCATTGCGTCTCCTGCTGGAACTCCCTGTGGCCAGACCCAGCTGTAAGCCACAGGAGCCTATTGGCATGGTTTGTATAAGCCAGCCTCCCTACAGAGAGCAGGGTAGAGAGTGGATCTGGGAGAGCAATGGACTTCTCTGGGACATTAATTAAAAGGTAGAACGTCCAAGACCATGAATGGAAATCCTTGGCATACCCACTAGACATTTTTTCATTTCATGTTGATTCATTAATCTGAAACATACTGACCATATGATATATCTTAACCAGGAAAATTACTCTACATTCTTTTTTTTTTTTTAATTATACTTTAAGTTTTAGGGTACAGGTGCACAATGTGCAGGTTAGTTACATATGTATACATGTGCCATGCTGGTGTGCTGCACCCATTAACTCATCATTTAGCATTAGGTATATCTCCTAATGCTATCCCTCCCTCCTCCCCCCACCCCACAACAGTCCCCAGAGTGTGATGTTCCCCTTCCTGTGTCCATGTGTTCTCATTGTTCAATTCCCACCTATGAGTGAGAACAGGCGGTGTTTGGTTTTTTGTCCTTGCAATAGATTACTGAGAATGATGATTTCCAATTTCATCCATGTCCCTACAAAGGACATGAACTCATCATTTTTTATGGCTGCATAGTATTCCATGGTGTATATGTGCCACATTTTCTTAATCCAGTCTATCATTGTTGGACATTTGGCTTGGTTCCAAGTCTTTGCTATTGTGAATAGTGCCGCAATAAACATACGTGTGCATGTGTCTTTATAGCAGCATGATTTATAGTCCTTTGGGTATATACCCAGTAATGGGATGGCTGGGTCAAATGGTATTTCTAGTTCTAGATCCCTGAGGAATCGCCACACTGACTTCCACAATGGTTGAACTTGTTTACAGTCCCACCAACAGTGTAAAAGTGTTCCTATTTCTCCACATCCTCTCCAGCACCTGTTGTTTCCTGACTTTTTAACGATTGCCATTCTAACTGGTGTGAGATGATATCTCATTGTGGTTTTGATTTGCATTTCTCTGATGGCCAGTGATGGTGAGCATTTTTTCATGTGTTTTTTGGCTGCATAAATGTCTTCTTTTGAGAAGTGTCTGTTCATGTCCTTCACCCACTTTTTGATGGGGTTGTTTGTTTTTTTTCTTGTAAATTTGTTTGAGTTCATTGTAGATTCTGGATATTAGCCCTTTGTCAGATGAGTAGGTTGCGAAAATTTTCTCCCATTTTGTAGGTTGCCTGTTCACTCTGATGGTAGTTTCTTTTGCTGTGCAGAAGCTCTTTAGTTTAATCAGATCCCATTTGTCAGTTTTGGCTTTTGTTGCCATTGCTTTTGGTGTTTTAGACATGAAGTCCTTGCCCATGCCTGTGTCCTGAATGGTAATGCCAGCAGCACATCAAAAAGCTTATCCACCATGATCAAGTGGGCTTCATCCCTGGGATGCAAGGCCGGTTCAATATACGCAAATCAATAAATGTAATCCAGCATATAAACAGAACCAAAGACAAAAACGACATGATTATCTCAATAGATGCAGAAAAGGCCTTTGACAAAATTCAACAACACTTCATGCTAAAAACTCTGAATAAATTAGGTATTGATGGGATGTATCTCAAAATAACAAGAGCTATCTACATTCTTAACATACTGATGTCTCCTTCTTCTAGTGCAAAAAAAAAAAAAGAAAACTAGCTTTATTGAGGTATTGAGATATAGTTCACCCATTACAGTGTACAAATCACTGTATTTGTATACTCTATCCTGTAATTGTATTAAAATAAAGTTTACCCATTTACAATGTACAAATCAATAGATTTTAGTGTATTCACAGTTATGCAACCATCGTAACAATCAATTTTAGAATATTTTCATTACCCTAAGAGACTCCATACTCATTATTATATTTTATAATATTTTCATTACTCTGCAAAGAAACTCCATACTCATTCTTATTTGCTCCTCATTCCTCTTCAATGCCGCCAGTCCCCGGCAGCCACTAGTCTACTTTCTGTCTCTGTGTATTTGTCTACTCTGGACATTTCATATAATTACATAAAAGGTGGTCTTTTGTGTTTGGTTTCTATAATATTGTAACACAGTAAGAAACATATATTTGGTCTCTGTCCTTGGTTCCTGGCACTACAGCTCCTGAAACCCTGGGAGTCTCTGGAGAGAAGAGAGTAGCTTTTGTATGCTAATGAGATGACTAGTGGTTGGAATCTCCTAGATAGCCTCAGGATTGTAGGGGTGTGTGGGGCTAGTTGCCAAGGAAACCAACCCAACCATATCATTAGAAGGTGTGAGCTTTCAAACCCCCCAACCTCTCAGGAAGGGAGAGGGGCTGAAGGTTAAGTTGATCACAAATGGCCAGTGATGTAATCGATCATGCCTACATAATGAGGCCTCCATAAAAGTCCCCGAAAACTGGATTGCTGAACATGTGGAGGTACCTGGGGGGTGGCACATCCAGAGAGGGTATGGAAGATCTGCATTCCCTCCCCGATACCTTGCCCTATGTATCTCTTCCATCTTTCTGTCAATCTGTATCTTTTGTAATATCCTTTTAATAAATGGGTAAATGTTTCAGGTGTTTCCCTGAGTTCTGTGAACCAGTCTAGCAAATTAAACCCAAGAAGGAGATCATGGGAACCCTAATTTATAGCCAATTGCAGTTAGAAATTGCAATTGGTATCAGAAGTGGGGGGCAGTCTTGTGGGAATGAGCCCTCGACCTGTGGGATCTGATGCTAAGTCCAGGTAAGTAGTGTCAGGGTGGAGTTAAATTGTAGGACACCCAGTTAGTATCTGCAAAAGAACTGTGTGGTGTGTGGAGAACCCCCCTACATATCTGGTGTCAGAAGTTCCTGTCGAGTGGTGTGTGAAAGTAGGAAAAACACTTTGTTTTTTCCTGTCCCTATCAGCTTCTTTCACTAAGTATAAAGTGTTTGAGGTTCACCCACGTTGCAGCACATATCAGTGCTTCATTTATTTTTACCGCCAAATGATATTTCACCGTATGGCTATCCCACAATTTGTTGATCTGTTCATCAGTCGATGAACATTTGGGTTGTTTCTTCTTTTTGGCTGTTATGTATAATGCAGCTATGAAATTCATGTACAATGTTTGTGTGAACATATGCTTTCCTTTCTCTTAGGTATATACATAGAAGTAGAATTTCTGGGTCATATGGTAAATTTATTTTAAACCTTTCAGGAACTGCCAGACTGTTTTTGGCTGCACCATTTTACATTCCTATCAGCAGAGTGTAAAGGTTCCAATTTCTTCTCCACATCCTTACCAACACTTTTTTTTATTTTTTTTTAAGACAGAATCTCACTCTGTTGCCAGGCTGGAGTGCAGTGGTGCGATCTCGGCTCACTGCAACCTCCACCTCCCAGGTTCAAGCAATTCTTCTGTCTCAGCTTCCTGAGTAGCTGGGCGCGTGCCACCACACCCAGCTAATTTTTGTATTTTCAGTAGAGATGGGGTTTCACCATGTTGGCCAGGCTGGTCTCGATCTCTTGACCTCGTGATCCACCCACCTCGGCCTCCCAAAGTGCTGAGATTACAGGCATGAGCCATCGCGCCCGGCACCAACACCTTTTATTATTTGTTGTTTTGATCATAGTTATCCTAGTGTGTGTGAAGATTTTGATTTGCATTTCTGTGGTGACTAAAGATGTTGAGCGTCTTTTCATGTGTTTATTGGTCATTTATATATCTTCTTTGGAGAAATGTTTGTTCAGGTCCTTTGCCTACTTTAAAATTGGGTTATGTATATTTTTATAATTGAATCATAAGAGTTCTTTTTTTTTCTTTTCTGTTTTTTTGTTTTGTTTTGTTTTTTATTGTTGTTGTTTTGGGACAGGGTCTCTCTCTGTTACTTAAGCTGGAATGCTGCAGCCTTGACCTCCCAGGCTCAATAAATCCTCCCATCTCATCTTCCTGAGTAGCTGGGACTACTGGTGCACATTACCATGCCTGGCTAATTTTTGTAATTTTTATAGAGATGGGGTCACACCATGTGAATACAATACAATACAATACAATCACAGGATAGAGTATACAAATACAGGCTCTTCTCAAAGTCCTGGGCTCAAGCAATCCCCCTGCCTCAGCCTCCCAAAGTGCTGGGATTACTGGTGTGAGCCACTGTGCCGGGCCAGAGTTCTTTATATGTTTTAGATACAAGCCTCTTGTTAGATATAATGATTTGCACAATTTTTCTCTCATTTTGTGCGTTGTCTTTTCACTTTCTTAATGATATCCTTTGAAGCACAAAGATTTTAATTTTGAAGATATCCAATTTAGCTATTTTTTTTCTTTAGTTGCTTATGCTTTTGGAATTTTATTCCAGTGTTGTTTTGAAAGCTATTTTTTTTTCCCAGCTTCCCGTTCAGGGTTAGAAAAATTGTCTGATTTCTCTTTCCTGCCCAAAATTACTTAGAATAGTATAAGCTAATATTTACCAACCACTTACTATGTCTCAGGCTCTTGTTAGAGTTCAGACAGCTTGGGTAATCAGTGCGGGATCTCAAGGCTAAGGATGAATTCAGCTAATCTCACTCTGGAGCCCATACTCTTCAATCGCTTCACTGTGCTACTGATCAGGTCTTCCTCATCTTGACTGTTTCATTTTTGCAGGAGGAAAATGGTGTATTTGCTGTTAGTGTTAGACAAGTTATTCTGCCTACTCTTTGTTCTCTTCCCTTTTCTGAGGTAAGTCCCCTGCCCCACCCTTTCTAGAATTGCCAGAATCTACAAACTGTCCAAAACACACATGTACTCATCCAAAAAGGCAAAACAACACCCTCATTCATGACACAGAATTCTCAAAGCCCTGGTGTCACAGCTGCAGTCTCTCCCTGACCCTTGCCTCACCCTAACTGTGCTGAGTCTTCTCTTTGGTTGTGATAGCCTAGGGTGTGACATCCAGGGACAGCTTTGACACCCTCGGATGTAAGTGCCATGCTGTGGCTTGCCTTGGAACCCACAAGAAGGGCCCAGGTTCAAAATCCTTTAACTGTCAGTTGAATCAAACATGATCATGTGGAGCAGTACACAACAAAAGCAAGTCAGACTGCCTTCTCAGGTGTTTCCTTTCACTTTGGCAATATCGATGTTTAAACTTCAAGTTTATTATTATTATTTTAAATAAGTGAGGTCAGAATTACCCAACAGGAGCCCAAGAACTTCTTACCCCGCACTGCAACCCCCCATTCTGCAGTATCCAATTACCTATGAAATCCATTTGCATCTACTTCAGAAATATCTCTCAGCCTCCCTCTCCCATTGAATCTTTCCTGCCACTGCATCAGTTCAGATCTCTATCATCTCTTAGGTGGACTAATTCATCTCATTTCTGTCTTTTTTTTTTTTTTTTTCTTTAGACAGGTCTCACTCTGTCACCCAGGCTGGAGTACAGTGGCCTGATCATGCTGATTGCAGCCTCAACCTCCTGGGCCCAAGCAATCCTCCTGCCTCAGTCTCCTGAGTAGCTGGGACTACAGATGCATGCCACCATAGCTGGCTAAATTTTTTGTAGAGACAGGGTCTCACTATGTTGCTGAGGCTGGTCTCAAACTCCTGGGCTCAAGCAATCCTCCTGCCTCAGCTTACCAAATAGCTGGGGCTACAGGTGCATACTGTTGTGCCTGGCTCATTTTTTTTTTTTAGTTTTTGTAGAGACGGGGTCTCACTATGTTGACCAGTCTTTGTTTCTCAGTCTTTTCTTCAATCCAATTGAATTAAATTGAATTATCTCTTCATGGTTGTCTTCCTCAGTAGATTATGAGATCTTTAAGGTCAGAGACCAAAAACAATTAATTTGCATAGAACTTGACATAGAGTCTGCCACCTACCAGCCTGACCAGTGTGGTGAAACCCCGTCTCTACCAAAAATACAAAAATTAGCCGGGCATGGTGGCACCTGCCTGTAATCCCAGCTACTCAGGAGGCTGAGGCAGGAGAATCACTTGAACCCGGGAGGCAGAGTTTGCAGTGAGCAGAGATCTTGCCACTGTACTACAGCCTGGGCGACAGAGTGAGACTCTGTCTCAAGAAGAAAAAAAAAAAGAAAAGAGTCTGCCACCTAAAGGCATTTAATTAGCATTTGTGAAAGAAATAGTAGTCCAGTTGGTAATTTCCCCACTGCTTGCAAGACCTCACAAAAGGCCTTGTAATAAAAACAATTAAATCTCATGTGACCCAGGTGTGTCAGGAATGCCTTCCTATTCTGCTATGTGGATGAGTTTTGCTAGTTTTCAAGGTTTAGTCAAGGCAAAGGAGATAGCTTGTCTCCTACGATTAGCGAGTCATCTGCTAGCCTGTGGAGGGACAAACAGGTACGATACTCCTTCGTCACTCATCACAATGGTCATGGCAGACACTTCTATAACAAAAGACAAGTTAGCAAGAGAAAAGCATGACAAATTTATTTAACAAAGTTTTAAATGACATGGGAGACTTCAGAAATGAAGAACCAAAGACCCAGGAAAAGCTGGGTATTCTTATGCTTAGGTTTGCTGACAAATGGACAGTCACGTAGAAATGAGATTGGACAACAAGGGTATGCTGCAATAATGGTAATCAACTGAGGGGAATGCAGCAAGGCCTGTCTGTTCTGCTTCTTCTTGGCCCCCTATGTAGCTCTGGGTATAGCACAAGACACTTGTCACATGAAGGTCTTCAGGGAAGAGGGGAGAATGTCAGAGAGTGACATTTCTAGGTTTTATGGCCTGCTTCAGGGGAGAGGAGTTAGAATTTCTATGACCCATCTTGAGGAAGACTTATTCTGGTTTTATGAGTTGCTTCAGGGGAGAAAGAGAGTCTGGAGATAGGAGGGTGGGAGAAGGTCGGAAATATGTTGCTTCTGAGGCCCTTGCAATCTCCTTCAGTTCAAAGTACTCAGCATGCCAAAGCACCACACTTTAGGGCACTGTGTTTTGAGCCCCAACACCAGTAAACTCCTCCTTATCTTAGTTATGGGGGGGAGTCTGGCCTGTAACCCTCTCGGACCCATCTCTGCTAGGGACCACCAACTGATCAGGATATTTGTTTCTCAAACACATATGCATCCATTTCCGCAAGCTCAAACACCCTCTGGACACTAATCTTTTCCAAAAAAATGTAGATAAGCATTGCAAAATCATTCGGAAGAGGAGGACCAACAGTTATAACCCTCTCTGAGTAACCTGCTCCCTACGACCATATGAGGAAAGGAGGTGAGCAGACGGGACAAGGACTCACAATTTAGACCTTTACAAGATATCCCAAATGGCTGTTACCTTGCTCTCTGTCTCCTCAGGTTTCTGCTGTCCTCCTCTTCGATCTTCCCTCTGAGATTCCTTTTCTAATGATCCCATCCCTTTGCCTCAGAAATCAGTCCCATTCTCAAAAAGAGAAAGTGGTCCCAGTTGCTGCTGTCTCTTCTTATGAAGTGCAAAGATGAATGCCTTGGGCTTCTGCTGAGTGTTAAAGGCAGATTCCCTTGGCTTATCCTTCTGCTGACTCTAAAGTGGGAGGAATGTGGCTACCCCTGTAGTGGAACTTCTTGAAATGCTTTTCCCCCTTGGGCAGTGAGGGCTGATGGCTGAGGCCAATTTCCTCCTGAAATACCTAAGGACAAATATTTCCCCATAATCAGTATTGCTCATCTTTCAAAGACAATGGGGGTCAGTAACACAGGAGCAAAGTATTTTTCAGGCTTTTTAAATTTTTGGAGCTGAAATATCACTATGTTGCCCAGAACGGCCTCCAACTCCTGGGCTCAAGTGATTCTCCTGCCTCAGCCTCCTGAGTAGCTGGGATGACAGGCATGTACTCTAGCCCCATGCCTGGGTTTTTTTTTTTTTTCCCAGCATATTAATATGTTCTTCACTTCACCCTATTATATCATTGTGGTAAAGGAGTTTCTGTTGTCTTCCTGGCCCTTTTCAGTTCAAAAGTCTGTCAGTTGAGAATGTTTGTTTACTTCCTACCACAGAGTTTTTTTTATCCTAAAAGCTCTCCCTAGATGGAGTGGGGGTGGGGAGGATCTCCCTTATCCTGCCAAGCAAACTAAATAGAAACTTGAAAGTTTACATATAACTGGAGTGGGGTGGCTCAGATGCCTGTAAACCCAGCACTTTGGGAGGCTGAGATGAGAGGATTGCTTGAAGCCAGGAGTTCAAAACCAGCCTATGCAACATAGCGAGACCCTGTTTTTTCCAAAAAAGACAGAAAGAAAGAAATTAGCTAGGTGTGGTGGCACACACCTGTAGTCCCAGCTCCTCAGGAGGCTAAGGCAGGTGGATCGCTTGAGTCCAGGAGTTCAAGGTTACAGTGAGCTATGATCATGCCACTGTACTCCAGCTTGGGTGACAGAACAAGATCCTGTCTTTCTCTAAAATAAAAATAAAATAAAGTAAAATAAAAACAATAAATAATTTTTAAAAAATTTTAAAGAAGTTTGCATACAGAATTAGCAAGATAATTATAAAGGCTATGTTTATGGATTTGTAATTGCCTAACAGGTTCTTACCCACTGCACAGGTAAATGCAATTCACTGAGACAGTATTATTGCAGTAAAGAGTTTAATTAACACAAGGCCAGCCAAGCAGAACTGAAGTTATTACTCAAATCAGTCTCCCCAGCAACTCAGAGGCCAGGGTTTTTATGGATAATTTGGTGGGTAGGGAGCAAGGGAAGGGGTGCTGCTCATAGGTTAGGAATGAAATCACAGGGGTGTGGAAAACAATTACGTGCACTGAGTCAGCCTCTGGGTGGGGCCACAGGACTGGCTGAAGCCTGAGCCTCAGGTCTGGGTGAGGTCAATCAGTTGCCAGAATGTAAAAATCTGAAAAGTATCTCAAAAGACCAATTTTAGGTTCTACATTAGTGATGTTATCTACATGAGCAACTGGGGAAGTCACAAATCTTGTGACCACATGACTCTGACCACATGACTCCTGAGCAGTAAGGATTATATAAAATATGCCTGTAGTTTAGCAGAATTCAGGCCCCTCCCATAATCTTAATCTTGTGGTCTCTCAGTCTTACAAAGGTGGTTTCAGTCTGTTAATAAAGAGATTACTTTTAGAAAAGGACTATTATCATCTTGCTTTAAAGTTAAACTATAGGCTGGGAGTGGTGGCTCATGCCTGTAATCTCAAGCACTTTGGGAGGCCGAGATGGGAGTATGGCTTGAGACCAGCAGTTTGAGACCAGCCTGGTCAACATAGCAAGACCTCATCCCTATTTAGTTAAAAAAAAAAAAAAAAAGGTAAACTATGACTATATGACTAAATTCCTCCCATGGTTAGCTTGGTCTATGCCCAGCAATGAGGAAAGACAGCCAGGCTGTGAGGCTAGAAGCAAGATGGAGTCAGCCATGCTAGACTGGTCTCGCTATCATAATCTCTGCAAAGGTGGTTTCAGATTCAGGGCCTTGCTCTACAAAATGTCCTTAAAAATATGATGCCTTCAATTTCAGAGGAAATAGTGAGATTTCTAAACAACATGTGACTTTTTGCCTAGGAGCTAAAAGCTTTCAACTCCTCTTCTTCCATCACGCTATCTGCAAGATGAAAGGAACCAATCTACGATTTCTAGCAGATTCTTGGAATTTGTAATTCAACTAATGCCTACCAAATATCTGCCATGTGCAGTACTGGGTGGTGAAAATGCAATTTTGTATCATTTAGGCATAATTCTCATGGTATCTACAACCTTGCTTTGAGCAATAACATACTAGGACAAAGGTTAACACAAATAATATTATTTCTTTTGCCATGTCAACCTAACAGCAAAAGAAGAAAACATTTCTCCAAAATGACTTATCCGAAAGACCCTAAGCCTTACTGGAGATTCTCAAGGAATAAGTCACTGTGGTTCAGAAGTTAATGGAAAAGCATTCCAAATTCCTTCTGTTCTTTCCTTCAATAGTGACTTCACTTAACCTTGATAGTGACAAAGAGACTTCGTCAAGGAAAAACAACTGTGAAAGGAAAAAGGAATTTGAAGAGTAATTCAATCTTAACCATCCTTTCAACTGGAAATTTGAGCTTATAAACAGTGCCAGAAAAATGTGTTAGAGACATAGCTGGAAAAAAAATGTAACTTTTTCTTAAACTCCTGCAAATGACAGAATTAGTCATAGGAATCAAAAAGGGAACAATCTCTGAGGGAGAAACACTGCTATTTCACTAGTGGGTCTTCAGAAATACCCTAACTTTCCACTCATCCCTGTTCTAAGAAATCATCTACCTCCACTGGAAAATTCCAGGCATAGGCAAAATAGTCTATTTAACTTGCATTATAATGTAAAACATCATTTGCCAGAGTAGTTACATCGCTTATCCAGATATTCTTTTCTTACCTAACACATTATTACCAAAAATATTCTAAAGTCTTAGATGCATTTGCCCTTCTCTCTTCATTTTAACGTCAGATTCTAAATGAAATTTGCATCAGCATACATACAAATGAATGTTTTAGAAGTTAAGTTATTCTTCATAATTTTCTATTTGTCTGAAATACAAGTTGTTATTTTTGTTGTTGCTGTTTTACCTCTCAGGAAATGGTGTCACCTGGTATGTGTTGATCAAAACATAAATCTAGTTGACATTCTTGATTTCTCTTTCTCACCTTCACTTGAACCTCCCAGGTTCCAGCGATTCTCCTGCCTCAGCCTCCCAAGTAGCTGGGACTACAGGCGCCTGCCATCATGCCCGGCTAATTTTTTTTGTATTTTTAGTAGAGATGGGGGGGTCTCACCATGTTGGCCAGGCTGGTCTCGAACTCCCAACCTTGTGATCCGCCCGCCTCAGCCTCCCAAAGTGCTGGGATTACAGGCGTGAGCCACCCTGCCTGGCCATATTTGCATTTTAAAAGAACATTGTATAATATACAGATAAGTGGTAAAATGTATGCTAATAATTAAAAAAATTTTTTTTTATTTAGAATGCTATTTGGTAACCAATTAAAAACACTGTGACAAGAGAAAGAATGAGGGAGAAAGGATAAAACTTTTTATTTTAGAAAATGGCTTATTTGGCTTGGTGCGGTAACACACACCTATAATCCCAGAGCTTTGGGAGGCAGAGGCAGAAGGATCGCTTGAGGCCAGGAGTTTGAGACCAGTCTGAGCAACATAGCAAGGCCCTGTCTCTACAAAAAAAAAAAAAAAAAAAAAAAAAAAATTAGCCCCTCGACATGCTGTTGCCTGCCTATAGTTCTAGCTATTGGGGAAGCTGAGGTGGGAGGATCCCTTGAGGGTAGGAGTTTGAGGCAGCAATGAGCTATGATTGCACACTGCACTCCAGCCTGGGCAACACAGCAAGACCTTGTCTCTTAAAAAAAAATTTTTTTTTAAAGAAAGAAACTGACTTCTCTAACCTCTAACTTGCTTCTAGCTATAGTCTGCAAGCTGTCCCAAGGGGCTTTCTTTAAAGGGACCAAAGCTTCTAACCACCTCCAAAATTATCAAAGTACATTCGGAATGTACTGTGTTGAGTATTTTCTCCAGTCTGGTATCACTTTTCTTTAATATTAAGATTGACTTGTTAACCAAACCTTCTCAAGGTGGAATAGCAGCACAAAGTTTGAGAGGAGATTGTTCTCTGCTTGCTCCAGGCTGAAACCAAGGATTATCCAGACCAGAACAACTTGGTAACCACAGGTTAGATATGCAAATTTAAAGTTTAACTTTATGCAAACAGTGCAACACAATCCAGGGACAAGGTCCATAAAGAAAGGTCCTGACACCTTTGCCTTTTTGTGTCTTGATGACTCTGGATCATTGAGACCTTTAGGTTTTGGCCTCCATGAAGAGATATCAGAAAAATAAAAAATGCTTTCTTTTCCTCTTGGCCCCATGGCACAAAGTTAGCCAGCCAACAAAAACGATTAACAGAGCTTCCTAAGCACAAAGCCCTGAGGAGGGAAATAGAATGGAGTGAGAAGGCATTTCACCTGGGGCTGCATGATGGCTGGTAGAAATCCTGGGATGTGAAGTCACAAGCTCACTTCATATCAGCTGTGTGACCTTAAGCAAATTCCCCTGTCTAGGCTTCAGTTTTTTCATTTATAAAGTGGGATCAATGATATTTGCCCTGCCTGCCTAGTAAGATTGTTGTAAAAATTAAGACAAGATCTTTTATGGGAAAGTGCTTTTTAACAGTAAAAACATGCAGAAAGGTATAAGATCTAGAATGATGCATTCTGGAAAGCATTTTCAAATTAATGCATTCAGTTATTTAACAGATGTTTATTAAGCACCTACAACAGGCCAGGTTCTATTCTAGGTGTTGGAGATAAATCTGGGAACAAAAATAAATAAATATCTCTCTTTTTATAGAGTTTGTAGTTAGCCAAGGAAAAAAATTATGGGAAAAAAGTAAGAGTGAGGCTGCAATTTTAAATAGGATGGTGTGGCAGATTGTTACAACAGTGGTCCCTCATAAATCATGCCTTCTTATGTCCGCACACCCTCAAAAATGGGCTCTGTTGTTCCTAACTTGCCAGTCAGGAGCCAAGGGCCTGAGAGATCTTGAAGCTTCCACTTTTTTTTTTAAGGTACAGGGTCAGCTGGGCACAGTGACTTATGCCTGTAATCCCAGCACTTTGGGAGGCCAAGGAGAGTGGATCACTTGAGGCCAGGAGTTCAAGACCAGCCTGGCCAATATGGTGAAACCCCGTCTCTACTAAAAAATACAAAAATTAGCCGGGTGTGCTGGTGCATGCCTGTAGTCCCAGCTACTCAGGAGCCTGAGGCAGGAGAATCGCTTGAACTCCAGGAGGCAGAGGTTGCAGTAAGCCGAGATCATGCCACTGTACTGCAGCCTGGGAGAAAGAGCGGGACTCCATCTCCAAAAAAAAAAAAAAAAAAAAAAGATATAGGGTCTCTCTCTGTTGCCCAGGAGTGCAATGGCATGATAAAAACTCACTGCAGCCTCAAACTCCTGGGCTCAAGAAATCCTCCTGCCTCAGCCTCTCAAGTGGCTAGGACCACAGGCACGCACCACCACGATTAGCTGATTTTTATTTTTTGTAGAGACTGGGTCTGGCTATGTTGGCCAGTCTGGTCATAAACTGAAGCTTCCACTTTTGAAAATTGTTGCTGTTGTGTAAGGAATCCCAGACTAGACTATAGAAGAATGGGATACCCATGAAAAGAAAGGCCCTGTCAACATCAGCACCAAGACTGCAGCCATGCAAGTGAGGTAATCTTATACCCTCGGGTCCCAATCCAGCTGTCAGACGACCGCAGCCTCCCTAGATGACCCCAGGAACCCAGCTGGCCCACAGAATTGTTAGAAATAATAAATCAGTGTTTTTAAGAAAGGCCAGAGAAAGCCTCTTTGGGAAGGTGATACTTAAGCAACAACTTGAAGAAGGAAGCTGTTGTGGATTTAATGTGTTCTCCCCAAATTTTTATTTTGAAGCCCTAATACCCTGTGTGGCTATATTTGGAGGTGGGGCCTATAAGGAAATAATAAAGATTAAATCAGGTCATAAGGACGGGCTGTTATCTGATAGGGTTAGTGTTCTTATGAGAAGAGACACTACAGAGCTCTCCCAAGTCCCTGGTCTTCCCAATGCACTCATGGAAAAAAGACCATGTTGGGGATATAGCAAGTAGGCAGCTGGTTGCAAGCCAGGAAGGGAGACTTCACCAGAAACCAAATTGATCATAACCTTGATCTTGGACTTCCAGCCTCTACAACTGTGAGAAAATAAATTTCTGTTGTTTAAGCCATCCAGTCTATGGTATTTTGTAATGGCAGCCAGGGCCTACTAATACAGAAACTGTGCCGAAGTTTACCTGAAGTTGCAAAGGCCAGCTGGAAGGCTGCGATACTGGAGCACAGTAAATAACAACAGAATTGGAGGACATGGGGTCAGAGAAGTAAGGTGGGGTGCAAATCGACAGGCCATCTGCCTTTTACTCTTTGAGTTAAAAGTCAATGAGGAGTTTTGAGGGGTGGAGTGACATATTTTCAAAGGACATGCATTTCTGCAATACATTACTTTTGTTTAACAATGAACATGTGTTACTTTTGTAATCAGGAAACATCAGGACACTTAGAAGGCTACATAAGAATGGCAACTTTAGGCCGGGCGCGGTGGCTCATGCCTGTAATCCCAGCATTGGGAGGCTGAGGCGGGCGGATCACAAGGTCAGGACATTGAGACCATCCTGGCTAAAACGGTGAAACCCCGTCTCTACTAAAAAATACGAAAAAATTAGCCAGGCATGGTGGCGGGCGCCTGTAGTGCCAGCTACTGAGGAGGCTGAGGCAGGAGAATGGCGTGAACCCGGGAGGCGGAGCTTGCAGTGAGCCGAGATTGCCGCCACTGCACTCCAGCCTGGGCCACAGAGCGAGACTCCGTCTCAAAAAAAAAAAAAAAAAAAAAGAATGGGACCTTTAATGTTAACTTGTGGGATACAAAGGAAAGGGAGAAGAGGGAGAAAAAAATAAAAGGGTGGGAAGAAGAGATTGTAGCTGACTAGAAGTACAAGTCCCCAAAGGCCACCATCTTGGAATTAGTTGAGAACCTAGATACTTGTTGTATTCTTTGCAATGCACTCCCACTTTTTTTTTTTTTTTTTTTTTTGAGACAGGGTCTCATTCTGTCACCCGAGCTAGAGAGCAGTGGTGCAATCTCAGCTCACCGCAACCTCCTCTCCTGGGCTCATACAATTCTCCTGCCTTGGACTCCCAAGTAGCTGGGATTACAGGTGCACGCCATCACGCCTGGCTAATTTTTATATTTTTAGTAGAGACGAGGTTTCACCATGTTAGCCAGGCTAACTCTCACTCTTAATTGCACCTCTGCAGAATGGCACCTGACAACAGATGGGGGAAGGGAGTAAGGGGTAGGGGCAAGAACAGAAAACAAAGCATGGATTGAATCATTTCTTGGTAGGGATCAAATACATCTGATTTACCCCAGAATCTAGCATGTTGCCTGGCTTATACGAAGTAAGAGCTCGATTAATATGTCTTGAAGAAATGACTGGCTTGACCATTCCCCTTATTCTGCTTTCCCAGTTTCCCCATTTCCAGCCCCCCCGCCCCACCTTTTTTTTTTTTGATACAACTGAATTCTAAAGGGCTTTTTTTAAAACAAAGAGTTAGTGGAGTGGAGGGTTGATATTTAATATAATAAAACAGCAAAAGTCTGCTCTATTTAAGTCCTGCATACCTCATGGTCTGTTACTAGGTTTAAAAATGCAACAGATTGAACTGAATCTTCAAGTAAAGTTGAGATCTCACAGTTTCCCAGATAATCCTTTATATCTCATCATTGTTTATATCTAACTGTGGATTGTAACTGGAAGTGTTAACATTGCAATGGGAAGGTTATATGAGTTGTGTTATCTTGTAACTTTATATGTGTTTACTCATTTAATCTACACAGCTGTGCTACAAGGAAAGTATCATCATTAACCCCATTTCACAGATGAGGAAGCAGAAGCTAAGGCTCATGTTAGGTAACATGCCTTTGAGGAGGCAGTTCCAGCAGCCACTATATTCTGCAGCTTCTCAGTTCCAACGACAAAGAGCTGGTGATTAAGCACTTTCTTTCATCCTTCCTTAGTAGACAAAGAGAGGGAGGAATGGTTAAAGATGCTCAATGCAAGCCTGGATGGATTGTTTCTTTTTGGTTTTTTGTTTGTTTTTAAATTTACTTACCACTCTATATCTCTGACCCCAAGTCCTTCAATTCTGTCCTCATTTACTGTGCTCCAGTATCACAGCATTCCAGCTTGCCTTTGCAACTTCAGATAAACTTCAGTATGTCTTCTGTATTAGTAGGCCCAGGCTGCCATCAGAAAATGCCATAGACTTACTTATAGTGTCTCTCTTTGTTACCCAGGCTAGAATGCAGTGGTGCAATCTTGGCTCATTGCAGCCTCAACCTCCTGGGCTCAAGTAACCCTCCAACCTCAGCCTCCTGAGTAGCTGGGACAACAGGCGCACACCACTGCGCTCAGCTAGTGTTTCTTAAATTATTTTTTGTAGAGATGGGGTTTCACCATGTTGCCCAGATTGGTCTCAAACTCCTGGGCTCAAATGACTCATCTGCCTCGGCCTCCCAAAGCATTAGGATTACAGGCGTGAGTCACTACACCTGGCTGTACAGTACTTTTAAAATGAGCATTCTGTCTAAAGTGCTCATTCTAAAAGTGCTGCAAGTATGCTTTGCTGTGACCAATGGTTTCATTTCCTAAACATTGTATATAACCATTTTTTTTCTAAGTTCTAGAGGAGCTGACCCTGATGAATAGAAGAAAAGATTATTTTCGTTTTGAAAATCATACCCTTAGTCATCTGTTCTGTAAACTTGGGCTTTTATGGATCATATATTTTAAAACTACGAACATAAGTATATTTCAAATGAATCCTCTGAAGAACGCAAATGACCAACTATTAATATCTGTGGTCACAGAGATGAATTTTCATCTTTTTTAATAGACTAAAAAGGTAGAACACTTTTAGTCCCAATGACCAGTCTAAGTTTCAAGTTAACAAAAAAGAGATACAAAATATTGGTCAGCCCAGAAGCAAATTCCTTATTCCCTGCCCAACGAAAACAGTCAACATTCCTTATTGAGGACTGCTGTGGTTTGAATGTGTACCCCAAAGTTTATGTATTGGAAACTTAATCCCCAATGCAACGTTGTTGAGAGGTGGAAACTTTAAGATGTGATTGGGTCATGGGAGCTCTGCCCTCATGAACAGTTGAATGCTGTTGTTGCAGTAGTGGGCTCCTGATAAAAGGATGAGGTTAGCCCTCTTTCTCTTGCCCTGGCTCTCCTGCTCTCTTGCGCTTCTGTCTCCTGCCATGGGATGATGCAGCACGAAGGTCCTTGCTGCAGGCACTTTGATATTGGACTTCCCAGCCTCCAGAACTGTGAAAAGTAAATTTCTTCATAAATTACCCAGTCTTTGGTGTTCTGTTATAGCAACACCAAGAAGGCTAAGACAAAGACTCAATAAATTACCCCAAGTCAGAGTTCCTTGCAGCTATTTGAAAATCTGTCTTCAGGTCTTTCGCCAGTAGGTCACTGGGTCTGACCCAAGTTCAGAGAACTTACTTACAAAGAATCATAGGCAACCCAAGAGGGTTCTTGGTATTACAATGTCTGAATCCCCTGATTTGCTAAGCAAAATACACAAAGTAATACATGTATGAAAAGATGTCTGTGAGATATTAAATCACCAGTGACTTGTCTTTGCTGTCTTTTGAGAGAAAGGCAAAATTAGTTCTTACTTGGGCAGTGTCCATTTCCTTATCTCTTGTATAATCTTGCATTTGAATAGCTTTATTTTCCAGGCTTAAATGATGGATACATCTCTCAAATATTATAGAAATATTATTAACGAAAACCACTTAAATGTATTAAACATTCAACATGCCAGGCATTGTCCTAAGCAATTCATGTGTTAACTCATTTAATCTACACAGCTATGCTGCAAGGTAAATATTATCATTAACCCCTTTTCACAGATGAGAAAGCAAAAACACACCCCTGTTAAGTAACTTGCCTTTAAGGAGGCAGTTCCAGTAGCTTAAACTCTAACCACCATATTCTGCAGCTTCCCAGCTCTAACGACAGAGTAGGTGGTCACGCTGCTGGCAGGAGGCTTTTTATACAGAGGGAGTTAAGTCTTAGGCTAAGAAAATTAACTTAGTTTCATATAATGAGGAGGATTTTAGCAACTAAAAACTCAGTATGAGTAGAACCAACTTAGAACCTCTTGTAATCTTCTCAAAAGCAACTCCTGCAATAGGTCTCAATTCATTGCAATTGAGCACATGTGTTATTTGCTATGGCTTTAGCTCTGGCTGGCAGAAGAACTGAGGCCATACTTAGAATATGTCATTGGGCTAATTTTATTCTGTAAATAATAGAATAACTGTTTACAATATTTTAAAACATCTTTCCTGGCCTCCTCTGAGCTCCTTATTGCTCCGTCAGCAGACTTTTCTTGGTCACTACTGACTGTAATTTTAGTCCTGGTGAATGGCACGATTCTCCTGCTTATATTGATTGTATATAAACTGTATTATCCTGTAAAAGCTCTGCTCACTTTTACAAGGGGTCAAAGATATAAAACACACACAAATGCTTTTCATCTGACAATTCATGTTTTGTTTAAAATTCACTCTGCCAAACTGAGCTCATTTGGGGTGAGGAATTAGAATAGATTACAATGGAAAGGGAAGAAGGTAGGCCAAAAAAAAAAAAAAAAAAAAAAAAATTGAAACCTCCTGGAGGTTTTGAAATGCAAATCTGGAAAGGGTACACATGTACCAGCAGGGGTGGGAATGTTACTTTCCTCAACTTTCTTCATTCTTCCTCTATTCTAAGCAGTTTCTTCCATGTGAAGCTGGGTCCTTTCTCCCCGTGGACCACAAATATTTGATTTCTTGTCCCAGCCCAGATGGTGGAGTACAGTGACCATCAACAGAAAAAGGAAAAGATCCAGTAAAAATAAAGGTCAGGGCGATGCAGGCGCCTGCTGCCGCATGGGTTGGGAACAGCCGAAGAATCCATGTTTGAAATGCCATGCTGGAAAGAAAAGTCACATCTGCCCAGAGGGCCTAGCAAATGTTACAGTGTTTTCCTGCACCCACCTTTCTGGATCTGTTGAATGTCACTCTCTACCACACTGACTCTGCATCAAGCAGCTGAGACAGAGCTTTCTCATTTCTGAGTAAATGACCATGAGTAAAGACGGTCATGCTTTTAACATTTAGTGAGGGCAAATAATTACATTACCTTGGGTGGATTGCCCTTTCATGACTGTCAACAGCCTAACAGAGGAAACAAGTTGTAATGCTAAGGACAGATGCTGAGATACATCAAAACTTCTCTCTAAGGCTAAAGAATGAAGAAAAATCCTAGCTTGGGGCATATTTATGTAACCGGATGTCAATACAGATTTCAAAACATCTTTTTGAATTGCTGACAGAGCACCAGTCATCTGCTGGGTATTTGAGTGGAAGAGCATAAGCAACACCTCTCTGGTTGTAGGGGTGCCTGCGTCAGAGACTAGTAACTGCTATTTACAATGTGAGAACAGAGACAGGTCAAATTCTCTAGGTTTGTTTATCTCTTAGATGAGGACAATGCCTTTCTGTTAGTGGTCTTGTGAGGATTCAATGAGACAAGATATGCACATTGCCTGATTTAGCAGTGCCCCTGTCTCCTGATGGCTGGGTGACCTTGGACAGATTGTGTAACTTCACAGTTTATGTATAAAATGGAAGTAACTCACACTTCCCTGTTTGTCTGTGATACAAGTCAAATGCCCATCTGGCATACAGTCGGAGCCATTACGATTGTTACTTATATTGTCCAATTCACTTTTTTTTTTTGAGATGTAGTCTTGCTCAGTCGCCCAGGCTGGAGTGCAGTGGTGTGATCTTGGCTCACTGCAACCTCTGCCACTTGGGTTCAGGCAATTCTCCTGCCTCAGGCTCCTGAGTAGCTGGGACTACAGGCGTGCACCACAATGCCCGGCTAAATTTTGGACTTTTAATAGAGATGGGGTTTTGCCATGTTGGCCAGGCTGGTCAAACTCCTGACCCCAGGTGATCTGCCTGTCTTGGCCTCCCAAAGTGCTGGGATTACAGGTCTGAGCTACTGTACCCAGCCCAATTCACTTCTAATACCATCTTCTATCTTCAGAAATGGAAACTTGAAAACATATAATCAATCCCCTAAAGAACAGCAGTTACTTAGGATTGATACGTGGAAGGTGTAGACTTGAATTCATGTGTCAGCTACTTCTAAGGCAAAGATGAAAATGTTCTCTTTACTGAATTTCCTACCATGATGATAAATTAATAGCAAACTCTTGATTATGCACATTTATCTCCAGGGAGTGCTAGGCACCATGCTGACATAATCTTCACAACATTCTGGGAAGTGGAGATGATGAGTGATTTAAACACCATCTTCAGGAAGATGAAGGGTTATCATCAGGAGAGTAACCAGATGTTTCCATCATAACCAAAGCCGGATAGGTAACAGGCCTAAGCTGCAGGAAATACTTGGGTTAAACCCTTGGAGATACATCTTGAAGTTTTCATTCAGGCAGAACTTCATTTCATTTTTTTTTTTATTTTTATGTATGTATGTATTTTTTAACCAGAGTCTGGCTCTGTCGCCCAGGCTGGAGTGCAATGGTGCAATCTTGGCTCACTGTAACCTCTGCCTCCTGGGTTCAAGTGATTTTCCTGCCTCAGCCTCCTGAGTAGCTGGGATTACAGGCATGCACCACCATGCCTGGCTAATTTTTGTATTTTTAGTAGAGACGGGGTTTCACCATGTTGGCCAGGCTGGTCTCGAACTCCTGACCTCAAGTGATCCACCGGCCTCGGCCTCCCAAAGTGGAGAACCTCATTTTAAAGTACTGAAACATGTGGCTATTACTTATAGTTTTTCAATGGCAAATTGAAAAAATGTATTTCTTTACATTATCTATGCAGCTTGGCGTAACACCTGTGTGATTCCTTCGAGTAGGTCTTCCCCTAAAACTACTCTAGCTAATTTTCATGCTGGGCTATTTGGCAGTTTTCCAGAAGCATTCTGAAAAGGCTCAGAATGCGCAGGTTATCCCATGGTCGACTGAACTTTAAGCAACTAAGCCAGACTCAGCCTGAAGATTAACAGAATGGGACAGTTTAGCTACCTGGGCACGTGAAGGGTGTCAATGAATGAAGGGCTTAGCACAAGTGCATATGCCATTGGGGCAGTCATAGACCTTCAAAACCTCACACTACTGGGAGGATGACCTATATTGCCACCACCTCTTCCAGCAGCCCACAATGACTGTCACTTTTTTCCCCCCCGCTCTGTAGTTGCTATGGTGACATGAAAAGCATGGCTGCTAGCAAGAGCAAATGGGGATGTGGAAGTTGGTCTAAGCCACAAGCACCAACAAAATCCCCAATTCCTGCCTCTCCCACTAGAACCCAGCAGAAGGCTGATGGGAGAGGCATAACCCAGTGGGGGAAGAAACACCATTTCTGATGACTGATTTGTTTTTCGTAGGTGTGTTATTTAGGACAATGCTTCTCAGACTTTAATTTGCCTATACATCACCTGGACACCAACCTGTTAAAACATAGATTTTGATTCAATCAATCAGTCTGGAAAGGAATCTGACATTCTGCATTTCTAACAAGCCCCCAGTGCTGCTATGGCTGTCCAGCCACGGGTTTGAGTAGCAAGGTCTTCAGGATTTGTTCCATCTATCAGAGCCCCCAAATTGTGGCTTAAACAGGACAGAGATTTATTTCTCCTTTATATGACCCTGTTTCTTGAGGTCACCAGGGGCCCAGACTTTTACTGTGCTTCTGTGCCACATCTGATTTGTTGCCCTGATCTGCACAATCTAAATTGGGCTTATTTCTATATGTGCAATTTAAGCAGCAGGAATGGGAAAGGATATGCCCTTCCTTTAAGGTCCTAATCCAGAAATCCCACATTCCACTTACATTCCCACTCCTTTGGCTAGAATTTAACTAAATCCTAGCCCCATGGCACATCTAGCCCCAAGGAAGGCTGGAAAATAGTTTTCATTTTGTTTTTTTGAGACAAGGTCTTGCTCTGTCACCCAGGCTGGAGTGCAGTGGCCCCATCTCTGCTCACTGAAACCTCTACCTCCTGGGCTCAAGTGATCCTCCTGCCTCAGCCTCCTGAGTAGCTGGGACTACAGGCATGCACCACTGCGCCAGCTAATTTTTGTTATTTTTGGTAGAGACAGGGTTTTGCCATGTTGGCTAGGCTGGTCTCGAATTCCCGGCCTCAAGCGATCCACTCGCCTTGGCCCGTGAAGTGCTGGGATTACAGGTGTGAGCTACCATGCCTGGCCTGTTTTGTTTTCTAAAAAGAATCAGGGTCTTGCTGTGTTGCCCAAGCTGGACTGGAACACCTGGGCTCAAGTGATCTTCCTGCTTCAGTCTTCACAGTTGCTGGGACTACAGGCATGCACCACTGCCTGGCTTTTAAAAATACACATTTTATTGTGTTCCAGGTGTCCACTGAAAATTCCATTACCAAGGAAGGAGACAATGCATATTAGGGAAGGCCAACAGTCTCTGGGGATAAAAGTAACAATAGTATTATTGCGTACTTACTATCTGCCAGGCACAGTGCCTCAAATGAATCGCCTCATTCAATTGTCACACACAATAAAACCCATTTGGTAGGCATTATGACTATTCCCATTTACAGTAAAAAAACTGAGGCTTAGGTAAGTAGCTTCCGCACAGTCACACAGCTGGGGCCAAGGCAGGATGCAAATCCAGGCACTGTCACTCCAGAGCCTGGAATCTTAGGAGTGAAGGAAGGACAGCTTACAGTGGCAGTAGGTGGGGCTGGGGAAGTTTCTACCATCAGGGGTCCCACAGCAGTAGGAGGGGGTGGATGAGACTATGGGATGAAACTTTTCAGGATTAACTCTCAGCAAATAATCCCATGAATTTCCACAAGAAAGGTGATGCTTACCTGGAACAGTTTATACATTTTATGTCCAGAGACACAAGGATGAAGAATGGACATCTGCTATTGGCTTTGTGAGTGAAGGGACTTATTTCCATGATTTCAGCTGTGACTGTCACCCCAGGATAGGCTAGGCCAGGCCTGAGAGGCAGATGGTTCCTGGCCTGCTGCCCTTCTGCCCCCTTGGCTTCAGCCTTCCCTGTGCCCCAGTGGATACCGCCTTGAATACCCGGAGCCTTTAAGAGAGCCGCAGCTGGCCAGGATCAGAGGGGGCCACTTCTTCGTGTTGCAGTCACAAGTTAGAGGACTTTTGAAAACTGGTTTCCAGGGGCTTGCTCTTTTTTCCCCCCTTCTTTTTTTCATGAAAGGAGCTTTTTGTTAGTACAGCCTTTGTTTGGGGATTCAGTTGATAAAGGGACCATTTTATTGGAATGAATTACTGACGCAAGTGCTGGCAGAAATCTTAGCGAGAGGACAGCACTCTGGCTTTTATTCAACAAGGTGAATGGAAATAACTATTGGGCGTTGGCCTCAAGGGCACTTTGGAGTTTGCTGCCATCAGCAACTTATAGAGTTTTGGTTACTGGTTGAAGTAGAGACCAGGGGAGACAGAGAAAGTATTACGGATTAAGAAAGAATATGCTTTCTTTCTTTATATTAAAAAAATGTCAAACAGTCAGGACTTTGCTGGCCATGAATTATAGAATGAACTCTTCCTGCCTACTATTAAATTACTAAATCTGTACTACTAAGAATGAGGTCCCTGTGACAATTTTGGCTCATCTTTCTGAACCCTTGAAAGAGCCAATCCTGTCACGCCAACTAACTGCTAGTGAGAAAAAATTAAACAGCCACAAGGAAACCAAGTTCTTTCAGACTTTGAGAGACTCACCCAGACATGGCATATTTAAAAACAGACTTTAAATACTCTTCTTCAGATTGGTGCTCAACGGACTTCGTAGAAAGATATGAAAATATTAAGCCAAAGCTTATACATACTAACTTGTTTTTCTCCCATGTCTGGTCCATGCGATGCCAACATAAATTCACGAGGACACATAGGTTGACAGTCTATTTGGGCCCACAACTCTTTTTCTGTTGTTGAGGTGTCAAAACCCAGTATATTTAAAGTCTGTTGCATGAGTCAGCATTTCTCAGGAACTCTCTGAGTATTCCTATTTGCAAACAGTGGTATGGAATGTGACATTTAAACCAACTGACCGTGAACTTTTCAGAGTTCAAGGAAATTAGTAAGGGCTGATAGTCAACAGAAATTTGGGTAAAAGAGGTACCCCTTGATACTGTTTGAAGGCATCTAACACCAACCAGTTCTAAGTGACTGAACCCCAAGTAGTGTTTAGGAAACAGGAGCCTATGGGCAGGGCTGCCAGTGGCCAAACTTAGGGATTATCTCATAGATTGTGGTTCCTACAGAATGGCTCTTCTCTGAAAAGCAAAGTGAACTGTGGCATCCTGCCACCCCTGCCCTTCAAAAACAACATACACTTGTTTTAAGAAAGGCAGCTCATTGAGATGTAGTTTGCTACCATATTTAAGGTACATATGTAAAGGCCTTACAGATGTAGGGCCTTCTATATGCCAATTATACTTCAATAAGGTGTTTTGTTTTGTTTTGTTTAAAAAAGGGAAGACAAGTTTTCCAGTCCTAAAAGCAAAGATCCTAAGATCTGGACTCCTTATCTCACAACTAAGATGGAGTGGCATCCTTCTAAAAATACTGTGCTAATTTCAGGTGGTGGCATTACCAAGCAGGGAGAACAGTGCCCTACAAGGCTGGTGGAAGGGAAATGTTCAGGACCGTTTACAACTACAAAACTTCCCTGAAGCTCTTCTTTAAGTTCACTCCACCCCTGCCATTATTCATTTACACAGATTTTGTACACTTTTTGTTTGTTTGAGGCAAGGTCTTGCTCTGTCACCAGGTTGGAGTACAATGGCACAATCATAACTCACTGCAGCCTCATACTCCTGAGCCCAAGTGATCCTCCCACCTCAGCCTCCCAAGTAGCTGGGACTACAAGTGCATGCTAACATGCCCAGCTAATTTTTAAAATTTTTTGTAGAGATGGGGTCTTGCTATGTTGCCCAGGCTGGTCTCAAACTCCCAGGCTCAAGCCATCCTCCTGCCTCAGCCTCTCAAAGTGCTGGGATTATAGGTGTGAGCCACTGCACCTGACCTACACCATCTATAATTGTAATTAAACACTTCTATTATTTACATAATTAATATTTATCTCTCTACTTTGCTATATAAACCTCCATGTAGCCAGAACTTATTCCAACACTGAATCCCTACTTCCTTGTATTAGATAGGCACCAGGGTACATCATTAACACTAGTGAATACATTAATGAATGCTGAGACAACTGGAAGATGCATAGAAAAGAATTTGCTGTACTGAAAATATGCCACTGCTTTTTGTCTGATTATTCAAACTTAAGCTTAAAAATGTTTAATAAGCTAGTCCCCTACCTCAAGCCTTTGAGGAGGAGAAGGAATGGCCAGGGTGCCAGAGCCAGCGTCAATTCCTGACTCAGCTACAGGGGATGCAGCCTTTTCTATTTGTGATAATACTTCTCAGAGCATTCACAGGCTCTATGGCAGGCAAAGATTCACCTCCATTGGCCACAGACCAGGACTCCCAGAGTTCAGTTCTGGGGAGGAAAGCAAAGATATGAGTCCATCTTTGCCCATTATCAGCAAAATCCTTCAAGCTGTGCTTAGAAGTGACAAAAGTCCAGTGTTTAAGTGAGTCCAGTTTTGTAGCGAGAGGACACTACTTTGTCAGAGTGCCAAACTGTTCTATTCTCTTGAAGAGTCCTGTAGAAGGCCTATGAAACATCTGCCAACTAATATCTAAACAGGTGGCAGGGAATTTTTTGGATTTTTCTGAGATTGATTAGATACTGGTCAGTTAGATAATGAAGGAAATCATTATCTAAAAAGTGTATTCTCCTAGGATTTGTCTGGCTATGACGCCTAGCTGCACAAAAACACAGAAAATACAGCTTGTCATTAAGATAGGGAAAGGTAAGAGTTTCCCTACCCAATGAACTACATTTCCTATTATTTTCCCACCAACACCAGAACAACACTGAAAAGGGCAAGAAATTAAATGATACTTGTGATTCTGTGTTATCTTCCAAATGGTGGTGATACTGGAGGTTGTGTTAATAAGTCATTAAAATTTTTATTTTGTTGTAATAAAATTTATTTTTAGAAAACATTTTCTATTTATTGGCAACCCTATATTACTGGTAGAAAAATGTACCATATAATCAGAACTCCAAACTATGTCAAAAAAGCTATTATTAAGAAATGTGTTATTTCTTGTTACTTATTCTTAAAAAAACAAAACCCCTAAAAATCCACATACCTCTACTGCATTCCAAGTCTGTAAGAGTATAAAATCTATGACACGAGGTGCTCAGGAGCAGCAGTACCAGTCAACTGTTGTGAGAGGTGCTTACTTGAGGCACTTTAAATTAAAACAGGAAATAAATCAGTATTTCAGCAAATCTAAATTTACAAGTTTGGACTTGATGTGTTTGTCTTTAGTGAACGGAGTTAAAGCAATATTGCACCAATTAAGCAAAGTAAATTAAGACCCCTCAAAAAAGGTGATATAGTAAGAAAATGTCAATTTAATCATTTACTTTAGCAGGCAAGCAATTTGTAAACATTCAGTAGCGGCAGCATCCAAGTTACAAACAATTTAAAAAGAACCAAGATTAGTGATTATAATTTTTCCTTCCCTTTCCCCAAAAGAAAAAAAAAAATGATTTGGAAATGAATGACTTAAAACCCTACAAACATTGAACATTCAGTTATGTCTTCTATCAGCCTTCTATGCATCCTCTCTGTTTTATTTTAAAAGATGTATCTACTCCTAAAATGCATTATCTTGTAATAACTTGTACGTGAGCACTTGCAATCTAGGAAGTTGTTCCTGCACATCACTGTGCATATATTATCTTAGTTTAAATCCCATTTGCAAAGGGAATATTTATGTCTTGATTCAATGCCTCTTTGACTTCGAGTGGCAGGGTATCAAAAAGGTGATCTTCCACAACAAGCCCGCTTTTCTTGAGCATCCGACACTGGCCCAGCTGGGCTGGCAGGCGGTCCAAGCAGTTCCCCTTCAGCTCCAGCTGAGTGAGCTGGGAGAGCTGACCAACTTTCTCTGGGAGTGAGGTGATGCAGTTCTGTCCCAGATTCAAAGTCCTCAACTTTATGCATTTAAACAATTGTTTTGGCAGAATGTCCACTTTGTTCCCAGTGATATGCAAATGCTGCAGGTTCTGAAGCAATCCTATTTCTATTGGAATCATTGAAATGTTGTTGTAGCTCACATCTAAGCATCTGAGTTTCTGTAAACTAAATACTGCCACTGGTAAGGATTCGAGCTTGTTGTTAGAGAAATAAAGTGACTCCAAGTTTTTGACATGGGTAATAGAGGGAGGAATAGTAACAATTTTGTTATGCCATAATTTTAAACAAGTCAGTCGTTTTAAATGCTGGAAACTGATGATTTCCTCAATTGTGCGAATGTTATTGGACTTTAAATCCAGTTCCTGTAAATTAGAGAGGCTGAAAATAGCATGTGGGATTCTCTCTAGCTCACAGTTCTGGAGTTCCAGCTCAGCGACATTCATCATTTTCTTAAGGCTGTTCAGTACCAAGAGTTTAGTGCCGTCATTATGAATGACTAACTTTGTAAGATGTGGAGCCACATCTGTAATGTTGGAGGGAACTTTGGTCAAATTGCTCTTCACGTGGAGAATCTTAAGGTGCCGCAACTCTCGGAGAGATTCAAGTCCTATCATCTTATTGTTTTCAGAGTTCAAATTGCCTATTAAGTACAACTCTCGAAGGTTTTTGAGCAAATACACCCAGGCAGGAATTTCAGCCACATCAGTGAACTTCACGTGAAGGCATCTCAAGTGATCGCGAAGAAAGCTAAAAGCAGTCTGTTCAACTTTTGCAGGGCAGTGGCAGAGGTGGAGCTCTTGGAGGTTAGTCATTTGAGAAATCTTAGCAGGAATTTTAGCTTCTGGAATTAGTTCAAGCTTTAGCACATCCAGGTCTGTGAGGTCAAAGACAGCATCGGGCACCCCCGACAGCATGAACAGATGCAACTCCTGCTTGTCCTGGGCGTTGCGTGAAATGTGCTGCCTGAGTTTTTCAAATGTCCACTCATGGTTCAAACTAATTTCCCTAAGTTTATTTTCACTAACTTCTGACAAGAACACACCAAAACGCTTGGAATATAGCTGGTCATACTGGTCTACCATGTGAAGAAGGAACGCAAAATCGTTTTTGACATCTGGAATGTCACTAAAACTGCTCTCTTCTCTGACTTTTTCGAAAGAATATTCCTTCAAAGGTATCCTGAATAACCAGAAGAGAGTGTAGAGGCAGATAAAGCCATAAACACAAATAATGGATATGTAACTGATGAGAAGCTTTTTCAACATGTAAGCCATATTGTGGGTGCACTCAAATACCTCATAACCAATCAGATGCTCAACTTTGGGCTTGCAGACGTGTTCAAAGCTGATTGCGTTGACAAAGTTCGCTGTATAGCAGAGAATAAAAATGAACTTGGCTGTTTTGATAACTGTTTGGACCACATAGAGTTTATAGATCAAGTCACTATCTTCCACATGGGCACGGAACTTCCTCACTTTCTCAAACAGGGCTTTGGCCTGCTCTCCATCCTTTTTATCCAGGATTGTCATGCTGGGAACTTCAATCACAGGCTTCTCAGCTGAAAATTTAAAGCCAGTTTTATTGATCATTGGTGTACTGGCACTGGGGCTCCCTTCATCACTGCTGGTAGAAACATGCTTTGGTAGAGTCTGGGCACCTGTTATTCTCTGCTTGTTTTCCTCTGAGTCTTCGCATGCTGTCTCAGACAACGCTTTTGTCGTCCAAGGGGATTCAAAGCACTTTCCTAATATTGAAACAAAATGTTCTACTTTTGAGCATGTTTTGGGATATTTGAACCAAAAGTTGCTACTGACCATGAGAATAATAGTATGTATAAGAGCTAGGTATGGAAAGTACTTAGAATACCACGGAAGGGCCAGATGGTAACACATTTGATTAATAAATACATATTGCTGAAAATCCAAGTTTGTTTTTCGACCTGTTGGATCTTTCTTCTCTTTCTTTGCCTCCTGATTTGGAAGTGCGAAATCTGTGCGAGGATATGTGGCTCTGAGAGGTATGTCAGGTGTCACAGCAGATGTCCCAAAGGAAATGTCGTTTGTTGTCCGCCCATCTTGGTCTTGGTTGGTGGCTGCTTCCATCTTTGGGATGTTGGTGGTGACCTCGGCATTTCCTGGTGGTGTATGTGCCTTTGAATTTACAGGAGATGGCAATACTGGCAAACAGACCACCTGATCTTTGGTAAGTTGCATGGTTCCTGCAAAGATGGCTACCATTAACATAACAACAGCTAGGTAATCCATAAACACATCCCACCATGGTTTCAGGATTCGGTAAGTTGGCTGAATGTCATTAAGTGATGCAACTTCCGCAAGGGTAAACATTCCTAGAAAACAAGAAGACAAAAGACATTATTCTAGAGATGCAAATGAAAAGAGTAAATGAGAAAAACCCTATGCCTGCTCCTAACTAAAGTTTTCTCATTCAGGTCCTATCTTTTTATCCAATATAAATGTAGTAGAAAATAAACTAAAAGGGGAATATACAGCTTTTCTCTCCTAGTGCAAGGGAAGAGGGAAAGAATGAGTAAGAATTGCATTCTAGGTAAGAAATTATGACAGACTGCACCAAGTCCATAGTGGTTACTTAGTGGACCTTGAAGGAGGGTATGACAGCAGGATGGCATTTGTTGTGGACTCATTAAAGGTTAAGACTGAAATTTGGAGGTCAAGGAGTGGGATGACTCTTATTTTGTATAAGCCAAAATTGAAAGGTCTGTGTATACCATTAAATACCGTTAAACTTTGGATAGTCTTATGTTCCAGACTTAGTTCTAACACTTACTAATGGTTGATTCCTTAAGCCTTGTGTATTTCCCATCTGTATAATAGGGATGAAAACTTCTAAGGGTTGTTGGAAAGGTTAAATTAAGTAATGATTGTAACGCTCTTAGCACATCCTCTGGCCACAAGTGTTTGTTAGCTGTTTACGTTAGCTCCAATCACTCTGGTGGAAGTGTCCATGAACAGTTGAAACTAAGGGTCTAGCGTTTAGGAGGAGTCTTACTATACACACTTGGGATTTATCAATATATATAGCTGAAACTCTGGCCTTTGATGCAGTCCTATGGAAAGCATGTGGATTGAGAAGACAGCTCAAGACTCAGGTGGCCATGAAATAATCAATGATGGTGATGCTGAATAAGTCAGCACCAGGAAGACATACGATCTCTACCAAAGCAGGTGACCCGAGCAGCCATGAATGAAGCCCCGGTGCCAGGAAACTTGAAAATGTGGTTATTATTCACTATCAGCTGACAGCTTTATAGCACGGAACTAGTTTATACAAATAATAAAGGACAAGGACAATCATCCTGGAAGTAACCAAGAAAAACAGTGTTTCTAGTGGCAAGTAATGGGAATGGGCTTCTCTAATTATGTGCATGAACTGAATGTTTCAACTTCTTGAAAAACCACATGACCATATTTTCATTTCTTGAGAGGTTCTTGGGTTTCCATATTTATATTGCTTTGTCTTTTTTAAAGAAAGAAATCATGTTATTTCTTTAAAAACTAGCAAAAGACCAAGCAATAAAAATCAAGGCAAGTACCCAAGAGTTTTGGGAATGCATGTATTTTTTTAAATTAAGGATGGAAGATGAATTTTTAATATTTTTATTTATTTATTTATTTTTGAGACAGAGCCTCACTCTGTCACCCAGGCTAGAGTGCAGTGGCGCGATCTCAGCTCACTGCAACCTCTGCCTCCTTGGTTCAAGCGATTCTCCTGCCTCAGCCTCCCGAGTAGCTGGGACTACAGGCATCCACCACCACACCCACCTAATTTTTGTATTTTTAGTAGAGACAGGGTTTCACCATATTGGCCAGGCTGGTCTCGAACTCCTGACCTTGTGATCTGCCCACCTTGGCCTCCCAAAGTGCTGGGATTACAGGTGTGAGCCACCACACCCAACCAGGAAGATGAATTATCTATTCATGGGTTGTCTGGAATGCTGTGTTGAGGAGGATTCTGAGGCTGATTCTGGTTTCAGTAGGAAACAGTGCTGTGACTGATTACTTGTGTCTTCCTTGGATGACACAATGAAGAAAGGTGGCATTAGTACTTTGATTCTGCTCTGTTTTAAATTAAGTTTCTGAAGGCAGGGACCAGGTCTTTTTTTTTTTTTTTTTTTTTCCGAAACCCTTCCACATACCTAGTACTGCACAGAGTAGGTTCATAATATTTTTTAATAAAATACAATGAATACTACAGCAATGATCACATCTGTAGTTAGTTTTGTAAGCAAAATTATCTCTTATGTAAGCAGGTAAACACAAGTCTAAGAACTCCAAACATAAAATTGTTAGAAATCACATTCCCAGACTTCAGGGCTTAAGTATGAAATGCCTGGTAACCAGTCTTTGTAAAAAAAAAAAAAAAAAAAAAAAATTACCAAGGAAGTGAAAAAAAGAAAAATAACTTTGTACCTTAGTAGGGGAAGTGGGAGATAACACGCCCACTTGAACTCCTTTTATTCTGAGCTCCTGTATCTTGTGTGGGTTTTGCTTTCATGAATGGCTTGGATAAGCAGGAAGAAAAGCTACTGGAATCACAGCAAGCTAACCTAAATGAGAAACAGCTCAACCTCATGTCATTTTGAGCTCTTCAGTTCCTATCTAGAATGCACAAAACACAGCATCAAGCACAGAATGACTCTTACTTCACATACAGAGACTAGAGAGTACACCTTGCACAGGTTTATTTCTGGCAAGGAACGTAACAGTCATACCTGGGGACCATGGCTTTAAAGGGCCATCTGCATGAGTAATAGGAACAATAGATTTTTTTGCATGTAATAGTTCTTTCAAATAGGATTTTTCTTTACTTTTTAAAAAGAGTCATGAACTGCATAATGGTGTTTTGGTCAACAATGGACTGCATATATGATGGTGGTCCCATAAGATACGAGATGGTGGCTCATGCCTATAATCCCAGCACTTTGGGAGGCCGAGGTGGGTGGATCATTTGAGGCGGAGTTTGAGACCAGCCTGGCGAATATGGTGAAACCCCATCTCTACTAAAAATACAAAAATTAGCCAGGCATAGTGGTTCACGCTTTAATCCCAGCTACTTGGGAGGCTGAGGCAGAAAAATTGCTTGAACCCAGGAGGAGGAGGTTGCAGTGAGCCAAGATCACACCACTGCACTCCAGCCTGGGTGACAGAGTGAGACTCCATTTTATAATGAAGTACATAGAAACCTGATACAGAGCACTAATCACTGGCATTACAGATCAAGTAGGGCAGCGGTCCTCAACCTTTTTGGCACCACAGACAAGTTTTGTAGAAGACAATTTTTCCAGAAATGGGGGTTGGGGGGAGAGATGGTTTTGGGATGAAACTGTTTCATCTTGGTTGGATCATCAGGCATTAGATTCTCACAAGGTGTGCACAACCTAGATCCCTCACATGAGCAGTTCATGATAGGATTCATGCTACTATGAGAATCTAATGCTGCTGCTGATCTGACACAAAACGGAGCTCAGGCAGTAATGCTCACTCTCCCGCCGCTCACCTACTGCCGTGAAGCCCAGTTCCTAACAGCTCTCGACAGGTACCAGTCTGCAGCCTGGGGCCCGGGGACTCCTGAAGTAGGGGAAAGGACTGATATTCAGTAATGATGTTGGGAATTTGGTTTTCCATATGAATACATACATACATGCATATACACACACACACCATCTAGCTTTGTGTAAGTACACTCTGATATTTACACAACAATGAAATTGCCTAACAATACATTTCTCAGAAGGTATCCCCATGAAGAGACATGTGACTGTAATTGTATCTGGTTCTAGGGAGGCCAGGATGTCTGGCTTGGCAGATTGAGAGATAAGTGAATTTTGAAAGTCAGTGTACTGAGGACATTGGTTATTTGTCTTTTACACCATGATTATTACAACTGGTCTTTCTGCTGCCAGTCTTTACCTCCTTTAATCCCTTTTCCATCTTGCCATGGGTCCCTTGGTAAAAACTCTTCAGGCTCTCTCTGTTCCAGGCCAGTAACTTCTGCCAGTTTCTCTAACAAGCCATTCTCTCCCTTGTGTTCAGCCTCTCCAACACTTTGTTTCCTCTGCCTTGATTACTTCCTCCCTACTCCTCTTCACTAGGCTATCAGGTTTCTGCAGCCTTTTCCAGAAAGCCTTCCCTGATCTCCTAGTATGGGTGAGGTGTTTCTTCCATGTGTTCCCACAATACTCTGTACCTCCGCCCATCACAGCCCTTATCACACTGTATTTACTTGTCTGATCTCCCATTGGATTACCAATTCAATGAAGATATGCACTATGCCCACTTCCTTCTTTGTCCTATGTATCCAATGCCTGACACATAGTAGGTACTTAATCAATGAAATGATTTTGAGATCTTGATCATCATCTTCAGCATCCTAAAAATTCCTTGAGAACATTTATTAACATCTACAGATGGTATTGGGCAGAGGAGCATTTTATTAACCTGAATTGCTACCACAAAGCAACCTGGATCTATGCAAGAATGAACACTCTAAGCCAGGTCCCAGCATAAAAATAAACAGTTAAAGGACCACACAGCAGAGACATTGTTGGATTCTTGCAACCAGTGTTATTTTGCAGCTGTTGAAGTGTCAATGGTAGTTTTCAAGCACCTTGTACTCAGGACAGGCTTTGATCCCAGGAAATAGAAGAGGCTGTCCACCTTCCCAGTGGGAAAAGAAAAGTTCAAAGGTAGTGGCAGTGGGCATAGCAACAGAGTACAGAGTACTGTAACTTCACACACAGTCACCAGCTCCGGCCCCAGACTCCCCGCAAGAATGGTAACACTGAATAACAGACAGCACATGACCACTCCAACCTCAGATGAGCTCCTCTCTTCCAGCACATTGTCTACTCTGCCACCCCCCACCAGAAGTTTTGTGCCCTTGCTGTTTTCTCCAGCCCATTTTTCTTTTTTCTTTCTATTGAACTTTTCCTTATTAAGTCCCAGCTCAAGCACTACCTTTTCCTTCAAATTGCTATCATGTTGTCTAATAATAATGTGTTTGTAGGCCGGGCATGGTGGCTCACGTCTATAATCCCAGCACTTTGGGAGGCCGAGGTGGGCAGATCACCTGAGGTCAGGAGTTTGAGACCAGCCTGGCCAACATGGTGAAACCCCGTCTCCACCAAAAATACAAAAATTAGCGGGGCTTGGTGCCAGGCGCCTGTAATCCCAGCTACTCAGGAGGCTGAGGCAGGAAGAATTGCTCGAAACCGGGTGGCGGAGGTTGCAGTGCGGCGAGATCATGCCATGGCACTCCAGCCTGGGAAACAGAGCAAGACTCCCGTCTCAAAAACAAAAACAAAATCTGTTTCTAATCTTGGTCTCTTCCACTAGATCTTGAGCTCCTTGTAGGCAGAGAATATGTCTTATTCACCTTTGTAATCCACCATGCCCTACTCTCACCCTTGAAGAACACAGATGGCATTTAGTGGTGATGATAATGGTGACAGTAATAGTGGCTATCACTTGTCATTTTCCTTCCACGTGGCAAGCACTGTACTAGGGGCTTTACATCTGATACAACTTCCCAGTTTTATAGAGAGCACATTCCTGAAAATGAATGTACAAAAGTTTAGTTTAAGCTTTTGGGGGCTAAGAGAATGGCTCTATTTCCAAATGTATGAAATTATAAAATCCACCAGAATTCCTAAAATTAAAATGACAGATAATACTAAGTGCTGGTAGGGATGCTGGAGCAACTGGAATGCAAATACTTCTGGTGAGTGTGTCAATGTTGGGAAATTCTGGGAAATGTTTTAGTATTATCTACTAAAATTGAGCATAAGCACACTTTATGACCCTGCAATTCCACTGCTAGGTATATACCTGTAAGAAACACGGGTATATATTCATCCAAAAACATGTATGAGAATGCTCATAGCAGCACCATTTGTATTAGCTCTAAATTGTAAGCTATCCAAATGCCTATCAACTGTAGAATAAAAGATGTGGTATATTTACAAAATAGAATACTAGGCAGCAACAAGAATGAATGATCTGGTTACATGGGTGTGTTGAATTTATAAAATGTGATCTGTACACTCAGGCTTCCACTTCAATAAAAAGTTTCAAAGGAAATGGTAAAAGAAGCTGCCGCAGAAACAGCTGTCCTAGGAATGTGCTGTGACATGACATTGAGGCTGCGCCTCCGCCCCGTCCCAAGGCACATCCCGGCTGGCTGGGATTACATGCCAGGGAAGCCTGTCTCTTCCTCTGGTGGTCTCCCCTCACTATTTATTTCCCTGGCCTGAGAGTAGGTGCCTGCTTTCTCTGGAGTACAAAGGACTGATTCTGCCATAGAAAAGAAGGTGCAGAGGTAGGAACATACAATATCTGAAAGCTCTGGGTGGAAAAAGCTGAACACAGGTGGAACACAGTGGAACATTGCCTGAATCCTATTTAAACTTCACAACATTACTCTAAGCAGCCAAAGTGTTGTTATTTACCCTTGAGAGGGGAAGAAATAGACTCACGGAAGTTGTGGACATTAAATAATTAGTAGCAGAGACTGGATTTAAAATCCCACCTAAGGCCAAAGCACATGTTCTTCCTACCAGATTACCTTTTCTTCTTTATTTCTCATGTTTGCAGTGCTTTTCGGTTTGCAAGCTACTTTCCTATACAAGATCTCTATTTATTTTCATAATAACCCAGTGGTCTAGGCATTACTACTGCCCAACAGTATGAGGAAACCTGAGGCTCAAAAAGCTTAAATGACCTCTCTGAGCTAATTAAGTGAGAGTGCTAACAGAATCTTTCATCTCTAAATCTTTTTCTCTACCACGCATCATCCAATGCCTGTGTTATTGGCTAAGGGTTGGCTATTGAAGGAGGCAACTCCTCACTGTTGTCCTTGGCTTAGAGGTGACAAAGCAATGACATTATGTAATCACCACCATCCCTTCCTGACATTCACTAGGAATTCAAGAAAGCTACCAGCCCCGTGCCAAGCACCATGGAGGGGAATGCAGAGATGATCTAATATAGATCCTTGCCCTCAAGGAGATCCCAGTCTAATGCAGGATGATAAGCAGTAAGTGTACAATTACAACATATTAGGTTGGTGTGAAAGTGATTGCAGTTTTTGCCACTACTTTTAATGGCAAAAGTTGCACCAACCTAATAGTAAGGGCATTGCTATCACCTTAATACGAAGTAATATGAAGTTAACACAAAGTATAGCAGATGCACAGAACGGGGCAAGCCCAAGTCTGCATGTAGTAACTGGGAGAACTTCACAGAGGTGTGGTTTTGAGCTGAGAGATGAAGGAAGGGTAAGACATGAGGTGGTGGGGAGAGGGAAAACAATTTTGACTGAAGAAATAGCAAGGGCAAAGGCATAGCATGAGATAAATGATGCGTTAGAGAAACTACAAATAACTTTAATGCTATCCCAGTTAGTGGTCTGGTATACCCCTGTACAGATATCACATCTCACGGGTAAGCCAAAGTATGGAAACCAAAGCATGGATGTTAAGTATAGGCTTAAGAAAGTGCCCAGGCCATAAGGAAGAAAGCCAGTACTTTCCAGCAATGTCAGCCACAGGACTTGAATTAATGCATCTGTTATACCATTTTACCCACCAAAAATGGGGATAATGACATATGCCCTTCCTACCAGGGGGGTATTTCAACCATCGACTGAATTAAAGATGCACAAGCACTTTGAAAACAAAAGTAGCTTTTCATATATACTGAGTGTGTATGTGTATAAAGCATATTTAACACATATTTATATAATATAGTATATTAAGTACATTATGATCCTCTAGTGACTTATTTTAGGTTCAGGGTGTACATGTGCAGGTTTGTAACATGGGTAAACTAGTTGCTAAGGCTTGATGTATGAATGATCCCATCACCAAGGTCAGCAGTCCCCAACCATTTTGGCACCAAGGACTGGTTTCATGGAAGACAATTTTTCCATGGACGGGGGAGGGGGATGGTTTCGGGCTAACTCAAGTGCATCACATTTGTTATGCACTTTATTTCTGTTATTATTACACTGTAATATATAATGAAATAATTATACAACTCACCATAATGTGGAATCAGCGCGATCCCTGAGCTTTTCCTGCAACTAGACGGTCCCATCTGGGAGTGATGGAAGACAGTGACAAATCATCGGACATTAGATTCTCACAAGGATAGCAGAACCTAGATCCCTTGAATTCACAGTTCACAATAGGGTTCACACTCCTACGAGAATCTAATGCTGCTGCTGATCTGACAAGAGGCAGAGCTAAGGCAGTAATGTCAACAATGGGGAGTGGCTGTAAATACAGATGAAGCTTTGCTCACTCTCCCACTGCTCACCTGGTGCTGTGCGACCCGGTTCCTAACAGGCCATGAATCAGCAGCAGTCCGTGGCCCAGGGGTTGGGGACCCCCAATCAAGGTAATGAGTATAGTACCTAATAGGGAGCCTTCCAACCCAACTCCCCTCCTTTCTCTCCCCTATTAAGCAGGCCCCTGTGTCTATTGTTCCCTTCTTTGTATCCATGTGTATTCAGTGTTTAGCTCCCACTTATAAGTGAGAACATGTGGTATTTGGTTTTATGTTTCTGTATTACTATGCCTAGGATAATGGCCTGCAGCTGCATCCATGTTGCTGCAAAAAACATGATATATTCTTTTCTATGGTTGCATAGTATTCCATGGTGTATATGTACCATATTAAAAAAAAAATCCAGTCCACTGTCAACGGGCATCTTGGTTGATTACATGTCTTTGCTATTGTGAATAGTGCTGCAATGAACATACAAGTACACATCTTTTTTGTAGAATGATTTGTTTTCCTTTGGGTATATACACAATAGAGATTGCTGGGTTGAATTATAGTTCTGTTTTAACTTTTTTGAGAAGTCTACACACTGCTTTCCACAGTGGCTGAACTAATTTACATCCCCACCAGCAGTGCGTAAGTGTTTTCTTTTCTCTGCAACCTTGCCAGCATCTGGTGTTTTTTGACTTTTTAATAATAGCCATTCTGGTGTGAGAGGGTATCTCACTGACTTTTTGATTTGCATTTCTCTAATGATTAGTGATGCTGAGCATTTTTTCATATATTTGTTGGCTGCATGTATGTCTTCTTTTGAGAAGTGTTTGTTCATGTCCTTTGCCCATTTCTTAATGGGATTGTTTTTTGCTTGCTGATTTAAGTTCCTTATAGATTCTAGATATTAGACCTTTGTCAGATGCATAGTTTGCAAATATTTTCTCCCATTCTGTATGCTGTCTGTTTACTGTTGACAGTTTAATTTGCTGTGCAGAAGCTCTTTAGTTTAATTAGGTCCCACTTGTCAATTTTTGTTTTTGTTGCAATTGCCTTTGGGGACTTAGTCATAAATTCTTTGCCAAGGCCAACATCCAGAATAGTATTTTTTAGGTTTTCTTCAGAGTTTTTATTGTTTTAGGTCTTACCTTTAAGTCCTTTAATCCATCGTGAGTTAGTTTTTGTATATGGTGAAAGGACGGGGTCCAGTTTCAATCTTCTGCATAAGGCTAGCCAGTTATTCCAGCACCATTTATTGAATAGGGAGTCCATTCCCCATTGTTTGTTACTGTCGACTTTGTCACAAAGATCAGGTGGTTGTATGTGTGTAATTTTGTGGACTCTGTCCTGTTCCAGTGGTCTGTGTGTCTGCTTTTGTATCAGTACCATGCTGTTTTGGTTACTGTAGTCTTGTAGTATAGTTTGAAGTCACATAATGTGATATCTCCAGCTTTATTCTTTGTGTTTAGGATTGCTTTGGTGATTTGGCTTTTTTTGGGTTCCATATGAATTTTAGAATCGTTTTTTTCTAATTCTGTGAAAAATGACACTGGTAGTTTGATAGGAATAGCACTGTATCTACATATTGCTTTGGGAAGTATGGCCATCATAACAATACGATTCTTTCTAATGTGAACTTAAGCCAATGAGAGAAGGGATCAGCACCTGGTTTCTCTGCATCCTATCCATATCTTGAGGTTTGATCTCCTTAGTGAATCAGGACTCAGAATGGCTATAAATGGTTATCAAGGGATTTTTGTTTTTTAACTTGAAAAACATATATTTAGTAAGTATTAATCGCATATATTCTTTGATTTCTCTTTTATAGTACATCTATTGCAAAAGACTTAAATAATTACATTATGCGGAAGTGGATTTCACATTCCAAAGCTTCTCCTTGTCAATGGCACACATGAAAATCAGCTTAACATTCCTGTAAGCAAACATTTCTCATGGAAGTCAAGGAAGCTTTTTGTAGTAGAACTGAAAAGGGAAAGTTATTGGACTTTGGTTGAACAAAACTAAATCTGAAAACAACAGGGTTGAATATAACCCTTTTAGAATTATGATCCTGTTTTCTTATTCAAATGTATGGTTAGTAGTAATGAAAAAAAATCAGTAACAGTTCAAAAATCAGAAGACATGGTTGTTGGACAATTCTGTGATTACACTAAAAAACACTGAATTATATACTTCAAATGAGTAAATTGTATGGTATGTAAATTTTATCTCCATAAAGCTGTTAAAATAAAGAAACCAGATCTCAACCTTTGTTTATTTTACTGCCTAAACTGCCTTTCAACAGAAATAGGATAGTGAAGGTAGATATGATTGTAGCCTATTGTAACTATTCATGCTATACTACATTCTAAGTTCAAGTATGTTTTTAAATGATTGCTTATATTATTACCTCTCTAACATTCATGCCTCATTGGTAAAATCTTAATAATAAAAACCACCTCACAGTGTAACGTATTAGGAACACCTGGTTTAGGGTCTGGCACAAAGTAAGCCCCCAAAGATGTTTGCTGAATCTGAATTTAAAAAAGAAAAAAAGAATCATTGAGGAGAAAAGTCTGTCTTAGTCTTTACTGAAGATGACTAGACCAATTCGTTGAATTTTGAACTAGCATGTAGCACCACGCACATAGAGTAATCCTGGAATAAATGACTAATGATAAATATGTGGCATTTAATTTTATTTATTCTTTTAGATGTATTTAAGTCAAAATTATTGGCCAGACGCAGTGGCTCATGTCTGTAATCCCAGCACTTTGGGAGGCCAAGGCAGGTGGATCACCTGAGGTCAGGAGCTCGAGACCAGCCTGGCCAACATGATGAAACCCGGTCTCTAGTAAAAATACAAAAAATTAGCCAGGTGTGGTGGCGAGCACCTGTAATCCCAGCTACTTGGGAGGCTGAAGCACGAGCATAGCTTGAACCTGAGAGGCGGAGGTTTCAGCGAGCCAAGATCGCCCCACTGCACCCTGGCCTGGGTAACAAGAGCAAAACTCCATCTCCCCCAAAAAAAAAATTATATGAAGAGGTGGCAAATGATACTAGAAAGAGCACAACTCCGATGCCCAAGAGACCTGGATTCAAATCTTGCTCTTTGTTCCCATTTGTTAGCCAGGGTAAATGTGGGTAGCTTGGTGACTGCTAGAAAACATATATTCATGAGATTGTTATAAGCAATAAAAGAAACCCTAGCATTAAAACAGAAAAATATAATCACCTAAATTAAAACTTTAAAAGTTGGCCGGGTGCAGTGGCTCACGCTTGTAATCCCAGCACTTTGGGAGGCTGAGGAGGACAGATCACCTGAGGTCAGGAGTTCAAGACCAGCCTGACCAACATGTGAAACCATGACTCTACTAAAAATTTAAAAATTAGCCGGGCTTGGTGGCAGATGCCTGGAATCCCAGCTGCTCAGGAGGCTGAGGAAGAAGAATTGCTTGAAGTTGGGAGGCGGAGGTTGTAGTGAGCTGAGATTGTGCCATTGCACTCCAACCTGGGCAACAGAGCAAGACTCTCTCTCTCTCAAAAAACAAAACAAAACAAAACAAAACAAACAAACAAAAAAAACCTTTAAAAGTTTATCTGCACTAGGAGGTCTTAGTACCCCTATTAAAAGAAGGAAGCCAAATGGCTTTGAAATATTATTTAAATAAGAATTTAATGTATAAAGAAGCAAATGGCTTGATTAATGTAATCAATATAACACTCAATTATACTTAGTTTTTCTTTTTTGTTGTTTTTTTTGAAATAGGGTCTCACTCCAGTTGTCCAGGCTAGAGTGCAGTGGCGTGATCTTGGCTCACTGCAGCCTTGACCTCCTGGGCTCAGGTGATTCTCCTACCTCAGCCTCCCGAGTAGCCCAGCTAATTTTTTGTATTTTTTGTAGGGACAGGGTTTCACCATGTTGCCTAGGCTGGTCTTGAACTCCTGGACTCAAGTGATTCATCCGCCTTGGCCTCCCAAAGTGTTGGGATTACAGGCATGAGCCACCACATCTGGCCTGTAATTTTTCATGTAGGCATGAATTAACTACCCAATCAAATATCAACTTTCACTTTCTTTCTGCAGGGAAAAAAGTTAGCCCTCTTGGTCAACCTGGGCAAATGGAGAACATGCAAGAGACTTACGAGGATCAAATTCTCAAATCTTTCATTGAAATAAATCAAATGAGAACAAACTAAAGTTTATAATGAGCTACACCATCTCTACAACAAGCCTTCCCTAACACTCAACAGACACGTAAGCACATATGTGTATGTACACACAGATACTCACACAGCACACCCAAATCAGTTATCAAAAATTTATACAGTTAAAGAAAATAAAAAATGCTTCAGAAGCAATAGGGGAAAAAGGAATGATTTAGTTTTTTTTTTTTTTTTTTTCCCAATAGGCCTCTGTATTACTGTATTATTTAAGTGTTAATAGTTATGGGTATTACAAGTATACAATATACTCTATAGCTGATATAATTCTATATAGAAACGAAACGTAAGTCACTGGTGTCACTCCCTCTTAAAAGATTATGATAAGAAATTAAACTTTTAAAATAGCTCCTTTCTAATGCTATTTTGGTTTAGATATCAAAAATAACTGAAACAATTTTTTTACATAAAAAATCTCAAGATTTAAAAAAACACTCCTTATATAAAACTTATCAATCTCAGATTTCACATTAGGCAAAAACCACCCATTTTGCTAACCACCAAAAGCTTTTTATAAATCCATTTAACACTTAAAAGGACTATAGAAAATTCATAACTTGTGAAATATAAAAAGAACTTTACACAAATTACATGTTAATGTCTCTTTTAGGATTTCTTCCTAGTGTAGTGCTATTCACAGAGCAAATTTGCCTCAGAACTAAGGAACATAACTCTAAATATGTTAATAGGTCTAAAGCAAAATATCTTAGGAATTAACAAAAATGTGTTAGTACACTGCTGTGAATTTGTTTTTACTTCTAGCTCTCAATTCTAAAAGTCAAGGCCCACATTTGAGGGCTTACAAATGAGATTTTATTCACAGAACAATAAAAAAGAGGCTCTAAAATCAATGGCTTCCACATTTTATTCCATACAATCTCAGTTTCTTCTACAAGCTATCACCAGCATTCCCTTAAATCATGAACTCAGGCCAGCAGAATTTCACAAGAGCTTCAGTATCTATAGACCCCACTTAGTGTACCCTCTACTAGAAACTTTAACAAATAATTATGGAGTTTTTGCTATAGGGTTCTGGGGATTAAAAAGGGAAATAATTTTTTAAAAAATTAAAAGCTGTCCTTACTGAGAAAGCAACTTAGAGGAAACATAAAAAGAGCAAGGGATAATGACAATAGTTTCATTAGTCCCTAAAACAGTCTGGCAGCTAAGAGACCTTAATAAAGGCTCCAGAGAAAGTCATCCCAAACTGAGTGAAGAATTTGGTTCAACTTTATCGCCTAACTTCATCCAGTTTATGAGACAGTTAGTAGGATTTGTAATGGGAGCTTTGCTTGCATTTTTAAATTCCCTGCTTCTTTCCATCTGCAAAATGGACATCTTAGATTAAACTTGACCATTTTCCTTTTAAGTTTACTGACATTTAATAGTATTTCTTCTAGCATATACCTGGCATAGCATATCCCTGACACCCAAGCAGCTTTCCATGGTCCCAGGAAGTTGCCACATTCTTTTCCAGTTACTTTTTGGGACCAAAAGAACCTCTGATCATAAACCCATAAATATCTGCTCTGGTGACAGACAGCTGGGAGCCTGTCAGTCCTTATTCCTGGTTTGGTACAGATTGCTGGAAAAGAACCTGAGTATCTTGCTCTGGTGCTTACCTCACTAACCCTCAAAAAGTTCTCAAAGTTAGTATGAGAGAAAAACACTCAGATACAAATTCTAATCCTTGGATAGGTAGCTTATTCAGTTAAAAGGATTACTTGGTAGTTTATTAGGAGATTCTAGCCAGTAAGACCAGAAATGAATGCAAAGTCAGACAATGGCTGCTCATGATACTTGCAGAACTGTCAGTTCTGTCTCCCTGTCTTCCTCCACTTGGGTTTCAATGCCTCCACCTAATGGGAGGACAGTTTCTTTTATCTGCGTATCCTCAGGGCACAGCACAGATTAGGCACTTAATAAAGATTTGTTAACAGAATGAATCACTCACAACTGTACAGCATTCCAGAAGGGTGCTCAGAAGGCACCCAACCTGAACCAAATACTGGCAGTGAGAAAAGGTCACTATTAATTATACCAAAGTCAAAATGATCAACAACTCTAACAGGCATTTTTCAATGTCCAGCTGGGCAACATATTAGAACTCTTTTTAACAGGTCATTCTGATGCTAACTCATTCGGATAGACCACCTGCATGTAGTTTGACTCATAATTAAGCACTCTACAGGAAAACAAAGACAAAGGTAAGCTTGGGCATACCCTCACTAGGAGATAATACCAAGAACTAAGCAGAGGGCAGGTGATAAGCCAGTATCATCTCTGGGGCAGTGGCAAACAAACACCATTTTAGCACATAAAAGGTGATATAAAATGGCAGAGAGGAAGGAGCTCCAGAGAGGGAGGACCCTTGAGACAGTGAAGGTGCCAGCACCTCAGGCCTCCTTTTCCTTGTCCTGCATGGGGTTTTCTGCCCTTCTGCATTGCATGGACCATGGAGGCAGAAATTCTGACTGAGAGTAACTCTGCAGTTAGTGGTGAATGCCATATGTGTTAAGGCAGAATACCATGTGCAAGTGTTGAGCAAGTGCCCAGCACATGGTAAGCACTGAGTAACAGCTGCTGGTTATTATTCATTGTGTGGAATAAGGTGCTTTATATAAATAAACCTATCAACATTCATCTTTACCACCTGGTACTGAGAAGTTTGTCTTTCATGATGAAATGGTATGAGCCATGGAACCCAGATGTTCTCCACTTGGCTTTGGGTTCCAAAAAATTCGGACAATTTTATACGGGCATTATAAGCATTAACTCTAAGTCTTCTTCTAATTATTCATTTGCTCATTTATTCCTTTACCCAAGAAATATATACTGTATACTCAAGTGTTAACACTATGCAAATTCCTGGAGAAAGCTTGGGGAGTAAATTCAGACATATTTCCTCTCTCACACAGTGCATAGTGTAGGGGAAAGAAATATTCACCGAGTTGTGTATATAAATTGAATTGTCAATGTGAAGAGCTACCAACAAGAGGTACAGGCTGAGGTAGATTTGCCATGCAGTGAAAGGTTAAGGGTCAGGACCCTATCCTCGCACTGACCGCTTCCAAGGCCCTATACTCATATTTGTATCTCTAATTTTATTTTTCTTAAAGACAGCCCCTCAAATTACAAAAATTTCAGATCCCAGGAAGCTTGGACCTTCCCCTGCTTGCATGGTACTATGAAAGTGCATAATGGGGTGTTTCCTCCAGCTGGCAAGATCAGGGAGGAATTTTCTGAGGAAATCGTGATGGAAGGGAGGTGTGAAGAAAGAGTATAGGAGTATGGTGGCCCAGAATGTGCAAAGGCCCTGTGGAGAGAGGGGAACAAAGAATGACCAGAGAACTGAAAGAAGGCTAGTGCCCAAAGCTTGAAGAGTCACAGGAACATGCAGTGTGAGATGATGCTTAGAAGCATAGTTTGATGTCATCAAACTAAGGGCAGTTTTAAGTCACTGGTGTGTTTTCAGCTGCAGATTGGAGGTTGATGAAAATTAAATTTGTCCCTTTTAAAGATTACTCTGGGCTTAGCATACAGATTAGTGAGGGAAGATATAAGATCAGGAAAGCAGCTATTGCATGACTCCAGGCAAAGGATATATGTAGGTAGTTAAAACTAGGTTGTGAGTGGTAGAAAAGGTATTGAATAAAATGGATAGATTAATGGGCTAATTAGGGCAAATAGTTTGCACCTGTATAAAGATATCTAACAGATGGAATAATTTAAACACAAATAGCCTAGAGTCTCTATTATAGAGCTAATTTAAACTAGAAATTCAGTTCTTAAGTTGGTAGTATACTGGATAAGAATGTGGCTTAAGTAGTTAGCTTGCTTGAGTTTTCACCCCTATTTCCACCTTTTACCTGTACAATAGGAACACAGATAATGTTTCACATCACTGTGTAAACTTGGGCCTTCATTTTCCTTATCAATGAAATGGAAATAAAACCCCACTGTGACAAGGTACATACACCACCCAGTCTAATGTTGAACACATGGTAGGCCCGCTCATTGAATGTTCCTACCCTGAAAATTCCACAAAATTGGATTTAAATGTCCAGAAAAATTTGGGGAAGGTGGCGGCCCCTGAGGAAAACCCAGGATTTGAAATGTAGTGGTGACAGGGGAAAAATAAAGATCATGAAGGCTTTGAGAAGAAAAAAAAAATCAACGAAGAAAAGAGAGAACAGAAAAGCAAGAAAATCAAAAGATGAGGAGACACAGAGTTAAACTATACATCAGTCAAATATTACAGAGATCTTAATCTCAATCTCATTAAAGCGTAATGAAGACTTAAAAATCATTAATGACCTTTGGCAATATAATCGCTATTGCAGTGGAATTCATTATTGACATTAAAAAACATTTTAGAGCTAAATAAAAATTCCCCTAAAGGGTTGGCCTTTCGAAGTAATACAAACAAGTCCTTATTTTCGATTTAGTGATAAATTGGTAAATTTGGCTAAATATAACTTTTGTTCTATTTCAAAGGATTTGATAAAACAAACAAATGTTTTATTCACATTTGATTTATTTAATTCTGTTTCTAAGTACTTAGCATCTATTTGTGCAGCTCTTATGAAAATAACAAATGATCTTTAGAAAAGCAGATCTGATAGGACATTTAACTGGAAGCCCTTCACAAACTAAGGTGTGCTTGGAATTAATGGTTTCTTCCCTTTCCCCAAATTATCTTAACTGGCAGAATTTTAGTAGATAGCCACTGTCATGATGCTATAATTTCTAACATTTCCCCCTGCAATAAAGCATTAGTAGAGATGTAGGACTGAATCGCAATTGAGCAGCCTGCAGTTCATAAACACGCTTAAACCTTCCTGTGGTGGGAAGGTCCAAAATATAAACAAACATACTATCTTTCTCTCTTTTTTTGTGAGACTTTTTTGTGAACTTCATGTGAGAACATGCTTTCTAATTCAGTATGTTGTTACTTATTTTAGATGAATTGCTTCTTTGAAGATTATGGTCTTTGACTTTGATAATCTTGGATATTTACTTTCTGATAAAGCACATCTATTTAACTCTCAAAAAATGGCCCAAGATAACATTTTTGAAAAATTATTTTGCATACTCAAATGTCAAGGGTGCCACTGCATTTATTTAAGCACCTGCTATTTTGGTTGTAGAGGTCATTAACAGTGTTTCCCAATCTGTTTCACTTTATGGCCCACAGAGGAAAGGACATTTATATATGCCCTGGGGTAAACTGAAGAGGGCGAATACAGTCAGGCAAAGGGTCTCCAGCCCTGCCCAAAGGAGTGAATATTTCAGCCATCCAGTAGCCATTCCTGGCACATCCACTGGGAATTCCAGCCTAAAATATCATACATTGGTTACAAATTAAGGTCTAAATCTTACAAGTGATAGAATTTATCTATCTACGATGTGATCATTATTGGAGTAATTAAATGCCATCTTTTTTCCTCATAAAATCAAAAAACAGTAAACACGGATCATTATACCCAAGAAACAGTTGCTTGTTTGTGTGACTTTATATACAACATGTTACAACTGTAATTGTAGGATTGTCTAATGTGTTGATGGACCACAATATCTTTAGATAGAGACTGCAAATGCTAAGAAATATATAAGACTGAGGTGACCAATCATTAATCTATTCATTCCTAAACGCTACACTCTGTTAGGTATTTAGGATTTGTAGTTGGCAACAAAGTATCTTGCCCATCATAGACTTTACCAAATCTGTGTTGTCATGAAGCCATCAAGCTCATAATCATTTACATTTTCAAATGTTTAGCTTAGGTAATGTGCTAGGTGCTGAACACACCACACACATACACACACACCACACACACACACACACACACACACACACAGTAGAGCAAGATAGATAGAGTCCTTGCCCTCCAAGAGCTTAAAGATCCACCCATACTTATCTTAAGTAGTTTGGAAAAGACGGAGCATGGACCACTACCACCATTCTGCCCAGAATTATTTAGGGTAAGCAGTGCTAATATCTAAAATGACACGGCCCCGTGCAGTGACTCACGCCTGTAATCCTAGCACTTTGGGAGGATTGCTTGAGCCCAGGAGTTCGAGACTAGCCTGGGAACATAGTAAGACCCCATCTTCACTATATGTAAAAAATTTTTAAAAAGACAATAAAGTGTATAAATGCAAAAAAAAAAAAAAACTGTGATAACTGAGACCAGCAACAAGCAGTAATAGTAAACAAAAACCAGGGACGTTTCCAGGAAAACCAAGTGTTACTGTCACCCTAATTATAGGCCACATGGGCTAGAAAGGTCTGATGCCATTATGTATGGCTGACATATAAACGTAAGTATAGATATTTTTAGGCAAATAATCTGTAGTCACATTGTGTGCTGGCAGTCCTCAAAGCCCTTGCTTGCTCTCGGCACCTCCTCTGCCTGGGCTCCCACTTTGGTGGCACTTGAGGAGCACTTCAGCCCACCAATGCACTGTGGGAGCCCCTTTCTGGGCTGGCCAAGGCTGGAGCCCACTCCCTCAGCTTGCAGGGAGGTGTGGAGGCAGAGGCGTGAGCGGGAACCAAGGCTGCGTGCTGTGCTTGCGGGCCAGCTGGAGTTCCGGGTGGGCGTGGGCTTGGTGGGCCCCGCACTCGGAGCAGTTGGCCAGCCCTTCATTCTTGAAGTCAGTAAGACCAAGAACCCACCAATTCCGGACACAACATCATATCTTAGATATTTTACAGTTGCAGTCCATCCAAAGTGGATAACATAGCAAGATAATTTTTACTTCTTTACCAAGGGGACTGACCTTTTACCATGGTAGGATGTTACATATTACAATTATTTTCTAGTAAAAAATTTGGAGTACAAAGAGATGAAATTGGCATAAACCATTAAAACAGCATTTCCCACACTTTTCCGTATCAGAATATATGTACAACATGACAGTATCCGTACTGCATAAAGCAGGAAACAGCTGAAGCTGCTCATGGTTAGAGGCTGCCCTGTACCATGGCCTGAGAGGATCTGCATGTCGGCAAGCATGTATTCATTCCATTACTAGTAGGCCAGGGGACATCAGCCAGGAAATTGACCCAAATTATCTAAGACATTTGAGAGTGAGGAATACAAGAGAGCAGGAAAGGAATAATTCTTCCACTTAGAAAATATATCATCTTTCAGAAAATATTTCGAAGATGGTGATAAACTGATACCACAAGTTGTACTGAATCTGAAAATATAAGTAATGAGACAAAAAAGTGTAGAGAGAATTCCATGTTGCAAGCATTTGTTTGTAATATGCACATGTATCCTATGCCACCCATTTTCACCACAAATGCACTGGTTGAGAGTAAGAGCTACAAACTGTCTTTTAAATTTACATACTCTTAACTCTGCATGGCATACTTTTCTAGAAGGAAAAAAGAAAGAAGTATTGAGTCCTGTTACTTACATATGGCAAGTACTGAAGCTTATAGGGTAGGCCCAGATGTTTTTTAATCACTCATTTCCTCCCAAGTTGACTTTTTAATCAAAATAGTCTTCCATTTCTATGATAACTACTAAGTGTGCCCCCAAAATCATTATTTAGTAACATACACCTGCCACCATCACCACCCAGTTTAGCTAGGTGCAAAGGTGCCCATCTAGAGATAACATTTCCCAGCCTCATTTGCAGCCAGATGTGGCCACCTAATGAGGAGGGACCAACAGGATGTAAGAAGCAGTTCAACTAATTTCCTGGTAACCTTCATAAAGACAAGGCTACAAGACAAGGCTACTTGACTTGGCCTTCCTTTTCCTTTTTTCCTGCGGGCTAGAAATGGGGACAGCAGGACAACCTTAGAAATCACGTGTGTAGCACAGGAGTGCTATCCTGCCAGTTGCTGGCTGCTCATATCTGGACTGTTCTGTAAGGAGGAAATAAACATCTATCTTATTTAAGTCATTCTATTTGGGTGTCTCAGCAGTTTAGTTGGTAACATAATTAATAAAACCTCCAACTACTAAAAAACACCTCTTAAAAGCATCTAGAAATAGATTTGGACAGACTTATTTTATAATTCATCCTTGTTTATAAATACAAGTATTTTATAAACACTAAGGACTTAAAGTGGAAGTATAAACATAAAATAGTATTTTATACTAACAATTTATGAACAATATATTGTAATTTATTATAAATAATACAATGTAGAGATTATATTATAAACAAACATAACATGATAGAATGATAACTGTAACAAATTAACAGGGTAAGACTTGTGAGAGCCAAAATGCACCAGACAATTAAGGAGGTGATTTTCTTCAAGCTACTGGAATAAAACACTAATGAGGGCTGTCTCAAAGAAAAGGAAAGGGTCTGGAGTTCTATAGAGGCAGGTAAACAAGGAAGTCATCTGGGAGTCAGGAAGGACAGAGATGGGTCTAATCTCAGAATATTGGAGAACAAGATAGTCCTTTGTGGTTTCCCAGAACACCAAAGGGTGGGGGTGGGGGGTGAGGGTTGGAAAATTGAAGGATGGGGAGATTTTCCAGGGTACAACTCAGGGAAAGTTCAATATTGTAAGATCCTAATTACAAAGGGACAGTAAGGAACCCCTGAAGGGTTTTAACAAGTGAGGCAATGAGGTCACCATTCCGTTTTAAAAAGAATTCTACCAGGAATGTAGAAGCAAGATTGAAGGGAGGAAAGACTGGAGGCAGGGAGATGAAGGAGAAAACTACTCTATAGTCAACATGATTTCCACTCAATTCAATTTTTCAGTTGGAATAGCTGGTAGTGGCATAATAAATTTAAGTCAAGGTATCTAGTAGTTGGTTGTCCTGAATCCTAAGAGAAAGATCTGGGATTTACAGATTTGTGACTAATCCACATATGCAGGATGAGATAATCCAAGGAGAGCATACACAGAGAAAAAAGGCCAATGGCAGAATCCAGGGGATCACTAGCATTTAGGGAACTGGGAGAAGAAAAGCATTCAGCAGAGGAGAGGAAGAAGGGTGGGTCAGAGGACAAGAACTATGAAGAGAATGTTGGCCTAGAAGCCAAAAGAGGCAACCCCTTCAGGAAGAGAGTGGTAAGCAGCATTGCAGGTGTCAAAAGCAAGTCACGCACGTTAAGGGGCAAAAGTGACCGCTGGATCTGGCAGCTGAGAGTCACCTGACACTTTGGCCTGAGCACTTTCGGTGAAAAAGTCTGGCTCACGTGTGCAAGGGTATGTGGGAAAGTGAATATTCACCTCTCAAATCTCAGCTGGGGATGAAACAAAAGGCTGGTACAACAGCAAGCGGGGGAGGCAGGTATGATGGGAGGGTGTATTTTTCAGGATAGGAAAGGAGTAGAGGGGTAAAAGTTGGAAGTAGCAGGGTGAGAGAGTACCAAGATGTTTTTCTTACGGCTACTTGTTTCTTATTTTGAACATAAAGTCAAATTATACAAACACATTTCGACAAGGAGCTATAACTCAAGTATGCGGCATGTTGCTATGACTTCATAAAACTACAGAGATTAAGGAATTCAGAATCCCATGGAAATTCTTAAACAGAGTTTGGACATATGTTGTTTGATTTTCCCTTCAGCAAACTGGTAAACATTAATCTTGCTAACCACCATATTGCTTATCCCGTCATAAAATTTTAAAAGGTTCTTTTTTGAAAAGTCTAAAGGGAAAAAGGTAACTTGCAAAATAATTCCACAAACTATATAACTAAAAAAAAAAAAACCCCAAAAATGCATGGACATATGAGTGAGTAGCTCTGTATATATTCAAGTAATCCAAGCAGTGTCAGGCTTTCTCACCCGCTGAAACTCCCTGGGAAGGTCAAGCATTCAGAGAACTCAGGTCAGATTACACTGAAAAGAAGGTGGGAAAAGAAATATTTAGCATTTCTAAGGAGAGTGTCAGTGACCTACAGCGGCTAGTTTACTTCTCATTTCCTTGACCATGGTATACAGGGACAAAGATGAGGTAGAGAGGGGAGGAGCTGTGCACTGCTGGCATATTTACAGGAAAATCTTGGGCTGTATCTTGCCATTCAACACTGAGGCTACTGCTAATAGGCAGGGGAAGACAGGAAGAAAATTACCCCTCCTGAATAACCAAGCACTTACATACTTGAGCCTATTAAATTGTCCTATCCATCCTGAGCAGTGGTATTACTGCTTCAGTTTTACTGAGAGAAAACAGGTTTTGAAAGTTTGAGTAATTCGACCGAGATCACACAGCTAATACAAGGTGGACCAGGATTCAAACCCAGATCTGACTGACACTATGAAGCCCATACCTGCCCCCTCAGCTTATTTTAAACTAGAGATTAACTCAAATTAAATTAAATTTGCTTCTACAAATTAAAAAAAATCACTAGAAGGAACCCTTAAAGTGAAGGTGACAAAATGCTGGTAGTCAAAGGCTGCCTAAGGGCACAAGGAGTAAAGTCTTAAAAAATGAAACAACAACCCAACTGTCATTTAATAACAATATTACCTAAGGTCTTTATCATAATCTCACTTTTTAAAAGACAATTCCATGGATTCCAACTAATCTGATCCTCACAAACTACTATGAGACAAACAAATAATATCAACTTTATTTTATAGCCAAGAAACTTGTTACAAGGAAATGGCAGAATGGAGATGAGAATTCCAGACTTCTACAACATCCAGTGTGCTGGAACAGTCCTCCAGTAAGTGTCATAGTCTCAAAGTTTTTAAATCTTACCTTCAAAAAGTTGTTAACAAAGTCAGACCAAATATTCGGTATAATCTCTTCACTAAATTTAGGCTGTGAAGATTTATTTTTTATTCTGAATTCATTAAAGTGTAACCATAATTCTTAAAAGAATAAACAACTCACTTAGGCCTACTGGTTCGTAAGTACAAAATATGTACTGATCACCCACTATAAGAAGAATAGTACCTTAGCTATGATTTTAAGAACATGAAAGGAGGGGCTAAGGGACTTAAATTAGAGCCAAGATTCTTACTCAGTGAGGGGATTTGGTATATTTACTGAATTCTTTTTTTTTTTTTTTTTTGAGACGGAGTCTTGCTCTGTTGCCCAGACTGAAGTGCAGTGGCATGATCTCGGCTCACTGCAAGCTCCGCCTCCTGGGTTCATGCCATTCTCTTGCCTCAGCCTCCTAAGTAGCTGGGACTACAGGCGCCCGCCACCACGCTTGGCTAAGTTTTTGTATTTTTAGTAGAGACGGGGTTTCACCGTGTTAGCCAGGATGGTCTCGATCTCCTGACCTCATGATCCGCCCGCCTCGGCCTCCCAAAGTGCTGGGATTACAGGCGTGAGCCACCGTGCCTGGCCCTACTAAATTCTTATAATTCTATTTTGCCAGATAAATTTCCTATGCTGCTCCTGAACGATGTACCATTGGAACCCCATATACATCCTCTGTCTCTTAAATTAGGAAATGAAAAAAAAAATGGCACTGGTAAAATATATTTCTACCTATTGGTTTTAGTTATGGAGTCAGGGGCTACATAATCAAACTCCAAAAATGGCATCCTAATCATCTATACCAAACAGCTACTGTCTGTAAACAATGATATGTGAGAAGGCAGTGTGTTTCCTAAATGCCTCGGGACTTTATTACTAATGACACAATCACAAGCAGAAGAAAAACCAGACCTGAATTGCACAAGCATACCCAGAGAGATAGTAATACCACAGATATAAATTACAGGCCTCCTCTAAATCAGATACTGTCATCAATCTCACATAGAGCTTCCTGCCCAGTGAAATCTGCCTTAATTGGTTTTCATTCTGTTGTTATTGTTGTTGAAAAACTGAAAGAGAGCGAGCCATCTCAGGCAGCATCATGGGAATTTCAGACACACACACAGACACACAGACACACACACACACGCAAACACACCCACTCCTTTAAAGCTCAAATGAGTGCATCTAGATTTCAAGGAAATACTAACAAGGAACACGTTGAGGGTATTTTCCACTGGTTTAAAAATAAAGCATTCTACCCTTTAAAAAAATAAATCCCCAAATTATAGAAACAGGAAGCAGCAGCTGGATTTATCATCCTTCATTTCCTCTGAGAGTCACAGTAAGGAACTCCCCATTGAGACAGAAGCCATGGAGAGGTTAGCCCCTCCTGCCTGGACCCACATATCCACATGCTGCTGCTGCTGGTCCAACATGGTCAATGGTCGGCCAATTCAAAATCAAACTTGCTTTGTCTTATAAAGCATTCTGTGTCTAAGCCCTGCATTTTGATAAAATGAAAAACCTGACTAGCATTTCAACACACATACATAACTGGTCTTAGAAGGGCCTCACTCTCATTTCTCATGAAGTTGTCTCTTTCCTGGGCTCACCCAGGAGGGCTTTAGGGACCTGAGGACCTAAACACACAACAGAAGATGCAACAGATTCAACAGATGATGATGATAACAACACCCCTGAGGGACTCTGCAGCCTTGATCTAGTGGCTGTACTGGAAGAAAGCAAGAGGGCTGGCTGGGTTCTAGTCTTCTTTCATCCATTTGTGATTATGGTTGAAATACTTAGTCTCGCTCAGCCTCAGTTCTTGTGTCTATGAAATGACAATGAGACCACCTATTTCACAGAGGTGTAACGAGAAGTGAGATGATGAATATGAAATACTTTGTAAATTACACAGAAATAACAACAGACTAGAGTAATAGCAATCTATATACCTGCATAAGGTGGCTTTGCCAGTTTCAAAGCTTTCACAAATATTATTTAGGTTGATCCTTAAAATGATACAGTTGGGTGGGTGGTAATGACATCATCATCATCATCATCATCACTATTATGAATGTTTTATAAATGAGCTAGTGTAGAGGAACATAATGGGAAAGTTGTGTCCTAACTCATTTGCATGAATTCACATCATTTAAAAACATTTCTGGCAACATACGAGTGGTAAGTACATGGCTGGGAGTTATGAAAGCCACTCACATTTCAGGGCTGCTACTCTAGGCAAATCCCTTAACCTCTCCAGGCAACATGATTCATCTATCTGTCACTGGGTTGGTGGGAGACAAACATAAATTAGACCTGGTTCAATCTCTTGAAGAAATCAGTTGGCGCAAGGGGGCTGGTGGTGATGGTGGAAAGAAGTGACATATAAACACATTAATTACAAAACAGTGTTTACTTAAAATATGGAGTATGAACAAAATGCTGTGGGGTCACAAAGTAGGAAATGACTAATTTTGGGGGACTCATGAAATAATTCCTCTAAGTTCTTTGTAAACTGAGAAAAGAAGGAAATCAGACTACAAATTGATCAATGTCCCTTTTGAGGCTAAAACTCTGAGAAAATGAGGCTTAGAAAGGTTGTCAGTAATCTCAATAGACAGTGTGATTCCTCTTCCTCATCTGCTCATAGGCAATACACGATTTAAAACAACTGACTGGCCGGACATGGTGGCTCGCACTTGTAATCCCAGCACTTTGTGAGGTTAGGTGGGTGGATCATCTGAGGTCAGGAGTTCAAGACCAGCCTGGCCAACATGGCAAAACCCCGTCTCTACTAAATATACAAAAATTAGCCAGGTGTGGTGGTCTGTGCCTGTAATCCCAGCTACTCAGGAGGCTAGGCAGGAGAATCGCCTGAACCCGGGAGGCGGAGGTTGCAGTGAGCCAAGATCACACCACTGCACTCCAGCCTGGGCAACTGAGTGAGACTCAGTATCAAAAAAAAAAAAAAAAAAAAAAAAAAGACACAGTGGAAGACAGGAAGCCCAACACCTGAAAGATAGATGGGAAGCCCTTTGGGACCCTTTGTGTTCTGAACGTGATACATGAAAATAGCCTTCCTGCATGAGTAAATGCTGACAGATTTGTTTGGAGGAGTTGAGTTACCCATTCTTCTGTTTCTTACAGACTAACACTTGAATTAAGATGAGCTAGGGTACATGATACAAATTCAGATTCTTGGCCTCCACCCAGACCTATTCCTTTTCTACATGAGCCCCCACAGACCTTCAGAAAATAGCCGTTGACAGGTTGGAATGCAACGAACAGGAAAAGCAAACTATATGCAGCCTGGGAGGCCTTGCTAGCAAGGCTGAGCTGAGATGACTCAGCAGGTTAGAGCTGTGACCGTTCACTTCTGTAGTCATTACTCCAGTTCTTATCCAGTGCCTACTACAAATGCATGCACACAGGCTGGTCATACTCCAGAGCCCATCTAAGAATAACATGGAGTGGCTAACACAACTTGGCACAACACACAGGCAGGTTTTTCCAAAGAATGCCAGCCTTGGGTCCTGGGTGACAACTGGCTCCCAAAAGTTTGGCTGAGAAAGCCAACACACAGGACAGGCATTGTGAGCAAGCAGCAACCTGGCCAGTCACAGTCTACTTTAAATTCCACAAAATCTTGTTCTTTAGAAAGGGAACAGAAGTTGGGGAAAATAGAAAAGGCAGAGTCAGGGGTGGGATTTTGGGGTTGTTTCAGTTAAGTACTATAAACCAGTTTCCAAAGCTATGAAATTACTAACAGGGATAATGATGAATTCCCTTCAGTGATGATAGCGGCTCTACAGCGATGCTCGAGCTTCTGTTTGAGCTGACTGTTGACATACAGCATACTCTGCTTATATTGAGGGTAAAATTCACCTTTGGGCTACAGTGTGTACAGTACCAGATGTCTTGTTCTGTTTAGCATTTTATAAAGAGGAATTGTTCCGCTCATTTTCTTTAGTCAAATAGGGATTTTTTTAAGCCTAAAAGTGATGCTTGAAAGAAGATTCAGATGTGAGAAGTAAACAGCAGTTGGGGGGCAGTTAAAACACCAGGGAACAATGCGGCTGCCCCATAAAAATGTGCTCCCACTTGCATTTACAGCCTTAGCTAAAGCTGCGAAGAAGGACAACTGTTCAAATACAATTGTAGAGAGGTCTTCTCTTCCTTCCCCATTCAATGTCCCTGGTAAGCAGGGGTCAGGTCTCAGCTACCTTTGAAGACCCTACTGCAGGTGTTGAGGTAAGAGGACACTTACTCACTCTCTTCATGTTACATCGCCAAGAGAGAATTCCTTACAATACACCGGGCCTTCCTTGCTGCCCCCTCACTAATTCCTCCTCTTCGTCCTCTTTGAGATTTGCCTGTCTGCAAAGGTCACGAATTCTGGACTCCTCTCCTGCTGGGGGAAAGCAGCTTTCCCCTGCAGGGTACCAGCTTCCATTATTCTGGCATGCCAAGAAAAGGTGGGTAGTTTTATCTAATTCAGGGATAAAATTTCTGGAGGCCTACTTGGCTGCAGACCCAAAGCCATATTCTCCAAAGTGCATCATCAGTAATAAAGATGATATTTTGCAATCTACCAGCCTGACTCCTTTATCTTTCTAACTGGTGTGGAAAGAGGGGTTATTCACTTGGCTCCCTCAAACTTCAATAGTGGGTAGTTTTCCTTGCTTTGTATAGCTCACAGCTTTCAGTGAATATTTATTAAAGATATATGTGCAAAAATGTGGTGAGAGGGAAACAAATCTGTTTGGTTTTATTTGTTCATGAATGAGTATTTGACCATATTCCATCCCATAAAAGTCTTGGGAGGCAGTCCAAAATATGATATCCAATTTCTGTGTGAATTCTTAGAGGGAAACAATTAACATATATTCAAAAGAGAAACAGCCCTATTAAAAATATTATTGATGTCTTAGCACATGGAAATAGGTTTTTGACCCTTGTAGAGCATTAGCCCCTTGAAAAGTTTCTTCAAACTATTTTCTAAGCCAAATGACACAGGTGAAAACTTAACTCTTAAGAGGCTTCTTTTATGTGTGCTGAAATAAATCTGAAGGGCAGCATGACATTTCTTTCCAAGTTCCTTTTCATTTTTACAACCAACTATTTTAAACTATCAATCCTTTATAAAAGGGTTATTTAAAACCTCCAAAATCAAGTACTTCCATGTAAAAATTCGTTTGCCTGCAACTAAAAAATCAGCTGTGCATAGAACTATAACAGCAAGGATACTGGATGGCTTACAAAATGACTTTAACGCGGTCAACATTTTAATTCATCCTCACAACCATTCAACAATCCTGTAAAGTAAATGTTATTACCAACTTCAAGTTAGGGAAAAAACTGTTCAAAAAGTTCAACTCCAAGATTGCCCAATATTACCCAGCTAATTAATAGTAGTGGCACTGGGACTCAAACTTAGGTCTCATAATAAAACTGACGTGTTTTCTACTAAGTCATGACTCTGGATGCTAAGGTGTTTACATCCCTCCCTGCAGCCTTACAGAGTCTGGTCCTAATACCTGTGCAGTGCAGGAGTGGCCAATAGAGCTCCAGGTAAAGCATGTCAGCAAGAACCAAAGGAAATAACCTGGAGCAGACAGAAGAACAAGTTAATTCACTGAGTTCAGATGCCCCTGTCCTCCTGTATTCCTGCAGTCCTTTTAAGGAAGAAAAGTGAATGAACTCATTTCATTTTATTTCCTTCCTCCCTTTCCCCTGGGCTGAACCGAAAAGGCACAGCCCAGGAACCAGACCAGCAGGCAGCTGATATCTCTAAAAACAGTTTCACATCTGTTAAACTACAGGATGCTCCATTAACTCCAAAAAGAGCCTGAAGGTCCAACTTTCTTGAATTCACCAGTGGTCAGATGGTCACTTACAGCTGCAATGAAAACTGCAACTGGGCCTGGGGATTCCCGAAGGAGCCAAACTAAGGGGGAAATGTTTTTAACTTTGACAGAAGTATTGGGAGAGGGTGAGGACGATCCTTCCAGATAGCTCAGAAAGCTCTCTCTACTATTAGTGTTTTCATCCTGCCCCACCCACTTTAATTCTTTAGGCCCTCTCTGGTTTGTCCTTGGACAGAACTGGCTTGAATCCTGAGTAGGGGGAAGTTAGGTGGTCTCAGGCTAAACTGGGGATTCCAGGATGGTAATTATTCTCAAAGGCGAAAACAATGACTTTTAGCAGCCTTCCAAGCCTCTAGAATCATTAAATAAAATGATGTGTGAATATCAGATACCAGAGGTATTAAGAGGATCTCAAAAATACATTTATGTTTTGGGAGAAATAAACTCAGAGCCAGCTATAAAGTTTCTGGGCTCAACTCAAGACACCAGATTGAAATGTTCATAAAAATAAGAGATTCCTTTTTATGAATCACAGTTATTGCTAGTTATGAACATCAGCAAACACCCCAAAAGTAGGTGTGGTAAAGCAGCAGATGTAATAATGCTTAACCTTCTGGAGGAAACTCTCATCCTTAAAATAAACCAACCGAGTCCACCAGAATCCTGAAAAGACATATTCCAATATGTGTAACCATGTTTGCTTGTAGATTAAGGGAGATAAAATATCTAATACCACCCTTTCTGCTAATCCTGCCATTTCTCTCAGCAGTGAGAACAGTGTCACCTGAGTGGAAATTACATGTGGCAATGTGATACTGTGTACCTCATTGAAAAGGCAGCCACAGCAGACAACTTTAATTTTGATCACATACTAGGTAAACAAAAAAAGTGATGAAGAGAATTGAAAAGATGCCGTTACAGAGAAGAGATATAACCTAATATATTAAAGGTGAAGCATTTTCTAAAATTTCCTCTCATTAACAATTCAAACAACTTTCACTGTGAAAGAAAGAAACTCAAAATCAGTCCAACAACTCAAATGGAGAGTGCTACTACTTTCCCCATGCTGTCTCCAGCACACCCACAACTCTACCCTCAGAGAACATACAGTGCAATGATGAAGAGAAGAGACACAGGAGTCACACTGCCAGAGCGAAGAATCCTGGCTCTGCCATTTATTAGCTGTGTGATGTCAGGTGTGTTACCTAACATCTCTGTTTCCCTCTTTCTCAATAAGTGGGAAACAACAGCACTCACCTCAGAGGTTGTGGTGGGGATTTAGTGAGCCCATACATGTCCACACTTAGCACAGTGCCCCGTGCACATTAAGCAATCAATTTATTTAACTTCAAAGGCAATGACATGGGATTAACCAGACTATGAAAATAAAGAAATGGGGATTATTACAGTCTATGCAAAAGCCAAATGTTCCCCCTAGGCAACCAGACTGAACCCATTAGAAAACATCCTTTTATTGGCTGGGCACGGTGGCTCACGCCTGTAATCCCAGCACTTTGGGAGGCTGAGGCGGGTGGATCACGAGGTCAGGAGATCAAGACCATCCTGGCTAAACATGGTGAAAACCCATCTCTACTAAAAATACAAAAAATTAGCCGGGCCCTGTAGTCCCAGCTACTCGGGAGGCTGAGGCAGGAGAATGGCGTGGACCTAGGAGGCGGAGCTTGCAGTGAGCCAAGATGGTGTCACCGCACTCCAGCCAGGGCGACAGAGCGAGACTCAGTCTCAAAAAAAAAAAAAGAAAAAAAGAAAAAGAAAACATCCTTTTATTATTCTGTGGGCTCAGGGACTCAACTTGGTCATTCTTCTCAGTGGCTACGGCAGCTTATCAGAGAGGGCAGGCTCAAAGGACAAAAGTCAGTTCAGAAGAGATATGAAGACACAGAGAGAATGCCTGAGTCTGGGAGAAACTGGTTTGGGGCAGCTCTGAAAATGGGAAACAGCCAACAGTCCACAATCATGGGATTTAGGGCTTAGAAATAAAGTAGCAGGCTATTCAGATATGCACACTTTGTTAATACGGTTAAACTTTCCTCCATCTTCTCTTCAAGGTCCCTGCTGCAGGAGCATCTTCCAGAGACTGGTCTGCACGCCTTCAAATAGGTATGGCCATTTCTGGCATTTAATTGTTGTGGAGAAAACATATGTTTCAATTATAAACTCTGGAGGAGGAAGAGTGTGTCTCACACCTTGTGCCTCTCTCCCTGGCCTACTTCTGCCCCAGGGCCTAGCCCCCAGCATGGAGATGCTCACCTAGAAAGTGCTATAGAGAAATGTGTTACTATACTAAAAGCAGCACACATGAGGCCAGTACAGAGAAAAGGGTAGAGCAAAGCAGCATCTCCCTACCTCTGTGAGGCTTCGGTGGAAAGGCTGAGTTCAACAAGTTTAGGAGGAGGAAGAAGACGAAGCCTTCAGAGGCACGACGTACTGCAAAGATTATAGCGTTCCTCCAAACAGAAATCAAATTTAAATAATAAACCATAAAATAAGTATAAGAAAGTCCAGCTAAGGTCTGCTTTTTCTCATGATCACGGCTTTATTTCTTTAAGCAGCAAATATCAAATTATTTTTTAAAAAAAATATTTGAGCACGGTGTCTGCTTTTCTGGTGCCCCAAACACATGTTTAGTCTGCGTATCTGGTAATCTAACCCTGCTTGGGCACCAAAGGATTCCCTCCAGATACAGAGAGGCAGGCATGAAAGAATGGAGTTGGCAGGGACAGGTCAGGTGGAAAGGGAAGTATGAAGGAGACAGTGGCAATGAAAGGGTGGGGCAGAGGTGAGGACAGCTGGGGACTGGGCAATGGTGCAGTTAAGAGTAAGGTTAGCAATTTCAACTCCTTCCAGGTTAAATCTAGAGAGAACTTCAGAAACAATCTAAACCCAATCTTTTCCTTTTACAGGAGAGAAACTATTGCCCACTGATGATTTACCCAAGGCAAAGCTGCCAGTTAGAGGCAGAGATGGACCTGAAATCTGGCTTCCTGGCTGCCTGTTTAGAGGTCTTTCCACTCAGCACATCTCCTTTACGCTTACAGGGCAGAGGAATCAGAGCTCAGACAAACAGGTGAGAACTCAAGCAGCCGTGAAAGGCCTGCAGGCTCTCCTGCCCCAATGCTGCCTGTTAACAGAGTCAGCAGAAGAGGCAAAGAGAAGAGGTTGTCACTCTGTTTTTGATGAAGCCATTTGGTCTTCTGATAGGATATGCTGGACTAGAAATGCATGGTCACAGTCTGTTTCCCAGGGCAGAGGCTGTTATCAGGATGCTGTAGAGTACACTTGATAACGTATGGCAGGAAAGCCTACAGCACAAGAATTATGCACCCCTGACATTCCCTGACCCCTCTGGCCTCCAGTCGCCATGGCAAAGAACTGAAATCACCATTGGATACCTGGCTTTGTGATTCCTGATTCCTAAGATGGTACAGTTGTGAAGGAAACAGGGTAAGGATAAGACACATAAACCAATGGAGACACCTGCATTAACAATAGTCTTGATGAGATGCTGCTGTGGTTTTGCTGCCTAAAAATTGGGACAGACAAAAATTACTGTGAGGCTCAACAAGCTTATCTTCAGTGCTCTGTGGACCAACTCTTAGCTTTCAGACTTCCTGAGCTCCAAAGACTTTCTTTATAAAATCAGCCTCCTTTCTCTGAGAGATACTTCCAGTAAGTGCCACTATGCTTCGATGTTCACCTCAAGTGGTAAACATGTACTACATCTGGCCTGAACTAAGATTTATTTTTAGTCAGTTTTTTTTTTTATGATGGACATAAATCACTCAACTGCATTCTGCTTCACTTTGTGTAGCAGGCAAACTAAGAAATCAGGCAAACTAAGAAATCAGGCAAACTAAGAAAACAGACGATGACTTTTTAACCTACATCTCTCACCACCTTTACCTTCTGAATCTTCCTTGATGCACTGTACCCAAAAGTCATTTCTCCCAGGGGAAAGCAAGAATTGAATAAAACACCATCAGCATTTGTAACACATCGTCCCTCTACCAGGTTCTCATCCACAGGCTTTTGCCCATTGCATTTCCTCTGCCTAAAGTATCCAGTTTTCTCCAATTTACCTTGTTAATTACCTGTCTTTGCCTGCCATCAGTGCCTATGGTAAGCCTTCCTGGAAATCTCTACACCAATAACCCAGTCCTTTTAATCCTCCCTTGATGCTCCCAGAGTATCCTGTGCATTTCTGCCCCTCTACACTCTCGTACAATTATCTGGTTTTGAGTCTATCTCCTTCACTAAAGCTGTAAGATTCTCCAGGGCAGGGATCATAATTCATTCACGTTTGTTTCCCCAGGGACTAGTATACTACCCAGCACATGGAAGGGGTGCAATAAATACATAGTTGTAAGACTTTATCACACATATTCTTTAGCTGAATCCTTAGAGTGATACTGCAAGGCAGGAATTGTTGGTCACATTTTACAGACAAAGAAACAAGCTCAGAAAGGTTTCAAAGGATCCCCAGGACCATCAGTTCTGACACCCTCTAGCTCCCAGACTAGATTTTCACTTTACTACATTATAATCATTTAACCATACAAGTTCCACATAGAAGACAAATCTGAAAGCATTGATCCTTTGATGTGGGCCTATACATTGTGACCTGCACAACTGAAGAACAGATGCACAAAATTTTCAAATGTGAGTGTAATTGTTCAAATTGTTCTAAAAGCAGGAATGATGATCAGCTAAGGTGATGCAGTTTACATTAATTCTTTCCTCAAGGTCCTCTCCATCCTAAAGCTCTGCAAAAATGTCTGGTGGACATGAATTACATACAAAGTTGATCTGGTTATTAAGTCACAAAACTGTCTCTGGTTAACTGCCAACACTGTCAGACATCTTCAAAGAGCCAGACATGGCACAGCAGCAATGGCTGGCGAACTAGAAGTAACTTGGATGTGGCTGATTTGACCATGCAGAAAAGACAGGTCACCGGCAGAATGGGATTGGTTTGTAACTTTGACCCTCCATGACCCTCTGGCACACTTGAGCCTCTCCTCAGCCAAAGAAAGTGGTTTTCAGCACAGCTGCACCCTAGAATAATGCGGGGTGGCCTCAGAAACTAATGTAATGCTAGGCCACACCCCCGGAGGTACCAACTTAGTGGACCTAGGGTAGGCCCTTGAATCTACACCTGAATTGTTGAAAAGTTCCTCTGCAACTGTAGTATGCAGCCAGAATGAAAGGCCTGGGTGTTTCCGAAGCTGAAGAGCTCATCTCGTTGATCTAAATTTAAGATGAAAAGCCCAACTGGAACACCTTTTGGAACTTTCCTTTCCTTTACATCCAGCGACATTTAAAACACTTAAGTAAACAGCCACTCAGCACATCACAGTATGGACACTGCTTTTGAGTTACTCAACACTGGCTTTCATAGAGATGGAAACACAACATTCCTCTACTCTATCTGGGAGATTTTCCAGCCCTTTCTGCACAAACATTTCTAATGACAGGAAATGTACTACCTTAAAAGGTACTTTGTAGTTGTATGCTTAGAACAGGTGAATATTACAGTATGTAAATTAAATCTTAGTAAAGCTGTTTGTGTATGTGTATCTGTGTTTAAGGTACTTTGCTTGATTTCGGGAACAGCACTTATTACAAGAAAGTTCTTTTGGATCAGTCTATGAAATTAACCGATCTCTCCTTTACACTCACTGATCCTAGCCTTGCTGCTGGGGCCACTCAGATTTAAGTCTAATTCCTCTTCCACTTGACTCTGAATTCAGGCATATCTGGGTGTGAATCCATTTACTAGCTATGTGATCCACAGCAAATGAGCTCTTTCTGAGCTTCAATGTCCTGATCCACAGGAAGTGAGAGTATTTCCTTCGTAGAATTTGCGAGGATTGGCAAGCATCTAATATCTGGAACATTGTGAGATGCTCAATGAATAACGCTTTCCTTCCCTTCCCCATAGAGGTGGAGTACAAGGCTAAACATCCACACGTAGATATTTCACGATTCCTCATCAGGTTGCGGTTTTCCATTTTTCACCATCCTCCCATGAATTGCTTTTAGATTTGATAAATGTGGTGGCCTCACTTCTACAGCATCAGTTAACTCTGGTACAATAACTGCAGTATACCAATGACTGCTTACTGGCTCGTATTCAATGTTTTAAAAGTTTTAGGAACCCAAGGTTTTTCCTCTCAGTATCGGCTGCCTGTGAGCACTAAACCACATACAGAGGTTCAGCCACATATCAGAGACATCTTTATTCAGCTGCTTAGGAGCGAGTATGGCGGTTAGGTGGGAATTCCTTCTGTTATCTGCTGTGCTAGGAGAGGTGGCCTCCAATTATCACACCATGACCATGCTGCTCCTTCCCTGTACCAGGCACTCACCGGGATGCACCTTGTCCCAGCCTCTACCTCCACTGCACCTCGGCTGCCCACCACTTTTATCTGTGATTCTGGGAGGGCAACATAGCACTGCAGAAATCAAATGAGATTTGGCTAAGGCAGACCAGTTCAAATCATGGTGTCCTCTCTCAGAGCAAACTATTGACCTTCAGCAAATCAGTTTTTTTTTCAGGTTATTAAAAATAACCTTTTTTAAAAAAAGTTAATATATGCCTGATAGGAAACTGAAAAACACAAGAAGCAAAGAACAAAGTTATCCACAATCACAAGCAGTTTACAGTTTGACGTGTCCTCCTAGGTCCTGCGTGTGTATAGACACAGCATCCAATTTAATGGGATTAAGATTGTGCAATATGTATCATGCTTTTAAACACCACATGAATATTTACCAATTCAAAATCTCAAATCTATGTAAGTATTTTGATAACCAAGAATATACTACACCAACTCAATCTGCTAGGAAAAAACATAATCTCGCCTTTCTTGTGACAAAAATTTCACAGAAGACAAAAATGGCAACAGGCCTGTAGATAAAAGCACTGGCAGAGTCCCGATTAAAATACTGTGTTCCCTTAATACTCAACCTAAAATGAAACCATAAAGCAACAGAATACACCAAGTATAATGTTTCTAAGATAATTCATTAACCGATCTATACTATTAAAATACTAGCAAGAAGGTATATTGCCACTGAATTACTTAAGGTATTCCTATAGCATAGCCAAGAGAGATGTACATACATCAATAGTTATCATCAAAGTGTGTATCTGAACACATCTGCATACTTCTCTTCCTTTGGATTTCCTTCTGCCCCTCTGGTCCCAAAGTAATGAATAGTTTCTAATACACTCTGCTGACTTCAAGTAAATTATTTAACTCTCTGAATATCAATCAGCACCCCCATCTGCAAAAACTGAACCACCACACCTTTCCAAAGGGATTATTATGACAATTAAATGATTATGCTGCAATAAAGTGTCTAGCCTAATGTCTAATGCACAATAGGCATCCAACAAGTAGTAATTTTTTTTGAGAATATGTGAATATGTTTATTTCGCACTATATAGATTTAGCTTGTTTATTAACAACTATGATTCACAAGAAAAGAGAGGAGACAGAGAGAGAGAAAGGGAGAAAGACAGAAAGGGAGAAAGAAAGAGTAATTATTATCATCACTAGTGTGATATGGCGATTTCCCGCTCTTAGACTGGACTCTGTCCTGAATGCTAATCTATTTGACTACAGTCCTGACCTCTGTGCTGGGTTCTCACTACCTTTGTCCTCCAGGGGTGGTAAACCCTGATCTTCACACAGGAGCTTGCCCTACCCTCGGCCTGAACACCCCTCACCTGTGTTAAGTCTTCACAGCCTCTCTCTCCCTGCCAAGCCACTGTGTGTATTTCTCAGCTACTCTTAGCAAACTCCCAGTGTGTAAAGTGTGCTGGGAGTCAGAAATCTGCATTCTAGGTCCTGCTTGGCCACTAGCTACGTGACCACGAGCCAGGCACATAAACATTTTTATCTTGCTTCCCCTTCTGTGCAATGATGATGTCAGACGACACGATCTCTAAGGGCTCCTCCAGAACCAAAGTTTACGACCCCTCCCTTCCCCACCTCCTGGCCTCTTCCCATCTATCCTTTACCACCTTCATCCACCCCTCTACCCTCCCACTCACCCACAAGGGAGTCTTCAAGGCTGATCCTCTCCCCACACTCTTACCTCTGCTCCAAGTCCCGGCAATATGCCGTTATTGGCCATGTATTTATACAAAGCCACTTAAGCCATAGATTTTGGGTTGTTAGTCTGGAAACCTAAAACTCATGTATCATTTCTTGTCTATTAGAGAATGTATTTGTGGACATTACATTATATTAAGATGACAATGTCTAATAAAGGTTCTAACGCTTGCCTGTCAGGAGGAGACATATATTATGTAATATGTTTAATAAACATGTGCTGTCATACCTTTCCTTTTCTGATGTTTCCTATGGAAAAGTTTTCCCTGTAGAGCTGAGTATGCTACTCTGGAGTATCAGACTCAGAGACATTCTATCCTGGGCCTCACAAATTATACATAGATGTAAACTGCTTTAAGAAACATGATAAAGAGATTACTAAAATCATGAAAAAAATTGGTATGATTATTCATCTTCTTAGAGTTCTTTCAAGACATCTAAAAATAATTTAGCTTACAGAAGTTCAACGTCTCATCAACTTTTCAGAAGTTCAATTGTTGCCTAAAATGAAATATTATATATGAATAGAAACTTGAAGATATTTTAATTTTTAAAAGTACATGTCAAATTTGTTCACATAGAAAATTAAAAGTAAAAAAACAAACAGTACATCTTTAAAAGCAACATTATGCTACTTAGAAGATACATGTGGTACGTAGAAAAAAAATTATTACACATATATTTACACACAGTGTTTTGAGTTTGCACAGGGCTAACTCAAGTTGCCTTTGAAATTAAGCAGATATTTGAGATAAAATTACCTAGCTGGGAATTTTTCTGAGCCATTTGCTTGTTTATGATAGCTTGAAGAAAACATACCAAGTCTGCCAAATCTGTAAATACATAGGGATTTAAAACTCTTGTCAAATAAGAAAAATGAACAAATTTAAGGTCATCTAACAGACTTCATAATATATTATATGAATATAGTAGGCTTATCTTTTCTTGCGTAGTAATACAAAAGTCCTGCATGTGTTCCCAGTATGTTGATTTATTTTTAGGATAATGTAATAATTTTGTTTCCAAAAAATGTTAATTATCTAGCACACCTGTCTGTCCTCAGACAAGCAAGTACAGGAGTCAGTTAACACTGCTCACTGTAGGCACTGAGACATCAGCCTGCTTGCTTACTGAGTGATCAGTGGGTGGGGTGGGGGTGGGAGACCTTCACCTACAGACACACTTGGGTCATGGAATCTGACAATGAAAGAATATGAGCACTATTTGATAGTGTTGAAAGCACTCAGAACTTTCAACACTATGGCTGTCTCCGAACTTGACAGAATTTTCCGTATCACATCAGCCAATATTGTACTCACCCGTAAGATATGGAACACTTGTATCTTAAGGAAAGGAAAGAAACAACTATTTGAGTGGTGACTTATATTCCCTTTATGAAATTTACTTATGTCACTCACATTCCAATAATAGTAAGCATACATTATTTTTCTATATTTCAGCTTACTCAGTATTGTGCTGATGATGTACATGAACACTATCTTCTTGGTTTACTCTGTTCTCCATTCACTTTAGCCAAATAATGTCAGCAACCTTTCTTATACTACCTCTAAACCCAATGGGCTATGACTCTGTCCAATTTCCTAAAAGATTTAAGTTCAGCTTGCCTCCCTAAATTGCTATCTAAAAGAATGTTTAAGGGAGCATCTCAATTTCCTATGTTCTGAAAGTTAACACTCAGAGATAAACAGGAATCACATTTCTACTATACATTCCAGTTATCTTCAAGCATTTCCCTTCATACCCTTGTGCTACTGATGCCAAGAATGCTATGTGCTCGGCTCACTCTCAGATGGAGAGTGAGTAATATGGGGCTGTCTTAGTCTGAACTGCTATTACAGATTACACAGGCTGGGTGCCTTAAATGACAAACATTTATTCCTCACAGTTCTGGAATCTGGAAATCTAAGATCAGGGTACCAACACAGCCGAGTTTGGTGAGGGCCTTCTTCCAGATTGCAGACAGCTGACTTCCCTGTCTATCCTCACATGGTGAGAAAAGGGCAGGAGAACTCTCTGGGGTCCCTTTTATAACAGCATGAATCCCATCCATGAGGGCAGAGCCCTCATGCCCTAATTACTTTCCAAAGGCCCTACCTCCTAATACCATTACACTGGGGTTAGGATTTCAACACTTTGTGGGGGACATAAACACTTAGTCCATAACAAGAGCCCTCTGCTTCCAGCATATATTGCTCTAATGAGAGTTATCAGGTAAGGGTTTAGCACATTTTAATCTCAAGTCAGTCAAAAACTCACATCACCAATTATCTGCAAATACAGAACAATTAAAATGGTAATTAAATTACTCCAGATATTCATCTAAAAAACTCTTTAGTTTCCACTATGCTCTACTGAAAAAAGAGTAAGTCTGCAATCATCAAGAGGTCTTAAGTCTAAAAACCAACTGCATGTCTCAAGGCATTTTACACTACTATCCAGTATAAAAGACATTCTAAAATACTAGATATTAAAGCATTCAGAACAATAACGTATGTCCCATTACAATATAGATGGGTTCCACTGTATCTACTTCAGGGAAAAAATGTATGCTTGGGAAAACAAGAGCATTCTTATCAATCTTGAAAATGCATAATTTCCAGTATTTTCTGTTGTTTTGTTTTCAGAATACTTTGTTCCTGGGGAAATATGCTAATTCCCTTGCAATTCTGGTCTACCTTTTTTTTCCTAGTTAAATGAGCAAATAAAGTCAAATTTTAAGCATGAAGTTAGATGCTTTCTAGGAAAAAAGTGATAACGAATATTTTTCAAGTAACTGAAAGCTATAACCATGTTTTCGCCCACTGGCTGCCCTTCAGTTCTTTGAATATGCCAAGCTCACCTGTATCTCAGGACCTCTGCACGTGCTCATCCCTCTGCAGGACTGTTCATTCCCCAGATCTTCTCATTGTTCCCTTCTTCTCAACACTCCTGCCCTAGCTCAGCTGGCACCTCTTCATTGAGGCCTTTCCTGATTAGTCCCCATCTCATTTCATTTCTTCATAGCTTTTACAGCTATTTTATATTATCTTGTTTATGTTTTTGGTTGCTTATGGATCCACAAGCTGAGATCCTGTCTATTTTGTTCACACTCTATTCTCAGCACCTAGGACAGTACCTGTCATATAGATGTTTATAGATTATCTGTTTAATAAATAAATAAATGAATGAATGAACAAATTAACCACATGTCAACTGAAAGCTGAGGACATGTAATTTCAAATAAACTTTGTCTGATTGAATTTTACTTGATTTCAAGAAAGTTTTAACAAAGTTACATATAATAACCTTGTGAATTTGACAGAAATATCAATCTACGGCCAGGCACAGTGGCTCACGCCTGTAATCCCAGCACTTTGGAAGGCCGAGGTGGGTGGATCATGAGGTCAGAAGATCGAGACCATCCTGGCTAACACAGTGAAACTCCGTCTCTACTAAAAAATACAAAAAAATTAGCTGGGCGTGTTGGCGGGCGCCTATAGCCCCAGCTACTCAGGAGGCTGAGGCAGGAAAATGGCGTGAACCCAGGAGGCGGAGCTTGCAGTGAGCTGAAATGGTGCCACTGCACTCCAGCCTGGGCGACAGAGCGAGACTGTCTCAAAAGAAAAAAAAAAAGGAAATATCAATCTAGTGACGGTTCTGTAGATTCCTTACAGGTCAAATGACTGCACCTAGAGTGCTAAATAATGCCAAGCGGGGAACTTGGTCCTACCTTATCCCACACTGTTATCAATCATTTGGAAGATGAAAAATTTTAAATCACACAATGCTGAAAAGGATAGCAAATGGGCTGGGGAACAGAATCAGGTATCAAAAAGATCTCCATAGGTTGAAAAGGCAGGCTAAAACAAACAAGATGATATTTAACAGGGATCAGCCTAAAGCCTTGTACATAATTTAAAAACTCAAACATGGAGCGAGGGCGTTCAGGACACCTGGCTTAACAGCAGCAGCACTGTGAAATATCCAGCATTTTATCATTGTGAGCTTCATATGGGGCAAACATATGGCTTGACCACTAAAGAACAATTATCAGAATGTGAAACGGAACAATGTAGCATGCTCAGGTAGGATGAACTGGGGTTACACAGGCTCAAAACAAATTATTTCATTCAATAACAGTTTCTGAGCACTTATGATGTGATGGACATTATACATGGAACCGGAGATACAGAGATAAGAGACCAAAGTCTAGTATGGAGTGAGAGAACCCAGAGTTGTTAATACAGAGGGCAGGGGGATGATGACAGAGGGGCAAATGAAAGTTACAGGAACAAAGGGAAAGGAAAGGCTGGAGAGGGTGCTCCAGGAAATACAACTCTTGCAGACAGATGAGCTAATTAAGAAGGTGTTATAAAAGTGAAACCAAGAACTCAGCACTGTGCCAGGCACAAAGCAAGTCATAATAACAATGTTGGGTACCATTATAATTATAATCAACATTATTGTGGTTATCATTATTACTAAAAATGAATGCACCTTGACAGCTCTTTCTTAAAGCAGAATTCCAAATAATATATGTAGAGGAAATGATGGAAAGACAAAAATCACTGTTAGGCAAACATTACAGCAATAACTGTTGCAGGCACAAGACACTGATAAACACTAAAAGTAGTGAGCAAAAGTATGAGAAACAGGATATCTGCATAGTCTCAAAGTATCTCTCCACAAGATATTTATTACAAAAGAGAAAACAATAATTCTATAATGGAGTGGCAGACATCATCCTTACTAACAGATCACAGTTATCACCACCAGTAATAAAACATATCAGCATCACGTGCATCTTGATATGACGAACTTGGAAGAACACATAACTTATGTGGTACTCTTGCCAAAAATGCATAACCCCAATCTAATCATGAGAAAATACCAGAAAACCCAAATGGATAGACAAGGTACAAAGTAACTGGCCAGTATGCTTCCAAAGTGTTGATGTTATGAAAGACAAAAACTGAGGCCAGGCGCGGTGGCTCACGCCTGTAATCCCAGCCCTTTGGGAGGCTGAGGCGGGCGGATCACAAGGTCACGAGATCGAGACCATCCTGGCTAACACGGTGAAACCCCGTCTATACTAAAAATACAAAAATTAGCTGGGCATGGTGGTGGGCGCCTGCAGTCCCAGCTACTCAGGAAGCTGAGGCAGCAGAATGGTGTGAACCCGGGAGGCGGAGCTTGCAGTGTGCCGAAATCGCCCCACTGCACTCCAGAGTGATGACACAGCAAGACTCCGTCTCTAAAAAAAATAAAAAACAAAAAAAGAATGAGGAACTATCATCATGGCTTGGAGGAGACTAAGTACTATGTGGGATTCTGAATTGGATCCTGGACTAGAAAAAGGACATTAGTAGGAAAACTGGCAAAACTTGCATAAGGTTTCTAGATTGGTTAACAGTATTGTATAAATGCCAATTTCCTGGTTTCTAGAATTGTTCTACGGTATGTAAGGCATTAACATAAGGGAAGGTGAGTGAAGGGTACTGGAGAACTCTGTATTATTTTTGTGACTTCTTAAGTCAAAAGATAATTCCAAAACCAAAAATCAAAAATCAAAAACATGGATGTGCCTGAGCCAGGAACCAGAGATTCTGCCAGGAGATAAAGGGGATACGGAGAGGCTGACTCAGACATGAATTCTACATATTGAGCCTCCTAGGTTAAACCATGTCAGGAAAAAGACTGAATGAATGATATAGCATACAAAGCCTGGGGCTATAAATACCAAAAAGTTGGCTGTAACCAGGAAAATGTAGTGAGAACATCCCTGAATTAGTGGTTCTCAGGACAAAGTTGAACCTGTTCTTGATGACTCAGCTCCATTATCAAGAGCATCAATCAACACTTTTGTAACACGGAGGCCCCCAGGCTCCTAGGGTGTGGTATGCTGCCCTCTCCTACAATGTTTTTGGAATCCTCAAGGCTTTTATTTTATTTTATTTATTTATTTATTGAGACAGAGTCTTGCTCTGTCGCCCAGGCTAGAGAGCAGTGGCGTGATCTTGGCTCACTGCCAAGCTCCGCCTCCCGGTTTCATGGCATTCTCCTGCCTCAGCCTCCCAAGTAGCTGGGACTACAGGCGCCCGCCAACACGCTCAACTAATTTTTTGTATTTTTATTAGAGATGGAGTTTCACTGTGTTAGCCAGGATGGTCTCGATCTCCTGATCTCGTGATCCACCCACCTCGGCCTCCCAAAGTGCTGGGATTACAGGCATGAGCCACCGCATCCGGCCTATTTTATTTTATGTTTTTTTTTCAGACAGGGTCTCACTCTATTACCCAGGCTGAAGTGCAGGAGCACAATCTCGGCTCACTGCAGCCTCGACTACCCAGGCTCAAGCGATCCTCCTACCTCAGCCTCCCAAGTAGCTGGGACCACAGGCGCTCACCAAAAGAGCTGGCTAAATTTTTGTATTTTTAGTAGAGACGGGGTTTCACCATGTTCGCCAGGCTGGTCTCGAACCCCTGACTTCAAGTGATCCACCAGCCTCGGCCTCCCAAAGTGCGGGGATTACAGGAATGAGCCAGTGCATCCAGGCTGCCTTTTTTTTTTTTTTTAAACAAACATTTAAACAGTATAGTTTTAGATTTAGAGGAAATTTAAGTTACTGCCAGGAGTTACAATATACTCCACCCATTAATAATATCATACATTAGTCACAATTCACAGACCAATAAAAATATATTATCCACTAAAGCCCACACTTTTTGCAGATTTCCTTGGTCTTTACCTAATGTTCTTTTTCTGTTCCAGGATCCCATCCAGGATACCATATTACATTTATTACTCATATCTCCTTAGGTTCCTTTTGGTTGAGAGAGTTCCTCAGATTTTCCTTGTTTTTGATAACCTTGACAGTTTTGAGGAGTACTGGTCAGGTATTTTATAGAATGACCACCAACTGGAATTAGTCTCATGCTTTTCTCATGATTAGCCTGAAATTATAGGTTTCTGGGAGTAAGACCCCAGAAGTAAAGTGCCATTCTCATCACATCATATCAAGCATAAACACTAGCCTGACTTACCACCACTGATGTTAACCTTGCTCACCAGACTAGAGCAGTATTTGTCAGGTTTCTCTGCCTTCCCACATTGCTCTTTGGAGGGAAGTCACCATGCACAGCCCACACTTAAGGAAATGACAAGTATTATAACCCACTTCTTTGAGAGTGGAATACCTACATAAATCATTTGGAATTTTTCTGCACAGATTTGTCTATTTCCCTCATTTATTTATTGATTCAATCATTTATTTATATCAGGATGGGTACATATTTCATAGTTTGGGTTACAGTTCATTACTACTTTATTTTGTTGCTCAAATTATTTCATCTTTGGCCACTGTGAGCTATTTCAGTAACTCCTGTGTCCCTCTGATAAACCTTCGTCATTGTGGGTTTGTTAAGCTCTTCCTTACTTTCCAGCACTACAAGATGCTCCAAGTTCATCTTGCACATTCCCTGCCCCCGCTCTAGAATCTGGAATCTGTCATTCGGCCAGGAGACCTGGTGGCTTTCACAGGATAATGGTATTAGAAACCAAGATCTGGATGCCAGATATGCTTGTTGCTGCTGGGATATTGCTGCTTTTAGGCTCTCTCAGGTGACACAGCGAAGAAATTGTGTGCGTACTAACTTGTGTATATACACATATCTATAAATATTTCTTTGTATTTTGTATCTATATCAAGCTAAACATGAATTCATATCGGTATCTCCAATTCAAATCCATTACCACATGGATCATTTCCCTCCTTGCTTATCTATAACTTTCCATTCCAAAGTGAGAAACCAAGGCCCTCATCATCCACTATCCATTTACTTATTATTCAATTCCAGTGTACATATATAATAGTTTCAGAATCATTAACTTATATCCTCATGGGAAACAACTTTATCGAATAGAGTATAGTGCTTGCATATAGTTCCTAAGTTATTTAAGTCGGTAACCCTTTTTCATTCACTTTCTTCAGTGAGTTTATTCTGTACTTTGTAATACAGTTGGATTCTTTTGTCATAGTCTGAATTTCATCCTGGGATCCTCCAACCTCCTAAATGGCTTTTAAAAATCTGGATACATTAATGTTCAATATATGTGCTGTAAAGTTTTATGGGTTTTGACAAATGCACAGTGTCACGTCTCCCTTGGTGCCTTTTTACATCTTTTCTGTTTTCTCCTGTGGCATCAGATAATAAACTCAGGGTATGATCAGTCCACCCCTCTTCTAAGAAACCTCCCACCCTGTGGCTCCCTAATCTGTCATTAGCCAACAAACTAAATAACTGAGGTGGTAACATTATAAAGAAAATAAGAAGAAGAATGCCATGCCATAGGGCTCTCCTCCTATCCCATATTTTAAATTCATGATACTGCTGCAGAAATTTTGATTGCATAAGGCTTAAGAGGATACTATACAGGATAGAAAGAGTTAGCAATGAAAACACCTTAACAGGCTGAAAGGTGGGCCAAACCAAAAAAAAAGGTTAGATTACCAGGGAAGTTAATAATTTGATTAAAAAATTCAAGAGTACACATCAGGGAAAGATAACTAGTTTAGTTACTGCATCTATGAGATACTTCAGTGTTTTCATAGGTTGAAAGCTTGGTATGAGGCAACAAAGGGACTTGCTCATCAAAAAACTATTACCAGGACAATGGCCAGGACAGGGGAGGAGACAGTCAGTCTGCACTTGTTAGATCATGTGTGTCATTCTGTGTTCAGTTCAGTTCCAGGCATCAAAGTCCAAATGTGACACAACTACTAAATGAACCAGAGTTGTGAAAAGTCTAGAAAAATTCACTCAACAAGCATTTAGTGAATGCTACCATTCGTATAAGGTATTATAATATGTGCTAGTGTCCAAGCGTGATAATGACGAAAATAAAAACAATAAAAAAGGGCATATCATATCCAAGCACTGCTCAAAGGACTTCATAAGTATTAATTAACTTAATCAGATAAATCGGCTCTTTGTGACCCTTCAAGATATCTGAGGTTTCCAGATTTATGCCCATGTAAACGACTAGTATATTCAACAAGTCATATTTAATCATTTATTCTCCCACATTTTACACTTTTCTCCCATTTTTTTCTTCTAAGAAATAAAATTTAAATAACAAATCACCAAATCAGCACACACCCATCATTTGGCATCACTTTTTAAAAATGTCTTTTTAAAACATTTTTAAAAACATTAAAATGCCCCATTTTAAAAATGTCTTTTTAAAAAGTGACTTTTTGATTATAAAGTTAATGACATTCAATAAGGAAAATTTGGAAAATATAAATACATACAAGTAAAAGAATAAAAAATCAGGTAAGTTTCGGACCACTGTTAATATTTATGGCATTCCCCTCCACTCTTTGCATGAATAAATTTGCAGTTTTCTTCGAGGTTATCATTCTACATATGCATACTTCTATTTGACCTGATTAACCTCACGTGCATATTTCCGTTTTATTAAATAGGCTGCTGTTACTGCCAACTTATGGGCTGCGAATACACCATATGTTTTGAGATAAAAACTGAGGAAAATGTTTCTTCCTTCTCACCTTATTTAAATTGCTTATTATTAAGTGCTTTAAGGTTTCTAAAAAGATGTTCTTGTCTTTACAATAAATGAATGCCAACAGAAAGAGAGAAGCAGCCTCTTAATTGCTACTATGATTTTACAAGTACTTACCTTATTGGATAAGGAAAAATTTTACTGAGTAAGCTACAGTATAAGAGCTACTAGATCCTTCTTCCACTACTTAAACTTCTAAGAAGAAACTTGGAGGTAAAAGAAAATCCTAAATGTAACTTCCATCCCTTAAGAAGTTACAAATGACCTCCCCCGTCCGGGGCTCTTGAGAAGAGCACCTCCCTGTCTTGAGACTTGAGAAGAGTCTCTCACTCTTCAGAGACTAAATGAATTGGCAAAGGATAAATCTTAGGATATTTAAGTTTCCACTAACTGCCATGGATGAGGCACTACACTCTTAAAAATGGGAGGAAAAATTTCGAAGGCAATGAGATTCATTATGGATGAGGTATAATATGGAACAGATTCTCCCATTACTATTCCTCTCCCCACTCTCACCCCTTAACTTTTCTTTAAGGAGTAAAGGAATAGAAGGAAAAATGCAAGTAAGTGAGGTAAAGCATCTCAACAAACCAGAATAATTTTACATTGTGAAGACCAAGCAAAATAGCATTTGTCTATAGGTCCAAGACACATCAGGTTACATCTTATGAAAACTGATGTAAAGGAAACCAGGGAGTGAACTTAAAATGACTCCTTGCCCATTCTGCCTCCACAGCCTGCAGCCTGAAGCCATGGTTTGAGGAATTGAGGATCTTGTAAGAGAAAGACAGCAGGGCACTCTTTGCACACCAGGTCTTCACTGATGCCCAAGCACAATGTGTTTATTCTCTCAAAGAAAACAACGTTAAGGAAGACAGTAAACACCAGCAACAGTAGAATAAGGGTTCTCTGATGGGTCCAGACAGATATTTCTTAGTGCACATATATAGGAAACTTACTATTGCCTTTTTGCCCTTTCCAAACACCCTAACTTAAAATCTCTTTCTTCAGGCTGTTAAATGCGCTGGTACTATCCTTACTAGGATGTATTCACACCATTATTAAGTTAATGCATTCTAACACTGTCAGGATATTAATTGTCAAGGCGGAAATGAAATGGAAAGCAGAGGAATGTGTCTAGATATGGATTTCCTCATCATTCTTTAAAAGGAAAATGTGTTTCTGGGCCCTCATGTTTCTTTTATGACTCATAATACATGCATCCATGCATCCATACTTTATAAACAATGCTATATGCAGCATTTTAGGCAGGAAGATCACCATGAACAAAGGCACTGAGGAGAACTGAGTTCATTCTATGTCTAAGGTTAAGATCCCTGGATGAAGCCAAAAATTCGTACTGAGTAGTCATAAGAAATAAAGTCAAAGGGTAAGATTTTGCCAGATTTCAGAGGATATCAAAATTTAAAGGGAGTGTAGTTTTATTTAATAGGCAGCAGACAGATGGTACAGATTCACAATAACATAAAATAGGTTTAGAATGTATAGTCATACCATGGTATATGAGATCTGTGGTGTGGTTGTGGGGAGATGGGAGGATGAGAGATACTAGCAATTGTCTGGGAGGTTGCTGTCATAACTTAGCTGGAGGCAACATCAAGCATGATATCAGTGGGACTGAGGTAGAAAGTGCAAACACAGCATCTTAAAAGGAGAAATGTAGGTGGGAACTGTAATAGTTCGGGTCTAAGGGCACAAAGGCAAGGAAAGGTTCCTGATGCCAAGATCCAACAGTACACCATTTAAGTAATTGTTATTACCAGTTACTGTGCCGTTCTCTGGTTCCAAGCGTATCTGAGTTTTATAAACCTAATTTCTTTCCATTGTCACATCAAGTCTGAGAGGAATTATAATTCTAGTTTACAATGAGAAAGCTGGGATCTTTGAGACATTAAACAGCTTGCTAAAGGTCACCCTGCTTCTAGAGTTGGGGTTTGAACCCATGTTTGTCTAACTCCACGGTTCTTATCCACTCTATCGCTTCCCCAATGTCAACGCCTGAAAAAACAGAAGGAACCTGCTCTTCGCCATAAATCCTTACCTAAATAAATGCATGCCCCTAAATATTCAATACTTATCTTTGCTTTCATTAGTTAGAGTGTAACATCGCATATATGACTTCTGATATCTGGATGTGAATATATATGGCAAGTGGGAGCTCCAAAGTGCTGAACAGATGTTAGGTATTATTTTTATTATTATGTGGGCGTTTTCCTTCAGTGACTAATGTCAGGAAATAGAAAGGGCTCCATTACACACAAAGTCTACCTCATCTACAGCCCACCCTAAGGCTTACTGTGAGATTGTTTTCTTTTATAACCAGATATAAAGAACAAATGAAGAATCTCTGTTCACGCATTAAGGATTCTTGCAGAAAGGCCCATCTGCAATTTTAGGTGCAGGCTGTAGCATGACTAGATGCCGTTCAAACAACGTGCCCTACTTTCTTCAGCAATGAGAAAGGAAAAAAAGGTTAACATGAAACACGCTCTAACCTAGCTGGTTTGCTTTCTTATAAACTTTACCTACAAAGAATCAGTAATAATGAATAAGAACTAAATGGATCAAAGTACCCACACTGACAGGATCGGATGACCTTCCTGAGTTGGATGCTGGCAGTGGGTGTTTGTTTGGGTTTTCAGAAAGCACCCAGCTTTTCTAAAGTCCCTATGTTTCTCCACTGACAGATTCACAGGCTGCTAGTGCTGAACAGAATCTGAAGGGTTGTTTTACAAAGGAGGTAATTAGGGTCCTAAGAGACGAACGTTCAGTGCTCTGCATTTTCTGTCTGATCATCAATATGTCAATTATACCACTTGAACAACATGTTAGATGTTCTGGAGCATGCAAGGGGTCTATCATTAGCCCCTCCTGTTTTTTCTTTCTGGTTTCCCCACCTAGCTGAAACCCCACAGTTAGTGATTTTAACAGCAGCCTTAAAGGCCCAGAATCCACAGCCTAGGCCGGCTCCTCCAGGGCATCTCTCTTCAGCAGGTACTTTACTGAGAGGTTCCAATACCAGTGCTGACCAGGCCCCCAATGAGATGTGCTGTTCATCTCCTCCTCCCTTACCATCTGGTCGTGATCCTGCACTCAGAAAACCCAGGGGTTCCTTCCCTTTACCCTCTGGTCATGCTTGGATATCCCCCATTCTCAAAAATAAAATCCTATTTTAATCCAACGAAGATCAGATTGGATCTTAGTTGATCCAACTGGATCTAACTGCTCCAATCTGCCCACTACATTGCTATCAAAAGTAGTTTCTCAAAGTACCCTCTGAAATAAGTTTCTGAAAATACTGTCCCTTAACACACACACACACACACACGCCTACACACGTATTTTGAGGGATGGGGGTCTCACTAAGCTGCCCCGGTGAAAGTGCAGTGGCTATTCACAGGCGTGATCATGCACTATACCCTCAAACTCCTGGCCTCAAGGGATCCTCCCGTCTCAGCCTCCTCAGTAGCCAGGACTACAAGCAGGCATCACCATGCCCAGCTCTGGAATTCCTCTTTAAAAACTCTACTACCTGCTAAATAAAGTCTAAACTCCCTTGACTGGCAGTTGAAGCCCCATCCACTATCTGCCCTCGTCCTCCCTCCTAATCTCTCCACATTTCTCCATATGCCCTAGGCTCATTACCAGCCAGAACCCCAGGTGGTTTCCTGGGCCTAACAAGTGGCTATTTCTGGTGTTTGGCATGCCTCTTCTTTTCTCATATGGAACGGCCATCTAGTTTCCTAGGCCTGGCTCAAATGTCACACTTTCTAAAAGAACTACTCTCTATTATAGCAACATGTCAATTTCTGTCTTGCAATACACAGTTATTTATCCATTAATTCAATCAACATTTATTAGCACTTTGGCGCCAGAACTCTGCTGGGAATACAAAAACACTTGGAGTTTGACATACAAATAATGAAACAGTGAAAAATTTAAATAGCGGGATATGCTTCTGGAGGTACTGTGGTTTTCTTCTCCTAGATGGACTATAACCTCCCTGAGGGCAGGGGATGAGCCCTTTTCTGCATTCATTATCTCCCACAGCATTTACCATCTGTGGACTCACAGCGCCTGCAGTGTATCTCACAGAGTAAATATAAAGGTATTATAATTTATCTGCTTACCCTTGAGTAGACTCATATTAATTTTTAAAATTCCAATAGCCAGTCCAGTGCACAGCACGTAGTACTTAAACAGCAAAGCTAATGAAACAAATGAATGGTAGGAAGCAAGAAATAAATTACCATGACAGCAGGGATATCTCTACCTTATTCACCTTTGTGTTCCTGGGGCACAGCACAGGGCTTAGCACATAAGGGGACCTAACAAACATATGCTAAATAGCCATAGCTACTGTTCTACAGGAACTTGTTTCTCAAACAACTGCCAAAGTTTCTAGTCTCCTGTCCCAGAGTGCATCCAAAAGCTCCGTAGGCAGCATACAACCAGAAACATAGGTCCTGGTCCTAACTCTGATGGCAGTGAGGCCTTATCTTCCTCTCTCTGGCAGCTGCTCTGCTGAGCAGGGCCTCAGGAGTCCCAGCCCCTCCCAGTGCACTACTCCATCACCAAGGCAGTGGATATGGATAAACTGCTTCCAGATGAAGACTCATGAACAGCTCGCAGAGTTAAAGTTAACAGGGCCAACTCCATCTCTTACTTCATAGCCAGGGGCACCCTCAGCATGGCCTTGCTGTTCTGGGCCAAGGGTCATCAGGCCAATGACCACTCAACTATGAATTTGGAAATGAAAAACAGAAGCTAAAAATGAAGTTCAGTGAGGCTGTTCCAGGTTAATGGATGGAAATCACAATTCATGCCTAAGAAAAGGCATGATCATGCCTTTTCAGGCCATTCATGTCTTGAGCCCCCTTAGGTTCTCCCTTCCACTTGCCTTATTACTATAAACACTTCCTTCCTTCCTTACACCATAGCTCCCCTTGCTTCTTCTTTTCTCCATCTTACTCATCTGACAAACCACAGTTTTGTTAAGTCCAAATCTCCACCTACTCTGCAACTGTACCTGGGCTGCTGAACATGTTTGGAGAAAATCAGTCACCATGCTGACTGACAAGTACTGTTTTAAACTTATGACCACTAATCTCAGGGGGGTCCTTAGTTTAGCCTAGCAATCCTAGCATATTTCCCAAGTCCATCATTCTTTCGTTTTTTAGATGACTATTTCATACATTCTCCTTTCTTTAGAAATCTCCTCCCCACCCTCAGCTGGAAAACCTTGCACTTTGTATTTTCCAAAGAATATGCAATCGAAGGAGAATTTCCACATACTCCCACTTTTACCAGCCTTCCTGTTGGCTGAATAGATGACTGGATGAAAAATGTCCAAAGATGTAAAGAACCATAAAGGAGAAATCATTGAACTGGGAGGATTAGGGATAGAAATGGAGCTGGAAATGAGATAGGCCAGTAAAAAGAAGAGATTAATAATGGAATAGTTAAGAGCCCATAGGTAAGAACTTGCTTTTCATTCTGTAGGAAATGGAGTGCCATCAAAAATTTCACTTTCCAGAGTCATTTCTAGGATCATCTGAGGCAAAGTGTTTAATGCAAAATACATTGGCATTAGAGTGATGAGCTTTAGATTCCAGTGCTAGTGACATGTATTATGTAATAAATATATTATGTATTACATATATTATGTAATATGTACACTGTATTATGTAATACAGTGACATACGTATGTTAGCAATAACATGTTGTGCTTGAAAAAATTAATCTAACATTCTGTATTTGGAATAGAATGAATAGATCAGTTCAAAGACTAGCACAACAGTCCATGCAAGAAGAAATAAGGTGTTGAATTCAAAAGGTTGAAGAGTGATACAAAGGAAATATATATAAGGGTATCTAGCTGGTTGGGCAAGAGTTGCTGCTTTAAATTCTATTTTCTGATTTAGATCCACTAATATTTATTACATCCTTCCTATATACACATAAGGCACCAAGCATGGAACTTTCACATACTCATGGGGAAATTTTATTACTCATGTTATGGATAATGAACCTAAATCTCTGCAGAATGTAGAACACTCAGCAAGTAAATGGTAGGCCAAAAAAAAAAAAAAATCAAACCTAGGTCTCTTCTTTCTGATTTATGACAAATGTCCAACCTAATGAGATTTCACATTATTACAGTCTAGCACTGAAATCTAAAGCTCATCACTCCAATGCCAATGTATTTTGCATTAAACACTTTGCCTCAGATGATCCTGGAAATGAATCTGGAAAGTCAAATTTTTCTTTTGGATTAGATAATTTGACTCCAGTCTACATTTCTCATCTCGTATGCAGTTCCCTGTCCCCACAAATTCTATAGTCAGCTACACGAGACTACTCAACATTCCCTGCTTACACATCTATATCAAATTTCCTCCTTGCCCCAACCAATTTCCAATCAGTAATATGAGGGTAACAGTACCAAACGTCGTAGAGACATGCAAAGCACATAGATAAATGTCTCACACATAACTAAATACCAAATAAATGTTAATAATTATTATCCTTGCCTCTTTCAACCTTACTTCTTTTGAAGTTCAGTCCACACTATCTCTCTAGATTGCTCCAGGAAGAATTAAATGGCTTCTACTTACCTTTTTGTAATTCAATTTTAATACATTTCATAGTTTCATTTATATTCTAGCTAACCTACATGTCTCTTTTTCCAATTAGAATGCAAAAGCAGCACCATATTTATGTTTTTATCCCTCATGAAGCTAGCACACTGTGATGGGTACAGCAGGTCCCAAACAAATAACTACTGAATACAGCCAAGTATACTATAATTAGTAAATTGTTAATTAATTTTAAAATAAATTTGTAGGGAAGAAATGATTATACAACATGCATCATTAGAACAACGGTGTCTACTAGTGTGCCACATTTGATAGTCTCATTCACCTATGATTTAAGAAAAAAGAAATTGTTTCTTATACACAATATCATACATAAGGTAACACAACAGATTTACCAGGAAAGTATTTTTGTTATAATATCTTTGAAGTATACAATATCCCAACATAAAAAACCATCTCACCAGCTTCCTATCCATTTCAACATCTCTACCAGAATCATCTGAGCTTTTCCAAGGTCTTTCAGTAGCAAACTACTGGACGGCTCTAGTTCTCAACAATTGTTTCCTTACAGTGAGCTGATGTCGGTCTGCTCAAAAGCTCTCCTCATTAATTCTAGCTCTGCAATTTATATTAATAAGGTTTATACCCCCAGGAAATTGATAATTGGAACCACCTTCTAAATTGCAAGCTGCATCCCCAAACAAAAGGAGAAGAACAGACATTGAATTTATAGCAGGATAAACTCTTTCATTGCTTACTCTTTTTCAGCTGAAGAGATACAAATGGGTGTCAACGGCTGTAGATAAGAGTGCTAGAAAAGCATAGATAAAGTCTAGCGGACAAATGCAGCAGGGAGATACAGAGCAGGGGGGTGCACGGATGTGCACAGAAAAATAGGGGCTGCAGCCAAACAGCTGTGCTTACTGCGCAATCCAGTCCTTCATGGGCCACATCTCATTAGAGACTTTTTTTTTTTTTTTTTTGAGACGGATTTTCGCTCTTGTTGCCCAGGCTAGAGTGCAGTGGTGCGACCTCAGCTCACTGCAATCTCTGCCTCCTGGGTTCAAGTGATTCTCCTGCCTCAGCCTCCCAAGTAGCTGGGATTACAGGTGCCCACTACCATGCCTGGCTAAATTTTTGTATTTTTAGTAGAGACAGGGTTTCACCATGTTGTCCAGGCTGGTCTCGAACTCCTAACCTCAGGTGATCCACCCGCCTCAGCCTCCCAAAGTGCTGGGATTACAGGCGTGAGACACTGCACATGGCCCTCATCAGAGACTTCTATACTTCCATATCCTCCTTCCCTAAGATGACTAAAGTTTCAGACTGTAGATAGTTTCAAGCTAGAGGATATTAATAGTTGACCATGTTCTCATTCCTTCTGCTCTAAGTACAATGAGTCCATGGAAACTCTAAGCAAGTTCAATGCATCTCAGATACATTCAAACACAATCCAGAATTAGAAAAGACAACCAACAGAACAATATGGCCTAGAGAATGGGACTACTTGCATAAGAAAATACCTCTTGCCATCTAGCCAAGGGCTTTCTTCTCATATTATGTACTGATCAACAGGTGTTGGCAATGCCATCTTACAGGTCAAAAAGGCAGCTTGATGAGCAACTGTTGAGCACATAATACCTGCTGAACACTCTGCTGTTCGAGCCTTGGATAACAGATCTAGGCACTATAAAGTATTTTCACATCACTGCTGTCTCAGAAAACTTAGAAGCAGATTTTCAAGAAGCTGCACTCACTGGCTTCTGGGAGGTTTTTAAGTGATATTGTTTATCCACTGCAAGTCTATGGAACTAATTAGTAAAAAATACTGAAGATGAAAGAGTTAAGAAATAGCCACTGGATTTTAAAAACCCATAGTGACATGATTCTGAATTTTCTTTCATTTTTCAATTTCTATCACTGCTATCATTTACACAAACAAAGGGAACTCGCACCTCTCAAACAGTTCCTGCCAGTCCTGCTCAGCTTCTATAAAAGGGAAGGCACCAAGCATACTCATGTTAGGAGATTCTGACACGTCTCAAGATAAAATAGAAACATACTTCCTTTCAAATATTACTATGATTCCTGCTTAGGAACAAGAACTAACACTAAGAAACAGTCTGCTTCTAAATAAAAATGCCTAGTTTATTTTTGAAGAGTTTCAGTTATCTATAAAAGTTTACAGTGACCATCAATAAAACCTAGACAATACCATACCATGTATGTCACGTGCTGGACCCAACCGTGTTAACTGTAACAAACCTGCGTGGAAGGAGGTGAACCACCGCTGGTCCCTAAATTAGGAACAGGCTGCATTAGCCACGTTTTAGGAACAGGCTGCATTAGCCAGGTTAATATACAAATTACTCTGAAATTCAGAATCCACTTTCCTTAAAACAGAAAAGGGGGAGTGGGGCAAATATGTAAGGATTATTTTCTTAGATTAGGCCACAAAAAATCATGAAATAATAATAACAATAATTAAGAACAGCAAACACTCACAAAGCTTTTACTATGTGCAAGGTATTTTTAAAGCACATACACACTTAAAGCTCATAAAAATTTTAAAAGGTACTGTTATTATCCTTGTTTTGCCAATGAGGAAATTGAGGCAGAGAGAAGCTAAGTAACTTGACCAAGGTCAAAAAGCTGTAAGTGGCAGAACTGGATCCCTACAAGTAACTCTTAATAAACACAAATTTAAAAAAAAAAAAAGAGAGAGAGAGAGAAAGAACTGTTTGAAGTTTCTTCTAAAATATATCCTATCTAGATGTTCCTTTCCTTAGACTCCCTCTTTCCAGAGGCCTAAAGCAGACCCTTGTCATATTTGACATTTTACAGCCAATCCCAATCTGAAAGCTTCACTTTAGTTCTGCAGTTCTGCATTATCCAACATGGTAGCCATCAGCCAAATGTGGCTATTGAGGTTTAAATTAATTTTTAAAATTGATTAAAACCAAATAATATGAAACTTTCAGTTACCTGGTCACATTTTCCACACTTCATGTGCTCACTATCCAAACTTCAAGGGCCAGTGGCTACCAAATTGGAGAGCAGATAGAAACTTTTCAATCTTCATGTAGTTATTTGGTAAGCTATCCAACAAACTTTGTCTATAAAGGACCGAATGCTAAATATTTTAGGCTTTGGAGGCAGTATAGTCTTTGTAACAACTACTCGACTCTATCAGTGTAGTGCAAAGCATCCACAGACAATGCATAAACCAATGAATGTGGCTATGTTCCAAAGAAACTTTATTGCAGAAACAGGCAGCTGTCCTGTAGACCACGGTTAACTAACCCTTATTCTAAATGACTCTGGAGTTTTCACATGGATTTTCCCTTAATATCTGATCTCCCACTACCCTGCCACCTCTCTGCTCTAACCAGGCAGGGAAAGAATTCCATCAGAATTACAGAACCTCTCTGCACTCTCTGTGGAGACAAACCTGTCTTATATAACTCTTTTCTTCATCTCTTTCCCCTCACACGGGAAGTGCACATCCTCTAACCCAGTAGTTTTTAAGAAGCTTAAAATAGAGATTTTTGGGCCCCATCTGCAAAGCCTGATTTAGTGGGTCTGAGGTGGAGCCCAGGAATCTGTATGGTAAATGAGCCCCACGGTGGTTTTAATCCTGGGGGTCCGTGGACCACAGTATAAAAACACTACTTGCCATTTAAATAGTAGGTAGGAGAATGGATGAAGAGGATACATTCTTTTCTAGTAGCTGTAATTCCTCAACCACAGAGAAAAAGCTATCACTTAACCTCAGCCCCAGGAAAGTCCAGGTGTCAGCAGAGCAGACGAAGCTTCCAACGGGTCCAGCAGGAAAGAGCTCTGAGTGGATGGAAGCCTGGAGAAGAGTGGTATCTGCCTGGCCTGGGAGGTAGAGGTATTAGGAGCTTTTCAAAAGGACCTCAGGGGCTGACATGCTCCCTACCCAACATGATCCCAAAATATGGAGTCCCACCCTATCTGGTGTTCCTGAAAGCAAGAGGTGGCACTAAGAACCTTTAAGAATCTTTATTTTTTAAATTCCTTTACAAACTGATTCATTCATTATTAGCTGTGACCTTGCGGAAGTTCCTCAACATCCTGGTGCCTCAGTTTCCTCATAAAATGAAACAGTATACAAAGCGTTCTTGTGAAAATCAAATAAAATAATATTTGCAAGGCACTTAGAACACTGCTTGGCATAGAGTAAGTCCTCTATAAGTGTTTGTTAAATAAATAAAAATTTCATTTAAACATTTAATAAGCACCTTCTATGTGTTGGGTACAGTGTCAGATGACAACATATAGAAATAAAGAAGACCTTAAAAGAGGTGGAAGTTACACTGTTGTATATGAAAGGCTTTCTCTGACCATGTAACACCCCCTTCTCTCATTGCCCTATCTCTTTATCTTGCTTAATTTTGTTATTAGCACTTATTAAAGGATATCTAATAGATATCCATGAAACACATGCTTATCAGACTCATCTACTATATGGTCTTCATAAGGATAAGGATTTTGTTATATTCACAACTGTATAATCTAGCTTCTAAAACACTGCTTGGCATTCAGCAAATGATCAAAAACTATAAAATAAATGAATGAGTGAATGAAGAACATTTAATGGACACCTATTATGATATTTTGTAAAGACCAGATAGTTAAATGTTTCAGAGCTTCTAACTTTCAATCCCATGCATATTTTAAAATTTGAAATCTAGTAAACTTCTCCCATGTTAAAAAAAATCCAACAGCAATGCCTGTCAAAAAGGCATTTGTATTTTCAATCAATTCCAAAAGATTCTACCGGGCTACTTAACCTGTACAAAATAATATTGGTTTGTAGCTTTATACAGGTTTTTTTTATCCTCATATTATTCTTGAGAAGTAAGGATGGGATAGATATTCCCCCCACTAAATAATGAGACAACAGGTAAGAGAAGTTGCCTCGTCCAGATACAACCAGATCAGCAACACTGAATGATTCAAATTCCCATTATAGGAACATATTCCCACTGTATAGGAACTACTGCAATGACAATCATGGTAAAGTCTCAGTAGAACTAAGAATTAAATGAATTTATGAATAAACATTCTCACTCATCAATTCAGCCAGCCTCTTCTTCCACCAACTTCTTAACATTTTTGGATTACTGCTTAAGTCATTATTCTTACTTTTATCTATGAACAGCAATTATACTCCTTAAATGCCACCTTTTGGCTACGAGTCAATTCAACATCTACAATTCAGATTATTGCAATACTTCATCATTGCTAGATAATAATGACATCCTTTGTCAATACATACTGAGTGGAGAGGAAGGCAGAATCCATAGATAAATGGCAACATGTGGACCCTATCCTTACTAAGCATGGGTTTTTGTTCTTTTTTTAGGTGATAAAGTCACTGAAGGGTAATAGTAAACTTCACTACTCCTGACATAATGAATCCAAATATTATGCCCCACTTACCACACACACACACACACACACACACACACACACACACAAATAGTTTCTTACTTCTCAAGGAATAATAAAGGAAAACAGATTCACACTTCGAGGTCATAGAATCCAACTCCATCTCATTATAGATGAGAAAACTGAGTTCCAAAGAAGTTAGAGAACTAGTTCAAAGCTACACAGCTAGCTTCTGGCAGCACCACAGCTAAAACTCTAGTCCTCTGCCTCCGAATTTAGGGGTCTACAATTATGAGCTTGATAAGCCACATAAACTGGCAACTCTTCCTCCTAGTTTTTCCCTTTATGATGTTTTCAGCTTTGTGTAGGAGAAATTTATTCATTAAACAAAGTACCTACAAACCCTTTAATCGTTAAGTGCCTCACAAATATTTGAGTGAAGTGAACCAAATTTGGGTATGACTTACTGCCATAGGAAGCAGAATGCTTAACACTTAGACTATCCCATTTGTGATTTTTGGTTTCCATAGTGATAAATAACATTTACTGCTACATGTGGTCTGGCTTAGATCTATGAACAAGCATTTCCTGATGAATGGCAACTCCCACAAGATACAATTTCCCAAATACTTTAGGCAGCTGATGAGGAAAAAAAACACTGCCCATAGAAAAGATTAATGACCTACTAGGTCGTTCATTATCAAACGGCACTCTAAATTTGCTATGATATGGCTGATTCTTTGACTTTATAAATTTGTTTCAGGAATGTAAGGGAAAACATTTGGGCTTTGCCAACCAACTTAACAGACAGGATTATAAAATTTAGGTTTACGAGAAACATGCCATAAATTTGATTCAATAAAATATGATAGTTTTCAATCCTACATGACAAAGATATGTTTCATATTTTAACTCTTCAGTTGTTAGTTTTTGATGATAACACCCCTCTTCTAATGTGTCCATTGTTTATCTGGAACCTATCAATATAGTCAGTCCATCTGGACATAAACATGGAGCTGTATACAAAGAAGAGGCCACTGAAAGGAAGTCATGAGCTTCAACATCCACCTAGTCATTTGCTGCCTCCAGCTGGCTTTTGTGTTTGGTAGTTCTGTTTAAGAACTAAACTTATCAAAATGTTCTAGTATTAGGTCATTAAAAATACAAGGAGAACCTAAAAAGTGTATATATGCAATTATACATTTAGAAATATTTTTTCTCCCAGCATTCTCTTCCCAGAAGGCTGTAACACAGAAATTAATACAGAAGCCTTTGTTATTTTGCAACTTTGCATCGACAGCTTTGAGGGGTTGTTGAGTTACAGGGGAGGGGGTCAAATTTTTCAAAGAGGACAGGTTGAATTAGTATCTTGATGTTCCCTGGATCTCTATGATCTCTCCCCTGTACAATTACAGAAGCCTGTACACACTGTTTCTAAGAACACTTCACCAAAATTGCCTTTGGTGAGAACAAAACAACTGTTCACAGTCTGGACAGAATAAGTAAATTTTCTGGATTAAAAGCCTGCTTGTAATATCAATTTTTATTCACTTTGGGTCACAAACGATTCCTATCTAAAATTCCCAAGATGCTATCTTAATTTCAACTCTACATTAATCCTATCCTAAACATGTGGAAATTAAGCAAAATATTAAGAGTTCAACTTCTTAAAAGCATTCATGAAAGCTTTGCACACACATTACTAATCATGTACTGTCTACCTGACACAGTGTAGGAGACACAGTGGTGCAGGTTCTCTAGTGATGCACCTTCATCTAAGAGGGGAGGGGCAAAGTTGGGGAGAGACTGCAAAAACCCACAGCATTCATCTCAGGGAAATGCAGTCACATTAAGTAAGCAGAGAGAACCCAGAACAAAGTTAAATAGCTAAATACAGACATTTCATTATCAATTAGACATATTTCTAATAAGATGGTTATCCTTAAGAAAATTCTCTTGGACGTGTGAAATGAAGAAACCAAAGCTGGGGAAAGCAGAATGGACCACAGATGTGTTTGGTACAGAATATGACTGGGTTGGTTCATGTCTTGCCTGTTCTATAACAAATAACAGAATGAAGTCCTGGTCACTGCCATTGAAAGATCCTCGTAGAGAGTAAAGAAAGCACCAACAGCTAACCAACTGCCTTTGCTTTCCACCCCACTGGGCAGTTTTCGACCTTATGCCTTGGCAATGAGTGGTCTGCCCTGGAAGGGATATGCGACATTTCTGAAAACAGATAGCAGAACGCTATGTTCCACATCCAGATAACACAGCTGGTCATCATGCACACAGGGCAACTCAATGAGCACTTACTGAGAAAGCACTGCATAGTTTGCACAACGCTTGCTACTGTCAATGAATAATTTACGTTTAAACTATGGCACTTGTCCCAAAAGAACTTGCATTTACGTTGCAGACGGAATACACTCTCAGGAAAGTGATATCCCAATTTATAAAATTTAAGTGTGAAACTTTGCCAGAGATTGCCAGGTAATGAGGATGAGATCATCCAAGGAACTGAACAATACTAGGTCAATAGAAACATAATGGCCCCAATGCCAAATGAAGGTAAAAGCTGTAAGTGCCCAAAAGTAAAAGTGGACAAATACGAGGTAGTATTTAGGAGTAAGCAAGCAAAACAAAACAAACAAACAAACAAACAGGCAAAAGTACAAAAAAGGCCTCATAAGATTTTCAATGGACTTTTTCAGAAAAGAGCCACTGAAGGTATTGAAATAAATCCATTCACCATATGTTCCAAACCGTAGGTACCAGGTACTATGGGTTGCCAATATTTTCAAATTGTAAATCACCGAACAGTTTTATAATGAAGTTTATTAACATTTATCATTAACTTTTGAGATGACAGTTAAGGTATTTTGTTAGTATTCCTGTAAACAGTAGAAAGAAACAAGAGTATTAATGAAAAAAAATGGACATCTATTACCGTCAGAGACCTAAGAGTAATTATACCATATGTAAATGCAAATAGTTTAAGAATCATAAACTTCATATTCTGTTCAAATATACTTTAAGTCTAACACAATATAAAATGAATGTATATTTTTAGGAGAGGGAAGGGGGTATCTGCTAAATATCTGAACCCCAAAAGAACGCTATGCGCAGGCGGTTACCAAAAAAGTGCTTGTGTGTGTTTTCAATTAATCATTAATGAGTCTCCAAATACCGATTCAACCGCAAGTAATCACCTACTAGCTTTCTTTAACAAAGCACAAAATACAAACTTTGTTACATTGCCCATGAGACTGTGACATTTAACCCTAGATAGACATAAGATAATTTGACTCTATAAACAAGACAGCTGCAAGAAAAGACCAAAGATAGTCATCATACTAAATGCGGGGAGTCTGTACCTTCTAGCAGTGGCAAATGAACTCTTCCTCACTAGTATTTTGCTGTAAACAACTTACATAACTTTGCAACCTGAGACATGAATGAAACACCACCACAGGAAGTAACTTCACCATCTACCACTTCAATACTGTATTACTAAGTACCTCATCCCAGGAACCAACTTAAAGTAGGATTATTTAAAGTTGAATTCTATGTCTAGGTAGAAGGTATTTCAGCGTCCTACAGAAATTACCCAAATTTAAATCCAAGAATAAAATGCCCACAATGCTATTAGTTAGCTTAAAAACTACCAAATTGAACAAATGTTCACAAAGCTAAATTGGAAAGGGTACCTATTTCCAAGTACCCCTGGTCACTGCCTCCTACATGTGTTTTCCTTAAAGTTCTATCTTGAAGCATCTTATAGACAATGTTGGGACTAGATGGCTGTGAAAGCCTCTGCATTATCAGGTTGAATTCTGAGGGGAAGGTGGGGAGGGGGTGTCAAATGTCTCTCATCTCTTCAGTGACAAAATATTTATTGAGTTTCCCTTCTAAATGCACCAACTTAAGAGAAAATTTTGCAAAAATATAGGAAATCTGTAGTAAAAGTACACAAAATTTAACTAGACTCTCTTCTTGACTTAGAAAACTGAGGCCAGGAGACACCTTTAGTTTCTATCTTCTTCTTTTTTTTTTTGATACAGGGTCTCGCTTTGTCGCCCAGGCTAGAGTGCAGTGACACGATCTTGGCTCACTGCAACCTCTGCCTCCCGGGTTCAAGCGATTCTCCTGCCTCAGCCTCCCGTGTAGCTGGGACTACAGGCACGTGCCACCACGTCTAGCTAATTTTTTGTATTTTTAGTAGAGACAGGGTTTCACCACATTAGCCAGGATGGTCTCTATCTCCTGACCTCGTGATCCACCCGCCTCAGCCTCCCAAAGTGCTGGGATTACAGGTGTGAGCCACCACACCTGGCATCTCTATCAGTTTTTTAGAAAAACTAAAAGGCAGCTTACTTTGGCTGGATATGAAATTCAGGGTTGAAAATTCTTTTTCTTTTTTTTGAGACGGAGTCTTGCTCTGTCACCCAGGCTGGAGTGCAGTGGTGCAATCTTTGCTCACTGTAACCTCTGCCTCCTGGGTTCAAGCAATTCTCCTGCCTCAGCCTCCTGAGTAGCTGGGACTGCAGGTGTGCACCATCATGGCCAGCTAATTTTTGTATTTTTAGTAGAGACAGGGTTTCACCACACTGGTCAGGCTGGTCTCAAACTCCTGACCTTGTGATCCGCCTGCCTCAGCCTCCCAAAGTGCTGGGATTACAGGATTGAGCCACCACGCCGTGTGAAAATTCTTTTATTTAAGAATGTTGAATATTGGTCCCCACTCTCTTCTGGCTTGTAGGGTTTCTGCCGAGAGATCTGCTGAGTCTGATGGGCTTCCCTTTGTGGGTAACCCGACCTTTCTCTCTGGTTGCCCTTAACATTTTTTCCTTCATTTCTGCCTTGGTGAATCTGATGATTATGTGTCTTGTGGTTGCTCTTCTTGAGGAGTATCTTTGTGGTGTTCTCTGTATTTCCTGAATTTGAATGTCGGCATGTCTTGCTAGGTTGGGGAAGTTCTCCTGGATAATATCCTGAAGTGTATCTTCCAACTTGGTTCCATTCTCCCCATCACTTTCATGTACACCAATCAAACATAGATTTGGTCTTTTCACATAGTCCCATATTTCTTGGAGGCTTTGTTTGCTCCTTTTTATTCTTTCTTCTCTAATCTTGTCTTCTCGCTTTATTTCATTAAGTTGATCCTGATCGATTCAGCTATTGATACTTGCGTATGCTTCACGAAGTTCTCATGCTGTGTTTTTCAGCTCCATCAGGTCATTTACGTTCTTCTCTAAACTGGTTATTCTAGTCAGCACAGGCCAAGGTAGCAATCACAAAATCTCAGTCAAAATAACGCAGTGTTGGCTGGGTGCAGTGGCTCACACCTGTAATCTCAGCACTTTGGGAGGTCGAGGTAGGCGGATCACCTGAGGTCAGGAGCTCGAGACCAGCCTGGCCAACATAGCGAAACCCCATCTCTGCTAAAAGTACAAAAATTAGCCGGGCATGGTGGCATGCGTGTGTACTCCCAGCTACTTGGGAGGCTGATGCAGCAGAATCACTTGAACCTAGAAGGCAGAGGTTGCAATGAGCAAAGATCATACCACTGCACTCCAGCCTGGGCGAAAGAGTGAGATTCTGTCTGAAAAACAAAACAAAACAAAACAAAAAAACAACAACAAAAAATACAGTGTCAATACTTAAAAAGTTATTCTATATCCTCCCAATTACTGCAGCAGACTAAAAGGAATAAGAAAGACATTTTTGTGTTCAGTGGTTGAGAGCACTGACCAGAAGCCTAGAATCCTCCGGTAGCCTCTTTAGAGCTGGTATGATACTGGGCAAATTACTTGGTCTTGCTGAACCTAAATTTCCTTTTCTGTAATACAGGAATAAGAGTAGGATCAACTTCATCGAGTTGCTATGTCAATTAAATGACACAATGTACACTGCTTAGCACGTGCCTGGCATATAGTTAGAACTCAACAATTAGCTCTTTATTATTGTAAAAAATTGATGTGCCTTATTTGGTGGGGGGTGGGGGAATATGCTGAGGTATATTTACATAAATAAACCTCATTCGTGTCATGGAATTCACATATACCTTTCATGCATGTGTTGAGGGAATCATGGGAGAGATCAGATGTAGTTTTGAAGAAATTTGCATAATCTGAAGGAGCCCAGTAGCTTTAAGAATTTAACCCAGGGACGGTTTGCGCAGCCTGTTTTTACTTATTATAATGTTTCCTGTGGGAATCATTAGCTTCTAATCCTTACATTTTATGATTCAAAATCTTGGTGTGTCAGCTGCATTCAAGGTTCTATCTTCTTCAAAACCCAGAATAAATATTTTGTGCCAGACACCAAACAAGGTACTAGAAAATGTATAGATGGCTTATGTATTTTCTCATCATTTGAAGGCCATTCTTTGGCTTGATTGTGCTAGTAATTGAGCATCTTGAAAGGGAATGGCTTACATTGGCCCATCTGCCTCTTTTTCTCTTTCCTCCTTTGCTTATCACAGATAACCCAGTTCAGGACTCCATTTAGTATGTTCCTGAAAATGAGACTGCTAAACCATTTCTACTTAAAACCTAACCTGCCAACAGTCAGTCCTTACAATGAGGGCAGCCATTTACTCTTTGTCTTTCAATCCTCATAATTTGGGTTACAATTAGTATCCTTGAAGAATTCTAAAAGGATGTTTCCTTTCTAAGTTATAACCCTGAGAATCTAGTAAAACATTATTTTAAGGAAAACATTTTAATTAAATGTCTTCACATGAAAAGATGTTCTACATCCTTAGTTATTAGAAAAATGCAAATCAAAAACGACATTGCTGGTGGGAATGCAAAATGGTGCAGCCACTTTGGAAAACAGCTTGGCAGTTCCTCACAATGTTAAAGAATAACCAGATGACTAGCCCTTCAATTCCACTCCTAGGCAGAATACACGCAAGAAAAATGAAAATATATCTCCACCTAAAAACGTGCATACAAATGTTCACAGCAGTATTATACACAACTGCCCAAATGTGGAAAACAACCCAATCTATGAGAATGGGTAAATAAAATGTGGAGTATATAGTTTCAGTTTTGTAAGATGAAAAAGTCCCAGAGATCTGTTTCAAAACAATGTGAATATACTTAACATTACAGAATGGTACACTTTAAAATCTGGCATATTTATACAATGGGATATGATCTGGCAATAAAAAGAAATGAAATACTGACACATGCTGCAGTGTAGCTGAACCTTAAAAATATGAGAGAAGCCAGTCAAAAAGTGACTACATAATTTATGAAAAAGTATATATTGTATTATTTCATTTATTCTAAATGTCCTTAATAGGCAAATCTACAGATTAATGTTGGTCAGGGGCTGGTGAGACTGAAAAGGATGGAGAATGATGTTAACTGGGGACAGAGTTTCTTTTCGGGTGATAAAATGCTCTAAAATTGATGTGGTAATGGTCACATGATTCTAAATGTACTACAAACACTGTTGGATTATACACTCTAAGTGGGCCAATTGTATGGTATATGAATTATATCTCAATAAAACAGTTAAAAAAATACACAAATACTAAGTGACTTGCTACCCTGATGATGTTTGGCTTAATAAAATACCTTCGACTTTGGGGTCGACATCACACCGATTTTTCCTTTTAATGTTAAGTGTAAGTATCTATCTGATTGATACACTTGAAATCCTCATGCCGCCCTTAACTCTCCTTGCTGCCCTGCTCTCTCTATTCCCTCCTCAACAGGTGTGTATTCTCCATGCTCCTGAGGGGATGGGCTGCAGGGTTACCTAGGTAACCAGAAATAGCCAGAGAGAGACCCCAACAGAGAGCCTATCGGGCCTTCGTGAGACCAGAAAACAAAGCTTGACATTCCTCTCACCAAGAAGGGGTTTTCTAAGATGTAGGGATAGGCTCAAAGGCTAAAGAAAAGTAGAGAACTAAAGGAATGGCCTAGAAACGCCAGAACACTTCCAGAAACACAATAATCTGGCTGTATTTTTGTACACAGTCTATGAATGCTGTAAGCAAGTGTTCTCAAACAGGGGTCTAAGGATCTCTAAAAAACTACCGACACATTCAAGAGTCTATGACTTCTCCAGAATAATCTTTCAATTTGTGTTTTCATCTTAATGTTAATCTAAAGGAAACTGATATAAATGCACACTGGACCATCCGAATGACCCCCTTAGCAATACCATGCCCAAGTGTGTATTTATAATTGCCACATCACCAAGCATTCCTCATCAGTGATCAGTACTCCTGGGGTGCTGATAAGCACACACGGCAATGATAAAATGTAATTTAAGACTGTCATTGAGCAAGACTTTAATTTCATGGCACCATAAAATGACAAACAGTGAAGGAATGTACTATAGTAACTGCTTCAGGCTGATGAGGAAAGGACAGAGGCAGACTTGATACATAATCTGCAGAAACACACCAAGGGAAGGTCAAATGACATGAAGGTATGTGCTACACATGCAGGTATTGTAGAGCAAAGGTTTTGTTTCAGCAATTCAAAAATTATAAAGAGGAGGCAATGATAACAAAAAGTTCTGTTCAAGTTGTTTTCAAAATAATCTGAATGAGTCATTTCTATAATCTATTGACTTCCTTCAACAGTCTGACACTTGGCTGCATGCTGAAAACCTTAAAAATTTTCCATATCTCTAAGAACTAAAATTTACAAACATATTCCTGTTCCTGATTCTGCCAATAGTTGAATTAGATATATATTTGGAGTTGATGTCAGTAATTCTGAAATGGTAACATCATCTTTGAATGAACAGGACATTTACAGCTCTAACAAAAAAGTTGTAAGTCATTAAAATCATTAAAATTGTAACTAAAGAACTATTCACTGGCAGATTTACGATCTGATAAGTTCTGATAGTCCTGAGCTAGCAAGCAAGGCTTTCGAGTTCATAATGTGCTTCTGAATAACTTATTTATGCAAATAAGTATTCTCTACATTACTACTATCAGTCAAAAGACTCATATGCCTTAAGTACATATTTGGACCCAATGGAACAACTTCATATTTTAAAAAATCAACATAAGTGATTTAGTGTTGGCAAAAAAGCATTCATCTTATTAATTTAAATTTCAAAGGTTTTAATATATTATTTGTATTTGCGATTTTAAAATGTTTAATAGTTTTATAAAAACTATAAGCACAGAAAGTATATATATATATATATATATATATATATAATTTCATGTTTATACATATTTAGTACAATTAAGCAAAGTAATCAACAAGAATGGTTTTTGAAAACTCCCTTTAAAGGAATGAAATTCATTCACAGGTTGTGTGCTAAGCACTACTACAAGTAATAATAAGGGAATGATCTGGACCACATTCATTCAAAAACACGGGAGATCCTACTGTGTGCTGGGTATTGGGATACAGTGGGAAACAAGATAGACATATTTATGCCCTTATGGGGCTTGAAATCTATTAGAAAAGGCAAATCAATGTAATAAGTGAAATGTTGGAGATGTAAAATGTTCTATGGAAACAGCAAGGGGACCTAATCCAGTTTAGGGGTTAGACAGCTTCTGGAAGGACATTAAAACCAAAAGAAGACACAGGAGTTACCCAAACAAAAGTGAAGGAGCAGAAGGGGAAAAAGTGTGCTAGACATCAGACATACCCTGTAGTCAAAGCTTATTGTCATGAAAACTTAGCCAATAAGAAGTACAGGAAGAAGTTTTTTGTGTCTGGAAGATGGTGAGGGGTCGGGGGTAGGTAAAGCTAGTACTCTAGACTAGAGATGGAGGCTGAGGTTTCCTGCGGCAAGGTCTTGATGTCTTAAGGACTCTGGCTTTTAACTCCTTATTAAGGAGTTCCAAGGATAATGAGAATTCACTGGAGGGTGTTAAGGAGGTCACTGACATAAGGTTCCAATGTATAGAGAGCACTGGAGTTCAGAGGCAGCTGCAGCAGTCCAGGCAAAACATGATGGAGGCCGCAACTGGAGCTGTGGACTGCAGCAGCCCACAGCACAGTTAAGAGATACCAGATAAAATTTAAGATAGAATTGAGAGGGCTTGGCACTTCATTGCATCTGGGAGTTAAATGAGAAGGATACATCATGGAAAGTGTTCAAATGGTAACTGGTGGATAGTGGTGTCTTTCATCAGATGAAGGAAGAATTACAACTCCTTGTAAACTGAGGACCACCTGCATTCAAAGATGGCTTTGTACAAGTTTGAAAAAGTGTTTTTGTTTTTCTTGCAATTTCTTACCTCTGCATCTATGTTGAACAGTTTTTTCAAAACAAAAAAACAAAAATGCTACTGACTTGCATAATCACTCACACCCAGAGGCGGCAATATTCAAAACAAGTCTATGTTCTTTTTGGAAAGTCTTGGTTCAAAGACAAAAAACAGAACAGACCAATCTTTTGATCCTCACTATTGACATGGTGCCTCAATGCAAACCCAAGTACTGGTTAAGACCTTTCTTTGATGGGACAATGGGGCAAGAGCTCAACATAGCAGGCATTTAGTTTTAAGAGGTTCCAGCTCTGCACTTTATGCCATAACAACACGGATTTAAATATCAAAAGAACCAGACTCAAGTTCAAGTGACCAATGCACCTGGCAGAATTTAACCCAGCATAAAACCTCTCCATGCAAATTCACAATTTTCTAAGAACAAACAACCCTGGGAAATTTTTCCCATGACCCACTCCCTCATGAACATTTTTAATATTTCAAAAGTACTTAAAAACCGGAACAAAGCAATTTTAAAATCTCAAAGGGTCAGAGCAACTGGAATTAGTTTAAGAATGCATGATACATGAAAGACCAAGGCTTTATAAACAGGGCATCTTCTTTCTTCACACCAAAGCACAAGAAAACAAAGGAAGAACTAAATAACACAGACCACAGAAAATATCACATGAAAGGAAATTCATGTCTGGCCTACCCTGCAACAGAAAAATCTCAAATAAACAGGCTTGGTTTCCATGAGCTCTCTGAAAGCTAGGAGGAAAAAAAAAAGAAGCATAATCATTTTCAGCATCTTGAAAGTGAGGGACATAAGTTTATTAATATTCCAGGTTATTAGGATCACTAAGGAGGCAAAAAGAAACTGAGGTTCCCAGGCCGCCTCTTCCTGTCTCTGCTTCAACACACAGCTCAGCCCATTACCCACTTGTGTACTGCGTGATCTACATTTTGGGTCTGCCTCTGCCTCTTCCTCCAGGGGCCACAGACCAGAAGACTACATGGGCAGCCCTTTATTTTATCCAACCAATGCTTGTGCTGCACTTGCTGTGTGCCAGTCACTGTTCTAAATGCTTCACAAATAAGAGCCCATGTAATCCTCATAACAACTATATAAGGCAGGCACTATTATTATTCTTGTTTTACATACAGGGAACTGAGGCATGAAAAGGCTATAAAACTTGCCCAAAGTCAAATGGCTAGTGAGGGGATACAGCTATCTGAATCCACTCTTCATCAACTGACTAGGGAACTACAAAGGTCATTTTTAATTCTCCTTATTTCCTATATTTTCTTTATATGAGAATTTATTACTTTTATAATAACAAAGAACTAAAAGCCTTTTTATTTTGAAACAGCAAACCAAAAAATAAATAAAAACAAGGCCTTGAATATCTCATCCATGAAATCACGGGAGAAAACACCCTTCCTGCTGGAAGCCAAGGGGTCAGGCCAGATGATCTTCCTTGGATCATTTGTTACAGTAAAATCTTCAGTTCCACAGCCTGTTCCCCCAATACTCAGGTAGTAAGGGAAGCAGGAAATGTAAAAAAAAGACAGCAATTATGAACATGTGCTCTGGAAAACTCACCTGGGATCCAGTTCCAGTTTATAAGCTGTATAACCTGGAACAAGTTGTTTAAGCATTTCAAGCCTCTTTTTATCATCTGACAAAAATGGATACAGTTATACCCATCTCCTAGAGTTAACTCACAGAAAGACTGAAAAACATAAATACATCCAGCACAGAGAAGAAATACAAAAAGTGCTAAACACAGGAGAACTAAACTGTCCAAAGACTGGCCTACTTCAATTATTCCTAACCTAGAACAACCAAATAAACCAAAAATTTCATAACATCATTTACCATGGACAAAAGACGGATCTCTTATGAAGAACAATAACTTTTTCATTAACAACTTAGTAAGCAGTATGGGCTAACAGGGTATATATAGCCTTCTTTGAGCTACAATGAAATGACTCCCAGGTCCAGAGGCTGGAGTCAGGGTGGTACACTAGATGTAAGAAAATAACAACAAAATTAGGGCCCACATCTCCCTGACTTGCCTTTTTTAGTATTAAGAGTTATGTTTCAAGGAAAAAGTCACTTCACTCTTCTGATCTCCATTTTATTATTAATAGAAGAAAATCGCTGCATAGAGTGACCTGAAAGCCTCCTTCTAGCTTTAACAATCTAACGGTATAACCAGCTCTTTTAGTCATGAAGTGTGTACGAATGAGATTCTACCACTTTTCTAAATGATATCACTCTGCCAAGCAACTGGGTCTTCATACACTTTGTAATCAATAACTGTTTTATGTTGCCCCTTTAGTATCTATAGCTATTCCCCAAAGTTATGTTACATGTTCCCCTTAAAGAGGATGAATCATTCTGGCCCTTCAGGATCTGATATTCTTCTTCTCTGTCAAATACAATTATTTGTAATTAGAAGCCTGGCTCCAAAAACAGAAACTTAGATGAAGAAAAAATAAATGTTACCAGCATAGATTTCTACATCCATAAGTCCCTGTACAAAACCTTTTTCTCCATCTATATCCAACTGCTATCTGATGCTTTCATGGAGCAGAACTTGTTATAGTACACAACACAGGAAAGCTAAAGTAGCAATGAATCTTGGCTTTGTAAAAGTCTTCAGGGATGCCCATATGCCAAGTCCAAAGGATACAGAGGACCAATACCTCTTCGCTGACTTGTCCAGATATGTGACATGGACAGTGATGCTACCAAAGGAGCTCAGGGAATCCCTGGCACCACTAGTAGGCCCTAAGGCACAGGTATTAATAAAGAAGAGGACAATACAAGGTGAAAAAACCATTAATGGCTCTACAATGAATGAACTGGAGAGTAAGAAAAGAAGAAAGAAAGGAAAAAAGGCACAGAATGAAAAACTATAGAATCACAAAGTCAGTGGGAAGGAATAACTAAACCAAGTGCCTTATGTATGTTAAAGTCACATGATAATCCTCTTATCATTTTGACCTCATTTTAAAGAGGGGGAAACTGAGGCTTAGTGAATTTAGCTTACTTTCCTAGGGTCACACAGTTAGCAGGGGACAGAGGTGGTATTTAAGCATGGGCTTTTCTAGCACAAAGCTTGTGACTGAATGGTATGTACACACTGTGTAACCTTAGAGAGCATCTCTGCCCCACCCTCCCATGAAGTTTCAAATCTCTCTACTCCCTTGGCCAAGGATGGACAGACTCTCAAAAGTGCCCTTGATGCTAAGGCCCTGGACAGCACCCAGCAATTCAGCCCAGCTCTGCATGGCTTTGAAGTTGATTTGTTCCTTGCATTAACCTAAAGTATGTCTCCCTGCAACTTCTACCTATCTTTATCCCAGAAGATAATCAGATCTGCAGCAAATGAGGTTTCCTATAACAGCCCTTCTAAGTAACTTTAAAAGGGGGAATGGAGAACGTTAAAAAGAATTTCAAGGAAAATCTTAAAAATACGTACAAAATGCGTCTGTGTGTGTATATATATATATATATATATATATTTTTTTTTTTTTTTTTTTTTTTTTTTTTTGAGATAGAGTCTTGCTCTGTTGCCAGGCTGGAGTGCAGTGGCGTGATCTCGGCTCACTGCAACCTCCACCTCCCAGGTTCAAGTGATTCTCCTGCCTCAGACTCCCAAGTAGCTTTGGTTACAGCCGCGCACCACCACGCTCAGCTAATTTTTTTATTTTTAGTAGAGACAGGGTTTCACCATGTTGGCCAGGATGGTCTCGATCTCTTGACCTCATGATCTGCCCGCCCTGGCCTCACAAAGTGCTAGGATTACAGGCGTGAGCCACTGTGCCCGGCCACGTGTACATTTTAAAATTGGACGTGTAAGAGTAAAGAGCCCTGGGATCAATAAACTTACTAAGGAGAAAGATGAAGGTGGGCCTGTCTTTGGTTAGTTACTTCATGGAGGATGATGTAAAACCATTTCTGTTAAGAAAGGAATTGGAGTTGCCTTAATTAACTTTTCGCATAAAAGATTTAGTTTAAAATGCTATTGATCTGAGAGAGATCAGAAAGTGTTGAGGTTTTCCTTTCTTCCAGAAAAGCTTAAATTGTACATTTTCTTTATCTTGGAATGGTTCGGATATAAGCATGCCTTAGGTAGGAGATTTGTAAGCTTTCTTGCTCAGCACCGGTGAAAACCTACGTAGTAATAAAAGGCTCATTAACCAGTGACCTTCAAGTCAAACAAACTATCTGGCTTTTAGGCCCCATCCATAAAGTGGAAATAATACTTGGCAAATAGATATTCTGACACTGCTGTAAAAACGTTGCTTTTTGGTCTTACTATTACTGCCCCCCAAAATATACTGATTCTTCATCTAGAGTTAAGTTCTAAAACAGGCAGAGAAATTTACTTCAAAGTAATTTTTGTCATTTAACAATTTTCACTTTCCTATTTACAACCACCTCTTGGAAGCACAAAATGGAAGGTAGCCTCTCTGTCAATGCACTGCTCTAATACCTAGATTGTGTACTGGCTTCCGTGCAGGACTGATCACAAGCTCTCACTTTTTTCAAAGAGCAAATGATTAGGAAACATAGAGGAATTATCACAAAATAAATGGATGAAAAGGCAAGTAGAAAATAGGGCCTATCAATCCTTTCCCAAGAGTAGTTATTATGGTTCACATTTATAAAAGCAAAGATCACCTATTATACTTTATGTCCTTTTGGGGTAAAAGCTCAGGGTTACAAATAATCCTCTTTCCCTGTATTGAAAATAATGAGAGGATTATTTCTTCCTCCCATTCACAATCCTTAACCCCGAACCATTTCTATTTTCACAGCTATACCTGAGGAACAGAGGCAGATAAATGTTATAACAACAATTTCGACAAGTTAAAAACAGACGAAAGGGTGCAATGTCAGCAGTCAAAGGCACCAAGGCAACATAGGTAAATGCTTAGATAAATGTGTTAAGATAGTAACAACTCCTAGAATTTTTATCATTGTTCGACACTACTATCTCCGTGTATGGAGTCTCTCATTTGAAAATGAGCTTAAAAAAAAAAAAAGAGTCAAATTACCTAGCTTTGCTATTACCTACCATTACTCCCTACATTTACCGAATAGTCTACTATTATGACTTGTAATGCGAATTTAAAAATTCAATTACATTTCAAGCTTATCTTAATAAGCATCCCAGAAATTTGATTTCTGACCCCTCTACTTCTTATAAGATATCTCACCAAAAATTTTGTAAAGAAAATTTATTAAATTTACTTATAATCCCTTAAATAACAATTGTTTATATTTTGTGTTCAATTGTAGACTTTAACATAGCTGTAATAATCAGTGTATTGTGAATGAATTCTTTTTACATTTATTTTGTAAAGTTTTCTAATTGTTTTATTTATGTCAAAATGTTTAATTCTATTAGTTTTAAACAGAATGTAACTATGACTTCATTTCTTGTCTTAAATGAAATTTCCTTGTTCTAACAATAAGCTATATTAAAATGGAGGCCTACAATTTTTGACCTGGAAGTACAGAAAAAGGCATCTGCTTTTATAAACTTCCTTCTCTCAGAAGACTCAAAAAAATTTCACTTGTCATTTGTTCACTTTGATGCAGCAAGTAAGGAAGGAAAAAAAAAAAGTCCAAAATTAAAATTATATTTACAAAATTTTATTTACTAAAATTATACTTACAAAACTTATAACTTTCTTGAAAACACCTGTAAGATCCATTAGTATTAAGACAACTTTTAAAGAAATCAACATTTCATCTGTTTGCACTAAGTCATGCCACTTTCTTAAACCTTAATTGGGGTTTGGTTTATATGTAAACCTCTAAAACTTCAGAAGATATAATTAACATCATGAGAACAGTAATGGTAATTTTCTCTAATATTTCACAAGGTGGGGAGGTGAGTTCCCTGAAATCCAGATGGACCAACAGCCTCACATTAGCTATCATCTCTTCACCTATTACCACAGATACTACCTGACATCCCCTCTCCACCCCACCCAAAAGGAGATATTTCATAACAGCAAACAAAAAAAGTATTACAAAGTTGTCATGAAAAGCTATACTTTTTTTGAGATGGAGTTTCACTCTTGTCGCTCAGGCTGGAGTGCAGTAGCGTGACATCTCTGCTCACGGCAATCTCTGCCTCCCAGGTCCAAGTGATTCTCCTGCCTCAGCCTCCTGACTAGCTGGGACTACAGGTGCTTGCCACCACGCCCGGCTAATTTTTGTATTTTTAGTAGAGACGGGGTTTCACCATGTTGGCCAGGCTGGTCTCGAACTCCTGACCTCAGGTGATCCACCCACCTCAGCCTCCAAAAGTGCTATGATTACAGGCGTGTGCCACCTTGCCTGGCAAAGGCTATACCTTAAAGTGGTTTTCAAGTGCTCTAATCCTACTCATTATTTTTTGAAAGATAGTGAAGAGCAAAAAGACATTCTACTTAGAGGAGAACCTCAATAATGCAGAAATAGTGGGGCCTGGTTAACTTTACATATGTAGAAAACTTTATGTCAAACCACAGGGTAGACTGATTCCAAGTCATTCTGAGGATTCAATTTTCATTGTGTAGGCACAGAAGGTATAGGACAGGGGCTGACAACCTTTCCAATGCAAGCTTAAAAGCAGTAAACCCCTTTCCTTTTTCCCACTAGTGGAGTGCAAGTAATTATGGGATAATGTGCTTATCTCAAGGTGGAAGCAGAGAGAGGGTATACATTTTAGAATCATAGATTTTCAGCTTATTTCGCTGTGATTTACCTCTTTCTTTCTCACCAAAATGGAAAAAGCTTTGTTTCTGATTATAAAATACCTGCTTGTTATTTTTTTTAAAAATCAGATAATACAGAAAATTATAAAAAGTCAAAATCACCTATAATCTCCACTCAGAGATAATTACTTTTTTTTTTTTTTTTTTTTTTGAGATGGAGTTTCGCTCTTGTTGCCCAGGCTGGAATGCAATGGTGTGATCTCAGCTCACCGCAACCTCCATCTCCCAGGTTCAAGCAATTCTCCTGCCTCAGCCTCCAAGTAACTGGGATTACAGGCATGCGCCACCACACCCGGCTAATTTTCTATTTTTTAGTAGAGACGGGGTTTCTCCATGTTGGTCAGGCTGGTCTTGAACTCCCAACCTCAGGTGATCCACCTGCCTCACCTCCCAAAATGCTGAGATTACAGGCATGAGCCACCGTGCCTGACCCCGATAATTACTCTTAATGTCTTGTTGAAAAGCCTTCAAATTTTTTTCTACGCATACACATACATATGTTTTGGGGTATTTTTTTGTTTTAAGAAACTAAAATCAATTATAAACTCTAGGGTAATCACTAAAACCTTTTTAAAAAGAAAGTATAATTGACATTCTCAAAGAGGAGATAAAATGGAATTATATGAAATGTTAACTTAAAACCACAGTAGGCAGTAAATGTGGGGGGAGAAACAGAGCATATGCAATGAATAGAAAACAGTTACAAGCGTGGTGGATATTAATCCAACTGTATCAATAACCACTTTACATGTAAATTACCTAAACACACCAATTAAAAGACACAGATTGTCAGAGTAGATAAAGAAAACAAGACCCAAATATATACCGTCTACAAGAGACCCATTTTAAATATAAAGACTTAGGTTTAAAATACCTAAGGGATTTGAAAAGGAAGCTAAGATCATAGCAGTAAACTGCTTGGAGATCTGATTTTCTATCTTTCTGTGAAAGACAAAATGTTTACCTATTTTACAACATTTGAGGAATACAGAATCACATTATTTGACACAAATTAATGACAGATGAATACTGCAGGCATATACTGCTCCCTCATCTTGCTTGTATCCCACAAATAAAAATCTGCCAATCATAAGAGCATTTACTTTCTTTCTTTAAAATAACCTCTCATATCTTATTTCTGGAAATAGAGAAATATTAATAAATGCTGTTATCCTTACCTGAGAGTGTGTGTGTGTGTGAGAGAGAGAGATTACTGTAGCAGATGCCTTTTTCAATATGGTTCAGTGTTCAACATGAGCTGCTAAACTTTTGCTACTAGCATAGCTATGCAATTATTTACTGATCTAGCAAGTTTAATTTTAATTCTAGATGCTAAACAGATAAAAAAAGTCAGCTGGTTTTCTACATTCTTCCTAAATTTAATGCCCAAGAAGGCTATTTTCCATTGCTGTATATGTAGTATGTTCACACTCATCAAATATATCTTGAAAATAGGCTCTTTCAGACACACTAGATAGTCACATTAGGCTAAGACAATTTCAAATATGCCAAAGGTACATTCTGAATTATACATACATATCTTGATGCCACAGGCAACAAAACAAACCCCCAGAACTAGCATTAGACTTATTTTTGTGGTTAGAAAAATGACTAAAAATTTCCCATTGTGTGATGATGCGTGAATCTTTGATCTCTATTGGTCTGACTTCATACTCAGGCTACTTAGTTTATTTTGAGAAAGCAATCTTTCCTGTTGTTTCTCAGGAAATGGAAGAACATATTTATGAACAATGTTTTAACTTTCAGTTTAAGTGGTTTTAATTTTTTAACTATTTTCACTTTGAAGAGTATATAATTATGTGGAGAAATTAAGACTCTCAAAAAGAAACTAGAGCAAAGAGGTGGAGAGGCAATTGTATAGTCAGACTTCAGCTAAAAGGGTGCATTTTTAAAAGATGCCTCACAAAAACTGTTACACCCTGTTTCTTCCTGTGAAGAATTTTCCAAGCATTAAGTTGTGTAATAGCTTAATGGGGGAAAAGGAAATTCCCAGGTTTCTCTCAAATCGGCATGAGCATAAAGAAAGATTAGAGGCTTAATTTACAAAGGAGTGTCCTATCACCTGCTTAGGCTTGTTAAATTATTACAATAATCTCTGGAGCCACTCATCTGACTGGATTCACCTTTTAATGCTAACCACACCTTGAGGGCTTTAAGATGTTATCCCTGTTCTTAAAAGGGGGCTCAGACAGTTAAATGGCTTTGAAGAATAAGTACACCTTCCAGAGGAAGAATACAGCCAACTCAGAAGAGTGATGAAATCCTTCAAAATCTATAGGCAAAGACATTCAAGGTGCAGTGATGGAAACGGAAAGGAGAAAGGACTCTTAAGGTAAGATCCTCTGAATACTTATCCTTCTCCAACTGTTCGATTCTCTTCTACAATACTACACTTTTAACAAAGAGTGAGAAATGAGCCTAGAAAAAAGAAAATGCAACCAGAGAGAGAGAGAGAGAAACAACATAGAGATGAATGCAAAGAGCATCACCTTCTCTTATGAAACGACTAAATTATCTGCTACCAGTGATTCCTCAGGAAACCGTGGCACTCAGCAGGAGGGGCAAAGGGTAAATCCAAACTGTCTACCCCACACGCAAATCCCATCACAGATTCATGCTCCTGTCCTTCCCCTTTTCTGACTTGCTACCCCTCTCCCATTGCCAGGTACAGACACAACTGCAGACACCTGGGTACGGTTATCTAACAGCTGTCCTGCTGTTCATGCTGTCAACTTCCCAAAGGCTCTGGGATTAGCGCTGCCATCAGAAGAACCCATAAATGATAAGTGATGGGAGTCTAGCTGCTCTTACTCTCTTCTCCACTCATTTTTGTCTAATGATGTGCAAATCTCACAGAAGTTCTGAGAGCTACAGAAGACTTGAGAGGACATCAAATGCAACTTCCTCCATTGAAAGATGAGGAGGAAGAACTCCCCGTCTTCCATTAAATGGAAGAACTAGGACTAGAACTCAAGTTCCCTAATGTTAAGTCTGCTGCTCCTTCTCTCCTCCTGTCCAATCTTTAAATCACCATCCAAACTTAATGTTTCAGGCAGGGCCTGTGCGTTCTATTGTAAAAGGTCATTCATGCTATTCATATTACAGTACTCTATCAAACAGAAAAAAAAAAATCCTCCGTCAGCACCTAACCACCACTGACAAAACTACAACTGGGCCTTCAATGACACACAGCTATCACTCATCCTAAAGCACTGGGCTCCTTTTACAAAGGTAACTGTTACTAACTTCCAGCTGTCTCCTCAAGGCCCCACACTCTCAGCAGATTTCATCTCCTCCTTTACTGAAAATATCCAAGCCATCAGGAACAAACTTTCTCAACTTCTTTCCCATCCACTTGCATATTCACCTACAGCCACACATATCTCTTCCTCGTCTTCTCCTGTCCCAATGGAATAAACGTCCCAATTCCCTTTTATAACAACCCCTTTGAGTATGCTTGTGCTCTAGAACTTGGCCCCCCTATCTTTTCTGGAACTTTACTCCATTAATGATTTCCTCTTCTACTTGTAGTCACTTCCTCACCACTATTCTCAACCAAACTATAAGCTCTAATCACTATCACACACATACACACAACTCCTCGCAAACGTGTACACACCCGCGTGTATCTGCTCGCTCTCCTGCCTGTGCTCTCTCGCTGTCTCTCCATTTGATGCCCCCACTTCTTAACTCCTCCTCATTCCTCACTGGTGACAATCCAGTGTTAGGCTTTAGAGGTCTTCTGACTACCCACTGAATACCTAACTGTCAGATCCAATCTCCTATATTCAATCTTCACTCTACCGGACCCTTCTGTGCCCTGATAGGACCTGACAGCTTTTCCCTATTTACTCTCTGGGCAGCGTGGCAAGTTGCTCACCTGAGGTTTAGACACCCTGTCTGTAAAAGACAATAACATAATTATTTCACAGGAGATTGTTGTAAGAATTGTATAATATATAAAAACAAACAAACAAAAAGCACCGGGTACTCAATGTTGTCACTTTTGTTTTCAGATTTTCCTCTTCTTTTGTCTGCTCAGTCTTTGATCCTTTGGCCATCCCTGTGGAGTTTCAACGACATTCATGGCTACCACGATCAATCCTAGTCACTCTTCAATAATTGTCTCCAGCCCTCACTTCTCTCCTGGGGCTCAGGCCTCTTAAGATCAAAAGAATGCCCCACAGACACCCCAACTCCACTTCAACTTGAACTCACAATTGTCCCTAAACTTCTTATGTTTTCCATCCTTACTAATGACACCTTCAGATGTAAGTCATCAAAACCAGAAGAATCAAGAATCATCTTTTTCCTTCCTCTTACTCCCTTCCTACTTTCCATCTAATCAATAACTAATTATTTCTCCTAATCATTTCTTCAATCCAGTCTCGCCTTTCCTTTCTCACCTTCATCACCTTAGTTTGGGTCCTCATGATGTCTGCCTGGATTATGATGGTAGCCACTAAAGTGCTCCCTGCTTTCTTTTCACATATCTGAAAACAGTGATTGCAACACTTATTTTACCTTTAATGACTCCACAATGCTGTCAGGATAAAGTTCACACTTTCAGAAATGAAATGCATGGCCCTAGACATGGGTTTGACCAAGAACCCAAGCCAGTAGGCACCTCCAGCCTCTTCTCCCCTCTGTACCACCATCGCTTGGCTCCATTCACTCCTAGTCCATGTTCCACATTCACTGAGCCCTTTGGGGCTCTGAACCTGGGCTGTTTCCTCAGTCTGTCCTTTCTCCATCTCGGCCTGGTAAATGATCTCAGCCTCTCAAAATTCAGCACCAAAATCCCCTCCTTCAGGAATTCCTTCCTCACAAACAAGAAAGAACAAAACACTCCCTTCTATGTGCCCTACTCTCTATCATTATCGTCACAATATATTGCTATAAAGTGCCTTAAGTTATAAAAAAGTTAAGTTCCAGTTAGTGGTTTATGAGTCTATCTTCAGAGGTTAGGCACCATTTCATACTCACATTGCATCCTCAGAACTTAACAAAATGACCAGTACACAGGAGGTGGGGATGACGGAGGGGCGGGGACTAAGATTTAATAATTTGGAGCTCAGCAAATGTCTCCTGTTGAATGGATGAAGTAGTTTGGCTGCCAATTATATTACAATAATTGAATAAGAGGGAAGGCTGGTAGGACAGCTACTAAGGGGAGCACAGAGGAATCTGAATGAGAAATGGAGAACTTCCATACTGATAAAGTCCTCTAATGAGCATGTAAGTTTAGTCAGGTAACTAGCTAGGGCTGTTATAATCAAACTCAAGAGAATAGCTAATAAATCCCATTTAAAGCACAATACGAGAACAATTCCAACAACCCACAGATATCAGTCTTATCCGTCTCAGCAGGTTTCGGACCCTAGAACATTCTATATTATGATTTTATCAGACTTTGTGCAAGCTTGGTAAATCTCAGCAGTTAACTAAAAAGACTGCAACTCTCTCCTGTGTCCATAAAGCACCTGAAGAACTACAGACACTAGAAAAAAAAAAATACAGCTATTATCTACGTAATCCTATAACTATTGGCCAAGGTTAACATCTTTGTCTTAGCCTAACCTTGTCACACAATATCTATTTTGAGACCTAAATTTGTCCCCATCATGATTTCAAATTTACTTATAATAATAAGCCATGCTATGTACACAACATGGTTTCATCACATTTTAAAAACCAAGGTGGTGCCGGTCGCGGTGGCTCATGCCTGTAATCCTAGCACTTTGGGAGGCCGAGGCAGGTGGATTGCCTGAGCTCAGGAGTTTGAGACCAGCCTGCGCAACATGGTGAAACCCCATCTCTACTAAAATACAAAAAATTAGCCAGATGTGGCAATGTGCACCTGTAATCCCAGCCACTCAGGAGGCTGAGACAGGAGAATCACTTGAACCCAGGAGGCAGAGGCTGCAGTGAGCCGAGATTGTGCCATTGCACTCCAGCCTGGGCAACACAGCAAGACTCTCGTCTCAAAAAAAAAAAAAGAAAAAGAAAGACAAGGGGAAAATACATTGTACTCTGCAGAGGCACACAAACACCCACTTACCAAATAAAGTGACCTAGCATTCAGTGTGACATAAATTGCAGACGGGGAAGAATAAGACCCACTAAACTGAGAAGACTAGAGCAAAGTAAACTTGGAGAAAATCAAGCTGAAACTGACAAAGTTGTCCCAATAATAAAGAGACATCTGTAATTAAGAGACTTTCAAGAGTATTCACCCATGCAGTCAGTAAGCATCACACCTCATAAAACATTCATTCAAAAGCCGTACCAGGAATGTACCTCATAGCTCTACAAGCACATACAGAGCAACAGAGGAGGACAAGCCTTTGCAGTGACACACCACTGCCCTACACAGATGACCAAGTATGAAAGGGAGCCATAACTGCTAACAAAAGAAGAAAAGAAAAGACAAAAAAAAAAACACAAAAAAACAGAAGAAAATGTAACGTCAGCAATATTAAAATTATGTTACCAAGTAAGGAAATTAAACAATATTCCTAGATAGGTCGACACATTTCTAGAAAAATGTGTCTTTTAGAAATGTGTTTTTAGAAAATGTGTAGCTGCAAAAAGTTAACACATACAAATAAGGGCAAGGAATCTGCCTCAAAATAATCTTAAAGTCTTGAACTTTAAAATTTATATTAATGTATCAATCATAACAATAAGGTCAAGTTATATAAATGTACATGTAACAAGAAGTCATGCTAATAAAATCATGTTATATAAAGGTACATGCAACAATTAAAACAGTGTATCCAATAGTAAAGAAATGGAGTCAACCTAAATGTCCATCAATGACAGGCTGGATAAAGGAAATGGGGTACATATACACCAAGGAGTAGTATTCCTTGATAAAAAAGAACATAAAAATTCATAGAAAAGAACAAGATCATGTGCTTTGCAGGGACTTGCATGGAGTGGGAGGCCATTATCCTTTGCAAACTAACACAGGAACAGAAAACCGAATACCACATGTTCTCACTTATAAGTGGGAGCTAAATGATGAGAACACATGGACACATAGAGGAAAATAACACACAGTGGGGCCTTTTGAAAAGTGGAGAAGGAAGAGGATCAGGAAAAATAACTAATGGGTACTAGGCTTAATACCTGGGTGATAAAATAATCTGTATAACAAACCCCCATGACACGAGTTTACCTTTGTAGTATACACTTGTACCCCTAAACTTAAAATAAAAGTTGAAAAATAAATAAATAAAACAGTGTATCAAAGGCCCAAGAACATACAATTAAGTCAACTGGAACCAAATAGAGATCTCAGAAAGATACATCTACATATATGCACTGACATCCTAGGGGTAGCACCAAAACTCTGTGGAGAAAGAATGTACTAGTTGGCAAATAGTGCTGGGAAAACTGGCTCACAATATGACCAGATTTTTAAAAATAAAAATTGGGTTAATACTTCGTATCTCAAATTACAAAGAGTTTAAAAACCCAAATAATAAGAGTAACCTTTGAAGTTAATAAAAGAAAATGAGGAGAGACAACATTGTGAGCCCAGAATAGGGGAGGATTTCTTAAATGACTCAAAATGCACAGACCATAATAATAATATAAAGTGATGAGACAAGTACATTAAAACTAAAGATTTTATTGTTGCTATTACTGAAAGGCACCATAGACAAAGTTATTAGGAAAGTGACACACTAGAAGAAAGTTACAATGTCTAAAGACAAAGAGGAATTAATTTCTAGAATACACAAGAAACATTACAAAAATTCTCTCAAGAAGTTCTTGCAAGAAAAAGGCAAGAGACCCAACAGAAAATAAAGGGCAGGCTAAAGACATAAAAAGACAATTCATGGAAAAGGGAAATTAAATTAAGTAAATGAAGACATGTTCAGCCTCACTAGCAATCAGAAAAAGGCAAAATTAAACCATTAATTTTGGTTAGGTATAATTATAATTGATTAGGTATAATCAACATTTATCAGGTTGGCAGCAATCAGGAAATTTGTTTAAAAAAAAAAAAAAGGCATTATGCAGTATTGGTGGAGATATAAAGTTGGCAACTATCTGTGCAGTTCCCAGTAAAATTATGCAGTTCCTAGTACGCATATATCCTATGATCCAGCAATATTGTTTGTGGTCAATATCGCCTCAAGAAATTCTCATGAAGGCCAATAAATTCCATATGCCTAGGTTGCTTAGAAAAAAATTAATACATACTACATGGAAGCCAAAAATATTCATAAAAATGTTGACCCTTTCATGTCCCTATTTGTACTGTCTCCATATTGTTTACAGTTTTAACTTAACTTTTGCTGAAAGGGTAGGTAAGACTAAACAAACCATGATCATTTCTTTACATAGTCTAGTTCAAGAACAAGGAAAGCAGGATATACAGTGAGGGAAATGTTTTAGTGTTGGAGACTGCACAAACCTGGATCCAAGTCCAGGCCTTAGCTTGTCTGTGTGACTTGGAGTCTCTGCCTGCCTCAGTTTCTTCACATAAAACAGGGTTATTGGCCAGGTACGGTGGCTCATGCGTGTAATCCCAGCACTTTGGGAGGCAGAGGCGGGCAGATCAAGAAGTCAGGAGATCGAGATCATCCTGGCTAACACGGTGAAACCCCGTCTCTACTAAAAATACAAAAAATTAGCCAGCGTGGTGGTGGGCGCCTGTAATCCCAGCTACTCGGGAGGCTGAGGCAGGAGAATGGCATGAACCTGGGAGGCAGAGCTTGCAGTGAGCCGAGATCGCGCCACTGCACTCCAGCCTGGGTGACAAGGCGAGACTCAGTCTCAAAAAAAAACCCCAAAAAACCAAAAAAACAAACAGGGTTATTACCCACTCTGCATAACACCAGGAGGATTAGAGATAATCAGTGTCTATTTGTCAATGCCTGAAAAATATGGTGTTCAATAGATAGGAAGTAATTTCTTTTAACAAATAAAGGAACTTCATGAAATAACCCTATTAGATTTCCATGCCCTGCTCAACCTATCTCAAGCAGAATGACTTACATTCATGTCAATACAACACACACAGAAATCAGAGAGACTAATTCAATATGAACCCACACATCAGTTTTTCCCACTGCAGAACAGGGATAAATCCTATCTCCCTTTCCTTAAACTTACCACAAATTGTAAAGGTTAAGATTGGGAAGCCTCTTTTAGCTTCTGGGAAATGAATATAGGGCTGGTGGTGGTGGTGGTAGTGGCTATGACCATCATGATTCTGAAACTGGCCTCACAGTCCTGACTCTACAAAAACAGGGAAGGCATATTCGCAGAAGTATTGTAGGGAAAATGCTCTTAAGAGAAATCCAGTTATCCATGACTAACTGCAAAGATCTCAAAGCTGACCATGAAAAACGATTAGCCCGGAAACATGACCAGATCCAAAATCAGGGCTTAACACATCATCCTTTTAATGTACAACAAAGAGGAAAAATTCCACCTGGGAATCTTTATAATCTGATGGCTAACATATTATGCATTTTTCATCACCATTTCAGCATTTTCAGTCTGGAGCAGTTGTTTTGCTTTGGCCTCAATTCCCAACCTGTAGACTTCAGGGTACTGCAAGAGGTCTGTAGGCTGAATCCCTACCTCATATATACATGCAGTGCTATTTTACAAATACAGGAAGATGCTGAAGTCATTATTTGCAATATATACTTGGCTGATATTAAATAACTCTCATGAAACATCTGCAATTATAAGAGATACGAAGTAAAACAGTGAACCAGTTAAGATCGTTGAAATCTTTTAATATTAAATAAAAGCTTCCTGATTTTGGTGTCAGGAGCCACTGCATTACAGTTTACAATTTGACTAAGAAGGCATTTTTTACTTTATAATATACGTGAAGGGAAAAAAAGTTTTGAAAAAATGAAATCTTAACTTGCATTTATCTCCACTCCTAGTCCCCTCTTGGCCATTAACTTTTCCTTGGCATTTAACATCAAAGCTAGTTACCCTTTCATTTTTAGCCTTTCTGTTGGAAGAGATGCACGGCTGGTTCACAAGCCACTGCAACTCACCGACAGACAGAAAAGGCAGTGCACTGCGTATTAAGGAACCATACATGTATCATTTCATTCCTCCCTTACAAAACAATGAGCTCTCATTTCCTCTCTTTTGCTCCTCCTTTACCTTCTCCTCTCCCTGAGGGTTTTGACCACAGTTTTACAGAGGGGAAGTTATAGGCCACTACAAATATTCCAATTATTGAAGAGAAGACAAATATTTTATCCAACACTTATGAAAATTGTACTCCAAATTTTAATTTGCAGTATAACAAATTAAACCATAATTTTACAGTTTAGTTAATGGTGCAACATTAAAACTGTAACTAAAGAGAGCCTCAACTTTAAGCGCTACAAAGATAAGGAAATAAACTTACTTGCATCTAAGGAATGTTACAAAAATATTTAATCTATAATTTAAAGTTACATGGGTTTGCTCACGTTGTTCTGTAATGTGAGCCTCTCAGTGGATTACTGTGAGCTGGAATGAAAGAGTAGGGGATGCGCACAGTGGCAGCAGTAGTGGGGAGTGGAGAGTCATATATATCATTTACTAATTAATTAATTTTCTGGGATATAAACTGCCCTAGGAGTAAGCCAGAAGAGGTTTTTTAATTCTAAAAAATTAAAATATGGTAATCTGATCCCTTGGAAAGATACTTGCTCACTAAAACCTGACAAAAGGTATCTGTAAATTAAAATATACTACTAGAATTTTGGCAGAATACAAATCACACTGGTGCAAACACAGCTAAATCTAGTCACAGACACACAGGAAGTGTAAATTTCAAATATGAAAAAAAAAACTGCTTTAAAAATGAAAACAAACCTTGAGTTCTGGGCAGAGCCTGAGTGAAGAGGTATAACGAAAAACCTGGAGATTTGGTAAGGCAATCCAGCTTTCTTTTGGAATGGCAAAGGACCACCTGAATCAGCACTGCCACCTCTTCCTTAGGCAGCGGCTTTCCAGACTACAAAAGAACCACGGATTACATCAGAAGACCTTGTTCAGGTCCCAACAACTCCATTTACTAATACGACCACTGACAAGTTACATCTCATCAGCCTGTTTCCTCTCTCCATAAACTGGAGAAAATGAATCCTACTTCACTACATCATTGAAAGGAGCAAGAAGAGTTTAGCTCTGTTGAAAGGAGTAAAAAAAAAAAAAAAAATACATCATATACACTGTGTAAACAGAACATGACAATCTAAAGGCCAGTTATGATTTCTGAGTTTAAATATCACTAGAATAGAAGGAGACTCTGTTCTTAAATGGGAGATTTGGAGGCTCACAAAAGCTGTTCTACTGTATCTTAGAGCAGAGTGACAGATGCTAAAGAAAGTCCCCAAATAAATTAATAAACTGGGGGGCAAGGAACACACATAGGTATAAAAGTAGAGGCAGTGGCTGGGTGCAGTGGCTCACTCCTGTAATCCCAGCACTTTGGGAGGCCGAGGCGGGTGGATCATGGGGTGAGGAGTTCTAGACCAGTCTGACCAACATGGATAAACCCCATCAATACTAAAAATACAAAATTAGCTGAGCGAGGTGGTGCGTGCCTGTAATCCCAGCTACTCGGGAGGCTGTGGCAGAAGAGTCGCTTGAACCCGGGAGACGGAGGTTGTGGTAAGCCAAGATCGCACCATTGCACTCCAGCCAGGGCAACAAGAGCAAAACTCCTCCGTCTCAAAAATAAAAAAAAAAAAGTAGCTGCAAAACACTATGGTTGTACAGGTCTTTCAAGAATCTCTCTTGACTGGCTGAGTGTGGTGGCCTCCCAGTATTTTGGAAGGCTGAGGTGGGCAGATCACTTGAGGTTAGGAGTTCGAGACCAGCCTGGCCAACATGGTGAAACCCTGTCTCTACTAAAAATACAAAAATTCGCTGGGTGTGGTGGCGTGCACCTGTAATCTCAGCTACTCAGGAGGCTGAGGCAGGAGAATCGCTTGAACCCAGGCGGCAGAGATTGCAGTGAGCTGAGATCACGTCACTGCACTCCAGCCTGGGTGACAGAATGAAAAACCGTCTCAAAATAAAAAGAATCTCTCTCGATTACTTTCTCACTTTTCATGACGTATTTGGCAAGAAGAGGCATAAACACAGCCATCTCACAATTAAATTCAAACTTACGAAGTTCATGTCTATCTAGGAAGGATAAGTTTAATTGTTCAGTTTTCATAGTGCATTTTGGCTACTTAATGCCATGTACTTATTGATTACATGTTTTGTACTCAAGCTGGTAAATTTGTACCACCCTGGTAAATTTTCCTTTCAAAGCAAACTTAATTATGTAGTAAATATGTTTTATGATAAAATTTTCAGCATCAGAATGCTATAGTCAGCATCCCACGTCATGAATGTAAATTCTACACCTAACCCTGACTCCTTAGATGGCTTGGCTACCCGATAAAGTGAAAGCGCGCAGTGTATGTGATACTGTGCTACACAGATTCACTTTTCCTCTGTGCTACAGGGAGAGATCTTCTTTGGCAGAGTCTCACTTTCCTCCCCTCTAGTCATATGCTCACATCCCTTCCTCGGAAATAAAAATTAAGAAGATGCTACTGGCTTTAACAGGGCTCAAACATTTAATTTGAGGCCATATAATGATCCCATCAAACTGATTATTCTCAGCCATCCCACTCCCCTTAGTGTCCTCCCCAAGACTAGAGTTTCACCAGGTAGATAAACAGGCGGTAAAACAAGGCTAGGCTTTCACTGGGGGGAGAAGTCAATCTGAGTTATTCTGGAGAAAGATTGGACCTGCCAGGGAAATAAAGATGCAAAACGTCTGTAGCATAAAACCAACCCTAGTGTTTTATTCTCCTATGAACATTTGAGATGGAACACGATGTGGAAGTGAAAGTATAATCTACCTGGTGAATTTGAGAAAAGTCACTCTCAATTTTACTTTGATGACAAATGGAATTAATAAAGATGCCTGGCTCATATGTTAAAGTACCTTCTGTCTCAGCGAGGAGGCCTGGCTCAGAAACCACAGTGGAGTTAACAAGCCAGACACCAGACTAAACATCTCAGAACTCGCTGCTGTGCCTCATTCCTGGTCCCTACCTTTCCGGTGTGTGCCTGCATCATTAATTCCCTCTGTTTGGCATGGCCTGGCTTTCCCAAAACAGAAACCAAGGAACCGGGGTCCTCTGTTTCAGCAGCTGAAGAGCTGATTTCTGAGCATGGACACTAAGATTCTTTTCTCCTGTCCACCTTACACTTCACCCACAACTCATCTTCTTCCTCTTCCCTACGTCCCAACCCCTTACCCTCCCACCACCCTGCCTCCCAGGACATTTATGTGTATGACCCCAGACCAGTAAGGGAGGAACAAAGAGCTGCTGCTTCAGGCAGCAGCAGCTGGAGGAGAGGGTGGAGAGGGCAGCTGGGGACTCCAGGAAGACTCCCCGAGCACTGGCAGCTCCAGCGCAGCCCGGGGCAGTCCAGCCTGGAAAGCGCCCTAGTGGAGTCCTCGCAGGCGGCTCCGCAGCGCACGCCCAGGGCCTTCCGCCGGCCCGAACCCAGGGCGGCAGCAGCCAGAGTTTGGCAGAGACCCCGGGTGAGAAGCCAGTGGTGGGGGGCGGGCAAGTGAAGCTGCAGCACAGAGCTGGAGATGCAGATCCGACACTAGCAGTGCTCCGTGCCGCAGACTTCCCGACCCGCTCCCTGGACCCAGACCCGACCCCGCGCACCTGGACCAAGCGGCCACCCTGTTCTCTCAGGGCGCTCTCTGGGGACGCGGCTTGGGCGAGCTCCGGAGGCTGGAACCACGGCGACAGGAGACTTCACTCCTCCATCCTGAGACCCGGCAGCACGTTATAGACAGCCGTGCACTTCCTGTTTGAAAACACAGGGGAGAGAAAGAGCTAGAGAGATCCAAGTGTCGGCAGCGGGGAGGAAGGAGTGCAGGGCGGCGGGGAGGCAAGACCAGGGGGTCACCGCTTGCATAACTGCCATGGTGGGCACCCAGCGCTCCCCTGGCCGTGGCGACCCCGCCGCACCGGCTGCCCGCGTGGTGCCGAGGTGGCGCGGCCTCGGCCCGGGCCCCCCCTGCTGGTGGCCTCGCTGCCAGCCACCCGCCCGCCCGCTCGCTCACAGCCCTTCCGTTTGCAGCTGCTGCTCGGGTTCTCCCCTCCCCACAAGTACCTAGATCAATGGACTCCACGCTTCCTCCGCCGGTGCCCAGTGTGATCGGCCTTCTTTTTCTTCCTTTCTTCACCCTCCCAACCCCCACCCCTACCCCCCAGAAAATAATTACCTCGGGGAAGGTGTAAAGACAAGACTGAGCCTTTGCAGGGGAGTAGGGGCTGGATTTATGCAAATTTTTAAAGTTCATAGCCACATCCCAGTATATCCACTACAGCTCAGCAGCTGTGAGAGATTCAAGATGGGAAATTACTTGTCTTGTGCCTCGCTGGCTCAAAAGAGAAAGCGTGCACACAGCTGCCAACACAGAGCAGCCAGGAACTGCAAAACAGTAACAACAACAAAACTACATAGTATCCTCGGTTCCTCCTAGGGTCTCTACTCAGATCAACCTGTCAACCTCATCCTCACAGTCTACCAACATTTATATATACCAATTCCACATGGAGCATAATCGCATGGTGCATTCTTCCAGAAAATGATTCCGTAGTTCTCTGTGCTATGTAATCACAGAGAAGTTCCATAGTCCTGGGATTACATTCATTCATTTTGTTGAACTCTGACTTAAGTGGACTTCAGTACAGTGTTAAAAAGAGTACACAGATGGCTTAAGAATCTGCTGTATGTAGAGTGTGCTGGCTATGGGGATTCGCATTTGTAACCTGCCTGCCCTTACATGCACAGTCTACCAGGTTAAAAAGCGCTTACAGGACTGTCTCTTGACAAACGGCTCCTTTTATTATCAAGCTGTTGGCATTCATGGTTCCATACTCAAAATGGAGAATGTAATACAAACAATAATCATTCTACATATGAAGCTCAGTTTTGACTGAAGCAGAAAGGAACGGATAGATATTAAGCTCCTACTCAGTGCTAGACAACATCTCATTTTAAATCCCTCTTGGCCTTAATATTTTCCAACAGATCTGCAAAAGTCATATTCCCAAGTGAGGAAACAGGGTCAGAGAAATTAAAAAACTGTTCCCATGGCTCTGGCAGAAAGTGGTCAAATGGAGAACTGAATACAGGTCTTTCCTGATTATAAAATCTGTACCATTTCCCCTACACTGCGAATTCCTACAATGATCACAAATTCTTTTTTTTTTTTTTTTTTCTGAGACAGAGTCTCGCTCTGTCGCCCAGGCTGGAGTGCAGTGGCGTGATCTCGGCTCACTGCAACCTCCGCCTCTCGGGTTCAAACGATTCTCCTGCCTCAGCCTCCCGAGAAGCTTAAACTACAGGCACACGCCACCATGCCCAGCTAATTTTTTTGTATTTTTAGTACAGATGAGGTTTCACAATGTTGGCCAGGATGATCTCGATCTCCTGACCTCATGATCCACCCGCCTCAGCCTCCCAAAGTGCTGGGATTACAGGCGTAAACCACCACTCCTGGCCAATGATCATGAATTCTAGGGAGAAAGTCCAGCACAGCAACCATCCTGTGATCCATCCCTTCATCTCTGAATGATCCTGCTACTTACCAGCTATTGCTGTTGTGGTAGGCAGTTTCTTTAACCACCTGAATAATACACACCTTAATTTCTCGGGCAGAGGATACTGGCTTTTTCCATTACCTACTGCTGGCTGTCAGCCTTTCCAGAATTACTTGGTGGCAAAAGTTCAAAAGGTTCTAGAATGGCTACTCATATGCCAAGGTACAAAGTCTGTCCAGTTCAGAACCTAACAAGCTGACTAAAATTCGATTCCTGCATTATTTTTTCTCTAACTGGGGCTCTTTAAGAAAGTGGCAAATGATGTTCACAAAAACACACATGGCTTCAAGTTGACATTCTCTCATTTTCTGTTTCCTTCTGCTATAACACTTAGTTCACAATCACCTGTCAGTAGCATGCTGCTATGAGGCTCCTGACGCAACCAAATGAAAAGGTGATTAAGAGTCTTGTGCACTCACAAAAAAAAGGGGGGGGGTGGTCTTGACAATACTGAGGCCTCCAGACGATGAACTACACCTCACCCACCCTTTTCTCCTCACCTCACAGACTTGAATTGTAGTGCACCCAGATGACCATGGCCTTCAAGTACAAAGGCAGGGGCGGGGAAGAAGACTGCAAGGACCAGTGAGATGCATTCCTGTCCACTAGGCACTCGCAGTCTAAGGAGGGCTTCTTACTAAAAGACTTCTCAAGGGATCTTAGCATCCTTTTAGGGTCTAGCTCTGTTCACCTTTTTCCTTCTCTCAATCCTTTGCTTACCGTGGTCCTGGCAACTCTTCATGTCTTTTCACAAACTTAATACTTCTTCCCAAACAGCTACCACATATTTTCCACAAAGTACTCAGTGTGGGGAGTGGGGATGTGAAGCAGGGCATTTAGCTAGAAACTTCTCTCATTTTAAAAACCCTGTCAATTATTACCATGTTTTTAAGGACACAATTATGTTTTGAAATATCTTTTGGTATCCCTCCTTCATTTTTGTTACTCATTATCTAAGAGCCCAAGGAAAACCTCTGAAGAAAAATATTTAAATTCTTAAGAAAAGGCAAAGGAAAACTTAAACCTGCAGAGCCTTTGTTTTTTATATTTGGGACTCATGCGATTAGACTATCTAACTTCTTAAAATCTCTCTTAGGAAAAATTCAAAGTCATTAATCTAAAAACAGTTAACAGTAGACTATTCCTATTTTGTCCAAGTACTGTACTGAGTGATAATTTAATGATATATAGGAGAGTTTGTATGGTTTAATAGGTAACAAAATACAGAAGAGCATTTGGTGGGAGACTAACAATGGTATTCGCCTATGCTGCTATGTCCACACCCAAATGTCTAATACTCTCCCCTCCAGAGCAGTGGCCAGCTGTGGGGGAAGGGCAGCCACATTTCTCTTTCTTAGGCTCCCTATAAACCCAAACCCTCCTCCTTATCAAAAATATTTATTAACATTCACTCTGTACGACTCCCAAAGTTTACAGTTTGGAGAATACAACACAGCCCCTGACATTTCCTAATCCTAACTACCATGAGGCCTGAACACCATCTCATACTTTCCCCTGGTCAGCTATTCGCCCGCTCCTTCTGTGTTTCATGCAGAAGTGTTTCTTTCTCATAGCCGCTGTTATGCTTTTGTGTGTGTGTGTGCATGCGCACGTGTGTGTGTGCACGTGTATGTATATATATTAAAATCACAACCTCATAAAAAGAAAAAATGCGCTCTCAGGTAGGCACAAATTATGCCACAAAAGATTTTGGAAAAATGTGGAAGGTTCACTTTGAAAGTCTCCACTCCCTAAGTACCATAATCCCCAGATGAAGAGACCAACACTGTGAAAGCCATTTTAGAAGCTCCAAATTCAGTTTCAAGAAATAGCTTTTCTGAGGACTAATGGGTGTGGAGGAGGAGATGATAAACTCATCTCTAAAAAACAATGCTGCTTATCTTTCTTCATCTTAAGAAAGATCTTAGTTTGGCGGTTAAAAATGTTTGCCACAAGCAATTCTCTGTGTGAATATCAGGAGTCCTGGTGATTATTACACATGGATTTTACAAACAAGAAAATAAAAAATGACAAGCTGTCTGGTTGCCAAAGAGATGACCCTCTGCACTATCAGCCTTCACAGCAGTGTCCCTACCTTGTCTTCACCTCCGGGGTAGCACATGCAACAGGATTTTCTGGGAAGGAGGTCTCTGGCACTCACATTCACTTCCTGGTCTCTGCAAAACCTGAACCATGGCTTTCAAGGAAGCCTTTCGCAGAGCCAACTGGCTGGCCTGATTGGCATTTACCCATAGAGGATTATTAGCCATCTTTAAAGAACCAGAGTAAGTGTCATTTCACATGACAAAATGCAGCAAGGGGTCGCAAATCATGTTTAAAAAAAAATATGCCTGTAAGATAGTTTCCTGATTTTGAGAAAGCAAGAAGGAAAGCACTACTTAAAGCACCCCACAGCATGACTTAGAAGATCCAACCACCAGGCAGGTAGGGCCAGGGTGGCTACAGGCCTGAGCTGGTATCTCTCTAAGCTCAGTGCTCCAATTTCCTCAGCTTCCAAACACACACAATGAACCCACACACCTTGCACAAAATTACTAACATTACATAGGACAAACCCTCACAGGCCCTGCCTCAATGAATTCTCAGAACTACCTTCGCAGGGAGGTGTCATTATTAATGTGTTACAGAAGCAGCAGCAGGGCTCACAGATGTTAAGTGATATTCTCAAAGCCTTAGGTAATGGAACGAAAACTCACCCTGGGTCTGTTCTTCCTTCTTTTAATTGAATAGAAATGAGTGGGTGCATTTTGGCTGTGGATATATTATTCTGCACTACATATCTTTTGCTCAGAAAAAAAATCCCACTTTAAAAAGATAACTTGTAATGCTCTCTCTCAAGTGCATCATACACCCTCATCACCTCGCCAGATTTTGGTAAAGTGTAAAGGATAAACATGTATTTTGTAATAGGTCAACTGACTTTAAGCCATAGGAATATAAGTAGATATAAATTAGGTAAAATATGCACTTGAGCTGCAGCTGGATATTATTTTATAAAATAATAAGACTGATCCACTGATCAAACTGTGATAAACAAAATCTTAATACATTTTTTCCAAGCTTCCTCTCTCATTCTTCAATTAGTATGCAAAAAAATGCATGTAAAGTAGGACATGATGGTTGATGTACTGGGATTTACTAGGCATAATACTGTGAAAGAAGGGTAAGATCCCCCAAAATTCTGACTAAATGCAAATACCTGTATAAAAGACTGTTCAAAATGCTCCCAGCACAGACTGCTAGGAATGAATAGCCTTGGATTATTTAATGACTGTTGATTTTGATGTGTATTACATAGATGAAATACTGTCCTATAATTCATTCTTCTTTGGAAAGCATGTTTTGTCTGTTAATCTTCTGTGGTAGTATCTGCTTCCTTATTTGAAACATTGTTTTAATTCTCTTTGGGCAATCTTATTTATCTTATTTTTATTTTTGAGACAGAGTCTCACTCTGTTTCCCAGGCTGGAGTGCAGTGGCACAGTCTCAGCTCACTGTAGCCTTGTTCTCTCAGGCTCAACCAATCCTCCCACCTTAGCCTCCCCAGTAGCTGGGACTACAGGAGCTCGCCACATCCAGCTAATTTTTCTTTTTTCCCCCCTTTTTTTTTTTTTTAAGGGACAGGGGTTTCGCCATGTTGCCCAGGCTGGTCTCAAACTCCTGGACTCAAATGATCCACCCACCTCGGTCTCCCAAAGTGCTGGGATTACAGGCGTGAGCCACCACGCCTGGCCTGGGCAATCTTGTTTTTTAAATAACATATTAAAAAGCCCAACAATGTAAAAGGGTTGGATCCTAAAAAGTCAAATAAATATAATGTTCATTATTAAGAAGTGTTCTTAAAAATGACTTTCAGAGTTCATAAGGAATAAGTCACACACATCATATCTTGAATACAATTCTCCATTATACATTATAATGGAGTCTACACGAAGAAAAACAATTCATGAATAATTTAAGGTTACAAAATTAGATACTTTAAATTTCATCTCCTTTCCTTTGCCTGTAGTGGAATAGCCAAGGCAAATAGCACGAAAGAGAAACGGAGTACCTGAAAACTCCAGAAACTTTATTATGAACTTTTAATAGCTTATTCATCAATTTTTTAACTAACCCTAGTTTAATAAATGCCAAGCACTTTACATGTATTAACACTTCAATGATTCCTGACAACAACCCTATGAGGTAGGAGTTATTGTTATCTTCATATTACAGATGAGAAAAGAGACATGGACATGGAGATGTTAAGTAATTTGCCCAAAGTCACACTGCTAGTAAATACTAAAACTTCGATAGCCTGGCTGACCAGAATCTACTTTAACCAACACATTTTCTTACCCATAAGACCCAATTGGATTGAGTTTGCTTTCCCTTGTGTGAAAGTTCATGAGGTACAGTGCCATAAATACAGCAGAAGAAAAGAAGTGGGGAGGAGTGGGGTGAGGGGCTCAGAGACTTTCCAGTTTGTAGCAAGAATGTAACCACTTGTCTAGGGGCACTAGGCTGAAAGCTTTAGGAAGTCAGGGATGCAGAGCCTGGGCCACATTGCTGAATAAATAAATATTAAGAAGGAAAGAAAAGGTATTTGCAGAATGAAAAGGCCAGGAGGAAGGGCTGCTTCCTCACCTTGACCAGAATCCTGGATTTCAAGGCTCCAGGATTGCCTGGCTACAGCACAACTGAATTAGCAACTGAAAGGAATGCAGTGAACCCATGTACTTTGATCTTGGTAAAGCAGTTGATACAGTATCCTGTGAAATCAGGATCCTAAATCAACCAAAACTTATGTTGTTCCAAGAACCACACAAGTTAAGCAGGCTAGAAACAAAAACACTGGCTACATCTACTAGTATGATGAAGAAAAAGCCACAAGGAACGGAATTCAATCCGTATTCAAAAGTAACTTGGAAATTACTCACGCTGTTTTAATCAAATTTGCACATAACATTAATTTGGGAGGTGTGAAGAGGGCAAATGAGGGCGAGCCAATTGACTTAGTTAAATTAGCAGAGAGGTGAAGAAAAACAGAAGTTCAGTTTCATTTTTGTGTCCCCTTTAATTTGCAGGGAGTGGCTATGGATGTCCAATGGGTAGTAACCACCTCTAAACCTAAAATGCCAAGACTGAACTAAGTAAGCAATAGCAAATAGATACATGTTTAAAATGTTAAGACTTCAGGTCTGAACTTCACAGAGCATGATCGTATTATTCCATACACTATCAGTAAAGTTCCATGGGAAATAATATTCCTTTCAACAAGACTTCGTTAGGAAAACCCAAAGAAAAGAAGGGGCTCAAAGGCTGAGTTTAGGAGGTCAGATGAAAATGTCAGTGGCGTATGTATAATCTGGCCCCACTACAAATATGCCGCACAGGCAGAAGGTCATGAGAATGGTTTGCAAACACATGGCAGGACAAAGAACAGTAGAGAAGGCAGAGAGAAGCAAGCTAAAACTTGAACTAACATTATTTTTTTAAGCATAAATTATAATTTCTAATTTCTTTAATGTTGAGAAATAGCTTATCCCTTGGTAGAACTATCTGTCCTCCCAGCAAAAATTGTATTTTAAATGTTAGCAGTTGATTTAGAACTAACAAATGAGAGTAAGAGAGCTCTGAAACATTTGAAAAAAAAATGACCTATATTCAGGCTGGGTCCTAGGAAATGTAAAAGTGAGCATCATTTCATGTAGCTCCTAAGAGACTGAAGAACTGCACTATTAGCTCTGTAGCCAATATGCAGGAAGAGATTCTTGACCAGATATGGGTTTTAAGTATGTCCTAGCAGGCTTGTTCATGGGAGGAAAGCATATGTTTCTAGAAAATAAAAGGCTCTGAAAGGAAAGAGGGTCACTGAATAATTAAAACTTTCTAATATGTCACCCTTACTACTCTCAATCATAATTTGTACAGTTATTTTTTAAGGTGAAGCCCTCAATACGCGAGCAATGCAGGCAAGGAATACCTTTAGGTATCTGCAGAATTAATGACAATAATAACAGCAACAGCAGCTAACACGTGAGTGTTAACTATGTGCCAGGAACTGTTCTAAGCATTTTATATAAACCATCCTCACAACTAACCCTAGGAGGTAAATATTATTGTATCTTCATTTTATAGTAAGTTAAGTAACTTTCCCATGTTCCCATGGCTAGAAAGGCAGAGTAAAAACCCAGGCAGTAAACTACAGAGCTCATGCTCTCCAAGAGATTGTCATTGAAGACAGGTACAGCCCACAATAAAATCCCATATATTCCTCTGCCTTCTAAAAGAAACAGCAACAAAAAAGGAGAAATCTAGCACAGGGGCATAAGGATTAGAGCCATCCCACATTCTAGATTTGAACAGGAAATACATGTGAAAAACTTCAGCCAAATGACAATGCTCTGAGAGATTACTGTTTAATACTTACAGAGGACAAAAAGCAAACCATAGAACCTACACAGACAGAACTTCCACAAAGTTTGATGACTGGCCCCCTCCCATGGTTTAAAAAATCATCCATACAGGGACAAACTCAAAATTAGCTTCAGCTCAGACCTTTCTCTAGAATGCCCCAATGCCCTCTAGAACCCTTCCCTCACCAGGCTGCCCTCAGAACCACCTGCAGAGCCTTCAAAACACACTTTCCCAGGCCCTACCCAAGATGTGAACCACTGAAATCATGGGGGTGGAGGGGTGCTCCTGGAATCTGCACATTTAGGAAACTCCCAAGTGATCCTTAGATGCAGCCTAGTGCTGGCGAAAGCCCATGCTACCACCAGAATTGCTGAAGGCAGAGATCAAGGCAAAATTATTTCCCTTCTCAAGAACCTTCAATGGAATAACCTTTATTCAAAGGCAACCAAGTGAAGTCTAAATTCCTCAGCAGGACACTCTAGGCCCTCTGTAATCTGTCCCAAACTACTTCTCTGGCTTCCTTTCCTCCTCCATCCCTCACTCCATCCCAGCAGCATTTCCCAAACACATTCTGTACTTCTACAACTCCATGCTTTGCTGCTCCAACGTTCCCTCAGCTCTCCCATCAATTCTCTACCTGTCACCATCTTTGTCATCCTTCAAGGCCCTATTCAAGGTATTTTTCCTTGTGAGACCTCCCCTGATCTTTCCAGTCAAAATCAGTCTCTCCTTCTGAGCAAATGTCCAAAAAATGTAGCTCTCACAAGAATTACAACATATACTGCAAACTGTGCTGAATTATACTAAACTGTTTACATGCAGGTCTTATCTTCAAAGCAGGGGCATATCTTACTCATCTTTCATATTGTGGATGAGAAAGAGACCTAGGTCGAAGTTTAGCTCTCCCTGCTAGTTATTAGCACTGTATCCTTGAGTGGGTTATTTAAACACACTGAGCCTCAGTTTTGTAATCTTTGAAATGGAACACCAATGACACCAACCTTCATGGCTGATATAAGAATAGAACAGAAAAGTGGCCCACTGTGGACCACCTGAAATGCACTAACATGATAGCCGTTGTTAATATTTAGTGCTAACTTTCGTTTCCCACCCCACTAGAGTGCACTGCAGACAAAGTAAATGCTCAAAAAGCATTTGCTTTTACTCAAAAAAGGCATTTGCTTTCAAAGTAATGATAAATGTTAAGTGATTTCTTAAAGTCCTTTCTCCTGACCCAATTTTGTTCTGTTATAAAGAAAATTTCACAATATTTCTATTCCTATTCTATTTGTACTCCCCTTTCTTTCCTTCAAAAATTAATGTTCAAAATTCTAATGAACAAACCCCGTCAGTGTCCCTCCTACTCTAGCTTGGCTGTTTGCTTTGAACTACAGCAACTGCCTGCAGCCACAGTGTCGCTGCCCAGAGAATTGCCTGCTTCACCCTTGCAACAAATAGCACTTTGTAGGCAAACTGGAAGAGAGCCCAAAGTAGGAGGGGGGAAAACCAAGGAAAAGGAATTTGGGCCAAAAACTGAGTTGACACCCACACTATCATTCACACTGGAATACAGGTAAGGAGAGAACAGGAAAGAAAAGGGGTTCAGATCAACACAAACCTTCCCCAACCACCTACCTCACCACCCACCCATGGAAAATGCATTCCAAGACTCACAAAGGACTTGCTGGTCAGCTCACTGCCTGACACACATGGCTATTGTGAATAAAATACTGTCATATATAATAGCTTCTTATCCTCACCAAACCAATCCTAGTGCCGTTACTGTCCCCTCCCCCATTTACAGGAGATGAAACCCAAGGTCACACGAGTCCACAAAAGAGAGTGCTGGGATTAGAACTCAAGTCTTTTAAGCTCCAAATCCTAGGTCCTTCCCACTGCCTCCAAATAGGTTGCAAAAAGCAATTTAAAAAGTGCTCTCAGAAGCTCACCAAATCTACCAGTTGTAAAGGTAAAGGTAAAACAAGATGGGTTTTGTGCTGTTAAAAACAAGTCTGGTGCCAAGGATGCGGGTTGTCACAGCAACAAGGCTCCAACTACAGCCTTTGTAATGATCAGTCCAGCGTTTTAGTACGGTGTTCCAGGAAGATCCTTTAGTCAGGTTTCTGTTCCTAGATGGAAACTGTCTCCATGATTTCATTTGTTCATTTGGTTTGGGGAGGCAGTATCAGGGAAGGAATATAATTTTATTTCTTTTTTCAACCAAACTCTGATGCTGACTTTAAGACTGAGGTAATGTGGAAGGCAAAAGAAGTTTCTAAAGCAAATTTATGTTCGTCGTTGTTGTGAGAGAGTTCAAGGGGCAATGAAGGAGTCCTAAAAAGCACAGATCCTGAAGCCATGGCAGCTTGGGTTCAAATCACAGTTCTGCCACTTCCTGTAATGACCTTGGCTGCTCATGGTGATTGGGAGGAGCAGCCAGACTAGAGAAGCCAGCCTTGGTTTCCTCTGCTACAAAATGGGGCTGTTGTCAGAAGTAAATGAGCTAATATATGTAAAGTGCTGCAAACAGTGCCTGGCACATGGTGAAGTGTTTCCTAGTCTTATTTCCAGATTCGTCACTAGGACTGGATTCTTTTTTAAGTGTATTTTATAAGAAGGTTAAAGAAGACTTCTTGTACAACTTGTTAACGCATAATGCCCCAAACGAGCACAAACATTATTTACAAGTTTCACTTCCTGATAGGATCTTCCAGGACTTCCATCTGTAGAGTAGAGTCCCTAGAAGGCCGAGCAGTGGAATTTGAAGAATTTTTCTTCTTCCCAACAGTGCAAGAAAACCTGAACCCATTCTCTCAATACTACAAATGGTTTCCATAAGGGGGAAAAGAAATCCATAAAGATCCTTACTGCACTAAAGTAACAAATAGAAGGGGACATTTTAAAATGAATTTATTCTAAAAAGCAACCAAAGTATTAGAAATTTAAAGTTATTCCAGTCTAGAAAGACATAGTTCAGATCACACAGGGATGATAGCCCCAGGACTGGAATAAAACCTGCAGATGATGAAAAGACGTTGTTCCCCTCCCCACAGAAAATGCTGAAATTCCAGGAACAAGGTACTATATACTTGGGATGATTAAGAGCAAAATGCTTTTAAAAATCCTCTCAGACTAGGATTCTGCTAGTAGCAGAAATCTGTTCAAATTATTACTCTCTTCTCTTTCAAAGAGGGTGTATGTACAACAAATTACACAAACGATGTTAGATTTTCCCCAGAAAAGCAAATAAAACTAAAGACAGGAGCACTATTGGGGTCACAGTAAAGGTCTGAGGTCCTGTCCTGCACCAAGATACCCAGATGGTGGAGAGGGGCTAAAACCCAGTAGACAATATCCTCCCGGCAGTGTGCCCTGACAGCGCAGACGCAGCCCTGCTGACACTGCTTCACACAAAGGGACCCTGGAGGCTGGCCCTTCAAAAGCAAAACAAGCTGGTGTTCCAAACCGTCTTTTTCCTAGGGACTGCTGTGTATACCCGCTCAATGTCATAGTTTGGATGGGGGAAAAAAATGATGCTTTGTACTCTAACATAGCCAGCTTTCCCCTATGCAAACATTTTCCAGCATTCTTGGTTTACTTTTTGCTATCAGCTGTTCTCTGGACCCCTCTTCTTTATCTCACTCCCTAGTCTTCTTTCTGACATAAACTCTTTTCCTTCCTTTTCATTCCAATTCCCCTTTTGTAGAAGCCACCGTACACATTAACATGATACACTAGGAATTGCAAAATAATAGCACTCTTTGCCCCCTGCCAACATAGATTCTGCACTATTTCTAAACATTGACATTTTTTCTTTCTTTCTCTTTCTTCCCCATTTACCCCAAATCAATTTTAAGATATGAACAAATCTTCCCGTATCTCCTGGGGTAGATGATCTCTTTACTCAACTCCAAGTGGCTCTTACCCTTCCTTCTCTCTCTGTGTGTGTCCCACCGGTCCTCTCCCCTTTTATATTCATACTCTACCTATTTCTCCCTAAACCTATTCCTCCTCAGGCCAGACAACCTGTTCAAATGCAACCACTCCAGATGTAATACACCACATTTAAAGGTCAGAAATTGTTATCATTAAAGTACGGGGCTTGCGGGTTGCTTTGCTCTGCTTTGTGTCTGGGGTTGGGAAAGAAAAGGATGAAATCAAGTTTCAATTCATGTCAATTTAAATTAATGTTTAAAAGTGTATTGTGGGCCAGGCGTGGTGGCTCATGCCTGTAATCCCAGCACTTTGGGAGGCTGAGGCAGGCAGATTACATGAGGTTAGGAGTTCGAGACCAGCCTGGCCAACATGGCGAAACCCCCTCTCTCCTAAAAATACAAAGATTAGCTGGGTGTGGTGGTGCGTACCTGTAATCCCAGCTACTCAGGAGGCTGAGGTAGGAGAATCGCTTGAACCCGGGAGGCGGAGGTTGCAGTGAGCCAAGATCACAGCACTGCACTCCAGCCTGGGCCACAGAGTGAGACTCCATCTCAAAAAAAAAAAAAAAAAAAAGTGTATTGTGCTTTTTATTCAAACCCTATGCTTCCATTTATCTGGCCACTAAAGGGCTATCTCTAAGGGCCTAAAGAGGCGGTTTCCAGCCCACAAAGCTATTTTGTTTGGTTTACAGGAAGTTCTAAAATGTTGAATTAGCCAACCTTTAAAATCAGATTTTACACAATAATCCAGATTTCTGGCTTACAGTGAAAAATCAGAAGACCTGGCAACACCGGCCCACATTCCCACGCGGCAACAATGCACTGCTCAACAGGCCCACTTCTGATGGGCCTCCCACTCCTGATGACCCCACCCTGAGGGCGAGTGCCTGCTGCCACAAATCATCTCTGAGGCACACTATTTGCTCAAGACCCCCAGGCTACTGCTAGTATCCAACTCTGATTAGCACAGAAATTACAGATCTAATTTCTGCTTGGTACAGAACTTAGCAGGTATAAATAAGTTATAAGGAAAAGAATTTAGAACAGGTGAAAGAGAAACTATTTTGGAATTGAAAAATATCTTAAGAGAGCTAAGTTAAAGAACAAGTGCATCTCTCTCTGTCTCTGAGTGTGTGTGTTTGTAGGAAGGGTGTGTTTTGTGCAAGATGTATAAAACTGCAGCCCAGTTCCCAATTTGTACTTTATTACTGGCTAAATGTTAAGATAAATAATTCAATAGTTAAAGTAAAACTTGAACAGAATAAATTCACTCCAGCAAAGAGATTATACTTGAGTATAATGAAGTATAATTTTCTTGTATTTAAAAAATAAAGGCACGAATGAAACAGCCTATGAATATGATGTAGATACATGGATATTTATTTATTCATTCATTTACTTTGAAGATATAGTTTTTTTATATTGAATATATTTATGGCATTTATTCAGCAAACATTTGTTACAGCAGTTTTTTCAGCTAAGACATAACACCTTAGCAAATATTAGGTATATCTTTACATGATTTGTTTATGTACAGTAGTTATTCTGGCTGAGATCTAACTAGGAGGAGGGTGCTTAAGATGTACTTTACAAGTGGCATTCTATCATCAATATGGGTGACAAAAGAGAACAGGGCTAGAGAAAACACCAGAATAATTAAGTGATTTAAAGTTACCCTCTCAATTCCAGGATAAATTTTCATTCAAGTAGTTTTACCAACAGGCTCATACTTCTAAGACCAACTTGGGGTGACAAGAGCATTGGCCTGGAAGCCTAAATGCCGGGATGCCGCTATGGCTCTACTCTTCAAACACGCAGCACGAACCAGAGGAGTTATCAGGTACCTTTACACCTCAAAACCTGATTCTCTTTTTCATGTAACAGAAATACTACTAGGTATTATAAAATAAATACAAAGAAATGTGCAGAAATGAGAAAGGGTACAGTAGATAAGAGAATAGGTATATATTATAAAATATTAAAAAGTCTGGTTTAAAATAAAAAAGTCTGGTATAAAATGAGTCTGGTTTCAAATTCCACCTCCGCCACTTCTATGTGACGTTGTTGCAAATGACATAACCTTTCCAGCCTTATGACCTCATCCGTAGAGTGGGAATAAGTCTATCTTTCACTCAGAATTGTTTTGAGGATTATATGAGAATGCATGTAAATTCCAGGGCATAGGTTTGGACAATCATTAAGTGCCTAATAGCTGTTATTATTAATAACTTTAGGTGTTCCATACATTGTCCAAGTACTTCTTAACCAGCTAAGTTAAATACGAAAACAAAAAAGCAGCCATATCTGAGAATACTCTGATTTTAAAAGCCTACTCAGTAGAGTGCCATTGCAAGCACCATGGGGACCATTTTTCCAAGCATTTTAATTTTCTAGTATTTCTTAAAATTGGGTTGTAAGCAATCAGTGAAGAGAATTTTGACTGACGGCATCTAATACCCAATCTGAAGAGTTCTGTCCTATCTCTATAGCATGAGAGATTTTGAGACACAGCTTTCTGGCGGCCAATGACCATCAGAGAAAAAGGTGTCTTCTTGTACATCCTTTCTTCTCCTTGTTCTGCAGAACTCGTTGCAGTGCTGGCTATCTGTCGATGCTAAGATGTAGCAATGGGATTTATGCATTGTTGGGGAAGTGAAGCTTTCTCTGGCAATGTTCCTAACTATTACCAGCAAGCATAAGAGGAAAGAAAAAAATGTTTTAAGAAAAAAAAAATGCTTGTAATGGAACCTAACACCATATTTATGAGCGTTCCCCAAAAGGAGGTGTCAAGGGGTAGACACAGACATCTTGAAAACCTCAGAGGAGTGGTAGTTCCCAGACTTTTGATTTCACAGGCCAGTAAAATGTCAAAAGAAAGACTATCACAAAATTGCCAGCTTAAAACTGGACCTAGAAATGACACCAAAAAACCATCATCATCCTTTCATAAAATGAAAAAACAAGCCAACCTTCCAGTAGGAAGGACAACCCAAGATTAAACAAAACAAAAACAAAACAAAAAACCAGACTCTTATAATTGAATAAACTTAGCACTAAAGTTGAAACAGAAAAGCTTGTTGCATTGTCTTCACTCTTCTCATTTTTTCATGGGCTGGTGAAACTGTCATCAGGGACCCACTCTGGAAATGACTGCTCAAGGATGGACTGGGAGTTGGTCCCATCATCCATCCAGCCCAGGATGCACTATCTCATGGAGGCACCAAGGGCCATGGTGGACCATGTGCTGTTTGGGTCACTATACCTTCCAAGAAGACTGACATATCCTTAAAGCTTCTCTTTTGTCTTAATAACCAATGATGGGCTTGCTGGCCACAAATGTTTCAAACCCATTTGAAGGTGTCTTCAGTCAGTACCCAGCCTTCGTGCACAACTACTAAGATGGTGGTTCTGAGCTGAGCTGCACATTAGAATTACCTGGAGGCAGGGAGGGCTGTTTTCAAAACTAAACTCCATATCCAGAGATTCTGATTCAATAGGCATGGGGAAGGGTCTGAATATATGTATTTAAAAAATATTCCCCAGACTGATTCTGATGCCAGCCAGGGTTGAGAAAAACCATATTTCTTGGCATTCATCCTGAATTTATATCTTGTAAAGTTTTAAGGTATACCTCTTCTTTCATTCCTCTGGGTGACAAATACTAATAGAGGGCCTGCCACGTGCAAGGCACTAGAAAATCAGTAGAGAACAAGAGAGATAAATCCCTATCCTAACCACACTGACAGAGTACCGGAGCAGGAAGACAAGGAGGCAATTAAAATAGCACGCTTGGGCTTATTAGAATAAAGTGAACTATCAAGGCTGCCTATGGCCCTATCCTTGTGGTTTCATAGGCCTCCATGCCATCTCCTCTCAGATGACTCTTTCCAGGTGCTAGAAATCTTAATATTTTTATCAAAGAAACAGATGAGCAAGGACCCTGTCCTCATGAAGCTTACATTCTAGCAGCAATGTCCAAACATTCTAGGTAGGTATCATTACAATGGTCATTCCAGCTCTAGTGTCTTTCTGAAGGTTAGGTGCCCACGAATTTGGGGGAAAAAACACAGTGAAAACTCAATTAAGACTATATTTTGTATTTTTTTCCCCAAAATCTTTTTTTTTTTTTTTTTTGAGACAGTCTCTGTTGCCCAGGCTGGAGTGCAATGGCGCGATCTCAGCTCACTGCAAACTCCGCCTCTTGAGTTCAAGTGATTCTCCTGCCTCAACTTCCCGAGTAGCTGGGATTACAGGCACCACCACCACATCTGGCTAATTTTTTTATTTTTAGTAGAGACGGGGTTTCACCAGGTTGGCCAGGCTGGTCTCGAATTCCTGACCTTAGGTGATCTGCCCACCTCAGCCTCCCAAACTGCTGGGATTACAGGCCTGAGCCACCATGCCCAGCCCCAAAATCTTTTTGATGAAGCCTAGCATTTCATGGTTTTTGTTTTTCTGCAACAGCAAGTCAGGACAACAACATGAAGGTATTTTCAGAGCCCTTCCCTGAGTTTATCCAACAAAACACCATCCTATGAAAATTCTGTAATTTCCCCTTAATACCCAACCACCTATTTGCCCACAAGAAACTCACCTGCAAATCGTCTGATGACTAATACATCCTAGTGTGGTTTCCCTGGAGCAAATACCCAGTGGTTAGACATTTCATAATCCAGAAAAGCTGTCATCTGCAAACCTAGAAATTCCACTGTGTGTTCCTTCTTTTAGATCAATTATGTAAATAAGACCCGAGGGACCCCACTGTTTACACACCTCTAAGCAGAGAAGAAATCCTGATCCTTAGCCTTTATTGTGGTCTTTAAGGCAGATAGATTCTAATGCCTACTCTGTCACTACATGTGTAAACTTACGCTAAGCACATCACCTCCCTGTGCCTGGATACGCTCAACTATAAAATTTAAGGGTAGCCAGGCGCGGTGGCTCATGCCTGTAATCCCAGCACTTTGGGAGGCCGAGGCGGGCGGATCATGAGGTCAGGAGATCGAGACCATGGTGAAACCCCATCTCTACTAAAAATACAAAAAATTAGCTGTGTGCAGTGGCGGGTGCCTGTAGTCCCAGCTACTCGGGAGGCTGAGGCAGGAGAATGGCGTGAACCCGGGAGGCGGAGCTTGCAGTGAGCTGAGATCGCGCCACTGCACTCCAGCCTGGGCGACAGAGCGAGACTCCGTCTAAAAAAATAAAATAAAATAAAATAAAATAAAATAAAATTTAAGGGTTGATCCCTTCCAGCTATAATATTCTTTCTATTCAAAGTGACACAACTGCATCCTTAATTCTAAGACTCCAACTTCGACACAGCCTTTGACAATATAAAAGGACAGCAACACTTTTCCCCTCAAGAAATTTCAAATATTCAAAAGGCATCCCTTCTTTTCATTGGAATATCCTTCATCTCCAGAGGATATAAAGAGGTTGCCCACGTGGACTGGTAAAGAAGGGAAACCAAGTAGACTGCACCATCTGGACAGCCAACACACTAACAAAGGATTGGGGCACAATGGACACTCATCACAAAGAGGTGACACACATTTGGCCATGAGATTTGAAATTTTCCTCTAGCTCTCCTTCAACACTGTGAGACAGCTACCACCCAAATCAAGTAATTTATTAAATCTAGTTCACTGGATAGATCTAGAGTATTTGGAGAACTTGGCACTAAGGTACCTGGGATTTCTTACCTGCCAGCTTCAGAAGACATCTGGGAATGGTAATTTCCTAATGTCTTTGTAGTGAAGACTGTAAAATTCAAGTTAAGTATGAACTTACATCAACGGCAAGTTAAAGCCAAGCTCTGAGAAAAAGGTTTGCTTCTAAACCTCAATCCTCTCTCCTTCTCTAAATATAAGGCTGTCACTAAATATTTGAGGCATATTAGCAAAAAAGAAAACAAAGCTTAGCCTGAGTGGGAAACAAGTCCATAGTTGATTTTTGCCAGTTATCCTATCTTCTCACAAATTTCAAAAGCAACTCTAACCCTGCAAGCTTCAGATTTGCACAAAACATTAGAAACTCTCTTCCAGATACATAAACAGAACTACAAAGACCCAGAGGAAGGAATTCAGATTTCAGAAGCTTGCAACAGACTTGAACAATTTCAAAATGGTACCCCAGGTGCAAACATTTCAAGAGCTAAATGCCATGTGGCCTGGCATTTAAATTTCTCAGAAGCCCCCAAAATAAGGGCTAATTAGCCCTAGAACTCACCTCCATCACTCAGTGATCTCAGCTCTCATATAGGACCAATAGAGCCCCCAAACTACTGAGTTTTACATAGTACTGACTACAGTTTTCAACAAAGTCATCCTCCATTCCTCTCTGATATAATTAGAAGACATAAATTCAAAAATGTCAAAGGCTAGAAGACTGGATCAAAATAAATAGGATAACATTGAGAAGGAACAACAACAACAAAAAAAACTTCTCCAAAAAAATCTGCCCAAGAAATACAGGATGCAGCAGCTCACAGAGCAAATATCTGGGGGTTTTGACTATCCAAAACATGATTATCTAATAAAGAAGTTTGTGCTCGGCACTGCCTAAGAAAATCATAGGCAGTTGTAAGCTTAAGGTGCAGTAAGTAGACATTTATGCTTAGGTCTCAGCAAACAGCTGTCTTACTGTACTCTCTGTTGGCCAGATCACATCTCAATTACATATTCAATTCCAGATTCTCCATGTGAGATGCCGATAAACTGAGAAGACATCGAGAAACCACATCCCAATAAAAGACTGTGAAAAGAATTGGGACTAGTTTGCATTAGCAAAGTCAACTGGGGGTAAGGGGACATCATATTGTCTTGGTGCATTCAAAGAGAGTAGGCAGCTCCAAAAGAAGAAAATCATTGGAAAAAAAAATTCAAGGAGACAGTCTTCAGCTCAAGTAAAAATACAACAAACAGTCCAAAGGTGTAATAACCTGTCTTCAGGAGAAGTTCACGGTTCCTGGGGTTAAACAAAAGTTACCTAGAAAGGGTAAGAATTTACTAAAATAAATAAATTGGATAGGGCCCCTCTAAAATGCCAATTCTGATTTCAATGATTCCCAACTTACTCCACTATCATACTGTGCTCATCTGCTATGATCTCCCTCCAAACTGCCCCTTTCTTTCAATAAGGATTTGCCCAGACCCTAATCACATCAGACCTGAGCACAAGTCTCCTACATCAGCTTCCTAAGCTCAATGTTATTACTCCTCCCATGTCAAGAACCACCTCCCTTCAAGACCTATTCTGAGATCTAAGGGCAGGCACTATCGCCATTTTGGACAGGATCATTCTTTGTTTAGGAGGAAGGGGGTTGATGTCCTGTGCACAGTAGGATGCTTATGTATCATCCCTGTCCTCTAGCCACTAGATGACAGCAGCACCTGCCACCTCGCTATGATAACCATAAATGTCTCCGACATTCCTCAATGTCTGCTGAGAAGCAAAATTGCCTACTTCTGAGAGCCACTGGTCTTGAGGCAAATGATTAACACCACTGACTTGTGGTTAAGTTTTTCACGAACTAGGTTCCCTCTACCCTCCTTTATTAGTCGTATATTCTGTTCCACATCCCTGACCACTGTCAAAAGTCAATTCAGATTTCCACTCCTCCCTCAGCATACTTCATAAACTTTTATCTGGTTCCACACACCCTGGATTCTTAGACAACTGTAACTGTCTGCTTCTGCTGGCATCCTCATGTGTGCCTGTCTTATCTGCTCTCTGTGATTACTACGAGAATCCTCTCCTGCCTTGTTAAGATCCCACAGCACCCACTCCAGTTCTCTGCTTCCTGCTGGCACTCAACAAATATTAACTGGTGTTTCTTAGAATGTCAAACACCAGCTCCAATTAAAAATAACTGAAATCTCTTACAAGCTACCACTTCAACAACATAATAATCATGATTACAAAGTTTTGACAAACTTTTGACTTTAATAGCTATTTTGTCTACAGTACTGAGAACAGAATCGAGTCTAATTTCCAAACTATAGCTACCAAAACAATTTAACTATTTGGACATGACAAACACATCAGAATTTTCTAAAATTAATTTTTAAAAATGCTGCATAATATAAAAATTAAGGGAAAAGGGGCCTAGTTTTTTTCTTTTTTCTTTCCATTAAACTTTAGCGATTTTGAGAAAAAAAGGGCCAAGTTTTGACCATGTTTTTTAAATGCTGGAAAACACAGCAGGGAGAAAATGATATGAATATGGCTCAATACTTTAAGTGTTGCATCATATGCTACTCCACATGGTAATGGAAGGCTGGGTCATCTAAGGACAGTTTCCTCTCCAACCTTCTAATCTGTTAGGTTTTAATCAACACGCACACATACACTCTCAATAAAAACGAGACAAATCTAACATAGTGTTCAAATATATAAATAAACTGTGCCAATTCAAGATTTTGGAATTTTTCCCTGGCTCCATAGATTACCTAATCATTTTATGGGGGGCTCCATAAGTAACCTACAGAGACCAAACACCCCAAATCAACTTTTCGTGACCCCTGTTTTAACCACCTAATTTTCATCTCAGATTCCTCCCCATCTTGCACTTGGATTTTAACAGGGATTTAGTTAGTTGGTGTCAAGACAGATGAAGCAAGAACCCCAACTCTCGCCTAGCTGACAGTAGGTGTTTGGTCACTATTTTTGGACTGCAAAAATAAATGCTGCCTGAGGACCCCATTTACAGGATATGGTGCAGGGTTCTTCCCACAGGTCTGTAAGAAGCAGAGGTCCCAGATGCTATGGCGAGGAAGGTCTGATCACTCTCATTCTTGGCACTGGGAGGGGCCCCTTATTTGTTTATAAGGTAGACAGCCCTCATCATTACTGCAAACGGGGATTCCCTGCCTGTCCAGACTCTTCCAAAGTCCGGTACAAACCACGTAATAGGTGCTCAATAAACGCTGCCTGTACGGAATTTTACTATCAAAGCTGCCAAGGAAAGTTTCCAGAAATCAGCTCTTCCAAAATATGTCCTCAGAGTTTTCTTTGTCCAACAAAAAAATATTTTTGAAGATCCAAGAGCAGGAAATCTGCGAGGCAACGAGGAGCCAAATATAAGCCAAGCGGCTCCAGCTGGGCCCCACATTCCGCTAGGACTCCCCAGTACCTATTCCCCATCTCTCCGCCTACATCCTGAGTGCGCCCTCCCTCTCATCTCGGCTGTTTCCTTCCCACAACCCTACCTCCATACTTTCGGCCACACACACCCCAAGTGCGTGCTCCTGGAACCTCACAGCCCACCTCTCCCTCTCCAGCAAGGACCTACCTCTCTTCCCCTCGACCTGCAGCAGTTCTTCTTCACTGCAGCTGGCTTTTTAAGAAATCAAAAAATCTCATTTATCTGCAAGGGATACCCCCTAGTAAAGGGTGACGGAAAGGAGAAGGCCCCTATCAACCCTCCAGTAACTGGAGGTGCTGGTCCTCCCGGCAACCACCCCCAATTCTCCTCCTTTTCAAGCCCCTGGACAGGATTTGAGCAGAAGTCCCGCTCCCAAGAGCCCACGCCTCCAAACAAGCTAGAAGCGGATTATACCGGTACCCAACCCGGAGACGGCCCGCGGACGGCTGGGTGCACCTGCGGGCCCCCAGCTCCCTCCCACAGGCGCGGGGGGCGGGGCGCGGGCCTTCACCTCCCCGCCCCCGCCCGCCGGGCTCCCAGCGCAGCCCACCCTGCACAGGAAGGAAGCGGAGGGGAGGCGATTCTGGAGAAGTTAAAGGGCTCACCTTTGGACGCCGGGCCAGCAAGGCCAGACACCAAACACCCACCTCCGGGAGGAACCAGCAGAGCCGAAACCGGCTCTCCCCGCCTTTCCGATAGGGCGGAGGGAGGTGAGAGAAGGGAGCGCGCGCGAGGGGTTCAGGAGCCAGGAAGCCGCACTCCCCTCCCGCAGGGCCGGCCGCCCGGGGCCGAAGCGGCCGACGCTCAGACTGCAGAAAGCGGAACAATCTCCCAGGCCCTGGCGGCAGCAAACGGGAGCCCACTCCGCTCGCCGCCACCTCCTCCCGACCCCCGGACGTCCCCGAATGAGTTCCCGGCCGCAACCGCAGCTCGGGCCGCGGCGCCTGCGCCAGGGTTGCGCGCTCCGGCTCGGCGCGGCTCCACCTGCGCGTCGCCTTCCCTCGCAGCCCCCGGCCCCTGCCGGGAGAGGTGCGCACCAACCTTGGGGTGCAGCTCGGCCGCCAAGCCACGGCTTATGCTGAGGCCGGAGGTGGCGGCATCACCCGCGGCGGGCGGCGGCTGCACCGGGACGCGCCGGGGCGGCGAAGGCGCGCTGCACCCTGGACCCTGCTCCCGCGGCCCCGCCCGCGGCTGCCACCTCGAAGCGCGGCGGAGGAGCCGGGGCACCACGGGCGGCGGCAGCGGCAGCGGCAGCAGCGGCGACGGGAGCAGCAGCACATGACTCTGTAACGAGGGGAATTAGACAAAGCGTAACATGGACTCCGGGCCCGTGCAGGCGCTGCAGCTCTGGGACCAACCGCAGCCGGCGAGTGCCGCGACTGGCCCGGCCGCAGCCAATGGGGCGGGCCCGGGCCTCCATGTGATTGCGAGCGCTTTCTCCGGTGGCCCTGCAGCGCCTGACCGGACGGGGTCTGTGTGGCGAGGGAGGGGACCCGGGGTTGGAGACTGGCGGCGAGCGACTGCTAGATGCGGAGCAGGTGCTTGGGAGGGGAAGAACGGCAGCCTACATAACCATCGCCGTAATGCTCTCGCAAGCGTCCACCTGGGCAGGGCTCGGTGCCGGGCAGGCGCAGCTGCCAGTTAGCTGCGAGGCATGGTCAGGAGCCTTCACCCGTCCTGGGCGAAGGAGGCTGTCCCGTCGACTAAAACTCTGATATTAAGACTTGGCGCTGGGGGTGGGGAGTTGAATTACGTTAAAAAGTCACTTAAGTGCCTTCCAACTCTAAGGAGAAGTACTTATCTGAGCTTTGGGGCACACACAACTACTACTTGGCATGGAGAGTTTCTCAGCTTCATGTGTTCCGTCTGTTATTGAAGCTGTATTGGAAAGTCGGTTCTTGTTTTTATCTGAGCCCGCCGTTTTCATCCCATTCTTTTCGTCAAAAATATGTTACATCTGAAAGAGGCAGATGAAAAGATTATTCTATGCTAAGAGGGTTTTGCAGCCCGATAATGTCACCGTTTTTTGTTGTTGTTGTTGTAGGATCGGGGTTCATTTGCAGTCTTTTTTGTGGGTGAGCAGAGGCAGGGGCCAATAAATAAATTAAGGCGGGATATTTGGAGTTATTTGGTTGTAATAAAATATGTGGTTCAACCCAGTGCTTTCATATCTTCTTTTATCTGAATCCATGTGTTTCTGTAAACCATCGGAAGTCTAATCTGTCTTCTACCAATATCTCTCCATGTCAGCAAATGTTCAATCAACGTTTACCCAGCATCTAAATATTCTTAATAAGCATGCTGCACAAATGTTACAGGTACTCAGGAAGGTGTCGGTTCAGAGACAGTGAGACATTAAAGAGAATGATTGTCCAGGGTTTCAGAAAAGGATTCAGAGAGGAGCTGATAGAATTGACCCTTGGATGGTGAGCACTTGGCCCTCAGGCATTGGACGTGAAGAAGAGCAGCCCAAACAGGAACATGAACAGAGAGGTCCAGAATACACTCAAGGGACTGCCCGAGACCCGTTACAAGATGCCACCAGATTCTGAGCCCTCGGCCCTTTTGCTCTCACTTTCCTTCCCCGACCCTCCTTGCCAGCAGCCACTCCTGTTCCACACACTGCCAAGAAGGAGGTGTATGGGCAGGGAGTGTGTGTAAGTGATCTAATCAGTGTCAGATTTGCTGATCTAAGAGATGAGAGGTCTTTTAAAACTTAACAACTAGTGGTGTGATATTTTTATTGAAAACAGCCCACTATTATAATGAATATGGAATGTTTTGCTGTTTGTAAAAAAAAAAAAAAATTATAGGCCGGGTGCAGTGGCTCACGCCTGTAGTCCCGGTACCTTGGGAGGCCGAGGCAAGAGGATCACGAGGTCAGGAGTTAGAGACCAGCCTGACCAACATGGTGAAAACCCGTCTCTACTAAAGACACAAAAATTATCTGGGCATGTTGGCACGCACCTGTAATCCAAGCTACTCAGGAGCCTGAGGCAGGAGAATCGCTTGAACCTGGGAGGCGGAGGTTGCAGTGAGCTGAGATGGTGCCACCACACTCCAGCCTGGGCGACAGAGTGAGACTCCATCTCAAAACCAAAAAACCAAAAAAACCAATCTTCTGTACTTTGTTCTTTTGATCTTCCCTGGGTTTTAAATTGTGATTCTAGACTTGAAAAACATGATTTTAAGATTGGTATAAATCGAGAAAAGAAAAAAGTGATATTCAGAAAACAGTCAAATGTGGAGAAATAGACACTCACACACTGTAAAAGTAAGAGGAAATTGGACAAACCCCTTTGGAGGACAATTTGGAAATTTTTGATAAATAGGTGTGTTCCCTTTGAATAGGTAAGTCCATGTCTAAGAGTTTGTGCTTTAAGCATATTTGTGCAAAAATTATGTCAGAAATATTTACACATGTACAAAAATATATATATACGTGTCTTATTGCAACATTGTTTGTAATAGTGGGAACATGTAATGGTGTAAAAATCAAATAATAAAGTCCCAGTAGGAAACTGTTTAAGCAAATTTTGCTAGATCTGTAGAAGGAAACCATAAGCAGCCATTAACAAAAATAAGCTAGATCTATTTGTACCTACATGGAAGGATGTCCAAAATCTATAAGTGAAAAAAAAGGAGGCTGCAGAACAATATGAATAGTATGATTCCATTTTTTTGTACTTTTTTGCATTAAGATATACATGTTATTAAATGTATGCTTCAGAAGAAGTCTGGAAGCATATATAACAAGCTGTTAATGGTGATTATCTCTGGGTGTGGGATTACTAGGGCCTTTCATCAAGTTCTGTATGTTTGAATTGTTTTTATATTGAGCACATATTACTCTGATAATCAGAATAATAATTTTAAAAATTTAAAGGATTGTTTTAGAGTATATTCAGGCTATTATAACAAAATACCATAAGCTGGGTGGCTTATAAGCAACAGAAATTGGCTGGGCATGGTGGCTTATGCCTGTAATCCCAGCACTTTGGGAGACCTAGGCTGGAGGATCACCTGAGGTCAGGAGTTCGAGACCAGCCTGGCCAACATGGTGGAACCCTGTCTCTACTAAAAATAAAAAAATTAGCTATGAGTGGTGGCAGGCACCTGTAATCCCAGCTACTCGGGAGGCTGAGGCAGGAGAATCACTTGAACCCAGGAGGTGGAGGTTGCAATCAGCCAAGATCATGCCAGTGCACTCCAGCCTGGGTGACAGAGTGAGGCTCTGTCTCAAAAAAAAAAAAAAAAAAATTTTTATTTCCTATAGTCTGGGGGCTAGGAAGTTCAAGGCAACAGCAGATTCCACGTCTGTGTGTGTGTGTGTCTTCTTTCTAGTTCAGAGAGGGTGACTTCTTGCTGTGTCTTCATATAGTGGAAGGAGTGAGGGTCTCTCTCAGGCCTCCTTTTTAAGGCCACTAATCCCATTCATGAAGGCTCTGCCATCATGACCTAATCGCCTCCCAAAGGAATGACCTCCTAATACCATCAGTTTAGGGGTTAGGATTTCAACATATAAAATGGAGGGGCGGGGGACGCAATATTCAGACTATAGCATGGATCAAACTAGTAAGAAGTCTACCAATGATAAGTAATGAAAAATAACTCTGATTATCTATGATGTAAAAACAGAAACAAAAAAATCAGCCCATCAGTTTCCCCTTTTCCACAAAAAAACAGAACGGAGGCAGCAAAGGACAATAACTGATTTGATGTTGGGTTCAGAATTAAGAAATATGATGGAAAAGGAATCTGAGGCTACTCTAGACATATCTACAGAGAAACACATGGCTTCTAGGAAGTTCTATTCAACAAAAAATAGAGCACTTACTATCCTTTGCTACTTGTTATGAGAATTGGCAACTGTTTCAGCACATGGTAAATCTGTATCAACAATAACAACTAATACTTACGTAGGTCCTCTTCCAAATACTTTACACATACCTTAAGTCTTCACAGCAGCCCTATGAGATACTATCCTCATCTAATAGATGGGAAACAGAAGGCTTTAAAGAGGCTCTGTGACTAGCTCAATACCACATAGCCTTTAACTGACAGAGCTACCTTTTTAGGTCAGGTGGCCTGGCTCTAGAGGTCCAAGCACTTAATCACAGTACTGCCTAAAAGGACCATGTAAGATAAAGGGCATTATTTGTGCATCTCCTCTTACCAAGTATGATGATTCTAACTTGATTTGTTCTTACCTAAACTATAGCATGCTCCAAGACACTCAATAATACTTTTGAATGAGGGAATGAATAATTGACTTTCCTACAAAAGAAGAATCTGAGCTCCTTGGAGGAGTGATTTTGCATTCTTCCATTTTATCACCTAGCAGAGTGCCTAACATATGGTAGGCAATATGGGTTTCAATAATCTGTAAACATGTTTTTGAAAAATTTTGCAGCAATCAAACTTTATAAATTGATCTCAAATGCACTGAGGTGGCTTATGAGTAATGTCATGATGAATTCGTTGGAAAATGAAAAATAGCCCTGGTGGGCTAAATATGGATATACCTGCATAGTCATACACAAATAAATGTACAGTATATTTGCTTGAAAGTGGTAGTAATGCTGAAGAGTTTCAAATTATTTGAGCCTCTCTCTCACCTCTCTCAGTTTCCTCATCTCTGAAATGGGAATACTAATACATACCTCAGTTGATTATGAGGGAAAGAGTTAAATGACATAATATGTGGAAAGGGCTTAGCCAACTGCTTAATAGGCATCGCTCAGTAAATGTTACCTAAGTACAACCACATATTATAAGTGTGATCAAATTTCTCAATCTAGTGTGTCTCTTAATAACATAACTAACATAATATGCAATATCTAGAGCACTTTATTTTTAAAAGACAGGAACTCAATACATATGATGCTTTAAAATTACATGGTAGGAGTTCAGCCTAAGTAAATGGTAAAACAAATGTTTTCTCATTTTCTTTCCTCCCCTGCGCTACCTACTACTTTAATGTTCTTTCTATTCTTTATATGGGTTAGACCCATTTCAAACTTTCTTTATATGGGTTAAACCCATTTCACTTCTCAGACTTATTTAAACTCTTGCGGGTTGTTTTTTGTTTGTTTGTTTGTTGTTTGTTTGTTTTCCGAGACAGGTTCTTGCCCTGTCACCCAGCCTGGAGTGCAGTGGCGCCATCACCACTCTCTGTAGCCCAAACCTCTTGGCTCAAGCAATCCTCCCACCTCAGCCTCCCAAGAGCTAGGACCACAGCATGCACCATCATGCCCAGCTATTTTAAAACAAAAAATTTTGTAGAGACAGGACCTCACTATGTTGCCCAGGCTTAAACTCTTAGCCTTATAGGTAGCTAAAGAGGCAAACTGTCTCCATTCCTCACAGCTAAGGAAATTGAAATGACTAGACTAGCAATGAGCAGGTTGAAAGGGGAGAAGCACTGTGGAGGAAATGGAGCTGGACGGGATGTGGGGGATAACCCTCCGCGAGTATGACACAACATCAAGTCCAAAGAGGAAGGGAAATTGCCAGACTGCTATAGTTAGAAATAATATGGCGAAATTGAAACTAGAAAAACTAAGGGTACATGTCTTAACCACAAAAAGAAGAAAGAAGTGGATCTACGCCTTCTAAAATGGATTCATAGGGCTGGGTGTGGTGGCTCACTCCTGTAATCCCAGCACTTTGAGAGGCTGAGATGGGAGGATTGCTTGAGGCTAGGAGTTTGAGATCAGACTGGTCAACATAGCAAGACCCCCTTCCCTATTTAAATAAAAATAAAAAATGTATTCGGAGAGAGTGGTAAAATTAGGGTTATCTATCTAAGTGAGTGGGTGCATCTTAATAGGTAACCATGAAATAAGTGTTCCCTTCAATAAACTGTAAAAAAAGAAAATATACCAAATTCAACTGCCTATGAATTCGTACCCATATACTCCACCTTCCTGCCTGCTTCTACTATGAATGGATCTCAAAATAATTGTCTCTACTCATTGTCTCCAATTCATCCCCCACCCCCATCTTAAACTTAATTGAATCAGGGTTTTACTCCCAAAGCATCAGTAAAACTGATCTTGCCAAGGAAAACAATGACTTCCACACTGCTAAATACAGTCAACAATTCTTGGTCCTTACTTGACCTCTCAGCAGTACTGGACACCATTGAATACTACTGCCTCTTCAAGTGGACTTCTCTTGCCTTTCAGGACACCAAACTCACTCCCTTCAATCAGTTCATCCAGTTATATAGCTTTGAATTCCCCTTCTATGCCAACAACTTTGCATTTATGTCTCTTACTCAGTCCTCTTTCCTGAGCTCCAGCTTGTGTTTCTGACTGCCTAGTTGGGTTTCCTACTTTCACGTCTAATAGACACCTCAAACTCCACATGTTCAAAACTGAACTCCTGATTTCTCCCCAAAACTTGTGCATCCCACACAGCTTTACCCCCTTACTAAATGGCAATTCCATTCTTCCAGTTGCCTGGACTAAAAGCCCCAAGTTATCCTTGACTCTTTATCTCATGCAACTCACATTGAAATAGGAAATTCTGTTGGCTCTACTTTGTAACTATGCACTTCCACGGCTACCACCTTGGTCCCATCCACCATCGTCTCTCTCCTTGATTAACTCGTTAGTCATCTAATTAGTCTATGTAGTTCTGCTTCTATCCTGTTCCTCCCCACAGTCTATTCTCAGCAGCAGCCAGAGTGATCATTTTAACATATGTTTGATTGTCTCACTCCTTTGCCCAAACCCTGTGATCACTCCCCATTTTACTCAGAGTAAAGCCAAAGTCCTTACGGTGACTTGTGAGGTTCTTACATGATCTATGTACCACATACCCAAACGTCACTCAGAGAAGCATACCCAGACAACCATATCTAAAATTGGAATCCACTCCCTGCCTGCTTCCGTTCCCATCACCCTGCTTCATTACTTTCCCTTGGGCACTTATCACTGGCTTATTATATTTTTTGTTTATTATCTATCTCTTCCTGCTAGAATATAAGCTTTTTGCGGATAGGAAATTTTATCTATTTTGCCCACATGTATTTAGAATAGTGTCTGGCACATAGTACACACTGAATAATTATTTTATAATGAATTAATGAATTTATTTCAGATTTCTAATCAATAGTAAATGCAGGAGAAAATTTTTCCCAGGAAGAGATTTTTCCACATCATGCTGTTCTCTGAGTTTCGTTAATTGAAAAAAGGCATTCATATTCAGAGTTTCCAAATCATACATACCTATTACTAAAACAACACCTAGTAGTTGACATGGCAGGAGATGAAACTTAGTGGAAAACATTACCATTTTTGCTAATCTCTTTTTTTTTTTTTGAGACGGAGTTTCGCTCTCATTGCCCAGGCTGGAATGCAATAGCGCAATCTCAGCTCACTGCAAACTTTGCCTCCCCGGGTTCAAGAGATTCTCCTGCCTCCACCTCCCGAGTAGCTGGGATTACAGGCATGTGCCACCATGCCCAGCTAATTTTGTATTTTTGGTAGAGATGGGGTTTCTCCATGTTGGTCAGGCTGGTCTCGAACTCCTGACCTCAGGTGATCCACCCCCCTCGGCCTCCCAAAGTGCTGGGATTACAGGCGTGAGCCACCACGCCCAGTCAATTTTTGCTAATCTCTTATAAGGAAAAACAATCTGATCTGACTTAACAAGTAAACAAAATTGCTAAATAGTAATTCCAAAGTCCTAAATTATATTCTAATTAAGGAAAACATTTAAACAAAGTAACACAATAGTGAAAAGAATAAGAGCAGATTAAACATTCATTTTCCTGTAACATATTATTTATTTTAAAAATGTCATGTGAGGTAAGGCTGCTGTGTATTCTAATTGGCTAAAATAAAAGGTTTAAGTGAGAATAAAGGAACACAGATATGACACAAAATAGCAAGTGGGAATCTAAGTTTTTCTAATAGAAAGTTGAAATGGCAAAAAAAAAAAAAAATCCTCAAGAAAATCACCATAAGAAAAGAATTGAGCAATTCTTAAAAAATTAAAAAGCTCCCAAAGCAAACTGATTTGTATGGTCACTTGAAAAAAGGAAGAGTAATTGCTGTTTCTAAATGGTGAGTTGAATGTTTAGAAATCTACATGGAAATTACTTTGTTAGTATGTCTCCTCATAGCTCTTGTCTGTGGGAAGAGAAGATGAGCACAGCCAGAAACCTTAAATGTCAAGATGAGGCTGAGCAGTGCCTGCGCTGGAGAGAGGAATGTAGGAACAGGAAGAGAGAAGCCAGCTTGTGGGGTTTTCTTACTCATGAGTGAAATTCTAGCATTCTGGCTTTAAAAGATTAATATATCTGAGCATTGTTTGAAATTTCACCTGACAGCTTCTCAAAGCAGCAAAACCTGGAGATGATTTGAAAATAAAGTTCGGACTGAGAGGTTGTCGCCATGGAACTAAAAGTCAGTGTTATCCTAACGTGAGTGGCTCCTTGGGCAACACAGATGCACAGAAGAAGGCAGCAGTCCTGTCTCCTGTTGCTGATCATTCTCGAAGTTGGTGCCCTTGCTCAGCTCAGGCAGGGAACCTAAGCCAAAGGGGAGTGTGATGCTTACATTTAAGTGTCAATTTGATTAGGTTAAGAGATACCCAGATTGCTGGTAAGGCATTATTTCTGGGTATGTCTGAGGGTGTTTCCAGAAGACACCGGCATTTGAATCAGTGGACTGAGTAAGGAAGATCCATCTTCACCCAATGAAAGCCAGCACCATCCAATCAGTTGAGAGTCCAGATAGAACAAAAAGGCAAAGGAAATGCAAATTCAAATTCCTTCCTGGAGCTGGGACAGCCATCTTCTCCTGTCCTTGGACATCAGAACTCCAGGCTCTCAGGCCTTCAGACTCCCGGCCTTGCACTAATGGCCCCCCTAGGATGTCAGGCCTGCAGCCTCAGACTGAGAATTATGCCATTGGCTCCCCCGGTTCTCAGTTCTCTGGCCTCAGACTGAATTACACTGCTGGTTTGCCCAGTTCTCCAGTTTGCAGATCGTGGGACTGCTTAGCCTCCATAATCACATGAGCCAATTCCCATCATAAATCCTCTTTTACATATCTCTATATAAATATGCTATTAGATCCATTTCTTGAGAAAATCCTTACTCATACAGGGAGCTGAGACTATGAGTCTAAATCATCCATTCTTGAGACTAGTTGACCAGCTACCTCCCATTCCTGAGCCTCTATTATATCCCCTGGAAGTTTTTCTCCAGCATATCAACAGATAGTTCTCCTGACACTTTCCTCAGTAACATTTACCTATCTCCTAAAATCTGATCTTTCTTCTCTTTAAATGGAGTAAGAGTTTTATGAGTTAACTATGTTAGTCTTTCTTCTCTTCTTGTGTGACACCTGGCTGACAAGCTGTAGACCCAAAGCCTACAAATGTGTTTTCACTACACAGTGTTCTAAGATTTTTAAAATTAGTTGCTGATATTTAGTAATCAGGAGATTTCACATAAATGCCTAGATTTCCAGCACCTTTTACCATCCAGAACAAAGTGCAAAGTAGGGTGAGGAACAACCCAGAAAAGGATTCTGACAGCTGTTTGAGTGGTAAACATTGGATTGGGGTAATCCTCTTGGAGAGGGGTAGAACTCAAAGCTCTGACACCTACCCTCATTACTCTGAACCATTAACTGTAAGATGCAATCACATATTGCTTTTTGTGTTCCCTGCTATTTCATGTAGGTTTCATTTAACTCTCCCAACTAGGACCTAGACTCTGTCTTAAGTTTCTTCAGTCTCCCCCACTGCCTTTCACAGTGATGAATCAGTGATTATTAATTTATGAAATAATGCCTATGTTCGATTCTTTTTGTTATTTGTTCTCCTTGTCATTGCCATATATGCATGCCTTCAAAAAGCATTTATTTATATACATGATCAATAATAACCTTTATTGAGTACTTGCTTACTGTGAGCCAACCATTGTGCTCAAAATGCACATATCAATAAAGCATATTCTTGCATCTTTATGAGCCCACAGTCTGTGAGGCGAGACAGAAATTCAGATAGAAAGATTATACTTCGCCTTGGGTGCATCAAGGGAACCTTCAGAGAGGAGATGGTGTTTTTTGCTGGGTCCCAAAAGATGAACAGAAGTTCACCTAGCGGATAAAACAGGGAAGGTTCTACCAACAGAGGGAACAGTATGAGCACAGGCACAGAGCTTGTCTTCATCTCCATTCTATCAGGTAGCATGGGACAAGCAATGAGGCCCATTCTAAACCTAAATTCAATGAGCCATTGAATAAGGATTACACAATTTCTGTTTACACTGTGCATAAAACAAAAGCCTTGGCTGCTTTTGCCTCACTAGCAAACATGCAAGTAAAGAACTCAGAAAATTGCTTTTTTTGATGGAGGTTTGTTGACTTTTTAACCTCTCATCAAGAGTCTAAACATGAAACTCTTTGCCTTTTTCATTATGAGCACTAGACTTGAGTGGCAACTCAAAAGAATTGCTCTTCTTATCCTGTCTCCTTTTGATTAATTAATCAAAGTTGTATACATCAAGAATAAATACTTCACACTCATTTTGATCACAAGTAATTTGTTATGGTAATAAACTTAAAAATTATTCCTGTCATGTACAAATTTCTCCTTTATTTCTTAGCATCTTAAAAATCTTTTCTTTTAGCCAACACAGCCAGACAGTACTTTGTCCTGCTTTGAGCAAGCACTTTTATCTTCTGAGTTATCATGGAATGCTTGAAATAATATGGATTCTAAAGAAAAATTCTAAAGAATGGTACATTATAACACTAACACTGTTCAGAGAGAATGGGCTAATTATCAAGAGAGGAAGGTCTTGCACTGCTGAAGTCTAACTTCCTCCCTCTCTGGTCCCCAGACCTTAGACACACCAGTAGCACTTAAATAAGGCTGTGTTTGCATGCCTCACACTGCGTTCACAAACCCCAGGTCAGAGATGGTTTATTGTAACCCCATTAGGTAAAGGCATGGCTGAGCCCCAATTTAGAAGGTCATGGTGATAATAGGGAAAGTAATCAGGCGACTTTGGAACAAATAGCATGGTTGGGTACGAGCACTATTAAGAATAGGGCTTTACTTTCATGCCTGGAAAGACCTCCATGATACTTCAGCTAAAATCCAGAGGGCAAATGGTCATGTCCTAACTGCTATGACACGAATGGGGGCAGTCCTGTAATTTGTGACTTGGACCTCTTGCCTTGCAGGACAGCTGAGAACCTTTCCTTAGAATCAACTTTGACCCAAAGGGACTCTTGAGTTTGGATGGAGGAATGATGAAAATGTTTATTGCCACAGTGCTTTATTCTTTGTAAGAGCTCAAGCTCTTTTTTGTTTGGCTAGTTGCTGGTTTTCGTGGTGGTGGTGGTGGTGGTGTATGCGTGTCTATGTGTGTGTTAGTTTTACATGATAATGAACAAAAATCTGAAATCTTGCTTATTTTCTCCCACTTGCTTCATATCATTCATACTCCTGGCTGATTCAAAGCAAAGATAAAGAATCTGGAGGTGCAACATGCTGGAAGCAGCTTTGGGCAGCCAGGACTTCTCATTGCCCAGGAACTCGTCCCTCCTTCCCACACCCTGCCCTCTGCAACCCTGAGTTCCTCCTCTAAACCTCTCACATAAATCTTCACTTTCTTTTAAGTTCATTATAAACCCCAGTGTTGTGTGTTCATGATGTTGTGTGGAGGCTGCTGTCCAAAAATAAACTATTGTATTGCACAGGGAGAAGGCAGGTTTTCAGAGGCGTGCCAGCTAACCATGGTGTTCAGTCGCACTTATTGGTTAATGTCTGCAAATTTTCTTTTTCTACGAAAAGTTAAGTAGGGCTCATTAAGCTCCTCTGGTGTAATTTTTTAAAAGAAAGGAAAAGTTAAAAATAGTCTAAGCACAAGTATTAGAGGCTTAGAGTTGTTAGGAAGAACTGATGAAGAGGTCTGGAGAGATGTTTTCACAATTGAATTTCATAGCCCTGCAGGAGTGGCAGAACTCCAGCAGGAAGGGAAAGCTGAAGGGCTAGGACAGAGAAAGTTTCAGGGGCAGAGCAGTGGCTCCAAGGATGGACTCACATTCAGGTCCTGTTCAATATGGATTTTATCAAGCACCTACTAACATATAATCTATTAAAGGGCAATAATGAAGTTCCTGACCCATGTCTGCTTAGGAAATCAGGATCTTGGTACAATTTCATGAAAGAGTTGGGACTGAAAAATCTAAAGGACCATCTCATTTTGAGACTCCAGCCCTTTGAAGAAGATAGCTGTCCTTACTCATCAAAGGATGATAAGGCCTTGCCTGCTGTGTGTTGTCAGAAAAGAGAAGACAAGACAAACAGGTAACCAGCATGTGAATACAGCATTACCCCTCACTAATGACCCCCTGTGCTGCAAGCTAAAGTAGGAGGCTTCAAGCTGCATTACCTTGTATCAGTGAAAGGAAAGTCAAGGAGAGCCTTGGAGATGAAATGTCATCAACGAGCACTCTGTAGCCAAGAGCTTTACCAAGGGTTTAGATGCCAGCTGCGGGGGTGTTGCTTGTGGACTGAGCATATGCAAGTTTGTGCATCTCTGACATCTGAGCCAGCTCTCCTCTGACAACTGCCCCCCAGGTCTCCGTGGTGATGCCGACCAAACCGGTTCCCAATGACTTAGGGGCCCTTTTGTTTGCATCAGTGTTAATTTGGATTTCCAAATATGTGAAACTTTTCACTGCCTCCTGGAAGGACAATGAGAAAAGTGGGTTGGGAAGGAATGACTCATTCTATAGGAGGGAGGGAAAAGCTCCAGCCTCTCCCTAGGTTAAGTCCCTGCTATTCCTCCTCCAAGCAGACCATGTGGAACACATGGGGTTGACTTAGAAGATCTTGAAAGTGTCATCCAGGGATGACTTCTGGGACTTGGGCTCTATCTCCCACCTTCCCTGCCTGAGAACCATACTGAGAGGCCATCAGGTGAGAGATTAAAGCAGCAGCTGTCACTTGGCAGAGATGTGGTAGGGGTATGCAGGCACCAGATTGTGGACCTGGGTGACCTGTGAGACCTTTGTAACCCTATGATGTTAGGGTTCCACAGATCTGGGTGATAGCTCCTGAGTCCAAGGAAGCTCAGTGCAGGAGGAGTTGCACAAGCACTGGTGGTGGCTGAGGTGTCTCTTTTCTTGTGTCTGGCTCATGCCACAGGCTCTGGAGCCTAGCCCTCCTTGCTCTCTTGCTGAGCCGTCCTCCTAGTAACTCACCCTAACTAACAGCAATAATTCTGTGGGCCTGACTTCTGGAGTGCAATATGTATATTATAAACCATTTATTAAGGGATTATTATTTGCCAGCACCATGCAGGAATTTTACCTACACTATCTAATTTATTAATCAGCCAGGTTCAGGTTCAGGTTCAAATCCTGACTGTACTATTTGATATCTGGGTCACTTTAGGCAAATTACTTAACCTCTCTGAGCTGTATTAGTCAACTCGGGCTGCCATAACAGAATACCATAAACAGGGTGGTTTAAACAACAGAAATTTATTTTCTCATAGTTCTGAAGACTGGAAGTCTAAGATCAAGATGTCAGCAGGGTTGGTGTCTGGGTGTCTGGTGAGCGGTCTGTCTTTAAGTTGCACCTGGCTGCCTTCTCACTGTGTCTTCATGAGGCCTGTCTTTGGTGCAAAAACCTCACATGTTCTTTCTTGGAGGGGAGGGGGTGAAGAGAGAGAGTTTTCCCTGGGTCTCTTTTTTTGTTTTTGAGACAGGGTCTTTCCCTGTCTCCCAGATTGGAGTGCAGTGGCACAATCATGACTCTGCAATCTCTTCTCCCAGGCTCAAGCAATCCTCCCACCCCAGCCTCTCGAGTAGGTGGGACTACAGTTGCACCATCACACCCAACTAATTTTTAAAGTTTTTGTAGAGACGAGGTCTCACTATAGTGTCCAGGCTGGTCTCAAACTCCTGGGCTCAGGCGATCCTCCCACCTCAGCCTCCCAAAGTGCTGGAATTATAGGTGTGTGCCACTGTGCCTGGCCTTCTGGTATCTCTTCTAATAAGGACACTAAACCTATTTGTTCAGGGCCCCACTCTTATGACCTCATTTAACCTTAAATATGTCCTTTGAGGTCCCATCCGCAAATACAGCCACAGCAGGGGTTAGAGCTTCAACATACGAATTTTGGGGGTTCACAAACCTTCAGTCTATGACAGCCAGTTTCCTCAGTAATAAAATGTGAATAAAAGTGGCACTTAGATAGCTGAGAGGATTAAATATGATAACGCATGGAAAGTGCTTAGCAGAGTGCCTGGCACAGTGCTAAATCATGCTTACCACTGCTAATATGTGCCAGAAGTGGTGTTATTATTATTAGACCTACGTTACACAGGCAGCCCAGGCTGCTGGTAGCATAACTAGTAAGAGGAGGGAGCTACAGTATTAAACATGGGTTTGTGGGTCTCTAAAGCCTGGCTTTTTTTTCTCCGTTGTGCTTCATTGCTTCTTAAGACTCACCTTACATCATGTAGCAATTATGAGACCCAGAATCATTTGAACTGTCCTCAGAGCAGAATAGTGTCATCTCTTGTTTCCTATTAAACACACTGGCATATAGATCACCAAATGGTTTCACTTTAAATTATCATACCCTCAAGTTCAGGGACTGTGTCTTAATATATTTTTGACTCCCCAGTGTCCAGCGTAGTGGCTTTCACATCAAAGACTCCCAGTAAATATGTATTAAGTCGAGCTGTATTAGATTCACAGGAAAAATGAAGTTAGTGCAGTAAACAGGGCTCCTCAGCTCCCCTTGGCCATCCCTAGGTGCCCCATTCTGACCCCAAAGGCATTGTCCCCACACTTCACATGCCCTTTATGAAATAAGGTAATTTTTAAAGTGTTTCTTCTCCTGTATTTCTCTCTTTTTAATCATTCTTCTCAGTTTGTTCATTCACTTATCTATAAACAATCATTAAGGGCTTATCCAATATCAGGCTCTGTTCCTAGAGTTGGGATAAGATAATGTCTAGGAACCCTGTTCCTAGAGTTGGGATAAGAAAACCAAAGGTCCTGTCCTCACAAAGAGGGTACAGCAAGTATCTAGTGGGTGAGGTTGGAATAAAGTTTCTAAGGGAAGGCAAAGACGTGTGCATCGTGTGTCATGCCCTGGTGGGAGAGGTGGAGGGTGCCTTGGGAACATGTAGCAGCAGTGCATTCCTGGACTTGAGCAATAATATCACTTGGAGCCATCCAGACTGAGCCATGAAGTGGGGTGGGAGCTACACAGGTAAAGGGCATGGGGAGAGAGTTATGGTGTAGGTGAAGAGAAGTGCCTGGGAACTGCCAACACAATGGGGATCTGATGGCTATGAAAGGGAAGAATAGGAAAGAACAGAAAATGAGGTCTCTGCCCTCTAAGAGCTTCCACCCTTCAGAAACAAAATGTATAGAAGTGTGGCAGCTTGAGAAAATGTTTCAAGTAGTAGTAACAAATGGCAAATCATATCATTAGAAGAATGCAACAAGAAGTATTTTGCCAAGATGAGGTTCACAGACTACCTATGTCAGAATCAGCCAAGATCCTTGTTAAATATGCAAGGATACGATCCTAGACTTTGAGAATCATAATTTCTTAGGGTAAGTTCTGAATATCTTCAAGTTTGACAAGCACCCTTGGTGATTCTGATGCCTATTAAGGTTTGAGAACCATTGTCAGCCAGTATTTATCTGGCACCTACTATGGTTCAAGAAGTCCCTACAGTCAGGATCAGAGAGGAGAGGTGTAAGGGCCACAGGAGGTGTCAATGCAGACCCTATGGCATGAAGGTTAGGTGGTCTCAGAGGAGGAGGAAGAAAAGAGGATGTTTCTAGTAAGTGAGGTTGGAATAAAGTCATTTAAGAGAATCCAGAATGAAATATTTATGGACAAAAAAAAAATTACTGTGCTGGCTAGAATGGAAGGACAAGGTTGTGGAATAACAGTTTATTTATTTATTTATTTATTTTGGAATAACAGTTTTAACTAAAGAAATTCTAAGGAATTCTGCAATTGAAAGGCATTTATTAGACAATAGGATGTTATTACATACTCTTCAGTAATCAAAGCCTTATTGCTTTGAAAATGCTATTGGTAGGAGTTAATAGTACACTACTTTTGCATTTATGACCCTGGGCACATCACTTAATTTCACTGAACCTTGATTTCTTAACCTATAAAGTGGAGATTAATAATACCTACTTTTCAAGGTTGTGAGGATTTAATGGTATCCACATGAAAATCCTATTCTGGACTAATGCTATATTAAAACAAAAACAAAACCAAAACCAAAATACAGAGACCCACACAGACACAGCCATTTTCATTGCCCATCCTGTGGCTTGTGACATCGGATCCATTGATAATACTGTATCTTTTTACTGTTTATTTCTTCTCTTCTTGGCTTCCCTTTTTGGTCTCCAGCTGCTCCAGGAGGCTTCCTGCTTGTGTAGCCAGCCTTCTCACGGAGCGCCCTCTAGTGTCAGATGCTGTAATGACTCATTCTGTCTGCACAGTTCAAGTTTCTAATGCAAGACACACTGTGCTTTGAAGGCTCTTGTAGCCTACATAAAAACATCTTTAATAGCAAGTTACACATCAACACCGAGGAAAAATTACTTTATGACTTTACAGGCATAATATTAATGACTTATGAACAAATTTATTATTGAAACAAAATCTTTTGGTAAATACTGTGCAGGTTGAGGATAGAACTCAGGAACCAATGATGCTTCATCCTGAAGCTTCCTCTTTCATGATTCCAAAGCAACTGGCAAAATGTTTCCCTCAAATGCTTTTTAATGATGATGATTTTGCTTACAAATTTCTTCTTCTTCTTCTTCTTTTTTTTTTTTTGAAAGAGTGGCAAATATTGAGAGTCTGATTTCTGGGGCCAGTTCTGTTATTGGATAATTGGGTGACCTTGGTTAAGGAATGCCCCCATTCTGGATCTTAGTTTCTGAAAATTAAAAATGAGATCTGTAGACTCCATGATCACTCAAGTCTCTTCCAGCACATGGTTCTTTGCTTATATGCAGAGGTGGTGAGAGGAACGGATCTCACACTGGGACAGGAGTCAGAAGACCTACATTTTTATTGGTGTTCCAATATTTACTAGTTCTGGAAACTTGGTCAATCATTTAACCTGTCTGGGCCTTAGTTTCTTCATCTGCAAAATGGGAAAGAGGCCTTTTCGGCCTTATTCACAGAATTATTAAGAGATTCGAGAAAAGATACTGTTCACAAAATACTTTGAAAATTACAAAGTGCTATAGAAAATGCAAGGTTCAAAAATAAAGACCTTGGCCCACTGCAGTGGCTCATGCCTGTGATAATCCCAGCACTCTGGGATGCCGAAGCGGGCAGATCAGCTGAGGTCAGGAGTTCAAGACCATCCTGGCCAACATGGTGAAACCCTGTCTCTACTAAATATACAAAAATTAGTTGGGCATGGTGGCACATGCCTGTAGTTCCAGCTGCTGAGGAGGCTGAGGCAGGAGAATTGCTTGAACTGGGGAGGCAGAGGTTGCAGTGAGCCGAGATCACGCCATTGTACTCCAGCCTGGGTGACAGAGCGAGACTCTGTCTCAAAATAAAATAAAGACCCCTTCCAGTCATCTTTTTACAAATGATGCACGGAAATTAAGGGCTTTAAACACAGACTTATGTCAGTTTTATTCCTAGTCCCACCAGTTAGTGGCTTCTGTAAATTTAGGTAAATCTAAGCCATATTTCCATTAACAGGAAGAGAAGTCGACATTGTTGTGGCGATTAAATAAGAAATATATGAAAGGGCTTAACACAAGGCGTGGCACATAGTAAGACATCAATATATGGGTGCTATTATTTTTCTCTAATCAATTTTATTCTAGCTCTTAATGGGTAAAGTAGCTAAGGAAAAAAGTTAAATGATTTTTCATTTAATCAAAACCTCATTCCTAGAACCTTTTGTGGAATTTTATTTATTTATTTAGGAACAAGGTCTTGCTCCAGCACCGACGCTGGAGTGCAGTAGCACATTCATAGCTCACTGTAGCCTCTAGTTCCTGGGTTCAAGCTATCCTCTTGCTTCCGCCTCCTGAGTATCTGGGACTACAGGTATGCATCTGTATAGCAGGGTGATTTTTAAAATTTTTTGTAGAGATGGGGTCTTGCTATGTTTCCCAGGCTGGTCTCAAACTCTTGGCCTCAAGCCATCCTCCTGCCTTGGCCTCCCAGATCTCTGGGATTACAGGCATGAGTCACTGTGCCCGGCCTGGAATTCTTTTTAGACCTGCTGTTTATCTCACGTCCTTAATTCTAGGAATGTGTTATGTTAATGGGAAAATCATCAGAAGGCCTCAGACTGTGTAAGAATGGCAGGTTAAGGTACATGCTTTGTTTAGAGGTTTTTCTGGTAATGTACTTAAATAGCCAACTCAGAAATTCAATATCCTAATTGATTTAAGAGGCCAGTGCTACAAAAACAGGGTGATTATACAAAAAACTCCCAATATCTAGATTCTCTGGATTTGGAATTCTCTGTCTGCTGGACCACGGTGCTCACAGATCTGGCACCGGCTTACCCAGCATACGCCCCTGTGCTCTGCCAAGTAAAGACTAAACATCAGGACCGGTGGCAGGACAGCCTCTCCTTGTCACTGGGTCCTCAACTCTGGTTGAGGGCATCACATCATATAATTTGAAAATAAAAACAAAACACAGCTGGAAGCCCAGTGAGATGCTCTGAGCCCATTGCTAGCGCTGTGGGCTCTGGTAGGTGCTGCTGGGACTGAGTAATGAAGATTTAAATAGGCTTGTTCACTTTGATTTCACAGCCATCCCTTCCATCTCTGTTAGACTTGTGTAAGCAACTGAGGCAAATGCCCCATGGGAGCTAGCTGGCACTTTATCTCAAAAGCATTTAGAGGGCTGATGGGAGAGGTACTTCCATATCAACAGAGGTACTTCCATATCAGTAGTCCAGTGCTATTTCCCCTGGCTTTTGAAAAACAACTCTCATGTTCAAGCTGTGTAACAGAAAGGGATAGCTCAGATTGCCAAACAATACAGACAAAAGAAGCTCTGGGCCTCCCTCCACTTCTTTCCTAGCCTGGTCTCCCTGACTACACAGGAGTCCCTCGAGGAGGACAATGAGAATCACATGGAAGAACAGGTGCAGAGAGTTGGAAAGTGATGGAGCAAGCCGGCTCATTCCTCCCACATTTCTCTTGTTTTTAAAATTAAGACTCCTGCAAACAATATGTTTAGTGTGATGTGCATTCAATTAGAAGCAGAGTGACCAGACAGTGGTGTTTTACAGCCATGCAGCTGCCAAGCCGCCACTCCACCAGGTGAGGAAGCAGAAAAGTCATGTCCAAGCTTTCCTAAGTGCTCCCTCTCCACAAAGGGCATCAGGGCCTCTTTGCACATTGTCCCAAACAAGCTCATCGAAATGGGCCTCTCTGCTTTCTGAGGTGCTTCTTGCTTTGTGATATCCCATGAGATGGGTCAGAGAGGACCAGAAAGGAGATTGTCACTGAAAGGGCCTCTTTCTGCATTTTAAATCCTCTTGCTTATGTAATTAGGAAACCAAACACTTTATAACAGGTCAAGGCCCACCAAACTCTAGTATCTATGACATAAATAATAAGCCCCTTCATAAACAAACCTGCCTTTTCTGCAGAAATCCGCTGAAGTTAGAGAATCTAGATTCAAATCCCAGCTCAGCCACTGATCAGCTCTGTGATTTAGGGTAAATCCTCCAGGACTGTAAACAGAGAAAGTATCTTCTACCTTCAAAACGTGGTTATGAGAATAAAAATTAAAATGTGGGCTGGTTTATGCAAAGGCTGTGGAAATTGAAGGGGATGTTTAAGAGTGCCTGCCTGGCCCTTGGTGCACATCCAGTAAATACCTATGGAGTTGGCTACAGGAGTGGGAGATGTGGGATGTCAGGCCTAAAGCATGCAAGCTGATGGGGAGATACATGGGGGCTTTATCTTTGCCTACTCCCTCCAATCATTTACTCTGTTCATATGTGAAACTGACTTCAATTCCACTCAGCTACAGTATCCCCACCAAACAGCATCCACAGACTGGGCCATAGATCAGTCTCTAAAAACCATCACAGCAGGGCTGGGCATGGTGGCACATGCCTGTAATCTCAGCACCTTGGGAGGCTGAGATGGGCAGATCACCTGAGGTCAGGAGTTCAAGACCAGCCTGGCCAACATGGTGAAATCCTGTCTCTTACTAAAAATACAAAAATCAGCCAGGCATGGTGGTAGGCACCTGTAATCCCAGTTACTTGGGAGGCTGAGGTGGGAGAACCGCTTGAACCCAGGAGGCGGAGGTTGCACTGTGCTGAGATCACGCCACTGCCCTCAAGCCTGGGTGACAGAGCGAGATTTCGTCTCAAAAACAAAACAAAACAAAACCCAAAACCGAAACCATCGCAGCAGCCTGTTAAGTGGCCATGTGCCAAATGGCTTATTTGTAATGCCTCCTAAAATCAATTTTCCTATAGATGTTGCACCAGAAGGCCAGGAAACAGCCTCCTATGGACTAAAAAATAAGGAATATCCAGCTACAAATGGTAACCTCACAGTGTTCCTCCCAGGATTGTTTGTCAAACTCTAGCGCAGAACTACTTATGTGGCTTGTCATATGCGGAATCGGATCCCATTTGTCCACAGTGGGGCCTGACATCAAGTTCTCAGGTGACGTTGATGCTGCTGGTCCTCAGACCACCCTTTGAGCAGCAAGGCTGTAGAATACCATCAGGGACTCAATCATCTCTCCTCACATTCCTATATTCATTGGTTGACCTACAGCTGTAACCCCCACTTCATGATCTAACCCCATCAAAACGTGGTGCTCCCTCTCCTCCTCCCAGTTTCCCACTCACTTCCTCTTTCCCAAACCCTTCCACTGAGCCATCTGAATCTCCTGTCTTCCCAACTCTTGGTCATGTCTGTGAAGCCCTGTTCCTTTGTGGTTCATGCAGACTTCCCGATCTGCTCCTCCCTGCTCATTGATGACTACAGTCATAGCCCTCCTGTCTGTCTCCAGCCCTGCCATCATCTTGGCTAGAGTTCACATCTCATGAGTGGCCCCCACCCCCGGCCTCTTTAGTTCTCCCTCTCCAGTTCACCTTCTTCTCACTTTCACCCACATACCACTTTGTATGACCATGGTCTCTACCTGAAAGTCACCCCAAACCATTCCATCTCCCATAGGGCAATTCAGAAAGCCCATCCTGAACTCAATTCCTACCCCTCCTCCTTATTTGCTCTTCACACCCCCTTTGCTGCTGCTGCTGCAATCCTTCAAGATTCCCCACTACCCAAGGCCCTGTCTGTGTTCCCCTCACCTCCTCCTTTCAGGTCAAACCCTCTGTCATATGCACTTACAGCGCCATTTGCCTCCCTTTCATGGTGTAATTGAAAGTGTAGAATTTGAAGAGCCCAGTCATAAGACAAATTTATTTTTTCCCATGATTACCCCTGTAAACCACCCTGAGGGGACAGTTTCCTCTAGCAGCCACCATAGATTATCTGGTCATGAAAAGTGCTCTGTCACTTTAGCTCTTGGTAGTTAATTGTGTCCAGTCTGGAGGAATAATAAAAACTATGAATCATTCAATGTTGGCCCGTTGTGGGCAGGAAACCTGCAGTAGGAAATGGGGATGTGGTCAGCTTCTCTCTCTACCGCTCCAGTTTCTCCTTCCAGCTCTATTCCCATTCCGCCACCAGGTGCAACTTCTGATTTCTGCAGGGTTAGAGGGGAGGTAGGATAAGGGGCTGAAAATCTTCTGCTGAGTGCTTGCGCTCTGTGCTCTTTGGGCTGGCAGGTGTTCCGAATTCTCCCATGGGCTGCTCTGAGATTCTTTGGCGACCCTGCTCCCGGGATCTCTCACCTGTACTTCCCTGATTCGGGTGATCCCTCACCCAAATCTCAGAGGGGATCAGGTGCCCATTTGAATCTCCCCCTGAAGCCCCTGTTCTCAAGGATTTAATGCTTTCTGTTGGGATAACTTTAAAAGTGGCCTTTTGGGGCAAAGCCCCTTTAAGGAGCCTCCTGGTCAACTCACAGCTCATCCTTTGGATGTCTGAACTTCAGTTTCATGGCAAAATGCACCTCTGACCTGTTGTCAGGGGAGTAAACTTCCCAAATTGTACCCTCTGCACTGTTGCCATGGGCAGCTTCAGTCAGACTCCTGGCCTTTAGATTTCCCAGTCACAAAACAGATACCAATCAAAACTCCACCTCCAGTGACACAGTCAATGGTTCCAGAAGGTCTCCTGCAGGCCCATGGCCTCTTCTGCATTGTAGGGAGGTGGGGTGAACCACACACTGTCCACCCATCAAATCCTCCTTCTGTGTTTCTAGCCTTCCTCTCAGAAACTCCAACCTCTTTCCTAGGTTGGAGAGGACAGTCAGCTAAGGTGTCAAAATCAGTTCACAGCCTCCTTTGCAAGGCCTGTACAGCTGAGCTAGTAATTCACTCTGGGATAAGGGAGCACTTGCCAACTACTGTCTTGTGTCCTCAGCCAAAGCACAGTTGAAATCCCATGTTAATGTTCTGCAGCAGTACTTCCCATAGTAGCAATGCTACACTTGTTTTGTAATTAATGTTTGCTTGCCCTTCTAAAAGGTGATCTCCGCGAGGTCTTGGATCATGTCCATAGCACATTGACATTGACCACAGCATCTGGTAGTATAGTAAGTGAATTTTTTTTTTTTTTTTTTTTTTTTTTTTTTTTGAGACAGAGTTTCACTCTTGTTGTCCAGGCTGGAGTGCAGTGGTGCGATCTCACTGCAGCCTCAACCTCCCGGGCCCAGGGGATTCTTCCATGTCAGCCTTTCAAGTAGCTGGGACCACAGGTGGGTGCCACCACGCCCGGCTAATTTTTTTGTATTTTTAGTACAGACAGGGTTTCACCATATTGGCCAGGCTGATCTTGAACTCCTGGCCTCAAGTGATCTGCCTGTCTTGGCCTCCCAAAGTGCTGAGGTTACAGGTATGAGCCATCGTGCCTGGTCCACATGGCCTTCTTTTAACAATGCCAGCCGCCATCCCATCTAGGAAGTGAAGAGCGTCTCTGCCTGGCCGCCCATCGTCTGAGATGTGGGGAGCGCCTCTGCCCCGCCGCCCCGTCTGGGATGTGAGGAGCACCTCTGCCCGGCCGCGACCCCGTCTGGGAGGTGAGGAGCATCTGCCCGGCCACCCCGTCTGAGAAGTGAGGAGCCTCTCCGCCCGGCAGCCACCCCGTCTGAGAAGTGAGGAGCCCCTCCGCCCGGCAGCCGCCCCCTCTGAGAAGTGAGGAGCCCCTCCCCCCGGCAGCCGCCCCGTCTGAGAAGTGAGGAGCCCCTCCGCCCGGCAGCCGCCCCGTCTGAGAAGTGAGAAGCCCCTCCGCCCGGCAGCCGCCCCGTCTGGGAAGTGAGGAGCGTCTCCGCCTGGCAGCCACCCCGTCCGGGAGGGAGGTGGGGGGGTCAGCCCCCCGCCCGGCCAGCCGCCCCGTCCGGGAGGTGAGGGGCGCCTCTGCCCGGCCGCCCCTACTGGGAAGTGAGGAGCCCCTCTGCCCGGCCACCACCCCGTCTGGGAGGTGTGCCCAACAGCTCATTGAGAACGGGCCATGATGACAATGGCGGTTTTGTGGAATAGAAAGGCGGGAAAGGTGGGGAAAAGATTGAGAAATCGGATGGTTGCCGCGTCTGTGTAGAAAGAAGTAGACATGGGAGACTTTTCATTTTGTTCTATACTAAGAAAAATTCTTCTGCCTTGGGATCCTGTTGATCTGTGACCTTACCCCCAACCCTGTGCTCTCTGAAACATGTGCTGTGTCCACTCAGGGTTAAATGGATTAAGGGCGGTGCAAGATGTGCTTTGTTAAACAGATGCTTGAAGGCAGCATGCTCCTTAAGAGTCATCACCACTCCCTAATCTCAAGTACCCAGGGACACAAACACTGCGGAAGGCCGCAGGGTCCTCTGCCTAGGAAAACCAGAGACCTTTGTTCACTTGTTTATCTGCTGACCTTCCCTCCACTATTGTCCTATGACCCTGCCAAATCCCCCTCTGTGAGAAACACCCAAGAATGATCAATAAAAAATAAATAAATAAATAAATAAATAAAATTAAAAAAAAAAAAAAACAATGCCAGTCATTGGATTTAGGGCCCACCCTAATCTGGTATGATGTCACCTTAACTAATTCTATCTACAAAGACTGTATTTCCAAACAAATCACATTCTGAAGCCTGGGAGGACATGAATTTTGAGGGGGATGCTATTCAACCCAGTACGAGGATATTGGAGAGCAGGGACAAACCAATGAGGTAGGGAGTGTTATCCCCAAATGGAAACAATGATAAACAGCTTTTCCCCTAAAAACTTCCCTAAACCTCTTTTGTAAAATGGATCCCAATATTGGTTTGCATTGTCTTAGCAGATAAATACTCTTTAAGAAAAATAAGGCCTATTTGTAACCAGTAGGGGACCCTGGCTTCATCTGCATTAAAGACCAAGGTGCCAACTGAGCTGGCCTATGTACTCAGTGCACACTGCATGGCACACAGGTCTCCAGAGGCCAGCCCAGGACTCTCTGGGACTATGGTACTGTTACAGCATTTGGGATATCAAAACATTGTTTTGGATACAGAATGAAAATGTAGTTCTTGTTCCCTAAGCTCCTTGCGTGTTTGAAAACATATCTGTCTGACTTAAATGTTAGACCTAAAACCATAAAAAGCCTAGAAGAAAACCTAGGCAATACCATTCAGGACATAGGCATGGGCAAAGACTTCATGTCTAAAACACCATAAGCAATGGCAACAAAAGCCAAAATTGACAAATGGGACCTAATTAAACTAAAGAGCTTCTGCACAGCAAAAGAAACTACCATCAGAGTGAACAGGCAACCTACAGAATGGGAGAAAATTTTCGCAATCTACCCATCTGACAAAAGGCTAATATCCAGAATCTACAAAGAACTTAAACAAATTTGCAAGAAAAAATCAAACAACCCAGTCAAAAAGTGGGCAAAGGATACGAACAGACACTTCTCAAAAGAAGACATTTATGCAGCCAACAGACACATGAAAAAATGCTCATCATCACTGGTCATCAGAGAAATGCAAATCAAAACCACAATGAGATACCATCTCATACCAGTTAGAACGGTGATCATTAAAAAGTCAGGAAACAACAGGTGCTGGAGAGGATGTGGAGAAATAGGAATACTTTTACACTGTTGGTGGGAGTGTAAACTAGTTCAACCATTGTAGAAGACAGTGTGGCGATTCCTCAAGGATCTAGAACTAGAAATACCATTTGACCCAGTGATCCCATTACTGGGTATATACCCAGAGGATTATAAATCATGCTGCTATAAAGACACATGCACACGTATGTTTATTGCGGCACTATTCACAATAGCAAAGACTTGGAACCAACCCAAACGTCCATCAATGATAGACTGGATTAAGAAAATGTGGCACATATACACCATGGAATACTATGCAGGCATAAACAAGGATGAGTTCATGTCCTTTGTAGGGAGATGGATGAAGCTGGAAACCATCATTCTGAGCAAACTATCACAAGGACAGAAAACCAAACACTGCATGTTCTCACTCATAGGTGGGAATTGAACAATGAGAACACTTGGACATAGGGCAGGGAACATCACACACCAGGGCCTGTCGTGGGGTAGGGGTATGGGGGAGGGATAGCATTAGGAGAAATACCTAATGTAAATGATGAGTTAATGGGTGCAGCAAACCAACATGGCACATGTATACATATGTAGCAAACCTGCACATTGTGCACATGTACCCTAGAACTTAAAGTATAATAATAATAATAATAAAAGAAAACATGTCAGTCTGAGTTCTTCTGCAGCTATTTGACATAGCAGAGAGTGATACTCCTTGTCATCCAGTTTCCCAGTGAGCCCACCATCCTGACCTCCCCTGCCCCAGCTGTACTCAAAAGCCCTCTCCATGAGGTGAAGGGAAAGGACAGGTGGAATCTTGCCTCCACCTGCCAACTTGCGGTGGGGTGTGGGGAGAAGCTGAGGGAGCCCTGGGGGCGTGGGAAGCAGCGCTGACAGTTAGACTGTAAGAGCCCAGGGTAGGAACTGGGCCTTTCGCTCAGTACCTTGGGCCAGGTCTGGCACATAGCAGACACTTATGGAATATCTAGAGGATGAATGACTGGTCACTGGGATGCTAGCGGCCAGGTCAGCCCATTTCTCTTTGATGATGTTCCTTCCTGGGTCCTGGACTTTTCAGAACATTAAAATATGGGCTGGGCGTGGTGGCTCACACCTGTAATCCCAGCACTTTGGGAGGCTGAGGTGGGCAGATCACGAGATGAGGAGATCCAGACCATCCTAGCCAACATGGTGAAACCCTGCCTCTACTAAAAATACAAAAAATTAGCCAGGCGTGGTGGCGCGCACTTGTAGTCCCAGCTACTTGGGAAGCTGAGGCAGAATTGTTTGAATCTGGGAGGCGGAGGTTGCAGTAAGCTGAGACAGCACCACTGCACTCCAGCCTGGCAACAGAGTGAGACTCCATCCCCACCCCCCACCCCCCAAAATAGGGTCTGATTTGGGGGTTCGAAATCATGGTAACTGTTTCAGGAAGGGATGTGTTCAGCTCAAGTGCTCTTTGAGCCCCAAGTGAAAGTGCTACTCCATCCCCCTGAAAAAGCAACGTGGCAGCGCCTTCCCTGAGACCTTGCCAGGAAAGCCTGGGCCTCACACTGCAGGAGGAATTCCTTGTGCATTCCGGAGTTACTCTTTACAGGACTCAGTGACTGGCTGGATTTTGACTGAGGGAGAGGGAGGAGTCCATGACTTCTACTATGATTTCTAGAAACTATACCAGGTACTAGTCACGTGCATTGAACAGCTGTTTAAATGATTAATGAAAGAATTGGCTTCTATACTTACAACTTAATTTCACCTAAATATCAGAAAAAATTAAAATGTAAATCAATTGTATAACTTGATGCCAACTTGTCTCTTTTGTCTGGATTCTGGGGTAATACATGGTGAGATTACCTATCCCCACCCTTATCCACAAAAATAACATACAAAAAATTCATTAAGAAGAGATATGTTTATAGGTATTATTACCTCTAATCCTATAGAAAATTAGGGAGCATAAACTAAATTTTCTACGGAACTAACCCATTCACCAGGTGAGGTAGGTCAACATTTCTAGCATGTAACATTTCTAGTAGGCTCTGTATCAGGTCACCTGCCAAACACATTCAATAAGTGTATGAGGTATCTCTTGCTGTATAATGAATTAACCCAAAGTTTAGTGGCTTAAAACAACAAACATTTATTATAGCACAGTTTCTGTAGGTCAGGAATTGGGAGTGACTTAGCTAGGTTTTTACCCCCATCTTTACAAATTGTATAATTGACAAAAATTGTATATGTTCAAGGTATACAACATGGTGATTTGCTATATGTATACATTGTATAATGATTACCACTGTCAAATTAATGAACACATCTATCACCACACTTAGTTACCATTTTGTGTGTGTGTGCGTGTGTGCGCGCGTGTGTGTGTGTGGTAAAGGCACTTAAGGTCCACTCAATTAGCAAATTTCAAGTGAATAATACAGTATTATTAACTATAATAACCATGCTGTAAATTAGAAACCCAGAACTTATTCATCTTATGTCTAAAAATTTGTACTCTTTAATCAACATCTCCCCACCTGCCCCTGCCCAGCCCCTGGTAGCTACCATTCTATTCCCTGCCTCTATGAGTTCACATTTTTTAGATTCCACATATAAATGAGATCATAGAGTATTTGTATATCTGTGTCTGTTTTATTTCAGTTAGCATAATGTCCTTCAATTTCATCCATGTTGTTGCAAATGGTAGGATTCACATATTTTATTATAGCTGACTAATAGTCCTATATATATATTTTTTTCTTTTTCTTTTTTTTGAGATGGAGTCTCTCTCTGTCACCCAGGCTGGAGTGCAGTGGTGTGATCTTGGCTCACTGCAACTTCCGCCTCCTGGGTTCAAGTGTTTCTCCTGCCTGAGCCTCCTGAGTAACTGGGATTACAGGCACCCACCACCACACTCGGCCAATTTTTTTGTCTTTTCAGTAGAGATGGGGTCTTCACATGTTGCCCAGATTGGTTTTGAACTCCTGATTTTAAGTGATCCACCCTTCTCGGCCTCGGCCTCGCAAAGTGCTGGGACAATAGGCATGAGCCACAGCACCTGGCATATATTCTACACTTTCCTTATTCATTCATCCATTAGTGGACACTTAGGTTGTTTCCATATTTTGGCTATTGTGAATAATGCTGCAATGAACATGAGGGTGCAGGTATCTCTTTGATACTGATTTCATTTCCTTTGGAGATATACTCAAAAGTGGGATTGTTAGACTGTATGTGATAGGATTTGGGTCTGTGTCCCTGCCCAAATCTCATGTGAAATTGTAATCCCCAATGTCGGAGGTGGGGCCTTGTGGAGGGTGATTGGATCATGGTGGTGGATCTCCCCTTTGGTGCTGTTCTTGTGACAGTGAGTGAGTTATTGTGAGGTCTGGTTGTTTAAAAGTGTGTAAGCACCTTCCACCTTGCTTTCTTCCTCCTGCTCCAGCCATATAAGATGTAACAGCTTCCCCTTCTGCCATGATTGTAAGTTTCCCTAGGCCTCCCTAGCTATGCTTCCTGTACAGCCTGCAGAACCATGACCAAATTAAACCTCTTTTCTTTATAAATTACCCAGTCTCATGTAGTTCTTTATAGCAGTGTGAGAATGGACTAATACAGTATGAACTTCTGTTTCATTTTTTTGAGGAACCTCCATATTTTTTCTATAACGGCTATACCAATTTACATTCCCTGGCTAGGTGGTTCTGTCTCAGGCTCTCCTATGAGGTAAACTGGATGTCTCCTGGGGCTGCAGTTATCTGAAGATTTCATTGAAGCTTGAGTATCTACTTCCATGCTCATCTCAGTTTCTTGTTTGCTATTGACTGGAGGCCTCAAGATTTTGGCCATGTGGGCCTCTTTATAGGGCTGCCTGAGTGTCCTCATGGCATGGCACTTGGATTCCCTCAGAAAAAGTGATCTACCTGAGAAAATCCTGGCAGAAGCAACACTGCTGTTATAATCTAGCCTCAGCAGTCACACATTATCACTTCTGTCATATTCTATTGGTCACACAGACCAACTCTGATAGAGCATGGGAGGATACCACACCATGGTAAATACCAGGGGCCTCTATAGTCTGAGATTAATTTTCTTCTATGATCACCAAGATCAAACGTAATGCAATTAATTAGAAATACAAATGAAACACTGTCCTTATTTTCAGAAGCACATTTTGCTATTGCTCTTATCCTCTCACCTTGTAACCTTTTATGTGAGTATATTATGTTATTTTGGTTAGGTTTGACTAAAGTTCTGCCACAAAGGAACTTGCAAATATGGTAGCTAAGATGAAATAGAAGTTTCTTTCTCTTTCACATACCAGTCCAGAAGGGGTTGCAGCAGTGAAAGGTGGTCCTGTTCATTGAGGGCACCCAGGGGGTCAGATTCTTTCTATTTATTGCATTTGCCTCCAGGATTCTGACTTAATCTGCACAGTCAAAACTGTTTCAGCAGTGCAGAATTTGGGGGGAGGAGGGCTAGGATGTGGAGTTGTAATAGCTTCTTTTATAAGGATGTGACCTAGAAATTGGACTCATCAATTCCACTTACATTCACGGGCCATAGTCAGTCACATGGACATGCCAGCCTGCAAGAGGAGCTGGGAAATGTAGTCTCCATCTGGTGACCCATGTGCCCGGTTGAAACTTGTGGGGCTGAAGAGGAAGAGAATAAATCATGGGGGTCAGTTAGTGTTCTCTGTCACATAATTGAATAGACAGCAGATAGGCAGAAACTACATGACACAGTGAGGCTCTGGGTTAGGAGTTGGAGCTGCTAGCTCTACCACTAGTTATAAGACCAGATGTAAGTTATTTATTGATTTTCATCATCAGTAAAATGAGCTTATTGAACTAGTCAGCAATTTCCAATTTATAGGCTTTAGACTCGGAGGGAACTTAGGTGTGCCTGCAAGGAATTTTAGGAATGTTTGTGAATCAAGCATTTTGTCAATGGAATGAATAATACATCTTATACATGTGTATACTACTAATTTTCAATGTAGGTAATGTCATAATTATTAAAATATAATATTTAAACTTTTATTAAGTTTGTAGTTGATTTTACTTTATTAAATAATTTTCTGAATGTCCAGAATTACAATGCTATCATATGATGGTCTGTGACCTTTTTTAATATTAAAAAAAGATTTTTGTACTTGCATTCCCTGCACATAACGGGCATTCAGTAAACATTTGTTGAGTGGATTAAATAAAACGTAAGGCACCAGTGAATAAGATGATCACTTTGGTCTCTGCCAACTCTAAATTCTTATAAATCCTTTACTCTAACTCTGAGGCAGTTTTCCAGGTTGAGTTTTTACTGTAATCAGTCATTTCTACATAATTAAAACCAGCTCTGGTCTACTGCACCAGTTACCAAAGACTGGGAGACATTTCTGTTTCACATGCATATAATAGCACCACTCACTTAGTATTCAGGTCTTCAAAATCTTTTCCTGGAAAGAATCTTTCCTTGTTGTAAAAATGAGGTCTGTGGAACTTACATGCCACCCTTTGAAGGTTTCATATTATAAATTCATTCAGAAACATGGATTACGTCTGCTTGTAAGGGGAGAATTAGGAGACAGTGTGGCACATCCGCAGTGGGAAGGACATTTCAAAGGCTCGTCACAAAAACCCAATTATTTATTTTGCCATACAGTGGCTATTAAGTTCTGAGATAGTGACATAAGAATATAAAATAAAATATGTTGGCCTGTAGGTTGAGAAAGTTCATGGTGCTCCCCTCACGCACCTCTGAGACTATCCCAGGAGGAAGGATGTTACCGTGGATCAGCCATGTTCAGGGACAGTCTTGGGTCATACTTTTTAAGGCATGGAGCATTAGAAGTGGAGCTTGAAAAAGCTTGACTTAGGGGCCTATACCACTTCTGGCTCTTGAGATGGTTTTCCTCTGGAGGGGAAAGGAAGAAGGAGAAGACTTGGCTTCTTCATTTCATTCTCTCTTGCTTCTTCACTCTCGCCTTTTCCCATCTTCCTGGGTAAGTCAGAAGGGCTGTGCTGAGTTCACCTGAGGGCTGGGGCTGGCTGCCCAGAGAAGCTCTGACCTGTGCATTAAGTTTCATTTTACAATAGAGAAAATTGTTTTGAAGTGTAACAACCCACAAATTCAAAGTTAGAAGGGTTTGGCGCAGTGGCTCATATCTGTAATCTCAACACTTTGTGAGGTTCAGGTGGGAGCATCACTTGAGGCCAGGAGTTTGAGGCCAACCTGGGCAACATAGTAAGACCTCATTTCTACAAAAAATAAAAAATAAAGAAAGCCAGATGTGGTGGTGCACACTTGTAATCCCACCTACTCAGGAAGCTGAGGTGGAAGGGTCACTTGAGCCTGGGAGGTCGAGGCTGCAGTGAACTGTGATTATACCACTGCACTCCAGCCTGGGTGACAGAGCCAGACCCTGTCTTTTAAAAAAAAGTTAGAAGGCTGTGGTTTAAATCCCACCAACTATGTGATATTGGCTAAAATATTTAGCCTCTTCTTTTCCTGGAAGAGTGTGTGTGTGTGTGTGTGTGTGTGTGTGTGTGTGTGTGTGTGACATATCTTATAGGAGTTAGGAGTAAATGAGCTTCCAGAGATAACAATTGTCTGCTATATGCCAGTTCTTTTTTGATGTTGTTTGTTGTTTGATTTTGTTCTTTATGAGACAGGGTCTTGCTCTGTCACCCAGGCTGGAGTGCAGTGAGATGATCACGGCTCACTGCATCCTTGACTTCCCGTGCTCAAGCGATCCTCCCACTTCAGTCTCCCAGGTAGCTGGGACCACAGGCATGAGCCACCATGCCTGGCTAATTTTTAAATATTTTTGTAGAGATGGGGGTCTCCCTATGTTGCCTAGGATGTTCTCAAACTCTTGGGCTCAAGCAATCCTCCTGCTTTGGCTTCTCAAAGTGTTGGAATGACAGGTGTGAGCCACTGCACCTGGTTCTATATGCCAGTCTTAAGAAAATAAATAAATGTTTCTTAGGAGAGGTCCATTTGTTCCATTTTTAAAAGGGATCCAATGTCATAACTCAAACTAGAGGGCACTGGCTCATTCCTGTGCCTCATAATGCCCCAGGGAGGCCCAACAACTTTGCAGCTCAGACACGTTTTCCCTCAGCTCTATCTTCTCACCTCGGGTTTGAAAATGGAGGGATTTGTAAGGGAGGATCTACGTTCATGGCAAAACTTCATTCTGCACTCCTGTGTCCCCTTCAGCCAAGGTCAAATGGTCCAGTTGGCCTCTCAATTATAGGTCCTGATCGTTAACAAAATGAACATTTATTCAGACATACCATGAATAATGTTAAGTACCCTACATAATCTATTTAATCTTCAAAACACACCTAAGGAGAGGCTCTGTTTATTTTTATCCTATTTTTACATATGAGAAAATTGACCCTTAGACAGATTCAGTGATTTGCCCAGGGAACACAGTTAATAAGTAGGAAGCTAGTGGCTGAATTTGGCAGCCTGACCTTAAAGCCTCAACTCTGACCCACCTGTCGCTAGGTTCCCTTATTGATGTCTCACCTGCGGTTATACCATGCATCCTAATTGACCTCAACAGTCCTGGCTTCCACTATTCTGTCCCTTTTGTCCATGAAGATGCTCTAACTTGTCAAATTCTGGGTCTCAATTTCTGGTAATGTTTTAACCATAGGTGACAATCATGTGTTCATTTAACAGACACTTACATAGTGCTTACTATTCTAGCTGTTCTATTGAAGTTAATTTATTAAATTAATATTAGGGTTAATCTAATTTAATCCTTATAACAACTGCATAAAGTACAGACAACCCTCCATATCTGTGGGTTCTGCATCTGTAAATTCAACTAACCTCAGATCAAAAATATTTGGGGGAAAAAAATTGCACAAAGGTCCATAGAGCACAACTTGAATTTACCATGCACTGAGTACTACATTGAATCTACATGAATAAAATGATGTGCAAGCATTGGATCAAGTATTGTAAGTAATCTAGAGATGCTTTAAAGAATATGAGAGGATATGAGTAGGTTATATGCAAATACTATGCCATTTTATATAAGGGACTTGCACATTCACAGATTTTGGTATGAGGGGTGTCCTGGGACCAATCCCCAGGATGCCAAGGGTTGCCTATATGTATTAACACATTATTTCCATTGTACAGATGGGGAAATTGAAGAACAGAGAGGTTAAGTAACTTGGTCAAGTTGACGGGACTAATAAATAGTAAGTGGCTGAGTTGGGATTCAAACACAGGCTACTAAGTAGTAACCATGATGCCATGTTGCCTGTACGTATTTGTGGTATTAGTAAGTGGAACATTTACTGTATGCTCAGCACTCTATTATGGGGGATATAGACATGGACTTTTGCTGCCCACAAATTGCAATACAGTATTTTCTTTATCAGCAGTTTTCTTTCCATGGTTTCAGTTACCCATGATCAGCCATAGTCTGAAAATATTAAATTAAACATTTCAGAAATAATCCATAAGTTTTAAATTACATACCATTTTGAGCAGCATGAAGAAATTTCACATCGTCCGACTCTGTCCTGTGGGGATATGAATCACTCCTTTGTCCAGTGTATCCACACTGTATGTGCTACCTACCTGTGAGTTATTGACATTGTCTGCTCCTGACATCCAGCCATGGACACATCACAAGAAGAAGGGTGAGTATGGTATAATAGGATATTTTGAGAGAGAGAGACCTCATTTGCATAACCTTTCTTACAGTATATTGTTATAATTGTTCTATTTTGTTATTAGTTATAATTGTCAATCTCTTATTGTGCCTAATTTATAGATTAACCTTTATTATAGGTATGTATATATAGGAAAAAAACAGTATTTATAGGGCTTGATACTATCCTTGGTTTCGAGCATCCACTGGAGGTCTTGGAAAGTATCCCCTGAGGATAAGGCGGGAAGACTGTAAACAGTTGCTCAAAGGAGGGTAAAGTTCCAATGGACTGGAATAGACTGAAGGAGTGGTAGGCACCGCTGGTTGTTTATCTCATCTTCTACCATTTCCTCTTCCTTTCTAATAGCATGCCGGTTTTGTTTAGGAGAGCCATGTGCCCAGTAAGGGTGGCCACCCAATCAGGTTCTGGCCAGCAAGATGACAGAGGAAGTCCAGTGAGTGGGGCTTCCAGGAAAGCGATTATTTTCTTGGTACAAAGGCACAGACTCAGTTGGCATGCACCTTGGACCCTTTGCTCCTGCCCCTTCTCTTTGCCTGGGACCCAGACACAACACATAGAGTAGAGCAGCCATCTTACCACCATGAGGACTGAAGCCAGTCGCTGGGGTTGTCAGATAAGGATGTTAGAAGCAGCCTGGTCCTTGGTGATTTCCCTGAGCAGCTGTAAGAGTCCTGGGCTGTCTGCTTCTGGACTTCTTGGTGTGTGAGAAAACAAACCCCTATTTGGTTAAAATAATGTAGTTGAGCTTCTGTTACAAACAATTGAACAAAGTGTTACGTGTAAGCCTTCGTGGTGGAGAGAGTCTCTCTTTAGGGTTTAAAGGTGAGGAATATTCAGCTAGGCTGGGAGAAAGGAGAAGCTATTCCAGGTGTACAGTATGTCCTACCCAGTGGCAGGGAAGCAGAACCAGCACATGCATTCAGGGCAATGTCGAGAGCCAGCCACCCTGGGCAGAGTACAGTTAACTTAATTTTGTAATGCCTAAGGGAGAACAAGAAGGGTAAAGGAGCTGATGTATGAAACAGCATAGAAAGAAACAGCATAGAAAGGCCGGAGACTTGGTGAGAAGGTGAGAAACAAGCCTTGGGCCACATCACAGATTTTATTTTCATGTATTTATTTACTTTTTTTTTTTTTTTTTTTTTTTTTTGAGACAGAGTCTCGCTCTGTTGCCAGGTTGGAGTGCAGTGGCGCGATCTCAGCTCACTGCAATCTCTGCCTCCCGGGTTCAAGCGATTCTCCTGCCTCAGCCTCCAGAGTAGCTGGGACTACAGATGTGAACCACCATGCCCAGCTAATTTTTGTATTTTTAGTAGAGACGAGGTTTCACCATATTGACCAGGATTGTCTTAATCTCTTGACCTCATGATCTGCCTGCCTCAGCCTCCCAAAGTGCTGGGATTACAGGCGTGAACTACCGCCCTTGGCTTATTTATTTACTTTTATAGACAGCATCTCACTTTGTCACCCAGCCTGGAATATTGTGGTGCATTCTCAGCTCACTGTAACCTGGGCTCAGGCGATCTTCCTGCCTCAGTGTCCTGAGCAGCTAGGACTATAGGCGCATGCCACCATGCCTGGCTCACATTTTGGATTTTGGACTAAAGAGTTTAGTCCTTGCCCCAAGTAGAAACACATGCAGACATTTTATACATGTAACTAGATCTTCACACAGTCAGTGTACAAGTATTTCCAAACATTCCAGCCTGTGTCAGACATGGTTCTAGGCCCAGAGTGAAAGGTCAAGATTCTGTAAAATAATGTTAAGCTCAATTTTGGATCCCTAAACAACTATTTTATAGAAAGGGTTCCGTTATCATTTTAAAATGATAAAACGGAGTGTTTTGGGGGGCACTGGCTGGGTTCAAATCGTTCAAATCCTGGCTTTGTCACTTGTTCACTGAGTGGCCTTGGACGGGTTTCTTTACATCTTTGTGCCTCAATCTCCTCGACTGTATTATGAAGTAAATAAAAGTACTCTCCTCAGTTTAATCTTAAGGATTAAATGAGGCAGTACTGATTCAGTGTTTTTTGTCTAATTAACAGCAGATCTAGTTTTCCATTGTTCAGTCCCTAAATCATGGAGTATCCTTGAGACCTTTTTTCTCATCAGCAAATCCTGCTGAATCTAATTTCAAAATAGATCCAACATCCAATTGCTTTGTGCTACAGTGATTACCATATTGGTCATTCCTCCCAGGTATCCTCTTCAGAGCTGAGGTCCCTGTCCTCCACCTGCTGGGAATGTTGGCTGTCAAAGGCATACAGGTGTGTCCCTCATGGGGATTGCCTTGGCTGAGAACTGCCTTGCTCTCCCAAGGGGCAGCCCCCCACCAAAGCCTGGCCAATGTATGGATACGAACACCTGGCCACCTTGCCTGTGGTAGACAGAATGATAGCTTAATCCCCAGACCTGTGAATGTGTTAGGTTACATGGCAAGGGGAAGTAAGGTTGCTAACCAGTTGACGTTCTGATGTAGAGATTGTCCTGGATCATTTGGGTGGGCCCAATGTAATCACAAGCCTCCATGTAAATGAAAGAGGGAGGCAGGAGTCAGAGTCAGAGGAAGAGATGTGTTGATGTGATGGCAATTGCTGGGATTCAGTTGGCCTCTAAAAGGTGCAATGCAGGCAGCTTCTAAGCTTCTAACAGCAGGAAAAGGCAGGGAAACAGATCCTCCCTCTCAAGTCTCTAGCAGAATGCAGCTCTGCTGACACCTTACTAGTCCCATGAGACTCATTTCGGGCTCTTACAATTCTGTTATTTAGAATTGTAAAATAATACACTTCTGTTGTTTTAAGCCACCAAGCTTGTGGTAATTTGTTATAGCAGCCATGGAAAACTAACCTAATTTTGGACAACTCTGAAGGGCCATCCCAGCTCCAGGGCTCCCCATAGGATTGGCTGAGGCGTCAGATGCCACCATCTTTCAGGTCAGCTTCTCTCTCTGACCTATTATGCTTTCCTCAAGTCCTGACACAAGTATCTCCCAAGAGCACGCTCTATAACCCTGTGGATGTAATTGCTCATCTCAGAGTTAGTTTCCAAGGATCCAGATCTAAGACAATATCTTACCTGGGTTGTTATAATAGCCCCCTAAATGGTCTCCTTGTTTATATCCTTAACTCTGCAGTCTCTGCTCAACATGGGAGCTGCAAAGACTCTGTTAGAACATAAATTAGATCAAGACACTCCATAGCTTTCCTTTCCACTCAAAGTAAATGTCAAATTCCTTTTTTTTTTTTTTTTTAAGACAAGGTCTGGCTCTATCACCCTGGCTGGAGTGCAGTGGTGCAATTTCAGCTTACTCCAGCCTCCACTTCCCAGGCTCAATCCATCCTTCCTCTGCCTCCTGAGTAGCTGGGACTATAAGTGCGTGCCACCATGTCTGGCTAATTTTTTGTATTTTTGGTAGAGACAGGGTTTTGCCGTGTTGCCCAGGCTGATCTCAAACTCGTGAGCTCAAGTGATCCACCTGCCTCAGCCTCCCAAAGTGCTGAAATTACAGGTGTGAGCCACCACGCCTGGTCGAGGTCAGATTCCTTACAATGACATAAAAGACTTCATAATCTGCCCAACCACCCTGTCCTTACTTCTTCAGCCTCACCTCCTGTGACTCTGTCCCTTGTTCACTCCACTTCAGCTACACTGCATCCTTTTTGACCATGCCAGTAAAGCTCGGGCCCCAGGCCTTTTGCATTGACTCTTTGCTCATATGCCATCTTTTCCCTGAGGTTCCTGATCACTCTATTTGAATGGCAATTGTCCCTCATCCTACACCAGCACACCCTATCCCTGTTACCTGCATCGTTTTCTGTATGGGCCTGTAAAGGGGCAGCTTAACTTCAAAATGCATTTTAAAATTTTTTTTCCTTTCTCTTGGGTTTCAAGATGTAACCTTGAAGCAAACTGCAGAAGCCTTTTCCCTTAGCCTTAAAATAGACTCCCCATCCCTCCCTTTCTCACCGTATACACGCCCTTCACATTTATCTAACTATATGTTAGTATCTAACTAGGTGCCTACTTAGAAGTTCCAGGGACAAATCCTGAGAGAGACAGATCAAGCCTGGAGACCCAGCTGCAGAATTCCAGAGATTACCTCAAGGTGGCTAATCAACAACCTGGCCATTGTTGAGATGAACGCCAGCCCACACTCCAGGTGGACCGGGACCCAAGATAGCCACTGGAATAAAACTCAGTGCAATTCCTGCATCCCTTCCATATCAGGTCTTCCCTTTTTAAACGCTTGCCTTTCCACCTCAAAATTCAAACTGGTTGCTTTGGATAGGAATCCAGCCACTTCCCCTTAGCCAACTTTGGAAATAAAGTCAATTTTCCCCTACCATACCTCGCTCTTGTTAATTGGACTCTGCAAGCAGTGACTGAAACTGTGTTCAGTTACAGGCTTATAACTTTCCAATATACTATATAGTTTATTTACTTTGTTTATTATTTTTCTTCTCTCATTAGGCTATACGCTCTGTGAAGGCATGTATTTTTATTCACTTACTGCTCTAGCCCCAGTGTTTAGGACTGTGCCTGGCAAAGAGTGGCACTCACTAAAAACTTGCTGAATGAATAAGTGCAGTGCACTATTCTAAAGTATTTAGAACAGTGTCTGACACATAGTGAATGCTCAATAAGGGCTAGCTATTAATATTATTTTTGCCAGTGGAGAGGGGGTCATGAGATTCCTGGCATTGCAGAAGCTACTCATATATATATAGCATTTGATCCCGTGATCCTGCAAGAAGTGGAAGACAAATAATATGCACATGTTAATTAGGAGCTTAGTTTCCTTGTTTTTATGTGTGTGAACCAACCCCTGGGATGAGTTGAATTCCCTTTAGAACAGATGTAAAACCATAGATCTGAGTCTCTCACATGTACCTAGGAGGTGATGAAGGGCAGAGAGGAGACTGTGGGCTGGAGCTGTTTGGAACCACAATTTGGGCCCAGAGAATCCGAGCTCAGGGAAGTCTGATCTGGCCCCAGGTCAGGTCTGATTGATTTTAGGGTCACTTTGGGAAATGAGGAAAGTCCAGCAGTTATACTGCAACAGAAAGGCTGATGATAGTTTATGCTGATTCTGAACTTTTCTTTATTGGAAGAGCTGCCTTTTTAAAATGAGATATGTATAAAGAAAGAACCCAGAGAAATATGTATTTGTTTCTGGTTCCTGGCATAGAGCTCCTAAAGCTCTAGTAATTCTCTGAGTGATAAGAGCATCTTTGTTCTAATGAGGCAACTCTTGCTGGGCTCCTTTATAACTTTGGGATTGAGGTTGGTTGCCAGGAAGACCCAGTCTTGATGAGAAACTTGGAAAATTCAGTCCCATCCTCCAAGGGAGAGAAGCTAGGGCTTCAGTTAATAATCAATCATGCCGACATGATGAAACCTCCATAAAACCCCCTAAATACTTGGTGACCACATCAAGGTGCTGGGAGGGTGCCAGAGGAAACTCCACGCACCACCCCCACACCTCGACTTGTGCGTCTTTTCCATTTGGCTGTTTCTGAGTTTGGCTGTTTCTGAGTTTATAATAAACTGGTACTAATATGTAAAGTGTTTAACTAAGTTCTGTGAGCTGTTCTAGGAGGGGGTTGTGGGAACCCCTGATCTGTAGCTGGTGGGTCAGAAGCCCAGATGTCCTGGACTTGTGATTGGCATCTGAAGTCTGATGTGGAGACAGTTTTGTGGAACTGAGCCCTTTCACTTTTAGCATCTGACACCAACTCTGGCAGTTAGTGTCAGAATTGAATTGAATTGTACAACAGCCAGTTGTTGTCTGGAGAGTTGGAGAATTGGTTGGTGGGAGGAAAAATCTCATTTGGTGCCAGATGTGTTGTGAGAAAAGAAAAAAAAAAAAAACAGCTCATGAGCTCTGTCTTTTCTTGAACTGACTGTGCTGTTACCATGCAGTAATAGTTGAAGGTGAGATCCTTTCTTTTGGTATGTTTTAGGGAAAAAAGCCCAGAAACATACTTTAAAATTGGAAAGAGCAAGAGTATATGGATGTGTATGTGTAAGACATTCTGATTCCTAGGGGGATACGCAACCATCTTTATTATTATTATACATTTTTAGAGTCGAGGTCTTGCCATATTGCCCAGGCTGGCCTCAAACACCTGGACTCATGTGATTCTCCCACCTTAGCCTCCTGAATAGCTAGAACAATAGGCATGTACCACTGCACTCGGCCACAACAATTTTAAGAAAAAAATCTGGCCTGACAAGGTGGCTCATGCCTATAATTCCAGCATTCTGGGAAGTCAAAATGAAAGGATTACTTAGGCTAGGAGTTAAAGACAAGCCTGGGCAGCATAGTGAGACCTCATCTCTACAAAAAAATTAAAAAAATTAGCTGGGTGTGGTGGCATGTGTTCAGGAGGCTGAGGTGGGAGGATTGCTTGAGCCCAGGAGGTCAAATCTGCAGTGAGGCATGATGGCGCCACTGCACTCCAGCCTAAGTGACAGAGTGAGATCTTGTCTAAAAAAAAAAAAAAACTATCCTGCTTGATATAGATCTAGATTTGTAGTCATCATAGAATAACAACATGGCCAATTCTGCCATCTGTTGGTTGTATGAGCACTATGAATAATCAACTCTGTGTGTGAGACACTTGAAATCATTGAATGCTGGAATGAAAAACCATATAATGCATAAGCTGTCAGGGACAGGCGGGGTCAGTCCTGTTTCTCATGATCTTTTTGAAATAGATAGACACTTTATAACCTTTACTGCTTGTTCAATTCAAAAACAGACAACACATTGGAATGTCGTCGTGGCACTGAAGCTCAGCTCTTTTTTGATCCCTATTGTTGATGTTAGCACCTATTCAGATCCCTTTATAATGACACTGGAAATTACATATGTGAAAATATGTATACAGTTATTCCTGTAATCTTTTGTTAAAAAAGGTTAATTTCCAATTTTTAAATAATTCACTTTAAAGATATGGGATGGGGGCTCTTTCCTGAAATTTAGATAGTATTCAAATCATAGCATAGTGCCTGAGGACTTCCACATCTATTGCATACTGCTTGCTTAATGAAAGTTGAATTTCTAATGCCTTTAAAAATTAATGCTTTGGCTGGGCGCGGTGGCTCACGCCTGTAATCCAGAACTTTGGGAGGCTGAGGTGGGCGGATCACGAGGTCAAGAGATCATGACCATCCTGGCCAACATAGTGAAACACTGTCTCTACTAAAAATACAAAAATTAGCTGGGCGTGGTGGCGCATGCCTGTAGTTCCAGCTACTCGGGAGGCTGAGACAGGAGAATTGCTTGAACCCAGGAGGCGGAGGTTGCAGTGAGCTGAGATTGCGCCATTGCACTCTAGCCTGGTGACAGAGTGAGACTCTGTCTCAAAAAAAAAAAAGAAAAATTAATGCTTCTTAAAGAAGAAAATATCCTTCTACTCAGTGAGGAAAACATGATATATATGCTTATAGAGTATAACTTTTGGCTCTTGAATACTATACATTTTTCTTTGTCATACTTTTGTTAACTTATTACAGTATCTTGAAAACTTTTGAAATAGCACACGTTGCTCAAGTATGTTTTTCCATTTGGAAAGTCTTAGTGCTTTTTCTACTGCACTTTTACTTAGTGATTCATTTTCCATCTTGTCTCAGGACCCAAGATGAATTGAACCAAACATGCAACCGCCCGCCCCCATCTTTACTGTTTTTCATCCTATTTTTGGTGGGCCATTTTATAAATTTAATTTTGAATATTAGTCTAATCTTCTAGGGTGTGATAATCTTGTCCAGAATTGCCTGATCTTCCCACTCACTCTTGCAGCCCAGGGGCTAATCATCTCCCTACTCCATTGACCTAGAGTGATGATTGATATTTCTAGCCACCTCGGTCTCCACCTATATGATTTTTAAAAATCTAATTTGCTTCAGATAGCCTGTGTGACAGGGATCATTTCCACAACTTCAATTCTTTACTGAGGGAATAGTCAGTGAACAGATTGAAGCCCAATGCTATCACTTTGTGCCTTCCCAATTTCACTTCTGAGTCTGCGTCAAAACAACACACACTTGAACTTGTATTTTTTTAAAAAATCTGCTTTCGTGCTCATAATCTTTTTCAATCTCTTTTCCTGGTATCTAAAATATCTTAGCAACAACTCTCATCTCTGAGCAACCATCAGGGTATAGTTTCAAATACTACAGCAATCAAAGCATCCTACTTCATTACTTGCTGATTTTTTCCAGGCAATCTATATTTATTTTGTGAATATAACATCAATATAGAAGCACATGATTTACTACCCTTCTCTCTAGTCCTCAAGAAAACTCTTTCTGCGACAAGCAAATTTCCAAGACTCCGTGACTTTTTCATTTTTTTTTTTTTTTTGAGACGGAGTTTTGCTCTTGTGGCCCAGGCTGGAGTGCAATGGCGCGATCTTGGCTCACTGCAACTTCCACCTCCTGGGTTCAAGCAATTCTCCAGCCTCAGCCTCCTGAGTAGCTGGGATTACAGGTGTCTGCCGCCATGCCTGGCTAATTTTTTATTTTTAGTAGAGACAGGGTTTCACCACGTTGGCCAGGCTGATCTTGAACTCCTGACCTCAGGTGATCCACCAGCCTCAGCCTCCCAAAGTGCTGGGATTACAGGTGTAAGCCACCGTGCCCGGCCGACTCTGTGACTGTTAAAGAGCCTTTGTTTGCTGCTGATTGATTAAACTCAGTTATCATTTGAAAACTTCCCAAAGAGGCCAGACTATATTCTGATGAGAAAAATCACTATGATGATATACTAACATGAACTCTGTGAACCTCACCATTAGCCAGAGATTTAAAAATATTTTAAATTGAGGTATAATATATAAACAGCAAAGTGTACAAATCCTGTGTAAACTTGATGAATTTACACACACACACACACACACACCCATGTAGCCACTGCCTAGATCAAGATATATTTCCAACAGCTCAGAAGGCTTCTTTGTCTCTCTTATGTCTCTTCTCAATATCCCACTTCATGTAACCACAGACCTGACTTCTATAACCATAGATTTGTGTTGCCTGCTCTCTAACTTAATACTAAAAGGAAACATAATATATGTATAGTTTTGTGTCTGGCCTCCTTTCTTATCAGTATGTCAATGAGATTCATCCATGTTTGTACTTAACGTAGGGCTGCATTCTTTTTTATTACTGCCTTGTTCCACTGTTTCAATATTCCACAGTTTATTCATCTATTCTATTACCGGTGAACATTTGGGTTGTTTACAATTTTGGGCTATTGTAAATAAAACTATTTAGTCTGAGATTTTCACATATAAAAGAGCTATACACAAATTCTGCTGTTTGGACAATCCTTTATGTGATGTTAGACACAGAGTAGGAAATTAAATCAAGGCTGGGCGCAGTGGCTCATGCCTGTAATCCCAGAATTTTGGGAGGCCAAGGCAGACAGATCACGAGGTCAGGAGATTGAGACCATCCTGGCCAACAATCGTGTCTCTACTAAAAATACAAAAATTAGCTGGGTGTGGTGGCGTGTGCCTGTAATCCCAGCTACTCGGGAGGCTGAGGCAGAAGCATCACTTGAACCCGGGAGGTGGAGGTTCCAGTGACCCGAGATTGCACCACTGCACCCCAGCCTGGTGACGGGGCGAGACTCCGTCTCAAAAAAAAAAAAAAAAAAAAAAGTCTTCTGTGAATCAAAGGATACAACTTTTCTTGTGTGTATCAAAGGATACTTTAAAAGCAAAAATACAACCTACTAGGTGGGGGGAAATATTTGCAAAGCACATATCTGATAAAGTATTAATATCTGGAATATATGAAGAACACCTAAAACTCAAAAATATAACTAAAAACACATGAAAAAATGCTCACCATCACTGGTCATCAGAGAAATGCAAATCAAAACCACAATGAGATACCATATCACACCAGTTAGAATGGCAATCATTAAAAAGTCAGGAAACAACAAGTGCTGGAGAGGATGTGGGTAAATAGGAACACTTTTACACTGTTAGTGGGACTGTAAACTCGTTCAACCATTGTGGAAGTCAGTGTGGCGATTCCTCAGGGATCTAGAACTAGAAATACCATTTGACCCAGCCATCCCATTACTGGGTATATACCCAAAGGACTATAAATCATGCTGCTATAAAGACACATGCACACGTACGTTTATTGTGGCACTATTCACAATAGCAAAGACTTGGAACCAACCCAAATGTGCAACAATGATAGACTGGATTAAGAAAATGTGGCACATATACACCATGGAATACTATGCAGCCATAAAAAGTGATGAGTTCATGTCCTTTGTAGGGACATGGATGAAATTGGAAATCATCATTCTCAGTAAACTATCGCAAGAACAAAAAACCAAACACTGCATATTCTCACTCATAGGTGGGAATTGAACAATGAGAACACGTGGACACAGGAAGGGGAACATCACACTCCAGGGACTGTTGTGGGGTGGGGGGAGGGGGGAGGGATAGCATTAGGAGAGATACCTAATGCTAAATGATGAGTTAATGGGTGCAGCACACCAGCATGGCACATATATACGTATGTAACTAACCTGCACATTGTGCACATGTACCCTAAAACTTAAAGTATAATAATAATTAAAATAAAATAAATGGGCGAAAGACTTGAATAGAAATTTCTCCAAAGAAGATATACAAATGGTCCATAAACCCATAAAAAGATGTTTAGTATCATGAGTCATTAGGGAAATGCAAATCAAAATCACAATGAGTACCACCTTACACCAGCTAGCATGGCTATAATTAAAAGACAAAACAAGATGGAAAATAACAAGTGTTGGTGAGCATGTGTAGAAATTGGAATCTTGCACATTACTGGTGAGAATGTAAAGTGGTACAGACACTGTGGGAAACAATTTCACAATTTCTTAGAAGGTTAAACATAAAACTACCATAAGACCCAGTCGTTCTACTTCAGGTATATACCCAAAAGAATCAAAAGCAGAAATCTCTCTACAGAAATCTATCTATCATCTATCTATCTATCTATCTATCTATCTATCTATCTATCTACCTATCTATCTATCATCTATCTATCTATCTATCTATCATCTATCTATATCTATCTGAAACTTCAACAGAAATTTATCTATCAGAAATTTCAACAGAAATTTATTATCTATCATCTATCTATCTATCTATCTATCTATCATCTATCTATCTATCTATCATCTATCTATCTATCTATCTATCTTTTTAAATTTAGAGCTTGGAGAGGTAAAGAACAGATGTTTGCACACCAAATTTTATAGCAGCATTACTCACAAATGCCAAAAGGTATAAACAACCCAAGTGTCCATTAACAGATGAATGGATAAACAAAATGTGGTTTGTGTACACACACACACACACACACACACACACACACACACTAGTATTATTCAGCCATAAGAAGGAATACAATTTTGATATATGCTACAACATGGATGAAACTTGAAAGTGTGTTTGGGAAACAAGTCAGACACAGAAGAACGTATATTGTATGATTTCACGTATATGAAGTACCTAGAACAGGCAAATTCATAGAGACAGGAAGTGGAATAGTGGTTACCAGGGGTTGGGGGTAGGAGGATGGAGGAGTTATTATTTAATGTGTAGTTTTTGTGGGGCTGATGAAAAACTTTAAAGTTTAGATAGTGGTGATGGTTATACAACACTGTGGATGTATCTATTGCCACTTAACTGCACACTTAAGAGTGGCTAAAATGATAAATAGTATGCATATTTTTCCACAACAAAAGACCAACTATAGGTATAAAACAGTAGTTTTTCAGTATTCATTCATTCAACACATGCTTATTGGATGCTAGCTGAAAACAAGACCCTGTGTTAGGCACTGATGGAAAGAAAGATAAATCAGACATACTGTATTTGTTTCCTATTGCTGCTATAAAAAAGTACCAGAATCTTATGGGCTTAATACAACACAAATTTATTATCTTACAGTTCTATGGGTGAGAAGTTCAAAATGGGTCTCACTGGGCTAAAATAAAGATATGGCAGGGCTAGATTCCTTCTAGGGGCTCTGTGGGAGCATCTGTTTCCAGGCCTTTTCCAGCTTTGGGGGGCTGCCCCTGTTCCTTGGCTCATGGTCCCCCACCATCCTCATGGAGCAACAATTGCATCATTTCAACCCTGCTTCCATGATTGCATCTCCTCTGGCTCAGATTGTCCTGCCTTCTTTCATTTATAAGGACCCTTGTAATTACCTTGGGCCCTCCTAGATGATCTAGGATAATCTCTCCATCTCTACAGAAGATTAGCAACTTTCCTTTTATCTGCAGCTTTAATTCCTCCTTTCCACGTAACCTAACATATTCACAGATTCCAAGGATTAGGACATTGTTGTCTTTGGGGGCCATTACCCTGCTTACCACACAGATCTTTCTGATTTTGAAGATCAGTAGGAGAGATACGACAAAAGGTCATGAGTGGTGCTGCTGCTGTGCTCTGAGATTTCAGGGTGAGAAAGATTATTCCAGCTGAGAGAATCAAGACACTTTTCTCAGAGACTATATAGACTATATAGAAACCAGTCAAGAAAAATATACAAGGGTGCCCACTACATCAAGGACTTTCTGAATGGTTTGTGGCATATGTGAGCTACATGTCACATTCAGTGGCAGGCAGGATCATTAGAAAGCAGCAGATTAGCCGGGCATGGTGGCTCACGCCTGTAATCCTAGCACTTTGGGAGGTCAAGGCAGGCAGATCGCCTGACCTCAGGAGTTCGAGACCACCCTGGGCAACATGGTAAAACCCTGTCTCTACTAAAATACAAAAAATCAGCCGGGTGTGGTGGCACACACCTGTAGTCCCAGCTACTTGGGAGGCTGAGGCATGGAGAATCACTTGAGCCAAGGAGGCGGAGGTTGCAGTGAGCAGAGATCATGCCACTGCACTCCAGCTTGGGCTACAGAGTGATTGATACTTCATCTAAAAAAAAAAAGAAAGAAAGAAAGAAAGCAGCAGCAGATTAGTCAATGCCAGAGAGTGATCTACAGTGGCTGCACAGTGGCATAATTCCATGGGTCAGTTTAGGGACAGGACAGCCATGCTGTTGTTGCTTGACAGGCAAGGGTGCCAGGACCACTATTTCCCGGTATCATACACAGGAGAACCTTACATACATGGTACCCGCTGGCAAACCAGAAATCCAGAGAAATGTGAATTCTGGCACTAGCATTGAAAGTGTAATCTACCTACAAATGGCAGCCTGGCCTTGTGCTTCTCTTAAACATGAAGTGGTTACAATTCAGATTGCTTACCAGTGCTTGCATTTGTACTGCATTATCCAGCAGTGACCTCACCAGCATTTTCATGTAGACGGCTGCTGATAAACAGCAGTAAGATGTATCTTCCAATGTAAGTTTTTTGTATGACGCCTTGATATCCTGAATAGCACCAGAAAGCACTTTCATCCCACAGAAGATGGACTGGGAAATACTGCACTCCAGGTGCAGGAGCAGTGCATCTGCACCTCTAATCCATGGCATCGCGAAACAGCTCCACTAAGCATCCAAGACATCCAGCAGTGGCCACTACCATTTCCCTCCCCAACTGGCATGATTTGGTTTTGTCATCCATGTTAGTAATTGAATAAGTATGTGCTTAATAAATGTTTAATAAATGCATAAAATAGGAATAAACCAATAACTTCAAATATCTAAAATTCTTAACCTATGCCAACGTTGTGGTTCTGAGGGATCATACCTACCTGATTATATGCATTTCTTTGCAATAATGGCCTCATCATCTGCACACATCTTTGCTTAGCCAATTACATAGGTTTGCTCTCTGCCTATGTCAACTCTAACTAGAAAAACACAATTATGGATGTTAGAAAAAATCTTTTTAAGGGTGGTTTTATATGAACAACAAATATATTTCATTAGAATGTGGGCCTTGGTTAAAGGAAAACATTGCAGACCCATGCAAACCCTGCTTGTCTCTTATCTCTAAGGATCTATCTAAGCCACAGGTGGAGCTGGTTTCCTAGAGCCCAGGAGTATTTCTTTCTCTCCTTCCCTACTCAGTGACATCAAGAACTAATAAAACCTTTTTCAGTTGTGTGACTCCAGGTCCACAAGGCCCAAACTATTTCACTTAGTATTTTCCCTGAGAGAATGTCCAGGAAAATTTCTAGTAGACTTCTGGACATTGGTCAAAGATGTCACCCCAGACCCATGATTCCCTTATAAATGGTACACATTCAAGAATATGTAAAAGTCCTTAAGAAATTAGGTTACCCTATTTTTGGTAAGCCTTGCATAACATTTTCTGACTCTCTCTCTTCCTTCCTTCTTTCCATATATTTATTAATTCAACAAATACCATTGAGCATCTATGATATGCAAGTTGCTGATGAGGAACTGAGGATTCAGCTGAGAATATTAAGAAGGTCTTTGCCTCCATGGGGTTTACATTCCAGTGAGAAGGTCAGGTAATGAACAAGTAGACAAATTAATTACTTCAGCCTATAAGCACCAAGAAGATAGTACACAGAGTGCTGTGATAGAGAATAACACAGGGAAAGCATGTTATTTTCATGCACTGAAATACATACCTGGACAACTATCTGCAGGTGTGTGAATAACACTGAGCTAGTCTTTTGGGGGCAGCCCCAGAAGGAGAAAGCTTGGGTCAGTCTTCCCGGTGAAGGAGGAAAAAGAAAACTGAAAATGCCAGGGCAGTTTATCCTGTGAAGAATTCAGAGAGAAATGAGAATCTTTTAGGTTCTCTAAGGTCCATGAGGGCACGGACATCCGTCTTGCTCATCATGGAATGTCCAGTGCATAGCGCTGTGCTGGCACACAGAAAAAGTTCCCAAAGCAGTAACAGATGAAAAACCCAACAGATCCTGAAAAGCGTACATTAATGGAATTGCTTCTTTCTTTTGTCTTAGGTAGAAGAAAATCCCACAGTATTCTGAGTGATAAGTCTTGATGCCCAGAACCCTTTCCAAACATAGCAGACTGGGATGGCTCTGGGCATGCCCTTAGTAAGGCCCTTAGTAAGGAGTGGCAACAGGCTCAGGGACGCAAGCACAGTCTTCCTCACAGCGTCCTCCAGGAGGCCAAACCACCGGAGTATACTCTTTAGAAATATCAAGACACTGGTGCTGGCTGATTGCTGATTGGGTGTTTGAGAAAGGATTATCTCTTGGGTTCAGATTGCTGTTTACCAGAAGAAAATGAATACTCTTGATCCATTCCACAAAGGGTTCATTAGGAAAATACATTGCCCTATTATAGCATTTACTGTCTTGTAAATTATTTGTGCACACGTCAGTCTCTTACTCCAACAGACCATAAACTTCTTTTGTGGCAGCTTTAAAATATGATGGGCAGAAGAGATTAAGTCTTGTCTTGAAGCTGCATTTTCATAATAAGCATATGTCTTGAAATTATAGGTCTTAGATCAATAAAGACAACTTTTTTTTTTTTTTTAAGACAGGGTCTTGCTCTGTCACCCAGGCTGGAATGCAGTGGTGCAATCTTGGCTCACTACAGCCTCTGCCTCCCAGGTTCAAGCCATCCTCCCACCTCAGCTTCCAAAGTAGCTGGGACTTCAGGTGTGCACCAGCACACTAGGCTAGTTTTTATTTTTTTATAGAGGTGAAGTCTTACTATTCTGTGCAGGCTGGTCTCCAACTCCTGAGCTCAAGTGATCTTCCCACCTCGGCCTCCCAAAGTGCTGGAATTACAGGTGTGAGCCACCATGCCAGGCAGCATTTTAATTTTTTCGTTAAGATTTCTCACTTTTTGTTTGTTATTCTCATCCTCATCATGTTACCTGGGTGGCTTTGGGGTAACTGCTGAAGATTATGGTCAGGCTACCCGCCTCTCCAGATTACTCCCCCAAGGCGAATCTCCCCCTCTCCAACCCCTTTCTTGTTGATCTTTTAAATCCCCAATGTTTAGCACTGTAGCTTAGTGATTGTTGCATTGAGTATAAACACTAATAATAAAGAAATAATTTAAAAGGCACAGAATATAGGTGTTAATCTTATCTTCTAATACTTGTATTTTGAATGTACAACAAGCTGCAACAGGATAATCACGCTTAATTCAAAAATTCAATTTTTTTTTTTTTTTTTTTTTGAGACGGAGTCTCGCTCTTGTTGTCCAGGCTGGAGTGTAGTGGCGTGATCTCAGCTCACTGCAACCTCTGCCTCCAGGGTACAAGCGATTCTCGTGCCTCAGCCTCCTGAGCAGCTGGGACTACATGCACATACCACCATGGCCGGCTAATTTTTGTATTTTTAGTAGAGACGGAGTTTCACCATGTTGGCCAGGCTGGTCTCAAACTCCTGACCTCAAGTGATCCACACGCCTCAGCCTCCCAAAGTGCTGGAATTACAGGCGTGAGCCACCGTGCCTGGCCAAAAATTCATTTTATTTTATTTTTTTTGCCATGGAAAAACACTCTTGTTTATTTGATTAAACAAAAATAAAATAAGCTGCATAGGAACAATCTTCTCTCCCAAACGGGGTCTATGGCAGCTGCAGGGGAGACACTAGGGAGGCATATTGTCCTAGAATAGTGCATTTAAAATCCACTTCATTTGTGTGAACTGGAAAGATCTCTTAAAAGTGGGCTGCAGTCAGACATTTATAACTGCTGTTCCTGTCCTTCTTCTCCCAACCAAACTGCTTTGACCCCAAAGCCTCCAAAACCTTCTGTCGAGACAAGTGCAAGAGGTGGAGACTAAAGAGCCCCTGGAGATGAATAAACTGTCATTTCACCAGGACCACTGATGAAATCCCCATAAGCTTTCCTTCCCCAGGATACAGCATTAGAGAAAGGAACTGGGCTTAAATGATTATCGCTGGGCTGCTGCCAAGAGAGGAAATCATATTCCTGGCTTAATAAAAAAAAATAAAATGTAAGTTGAATCTAAATGAAATATAATTCAATTCCCTTTTTATCCAAGTGATTTAGATGGGCAAAGGATAGGGGCTCTGCTAAGAGCAAATTAAATGAATCCTCTGACACATCACAGTGGCTTTTAGGGCAGCACTGGGCGTGGGCTCTTGAACGGGGAGGTAAGGGCAGTCCCCAGCCCCTAAGGCACATATCAGAACACACAATGAGAGAGGGAGGTGAGGTGAGGTAAAGCCTTACCCTATTGATATTCCTGTCTGTTGTAAACAGTGAGGAGTCACAGAAGGTTCTTGAGTAAGGGTCTTGGACATGACCAAAGTAGAACTTAGGAAGCTAACCTCATCACATCTCAATAAATACTTGTCGGGTTAATGAATGAATGATTCAGAGTAATATCAAGACAAAGACATGAATCTGGCCACTTAGGAATATGGATTTCACTAACGCCCAGTGAAAAACGATCAGAAAGTGATATCAGATCAATATCATTATTAAAGTTTTAAGTTATTTATGGCTTTCTAATAGGTTCTTCTTAATGTAACAAAAGTGTTGAACAAATGTGACACGTGGAATGTGATAAAAACACAACTTGACTTTTGTTCTTATTGATCCTATAAAGTTTATTTTGTATGGTAATCTTTTCCTGCCTTGGATGAATACAGTTCACCCCAAGGTAATTTACAGTCTGTCCTGTGGTCATTTTAAGTCACAAACACAGCCCAATACACACATTAGAATACTGAGCCGTGGAAAAATCTAAAACCTTGAATTTTATTTAATGTTGAATTGTATCCCATTCTTGGGCAGCCCCAGTATGAGCTGGCTGCCTGCAGTGAGAGAGGAAGGCTTGATCCTTCATTTCTCCTTTCCTGCTCCTCTTCCTCATTAGGCTTGCCCCTAGGTTTGGGACATAAAGAGAGGAATCAAAAATAGTAGAAGGGAATTTTCTTACTCAGCTCTATCTGCCATAATTTGGCTTTGTGCTGAGTGTGGCTGACGTTTAAAGCTGATATTCTCTTGAGCACTCTTTTGGGGGGTACCCGCTCTGTGGGATCTCTGGAGCTGTGTTGATGCCCCTTCTGCTGACAGCTCCCCCCTTTAGAGGGTCCACCCACACACACTATGAAGTCCCATTGCCCCTTCTAGGAGGTCCTGTCTGATAGAGCCTAACACAGCCTCAGGATTGCTGGTCCTCTATCCTGTCCTGCATTGGGGTAACATGCCGTGTCCTTCCACGGCAGGGCCTTGGGGTTGCGGGAATTTCCCAGGTGTAGCAGCTACTTGCTTTGGCTTCATCATCCTCAACACAACTGGCCAGCTTCTCTCTTACTCTGCACATTTTCTGGGGCAGAAATCAGCCCTCAGCTCACGGTCTTTCAAACTTCAGGTGACACATATTAGACTCTCAGAATGGCCGTGTTGAAGGCCCTCAAAACCTGAGGGAGGTTCAGGTGTCCCCTCACCCCTTATTTCCTCTTGAGATACAGGACTTCAGGCTTACAGCAAAAACTTTTCCAAAAAATCCTTCTCACTAGAATCTTTCTTCTTTCTTCTTACTCTCCAAAAAATCTTTTCTATTCTTGAAGAGAGAAAGAAGCCCTTGGATAAATGACCTTAAAATTTGCAACCAAACCCAAACATCAGGGTTTGTTTTGTTTTAGATTACTCTTATGGTGTTCTGTCCCATGCGCACATTGGTACCTGAGAGCCACAATGTCAGTCCCTCTGGACTGACGCTTCTGAGGTGAGAAGCGTTCTATTTTAATATTAGGTTATGTTCACTTAACAAACCATGTAGGGCATTCAATAAAGTAGCTTCAATTCTTCTCAGTTAATATTCTTGCCCTTTTAAAGCCTGACGTTGAAAGTACTTCCAAAGTAACCAAACTGGTAAATATCATTTGGAGCCTTCACTGATTGTGACTGTTGCCTGATCACCAGGGGTAGTTATGCGTTGTGTAGGAGCTTACACAATTTGGCAGAGGCTTTCTTTAAGAAAAAGAACGCAAAGTTAGGAATAAAAAATTGGTTGTAGAAAATAGAAAAAATAAATAGAAAAAATAAAAAATAAAAAAAGAAATAAAAAATTAAAACAAAAACAAAGATAAAAAATTGGGTATGTAAACAACTATTTACTTGGAATGAGAAAAATCCACAAATTACAAATTTTAAAATGCCAATCCTTTTGTAGTTCATAAATGTGATGATTGGGTTCTCACATGTGAGGTGTGTGAGACGTGCTTCATTCAAACCCTGTTACAACATCCGCACATACCCTGTCTGTCATGAAAGAAAAAAAATTAAAAAAGAATAAAATGTTGACAAATATACCACAAACATCAAAAGTCCAGGACAAATTATGCAATTCTTTTATTAATGAATTACCTTATATATACCTTTATAATTCTTTTGAATTTTAATATAATCAATAATTCTGAATAAATACACAAAGCTACATGAAATTAAGGTATATAGAAGAGTAAGTAAAATAGATTTTAAACATCATTGCATTAAGCTACCTACTTGTCATTATTCTTATACTATGTACATGGACTTATTTTATAAATATGTGTGGTGATTTTATCATTGGAATGTTTCTTTAGGTTGTTGTGATTCATTGATGAATACTTTTTCATTCTCTTTTGTCTAAAGCTGCTCTTTGTCTTTAGGATGCGATGTGATCCAACATGTTGGGATGCATAAAATACATGACTAAACAAACAGGCACAGTCATTGTGAACCTGGCACTGGTCTGTGTCCTACAATCACAGGATTTCTGATAAATTCTATTTTGTGTGATTTACCTCAAAAAATAAAAAATATTGGGTTTATAATTGCATACACTGCTTATCATGTATATTCTCAACAGGACAGAACTTCCATTTTGATCAGGCGTCTTTGAGAATTAAATCCTCTGCTCAGACTTTTACATAACTGAAGATTGGCAGAATTTTCCACAGGCTAGCTTCTGGGTTCATACTTTTGAAAACTTTGTCTACGTGATTACCTACAGACTTCCAATGCCAAGTGCAATAGGTTACATTCAAATCACAATATGACCTCTAGCATTGCACCTGTCTGTCAGATATTGGCTGAGCAGCAAAGGAGCATTGGAAATATTGCTGGAAGCCATTCCTGCACCACGATAGCTAACAATAACTTAGATATGGAAGTGAACCACATAAAAATAATCTTCTTAACCCAAACTCTATGCCTTTTCAAGTCAGCTTCCCCTTAGCTGAATCCAATCACCCCTTGCCTCTTTAAGATCACCCTTGGCCAGGCGCAGTGGCTCATGCCTGTAATCCCAACACTTTGGAGGGCCAAGGAAGGCGGATCACCTGAGGTCAGAAGTTTGAGAACAGCGTGGCCAACATGGGGAAACCCCGTTTCTACTAAAAATATAATAACAAAAAAAATTAACTGGGTGTGGTGGTGCGTGCCTGTAATTCCAGCTACTTGGGAGGCTGAAGCAGGGGAATCACTTGAAACCCGGAGGCGGAGGTTGCCGTGAGCTGAGATCATGACACTGCATGCCAGCTTGGGTGACAGAGCGAGACTCCGTCTCCAAAACAAACAAACAAAAAGACCACCCTACAGAAGAGCAAGTGTAACAGAGGGTAAGCTGGAGAGGAAAGAGACAGAGGTCTTAACCGATTGTAGTTAACATAGCTCCCAAGTTTTACAAAAGCTTATGACTATGGGAACACATTTCTCGGGCCCCAAGCATGAAAAGGGCTCATGAAAGGGAGGGGTCCTAGAACTTCATTAACATCATAGTAATTTGCCTTGCCAACCAGGAATGAGCCCTGCTTGGATGGACCACCTGCTCACAGTGTATTTACATTTACAGAATTGGCACACTGGTGTGCTTGTGGGCAAATGCAGGTTAATATGTGTTACTGTCAGAGTTTAGCAGTTGGTCAACCTCCAACAGGAGTCAGCAACGGTGTAGAATTTCCCTGAGTTTTAAATGTATGTCTTAGCCCTAAAGGCCTTTGGAAAGTTATTGGTCTTATTAGTGAGTTCATATGCCATTGAAAGATGTTTGACTAGAAAATGACATTTTAGTAAACGGGTAAGGAAGAGACTTACGAAAAAAGGACCATGAAGACACTGGGAAAATTAAAGAGAGCCCAGTAAGATGTCTTATCAGTTTATGATTCTCTTTTGTACACTAGTAATTTATAAGGGAACAGTCACAGTTAGGAATGATTTCAGCTACATGTAACATAATAGTTAACTAATGGTGGCTTAAATAATAAAGATAATTAACTCTTAGAACAAAAAGTCTGAAGGTAGGTGACTGATAACTCTGTTATTTTAGGACTCTGTCACTATCTTTACGATTCTTAAGGTAAAAATATGATTGTCACAGCTCTGGGAATCATTTGTTCAAAGGCAGAAAACAGGAGGCAGCTAGATAGTGTGTGTCTATCTCTTTTCAGTAAAGAGGAGAAATCTTTCCTAAGCAATTACCTATCAGAATTGCTCTTTAAATCTCATTGGCCAAAACTGGGCACATGGGCACCCCTAGCTGCAAGGAGGAGTTGGGAAAGTGAATATCTGGCAAAAGGGTATGAGAGTTTGTTGATTGGCTTAGACTTGTCATGCTTTATCTTTCAGGACTGGGCACATAGCTGTCCTGAGAAAGAATATGGATTTTATTAGTAAGGAATAAAAGGGATATGGCTATTGGGTGGCAACAAATGGCAGATGCAACCAGAACCTTTGGGTTGAGTAAAACTATCTTTTTACTTAGCAATTATCAAACTAACATGAATTAAGAACACACATGAATACAAACAATAATTTCGTTAGCAAATATTCTGTGCTAGGAACTTGGTACTAGATGTTAGATATATATTATCTGCAATTTTCACAGCAGTCCTGCAAGATGAATATTCTCCCTGTTTTCAGAAAGATTAGGTTATATCCCAATTAGAGAAATAAGTAGCTCTATTCTGACTTCTATCATTGAAGTCTTGCCTTTCTTGAACTTCAAATCAATTAAATCATATAGGAGGTACTTTTTGGTTTCCAACTTCTCTTGCTCAATATTAGATTCTGGACTCATTCATGTTGTTAATGAATACCATGAATAACTTATTTTTTAGTGCTGTGTACTTATTGTTTGAAAAAAATCAAAATTTATTCATTTTACTGTAGATTGACATTTGGGTTGTTCCTAGTTTAGTGAAATGATTAAAGTAATTAAGATTATTATATGTGATATGATTAGATCATAAATTATATGATTATATAGCTATATGAGTAGGTGACTAATATATAAGTATATATCTTATTATATATTATATAACATATTATATTTACAGAACCGACCAAAATAAATCTGACAAAAAGTACTCCTTTTTGTTGGATTTGCAATTTGTTGGATTTATATACAAGAGTAAAATAAAGTATTTTTAGCTTTAGTAGATACTCTCTAAAAGATTTCCAAAGTAGTTGTACCAAGTTACACTCCCATCAGCAAATTATGAGAGATTTATTTGCCAATGGTTGGCTTTGTTATATATATTATTTTAGAAGGTAGTAAGGAATATGGTATGTGCTATGGAAAAGGAGAAGTTGGGCAAGATAAAGGGGATTGGAAGTACTGGGGGAAAGTAGAGCAGTTTGAAATTTTAAATATGTGGTCAGGATTGGCTTTTATTTATTTGTTTTTTTGACAGGGTCTTGCTCTGTTGCCCAGGCTGGAGTGCAGTGGCATGATCATGGCTCACACTGCAGCCTCAACCTCCCAGGCTCAAGCAGTCCTCCTGCCTCCCAAGTAGCTAGGACTATAGGTGTGTGCCACCGTCCTCTACGAAAAATATATTTTGTATTTTTTGTAGAGATGGGGTTTTGCCGTGTTGCCCAGGCTGGTCTGGAACTCCTGGGCCCAAGCTGTCTGCTGCCTTCACCTCTCAAAGTGCTGAGATTACAGGTATGAGCCGCCATGCCTGGCTGGCTTTTTTTTTTTTTTTTTTTTTTTGAAGGTGACAACTGAACAAAGTCATGAAAAAGTAAGCGAAAGAGCTATGCAGGTATGTGAGGAAAATATTCTAGGTAGAGGGAAAAGCCAACACAAAGGCTATTAATAAATTGCTGGTGCTTTCCAGCAAAAGCAATTGGTCATTGTGGAAGAAACAGAGTGAACAAGGGAGAAAGGTATGGGAAATAACATGAAGGGGGAAAAGAGCCAGATCATGTAGGGCCTCCAGGACATGGTGAGTGCTTTGGCTTTTACACCGAGTGAAATAGGGAGCTACAATAGGGGTTTGAGCAGATGAGTGACATAATCTGATTTACACTTAAAAAAATTCTGGTGGCTAGATTAAAAATAACTGTGGGCAGGAGCAGGGAGATGAATTAGTCTATTGCAGGAGGTGACAGTAGCTTTAACCAAAGTGGTGATAGTGGACGCTCCAGGCAAATAGGGTGTCAAAAGCCGAGGTGCAGAGATGGAAAGTTCAGTTCAAGGCCGGTATCAGAACTGTGAGCAAACCAGTTGTCTTTCTAACGGGGGAAGGAAAATGACAGCTGCCATTTATTGAACATTCACTATGTGGCAAGCATTGTGCTAAATTTGATACTCCGGCGACCTCTTTTAGTCTCCATGACAACCCTGTAAAGACATTTAGAATTTAGAACCTTTCATACAGTTCCATGACTAAAACGTAGCACACCTGGCATTCCAACCCTTCATTTCATTCTACTCTAGCACTAAAGCTAGAAGGGAAGCTTGAGGCCACATTGTGGAGTGCCAAGAGGTTTGAACTTTTGCCTGGTTTGAACTTTTACCTTCTTAATCTTTTCCCCGCATCCCCACATTTGAGGACAGGACACCTCCAGGAACTGCAGCTCAGCAACAGGGGTTCAGCGTGAGCGCGGCCTGGGGAGGGTCATCGCCTTTTTGGGGAGTGTGGGGAGAAACGCGGCTCGCCTTGTCGTGGCTGGCGATACGCCTCTGCAGGAAGGGTGTGTCTCCCCGCTTGAGGATTCTCCCTATAGATAAAGAGGAGACTCAGCAGAGCCTTAATTAGAGATCACAGAGGACTGACAACGAGCGTCCGGAAGACGAATTGGCAGCGAGGTGCATGGATTCGATACAGAAGCTGGAGATAGAGTCCAGCTAACAGACCACTGCAGTTCGACGGAGCCAGAGTGAGGCAACGAGGAGAGATGTCGGGGAAGGAAAGGGGATGGGACTTGGGGACTGGAGCGGCTCGAGAGCGACGGAGAAGGGGGCGTTAGGCTCTAAGGATTCTCTTACTGTGCCTCCTCCCCGTGTCCTCGGGTGGCGGCTGCGCAGCCCTCCAGCCCTCAGAGCTGCCCTGCAGCACCTTGGCCACTAGGAGGCAGGCCCGCCTTATCTGGAGCCCCGGCCGCCGCTCACTCCAGGGAGGGCTGCGCTGCTGCTTAAATTCCAAGTCAGGCCAGCCCCTGGAACGCTTAATGGGAGCTTAGATTTAGAACAGTTGATTTTCATTGAGACGGAAATTTGGACAGTCTCCCACTTGATTGAAAACGGCTAGAAACAAGGCTTACGGTAGAGCAATGAATGCCAGAGTGCAGGCGCCGGTGCCCAGGCGGCCCGGGGAACAGGAGGGCCGGAGGAGGAAACAGCTGCCTGCAAAACACCAGCAGCGCCCTTAATTAACACCAGTGCTGGCCAGGGGGATTGTGCTTCCGGAAATTCCCAACGTCCTTTCCCTGCTTGCCCAGGGCCATTCCATTATACAGTTTCAGACCAGTCCCAGGTCTGAAATGGAAAGAGATGTTACCCTAGATGCCCGGAGACAGCGGGGCCGCAGAGACCTCGCACAGCCGAATAGCAGTGGAGCAGGTGTGTGTGTGTGCATGTGCATGTGTGCACGCTGTGAGGGTGTGGTGTGTGTAACATGCTCCCATGTGTCCGTGTGCCCGCTCTGCAGGGGGAATGTTAATGTTTGATTGTTGTTTGGCTTCAGCCCAAAAGAGAAACAAATAATGAGGTGAACGGAAATGAGCTGGAGTCTCTGCTTTCACCGCTAATTAGTCCCTGCTCGATTTTGACGAAGAAGACATACAATAGACACAAGTGAGCAACGAATGAGAAACTCAGGGACCTAGGCTGGGGAAAGGGCGTCGGGTGGGGGGTGTGTGGGCAGGGCTAGGAAGGGAATCTCAGAAGCCAGTGTGCCTGGATCAGGCCGACAGGTCATTCCCACCCTTAGATGAAAATCTGCGCATTATTCCATCTTGGCTGGCATCTCTTATGGGCTGGCCTTCATCTTACTAACGCCATTTCACTTTTTGAAGGGTTGACAGTTACCTTCTTCACCTTCCCCTGGGCAGTTCTTTGTTGTCTTTGTCAGGCTGGCCCCTGTCCATATTTCTCAGAGCCCTGGTCACAGCTCTCTTACTCACCAGCTGCTCAGACAAACCCAGCCTTGACCTGGCTCTGCACTTCAGCACGTTGCCTGCTGCTCCTTAGACTCTTCTCTTGCTACCTGTGAAAGGTCAGATGCAAAATGGTGAAGGCAGAAACAGACTGTTTGATGACAAGGTGAGGAAGAGCTGCTGCTCAATATACCTGTGTGTCTATTGATGTGCAAGTGAGCAGGAAAGATGGTGGTAGAAAGTCATGTTAGAGACCTCTGTGGCAGACCCTTCAATTATCAGCAATGCCAAGGGTCCCTGTCTGTGGGGCCCCCACAGGCACAACTCGTATGGGCTCCAGAGACACCATTTCAGCTTGAGAATGTGTCCCCCAAGTTGCTAAAGTATGTGTCCTACCCTCAGAGTACCTGGTCTCTCCAGGGCTCTCATAGCCCCTTGTGAATATATGCCTAGGAGTGCATGCTCCTTGAGCATGAATATGAGAATTATAAAAAAAATTCTTCACCCAGAGCAGGTTCTCCTCAGACTTGTATTCTCGAATGTGTGTGTGAGAGAGGGAACTTCATTTCTTTCACATCCTAATAAATACAGAGAATGGTCACTTCTTAGAAACTGTTGTTCACAGCACTTCTGGGTTGTTGCTAGTCTTTATTCCCTTTCTTTTTGCTTGCCCCTTTAGGGCACAACTGTCCCAGTACAGGTTTTCTTTCTAATGCTGCTCTTCTTTTTTGTTTGTTTGTTTGAGATGGACTCTCACTCTGTTGCCCAGGCTGGAGTGCAGTGGTGCGATCTCAGCTCACTGCAAGCTCTGCCTCCTGGGTTCAAGCAATTCTCCTGCCTCAGCTTCCCAAGCAGCTGGGATTATAGGCGCGTACCACCACACCCAGCTAATTTTTGTATTATTAGTAGAGATGGGGTTTCACGATGTTGGCCAGGCTGGTCTCGAACTCCTGATCTCAAGTGATCTACCCGCCTCAGCCTCCTAAAGTGCTGGGATTACAGGCATGAGCCACCATGCCCAGCATGCTCTTCCTTTATAATTTGGTAGATTGGGCCATGGTGGGAGTTCTCAAACTTTAATAATAATAAAAAAAGTCTCTCAAGGAGTTTGTTTTAAATGCAGATTTCTCAGGTCCTGCCCAAATCTATGGAATCAGAATTTCTGGAGCAGTCCATGGGAATCGGCATTTTACCAATCCCTCTGCTACCTCCTCCTCTAAGATCCGAAGTCAGATGGTTCACAGAACACATATCATAAAACGTGGTGCTGATGGAGGCCTTGGGCCCTTGTCTGGCTTGCTCAGGCTGCTATAACAAAACACTGTAAACTGGATGACTTATAAACAACAGCAATTTAATTCTCACAGTTCTGGAGGCTGGAAGTCCAAGATTGGATTTGGTTTCTGGTGAGTGCTCACTTCCTGTTTCCTAGAACAGTTCTTTTCCCCTGCGTCCTCACTAAGTGAAAAGGGAAGATAAGCTCCCTTGGGCTCCTTTATAAGGGCACTGTTCTCACTCATGAGCCCTCCATTTCATGACCTAATCACCTCCCAAAGGTCCCACCTCTTAATACCATCACCTTGGGGTTTAGATCTCAACATATGAGTTTTGGAGAGACACAAACATTCAAACAAAAGCAGTCCTTTTCTTAATTTTGAGAGTTATTTATATATTTTAGACTCAAGACCTTTCTTAGAGATGTAATTTCTAAATATTTTCTTCCTGTCTGTAATTTGTCTTTTGATCCTTTGTCCAAGGTCTTTCACAGAAGTTTTTAATTTTGATGAGATCCAATTTATAAATTTTTCTTCTTATGGCTCATGCTTTTGGTGTCAAGTCTAAGAACTTTGCTTAGTCCTACACCCCAAAGATTTTTCTCTTATATAGTTGTATGTTTATGTTTTAGTCAATTATCCATTTTGAGTTAATTTTGGTATTGGTTTAGGTCCAATTGCTCCAGCACCATTTATTGAAAAGGCTGTTTCTCCTCTATTGCATTGCTTTTACTTCTTTGTCTAAAATTAATGGGAATTTTGAGTGGGTCTATATCTGTGTTCTCTATTCTGTTCCACTGATTGATTGCTTTGCCTGTTCCCTCTACCAATACCATACTGTTTGGATACAGCACTTATATATAGGGCCTTAACATTTGGAAGCGTGATTCTTCCCACTTTATTCTTGTTTTTAAAGTTTTTTTTTTTTTTTTTTTTTTTTTGTTTTTTGCAATTCTTGGGTCTTTCCCTTTCCATATAAATTTTAGAGTAAGCTTGTCTATGTCTATGAAAAAAACTTATTTAAATTTTGATAGTAATTACATTAACATGATCTGGTTACGGAGAAGAAACTGTGTGGAAAAGTTGGGCAGTCGTAGTTGCTATATGATTTGTTAATAAACTTTGATCCTTCTAGAATCCTAGAACCAGAGAGGACTCAACACTTTAAACTGGCTCCAGGGAACATTGTAGGTTCTTGGGGGTTCATAAACTGTCTTTAGGAAAACGGAGCTGTCTTAAGAGAAGTAAGTTGTACGTACTTCTCTGAGAACCGAACTTTCTCTCTTATGGCTGTGAGAACCAAATGTTTACTTAAGTAAAATTGATCTTCATTTCTACTTCAACAGGGAAGGAAGAGCTGAAGGACCCTGGGGATGATTGAACATAGCCTCTCACCAGCGCGCTCAGGAATTGTCCTGAGAGCAGCAGGAGGAGTGGTAATCCTGCAAGAGAAGGTGGCTTTGTTGAGAGCCTTTAAATTCAGCTTTATTACTCGCCAGTCTCCTTCCTTGTGTTCTGGCCATATTTCTTATCCATTAGGCAGCCAGCCCTTCACATGAGATCCTCCTGGTTTTGCATTCTTTTCTGCAATGCTGACACTTCCTTCTAGTTACACCCTTTGGCACTCTAATCTGTGGTCTTAGTTTTAGTCACTGATGAAGATATTTGGCACATTAACTCTTATTTCAGTTAACACCAGATGAAGTGAACTCAATTCCTCTTCTCACACAAAAGTTGGCCCCAAACTAGTTCAAAAATATATTTGAATTCTTTCTTGGCTAGTGTCGGTTATTTGTGTCCCTTTAGTGATCTGATTAATATTTGCTTTTGTGATGGTTGTCACATCAAGATAGCTGCAAGCATTGTTAAAGAGACATTTGATAAGAGGGACTACTTACCTGGAATTCACCCCCAGACCACCGAAATCTTAACTACTGATGACAGTTTTGTGTATCCTTTAAGGAGCTCTTGAACTCTGAATTCTATAGAGAAAATAAAAAGATTTGTTGAAAATGACTGACCCCATGTGGGTTGAGAACTATATCCAGTTAACTAAACTGTAAACAGCTAACTGAATCTGTTAACAGTTAAGTATGTTATCTATAAAATAAGCTTCAAGTAGCACTGTGTTGTAACTTCTTGGTGCCTCCAAATTAAGAGTTAAACCCTTAGATCTGGCTAAGGAAATGACTTTATCCTAGCCCAAAGGAGACCTTTTCCTCAACTCTTCCTCCATTATTTTTATTCTCTATTGTTTACTCATCGTCTCATATGTCCCCTGTCATGTTACATTGGAATCATTTCTTTTAGATGCAAACTGCAGCTGATGTGTTCATTGGGTCTATTGCAGCCCCCACCAAGTGTTCACTTCTGGTGAGAGGCATATCCAGGGCCTGAGTGCTGGAACCCAAAGATGACAAGGGTGGAGCATTGATGAGTTAACCTCGCAGCTGGAGGGTCTGTGCTGCATAGTCTCCCCTTGGGCCATGAGAGCACATGCTTGAGAATTACATAAGCCTGTAGCAGGGCAGGGCTCAGGGCTACGGAATTGATAACACCAGTGGGACTAAGGCATCCACCATCTGTTCTTTGTTATGTTCATGCCCATCACCAAAGTAAAAATCACAGTCATCCTTCTCTCCACCATTTCTGTCTCAATCAATCACTTCCTCCTAGGCTGGCCAAATTATCTTCTTCAACTTGCCAGAGGAAGAGGGAATGTCTTTTGGTAAGGCACAGAGGAGCCCTTGGTTTTCCAGTTACACTCCTGCTAATTGCAGAGATTTCTCAGTTCGTGGTAATCATGGAGGCTTGCATCTTTAAGCGCTTGCCATCTGCAAAAACTGGCCCCAGTTGCTATCCGGAGATGGCATCTCCCACTGAAATCTGCATGAACTTTGTCCCTGTGGGCTGCAGGGACCTGAGTAGTTTTCAAGTCCCTGGCTTTTGATAGGAAGCAAAAAGCTTCTAGATTGAGTACAGCCTGAAAAAGGAAGAGAAATCGTGATACTTCCTGTGTTGCAATAACAAACACCCGTCCTAACTGCTGCTAGACAGGGAACTGGCAGTTTAACCTCTTCCTGCTCACTAGGGAGGTGGGGCAGGGCGAGTGGGAGTGGGGAGCTCCCCTTTCTTGCAGGCTCCATCCACAGAACACTTCCTACAAACCCCTTCCTGCCTTTGTAATCCTAGTGTTGCAAAGCTGCCCTGTCTGCTCTGTGCAGAGCCCTCTCTGTGCTCTGCCTCGCCTGTGCCCTCTCTAATTGCCCTCTTCCTTACAAAATCCAGCTGCCGGTTGAGGCTTCTCTCCCTGAATTTACAGCCGTCTAATCAACTGGTAATTTACTTTCAATCAGTGCCGGATTGTGTTCCTCAGATTCATATCTCCTTTTTCATTTAGTGAGGAAATGATTGCCTTTCCTCTTTACCATTTGTTTTAAATATTAGCTGCCATGTTGTGCCGAGCAATGGTCTCTTAAATACGAAGGTACGATCTGGCAGTTCAAGACAGCATTTGTCCAAAGCTGTCTGAACACTTACAGTGTGCTCGAGGCAAGTCCGCATGCCTAGGACTGGGGTAGCGTCTGTCATGCTGTCTTATGCCCCAGTGACTTAAGTTCTTCAGTTGTCAGTGTCAAATCTTGATTTCTAGAGGCTCCTTGTTATTTAATTCCAGCCAGGAACTGATTTCCTTGCAGGCTTCTGTGAGGCCATCCTGAATGGCTGCAGTGGGGTGAGGATGGTCTGGGGCTGTGCTATGAGGCTTTGACCCTGAAGTTTCACCTGTTAAGATCTGAAAAACTGCAGGCCAAGAACATTAACAGGTTGTTTTGTGGCTTGTGGGGCAGGTTGAGTAGCACAGAAGAGAAGCTGGGGAGATGGAGAGAGAGCAGGCAAGGGGAGAGTCAGAGATGAAATGAGTGACCAGTGGGTCAGCTGAGGCTCATCCGCCCAGACCCTGCTCTTAGGCATATCTTGAATGTGTCCCTGGACATGCTCTTACATGTGAATGATGTTAGTAAGTCTCATCCTTTCTGCTGAGAAGCACTTTCCTAGTAGGACAGGATCGGGGCTGAGGAACTTTCGACCCCAGCCCACTTTCTAGCTATTTGCTCTTATTAAAAATCTTCCTGCTGGCCAGGCACAGTGACTCAAGCCTGTAATCCCAGCACGTTAGGAGGCTGAGGTGGGCAGATCACTTGAGCCCAGGAGTTTGAGACCAGCCTGGGCAACATGGCAAAACCATATCTCTACAAAAAATAGAAAAATTAGCTGGGTGTGGTAGTGCATGCCTGTGGTCCTAGCTACTCAGGAGGCTGAGGTGGGAGGATCACCTGAGCCCAGGGGGGTTGAGGCTGCAGTGAGCCGTGATCGTGCTACTGCGCTCCAGCCTGGGTGACAGTGTGAGACCCTGTCTAAAAAAAAAAAAAAAAAATCTTCCTCTGAAGAGCCTGAGGATTCCTCCCTTCTCCCAACTTCCCATACTTCTTTTATTTGTTTGGCTCATTTTCAAGAGCATTCTAGAATTTCTCTAAAGGAGGGCCTTAGTGGTGGCCATCTATTTGAAGCGCTAAGGTGGGTAGAACGATGCTAGAGGACATGTTTCAAAGTTGCCTGGCAGAGCAGGTAAGCTCCTTTCCTTCACAGGAAACGTAGGATAAGGGCACAGCTCCTGCAAGCAGCCTGCCTGAGTTCGAGTGCTAGGTGTCTCACTCAGCTTAGTGATCCCAGACAAGGTTCTTAGCCTCCATGTATCTCAGTCTCTCTTTCTATGGACTTAGGATAGTAATATCAGGATTCTTGCGATGATTAAATAAAATAATGACTGTTAAGTTATCTTCTGATTACTGTGCTTGGTACATGAATATCAATAAATGTTAGTTTTTACTATTAGGTTGCTGGGGATGGGGTGCGGGGAATAACAGAAATCACAGGGAAGGCTCCAGCTCCTCCAGAGCACTGCTAGTGGTGCCTTTGCTAAACACTCTTCACTGTTTTCGGTCTCAGTTGAAACAGAAGTTTCTCCACAAGGCGTTCCTCTCTACCTCCCAGCCTTCAGACTCTGAGTCAGGCATCTGTCTCTATGCTTCCCAGAACCCTGTGCTCACAGACACTCACCCTTTTCACCTCAGTTTAACTTGACCTCTGTAAAGACCCTGTTTCCAAATAAACTCATATTTGGAGGTACTGGGGGTCCAACATATCTTTTTGAGGGACTACAATGTAACCATAACACTGACCAAGCAGAATAACTGGTTGAGGAGGAATAGAAGTGGAATGGATTGTCATCCGAGAGTTTGAAATGGCTAAGGATATCTGGACTTCTGACATGCCCTCAAAACTCTCATGGAAACATTTGGATATTTCAGAAAAAGAGAAAGAAAAACTCACAGGTATAATCTAAAGACCTGATCTAAAGACTCATTAATGAGAGATAGATGACTTTCAAAAATAAAATTCCGATAACACAAGTGGAAGTGATTCTGAACAAAGGGAGTGTCTGGCTACCAAGAGAGCTCTTTGGTGAGTTCTTAAAGGGTCATGAAGAATTGTAGGAAGGAGGAGTGCATAATAAAGACAGAATATAACCTGCAAAAAGAAGCAGAGTGTGAAATACATTTTATAAAAATTCTAAGGGCAATAAAATGGGCTTTGTTAGACATATATAGAGCAAAGAGAACAACGTGGAGCAGGCACCACATGGGGCAGAAGATTTACGTCAGCAGATGACTATGGGCAGCAGCTGTTGATTTTGTTCTGAATTCTTCAATAGAATAATTTCCAAATTGTAAAGGCAGATCAAAGATGGGCAAAGATGAAAAGAAGTCAAATATTGATGAGGTAATACAAAGAAATCACTAGCTGTCTTAAATGAGCTCAAATATTTATACTAGACTAGGGGTCGGCAATTTTTTTCTATAGAAGTGATATTTTAGGCTTTGCAGGCCATATGGTCTTGGTTGAAACTATTCAACTCTGCTGTTATAGTGTGAAGGCAGCCATCGACAGTTTGGAAATAGGCAAATAGGCATGGCTGTGTTCCAATAAAACTTTATTTACAAAAATAGGCTGCTAGCCAGATTTGCGCTGGACTGCAGTTTGCTGATCCCTGCACTAAAGCAATGACAACCCAGACAACTGAGAGAACTTGCTGTTGCAACACAGAACCACTGTCAGTAATCTCTGAAAAATGCTGCAAGAAAGAGGAAATGCTCAGAATCTGGAGAAGGGCAAAGAACAAAAAGATTCTAAAATCTGTAGTTCACATGGTTTAGCACAGGTTTCTGACACATTTCCAGAACAAATGATTAGATAATCCTATATAACAAATGTGAACACCTACTTTGCACTATTTTAAGTTCCTAATGGTAAACACAACAGAAGTGGCCTTTGTACTCAAGGAATTTTTAGTGTCAAAAGAAAAAGTGATTTTGTAAGAAGTGATTACAGTGGCACTGAATGCTTTGAAAGGGGTTGGAGCAATGAAGATTTAAGCAAGGGGATCTAACTTAGTTTTGGGGAATCAGAGGAGGTCTCTCTGAAAAAACTGAGATCTAAAGCATGAAATTAGCCTGGAAAAGAGGACAGGGTAGAAAAGCATTCTAAACAGAGGGAAGAGCCTCTGCAAAAGCATCCGAGAGACTCCTCAAGACACAGAAGTAAACCAAAAGAGGTCCATGTGGCTAGAGGACAGAGAAGGAGAATGGGACAGGACAAACCTGAGTGGCAGGACAAAACTGAGCAGCAGGCAAGAAGTTCAGGACTATGAACTTTGTCATCTCTCTAACACACCAGTCTAGCAACACTAGCAAAAATAAAAAGAGGTGACTTTGACAGAACTTTGTTGTAGTGAGCTCACATTGGCTCCAATAACCACAGTTCCCTTTTCAAATGCTCATGAACCAGCCTCTTAGCTCTTCTCCCTGCTCCTAGTCTTAGTTCCCTCCAATCACTCCCCACCCAGATGCATCTTTAAAATGCAAATCTGATCATATCATGCCCATGCTTATACACCTTTAGTGGATTACCATGGTTCTTGGGATTTCATGTATTTAGATTTTAACAAGGCAGTTAACTAAAATATTTTTTAAATTGATAAATAAAAACTAGGCTGGGTGCAGTGGTTCACACCTGTAATCCCAGCACTTTGGGAGGCCAAGGCGGGTGGATCATCTGAGGTCAGGAGTTTGAGACCAGCCTGGCCAACATGGTGAAACCCCATGTCTACTAAAAAAAAAAACAAAAAAAACAAAAAAAAAACCTGGGCCTGGTGGCGGGCGCTTGTAATCCCAGCTACTTGGGAGGCTGAGGCAGGAGAATCATCACTTGAACCTGGGAGGCAGAGGTTGCAGTGAGCCGAGATCATGCCATTGCACTCCAGCCTGGGTGACAAGAGCAAAACTCCATCTCAAAAAAAAAAAAACCAACCAAACTATATGTATACATATATATATACACACACACATATATACATATACACACACACATACACATATGGTGTATAACACGATGTTTTGATATGTATTCATTGTGGAATGGCTAAATCAAGCTAATTTGACATATTCAACATTTACCTAAATCTTTAATGATGTTTTTGGGTGGAAATGAATTTGTAGCTGATACAAATTTGAATTAATAGAATATAGTCAAATGTCTTTAATGTATTGCCACGGGCTCATGTAAGCTCCACCTACAGTTATGTCTAGAACATATGGCGTTCAAGGTCTCTGCATCAGGGGAATAGAGGAATAGAAGAATCAGATTGTCTCTTAAATGCCTTGGCCCGGGAGGAGCCAAGATGGCCGAATAGGAACAGCTCCGGTCTACAGCTCCCAGCGTGAGCGACGCAGAAGACTGGTGATTTCTGCATTTCCATCTGAGGTACCGGGTTCATCTCACTAGGGAGTGCCAGACAGTGGGCGCAGGTCAGTGGGTGCACGCACCGTGCGCGAGCCGAAGCAGGGCGAGGCATTGCCTCACCTGGGAAGCGCAAGGGGTCAGGGAGTTCCCTTTCCGAGTCAAAGAAAGGGGTGACAGACGCACCTGGAAAATCGGGTCACTCCCACCCGAATATTGCACTTTTCAGACCGGCTTAAAAAATGGCGCACCACGAGACTATATCCCACACCTGGCTCGGAGGGTCCTACGCCCACGGAATCTCACTGATTGCCAGCACAGCAGTCTGAGATCAAACTGCAAGGCGGCAGCGAGGCTGGGGGAGGGGCGCCCACCATTGCCCAGGCTTGCTTAGGTAAACAAAGCAGCCAGGAAGCTCGAACTGGGTGGAGCCCACCACAGCTCAAGGAGGCCTGCCTGCCTCTGTAGGCTCCACCTCTGGGGGCAGGGCACAGACAAACAAAAAGACAGCAGTAACCTCTGCAGACTTAAATGTCCCTGTCTGACAGCTTTGAAGAGAGCAGTGGTTCTCCCAGCACGCAGCTGGAGATCTGAGAACGGGCAGACTGCCTCCTCAAGTGGGTCCCTGACCCCTGACCCCCGAGCAGCCTAACTGGGAGGCACCCCCCAGCAGGGGCACACTGACACCTCACACGGCAGGGTATTCCAACAGACCTGCAGCTGAGGGTCCTGTCTGTTAGAAGGAAAAATAACAAACAGAAAGGACATCCACACCGAAAACCCATCTGTACATCACCATCATCAAAGACCAAAAGTAGATAAAACCACAAAGATGGGGAAAAAACAGAACAGAAAAACTGGAAACTCTAAAACGCAGAGCGCCTCTCCTCCAAAGGAACGCAGTTCCTCACCAGCAACGGAACAAAGCTGGATGGAGAATGATTTTGACGAGCTAAGAGAAGAAGGCTTCAGATGATCAAATTACTCTGAGCTACGGGAGGACATTCAAACCAAAGGCAAAGAAGTTGAAACTTTGAAAAAAATTTAGAAGAATGTATAACTAGAATAACCAATACAGAGAAGTGCTTAAAGGAGCTGATGGAGCTGAAAACCAAGGCTCGAGAACTACGTGAAGAATGCAGAAGCCTCAGGAGCTGATGCGATCAACTGGAAGAAAGGGTATCAGCAATGGAAGATGAAATGAATGAAATGAAGCGAGAAGGGAAGTTTAGAGAAAAAAGAATAAAAAGAAATGAGCAAAGCCTCCAAGAAATATGGGACTATGTGAAAAGACCAAATCTACGTCTGATTGGTGTACCTGAAAGTGATGGGGAGAATGGAACCAAGTTGGAAAACACTCTGCAGGATATTATCCAGGAGAACTTCCCCAACCTAGCAAGGCAGGCCAACGTTCAGATTCAGGAAATACAGAGAACGCCACAAAGATACTCCTCGAGAAGAGCAACTCCAAGACACATAATTGTCAGATTCACCAAAGTTGAAATGAAGGAAAAAATGTTAAGGGCAGCCAGAGAGAAAGGTCGGGTTACCCTCAAAGGGAAGCCCATCAGACTAACAGCGGATCTCTCGGCAGAAACCCTACAAGCCAGAAGAGAGTGGGGGCCAATATTCAACATTCTTAAAGAAAAGAATTTTCAATCCAGAATTTCATATCCAGCCAAACTAAGCTTCATAAGTGAAGGAGAAATAAAATACTTTACAGACAAGCAAATGCTGAGAGATTTTGTCACCACCAGGCCTGCCCTAAAAGAGCTCCTGAAGGAAGCGCTAAACATGGAAAGGAACAACCGGTACCAGCCGCTGCAAAATCATGCCAAAATGTAAAGACCATCGAGACTAGGAAGAAACTGCATCAACTAACGAGCAAAATCACCAGCTAACATCATAATGACAGGATCAAATTCACACATAACAATATTAACTTTAAATGTAAATGGAATAAATTCTCCAATTAAAAGACACAGACTGGCAAGTTGGATAAAGAGTCAAGACCCATCAGTGTGCTGTATTCAGGAAACCCATCTCATGTGCAGAGACATACATAGGCTCAAAATAAAAGGATGGAGGAAGATCTACCAAGCAAATGGAAAACAAAAAAAGGCAGGGGTTGCAATCCTAGTCTCTGATAAAACAGACTTTAAACCAACAAAGATCAAAAGAGACAAAGAAGGCCATTACATAATGGTAAAGGGATCAATTCAACAAGAGGAGCTAACTATCCTAAATATATATGCACCCAATACAGGAGCACCCAGATTCATAAAGCAAGTCCTGAGTGACCTACAAAGAGACTTAGACTCCCACACATTAATAATGGGAGACTTTAACACCCCACTGTCAACATTAGACAGATCAACGAGACAGAAAGTCAACAAGGATACCCAGGAATTGAACTCAGCTCTGCACCAAGCAGACCTAATAGACATCTACAGAACTCTCCACCCCAAATCAACAGAATATACATTTTTTTCAGCACCACACTACACCTATTCCAAAATTGACCACATAGTTGGAAGTAAAGCTCTCCTCAGCAAATGTAAAAGAACAGAAATTATAACAAACTATCTCTCAGACCACAGTGCAATCAAACTAGAACTCAGGATTAAGAATCTCACTCAAAGCCGCTCAACTACATGGAAACTGAACAACCTGCTCCTGAATGACTACTGGGTACATAACGAAATGAAGGCAGAAATAAAGATGTTCTTTGAAACCCACGAGAACAAAGACACAACATACCAGAATCTCTGGGACGCATTCAAAGCAGTGTGTAGAGGGAAATTTATAGCACTAAATGCCCACAAGAGAAAGCAGGAAAGATCCAAAATTGACACCCTAACATCACAATTAAAAGAACTAGAAAAGCAAGAGCAAACACATTCAAAAGCTAGCAGAAGGCAAGAAATAACTAAAATCAGAGCAGAACTGAAGGAAATAGAGACACAAAAAACCCTTCAAAAAATCAATGAATCCAGGAGCTGGTTTTTTGAAAGGATCAACAAAATTGATAGATCGCTAGCAAGACTAATAAAAAAAAAAAAGAGAGAAGAATCAAATAGACGCAATAAAAAATGATAAAGGGGATATCACCACCGATCCCACAGAAATACAAACTACCATCAGAGAATACTACAAACACCTCTACTCAAATAAACTAGAAAATCTAGAAGAAATGGATACATTCCTCGACACATACATTCTCCCAAGACTAAACCAGGAAGAAGTTGAATCTCTGAATAGACCAATAACAGGAGCTGAAATTGTGGCAATAATCAATAGTTTACCAACCAAAAAGAGTCCAGGACCAGATGGATTCACAGCCGAATTCTACCAGAGGTACAAGGAGGAACTGGTACCATTCCTTCTGAAACTACTCCAATCGATAGAAAAAGAGGGAATCCTCCCTAACTCATTTTATGAGGCCAGCATCATTCTGATACCAAAGCCGGGCAGAGACACAACCAAAAAGGAGAATTTTAGACCAATATCCTTGATGAACATTGATGCAAAAATCCTCAATAAAATACTGGCAAACCGAATCCAGCAGCACATCAAAAAGCTTATCCACCATGATCAAGTGGGCTTCATCCCTGGGATGCAAGGCTGGTTCAATATACGCAAATCAATAAATGTAATCCAGCATATAAACAGAGCCAAAGACAAAAACCACATGATTATCTCAATAGATGCAGAAAAGGCCTTTGACAAAATTCAACAACCCTTCATGCTAAAAACTCTCAATAAATTAGGTATTGATGGGACGTATTTCAAAATAATAAGAGCTATCTATGACAAACCCACAGCCAATATCATACTGAATGGGCAAAAACTGGAAGCATTCCCTTTGAAAACTGGCACAAGACAGGGATGCCCTCTCTCACCGCTCCTATTCAACATAGTGTTGGAAGTTCTGGCCAGGGCAATCAGGCAGGAGAAGGAAATAAAGGGTATTCAATTAGGAAAAGAGGAAGTCAAATTGTCCCTGTTTGCAGACGACATGATTGTTTATCTAGAAAACCCCATCGTCTTAGCCCAAAATCTCCTTAAGCTGATAAGCAACTTCAGCAAAGTCTCAGGATACAAAATCAATGTACAAAAATCACAAGCATTCTTATACACCAACAACAGACAAACAGAGAGCCAAATCATGAGTGAACTCCCATTCACAATTGCTTCAAAGAGAATAAAATACTTAGGAATCCAACTTACAAGGGATGTGAAGGACCTCTTCAAGGAGAACTACAAACCACTGCTCAAGGAAATAAAAGAGGATACAAACAAATGGAAGAACATTCCATGCTCATGGGTAGGAAGAATCAATATCGTGAAAATGGCCATACTGCCCAAGGTAATTTATAGATTCAATGCCATCCCCATCAAGCTACCAATGACTTTCTTCACAGAATTGGAAAAAACTACTTTAAAGTTCATATGGAACCAAAAAAGAGCCCGCATCGCCAAGTCAATCCTAAGCCAAAAGAACAAAGCTGGAGGCATCACACTACCTGACTTCAAACTATACTACAAGGCTACAGTAACCAAAACAGCATGGTACTGGTACCAAAACAGAGATATAGATCAATGGAACAGAACAGAGCCCTCAGAAATAACGCCGCATACCTACAACTATCTGATCTTTGACAAACCTGAGAAAAACAAGCAATGGGGAAAGGATTCCCTATTTAATAAATGGTGCTGGGAAAACTGGCTAGCCATATGTAGAAAGCTGAAACTGGATCCCTTCCTTACACCTTATACAAAAATCAATTCAAGATGGATTAAATATTTAAGCGTTAGACCTAAAACCATAAAAACCCTAGAAGAAAACCTAGGCATTACCATTCGGGACATAGGCGTGGGCAAGGACTTCATGTCCAAAACACCAAAAGCAATGGCAACAAAAGCCAAAATTGACAAATGGGATCTAATTAAACTAAAGAGCTTCTGCACAGCAAAAGAAACTACGATCAGAGTGAACAGGCAACCTACAACATGGGAGAAAATTTTTGCAACCTACTCATCTGACAAAGGGCTAATATCCAGAATCTACAATGAACTCCAACAAATTTACAAGAAAAAAACAAACAACCCCATCAAAAAGTGGGCGAAGGACATGAACAGACACTTCTCAAAAGAAGACATTTATGCAGCCAAAAAACACATGAAAAAATGCTCACCATCACTGGTCATCAGAGAAATGCAAATCAAAACCACTATGAGATATCATCTCACACCAGTTAGAATGGCAATCATTAAAAAGTCAGGAAACAACAGGTGCTGGAGAGGATGTGGAGAAATAGGAACACTTTTACACTGTTGGTGGGACCGTAAACTAGTTCAACCATTGTGGAAGTCAGTGTGGCGATTCCTCAGGGATCTAGAACTAGAAATACCATTTGACCCAGCCATCCCATTACTGGGTATATACCCAAAGGACTATAAATCATGCTGCTATAAAGACACATGCACACGTATGTTTATTGCGGCATTATTCACAATAGCAAAGACTTGGAACCAACCCAAATGTCCAACAATGATAGACTGGATTAAGAAAATGTGGCACATATACACCATGGAATACTATGCAGCCATAAAAAATGATGAGTTCACGTCCTTTGTAGGGACATGGATGAAATTGGAAACCATCATTCTCAGTAAACTATCGCAAGAACAAAAAACCAAACACCGCATATTCTCACTCATAGGTGGGAATTGAACAATGAGATCACATGGACACAGGAAGGGGAATATCACACTCTGGGGACTGTGGTGGGGTTGGGGGAGGGGGGAGGGATAGCATTGGGAGATATACCTAATGCTAGATGACAAGTTAGTGGGTGCAGCGCACCAGCATGGCACATGTATACATATGTAACTAACCTGCACAATGTGCACATGTACCCTAAAACTTAAAGTATAATAAAAAAAAAAAAATACCTTGGCCCAGAAATGACATCACCTTTACTCACCATCCATTGGCTGGAGGAAGTCACATGGCTCCAACCCAATTGCAACAGCGTTTGGGTAAAGCAAGGGAGTACATGGCATATTTGGCAAGAATTGTCTTTGCCACAGTGTGCTTATTGAATCTATGTATATCATAAAACATGGATGGTTAGTTAATATGTTTGATAGAATTAAAATTCAAAAATATCTCAACCGGGTGGAAAGATATACTAAATTAACAAAGAGATATTTAGGAAGATTAAATATAAAGTCCTACACTTTTGTTAAATTAAAAATGAACTATTTTAGTACAAGGTGGAAAATACCTTCCTTGACACATTTCAAGTAAAAGAAAACCACACAAAACAAATGGTTTTAGTTAACCACATGCTCAGTATGAATCCCAGGGCCTGCCAAAGAAATCTAAAGTAATCATAGCAGCATTAATGGATGTATGAAGTTTACAATAAAATCGATAACAATCCCCTTGTTCTCTTGGTTGGCTAGAGCACATCTGCTGGTGGGTTCAACAAAAGGGGCTCCCTTTAAAGAAGAAGACTGAGAAGCTGGAATGAATCCAGAGGAAAGTGAGTAGGATCCTGAGGTTTGTTGAAAGACATGGGGAAAACACTAGACTTCAGATGAAGAGATTCAGGTTTAAGTTTTGAAATTGCCACTTCCAGATGACATTGGGCAAAATCTACTCCCCACCTCTACCCAAAGCTGCATTTCTTCTCTCTAAACCTTATCTTCCTCCCGGGCAAAGAGGGAGATCTGTACTTGAATTTCTGAGGCCCTTTCCAACTTGAAAGTTTGGAAGCTACAAAATTACATCATCTGAGAACAGTTGAAGGAATCAGGGGAGATGTAGCCTAGAGCAGGAAATATTGAACGGGAACATAGGATCTGCTTTAATTATTTGAAAGGTCATCATGAGAAAAAGAAATTTAGATTTGCTCTGCGTGTCACTCAAGAACAGATCTATGGCCAGAGGGAAGAGGGTGTGGAGAATATTCTGATTGTCGGCACTTCCTAATGATGGAATGGGCTACCGTGTGAGACAGGGATCATTTAGCAGAAGCAAGACAGAAGTTCCCTTCTAGATCCTCCAAAAGTACCTGGCACAATTATATAAATCTGTGTGAGAACTACATAAACAATTTATCATGAGAACCTGCAGAAATCCCTCCAAATGTGCTCACCTCCAATCCACTTAGTCCATATTTGTCACCCATCAGCATCTTGGGTATCTTCTTTTTCTGGCTCTGTATACTTGATAACCTTCTTCCAACTTGGTGCTGAGATTGACAAGCTTATTTGGTGTTCTCCTTCTAGGTTGTGACCTTTACCCCTCTTTAAGACATAACTTTTTCTATCTGCTATTTGGCCCTTCAGACTGCAACTTTGGGCAATAGATGTCACAGTCGATGGCCTTCCCTAGCCAACAGAACAGTGTGCATTTAAACTGACTCCTCTGATGTTTTTATGTGATATGGGAGGGATATAGGACATTAGACTCCCTGTCAGGGCCACATAGAATAATCCTACCTTGGGTGGGAGGTTGGACTTGATGATCACTGAAGTCCTCTACCACTCTCAGATTCTATGATTTTAAGATTTATATTTACCACTGTTCACAGAAATAGAAAGTTTCAATGATTCTTTATCAGTGGTGATGCTCTTCCCAGAATGCCACCATTTAATAAGTCTCATATATGTACACATACTTCTGCTCCTGGACTTTGCAACTGACCTACTTTTAAAGCTCTTGGAGCAGCTCATGGAGATGAACTAATGCTTCTTAGTTTATTTGTTTCTGGTGTCCTGAATGACCAAAGGAAGCTCACGAAGTACAGCTGGCTAGAGAAGAAGGGAAAGCAGCATCAGTCGTGGAGCGGTGCTGATGATCCATGTGGTCAAACCATGGCTTTGGACTCTTTGGTTCTTGAGTTACCGAGAATCCAAGGCTGTTTGAAGAATGGCAAGGAGGAAAATCTGGCCATAGCTGTGTTGACTCCTAGAATGGTTAGATTCCAATGGAAAACAACAGAAGGTTAAGACCCTGGTTCCACAGGTATCCTGTACAATGGCTCTTCCTCTTCACAGTGATCTTATTAAAAACCCTGAATCTGATCATCACTCCACTAATACTCTCCAACTGTACTTATAATAATATCCAAACTCCATATCATGGCCTTAATGGTCTGATTCCTGTGTCTCTCTCCAGCCCTATTTCATATACTTATTCTAATATTTACTTCTTGAGGGCAGAAACCTTTTCTTATGTCCTGCTGCACCTGCAATATTGAGACCAGCACTTGGCACAAACCTCAATACCTGTTGGTTAAATAAATGAAACCAGGCTGGGCGCAGTGACTCATGCCTGTAATCCCAGCATTTTGGAAGGCTGAGGCAGGTGGATCACTTGAGGCCAGGAGTTTGAGACCAGCCTGGCCATCGTGGTGAAACCCCATCTCTACTAAAATACAAAAAATTAGCCAGGTGTGGTGGCACACACCTGTAATCTCAGCTACTCAGGAGGCTGAGGCAGGAGAATCACTTTAACCCAGGAAGCAGAGGTTGCAGTGAGCCAAGATTGCGCCGCTGAACTCTAGCCTGGGTGACAGAGTGAGACTGTATCTCAAAAAATAAATAAATAAATAATAATTAAAAAAATGAAACCAGTCTTGACTTCCAAAGGACTTTACTAAGTTCGTATAACGGAACCTCTCATCACTATATTCTTAAGAAGAAACCCTTTTTTGAACCCCCACCCCTATATTTCCATGACGCTTCAGGGATGAAAAGCACTCGTTTGATTACTGAGAGGATAGCTGGAGAAGTGAAGAATAATGTGATGTTCAGCTCAAACTCCTTGGGGGAATTCGGTTGTGAAAATGGAATTACCCAAGTTGGATTCCGCCCAGGATGCCAAGCTTAAGTTATTGGGTAAGTGCACATTAGAAAAATGAATTTTGGCAGCTGCCAAAATATTCTCTTTATGTGAAAGTAAGTGACCTTGGGTTTAGTTTCTGTTAACGGCTGGCTTTTTCTGGCAGAGGCAAGAGATGGATACTTTGCAATGGTTTTGCAATGACAGCAGCAGTACCAGGAAACTTGCGGGTTGTTACAGTGCATCCATTTCTCAGCATCCATTATAGTTAGGAATGTGATGGACCAAATGTGCTTTTTATTTTGCCAGTGTTTGGACTCTTCATTTGGAGAATAACCCATGATTGTAGCTGACTATATTCCAAGATTCATAAGCTTTGGCGCCTGAATCAGATACCTATGGAGGAAAAAGAAGCAATTTATTCATTCCTTTCTTTTTTTTCCTCTCCCATTTAACTGTCCCAAATGTCAGTGAATGAGTCAAATGTTCAATATTTTTCCACAGGGGCTGACTTTGGAGAAGCCAGTACAGTCCATCATACTGTTTTCTCAACTAGTTCATCGTGACATTCTGAGATTTTGAAAGGACACCTTTTCCGTGTCAAGCCGTCCCAGGGTGGCTAATATGCCTTTGCTCATTTTTGACAAGACAGAGGGAGGACAGGGTGACAACACAGCAGGATAAAAGGGGAGAGAGTGGCTGGATGCTGGCTGTTTATGCGTGGATGTTGAGAGTGGAAAATGCAGATGGAACTGAGGGTAAGATGCCAGGGAGTTGCAAGAGGGCTCCTTCTCTGAATAACCTCATATTCCAGAAAACTCATAAAATTGGAAAATAGTTTTAAACAGTGGAAGCCTTCTCTGAGGCATTTATATTCCCTGTTAATAAGGTCACAAATAATCACCTTTATTATCAATCCAAATAAAGTATATGATGCTGCTCATGGTAGGATTGGGAGAGAACCACCCCAAAATACCTCCCCAACTAGCCTAGTAAGGTGCCTACAGGTTCTACCCATACTCTTTCTTTGAGTAAAAGCACTAGCTTTCAAATATCCTGAGAAAATGCTGGTATTTTAACTGGGAGAAGAAGATCAATGGACAGGGACAGGGTTGGTTTATTTAGCTGTCTGCTAAGAGTGCAAGAGATTTGCGATGGACTGAATGTTTATGTCTCTCCCAAATTCATGTATTGAAATCCTAATCCCAAGGTGGAGTATTAGGAGGTGGGGCCGGTGCACAACAGCAAGTGCTCTCACAGTGGAGAGCTCTGGGAAGGCAAAAACATCCATGTGTTTGGAGGACCCAGCAAATGAGCCAGCAGATTCATGCCAACATAGACATGTGTGAGCTACTTAATGGTTGTGGCTTCACTACTTCCCTCCAACTTTCACACAATATCTCCTGTGGTCCACACTAATGGGAAACACGCAGCAAAGGGAATTCTGGGAAATGCAGTTCAGCCTCATCAAGTTGACACCCATCAAGCCACCATACCAGGTCAGTTGATTCCAGGATGTGTGGCCTTTCCATGACAACACATTGCCCCTCCTCAAATGGCTCTGTCCATTGCTTGCTCAATCTTTACACCCAAGAAAGGCATTCTTCCTAGGTCAGCTCAGTTTAAGTATTGATACCACAGGCCTGGAACAGGGCAAGGCACGGTGGAGAAGGATCAAGAGGTGAGCATCATCCTGAGGAGACCCTACAACAATTAAACTGCAGTTGGAAAGAAAAAGAGTCTCATCCTTGGGGTGAGCATAGTAAGGGTGAGGCACTTGGTCTTCCACATATCCCTGGCCCCCAGTACCACTTTCTCCCATAGCCCCAGGTACAGCTGTGCCGTCTCTGTACTGCACTAAAGTGTCCAGCCGAGGGGGAGGGAAGACAGTGGGCTGAATTATAGCCCTGCCTTTCTCCCCAGTCTCAGAGATGTTTCAGCCCAGAGGAATAAAAGCTTTTTTCCCAATCCATGGGCCTGAAGGAGCCACCTTTTTATAATTTGCACAAAGGCATTAGAGGTATAACTGTGCCCCTTGAATCATCTGCCTATAGCTGTCTGACATAATAAAAAATATATATTTGGTCTTTTACCCCAGTTCCTGACACATGGGTCTTAAAACCCTCATCATTTCCTGAATGATAGGAGTAAGAGGAGCACCATTTGTTATATTTGGTCTTATTCTCTGTTCCCTGGCACAAGAGCTTTTAAGAACCTTGGAATCTCCAGAGTGATGACTGTCTTTTTTATGCTAATGAGATGACTAGTACCTGGGGTCCCTAGCCAGCTTCAGGATGAGGGCTGGTCACCTGAAAGACCAAGCCTTGATGACAGGGTTAGAACTTTCAGCCATATCTCCCTTCCCCATTCCCCACCTCAACTTCCTGGGAGGGGAGAGGGGCTGGAGAGTGAGTCAATCACTAACAGCCAGTGATTGAACCAACCATATCTACACAATGAACCCCCCATAAAAACCCTAAACAACGGGGTTCAGAGAGCTCCTGGGTTGGTGGACACATTCACGTGTTGGGAGGGTGGTGCACCCCAACTCCATGGGGACAGAAGCTCCTGTACTTGGTACCCTTTTGGACCTCCCTCCAGGTACTGCATTGTCTGTGTGCTCATTTGTATTCCTTATACTCTCCTTTGTAATAAACTAGTAATGGTAGAATGTTTCTGAGTTCTGTGAGCCACTGCAGAAAATTATGAAAGCTTAGGGGATTGTGAGAGCCCCTGATCTGTAGGCAAGCCGGAAGTTATGGGTCACCTGGAGACCCACTACTTGCAATTGGCAAATGAAGTGGGGGCAGTCTTGTGGGACTGAGTCCTTAATCTGTGGGGCTTGTGTTAACTGTCAGCACAAGCTAACCAGTGTCATAATTGAAGTAAAGTGGACATCCAGCACCCAGTTGGTGTCCCCAGAGAATTGGAGAATTGCTCAGTATGACCCACACATTTGGCATCAGAAGTGTGAATAGAGAAAAGGGTTTGTTGTTGTTGTTTGTTTGTTTTTCATTTGAGAAAGCCAAGCCAGGACAGTTTGCCCAGACTTCAGAGACTGCCTTCAGGCTAGCTCAGCTGCTGGTCTACCTGGCTTAAGCCTGAGAGGACCTCCATGTGAGGAAAGTCGGAGCAGAGATGAAAAACCAAACAACTAGTTTTACACTGGTCCTCCCAAAGCATCAGGACAATGCCACCTTTGTCAGGGCTTTGAAAAGAAAATAAATAATTGTTAACAGGATCACATACTTGGTATTGTGCTGAGGATGTTATATGAATTATTCATTCAATAAGTGTTTATTGATGACCTACTATATGCCAGAAAATATTCCAGGTGCTGAGGATATAGAAGAAAACAGACAAAAATCCCTGCCCTCATGGAATTTACATTCCAAAGGGAGAAAGGTAAGAGAATTTAAAAAGTAAAATATATGATATGGAAATGATGATAAATGTCATATAGAAAAATAAAACAAAGAAGGGTGCTAGGAAATGCTGGTGAGAGTTGAGGAGGGGAAGGTAGCTCTTTTAAATGTGGTGACCTGGTAAAGATCTCACTTCAAACTGATCTGGGGCCAGGTGCAGCGGCTCATGCCTATAATCCCAGCACTTTGAGAGGTGTAGGCTAGAGGATCGCTTGGGTTCAGGAATTTGAGACATAGCGAGAGCCTATCTGTATTTAAAACAACAAACACAAACTGATCCAGAGGACATTGCATCAGACAGATTATATTGTTATCATTTCACAGATTAGGAAACTGAAGCTTAGAATATGAAATCTTTTTCTTAGGAAAAGATCTGTTTTCAGCTATTCATATGTTAGAGTCTATCTCTTCCCTAAGTATTTGCATGGCACTTGTTCTTTAGCAGTAGAATGCAAAGCAATTTGTACACGGTTAAGGAATTTTAACACCAAAAGTTGTGCTGAAGGTCTGAGAGAAGAGGAGAGCTTTCATCTCTTGGGACTCCTACAATCACAATGCCTTGGTTGGTGGGTCCTGCGTATCTAGTCTTCCTCTTGACCTAGAACAAACCACTTCTGATGCTAGGCAGGGCTCTGTGGCCACAGAACAGCTTTATGTTGTAGTTTTCTCAGCCAATTTTTAATTAGACTTTGTTTTTGTTTTAGCAGTTTTAGGTGCACAACAACATTGAACAGGAAGTACAGAGTGTTCCCACAAACCCCCTACCCTCACACCATACAATCTCCCCAACTAATGACATATTGCCAGAACAGACTTATTTACAAGGTTAACTTTTTCCCTGTCCTGCCCCTTTCTCACAGATCAAATCCGGGCTACAGATTCCGTTGGTATTGCTCTTTGGGTCCTGAGTCCCCCATTGCCTACCTGGGCTGCCCAGGCTGTCAGGGGCCTGCCATTCTCTCCTTGCAGATGCACAGTACCTGCAGAGGATGTACAACGGTGAGCAGGGCAAATGGGCAAACAGATGTCATGGCTCCACAGTACTCGGGGCTGCAAGCTGTGTGGCTGAGGGCTGTTCCTGCCTCGTCCTGTCAACTCAGAGAACCTTCTCCCAGCCAAAGTTATAAATTCTTTTCTAGGAATTTCTCAGCCCTGGATTTCCCCTTTTGCTTTTTAGTTTCTCATCCTGAGTTGGCTCAGTCTCTTCTTCAGACTTGCCTAAAAACTCCCCTTTTAGTGTTGAGCCTTGAATAAATTTTTGTCTGCTGCCACGGCTGAGTCACTGCCTAGGTGCTGTGTCCATACTGTCTCTAGAAGGCTGCCTGGCCCTGGGGCTGAGAGGAAGCAGCGTCCAGCCAGACACCCACACTTTCAGACAGAGCCGCTTCTGAGAAGCAGTGGGGTAGGAGTGTGTCATCTGCTGGAGGGTGGGATGGGGAGACTTAGGCTGTGGGGAGGGGGAGGAGGAACCCAGCCAGATATGGGTGGAGGGATTGGGAGGTGGGGGGTGACATCAGGCTTGATCTTGCCTGGACTAGGGGGAGGCCGTGGGTGAGCTTGCTTTTTGAGGAAAAAGTTGAGATCATTGATGAGCTTTCCTTACTTGAGAGTCAGGGGATGAGGTCACACCTGGGTTTGTGTTATTTGGGAGACGAATGAGTGAGATCATGCTGTTTCCCTTATTTTGTATCATTAAGTGAGGGGAGGAGGTATACGGTGCCCAGTACACCTTATTTAAGAGGTTGAGGTAGTTTGGATGGCCTTCTGCCTCTAAACCGAGGGTTGCCCTGACCAGGCAGAGCCTGGGAGCAGCCCCTCCCAGGGCAGTTCAGTGCTTGGCTGGTTTTGCTGTATTGCTCAGGTCAGCGAGGGCTGCACTATGGCTTTCATGAGCCCTGATGGCTTTTGCCTTCATGAGCCTTTTCCTCCATTAAATTTTTAAAAAATTTTACGACTGTTGGTATAAAAATTAATATAATACAGGCCAGATTTATTATTATATAAGCAATTTGTTTTTCTTCTGATTTGAAAAGAAATTAAAATTAAAACATTTTTGTGGGCCTCTAAAAGCCCTCTGTGCCTATTGCTCCTAATGGACGAATTGGTCCTGAGGTCACTGGGACAGTCAGGGCTCTTCTGGCCTTCAGAAAGAAATCTGGGGCTGGAGGCAGAGCAGAGAGGGCCCCACCCACTCCCTAACTTCACTTTACCTGTCTGAGACACTCTGCCAGGGAACTGGCTAAGAGAACTGCGCAGAACTGGCCTGTCTTCTTGTACAGTCACACACCACATAACGATGTTTCAGTCAGCGGCAGATCACATATATGACAGTGGTCCCATAAGATTATAATGGAGCTGAAAAATTCCTACTGCCCTCAGCCTCACGGCTCGCAGCCCCGAAAGTACTGTGGAGCCATGCCGTCACTACTGCCTAGTGATGCTGTAGCTGTTGTAACAATGTAGTGCAGCATTGTAGTGCAACACATTACTCACGTGTTTGTGGTGATGCTGGTGTAAACAAACCTGTTGCTAGTCATATAAAAGCATAGCACGTACAATTATGTACAGTACATAATACTTGATAATAAATGACTATGCTACTGGTTTATGTGTTTACTATTCTATATGTTGTTATTTTAGAGTATACTCCTTCTACTTATTAAAAAAGGTTAACTGTAAAGCAGCCTCAGGAAGGTCCTTCGGGAGGTATTCTAGAAGAAGGCATTGTTCTCATAGGAGATGACAGCTCCATGTGTGTTACTGCCCCTGAAGACCTTCCAGTGGGACAAGATGTGGAGATGGAAGACAGTGATATTGATGATCCTGATTGTGGGGAGGCCTAGGCTAATGTGTGTGTTTGTGTTTTAGTTTAAAAAGAAAAAAAAATAGAAAAAGGTTTTAAAGAACAAAGATATAAATATTTTTGTACAGTTGTACAATATATTTGTACTTTAAGTGTTATTATAAAAGAGACAAAATGTTAAAAAAATTAAAAAACGTTTAAAGTTAAAAAGTTACGGTAAACTAAGGCTAATTTATTATTGAAGGAATAAAAAATATTTGTTTATAAATTGAGTGTAGCCTAAGTGTGCAGTGTTTATAAAGTCTATGGTAGTGTACAGTAATGTCCTAGGCCTTCACATTCATTCACCACTCACTCCCTGACTCACCCAGAGCAGCTTCCAGTCCTATAAGGTTCATTCATGGTAAGTGCCTTATACAAATGTATGCTTTTTAATCTTTTATAATATATTTTACTGTACCTTTTTTCTGTTTTTAGATACACAAATACTTACCATTGTGTACAATTGCCTACAGCATTCAGTAGAGTGACATGCTGTATAGGTTTGTACCTTGGAGCGATAGGCTATTCCACATAGTCTAGGTGTATAGCAGACCATACCACCTAGGTTTGTGTAAGTAGGTTTGTGATGTTCCCATAATGATGAAATCACCTAACGTTGTATTTTTCAGAAGGTATTCCTGTCACTCAGCAACACATGACTATACTAAGAGGGTGCTGTGCAGAGGCAGGATGGTCCGTCAGGCAGCAGTCTAGCTGAGAACTTGCTTAAGGTGAAGTGCCCTCTTAGACTAAGTAATCCATCAAAGAGCAGATACTGGCCATTTCCCTAGGCAAAGGCAGAGACCAATGGTTCATTCATTCATTAAACAAATATTTATTGAACCTCAACTATGTGCTAAGTAATATTCCTTGGGGATACAGATAAGTTCTGGGTTTCATGGAACATATACACTGTACATTTAAATCCCTCAAAGTGTCTATTTACAGCCACAGATAAGTTAGAAATAGGGGAGAGGGAAACAGAATTCAATAGTTAGAAGCCTTGTCACCTGTTACTGCTAACAGCCTGACATGCACTATGTCACTTGACCCTCTTAACAACCCTGTGAGGCATGTATTATTATTTCTGTTTCATAAATGAGGAAACAGAGGCTCACAGAGGTTAGGAAACATGTTCACAATCTCACAGCTCACAAGCCTGGGTTGGAAAACAGTTCTCATTCATTCCAAGGTCTGTGATATTCCACCTGGTTACTCTGCCTCACTAGTTACGATTTATGTCCAACAGGAATTTGATTACTAATAGTTTTCTCTGAGTATTTTTTACAGTACAAAGTTATACATACTGCTTTTTGGCAAAGGTGAAGGTAAATCACACCAGAGAGAAGCTAAATTCAGAACGAATGGAAATAGAGCCTAGGTTAGAAATGTAGGAAAGGCAGAACCTTCTTAGTCCATCTGGGCTATAGTTTGTAAAGGGTGAGGTCCTCAATGTCTGGGGAAGACCACCATAGTCAACTGGAGAGATCACTTAGGTTTCAGGAGACATGTGTTTTCATATGAGTGAAATACTGAAGTAACATGTCTGTTAAGGTATGTTTCTGCCATCTGGTTAAGATATGAACTGTAGTTACCATAGGTGCTGAATATACCAACATACAGACAGTAACTGGTGCAGTATACAGCACAGCATGAGAAGAAAATAAACATAAAGAAGAAAATAAAGATCACCTATAATCACACTACTAGGTAATAAACAGCATTAACATTTTGGTGAATATACCTCAAGTATTTTTTCTATTCATATCATTTAAACAAATATACAACTAAAATCTTATATTCTAATAGGGGCTTGATATTTTTCTACTAAAAAATATATCACACACATTTACCCCATGCAGTTAAGTATTCACATACAATATGATATTTAGTGGCTACGTAGTGTTCAGTTATGTAGATGTATCATAATTTATTTAAGAAATCCCCTGTTGGGAACTACAATTAATTTGTTGTCATTTTTCTCACTGTTGTATGTAACACAGACATGAACAGCTTTATGCATAAATCTCAAGAATCCCTAATTACTTCCTAATGGCAAATTCCCAGAAATGGAATAGTTGGCTGACAGAGCTTAAATATTTTCAAGTCTTTTGTAAATAGAAGTTAAGCTTCAAGGAACAAACCCAATTGGCATCAAAATCCTGGAATGTACAGGACGGAATCTCAGATCAGCTGAGACTCCTTCAGGCAGGCACCAAGGCTCTGGGTACACATGGTTCAGAATCCAGGAGTCAGAGACCATTGCACTGGAGACCTAGACACAGCAGGTGAATGTCATTCCTGGAGCAGGAGCTGTTGCTGTTGACTTGTATTGCCACATGCTGGGTGTGTGTGTCTGTGTGTTTGTGTGTGCATGCACACACACATCAAGTGGGGGAAGGGGCAGGAAACTGGGTTCCAGGTGTTCACAGGAGCGAGAAATCTAATGGCCTCTGGATGAACCCTGCTGCCAACTGAGGCAGGGTTAGACTTGCAGTGTGACCTCTCAGACATGTGAGATTTTTCATTCATTTTATGCTGCCTCTGCCTACAGCATCTACCAATCTCAAATATTTACAATCCACTTTGAAATAATATAAGCAAATATGTTTCTTCACAGTTCTTTTCTGCTGTCCTTGTTTTTCCCTATCTATTGAGACCCACATATAATCCAGTCCTGTTCCACACAGCCTTGGTCACATAATAGTAACTCCGACAGAATAATCATCCTCTGAGACCCATAGTTGCCATCATATGTCCATCAACTGTCCTCTGTTGCTGCTTCTAAGCCCAAACCCCATTACCCACCCAAGTCGTTTTAGAAATAGAAGACATTATCTGTTAGAACCAGGAGAAGGAGGGAAAGTCATTAATTAAGTTTCCAAATGCCAAAGCACAAAAATTTCTGTAACTAAAGGCAACAGGAAGGGAAATGTCCAAGCAGAATTGTCTACATAGTTCATCAGCTACTCCTGGAAGAGCATCCAGGGAGATTCAGAAGCAACATTGGCAGTGAAACTAAGGTAGGTGCAACGACTGATGGGCATGAGGAATGGGAATGCCATTCAATGACCATGAGCCTCCAAACCAGTTTGTGAAGGAAAAGGCCCTTTCCTTCTCTCTGGAGGAGGAGGGAGGCTGTGAGATAGCAGGACTCTCATTTTCCAAGGAAATTACCAAAGTGTGATGCTAGGCATCTGGCCAGACTGCATAGGGTGTACCTCACACTTGGAAGCCAGATTTCTGACACAGTCTTGCGAGTTTTTGGGTAGGGCCCAGTCTACATAGTCATTCTCTTTTCTTTTTTCTTTCTTTCTTCCCTCCTCCTCCCTTCCCCTCCTTCCTCTCTATCGTTTCTTTCTCCCTCCCTCTCTTCCTTCTGCATGGTAAGTAGAGTGTGTAGAACATGATTTAATCTATTTTCATTGATTCTGAAAATTCTCCTGGAATCTCACATTTACTGTTAGAAATTATTTTCATTGGATAGGATGAGTATATTGACATAGAAAATCTGGAGACTAGTCTGAGTTGGTAAAGTCCTGAGAAATAGCCTGAAAATTGGTTATGGGCAAATCTCAATTCAGAATTGCTTTCTTGAGATCTTCCATTTTCTTCTGAAAGTCAAAGGCAGAAGAATTTCAGATTAGCTGAGGTTTCTGGTTGTTGAGTCTGGTTAAATCTTTCCTTGCTACTCTCCTCTCTCCTTTTCCAGGTACTGGGAAACTTTTCTGGGTTAAAATATTAGCAAGAACCTAACAAGCGGAAAATTCCCTCTATTTTTACAAGCCATCCGCATCTTTGGCTGCAAGATGAACTTCATATACATAATGATCTCTTGCTGAAAACATTTTATCTTGATTAATTAAAGCACTTTTTCTGCTACTAAAAAGCAGGGAGGAATTTCTGGAAAGGACTCCAAAGGCACTTAGCCTCTTTAAAAGCTCTACTGCCTACAAGTCTAGACTAGCCGATGCCTGCTGCTACTTTAATCATTTTATCTAGTGTGGCACTTCTGCAGGTGGCAGTTGCATACTTTCCATTACTTCTGTTACAATTTAACACTACCAACATAATCGACAACCTTAATTTAAAAAAATGCTTTTCTATTTTAAATGTCATAGATTTTCATTGTAGAAAATTTAAAAATACAGAGAAACACAAAGAAGAAAATAAAAATCACCTGTAATCACACCACTAGGTTATAAACGGCATTAACATTTTGGTGAATATCCCTCAAGTATTTTTTCTATTCATATGATTAAAAATATACACAACTAAAATCTTATATTCTAATAGGGTTTTGATACTTTTCTACTAAACAATATATCACACACATTTTCCCCATGCAGTTAGGTATTCATATACAACATATTTAATGGTTATGTAGCGTTCAGTTGTGTAGATGTATCATAATTTATTTAAGAAATCCCCTGTTGGGAACCACAAATAATTTGTTGTCATTTTTCCCACTGTTGTATGTAACACAGACATGGAACAGCCTTATGTGTAAATCTTCTCAAGAATCTCTAATTACTTCCTAATGGCGAGTTCCCAGACATGGAATAGCTGGCTGACAAAGCTTAAACATTTTCAAGTCTTTTGCTATAATCTTGCCAAACTGGCCTCCAGAAAGGATGCACCAATTTATTCTCCTAAAGAGTTTTAAAGGGAGTAACTCTTTATCTACATTCTCAACAACATTCAGTGTTCAAAGTGAAAGTTTACCAATTTGACAACTGAAAATGAGAATCTCATTTTTACTGAAATTTCCTAGAATCCTATTGAGGTTGAATCCTGCTTCGTATGTGTAACTGGCCATTTGTATGCAGGCCCTAGGGAATGGTTCCCCAATTCTGTCTTCTTGGTTTCCTACTGGGATGGTTATCTGTTACCTTTCAGTTTGCAGGTGAGCTAATTGTTTGGTAGTTTCCACTGTCAGATCATTTCTAAAAATAATTTTTTTCAATCTTTGTTTTAGAATCGGAGTACATGTGCAGGTTTGTTACAAAGCTATACTGTGTGTGCTGAGGTTTGGAATACGAATACATACATCACTCAGATAGTGAGCATGGCACCCAATAGGTGTTTTTTTCAACACTTACCCCCACCCACTTCCTGTATTTCCCAGTGTTTATTGTTCCCATTTTTATGACCATGTGTTTCCAATGTTTAGCCACCACCTATAAGTGAGAACATGCAGTATTTGGTTTTCTGATTCTGTGTTAGTTTGCTTAGGATAATGGTTTCCAGTTCCATCCATGTTGCTGCAAAGGACATGATTTCATTTATTTATGGTGCATACGTACTCCATTTTCTTTATCCAGTCCAGAGTTGATGGGCATCTGGTTTGAGTCTACATCTTTGCTATTGTGAAAAGTACTGTGATAAACACATGTGTGCATGTGTCTTTTTGGTAGAATGATTTATCTTCCTTTGGGTGTATACCCAGAAGACAGATTGCTGGGTCAAATGGTAATTCAACTCTCAGTTCTCTGGGAAATCTCCAAACTGCTCTCCACAGTGGCTGAACTAATTTACATTCCCACCAACAGTGTGTAAGTGTTCCCTTTTCTCCACAGCCTTGCCAATATCTATCCTTTAACTTTTAACAAAAGCCATTCTACTGGTGTGAGATGGCATCTCACAGTGCTTTTGCTTTGCATTTCTCTGATGATTAGTTATGATGAACATTTGTTCATGTTTGTTGGCTACTTTTATGTCTTCTTTTGAGAAGTATCTGTTCATACCCTTTGCCCACTATTTAATGGGGTTATATGTGTTTTGCTTGTTGATATGTTTTAGTTCATTCTTGATTCTGGATATTAGACCTTTGTTGGATGCATAGTTTGTGAATATTTTCCCCCATTCTTTAGGTTGTCTTTTTACTTCCTTGATAGTTTATCTTGCTGTGCAGAAGCTCTTTAGTTTAATTAGGTCCTATTTGTCCATTTTTGCTCCAAAATTTTATGGCAGTTTGTTTTATATATGCTTCATTTTTTTAAAAAAAATCTTCCTAAGAAGGTCATGGAAAGTGAATGCATCTTAAAAACTGTCCAAATTACTCTGCTTTCAAATTTGCAAGTAATCTTTCCTCCTAATCTACTCATGTAATTACTCTGTTTTGAAATTTTGTACTGACTCTTTTTCACTTTTCAAATGAAAACAAAACCTATTTCAAATGAAAAAACTAGGTAGAGCCACACTGTTCAAGACAGTAGCCACTGGCTACATGTGGCTATTTCCATTTAAATTTTAAAAATAAAATAATTAAAATTTCACTTCCTCACTTGCTCAACAGCCACATGTGACTAGTAGCTACCATTTGGACATCATAGATATAGGACTTTCGTAGATAGTTCTGGACAGCACTGATCAACATTTCTAACTGTTCCCATCCCTGGACGTGCTCCCTTCCACATGTGCTAGCCTCTTCTTAGAATACCCTTCTCCCTTTCTTTGGCTAATTCTCACTTATTCCATGTGGTGAACAGGTCTATGCAAACCTAACTCCGAAAGCCAAGGGAGCTAACAGGCCAAAGAAAGAGGTTGACAAATCCAGTTTCTCAGAAAAAAAAAAAATTTTTTTAGGGACTTAGGAACAGAAGCAAGGTCTCTGGTGGCCATGAGACGGTGGATTCCTACACTTGTAGCAAGATTTTAGAGTAAAACATGTGCAGTTGGTCATGTTTCAGATTTTCTTGTGAAACTTGTGACTATTGGGAAGGTTAGGGAAGCATCTTTTTCAGGCTATCTACACTATAACATTGTTTAAAGACCTTGCTGCTTAAAACCTTGCTATGGAGGAGTCAAATATTAGCCACCACGGTGATTTCACTTCAAGATGGCGTCACTCTTGCCGTGCAATAGGCTGTTTTCCTATACCACTTGTCCTTCAACATACAGCTCAGATGTCACCTACTCTGGGGAAGCCTTTCCTGACTACATGTTTCCCCACCTGGATTGCATGCCCTTCTTGGGCCCATTAGAGGCCTGGGCATAGAGTACTCATTGTAGTCCATCTTGGATGTTTGTTCACTGGTTCTTGTCCCCTACTAGCTCACTGAGGGAATTGTATGTGCCTTTACATTCTGATTCTCTAGTACCCAGCTAAGTTCTGAAAAATAGACAGAACTTGGTGTATGCTGAATAAATAGACTGCTCACCATTTGCCCTACCCTGTGCAGAGGCAATGGTTTATCCTTAAAAATTCTCAAGAACTAAAAACATAACAAAAAAAATTGAAGGAGCAACGTATTTGTATTAGGGACAATTCAATTATTAAGAATAATAAAATAATGAAATACACACATATATTTTATGAGCTGCCTCACAAAGGACAGTGACCACAACAACACTATAACATTGCTCTTGTTTATATACATATATACACACGTATTACCTTTATGCTTGAACAAGTGTATATTACTGGAACAATTCTAAACAATATCATTCTAATTATTCATATTTTATTTTATGAATAAAATAAAAATAAAATAAATAAAATTCATATTTTATTTTATTCATAAATAAAAGCCTATGTGAAAGCATATCTTTTATCTTTAGTCCTCCAGAGTCTTTCTGGGTCTTCATCTAATTTCCCTTCTAATGTTACAGCATATTGCTGGCAGAAGGTGCATCTGTGAGTGCCAAGCCTAGATACTTTTTTCTCTCTTAAATAAAAAAATCACAATTAATATATAATTCTTAGAGGAAAAATTCTAAAATACTGATATATATAAAGAATAAAAGAGAGTGCACTTATACTCCCACCACTGAATGACAATCTCTGTTTGCATTTGGATGTATATCTTCTTCCATTTTTTTTTTTTTTTTTTTTTTTTGAGACAGAGTCTCACTCTGTTGCCCAGGCTGGAGTGCAGTGGTGTGATCTTGGCCCACTGCAATCTCTGCCTCCCGGGTTCAAGTGATTCTCCTGCCTCAGCCTCCTGAGTAGCTGAGAGAACAGGTGTGCACCACCACGCCCAGCTACTTTTTGTATTTTTAGTAGAGATGGGGTTTCATCATGTTGGCCAGGATGGTCTCAATCTCTTCACCACAGGTGACCCGCCTGCCTCAGCCTCCCAAAGTACTGGGATTACAGGTGTGAGCCACAGTTCCTGGCCCCAATTTTTAAATATATATATATTCTTTCTTGCATAAGTGAGATCACACTGTGCTTAATTTTAAAAATTTACTTTTTTCAATTAACACATAATGAATTACACGTCAATAAATGTATTTGTAACATTATTTTAAATGTCTACCTAGTGCTTTATTGTAAAAATGTATCATTCTCATTTTTGGAAGCTTAGATTGTTTTCATTTCTCCCACCCATCATGTTGGTGATGTGATGGTTCTCCCTCTGCCTAAGTGTTTTCCAGGGATCTGCCAATCTGACTCTATTCCCTTCCAAGGGAGAAACAAGGAATGACCTCCTTTGGGGCCTTAGCGGGTGTCAGGGAAAAGTGATTATAAGCCTGCTTAGACCAACCCAGGAAGAAACCAGCCATATTAATGGGTTCAGAGTGTTATTCTGAGTTCAGTGGGCAAGGGTTAGTGGATTCTCCAAAAAAGCTTACCTGCTAATGCTTTTTTGGGAGGCGCCACGGCAGGGTTGCAAAAATAAGAGAAAAGGAAAATCCAGGCTGGGAGGAAGGAAAGTGAATATTCATTAATGAGTTGGTCACAGCTTCATGACAAAACAGCCTGTTGCTTGGTGGTATGAGACATCCCTGGCAGGACAAACCAAACCACTCAGCCTAGGAATCACCCACAGGAGGAAGGGAGGGCGTAGAATTTATTGGCAGTCCCCTCAGGGTCTTTTTTTTTTTTCTCTATTTGGTCAAATTTCACCCTACGGGCATAAACTGCCTCTCACTTTCAGGTTGTGTCACCTGGTCCCTCTGAAGAGCCACTGTAGGGGCCAGTCTCATATTCCAAACTGCGCTGCTTCCTCTGTAACGGAAAGTGGTGGGAAGAGTCAGAGTCTCCCAGGGTGTGGTCAGGGAAGCGTGGGTGCCAGAGATGCTGTGGCTCCCTGCTATGGCAGAGAGGGTCCTGCCAGAGGCTGAGGCAGGGGTTGCAAAATAATTAAGCAATGGCACCATCAGAGGAGAAGTGTGCTCTCTAGCGTTTCAACCTGTGGTCTTCCCATTAGCATCAAAGCCCTTGGTTGGGAGAACCAAGGCATTCTGCAGAGTGCTGTCCAGAAGAAACACTAAGACCCGTGCTACCCAGGAGGGTAGGGCAGGAACACAGCATTAGAAAGAATGGGAAAATGAAACTAAGTTCTGTGGGCAGGAAAGCTCCACCTTTCCTCTGGAGACAGAAAAAGAGCAAGAGTCCTAATGGGGACACTTGGCTAACCAAGCTACGTCTTCCACTGTGTCTCTCGCCCTGAGTTATCCAGCCCACAGGGCTCCAAGCAGGCAGATTGGACTTACCTGGGGAGCAGGCTTGAAGGAGGATAAGCAGATACAAACTTTTGCACATCCTCATATACCCTGAGAATGGCACCTCACAGATGAGCACACCGGTACGATAAGGGGCAGAGGGAGGAAGAGAGCTTTGCACTGAGAATGGCGCTCAGAGTTCAGGTAAACTGGGTGGTTTCCTTTTGACTTTGTAGACATGAAACAGGGCAAATTCCCGTTAATCGGCTGGAAAACAGCAGCAAAGCGAAGGAAGAAACCGGGGTGTGAAATAAGGAGGAAGAGGCAGGGACAAAGGACAATGGGCCTGCTGGGTAGTTTTCCTGAGGTCTAGTGATGCCAAGAACAAGCTGAAGTAACACATTAATGTTTATGAGTCTCATGCACCATGAAATTTGATTGGGGCATTGTTAATCTGCCGACTCTTGGCTTCTCTCTGTAGCCTTTGGATTTCTAAAAAACGAGATGGTAGTTTCTTTCTTTTTACAAGAATTTGAACACAGGGAGGAGGCTCCAGACAGACTGTAAGATTATCCTGCCTTTGAATTTAACTGAGGATGGGCTTAAACACCTTCCCCAGTTTCCCACTGCTGGAGGATAAAATAAAGAGGTCTCTGGCATGGGTGGAATACACAGGGCACCCTCAAGCTGATCCTCACATCTTTCCATCTTTACCTCTCATCCATTCCAATGGCCGTGACCCTTCCCTGGCACCAAGCCCTCCAAATGACATCACGTGATCTCTCAGGCCTCTGTCCCCACCCTAAAAGCTCTTTCCCTGACGTCCTCTCATTTCTCTTCTGGGGATCACCTGCATCAAGACTCAGTTCAGGTTCATCTCCTGAAATCTTTCCCATGGCCAGGTGACTCTGGCCCACTTTCCCCGCTGCTCCTAGTGTGAACAGACTTCTGGGTTAGCTCTTACAACACATTGTAGCTATCTGAATGCATGGAGGCCTTTTCCTATTAGATTATGGACTTTTTGAGAACAAGGATCACAGTATTGATTTTTGGTCCTTAAGTATCTAGAACAGTATGTGCTACCTGGAAGGTGCCCAGAAAATGCTGGTTGGTTGAAAAAGCAGTTGTGTTGCCAGAGGACTTCACTTACACACTCACTGCATCACTTATCCTGCTGCCCAGTGGTAGCTGTTTAGCTGTGACTCTTCCATGATGCTCTAGCTCCTTAAGGACAAAGATACAAACTTGCTGCCCTTACAACAATGTCTAGCACATTCTGGGTGTTAAAAAATGTTGACTTTAGGAAAATGTGCAGTATTGTAGATAATTTTTATATTATCCAGAGCCAGAGTTCAGTCTATAGTCATCATGAGACTAGCAAGTTTTCTGAGTACAAGCATTGAGCTAGGCACATCACATACCTCAGGCCACTGATCCTCGCAGGAACTTTTAAAGTGGGTTTCCATTTTACAGATGAGGAGGATGTAGCTCAAGGAGCTAACTGATTTGCTCCAAAACACACATGCAGAAAGCGGCAGAGATGGGATGTAAACTCTGGACCAAATGTGTAATGGCCATGCATTACATCAGGGCCTCCCAGGCTCAGATTCTCTGATGCAGCCAAAGTTTTGGCTGTAGCCCTTAGTGCCTATAATGCCAGCTACCTGTCAACATCTGAACTTCAGAGAAAAGGGAACAAACCGTCTTCCCCAACTCCACTCAGTTCTTCTCCCAGCCCACCTAACTGCTCCATGATATAGCTAATTAGGCACTTGGCTGAGGGTGGGACCAGCATCAAGACATTTTACTACTTTCTGGGAAGGGTCAATACTTGGATATCTTCAATATAAACAGAGGCTGGAGAGTTTAAATAAACTTGCTCAAAGTCATGCATCAGGTAAATGGATAGTAAGAATTGGAACTCCTTTTGGACTCCAGGACTTGTGCTGGAAATGCAGGTCAAGCCTATCTTGTGGTCCACCTCGAAAGTCAGGGTAAGGCCCACAGACAATATCAAGAAGACACTGGGAAGGTTTTTGAGCAGAGGAGCAATAAGGTCAGAGTTACAGCTGGGAACACTAGTCTAATGGTGGAGAAGAGGAGAGAGTCTAGTGTGGAAGCGGGAGTGGCTGATGACGAGATTATTTAGGAGGCAGTTGCAAATACGAGAGTTGTGCCTAGAACAGGTTTACTTCTAAACACATGAAGCTGGAGATGACAGGCAGGAGGAAATGTCCATAAGGCAGTTGGAGGTGGGAGGTGGAAAAGAGATGCTAACCAGAACTAGAAATCTGGGAGTTGCCAAAAAAGGCTGCTGACATAGCCCTGAAGGTAAATGAGGCCACCAAGTGCTGGGGTAAGGACAAAGGGGTACAAAAGGCTGAGGAGTAAGCTTGAAGATTTGGCTTATGCAGAGGGCAGAAGAGGAGGGCTGTGAAAGACAGGAAAGAGGCAGAGGTCAAGCAACGACTTGTATCAGGCTGATCAAACAACTGGACAGCAGACACCAGAATCCCTCCTACATGATGGAAGTGTGTAGAGAAATACATGGGTAAGCCGCTAGGAGGGCCAAGGGTGGGAGTGAGGAGGTGGAGAGTGGGAGACCAGGAAACAAGAGAGAAAGTGAGAGGGCCCTCTGCCAGAAGTGAGGAACCTGAGACGGGTGTTGTGAAGCAGAGAAAAAGACGGAAGGGCTGGGAGGGGGAAGATGGGGATGGCTTTCACAAACATGGGGTTTTAGAGTAGCTTGCACTGCTCTCATGAATGCTCTGCTGTCTCTCCAAACCTTCAATAAAGTTTCTAAAATGCACAAAAACCTAGTGTGAGTGCTGGGGGAGATCCAGGAAGAGGGCAGTGGTTTACTGAAGAACAGGGATCAAACTCTAGAATGGAGATCTAACCTAAGCAATGGTGAGCTGATGAATGGAAGATGTTCCATAGAGACTGAGGCTCAGAGTCAGTGGCCTGAAAATGTAAACACATTGGAAACTTATGAAACCTTAGGGAGGGCAGTGGACTTGGGGGTATAGCCAATTTCATCTAAATCTTAGGGGACATACAGACTCCAGTTCGACATCTGCACTGCAACCTTATCATGGACGATCATAACTATTGAATATTCTTTCTGAACAAGCAAAATGTGTTGGTGGATTTTACAAGATTAAACATGAGTGACGCAAGCCCTCAATGATTTGGTTTGGAGATTTAGTAGGCTGGAGGGAGAACGCAGATCTTAATACAGCATTACATAGACACAGTTTACATCAGCCATTATAGGGCAGGCTGCCCAGCAGCGAGTCATTAGTTTAAATTGTCTGCTGAAGAACATCTCTGGGACTTTTCTGGTCCCTTTGCTCATGAGTAATTCTTTCCTAGAAAACTTTTTCCAACCCCTAAATGTTCCTCCTGATCTAGAAGAATGATGTGACCCAACTGAGAAGGCTGCCACAAAGCAAGGAGGCAAGAGACCTGCCCTCACTGCCTGTCCTGCAGTCACTGGGAGGGTTTGTAACCTTCACTAGGGTCAGGCTGGGGAGGGCAGGAAGCTAGAGCCCTGAGCACACTTCTGTGCTGGGATAAAAATGGAAGCTCAGGGGCTTGGCTAAGGCCCCACCCCTGGTCTCTCCACATTTTCACCACAGAGACTGATGAGACATTTCCTCTTATTCATTTGTGTAAGTCATAGACAAGAGGTGTGTGTACACACCCGTCTCTGAGCATTTAGGAAATTTTGGCTTACACTAGGAGAAGTAAGAGCGTTAACCAAAATTTGTAAAAGTGCCTCATTGAAATCCTGTCAAAAAGATAATGATTTTAAAGAGGGAATAAAATGAAATGATGGCTTTCTTGCAGCTATTCATAATACGCATTCTGCCAGGTTCCCCCTGCTTGCCCAAAGAAAAGGAGAAATGAAAACACTAGGTTTGTAAATTTTCTGCTTTTCTACAATAATTACTGGATATGCTGAAAGATTGTATGAAATTCATGAGTGTTTCTTGGCCTCTATGCATCCTATATTTCCTATCTATAAATGTTAGCAAACATTAAAGAGTTAGAGGTCCTTACATGTAAAACATTTAGAAGTGCTGCTCCATGGTTGAAGAATTTGGTGTGAGATTGTGTGACAGATTGTATTTTTCATAGATGGCTACAACAATAACTCCTGTTCCACATATTCTTAAGATGTGACACTGGCACTTCTCCCACTGAAACGTGGGTTCTGTGTCTTCTCTGCCGCTGCTCCGAAACGGGGCAAGATTTATGACTGTTTTAACTAATAAGAGCATGGCAGAAGTGAGGAATGTGACTTTCGAGGACAGGCCATGAAAGATGATGCAGCATCCTTTTTGTCTTTTGGAATACTTGTTTTGGACCCTAAGCTATTGTGTAAGATGCCTGACTACCCTGCAGCTGTCATGCTGGGAGGAAGCCCAGGCTGCATGGAAAGGTTTGCTATGGCTGATAGCCCCAGCTGAGGTTCCTGCCAACAGCTAGAATCAAACACCAGACATGGGAGTGAAGACGCCTCCAGATGATTGTAGCTCCTAGCCATTAAGTCTTGCCAACTGAGGTCCCACACATCATGGAGCATAAGTAAGAGGTCTTTGCTGTGCCAGATTCCTTACCTACAGAATCTGAGTGTTATAATGTAGTTGCTTTACACCGCTAAGTTTTGGGCTGGTTTGTTACATGGAAATATTAATTGCAACAGATATAAAACCAGGAGCCCTGTTCACTCCCTGAGTTCTTCTAAGATACTTTGTTGGAGAGTTATAGATTCTTGGAACACTATTTGAAAACCTCTGGACTAACTACTCTTCAATGGCTCCAAAATCTCTGCTTGTAATAAAACTAGAATTTAAGAGCTTCATCAGGAAAGAGAAGAATCTCGCGTAGTGTTATGGATTGAATTCTGTCCCCCTAAAAGATGTTGAAGCCCTACTTCTCAGGACCTGTGAATATGACCTTATTTGGAAACATGGTCTTTGCAGATTATCAAGTTAAGATGAAGTCATTAGGGTGTATGACTATGTTCTTATAAAAAGGGGACATTTTGACACAGAGATAGATACACATGGGGAGAATGCCACATGAAGATAAAGGCAGAGATGGAGGTAATGCATCTACAAGTCAAGGATCATCAATGATTGCCAGCAAACTACCAAAAATGAGGAGAGAGGGACGGAACAAACTCTCCCTTACAGTCCTTGGAAGGAACCAACCCTGCTGCAAACATCGTGCTTTAGAACTGAGACAATAAATCTGTTTAAGCCACCCAGTTTGTGGTACTTTGTCATGGTAGCCCTAAGAAACTCTTGCACCTAGGAGTGAATTTGAACAGAGATGATGGTCCCTCATGTTCTAAGTCCCTCAGTTAATGGAGTTAGGCCTTTTGATTGATTCAGTGTTTTTTTTAGAGCCAACTGGGTACAAGTCACAAGGGTAAGCACCACAGAGAAATACAGAGATAAACAAGTCTTGGTTTCTGCACTCACTGGGCCTCCAACTTTGGAAAGAAAGATATGATAAGTCCTAAAACAACCATAATCCAAGTGGTAAGTGTCCTAAATAATGAGGCAGGTAGAAAGTGTTAAGAGAAAGTCTAAATAAGTCTTGAAAACTCTTTAAAAAGTCTCATGGATTTTAATACATGCAGGGCCCTAGATTGGATTTGGATGGACGGACTGACAACAGAAAGGGCATTTCTATGAATATCCCAATACTCTGTGTGCCCCGTCTGATCAAAGTACATAAATAGAGTAAGTATAACTCCTTTATTATTGAGCCTACTTAAAGCATTTGTAGAATCCTGGATAAATTTTTGTATAATTTTTTTCCTCCCTGTATATATAAGAAAAAAAATGATTCTAAACATTTGAAAACAACCCAGAATGCAACTTTTGTCTTACAGTTGTTTACCATAGTGTAGTGCTGTGCTATTAAGAATATCCACGCAGGATATAGTTTGGCAGGTGGGGAGATGGGGAGGGGGATGGAGAATGTCATTATCAGTTTTTCCCATAAGATTTTGAAGTTAACTTCCTGGCATTTTTGATGCAAGTTCTTGATCAGATTTATAACTGAAGCACTTAATAGTCACTAGCAGTTTCTGAGTTAGGGAACGTTACCTGAAAATAATTACCTAGCTGGTTTGCAGTACTTCAGATTTGATTATTATTATTATTATTATTATTATTATTATTTTTTTTTTTTTGAGACGGAGTCTCGCTCTGTCGCCCAGGCTGGAGTGCAGTGGCGGGATCTCGGCTCACTGCAAGCTCCGCCTCCCGGGTTCACCCCATTCTCCGCCTCAGCCTCCCAAGTAGCTGGGACTACAGGCGCCCGCCACTACGCCTGGCTAATTTTTTGTGTTTTTTAGTAGAGACGGGGTTTCACCATTTTAGCCGGGATGGTCTCGATCTCCTGACCTCGTGATCCGCCCGCCTCGGCCTCCCAAAGTGCTGGGATTACAGGCGTGAGCCACCGCGCCCGGCCCAGATTTGATTATTTTAAAGCTGGTAGAATTTGAAGGGCAACAAATCATTCTGAATTTTAGAAAGTGTGTTAAGCACCCCTTATCAGGAGTCTGCTTTCTAAGCTCCATTCTCCCCTTGCCCCCCAACAAATGACAGCCTTATTTAATATAAACCAGGTGTTTAATCTGACATTCTTTGTATTTCCCATTTGACATGAAATCAGTTTCTTTGAGAGGTTACGTGGACTTAAGAAAATATTTACGTAGCTAAATGTTTAGATTGGAATCTCTAGTTTTTAGTTTTACAAGTATGAATTTATTTTAAATACTTCATCACTTAAGGCTGTCAACATCCTGTCTTTGTTTCTAAATGCATAAAACTACTAAATCTGTTAGCATGCTGATATTGTTAAGGCTCAAAGTGTGATTACCAGGGAAGTCTATGAGTCACACCACCAGAGGCTAGAACCTGGGGGAGAGTTCAGAAAAAATAGTCTTCTAATTTTGAACAAATTGACTTCCTGTTGGTAAGGCTCACAGAAACGCCCTGCACCCATTGAATAAAACTTGGTTTTCATTTTGATATCATTGTTGTACATGGCCTTTTAGAATTTTGTTAAGAGTGGCAACTTTGACAACCTAGTTTTCACAAAGAAATTTAAATTACTAAGATATAATTTATCCATACAGCTCAATAGACATGAATAGAACTCATTTCATAAGCTTGTGGACATTTATTGCTCAAATGCATAGGGAGTACATCTTTACATTTTTGCATTGGTTTTCATTATTCTTGGACTAAATCATCCTAAGAAAGATTTTTAAGCTGTCTGAATATTAGAGTATGATTTTAACAAAACTGTCACACATAGTCTATGTTAAATTACAATGAAATCCCAAGAACCTTCCCAATTCAAAGTGAAGAAATGCTATATATTTTTTTTGCCATATCAGCATCACTTCTGGGGAGTTGATTTTTTTTTTTTTAATTAGAAGAACTGTGGAGGAGATAAAAAATGTAAAACTTAGAGGTTGCCTCTTTTGTGTCACTTTTCCTGAGATGTCTTTTACCTGAGGCTAATAAGGATTGAACCAAGCAGTATTTTTTTAATGGCAAAAGTCCAGATGTAACTCGAGTTGAAATAAAATTAATTCTGTAAAGGATTAAAAAATAAGGAGAAAGCCCATTTTCTACTTCTCAAACTTTATAACAGAAAAATCCCTGGATTAAAATAATTGGAATGGCCAATTTGGTTTAGATGTTTGATATCATTGCCTACCCTGTATCTTTTATGCAAAATATTCAAACTCTGGGAATATTCTATCACTTATGATATGCCTGATCATATAACTATTTTAATAATTTGTCCCTAAATATGTTCAAATATGTTTAAATGTGAAACCTACAGTATAGTCTGCATTCAAACATCTATGCTCACACAAAATTATGTAGCTAATGAACAGCTTTCACTTTTTTCCTACTTGCAAATTTAGGATGACATTCAAACTTACATTCAGAAATATGTGGGCCTTGTGCTCTGACCGTGTAAATACTCCACTGAGTCTCAAATGAACTTTAATAACTTCCTTTTTATGCATTTACTTCTTCACCCAAACGAAAAGCTTATGTTGCTAGCCAATAATAACCAATTTAAAATTTTTCAGAGTTTATCTCAATACTCTGTGTAAGTGAAAGGACTAGAAGATGGGACAGTGGAGAATGGCAGTGGGCAGTTTTTTCTGTACGTGCAGATTGCACTGAAATCGCCAGATGTCTCTAATCTATTGCATTCCCTAGCTCCTTTCCAGAATTTCTCCAGAGCTCTCACATGATCTCTTCTAATTTGTGCTACTCACACTTACACAGCCTCTCCCATCACACTCACCACCCTTCCTTATCTCAACAATCCTTCTCCAGAGGGCTGATGATCAGTAAAATAAACACTATTATTAATAAAAATGTGTAAAGGGACTATTTAACTTTGAAAATTACCCATCATTTCTTATGCGTAAGTGGTCATAAAGTTTCCTTGTAGAGGGCTTCCCTAAGCCTGGAGTGAATGTGGTTAATTAGAGGAGGCCTCCTAGCTGTGCAGGATCATGCTGATTCCTTTAAGTAACCACAGTCATTACTATAAGACTATTTACTGAAAGCTGAGCTGGACAGCCATTGTACAATCTCATCTGGCAAACGTACAGAAATTGCACTCCAGATTACATATGAAGGCACTAATTACCCAAATGAAACTCCAGGGGCACCTTAGGTAGATACAGTAGAGTGAATTAAGGAAGGAAATAATTAGTCACAATTACAGAAACTAGCTCAACACAAAGTGAAAGAATGCATGCAGCTTATTTCCTGCAGAGAAAAGGGAGCTTTAGTAATAGTTTAAGAAATGCAAACGATAAACATGATTTCTAAAAATGAGTAAGAGAGGGACAAATATCTATTTTAAGTTATAAAAATGACTTTATTTTTCTGTTTCTATGTACTACATATCCAAATAACATTAAGACATTTTATCATGAATTTGCACTATGACAAATCAACTTTCAAGCATTTTCTTGACAGTTTTAGAGGTTTTGCCAGCTTTTGACATACATACAGACAGAGTAAACAAGGGGAAAAAAGAAAACTTAGTGAGCACGTAAGTCATGGAGTTTGAGCTCCAATAAAAATATTCATTAAAGAGGAAGAATAAGGTGGGGGGTGGAGAGAGGTATTCTGAAGAAAGAAACAAATTTACCTCACATTAAAAACCATGCATAGGAACTGTTATCAAACACAGCCAAGAAATTAAGTTTTCCAAATTTATATACCCCCCTTTCAAGGTATTCTGATAAAAAAATTCCTTTGGGCAGGGGGAGATCCTCCTCCACCTTTCAAAAATGAACTTAAGGATGCTACCTTTATCGGTGAGTGACTTTGGGAAGATGGAATGAGTGGATGCTTAGTTTGGATGGCTGGCAGGAAACTTTCAGGAGCATGTCACTGAGGCCTAAATCTTATAAAATCATGGCAGGTCTGGTGAAGACTGTCCAAGGTTTCTTGCAATGTTTCTAAGTAGAAAGAAAAGATGAGAAAATTTTCTTGATCTTTTAAGCAGTCTGCTAAGAACCAAGCTGTTTAACTAATTTGTTTTGCTAACTTGAGGTTAGTATGGAATGCTATCCTGAGTTACTAAGAGCTTAATAAAATTTGACTGTTTGAATCACATTATCACATTCAGAATTCATAGGATAATGTTAATTGAATCTTAATTTAGTCTCTAAAAACAAAGTGGAATTATATTCAAATTGACTTTATCTGTTCACTACTAAGTATGCTGACACTTTTCATAATGATGGATTAGGAATCTTTGCTGCTTAAATATATCATTTCTATTGATCAGGTATTTGGTATGAAATTAGATTAGAGGTAAAAGAAACTACTTAAAGAATGAACTTTTCTTATAATAGAAAATAAATAACAGCACAACCCTTCTTGGGGGAAGTGTTAATAAGAGATATAAAGATTTTGTTTTTTCTTTTTTAATATCAGAAATCCTGAAATAGCATACTGTAAGAATTTGGACTTCACTTAACCCAAGTAAATACAAGGAAGATTTTTGTCTAAGACCCTCTCCACAAAGACAACTTGAGAGCCAGGTAAATGGCTACATCTGAACAAAATATTCATAGCAGGTATGTTTTCCAGGTCTTTCTGAAAAAGCAGTACCTACTGCATACGATGCAATGTAAATTGTTGAAACTCCTTGAAACAGATGGGAAATACAATGGCAGGGGAAGGGGTGGGTGAAGAATAACTTACACTTGAAATAAGAGATTTCACTGTATCAAGAATCTTTATATTAAAAGAGCTGCATTAAAAACAAAAGCAAATCAAACCCAACACATAATGAGAAAATGCAATAATTTCTGAGGTGTGGTCTTCTTTGGTGAGTTCCACTGGGATATATTTATATGCTCTCTTTCAACCAGGCCATCACCAAACAATTGTTTGTTCTGTACTTAACAATTAAAACTGACAAAAAGACTTTTTCATCATGAGCTTCAAGCAGCCATAGGAGTTAAGAACACATATGGTGCTTTTATATTTACACAAGCAATCTCTCATGAGTCCTATAGAGATTGGGGAAATAGAGCTATAATAGTTATTCCTTTTTAGAAAGAGCACTTGTAAAATACGGAAAGTGGTTAGATAAATATCCCTCTATACAGAATTGATCAGTTAAAGAACTTTAGAAAAGTCAGCAGTTCATTACCTGAGTTTCCCAGTTAAGGGCTAACTAGTAATTAAATGTTTTTTTTACTTAAGAAAGTGAACAAAAACTTACAATATTAAAAGGGGCCAGTGTCAGAAAATTTAGACTCAAAATTAAGTTTCAGACTTTTGAAGGTTTATAAAATCTAATAGGAATATCTATGAATTTTCCTTCTTAGTTAAAACATGAAGTCACAGAACTATACTGACTTACCAGATGTTATCAAAACTTAGGTTGGGGGTCAGCCTGCAAAATCACTAAAAAACAAATCAATATTTTTTTGGAATTTTGAGCAAATTTTTACAAGTGATAAAAATGAATTATTAGTGACCTCGGTTATGAACCCATATGAGATTTTTAGTTAACACCAGATAAAGACTTCAGCATAAGCGTGATTTTTAACCTGAAGAGATCCCTTTTGAAGGGTAATATAGAAAATAACTATAAATTTTATCCAGAAAAATAGTGCACCCAGTGTTTTGCCAGCAGTTACCTAAGCTTGCCTTTCGACGAGGTATTTTTGTCATGCTCAACCATGGACAATCGGCCAACAAATTATTTGTTTAAAACAGATAGGGCTATGTTTCTAAATACAACACATTATTCAAACTCAGGATTCCAACACTATTCTGAAATTGAATACTTTATCATACAAGAACTATAACCATGTTATTATTCTGAGCACATTATTTCAATTCCAGGTCTAAATTAATCAGCAAAATCACCATTCTAAAACATTAACATAGAGCAGAAACGTAAAGCACTTTGGTCTGTATAATTAGATTATTAAACAAATCGAAAGAATCTCTTTCCCTAATGCTTCACCTCATGATGTAAAGTTGAAAACACAACTTAGGAACACATTTCTGAGGAGCAATTCCCAACATTTGTTTCTGTATACAACTCAAAGCAGCACTGAGTAAATTCACCCAAAGAACAATTTTAAAAAACAACATTTTGAAAACCCAAAGCATCTTTCTACTTTCTTTCATTGTTAAGTCACAAAACTTACTACGATCAGTCTAGAGCTCAGAAAATGGTCAATGTGAATTTGGTACATAAAACAAAGTTCTCATAATTAGTGGTTCTGGTTCTAGGTCAAGGGCACAAATAGTGTATTTCATTTTCCTGTTCTACATGCTTAATAGTCAGTGAAATATTTTGCCCAAGAGCCCATGCTATGTTGGATTTTAATTACAAAGGTAAATAAAAGCTCTGCTGATGGTCAGGCAAAAATTATTGCTAAGCAACAACCACTTAGCAATTTATTCACACTTTAACGAACAATTTTAGATGAGATACATATTTTAAGCCAGAGAGCAGATGGATTTCCCGTGCTTGTAGCACTAGTTCACAGCAAGGGCAGGCTTGAGGGAAATCGATTAATATCCAGTCATCCCTCGGTATCATGGGGAATTGATTCCAGGATGCCCTCGAACACCAAAATCTGAGGATGTTCAAAATCCTTGACATAAAATGGTGCAGAAATTGCATATAACCTATGCACATCCTCCCATATACTTTAAATCATCTCTAGGTAATTTATAATACCTAAAACAATGTAAATCCTATTTAAATAGTTGTTACGCTGTATTGTTTAGGGAATAATGACAAGGAAAAAGTCTGTACATATTCAGTACAGACACAACTTTCTTTTTGAGTATTTTCCATCTACAGTTGGTGGAATCCACAGATGCAGAACCCACAAGTACGGAAGGCTGACTGTATATATAAGTGGATTATTTTGTGTAACAGGCAAAATTTGAATAGATTACCACTGCCACACTGTGCTGAGAAAAGGAGAGGGCCTCACTGGAGCACACCAGCTCTTTAACAGGGTGCTTTAGTAAATTTTTTTCCATCTGATGCAGCTGCATATCAAGATATGAAAGATGATTAAATTACTCAAAAACCAGGCTTCTATCATTTTAAAATTTAATTATCTATTAGAATATTAAAATAAATCTAGGTTCTCCAAAGTTGTTCACCAGTACTACATAGCAGTATTGAGATTAAGGTGGGAGGAGCCTCTGTATTTAGGTTTTAAATATTTTTAAAATGTTGGTAAAATGCAAATAAGTTAAATGATAAAGGCCTAATTCAAACATACCAGCCACTAAAGATTATTTTCTTCACTCACAAAAACCTTGCCTAAGGATAACAATAACTGTCAGGTATATGAAATAACACAGTTTAGGGTTTTGTTGGAGGCAGGGGAACATTTAAAATACTCTATGACAATGCACTTATGTGAAGTTCCACTGAATGAAGGTCTTGGCCAATGGAGAAGACAGCTGGTATTAAAATAACTAGCACAGATTCCTTGATACACACACAATGAAAACAAAAATAAGAACCCTGTACAGGTGTAAACAAGTTAAAAATGGCCTTGGCAAAATATCTTCCTCTATTTAAAAAATGCCAAAAAGCATGCAACTTATAATTCCCTCCTTTCCACAAGAATGAACTAAAAAACAAAAACAAAAAACCAAATGGAACTATCTCTTTCTGTCAGTAGATAATAGATACATTGTGTTTCAAGACAAATAAAACTTCAAAATATTAATATTGAAAAAATACAATTAAATTTTTATTAAAAATACATACTCCTTACGCGATCTTTGTGTACATTTTGTGTGAAAAGGAAAAAAAAATAGGAAAGGCATTAAGACTACCTAATTATTTATACTGTATTTGGTAGAAGCGTGTTTCAGTCAAACTTTAACGAAAAATAAGTTATTCTGTTTTCATTTGCTCCCGGACGTCAGAAGGCAGAGTTTCAAACAGAGCATCTTCTACAACTAAACCAGCTCGCTTCAGAGCCCGACAGTCACCCAGTTCAGGAGGGAGGATTTCAAAGTGATTACCTTTTACATCTAAGTAGGAAAGAAATAGCAAATTTCCAATTTTCGGTGAAAGTACAGATAGGCTGTTTTTTCCAATCTTCAGAGTTTTAAGTTTCTTGCAGAAGTAGAGTTCATCTGGAAGGCTTTCCACTTTGTTACATGTGATGGAAAAATACTGTAAACTTTGTAGAACTCCAATTTCAGGGGGGATAAATCGAATGTCATTGTACGATAAGTCCAAGTATCGGATCTTGTTGCATAGGAAGAGGTGGGAAGGCAGCACCTCTATTTTATTGTGACTAAAGGACAGGCGTTCCAGGCTGGTGAGTTTCTTTATATGCTCTGGGATGTAGGTGATGCTGTTATGCCACAGTTTTAGCACTGTCAACTTTCTTAAGTGCTGAAAGCTAACGATTTCTTCTATAGATTTCAGATTGTTTTCCTTCAGGTCCAATTCCTGGAGGCTGAGTAGGCTGAACACAGCATGAGGAATACGCTCCAGGTCACAGTGGACCAGCTCCAGCTCTGTCAGATTGGTCATCTTCTTTAAGTTGTTGAGCATCACCAGCTTGGTGCCATCATTATGTATGCACATCTTCTGGAGATGGCTGGAAACATCAACCACTGCCTGAGGGATTTTGGAAACGTTGCTTTTGATAGAGAGAATTTTAAGGCTTTTGAGATCCCGCAGAGACTCAAGGGTGACATTTCTGGAAATATCATGACTTAGAGAGCCAACTAGGTACAGCTCTTCCAGATTTCGGAGCCCATACATCCAGGGGGGGAGTTCCCTCATGTCATCAAACTTGACGCTCAAGACCTTGAGGTTTTCCTTCAGGAAAGAGAGCGCCGCACTGTGGATTTTGACAGAACACTGGTGCAGAGAGAGCTCTTGAAGATTGTCTAGCTGTGCAATGGTGGCTGGTATCATTACGTTCTTAATGATTTCAAGTTTTAGAGATTGCAACTCTGTGATTTCAAAAACAGTGTCTGGAAGGCCAGAGAGCATGATAAGAGGCAATTCCAGTCGATTATGGGCATTTGTCTGTAGCTTCTGCCTCAGTTTATCAGGAGTCCATTCGTTATTTAAGTTCAGCTGCTTTAATTTGTTTTCACTGACTTCAGACAGGAACACTGCAAATCTCTTGGAATAGAGAGGGTCATACTGATCTATCATATGAAGCATAAAAGCAAAGTCATTTTTCACATCTGGAATATCATCAATTCCAGTCTCCTGACGGACATACTCAAAGGAATATTCCCGTAGAGAACGGTAGAACAGCCAGTATAAGGTATAAAGGCACGTCAATCCATAGATACTAACAAAGCACAGATAGCAAAAGGACAGTTTTGAGAACAAGTGTGCCATGGTATGATTGCAAGAAAAGTTTTTATATCCAGTCATGTCCTGAATGTCCACATTACAGTCCACTGTAAACTGGACCTTGGAAACCAGAGCACTATTATATGCAATGATGATTAGGAATTTGATAACTTTAAGTACAGTCTGGCGAACATACATGGCATATAGAATATCACCTTCTTCCACATGCAGCCTGAACTTCTTCACCTTCTCAAATAAGGCCTTAGCCTGCTCACCTTCCTTTTTATCCAGAGCCCCTGCAGTGGATTTATCAACTACAAACTTCTCAGGAATGGACTTTAAAGACTGAGAGTTGACCAGGCTGTCTTCTGGACCAGATTGGATGGTGTTGGACCTGTTCATGTTGTTCTTCCTGTTGTCCTTTTCTTCTGAGTCCTCCCCAGACACTTCAGATAAAGCCCGTGTGGTCCAAGGAGAGTCAAAACACTTCCCCAGAATGGAGATGAAATGTTCTATTTTGGAGCTGGAACCAGGGAATTTGAACCAAAAGTTACTGCAGAGCATAAAGACCAGGGTATGGATGAGGACAAGGTAAGGGAAATACTTGGCATACCAGTGGAGGGCTCGCTCATAACACATCTGATTTATAAAGCTGTACTGCTGAAGGTCCAAATCTGTCTTCAGGCCTTTCATTTCCACAGTGATGGGGTTAGCAGGAGATGGTTTAGGTGGAGGCAGTGGAGTGGTACTGGCAACTGCTTGAGAGACATTCGAAAGGGAAGAGTGGTTCTGAGCAGGCTGCACTCTTTTCGGAAGGCAGATTATCTTGTCTTGCATGACCTGAAACATGGAAATAATATTTTCAAATTATATTACTCAAAGAGCTTTCATAATGTCATTACTGCAAAGAAAGCAGCAGTAACATCCAATAAATGTCCATTTCCTCTGCCTGGAGAATACAACGTTCAATTCCAGCATCAAGATTTTATTCTTAGCTCATATATTGGAAAAATGAAATATCTGACTTTGTTCATCATGTCTAAGTTATGACATAAAACAGTGTTTTTTCAGGTCATAGAACAACTCACAAGAAAATAAATATTTAGGGAACATTCATGTATTTTTAAAAAATTAGCAGCCAGGCGCAGTGGCTCACAACTGTAATCCAAGCACTTTGGGAGGCCAAGCCGGGTGGATCACCTGAGGTCAGGAGTTTGAAACCAGCCTGGCCAACATGGCGAAACCCTGTCTCTACTAAAAATACGAAAATTAGCTGGGCATGGTGGTAGGCACCTGTAATTCCAGGTACTTGGGAGGTTGAGGCAGGAGAATTGCTTGAACCCAGGAGGTGGAGGTTGCAGTGAGCCGAGATCGTGCCATTGCACTCCAACATGGGCGACAAGAACAAAATTTTGTCTCAAAAAAAAAATTATCAATTCTCTCACTGGATTCTGGGAGAATCAGTCATCAGTCTGGGAAGTATATCATCTTCTCAGACTCAATCTTGAGTTAGATGTCCTCAAAGATTGTATCAGTCTGTGTATGAGAAGCAGAAAGATAAGAAGGAGGAACTATGAAAGGAATTCCTGTCTTGTTTTCCCCTTCTTTTTCTACACATATTCTAGACTGTATGTATAGATCAATATGAATGAATTTAATGGAAATTTTGCTAAGCTTTTATAAAAACTCTTCCTTCAGAGAGAGATAAAAAAATACAGAAGTGTTCAACAGTAAAATAATTGTTTAGATTTGCTAGCGTTACACACAAAATATTACATTGAGAACCACCATCCTTCCACCAACGTTTCAGTTTGTTGAAAAGAATATTAAGCTGTAAGAATGTCCAGCAGACTCAAAAAATTGCAATTTGGGAAAGAGAGAATGAATGCACCCTTTTTGAAGATAAGGTAGGATGTGACAGAATACACATTGAATAAACCTAGACGAATCATCTTCAGGAGGAGGCCTATGTTAGTAGAACTCTATGAACAAAAAGTTGACATTTCAAAGGAAGAATAACCAAAGAGTATTCAGCAATGACATGTGGAATTAATAACGCAGGGAAAGTCTATTTGTACCTTAAAATGTCAAATGGCTGAAAATCCACAATGTTTAGTGATTCTGCACCAGCAGTGGTTAGTGATTTTGCAACATCAAAGTCCTTTACCTTGATTATAGGCATAGAAACTGAACCCGTTGTAAAGTGGTCTGCTATAGCATAGTAAGGTGACCACGAGCTGGTGACAAGGGAACTAGCAGCCTACCATATAGAAGCATGAGGCTGATGACAGAGTGAAGCACCCAACACTTAGTAAAGTGTCTGGTACATGGAAGACCACCAGTGTATATTTTCTGAGAAAGGGAGTGAATCCAAAATTGCCAATAGTCCTTCTAGTTCAGGGTTGTATCAGTCTGGGTGTGCAGGACACCTCTTCTAGGGATGAAGATGAAGATGGTGATTATAGTGATGACAGCAGCAAACTTCTGTTATGCTTAATATGCAGCTGACCGTCTTTTCATAAAGTCATGGGCATTAATTCTATTAATTGCCATCTTAATCGGATGACATCAAGTACTCTTATTATTTCCATTTTATAGATGAGGAGACTGAGGCATGGACTCAGGTAAATAACTTGCCTAATGTCATCTAGCTCAGAATCACCTAGACCCAGAGCCCATATTCGTATTTTCCTGAATGTCTAGGATTAAGCCAGAGGGATCCCAATTTGACTTTATCTTAACAAATTATTTTGCACAAACAAGTCACATTTTACAGAAAAGGCTTACTGCTTGCCATGTCCTATGCAGATAACAAGAAATGAGGCTGCGGGAAGAGAGGAGGTTTCACCACAAGATTTATAAAGTTCTGTCTTGGGAAGATAAAGCAGGGGGGCAACTATTTACTATTTAAATCAAAAGAATGCAGGTAAGAACAACAAATGTGATTGCATTTAGAGGATTTGGTGGCTACTGAGATGTGAGAATTCAGCAGTGGTCTTCAAACATTTCTATTACTTAGAGGAAAATGTTGAGTATGCCTACCCACTATATTTATGTCTTCCTATAGGTACTGCATATCCACATCAATCAATATGTCAAATAATCAAAAAGCTAACTTATTTCATGTTTAAAATAAATATAAAGAAAAGTTTTCACTTTTATTTCACATCTCAATGGAGCATTCATCATATTTCTCGGGATTCAAGCACCATACTTTGGAAACCCCTGGAATAAAAAACAAACAAAACCACCAGGAGAAAGCCTAGACAAATACTAGACTATCTTGAAGAAACATAAAAGAGAAGGGCTTGGGATCATGTTCCAGATGCTTTCCTGTTCATGATCTCATTTAATGCTCCAACAACTTGGGAAGTAGGCAGAGGGAGGGGGCCAGAGATCAGCAGGGAAAAGGAATGTGCTTCCTTGAGCACATTCTTCAAGACTGACACCCTTGAACTATTGTTAATACGATATTGTTAATGATATGATGAAAATACAGGCTGGGTGCCGTGACTCACGCCTGTAATCCCAGCATTTTGGGAGGCCAAGGCGGGTGGATCACGAGGTCAGGAGATCCAGACCACCTTGGCTAACACGGTGAAACCCCGTCTCTACTGAAAACACAAAAAATTAGCCGGGCGCGGTGGCGGGCGCCTGTAGTCCCAACTACTGGGGAGGCTGAGGCAGGAAAATGGCGTGAACCCGGGAGGCGGAGCTTGCAGTGAGCCGAGATCGCGCCACTGCACTCCAGCCTGGGCGACAGAGCGAGACTCCGTCTCAAACAAAAAAAAAACAAACAAAAAAAAACCACACACAAAAAACAAAACAAAACAAAAAAACACAGAGGAATCAGGTAAAAGCAAGATTAAATAGAAGGTAAAAAGGGAGGCATCTTCTTAAGGTGCTAAGTCCCTGCAAAGCAACCAAGTGGGCCCCATTTCTGTACCCCTGCCTGAACCCTCCCCCGGGCTTGCTCCTAATGAAAGAAGACGGTGGACTTAAGGAACTTGGCTGCTGTACAGGATTTTAGGTTATGCACTGTACCAGGGTGCCCAGGTGAAGGGCAAGTGTAGGCTGAAATCTAGCTTGTGTACCTCTCACTCAGCTGTGTGCACTTGGGGTTATGTCCACACAGTGCAACTGCGTTTTTATATTTTGCACAAAAATGTCTAATTAGCTGGAATCTGCCATGCTGGAGAAGTAGGTCACATTCTCTCCGTTCTACAGAAGAAGAAACTGACCAAGGTTCAGAAAACTTCAGTGACCTGCACAAGTTCACGCAGCTAGGAAATGGCAGAACAGGAATTTAAACCTGTCTTTTCTTTCCAGCCTAGTGTTCTTCCACCACTCCCCACATTCTTCTCATTTCACCTAGCTTCCGCTAGGATGGCTTTGTAGAGAACAGCCCAGCGTAGGAGGCTTATGCCACAGGCAATCTCCAGAAGTTCTGTTCACTCTTTTGACTTCATATTTCCCTTTCATTCCTTCATGAAGATATTTTTTGAAGTGTGCCTACTCAAATCTCAGGAGAATAAAGACAGTAATCTATTTTCCAAAAGCTGTTAATCACCCAGAAACGAGCGCTGAGTAGAAAAAAAAATACTGGAATCTAGTTACTAAGAACAGTAGCATCTCATGTTGCTGAGGGAACACATCACAAGAAGACTCCTGCAGAGAGGCATCTCTGAGTAGAATTCCAAAAGAATGTGAGGGCTGGCTGTCAAATCCAGGACTACAAAAATAAATAGCCAGGTTAGGAGGTCCAACAGTAAACAGTATGAAGATTTAAACAGTGCAATAGCTATAAGAGAGAGGAAGTTACCCTCCATGTTAAATAGAGACTGTATTTCTGAACACTGCAATGTGGGGAAGAACTGGGAAAAGGATCAGTATTTTCAAAGAGAAAAATAAGAAAAAAAATAAGGCAGGCAGCTTCTTCTTCTTTGTCTTCTTCTTCGTCATCTTCTTCTTCTTCTTCAAAAGGTTAAACAGTGTTTTTGCCATATCTTTGTAACAGCAGCCTGTGAGAATTAGGAAATTTTTGTTTTATCTGTCCTATCCTTTTGAGAAGTCTGCCTAATCAGACCTATACTTCACGTTTCTTTTTCTTTACCCAGTAATGTAAAGATCAGGGTGCAAAACAAGCCTTAAAGAAAGGCTGCAAAACAAATCTCAAAAGAATAGTTGTAGGGTTCCAGGCTGTTGGTACAGGACTAAGACAGAGTGCTTGGAGTAGGGGCAGGGAGAAAGTGCCCAACCGCATCCCCTTCTACAAAGCCTTGAGGTTCAGTGCATCACCAGCAGCTCATCCACACACATTATCACATGGAGCAATTCCGCCATTTTCTTTCAAGGACAACTCTCAGCTGCCTTTGGAGGAAAAAGGCTTGAGAATGGAGTTACGTGGTGCCTTTATGTAGGAAGAGGGAGAGAAAAAGGGGGAAGAAACTGGGGGGAGAAGTGAAGAAAAAAATCAAAATGAACAAGAGAACCTCATCCAAAATGCATAAAAGTGAGAAAAGTTAATATTCTAAAAGCTGCTATAAGAATTCTCAGAATTCTTAGAATGAAATCATTTATGGAAAGGAAAATGTCTAAGTGAAGGAGGAGGAGAGGGACACAGAAGAATGAGACACTGAGAGCAAGGGTCAGATTAAGCCAAGGTACAAAGAGACAGCTAAACTGCCTACTTTACATTGGAGTGAACAGGCTTGGAAGTAGGAGGAGGTGAATCAGGAGAGCACGGACAGGTTAGAAGGGAAGAAGAAAATTAGGTCAAGCCATACAGCAGGTGGCTGGAGTATATGCTCATTATTTCTATTTTGAGATAGAAATACCTTTCAATCTTTCTCAAATCTTTAGTAAAATCTGCTACACACACACACACACACACACACTCACACACACACACACCAGCCACACCTTTTATGAATGCATTTTGTAGAAATCACAGCAAATTTCATGCTGGGATCAAAGCTGTACAGAGTTTACCTGGGCTAGGTAAAAATCTGTAATCTAAAGATTTCCATGGAAGCAGAAACTGGGACCATGGGAACCTAATCCTTCCAGGAACCTGCTGGGGGCATTAGACTGGGGTGTGACCCAATATCCTCTGGATCTGTTTTTTTGTTTTTGTTTTTTTTAGATGGAGTCTTGCTCTGTTGTCCAGGCTGGAGTGCAGTGGCGCAATCTCAGCTCACTGCAACCTCCGCCTCCCGGGTTCAAGTGATTCTTCTGCCTCAGCCTCCCAAGTAGCTGGGACTACAGGTGTGTGCCACCACACCCGACTAATTTTTGTATTTTTAGTAGAGATGCGGTTTCACTATATTGGCCAGGCTGGTCTTGAACTCCTGACCTCAAGTGATCCACCCGCCTCGGCCTCCCAAAGTGCTGGGATTACAGGCATGAGCCACAGCGCCTGGCCTATCCTCTGGATCTTTAGGAACGACTGACATCCAGGAGTATAAAATACTCCTCAAGGCTTCCCAATTAAAGTCCTTGGAGAAAAAAATGTACACATAAACTTGTTCCACAACTGTGATAATATCTATGCAGTACTTATGGAAAAGAAACCCAAGGGTTGCAATAATTGGTTAAATGGATTCACTAAAATTTGGATTCTTCAATTCTGATCTGCAAATCATCATGTTGAGAAAACACAACAGCTATTTTTGAAAAGATAAAAGAGGATCTTGAAGATCCTTCCTCAATTCTAAGGTCAATGAAATAAGCTGAATTTCTTGCTTTTGCTTTCTATGGGGGAGGGGAAGGGTTTCAAGGGAAGCATAGGCCAAAATTCAAGCTTCCTTAAAAAAGAAACAACCCATCCAAACCTGCCTGAAAATGCTGTTCGAATCTAGGAAGAGAAATCAAATGTTTTAAATGGTAACAATCAGATTTAGAGATGCACTGTAAGTGGAGTATGTGCATGCTCTATTGCATACTGAAATACCTTGAATGGTCAACGTGAAATTCGGGCCTTTTAATAGAAATTTTCACTATTTTAAGTCATAATATTTATGGCTACATTTTTGTATGATGTATGTTATTTAAGTCTTAGTCCTTTGTTAGAATCATTAAGACACATCAGGATGACACTTATTTAGGCAGTTGCCAGAAAAGTATGGAAGTGAAAAAGCAGAACCCACCTGTGATAACTAGTTGAAAAGGTACCACATTTGCATGAATGAGACACCAAAGGGCTGAGGTTAAAACAAAATAAAACCACTTAGCTTCAGAGAAACTGCCTGAAATAACAAAGAACATATAAACGAAGGCAGCTTATCTATTACATGCCAGACATGTAGAACATAAATGCTGAATTCTGAGTGTGCCTCAGGAAAAGTCATTCTGCAGTAGTATCTACTATATGTCAGTTGTTATATTTGGGATACCAACAAGAACAAAAAGCCCTTCAAAGTCAAGCACAGGAATGAGACATATAAATCAGTAATTAGTGTGATAAGTGCTCAAATTTGTGCTTGTCTTTCACGATAAACTTTATCATCAGATTACGTAGATACAGGAAAAACAACCCTAGTAGTATTTTTATTGGGATCACTTTATAAGTTAAGAACTGACATGATGTTGATTCTTCCTCCTTATGGTGTGTGTTTTCACTTGTTTGCATCTAATTTTGTGCCTTTCAAGAGTGTTTTACAGTTTTCTCACATAGATTTTGTGCATTATTAAGTTATGTCTGTCTATGTATTTTATTTTTTTGCTACCATAAATCTGTCTTTTAAAAAAACCATTTATTTATTTATTTTTGAGACAGGGTCTTGCTCTGTTGCCAGGCTGGGGTGCAGTGGCGTGATCTTGGCTCACTGCAACCTCCACCTCCCGGGTTAAAGAATTTTCCAGCCTCAGCCTCCTGAGTGGCTGGGACCACGGGCCTGCACCACCATGCCTGGCTAATTTTTGTATTTTTTTGTAGAGATGGGGTTTTACCATGTTGCCCAGGCTGGTCTCGAACTCCTGTGCTCAAAACGATCCACCCACCTCAGTCTCCCAAAGTGCTGGGATTACAGGCATGAGCCACTGCACCCGGCCAAAACATTTATTTATTTATTTTATTTTATTTTATTTTATTTTTGGTTAATCCCTAAATTTCTTTATTATTATTATTATACTTTAAGTTTTAGGGTACATGTGCACAATGTGCAGGTTAGTTACATATGTATACATGTGCCATGCTGGTGCGCTGCACCCACTAACTCGTCATCTAGTATTAGGTATATCTCTCAATGCTATCCCTCCCCCCTCCCCCCACCCCACAACAGTCCCCAGAGTGTGATGTTCCCCTTCCTGTGTCCATGTGTTCTCACTGTTCAATTCCCACCTATGAGTGAGAATATGCGGTGTTTGGTTTTTTGTTCTTGTGATAGTTTACTGAGAATGATGATTTCCAATTTCATCCATGTCCCTATAAAGGACATGAACTCATCATTTTTCATGGCTGCATAGTATTCCATGGTGTATATGTGCCACATTTTCTTAATCCAGTCTATCATTGTTGGACATTTGGGTTGGTTCCAAGTCTTTGCTATTGTGAATAGTGCCACAATAAACATACGTGTGCATGTGTCTTTATAGCAGCATGATTTATAGTCCTTTGGGTATATACCCAGTAATGGGATGGTTGGGTCAAATGGTATTTCTAGTTCTAGATCCCTGAGGAATCGCCACACTGACTTCCACAATGGTTGAACTAGTTTACAGTCCCACCAATAGCATAAAAGTGTTCCTGTTTCTCCACATCCTCTCCAGTACCTGTTGTTTCCTGACTTTTTAATGATCGCCATTCTAACTGGTGTGAGATGGTATCTCATTGTGGTTTTGATTTGCATTTCTCTGATGGCCAGTGATGGTGAGCATTTTTTCATGTGCAAAACATTTATTTTTAACACAGAAGGTAGAGTCCTCCCTTTCCCTTTTCCTATCCCCATTGCCATTCCTTCATGAGCCCTGATAAGTTTGGTGTATACCATTCCAGATCTGTATCTGTGCATTTACATGTATATAATACATAAACAAATAAGATCTTACTATATGTATTGTTCCTGCACCTTGAGTTTTTCTCTTTCATGGTATGTCTTGGAGATGTTAATAGATTGGCACCTGGAGATCTACTTCATTCTAAGTGCCATGGAATTACATATTGTGGATGTGCTATAATTTACTGAAGACATTCCCATGATGACATGCATGTAGGGAGTTTTGCTACTAAAAAGTGTGTTAGTCTCAAAAGGTTACATACTATCTGATTTTACATGGCATTCTGAAAAATAGGACAGAGAGATGAGGACATAGAACAGATCAGAGGTTAAAGGCTGAGGTTGGCGGGTTCATTGCAAAGGTCAGCACCAGGAATTCTTTGGGGTGTTGAGATTCTTCTGTATCCTGTTTGTAGTGGTGGTTACAAGAACCTGTGCATATTAGAAAACTCAAATATATACCTTGTTTAGATAAAGAGTGTATTCTTGAAGATGGGAGGGCTAAATGCTATCTAATATTAACATTACGCTACCAGCTTTTTTGGGTATTTGTGTTATATTATCTTTTAATCTCTATTTTTACTCTTATAATTTTTTTAGGTTTCTGCCTTTTGAATTTTTAAAAATCCAAACTAATCACCCTTTTCTTTTTATAAGTGAACTTAATCCATTATTTTGCTCACTCATATTTGGATATTTGGACTTATTTCTAGATTTTTCATTTTCATTTATACTTTTCCCTTCTCCTTCCTGCCTTCTGCTGCACTGCTCATTTTTTCTCTATCTCCTATTTCCCACCCAACCCCTTCTCAGCTGGTTAGGAAGATAGCGACTGTATTTCTGTTCTTCTAGATGTTATCTATAATTTCTTAAAATGTACAGTTAAAATTTTTAGTATCTCCACACCACTTCCAAGAATATGTTGTAACTACCCACTGAACTATACCAATTTGTTGTTCCCAGAGTTTGTTTTTGCTTTCTTTTGAAACTTTTTTTTTTTTTTTTACAATCTGTACTTGATTGTGTTTGTTTATATATTTATTAAATTATGAGTCACTAGTTTTCTTAGATCCTATAACTTCTCCCTGGGTTCATTTTCCTTTTGGTTGAAGTATACACCTTAATAACTCTTAATAAAAGTCTGTGGATAGGAAACTCATATATCCTGTAAGACTGACAATTCCTATATTGCTTTCATTCTTCAGTAACTATTTGGTAAGTTATACAATTCTGTTTTGATAGTAATTTCCTCTCAGCATTTAAAAATATTATTCCATTTTCCCTGGCTTATATTTTTTCTGATGAGAAGCTTGCTGTCAGTTTGTGTTATTTAGTGCGCAATCTATCTTTAAGGTAGCTTTTAAGATTTTACCTTTAGTCTCAGGATTTTCTGCAGGTTCACTTTAATTTTGAATGTATGTGGATTAATCCTACTCCATATCTGGAGCTAAGGACTTGACTTTCTTTAATTTTGGGAAATTAAAGCAAATATTTCTTCAAATATTGCTCCATCCTTTCTTCCATTTTCTTCTACAACTCCTCTGAGATGTATGTCAGTGTCTCTCAGTCTGTCTTTCATGAGCGTGTGTTTTGATTCCTGTCTTTCTCTGTGCTGGGCTCTGGGTAAACTGAGAACTCTTGTTTAATTCATTACTTCTTTATGCTACTGAGTACAGTCCAGTTATTCTATCTGTTGATATTTTATAATTCATTGACTTTATTTCCAAGATTTCTAAATTTGTTATATCAGCTCTTAAGTCATATCTACCTACTTTATTGATTGATTGATTGAGACAGGGTCTTGCTGTGTTGCCCAGGCTGGAGTGCAGTAGCATGATCATGGCTCACAGTAGCTTCAAAAATCCTGGGATCAAGTGATCCTCCCACCTCAGCCTGCCATGTAGCTGGGACTACAGGTGTGTGCCACCATGCCTGGCTAATGAAAAAAAAATTTATTTTTTATTTTTTAATTTTTATTTTTTTAGAGATAGGGTCTTGCCATGTTGCCCAGGCTGGTTTTGAACTCCTGGGCTCAAGTGATCCGCCTGCCTCGGCCTCCCAAAGTGCAGGGATTACAGGTGTTCACCACGGTACCCGGCCCCTACTTTTTAAATGTTATGTCTTGATCTTTTTAACCACTCTCTGTATATTTATTTTAAATTCATTGTCATCTGGTTAAAACTTAATTTCATCTTGCATGAATCTGTGTTCCAACTGTTAATTTTGTTAATAGTCTTTCTTAACATAGTTTTTTTCATGTGTTCTGGGTGGTAGACGCATCCTGAGTAGGTGTATGTTTTCCACTGCTTCTCTTGAGTGTACTTTTGTGGTTTTCTGCACCCAGCCCCCAGCCCCCCAGAGTCCACCAATAGGTCTTATCATGGTATTTGGATGTTCCACTGTGATGTCAGGCCTCACAGAGTCAGTCTGCAAGACAGTGGACAGGCTGACTCAGTTTCTGGTCGGCAGGCACCTCAGATGCACACTTTCCTCTGAAGTACTGGCTCCAGCATCCAGTTAATCGCTATATTTTTTCAGCTTCTTTTTGGGAGTGAGGACTTTTGGCTTGAAACAGTGACCAGGCTCCAGTCTCTTATCTTGCTTGGTGCATTTATGGTTCCCTTTACTAGCAGGAGCTGAGCTCCTGGCTGCTACTGCTTAGTTTTGGATAAGAGCCCAGCAATTGATTCAGACCCATTCAGCGTTCCATTTGTGCTCCACAGAAACGCTCATCTTGCTTTGGGGTCTGTGTATGCATTTTTGTTATCTTTTTATATCTATCATGACTATACACATTGAACACAGGACTGTTTTGAATTGTAACACCTGTTTTACCATCTTTCGCAGATGTGTGTATCATAATACAAAAATTAGTCGAGACAAATTATTATGAAAAATTGTGTTGCTTGGGTAGTGCCACACAAGGTAAACTTATATGTCAAATTCCCTCCCCACCAGAAAGGCCGAATTTCTTTACACATGTTCCACCAACAGCATATGAAAATACTTACTTTCCTATATCCTCGACAATAAAGTCCATTGTTCTTTTTCTTTCTTTCTTTTTTTTTTTTTGAGATGGAGTCTCACTCTGCCACCCAGGCTGGAGTGGAGTGCAGTGGTGCGATCTTGGCTCACTGCAAGTTCCGCCTCCCAGGTTCACGCCATTCTCCTGCCTCAGTCTCCCAAGTAGCTGGGACTACAGGTGCCCACCACCACGCCCGGCTAATTTTTTGTAGTTTTAGTAGAGACAGGGTTTCACCGTGTTAGCCAGGATGGTCTCAATCTCCTGACCTCGTGATCCGCCTGCCTCGGCCTCCCAAAGTGCTGGGATTACAGGCATGAGCCACCGCGCCTGGCCCCATTGTTCTTTTTCTATGAACTATAATCCCCAAATTATTTCTCCAGCTTGAACCTGTTTTCTATTTTTATTTTTTATAGAGATGGGTTCTCACTGTATTGCCTAGGCTAGTCTTGAACTCCTGGGCTCAAGTGATCCTCCTGCCTTGGACCCCCAAAATGCTGGGATTACAGGCATGAGCTACCAGCTTGGACTTTAAAACACAGCTATGATTATATTGTTATAGGAAGAGGAAGTAAGAAAATTTGCAGTGTATGATAAAATAGGTGGTACCATTCCAATATGTTAACTTGTGATCCAGATGTAGTCTTTAGATTGTGTCTTATTCTTTAAAAAGACAGTACTTTAACTTGGTTATGACAGATTTGATCCAAACAGGTAGAGTGGAGCCACAAAAAGGCAAGTGGCCAATATAAGGCAGTTAAGTTTATGCTTCATCCTCCCTCCACCTCATTGATTCAAATATAGGTAGTACCAAAGATTTCTACCCTGAAGTTGATCATCTAGACTTGCCCCCAGTCTGACGGAACAAACCAAGTTTTCCCTGTTGACCTAAGAAGGATATAGCAAAATCACATCCCAAAGATCTATTCTCCAGGGATTGTTCAGAGATAAGAGCAGGCTATCCTTTACCAACAGAAACATATTGAATACCTACTATCTACTATTAGGTTGGCATAAAAGTAATTGTGGTTTTTGCCGTTGAAAGTAATGGCAAAAAACACAATTAGTTTTGTGCCAACGTAATACATGCTAAGCGTCATAGGAAAACCAAAGAGGCATAGCCAGTATTTGCTGTTCTAAAAGCACTTGCAATCTTGCTAGAGGGACATAAACAGCCACATGAAAAATCAAACGAGAGCACAAATATGGCAATATCTACAGTAAGAGCTCAGGCTTGGAGTAAGCAGGGTAGGCTTGGCGGAGTAGAAGGAACTTCACTTGGGACTTGAAGCTACTAGGTTAGAGCCTGTGGTTCCAGAGGCAGGAGCAAAAGGATGCATTTGGGGAGAGAGAGGGAGAAAGACTGAAAAGATGGAGTGTCACTCTTCTTTTCTGAGGTAGACCCATTTCTCCTGGGCAAAGGGATAGAAATAGAAGGGAAAGGAATTAATTTTCATGTCACTAAGTTATCAGTTAATGTACAAACTTGACTAAGCACTTTCCCCAAGATACAAGATGCTAGAGGACAAAGAAAGCACTCGTTGTCCAAACGCATGAGATTGATTCCCCTCATCAGTGATAGAATTAACTCTGAAAATGTAGACTGTGTTTCAAGGCTGAACTATTGAAAATATTTTAAGTACAAAAAATGTTGGTGAGAATGAGAATGAAAAGGAACTGAAAAGGCAGAGTAGATGGCTCTGAAGGAGTGAATATTTAAATGCTTTCATTCTTAGCAAATGTCTTATTCACAACTCTTGCTGTGCATTATGTTGACTATAAGCATATTTGGGGGCAATCGCCACAGGAGCACAGAAATAGACATCTATGAGAACCACACATGCTGCATCACTATCATCAGGACGAACACCGTCCTTGTCTCCAACAGAAATGGAAAAGCAAAACTGCAAGTATGTGGCATCATTTCCTGTTTGCTGTGCACATGCTCTCTTCTTTTCTTCTACTTTTTAAAAAGACTTTTTAAATTTTCTTAGAGCAGCTTTAGGTTCACAGCAAAATTGAAAGGAAGGTACAGAGATTTCCCAAATGCTCCCTACCTCCATCCATGTATAGCCCTCCCCATTATCACCAAGCTCAACCACAGTGGTACATTTGTTACAATCGATGAACCTACATTGACACATCACTGTCATCCAAAGTCTACAGTTACCTTGGGGTTCACTCTTGGTGTTGGATAAAGATTTGGACAAATGTATAACAACATGTATCCACTGTAATATCCTACAGAGTCATTTCACTGCCCTAAAAGTCTTCTGAGCTATACCTACTTATCCCTCCCCTCCTTTGTCCTTTCTAAGCAACAACTGATATTTTACTGTCTGTAGTTTTGCCTTTTCCAGAATATAATACAGTTGGAATCATACAGCATGTATCCTTTTAAGATTAGCTTCTTTCACTTAGCAATGTACATTTAATGTTCCTCCATGTCTTTTCATAGCTTGACCGTTTATTTTTTATTTTTTATTTTTAGCACTATATAGCATTCCATTGTTTGGATCATCTCTCTCTCTCTCTTTTTTAATTTCTTTTTTTTTCCACCTTCGGGACTTGTCTGAATCTCCCTTATTTTTAATGATGATGATGCTTAACATTTATATCATGGCCAGGAAATAACACACTGTACAGGGAGGAAGTTTACACCCATATAGTAAAGTGAGAGAAAAACCAGTCTAAGGCAAACTGCCAAAGTCTAAGGTATTTACAAGAGCAGAGTAAAAGGTCTGTTTTTATTAGTTGCCTATTTCTCCAACAGCAATAAGAAAGGGAAAAAAAAATCATACCTTGGCACATTTGAGGCATGGAGTGCTTGGGGAAAAAAATCCAAGGGATTGAAGAGATAAGTGCATTAAAACTTAGATTTCTGAACTTATGGATTTTCTCAGTGGTAAAGTATAATGGTACTTTTATACAGGTTTTATTAATACATAATTAAAGGCTAGTATCAAGTGAAACTCCTTGAGTTATGCACCGTGAGAAATGCCTGAGGAACATTAAATGTCACTGATAGAAAGATTAAGCACTAAAAAAGCTACAGCATATCTTAAATCATTATACAGAACAAATAACAGTATAAGGACCAGTAAGCTCTTTAAAGATAGACACCATGCTTAGTTTTCATTGCCTGGCACAAAGTAGGTACGCAATAAATATGAAGTGAATAAATAAAACAAACACTGTCCCCCATATCCCTAAGGAGGAACAAACCACAGCTAAGGCAAGCATATGCATTCATATATTCAGATGCCAGAGAACATCTGGAAATATTTGACCTCTAGCTACCTTCTTCTGACATGAAACAATTCGTTTTGCACACTCTCCTAACTGCCAAGTGATATCAGTCTAGTGATTCCTAAAGCCAGAGTTAAGTGCTAACTCATTTAAGAGACACAAAGAGAGTACCAGATTTGGGACACATGGTCTGTTTATTCCTAGGTAAAAAAGAAACCATCATATCCACATTAGAATCATGTCTACATTTTGAAATTTTGCTTAGTAAATACGATTCTCCTATCACTGTAAATATTGACATACTAACTTTTCTGAGGGTGGGAATGACAATACATACTATTAATGTTCATTTTTTTAACCCTTCATTAAACTGAAGGTTTCCAGCCATCAAGGATGCTTTTATTACCTCTATCTTGGTTGTATCCACATTGTTTTTTTTCCCCTCTTCTTTTGAAGAAAGCTTCTCTAGGCCAAACAAGGAATTACAAAAAAAATTTTTCAGAAATGAAGGGGGTGGGTGAGATTTGAAGCAGCTTCTTCTCATTCTGCTTCATGGCATTTTTCCATAAGCCATAAAGACCAGTGAATTATTTGATCCATGGCAATTTAAGATCTATGTGGAAAGCATCCATTTCAAAGTAACAACCATGTGAGAAAATTCAATGGATACATAACACAGAACATGTTTTGATTTATAACAGACTATTTGTTTCGGTTGTTTGAAGAATTTGAAATATTTATCTGTAATTATGCTCTTAAAATAATACAGGAAAAACTCTTTTTGAAGCAATGCCCAGGGACTGAAACCTCAGTTCTGTACTCAGCTGACTTAGCTCTAGAAACCCTGCAGTTTACTGATAAATCTGTGAGCAGGAGTAGAATAAAAGAAATTGGGAGAGTTCAAAGAGAAACATAAATCATCCAGATTATCTTCGATGTATGAACAGGACAAAGATACAGAATTCTAAATATGGGAAGCATGCAAATAAAACTGTTCTAAAAGGATATTTTTAAATGATTATTTTAGAAATTTACTATAATAATTGGAAAATAATTTGCTATTTATTTTTAGCAAATAAAAATATCTCCCCAAGTGAGATGATATCAACTGCCAGGTTGTGGTCCAATCTACATGAAGGAATAGATAGTGTCATCCTTAAAAGATAATATCCATAATTTGTTATGGCATCATAGAAGGCTTGCAGTTAAAGCAAGAGTCATGGCACTTGTTAGTCATTTATGTGTGCTGGATGGCAAGTGATTTTTTTTTCAATCATTATTATAATTTTTAGAAGTTAAGATTATTTGGATTCCATAAATATTAATTTGGATAAGACAGGTTCCACACATTTCAGACAAACAGGTCTTTTACCTATAGAGGGAGAATTTCATCTACGCACTTTTCCATTTTTCTGAATCATCCAGATAATGGCTGATCTCTGGGGAGAAAAGACTCTTCTTTGCTCCTCCTTACTTCTTTCTAGGTGAAAGAGGGCTTGATAGAGATGGTGACCTTTAAGGAAAAGGACTGAACTCTGGTGTCACAAGGGGTTGTTTCTCCTTGGGACCAGTCTGTTTTGACTCTCTCTTTAGAGCTTCTAAAGGGAGTCATCATTTGGAAGTCTCCCTTTTTCCTTAAAACTGATGTGACACAACAGGTTTGAAGCTGCCTCTCTCTGGGAAGTTGATGGTAGCCTAGGAGGGCCTGAAGAGGATTGTTCAGATGACCTTTAGGAAGAATCAATAATAAATCAATATCTCTCTCCCCTCTCTCTTCCTCCCTCTTCTCTCTTCCCCTTCCCCTTCCCCTCTCCCCTCTGTCTGTTCTTTACTCAGATTACCTTTCTTTGACCTGAGCACAGCAGAGATTAAGGTGTAGAAAAAGAAGCTAAGGAGTTTTTTTCAGAACTCCCTACCACACCCCCACTTTTTTTGCAGGTACGTAGATTTTTCAGAGCTTAGGCAAAGAAAGTGCTTGAGACTTATCTGAAGTGTGGCCTAGCTCACCAGGAAACTGATAATGTGGTTTAGGGCCAGAACCTTAGCTTTAATTAAATGTTCTTCTGCCTGATCTTGTCCACTATGTCTGTATAGCTCCTGCAAAGTCTTCTGGGAGACAGATGTAGGTAGCTATCAGAATTAGGGCATTTGGTCCTGGATTCAAGACCTCTCTCAATCTCTGTTTGTCAAGACTCAACTAATCACACTTATGACTATATGAAGATGCCCCAAATGAAGAGAAGGCAGTTTTTTGTTTTGTTTTTCAATTGGGGAGGATCAGAGTAATTGCCCAGAGAAGACATTTTGAGGTCTACAGTTTCTAAAGAGACTAAAAACAATACATTTCTATTTTATCACCATTTTTTTCACAATAAAACTGTAAAATGGAAGTGATGCCTATCCTGCTCATTTTATAAAACTGGGCCTCAGAAAAGCCATGTGTTTCACCTAAACTCATACTAAGAGCATATGAGAGAGCCCATGCTTTCTGTTTGAAGTTTTGGGGAAAGATTTTGTTTTTTCTCTTTAAATTAACTTGATCTAGCTGAAATTATTATTTTTTTTAAATCCAGGTTTTCTATTTCCAGTGAGCATATAAGGTTTCTTACAAGGTAAAATGATGAGATAGTTGATGGCCTATTTATTAGACAAAAGATTTTTGCAGAATTCTAAAAATATAAAATTAAGTGACTACTAACTGATATAATCATGCATACAAGTGTTCTACAAGTGAATATCACTACAACACTGTCTCAGCTTGCATTAAGCATTTTCTGAGTCCAATATCTATCACCTATAACATTTAACATCAACATCCTAAACAGTAAGTTAACATATTGAACTTAAGGTCACATAGCCCCAGCTTTGGATATCAGTGCAAAGAATCTCACCAGCTTTTAAGAACTAAAATAACTTGAGTAGGGAGATGCCAATTCTATTTTAAGATAGCTGACCCTATTACTGCCAGTAGTTCAAACACTTCTTAGGAAACTTAACATTTTGAACTTGTCATTACATGATGAAAAATGTCACTATGTATGTTCAAAAGCCTTTATATAGGGCCGGGCGCGGTGGTTCATGCCTGTAATCCCAGCACTTTGGGAGCCCGAGGGGGGCAGATCACCTGAGGTCAGGAGTTTGAGACCAGCCTGGCCAACATGGTGAAACCCCATCTCTACTAAAAATACAAAAATTAGCTGGGCATGGTGGCTCACGTCTGTAGTCCCAGTTACTCGGGAGGCTGAGGCAGGTGAATTGCTTGAACCCAGGAGGTGGAGGTTGCAGTGAGCCAAGATTGAGCCACTGCACTCCAGCCTGGGCGACAGTGAGACTCTGTATCAAAAAAAAAAAAAAAAAGTCTTTATACTTTTATTAGAAACAGGAAGTGCTATTATAACAAAAAAGCTGGGCATGGGCTGGGCTCCCAGCACTTTGGGAGGCTGAGGCGGGTGGATCACTTGAGGTCAGAAGTTTGAGACCATTCTGGCCAACATGGTGAAAGCCCGTCTCTACTAAAAATACAAAAATTAGCTGGGTGTGGTGGTGCATGGATGTAATCTCAACTACTAGGGAAGCTGAGGCAGGAGAACCACTTGAACCCGGGAAGTGGAGTTGCAGTGAGATCATGCCAATGCACACATTCCAGCCTGGGTGACAGAGTGAGACTCCATCTCAAAAAAAAAAAAAAAAAAAAAAGAAGCTGGGCATGGTGTCACGCACCTGTAATCCCAGCTACTCAGGAAGCTGAGGCAGGAAGATCACTAGAGCCCAGGAGTTTCAAAGCAGCCTGCGCAACAGAGTGAGAACTCGTCTCCAAAATAACAAAACAAACGAAACAAAATGAAGCAGAGCTGAAAGTCCTTGTTTGCTAGAAACCCCCAAGTGGACATCTGTAGAATGTTACCATGCCCCACAAGTCTTATCTTCTGTAATACACCATATCACTTTTTTCTCCCTGGAATATAATTTATTCCTGTATTCCTATAACCACCCTGTATACAGTCCACATAAAATTGGAATTCAGTCCACATAAAATTGTCAAGGTGATAGATGACAAGAAGTAAAATTCTAGGGAAGATCAAAAGTGTCAGTTCAAATAAACCACCATAAAAAGAAGGTCCCAACTAAGGCATATTTTTGATACTAGATGTAACAGAGGTTTTGAAATAGTGTTTCTTTCACACCATTCACTACCATCCCCACAGAGATGACAAAGGTTGCTCTTTACAATTATTTTCACTATCTAAATAATTTTTGTTTTATATTCCCCAAAGACCCTAGTAGAACGGAGATGTAAGGTGGGTACATGGAAACTTTATACAACTGGGCCGGTGCAGTAGCTCACACCTGTAATCCCAGCACTTTGGAAGGCTGAGGTGGGTGGATCACTCTAGGCCAGGAGTTCAAGACCAACCTGGCCAAAATGGTTAAACTCTGTCTCCACTAAAAATACAAAAATTAGCTGGGTGTGGTGGTGCATGCTTGTAAACCCAGCTACTCAGGTGGCTGAGGTATGAGAATTGCTTGAACTGGGAGGCAGAGGTTGCAGTGAGCCGAGACCGCGCCTCTGCACTCCAGCCTGGGTGACAGAGTGAGACTCTGTCTCAAAAAAAAAAAAAAAAAAAAAAAAAAAAAGGAAGAAAAGATAAAAGAAAAGGAACATATCTGAGATGAGGTCTTGATTTTAAGCCTTCACTTCTATCTGTGATTTCATCAGTATTCTGATGTAATCAGTATTACTGATTCTAAGTAAGAATTTCTGGGCTTCTATCTATAAAATTCAAATTTGGCCAAAGAAAAAGATCTACTAGAAATCCCAGACAGTATACAGCAGATGACTGCATGGGGGGAGTAGAAGCAAGAATTCAGGGCACATTGTCAAAATGAAGTCTTCTGATATCATTCTGGAATCTATAATTCTGATTGCCTGTACTTTCCAGTGAACTGCCTATGAGCATTTTCACCTGAAGGTCATTTGTCATGGAGCTGACATTGATGGCTCTAAATCAGAGAAGTAGAAATTAATTTCAGTATGCCCTAAAAATCAAAGCGGGGATCAGCTCTAACCAAAAAACTCACATGTCCTAACCTTTTTGATAGTGTGACCCTGCTGGCCACTTCGCTCCTAGTGATTGGGTTAAATCTTCCAGGATTTTTTTGTAGGTGGCTTTGTCATTGAAATAATTCTTTTTTCCCCTCCAAATTCAGAAAGCAGGAAATGTCTTTTCTATGTCACAATCACAAGGCAGGTCCCCTAGGGCTTCCAGGGGGCTTGCATCTTCCAGTTCCTGTTTCTGGTTTCTAACTGCTAATTCTATATTTGGTAACGGTCTGCCCATGGGCTGTTTTGGATTTGGTCATAATAAGATAACCTGGAGTCACTGAGCAGAGATCTAAAGCAATCTTATTTTTCCAGGAAGCAACGTGTTGACCTTTCAGGATATGGTCTATTTTGTTGAATGTGTTGAGTTTTTGAATAGTGTTGTTTATAGCACAAAGTTGGGTGTTTACACTATTGGTCCTTGAGGGTGTATGACTGTACAGGAATAGGACAGACACATATACTCCTACACTCTCCTGGCTTATAGTGAGTTTATATTTGTTCTTATGTGGATTGATGTAATCTAAGGAATGCTCTTTATACATGCTCTTATTTCATGGCAGCCTTGAAAAGAGCTACTTGCTCAGAAATGAATAAATATTTGTCAGACAAGTAAGGCAAAAGTGCTGGTTCTAATCCTTTTACATAAGTGCAAGAAAGAATCAACATCCCCTTGATAGAAAATAATCTCCTTAATCCCCCAGTATTTTCCAAGCTGAGTAGTGTTGAACCTATATGAATACAATCTTTTAGGAGTAAACAGATATCAACTGTTAACTTGACATGAAAAAAGCAACTTACAAAATAGTTACTCTAAAAGCTGTTGGATTACTATTTTATCATCAAAGAGTGTTCTTCTAACTTCACCTTAGATTTTGCCTTGTCATGTATTCCAATATAGGAGTTAACTTGCTTTGTAAATAAGATCAGAAAGAATGATACACTTTCAATTTACAAGTGGAAAATCAAGACATAAAAATATATTTTAACAATTTTAACATCGCCTTGGGAATGAGAAAGGAACTTGAGCTTCACAGAGAATCCTTTGTTTATAAAGTTATCAGTCATTAAGCCATTTTTAGTGGATTATCATAGCAGAGCTAAAATAAGAGCTTAAATTCTTCCCCTATGGAACATTAATTTGTTATATGGATCCTAGGTAGTTTTACTTTGATAATTTGTACCATGCATTCTTTCTTGTTTTGTTAATGCTCACTATAGAGTGCAAATTTTTCTTTTTAAATAGCAGGTATATAGTGAATGCCCCTTAAAATTTTAATTTATAATTCATAAAATTGATACTTTTTGTAACGATTTTCTCTTTTTATCATTTTGTACTTGCTTTTACACTGAAAATCCTGTTTTATAAGCCAAACCTTGCCCTCACAATCTGTGCAATTGTGATGGTTCCATAATATTTGATAGCAGTGTGCACAGGGGTGACAGACGCCTCATGGAGAATCAGCCTAAGATTGGAATCTCAGCTGCATCCCTCTTGGCTTTGGGGCAAGTTATCTAACCTTCTACACTTTGGAATTCTCATCTGAAAAATGGGACTAATCTACTTTCACAGGTTTGTTCTGGGAACTAAATAAAGTACATACAGATTCTAGCACAGGTTCTCTTGCCAGTGTTACTCCATGGATGTGCTATTAGCATTCTGGATAAAACAATTCTGCTGTGTGGGAATGTCCCACCGATTGCAGGATGTTTAATATCCCTGACCCCACCCTCTCCGAAAAATGCCATCTGGGCCCTCCGGTCACTGTGCCAATCCATGAGGGCTTTGTAAAATGATCACACTAAATATTCTGTTAATGCTGAGTTTTCCCCTTCATGCGTCTTATTAAAATATATATTTTGGTTTTGTATATTCATTCTTTGAGACTTCACTCAATTATCTTCTTGAGTCCCTCACTTCCAGTGACTGAGATGACAACATCATATTTGATGCTCTTGAGGCACCATTAAGGCATTTACATATTGGAAAACATTGCTTATGTGTTTCTATGGTCTTCAGACAATTAGCAATCTGAAGGCATGGGCTGTGCTGTTTTTCTTTTAGCATCTAACACCCCACAGAGTGTCTGATATATTGCTGATGCACAGGATTGTTTGTTGAATTGAGTAGTCCACCCCGTATGAATTCTGTGCCCTGCAGCCTTCATATTCTGAAGCAATATTTCTTTTGGCATCTCACTTTTTCTCAGAACCTTGTCATCTCAGACAACACTTCTTGTACCCAGTCAACTGGCATCAGATTTCTTTTTAACGGCTGAAGAGATGAAAAAGGCCTATGTGTGAAGGGCCCAGGTTAGTTAACCTGTCTGAGCAGGAGCCACTGATTGTGCGAGGTAAGAGTGGTGGTGCTGAGAAGGCTGGTCAGCGGGGAGCCCAAAAGCCTTCTGGACTGTAGAGAGACACTGTGGGGCTGTGCTGCAGGAAGATGATTCTGACCAGCACACAGGAAAAGAGGTTTAGCTTGTGCTTGAATTCCCTCCTGAACTTACCGCAGGCACATCTCCTAAATGATGCTCATTATAGACATTTTCATAGGTACACTCTTATTTTCATTCATTTCATTGCAAGTTAACTATTTATTCTAAAAGATTTTCTGTGTTCTTTCTCTTTTCATCCTGCCATGGAATGTGTAAACAAGAGAAACAATTCCGTGTGCTTGTTAGGCAGATCCTGCAGCAGCGCTCTGAGCCATGGCACAGTAATAAAGACAGGTTGATAGTGCTCCCGCTAATCTATGTCACCTTCCTCTACTATTTCCCAAGCTAGCCACCCCAAATCTAACCTTCTCCTTGAGACCCCTGCTCTACTACCTTCCTTATTGCCAATTCCTACTGCATTCCTCACCCTCACAACCTCTCAGTAAATGTTGTTTTCTCCATCACAGAGAAACAACAAGCCATAAGGCACAGACGCCTGTCTTTCTGTCTCCCTACCAAATAAAAATGTATCTGTAGCTATCATTCCCATTCTGGTGGATGATGCCTCCTCCACCCAAATCAGGGATAATCCTTCCACCTAGATCCTGGATCTTCACCTCGTTCCTCCTGAAAATGACCATCACTAACCCCAAACTCCTGGGTTTTACATCCAACTGATTACTTAATATCTCCACGTTGATGTTTAACATATATCACAAACCTAACATGTTTACAAACAAACTTTTCTAGTTGCTGAGGTCTAAAAATCTTAGTCATCCTTGATTTCTCTCTTTTTTTTTTTGAGACGGAGTCTTGCTTTGTCACCCAGGCTGCAGTGCAATGGTGCGATCTTGGCTCACTGCAACCTTTGCCTCCCGGGTTCAGGCGATTCTCCTGCCCCAGCCTCCCGAGTAGCTGGGATTACAGGTGCATGCCAACATGCCCGGCTAATTTTTGTATTGTTAGTAGAGATGGGGTTTCACCATGTTGGCCAGGCTAGTCTCGAACTCCTGACCCCAGGTGAGCCACCCACCTCGGTCTCCCAAAGTGTTGGGATTACAGGTGTGAGCCACCATGCCCGGCCGATTTCTCTTTTTCTCTTGTATTTCACATTTAATCTTTCAGCAAATCTTGGTGGGTTTTCCTTCAAAATACATGCAGAACAACTGCTTTCACCCTACTCAAACCATTTAATTCATTTCTTGCCTGGATTATTGCACTAGCCTTCCAAATACCACCCTCACTTCCATCCTCACCCCCTACAGTATATTCTCAACAGCTGTAGTGGTCTTGTTAAAACATAAATTATGCTAATCTTCTGGTCATAAATCCTTCAAACATGTTCTAACTCACTCAGAACAAAGCCAAGCCCTCCAGTGGCCTAGAAGGCCCTACGTGATCTGGCACCCACTGTGTCTCGGGCCTCACCTTTTACTGTTCTTCCCCTCACTCACGTTTTTCTGGCACACTGGCCTCATGGCTTTTCTTCAACATTACAGAGGTAATTCTGCTTCAGGCCTGTAACATGTCCAGGGGACTTTCTAGGTTCACCTTAACATGCAGACTTATAAGATTATCATAAACTTCATTTGGCACCAGAATCACTTCAGAAATACACAGATTAGAGTCACCAGCAAGGCAACATCAGCCTTTCCCCTTTAGGAAAATCTTCACAACTGTCCATGTAGCCGTCCACACTGCTGTCCTCCTGAGCCTCTCCTCCCCAAATCATCTCCAGTGCAAGGAAAGTGATCTACTTTAGGTAGGTTCAGAACTTACCCTGGCTTAAAAGCCTTGTGCCTCAAAGGAACCAATATCTCTAGTAACTCAATAGATCAATCTTTGATGTGTCAAGGAGCATGCTGAATCACAAGTTTCACTACAGTCACAGAAGTCCAATGATACAGCTTCCTACCAGGCATTTATCACTCTTCCAGCCCAGAAACAGTTGACCAATCAGCAGTCATTTATGCCATAATGTTGCCTAGTAACACAGTTAACATTTGACCTTTATCAGGTCTCCGGGGAAACCAAACTAGAAAACTGAGAAAGTCATAAAATCCAATTCTTCTGCAGAAAAGGAAGGGACCTGTGCCTTCCTTTCACTATGTGCCTCTTGCTCTTGCTGTTCCCTCTGCCTGGAAGCCTCCTTCCAGGACATCTGCCTGGCCTGCTCCTGGACGTCTTTTAATTCCTTGGCCAAAAGTCACCTTTCCAATGAGGCCTTCCCAGGCCATCCTATTTGAAGATTGCAGCTTCTATCTTACCTGCAGGAACCTTCTACCATCTTGGCATGCTTTATTTTTTCCCATTGCCTTTATCTTCTAACATATTTACTAATTGATTTTGCTTATTTTGCTTATTTTTCCCATAGAATTTAAAGTCCATAAAGCTGGGATTTTTGTCTTTTTTCTCCTTCGTTGATAATTCTTAGTAGAACAGTGCCTGATACGCAGTAGGTTCTTCAACAACTATTTCATTTATGAATGAATTTATGCCCCTTTTTTTAGACAATAACTTCTCACTGGCACCCTTTGTTGGAGGGGAGGGGGAAAGATATTTTCAGTGACCAAATAAAAGACAGCATGGTGTGAGGGACTAAGAGCAGGAACTTTGGAACCAAATCACCTGGATTGAATAAAGGCTTCAATACTCACCTTGGGAGGATCGTTAACCTCTCTGTGCCTCAGGTGTCTCATTTGTAAGTGAGGCTAGTAATAGAACCTATATATAAGAGTTGTCATGAGGATGACATTTGTTAAAATACATGTAAAGTGTTCAAAAGAGTTCCTGACACATAGGAAGCAGTATGTGTTCACTATTTTTAAGGCCAACTTTTAAAAGTACTTTATTTTCGCTCTGTACCACTTCTAGTGATTTCTCTTTCTCCCTATACCTTCTTTTCCAGCTGATCTACCCGAAAAATCACATCTACCCCATAGCTTCTATAATACGTTGATTTCCATTCAGTTTTCCAACCACTGACCTAAGATTTCTAATGACGTAGTTGCTACTTTCCTCTTCTTAGTCCATGAGTTAGTTGTGTTGGCTGCCATCATTGTCCATGGCTTCCTTTGGCTTCTGACCTATGCCTCTCTCCTGGTTTTCATCTGTCCTTATGGCTGCCCCTTCTCAGTCTTCTTCAAGGGCCCCACTTCCTTCTCCATTTACTCTTTAATGTTATTACTGACACTATCTTCCTCATCACATTCTCCCTGGATGAGTCCATTTGCAAGCATGGCTTCAGCTCTTATATCAACACCCTATATGTGCCAGTTCTACTGACAGTTTCCCAAAGATGTCATGTTCTTTCTCACATCCATGACTCAGAGCTTTCTTTTCTCCTCTTGGTGTCCTCTTACTTTCAGCTAAGGAGAGGTTCTTGACTAACTTTAGCTGGTTCTCCAAGTTTTAATTCAACCATCACCTTTTCTCTTATTCCCAAACCAAAATGAGGGTTTCTCTTCAGCATTCCCTTAGTGCCTTATGGACACCTCTATCAAAGTATAACACAAGTTATTTTGATTGCTAGTTTATTTATTTCTCCCCTAGAAATGAACTACTTATATGTATCCATGTCCTCAAAGTATGGTACCTGGAACATAGCAGCTATGTAAAAAATACCTGGATTCAATACATAAATACATGGCATCTACATAAATTTTTATTGGGTTCTTTTCAAATTCAGAACTAAACATTCAGTAAAATAATGATATCTCATCAAAATTTTAGTTCTTCCAGAAAATCTTATTAGGGGTAAGGGTAAAGGATGAATAAAAGCAAAAAGTTCCACTTTGGCAGTATCAATGGTGCTGGACATATGTTACATTTCACTGTGAAGCCAATTTGGAAAGATAAGGGGCCCCCTTTGATGTTAGTGACATCAGACATTACTTGACTACAGTCAATTGCTCTTTGGGCTCATTGAAATCTTTCAAGTACCATATTTACCGTATTAGGAAATCCCAGTAAATAGGTGTTTCAGGTTCTCTGCTATGATTACAAATACATCCACAGAGAACAGTGACTAATACTTACATGGTTAAAAATCACACAGCCAGCTCCCTAAAGAGGTTTCAATGACTTGTGCTTTGCTCTGGCCCCCATTTTGCCAGGGATCTAGGCACCTACCTGTAAAGTACATCCAAACACGCCGATCATGAGCATGGCTACTGAGAGGTAATCGGTAAACACATCCCACCATGGCTTCAGCACTCGGAAGGCAGGCTGCTGCTCAGAGAACTGCCGGAATTCTGTCACGGGAATCATGTTTCTGAGAAAGGAGAGATTACTTGTAAATCAATTTATCTTCCAGTACAACATACTGCATTGTTACCAAATGTGGCTCCAACTCCTCACAGCAGAGGTCTGAATTAGTTCAAGAGCTGTCAAGACACATCAATGTTTTGATGAGCCACTGAATAAAATCACCAGTTGAGGAAATAAGGAGACCCACATGGAAAAGGCAAGTACTTGCCTTTTCTTGTCCAATGACAAGGTTCCCTTTGTGCTCCAGGTGGGACAGAAAGAACATGGCCAGACACTTTCCAAGTCCCAGTTATTTCCTGGACCCTCATTTCTCTTAAACAGAACATGAAGATGCCAGAAAGACTAGAGCTCATCCTTTGAAATGTTTTTGCTGTTTATCTTACCATCTTGGGTTATTGCTTTAAGCTTTTTTTTTTTTTTTGCTTTAAACCATTTTTAAGTGTAATTTTAGCATTCTTTTGTGCTAATTCTTTACTGAGCCCTATTTATAAAGCATTTTGCTTGTTCCATGGGAAAGGAAAACAGTGTTTCCACGTGGTCCTTGTCTTTTAAGAAGAAAGGTCTTATTGATGGTGGTGGATTGAGGAGGCCTCAATTTTTCTTCCTTGTTTCCTTTTTGTCTCTATGCTTGTATCTTGATTTTTTTCTCTGTTTCCTGTACTTCTCACATTTCACTGTGAACCCCAAACTTATCCTAATTTTCTCCGCTGAGACAACAGTTCAGTCTGGAAACTCCTATCTTTAACCAAATGACAGAAGATAAATGAATAGGGTGCACCCACGGCTCTGGGAAAAGGGAAAAAGAGGTACATTCTTTTCTTGATGTGCCTCCTCCTTTCTTACTCATTCTTACTGCCTTTAGTGTGACCCAGGACTTGAGGTTAATCATCCTGCTACTGTGAGGAGAAATATTCTTTCTGTATCTTATGGCAATCATCCTCCTACTGTGAGAAGAAATATCCTTTCTTTATCTTATGGCAAGGAATAAGGGTGGCCAAGGAGGGCCAAAAACATTTCACCTTCCTTCCCTAATACTGAATTAAGAACTAGATAGACAATGGCCGGGCGCGGTGGCTCACGCCTGTAATCCCAGCACTTTGGGAGGCCGAGGCGGGTGGATCATGAGGTCAGGAGATCAAGACCATCCTGGCTAACGTGAAACCCCGTCTCTACTAAAAATACAAAAAATTAGCCGGGCGCGGTGGCGGGCGCCTGTAGTCCCAGCTACTCGGGAGGCTGAGGCAGGAGAATGGCGTGAACCCGGGAAGCGGAGCTTGCAGTGAGCCGAGATTGCGCCACTGCAGTCCGCAGTCCGGCCTGCTGGGCGACAGAGTGAGACTCCGTCTCAAAAAAAAAAAAAAAAAAAAAAAAAGAACTAGATAGACAATAAACATCCCACATAAAAGCAAAGCCTCTTCTTTGATTACAGCTTTGGCAACAATTACAATGTTATCTATTCCGTCTTGCTGCATTGTGACTTTCTTATACAATAATTTGTCTTCTTTTTGAATCTGTTAACACAGTGTTGAAAATTTCAACGGCCTGGCGATGTTCTCCTCTCTGACCTACCTACTTGACATCTATGCAGAATACAATTTCCTCATTTTACTGAAACACAACTTTTCTTAACTTTTTTCTGTTACCACCCACTAGGCTACAAGTTTCTTCAGGGTAGAATCTACATGTTCTGCCTATGTGTCTCCTTAAAACATGTATTGCAGGCAAACTGCACAAAAGCTCAATACATTACTTTGTATATTTCTAGTGTGATTAAAATTTCAGACTAGTCCAAACTTTGATTTTCCTGACACTTTATGGCCTCTTTTTTTCTCAGTAAATTATTACAGTCCCACTGCCCCAAATGTTTGATAGTCACAGTTGTCTCAGTGGCAATAACAGATGGCACAAATTCATCTTGACTTCCAAGTTCCACTTCAGAAGGTACTGTCTTACTCTATTTTGCATCCCCATTACTTGCCATACTGCCTGAAAAACAAGAAGCTCGTAACAACTGTCTGTTGAATAAATTCTGATGCTTATTCGTGAAGCAATGCTCATCCAACTCAGATTTGGGGTGATCCTAATCAGCTGCAGCGGCAGGGATAATTAGCAAACAACCTGTGTTATAGTCTATTGTTCCTTGATAGATTTGGTTGTTGTCTCCTCCATAGGTTTCTTTACATCGTAGAGGAAATTGGACTTATTTATAAAAGTGAGCAACAATTTCAGAAATAAAATGCACCAATATAGAGCAGTGGCTCTCTAACTTTTTGGTCTCAGGAACCCCTCATGCTCTAAAACAATGAGGAGAACCCTGAAGTATTTACATGGGTTACATCTATACATATTTACCATACTAGAAGTGAAAAACCAATAAATGTAATATATATATAATTTATTAAAAAGTAAACTCATCCATCAAGATACATCATTATGAAAAATAACCATATTTTCCAAAACAAAATTAGTAGAACAATGAAATTGTTCTAAATTTTTGCAAATCCCTTTAATGCCTGGCTTAATATAAAAGCCAGCTGAATAGAAGATATATCTGCTTCTGCAATCTATTATGATATAATATGTTGTTTTGCCTGAAATTTCAATCTATTGTGATATGATATGTTGTTTTGTCTGAAATGTATGGACCAAACATGGCCTCACAAAGACATGTGGTTGGAAAAGGGACGAGTATCCTTTTTATATCATTGTAGATATTTATTTTTGATACTATACTAAACCTTGACTAACTTAGTTGTGATATGGAAACTGGAAACTCTATCAAACAACTTTTTAAACTTCATTATATTAAAATTAATTAGTGGCCAGGCTCAGTGGCTCACCTGTAATCCCAGCACTTTGAGAGGCCAAGGTTGGTGGATCATGAGGTCAGGAGATCAAGACCATCCTGGCCAACATGGTGAAACCCCAACTCTACTAAAAATACAAAAATTAGCTGGGCGTGGTGGCATGCACTTGTAATCCCAGCTACTTGGGAGGCTGAGGCAGGAGAATCGCTTCAACTTGGGAGGCGAAGGTTGCAGTGAGCCGAGATCGCACCACTGCACTCCAGCCTGGTGGAGAGCGAGACTCCATCTTAAAAAAAAAAAAAAATTAGTCTATCTTGTACTTTGAATGGATCTTTTTACACATGCATGATTTTGTAACATATGCATGATTTTGTAACGCATGATTTTGTAACATCATGCATTGGTAATTTGGAAAACATTGGATCACTGAGTTATCCAGACCTTCCAAATGTTGACACATTTCATCCTAATAAAATATTAAGACACATTTTAGTAATAATATTTAAAAATCACATTCATTAATATCACCACTGCTATCATCAGAAAAATGTTTAAGTCTTGGGAAGCTGTCAAGCTCATGGTGGTGATCACAAGTTTTCCAAAATTCTAATTATCACTTGAAAGTTTGAATTTTATTGCTGTCAACAAATACTTTAGTTGTTCTCCCTGAAGTGTCAGGATCACTTCATTCATTTTGAGGATATATATGCCACATACTCAAGTCTCAATAATCAGTTGTTTTATTCAAGTAAAAGTAGTATGATGTGATAAAGTAGCTCATTCTACTTTCAACTCCATTACACAAGAGCTTTCTCTTCAGACAACCATTGTACTTTGGAATGCAGCAGAAGTGCTTTGTGTATTCTTCCCATTTCATCACATAGTGTATTAATAAAACATGCAGTCAAAGGTTGAAAGTTATTAAAACAGTAATTTTTACTGCCTCAATAAGAACAGCAAGTGAACCTGGTTTTTTAATTTCAAGTGTGTACCAGTGAAGAACACAATCCCTTCAGCACAGTCTAGTGCCTCTATCTTGAGTAATGTGAAGGTGCCTTACTAACCATGGTTTTTGCACCATCAGTGAAATAGGCAAAAAACATCTTAGCATTACAAAACAGTTTTGACTTCATGGGGTCCCTTAAAAAGGTCTAGGTTGCCAGGCTTCCATGAACCATACTTTGAGAACCGAGGTAGAGGGTCACTGTTCCTTTATCTAAGTCTTCCTTTGAAAAAACAAAGACCTGAATACTCACAACAGGTGAGGTTCTCTGGGTCCTTGTCTGAGTTGCTTCACAGACCTCATGCTTTTAATATGGGAAATAAAGTCAAACTAAGGCATCTAAGAAATATAAGTATTATCTACTGCTTCTTAATATTGGCACAGTCTAGATAAGATAGAATATAAGACTTGATAGGGAATCAGCTGGTCAAGATGGCAAAGTTTAGTGCTACAACACAACTATTATTGCATTTAAATTCTTTTTTTTGAGACAGAGTCTCGCTCTGTCGCCCAGGCTGGAGTGCAATGGCGCGATCTCGGCTCACTGCAAGCTCCGCCTCCCGGGTTCACGCCATTTTCCTGCCTCAGCCTCCTGAGCAGCTGGGACTGCAGGCGCCTGCCACCACGCCTGGCTAATTTTTTGTATTTTTAGTAGAAATGAGGTTTCACCGTGTTAGCCAGGATGGTCTCGATCTCCTGACCTCGTGATCTGCTCACCTCGGCCTCCCAAAGTGCTGGGATTACAGGCGTGCCCAGCCGCATTTAAATTTTTTTGAGTAAATGCGTATGTGCATGTATGTCTACATGTCTACATATGTACATGTATCCTACATATAAATATATATACAGATTGATATGGTTTGGCTGTGTCCCCACACAAATCTCATGTGAACTGTAGCTCCCATAATCCCCCTGTGTCATCGGAGGGACCTGGTGGGAGGTAATTAAATCATGGGGGCAGGTTTTTCCCATGCTGTTCTCATGAAAGTGAATGTCTCATGAGATCTGGTGGTTTTATAAAGGGCAGTTCTCCTGCACACACTCTCTTGCCTGCCACCATGTAAGATGTGCCTTTGCCCCTCCTTCACCTTCCACCATGATTGTGAGGCCATGTGGAACTGTGAGTCCATTAAACCTTTTTCTTTATAAATGACCCAGTCTCAGGCATGTCTTTATTAGCAGCGTGAGGACAGACTAATACACAGATGTACCAGATTTTATTGAATTAACATATTACAAGGCCCCAAACCAATATCTAACACAGCATTAATCCTTAATGTTTTTGATGCAAAAAGGTGAGTAAGGGAAGACTTGAATAAAAAACTACAAATCTAAAGAGAAGGTAGATAGACCTTTTGCTTGCTCAATGAAAACTTTTTTTGTACTTCTCTTTCACAACTTTCAGTTCCTCTGAAAAAGTGACAGCCACACTTGATCAATTGCTCTTTCATTGCTGCTGTCATTTCTAAGTGATTTGCGACAATTTCAAGAGTTATCATTTCAAGCTAAGGGAGCCACTTCTGAATAAACTACTGGGTTTAAATAGGGAGATAAAGATCAATCAGCATAATTTTATTTCTAGTTAAACATTTTTCTATTTTATATTTCCTCCAACCTTGATTTTCAACTTGCTACAAAGGATTTTAATTTATCTTATTAGTAATGTCTTTGGAAGTGTAATATTTTTAATTAAATCAAGAGATTCTGGTATCCTAATTTTAAAAATGAAAATTATTACATCTCTGCTTCGGTAACCTTTTGCAGACATTCAGATTCATTTCCTTATTTAAAATACTTATTGTAGGCTGGGTGCAGTGGCTCATGCCTGTAATCCCAGCATTTTGGGAGGCCGAGGTGGGTGGATCACTTGAGATCAGAGGTTTAAGACCAGCCTGGCCAACATGGTAAAATCCCATCTCTACTAAAAATACAAAACTTAGCCAGATGTGGTGGTGTGTACCTATAATCACAGCTACTCATGTGGCTGAGGCAGAAGAATTGCTTGAACCCGGGAGTCAGAGGTTGCAGCGAGCTGGGATCATACTACTGCACTCCAGCCTGGGAGACAGAGTGAGGCTCCATCTCAAAACAGAAAAAAAAAAAAAAAAAAAAAAGCATGAAAGCATGAAACACCTGGCACTTATCAACTACCAATTCAAATATCCTGTGGCCATCTCCAGACCAGAAAAAAAAAAAACTATTACAAAAAACTATTTTAGTAGATCCATATTCCACATAACTTTACTTCTCAAAGATATATATTTTGGTAAAGAATATTGGTAAAGTTGGCCGGGCACGGTGGCTCACGCCTGTAATCCCAGCACTTTGGGAGGCCGAGGTGGGCGGATCACAAGGTCAGGAGATCGAGACCATCCTGGCTAACACGGTGAAACCCCGTCTCTACTAAAAATACAAAAAATTAGCCGGGCGTAGTGGTGAGTACCTGTAGTCCCAGCTACTCGGGAGGCTGAGACAGGAGAATGGTGTGAACCCAGGAGGTGGAGCTTGCAGTGAGCTGAGATTGCGCCACTGCATTCCATCCAGCCTGGGTGACAGAGCGAGACTCCATCTCAAAAAAAAAAAAAAGAATATTGGTAAAGTTAGGTACAAACATAGAGTTTATTTTATTTATATGGCTCTTCCTAAAATAATATGTTCCCATCCTCCTCCCCAGGATAATTTTTGTGTTTCTTGCCTAGAATTAATATCCCAGAATGTATTCTGCTCTATTTATCAATCCATGACCTAAAGAATATGAAACTTATTCTAGTGTGATTCCAACACGATTGCTAACACTGTTTTGTGGCTATCAGGTGGGTAGAGTTAACATTTGTTTTATTCCACATTTTTCTGACAGTGGGTAAATAGTATCACCTTTAGCACAATCATATATCATTCAAGAAAACAAGAACCAATTTCAAATGATGGTAGGTAGCCTGTCAGTAACCCAGTGAATGGCCCTGATCAAAACGAATACAAAACAATTTAATAGTTCCTGAGCACATGAAATAGGAATTCAACAGAAAAGAAACCCATGTGTATTGCTCATCTATGTTGTTAAATCCAATGGTCAGTTCTAATTCCTTATCTTTTCTTTTGTTGTTTTTTTGGAGACAGGGTCTGGCTCTGTCACCCTGGCTGGAGTGCAGTGGCGTGATCTTGGCTCACTGTAATCTCCACCTCCCGAGTTCAAGTGATTCTCATGTCTCAGCCTCCTGGGTAGCTGGGACTACAGGTATGTACCACCACGCCCGGCTAATTTTTGTATTTTAAGTAGAGAAGGGGTTTCACCATGTTGGCCAGGCTGGTCTCAAACTCCTAGTCTCAAGTGATCCACCCACCTTGGCCTCCCAAACTGCTGGGATTACAGGCATGAGCCACTGCACCTAGCCTTTCATTCCTCATCTTATTTATGAGCAGCACTTCATGTAATTTGACCATTTCTCCCTTGGCTTTTAAAGGACACCACAGCCTTTTGGTTTTCCTTCTACTTCCCTGGCTATTCCTTTGTTGTTTCCTCCTCTTCTCCCCGACCCCCTTGTTTGGAACATCCCAATGCTTACTCTTAGGTCCTCTTGTCTTCCCTAATGCATTCACTCCCCTTGTGATTGCATCTGGCCTCAATGTTTCAATACCAACTATACTTGACGCTTCACAAATTCATATCTCCATCCAGACTCAGAGTTCCCACTACGTACTCGACATCTCCTCTTGGATATCCACTAGACACATCAAACTTGGCCTGTCCAAAACCTACTCCTGTCCCAGTCCCCTATTCCCCATCCCCACAGCAAACCCTTCTCCACTTACAGCTTTCCTATTCAGTAAATAGCAAGTCTATCTTTCCAGTTGCTTAGGCCACAAATCTTGGAGTCATCCTTGACTCCTGTCTCATAAAATCACGTGCAGTCTGTCAAAAAACCCTCATTTATTGTGTTTCTTCCTTTCGTTTTTTTTTTTTTTTAGACAGAATTTCTCCCTTGTTGCCCAGGCTGGAGTGCAATGGCGCGATCTTGGCTCACTGCAATATCTGCCTCCCAGGTTCATGCGATTCTCCTGCCTCAGTCTCCCGAGTAGCTGGGATTACAGGTATGCACCACCATGCCCAGCTAATTTTGTATTTTTAGTAGAGACGGGGTTTCTCCATGATGGTCAGGCTGGTCTTGAACTCCTGACCTCAGGTGATCCACCGGCCTTGGCCTCCCAAAGTACTGGGATTAGAGGCAGGGGCCACCATGCCCGGCCTTGTGTTTCTTGATGTATTGCATCTCTACTTCCACAAGAATGCAAGTTTCATGATGGCAGAACTTAATTTTTCAGTTCTATTGTGTTCATCGATGTGTTACAAGTACCTAGAAAATAATGCCTGGCATGTATTAGATACTCAACTAATGTTTGATGAATAAATGGGTGAATACATAGTAATTTTAGTTAAGAAAGTGGGATATAATTGCTTTTGCAATTTTTATTACTGAAGCTAAAAGCAAAGTATATGTCTGACACTGTCATGGTAGGAAGATCCCACACACAGGGCCAGGACATTAGCATAGCTAAAGCCAGTGTGAACAAGGGCAAAAGAGGTAACGAACAGAAATGCCATGATTTTAAATTTATGAGTTCTTTTCAGTTGTACCCAAAGTCTCCACAAATCAAAAAGTCATCAGAATATGCTGAAAACATCAGTTGTAAAACAAATTGCTTTTCTTTTGGCAGTGAAAAGATGGAAATAAAAAGCAGGAGCAAAAAGGCAAAATTTCCCAATTACATAAAAATTATACCTTTCTCCCTTGGGAGAGCATGACTGTAGATTGTGTTTTATTGTACAGTTTTGGCATTCATGACAAAATATTTCTGGAAAAATCCACTGAAGCAGAACATAATTATATGGTTCTGTAGAAATGTATTTAATTAAATGAGAAAAGCATAAATGGGTTATAAAATTTTAGGACCTGAAAAAGGTCAAAGAGATCATCCAGTCCAGACCCCTTACTTTATGGGTGAAAATCCTGAGCCAAGAGAGATTAGGTGACTTGCCCAAGGAACACAGCTAATGGTGAACTATAACTTTTAACCAAATCTTTTTCTTTCCATCTAGAGCTCTTTGCTAATACCACATGATGCTGACTGTAACTGAAAGAAGTTAAACTGTGCTAAGAAACAAAGAGTTTAAATAGAACTTTTCCTGTACTCAAATTTCTCTTTTCATGTTTCTTATTTGACAATATAAAAGAAAAAATAAACGAACATTAACACATTTAAATGATTCTTAAGCTATACTGTCCTCATAGCATCATAAAATGATAGAACTTTTGACTCAAAGGAATCTTAAGAGGTAAGCGGAACTTGCAACCCAATGAATACTTCCATCTTTTCCTTGGATATCTCCATGATATTGTATGTTCAATTAATGGACCAATTACATTATTTGGAAAGTCTTCAAGTTGAGCTTAACCTATTTTTCTAAGGGTGTTGGTGGGTGTGGCAAAAGTACTTCTACCTAGCAATTTTAGTTCTCTCAAACAATGACGATATTATTCGTTTCTGATTATGCTCTTCACATATTTAAAGAAAAATCCTTTTAATTGTGTGTGCTTCAGGCTGTACATTTCAAGGCTTTTGCTTTACATGACAGTTTCCACAGTTACCTATATTATTGTAGCCACAGGCCTTTGAATTCACTAAAAATCTATGATCAGTAGCTGCTTTTTCCCTCTCACAAGCATAATTCACTTTCATTCACTCATGTGCTTACTATAAATTATGAGAGGGAATTGTATGTCAGGCTCTGTGCTAGGTGCTGAGAGAATCCCTCACCCACATATACACTCACGGGAGAATATTCATTGAAGAAATTCTTATAAAAATATGAATTGAAACTCCTTTGTAAATGGGGTTGATTATTGTTTCCTGTGCCAATGGTGCATTTAAAGACGTTGTTACAGTATTTTTATTTTACCAAGGATAGAATTTATATCTCATCTCTGTATCTTCAAGAAAGTAGCACAGTGTCTTAGAAGCAGCCCTCAATACAAATTGGTTACACTAAAATCGACTTATCCATGCTTATCACCCACACAGATAAAGACACACCCAATCGAGCATTTTGTAGTAAGGACCAACTCTTTCATTACGTTATTATCCCCTTAGATAGACCCTGACATTGCAATAAATAAGAGAGAGACTATTACCAAATAGCTCCTTGTTGTAAATAATGATTATTCAAAGAACATCCACTACTGAAGAGAATGTTTGAGATGAGGAAAGAAGTCAGGAATAATTTATAATTTCAAAGTTAAATATCATTGAATTTTTAATGCACAATGTTCTGTCACTACTGCTAAACAGGATGTGTTGATCAGTAATGTCTTCTGAGGTCTTAGCTTGTACCCAAGAAAATGGCCAAATGTTGTGACTACCTTGTCAGAACATGAACCTATTAAGAAACAGGTGATAGAAAACAAATCTAAACATTAAAGTATTATTAACAAAATAATGGTTTGGAATATTGCTTTTCTAAATCTCACTGAGATCTTAAAAGAAAGCTTTAATTTCTTTGGGATTTTTGTCAAATAGTTTCAGCTATATGTATATGATACTAATAATTATTTAATGCCTATTCCGCACAATTCAAGTACATTTAAATTCAGAAATCCTTACTGAAATGAGGCTAAGCTGAGATCTAATAGTCCTTCAAAAACTGTTCATAAACGATTATCCTCAAATGTCAGTCATTTCTTTCCATATATCTATTATTCTGAGTATACCTATAGTCTCTCTCAGAAATGGCTCAGCTCTCTGCATCTTACTGGCCTTCTTAGTCACCTCTTCACTCCAGTTTCTTTTTTTTCTTTTCTGTCTCCTTTAAACTAGAAACACTCTTCCATGAGGTAGCGTGGATACACACCTCCTCCCAATCCCAATCGGATTCTAAACCCTTGAAAAGGCTGTGTGTTTCTCCTTGAACTCTCAATATCATTGGCTGTGGTTAAGGCCAGGTTTTCAATCACCTTATCAGTCTCAACATCCAAAAGCTAAGTCAAATTCAACTGGGGAAATCTGTAATGATTGGTTTGAAGATCATTGATCTCTTCCTTCAATGTACAGAAAGAGACTGAGGTTTACCTCCAATCCAGTTTTACCCCTTGAACAAAGAGGGCACAGGGTTCTAAGCAGCAGGCACACCATGAACACACAGCGCAGCCCAGAAAACCCAGGCATGACAGGAGCTGGCAAAGCCATGTGCGGGGAATGCTGCTTTCTTTCTGATGAAGGGCAGCAAGGAGAGGAGGGTGCGGAAGGCAAGAAGACTCCTGCCCTCAAGAGCATTAAAACTAAAGTTTCTTGTTTATTTTGTAACTTCTGGAATTTACAGTTTTCTGAAAAGGCAAGGGGTCACCTTTTATTTTATATTCCTTGCTCTGGGGCCTAGAATACTCAAAAAAAGGTTTTTTGTTTTTGTTTTTGTTTTTTTGTTTTTTTGAGTTGAACTCTTAATGATTTCATAGGGAGAAAGTTGTCTTTTCTGTTCTGACAAGAAATGTAGCTTGTTTTTCAAATACCTTTCCATAAAAATAGATGGTAGACTGGTACTTATACAAACTGTCAACCAAAAAGTGTGACAAGGAAGCTAAAGCAACTTTTTGTCAAACACTTTTTCACTTGTTTTTGTTTTTGTTAAATAGGGGTAAAATTTAAAATTTCCAGCTAGGTTAAACATAAAAAACTAGGAAACAAAGTAACACTGCACAGAAACCAAGAGACTGATGTTTAAAGTGAGAGACTGAAAGACTAATGGGTTTAGAGTATGATCATTTTTATCTTCCTTTTCAGTTAAGCTAATCTTTACAGGAATCTACCTTTAAAATGTACCATCTAGAATCAGGGACCATGAAAGTTTGATAATTGCAGAAAAACACTAACGGTTGACTAATTATCTTTGGAGCTTTTCAAGAAGGCTGCCCTCCATCTCATGCCAGCTGTTGATTGGTCTTTCCTGTTGGATGAGCTCAGTAAAGTTTGTGATGGAAGGAAAAATTTCAGGTCCTCCAGCCTCCAGGAAAAATGGCCCTTCAGGAGCATTAAAACTGATAAGAATGTACCTAAAAATCAGAATGTTAGGTTTTGTCTGTCCAGCTAATGAATATTTAATGCAAGGCTTTGTATCTAAAGGAGAAATAATTGCTGGGTTTGGCTCTATATTTAACATACTGATTTAATGGCCATCTTTTCCAAGTTAGACATTTTATGAGTTCCCTCTTCTAAGTTTTCTTTATTCACAGCAGAGCTAAATATCTAATGCAAACACATTTGATGCTCATAGAGTCACACATTCTAGAAGCTGAGAAAGGGCATGAAAAGTTTCTTTATAGGAAGGCTCTAGGTGGAAATAGCCAAATGTTACTGGTCTCTCAAATCTACATTGTGCCGAACATCTATACGAAAAATATTCTCGGAAAATATGAATCATTTAATTAAAATACATTGTTTCTGAAGATAGATATGTTCTTTAATTTAAAAAGATAAAAAACCTATCCTCCCTCAAAAAGAAATAGTGAAACTAGGTAACATACATTGCATGATAGCAAAGGCCAACAGTCTATGTAGATCCTGAAAAGTCATCACAAAGAAGACATAAATAATAGTGGCAGGGGCCTTTTGGTACTAATCCTACAACTGGAACGTTCTTTCAATACCCACCCACCTTGCTTTGTTAACTCCTATGCATACCGCAGACCCAGGTTCTAGCACCACTTGCTCAGGGAAGCTGTCCCCAATCTCTCTGACTCCGTCACATCCAGAGTTTCAGGCTCTCATTGAGGATACCCCCTGATGACCTCTGTCAGAGAGTACTTTCCATTCATTTGTGCTCTTGGATTTACATTGGTCTTCCCTAGGCTATAAGGTCCATGAAGGCAGAAATAATTTGTTTTGTTCACCACTGTTTTCCCAACACTTCACAGTATTTGGCATATAGTAGGTGCTCAATATATATTTATTGGGTAAATAGATGAGCAATTAAAAAGAAAGTTACAAGAATGGTCTAAGTGTAATATCTTGGATTTATTAATTTGCATCCTATGTCAGAAAAAAAAGTAGAGGAAGAAATATAAAGCTCATCAGCTAACTTGGAACAAGACCAAAAACAGTGCCATCTTCATTGACAAACGGTACAGTATTTTGAAATCACTTGGAGTTGCTATTATTAGTAAGAAAGCTGGCTTGGAGCCAGATGAGGTCTTCCTGAGAAAACCATCTCAAAGATATCTAGACCTTGCAGATATATTTTTTTAAACGGTTGAAAACCTATGGAAGTCTAGTAATGTATCAACTTGCAAGGTGACATCTAAAGCTGATTTCAGAACTGATTTTTCTCAGCAACTTCATCAGGAGGATTAAAAAGGCGGATTGCGGGTGCTTGAAAAGAGCAAAACTGGCTCAAAAGTTGTTAAATTGGGAGGTTTAAATATATTAATCACAAATGCTAAAAAATAAAAAATAGCATAGAAAGGTCATAGGAATTCAATTAAAACTTTAGACAAGTAGAAAAAAGTATGGAAGAAAGAAGAAAAAACACTTTTAAAAGTCCAACACTTCAAAGAAGAGAGATCTTTGGAAGTTCTGAAGAAGGACTTAGGAATGAAGTAGATGATGTTTTGGGCAGTGGAAAGTAGGCTTAGGGCCAAGGGAAAGGACAGGGTTTATGAAACAACTGTGGGGATGTTTGTTTTTACTTGTTCTTGTAATGTTTGATCTTCTTTTCCAATGACCCATCTTAAAAACTTAACACAGCCTAATGTTTTAGAAACCTAAAACATTAGGTAACACAGATATAAATTAAAATTGTTTCTATAAAAATAAATAAATAAATAAATAAATAAATATCCAGTCAACGAAGAAATGGAAATTGGTGGAAAGATAAGTTGGTTCATTTCTATTCCACATCCTTGGACACAAGCACGGCCAGTCTTGGGATTATCGTGAGAAAGACATGGGATGTAGGGGAATGGGGGTGGAGAAAGTTCTAGGATCTTAATGTATCCTTGGTCTTTCTGTTTCTAGAGGCTGAATAGATTATCAATGGAGATAGCTACTGGAGTACAACGTTTCCAAAGGACAGATGCGGTGTCTTTGAAAGCTTTATATTCCTAGCACTTACCACGATGCCTGGAACTTTATTTATTCTTTCTATAAGTATTAGAATAGCTCTATCTGCAAGGTATTGAGCTCGTTAATGTGAATAAAGTGATGAGTAAGAGAGACATAATCCCCGTCTTCATGAATCATGCATTATGGTGGAAAGACAGACAGTAAACAATGACACACAACCATTTAATCACAATTGTGACAAGCATGATGAAGTAGAAGTGTAGGTCACTCTGACAGTATATGTTAGGACCTGAACTACTGGGGGTTTAGGAAGTGATGCTTGCATGGAAGTATGAAGTATAGTATAAGTAGTAACAGTTAGCTAGGTAAAATTGGAGGCCAAGGCCAGGAGAACATTTCAGACAGAGTGAAGGGTCTGCAACGTAATGGCTTTTTTTGTTGTTTGTTTTTCCCCTCTTAAAATGTTTCATTTTGCTATCCATTACTCATAAATGTTTTGTTTCTGTTTATTTTGAATAAGGTTGGGCCCTGTCATTTTCTATCTGTAGAGACATAAGGATAGGGGTAGCCTGAGCCAGTCCAGATGATCTGAGACAAGGAGGGCAACACATGACATGCTCTTAGATGGAACTGGCAAAAAGTCACAAGACTCATTCACCAAAAGTTGTTTTGTACGGTATGTGTGAAAATCTACCCATGCTTTCTGCAGATTCATGTAAAGCTTCACAGCTTCACCTTGCATGTGGCTGTTAAATGGAGAAAACTGCCTTCTAGAACATGCAAACTGACTCTGACCTATACTTGGTCATCCTCCACACAATGCCTCCACATTAATTCAGCGTAAACATCATTAATGCCTCCACATTAATTCCATGTTAAAATCTGGCTCAATAGCCTATGTTTGTACCAAGTTCACAAAATTCTCATGACAGGCACTGAAGGCCGTTAGAATCTCAGTGGGATGGTCATCACCGGTCATGGGCTGCTCAACAATCTCCTGAGACTGAACACACGCAGCAACATGTGGGTCAACCATGTCTTTACTCTCCTGCATTTATCCAAATGTGTGTCAGCCTGCCATGAGGGCCCCTCACTCGAAATCCACCTAGAATTCCTCCTTAGGAACTGACTTCTGAGCTATGCACAGAGATTGTCTTTGCTCAGAGGATAGTCTCCTTTGATCTGTTTTTCACTTTTCTCTTTTTCTTCCCTTCCTTGAGTATGCCCTTCCTCTTTCCTTTTCTCCTTTCCTCCTCTCTAACCTTCTTCCCTCCCTAACCTTTTTCAACACATTTTACCTAACTACTAAGTGCCAAGCACTGGGGATAGAAGATAAATAAAAAGCTATAGTAGAATATGTGACTACTGGGGTGGCTGAGGTGGGAGAATCATTTGAGACCAGGAGTTTAAGGATGCAGTGAGCTATGATGGTACCCATGAATAGCCACTGCACTCCAGCCTGGGTGACAGAGCCAGACCCCATCTCAAAAAAATAAAAAGAAAGAAAAAAAAGAGCATATGTGAGTAACAGATCTATAAACAAGGAAACCAAAAAATGTATTATCCCCTTTCTTTGCTCTTCAGCTCTTTATACTGATTCAAACCCAAGGGGCTTGCATAAGCCAGGCCAGCACTGGAAAAGATGCATACCAACTAGCTTTTTAACTCCTGCAGGTGGTTTGCCAAGAGACATGCCAGAGACAAACAGGGTATAAAACCAAGCATGGGACTGCCCTGGGATGAAGATATGAAAACAGAAATAAACAGGTACCTTTACTTTCACAATCTAAATTTAAAGATGGAATAGATTCAGATAGTTTTTTTGATAAATTCCTTGCTGTATAAACTCTTGCAACTTGCTATTCAAAAGCTAAGAACCAAATAGATTTGTAAAGAGATACTTGAATAAACTTCTATATATTCAATATTTTCATTCATTATTTTTTAAATTGACATTTTTCTGAAGAGAAAGTCCACAGCTCTTTTCCAATCTTCAGTGGGATTTGTAATCCCTCCAAATATTTAACCACTACTCCAACAATGCATTAGCTGCTATGATTATAGAAAGAAAAGCAGAAAACATATGTTGTAAAGAAAGTAGTTACCAGAATTACACTAGAAAAAAAATGGCAAGAACATGAATGAGTCAGCATGAGGGTATAACAGGCTAAGGGCATCAACTTCGAAGAGAAAATGAAATTATTTGGGTTGCCCTGGTAACACCAAGATAAAATGCGGAAATGAAAATGCGAGGTTTAACGCTAAGAAAACCTTCTTCAGCACTAGGGTCTCTCACATCACGGAATGAGCTTTACTATGGCAACACGCAAAAAGCATGTAAACGGATTAAATACAGAAAATATCCAAGGGAGTGAAAGCATGGTATTAATAATAAGAACTAAGCTGATATAATAACTATTCTGGACCTTTCTTTTCTTTGACTCACAGAATTAAATAAGGGGAATGGGAAAGGGTTTGCAGGGATCAAATGAGATTTTCTTCAGTGATATATAATCTTAAATAATTAAAAAAGTTAAACATTATGGATTATTTCCACCCACTCACTTTTCTGCAAATGACATAGAATCTCCACTCAAATATCTGGTTTTATTATAGGAAAAGGCAAAAGAAAAAAGAAACAAACATAAGAAATAGAAACATCCTCCTAGGTTACATTTTCCATGTCCAATCTCTACTTTTTTGGAGGAGATCTGTCATTGGTTATTAAGGCAATAAATGACTCCTCTCAAGGGCAGACAATCATATTAATATAGTACTAGAATATAAAAATAATACTTCAGAATCATAGTGGTTGGGAGCATGGCACTGAAGTCAGGGTGCCTGAGTCTGTATCCCGGCTCTGTCACTTGTAAGCTGGGTGACCACAAGAAACTTACTTAATCCTTCTGTTTTCTCATCTTGAGAATGGGGAAAAGAACAGTATCTTGCTTCACAGGATTGCTGGGGAAGCATGTAAGAGTGGCAAACACTAATCATGGTACTGGGCAGGAATTAGCACTCAATAGATGACAGCTACTAATATTAGCAATAGAGATGACAATCAAATTTGATAGCTATGATAATGACTTTATGATTTTTAAACATGTTATTTTGGTAAGAGCACAATATAAGATCTACCCGCTTAAAATTTTAAGCATACCATACAGTTTGGGTAACTATAGGTACAATGTTGTACAGCAGATCTTTAAAGCTTACTCATGTTGCAAACAGAAACTTTATGCCCATTGATTAGTATTAACAGCTCGCCATTTCCCCTCCCCCCAGCCCCTGGCAACCACCAGTGTTCTCTTTGATTTTATTAATTTGACTACTTTAGATACTTCACATATGGAATCACATATCTTTCTGTGACTGGCTTATTTCACTTATCAGAACGTCCTCATTCATCCATGTTGTCACATATTGCAGAATTTCCTGTTTTTTAAAGGCTGAGTAGTATTCCATTGTGTGTATATACTACATTTTCTTTTTCTATTCATCTGTCAATGGACATTTTGGTTATTTTTACATCTTGGTTATTGTGAATAATGAAGTTTACTTTTGAGAATAAGAATTTATCGGTGTTTGGAGACTTCTGTCCTAATTTGAGGTACCACACTAAAATAGAATTATTTATAAAAACAGAAGAAACAAAAAAATTGTGTTGGTTAAATAGGAAATAAAAGGTATATAATTGACATATAATGTTATCATGCTTACTAACTGCCAGACATTAAACATGTTATCTGTTGAACCTCCATATTAAATCCACGAGGTAGGTATTATCTTTTCTGTACAGAAGAGGAAACACACAAAGAGAGATTAAATAATTTCTCCAAGATTGGAAAGCCTGTGAAGGGCATAGCAAAAATTCCACCTCAGGGCTTTCAGATTCCAATGTCCAAGCTCATTTCATTTAAAGAGGGAAATTATTTTAGTCTCTAACAATCTCCTTTACGGGAAATTCAGACTTGATATCCATTGGCAAAAGGACCTATTTGGAAATTCACCTCTTTCAGGATTGCATTCAGGGCAATCATATTTGTGACTTGAACACTGTAGCCTAAAATCTGACACTGAGAGAAATCCAGTCTGAGGAATGATCTTTTTAGAAGTTATAAAGGATTCCGCTTCTGTCCATGAAGGAGTCACTAGGGTGAAACTTATCCTTCTATAATAAATAGCTAAAAAAATAAAATTTTACCAGAGCCACTGAAGCTCTTTTGTGTTATGCTCTTGGTTATACCTGTTTTTCATTTGATGCTAAATCCTTGGGTGGAGAATGCAGTCCCCAAATATTGCACTGTTCCAATCTCCTTTAGGGGGATCTGTATGTGATTTCCAAGAACTTGGTGCAGCAAAACAGCAAGAACCTTCTGTGCTGAGAATTTGAATGCTGGGAAATGTATACCAAATCAAAACAGAAGGACAGTGAGTACTTACTTCCTTTTCATGGTTCAAATTAATATAATCAAGATACTTAAGTATTTAACCATCTTTTACCCCATGACATTTATCATTTCCTTTCCCTGATGTTTCAGCTAAGTGTTTTGCTTTATTGTAGATATGCCAACAAAGAACATTCATTTTTCTAAGACTGGTTCAAATGCTCACTGTTTTTTAAAATTATTATTATGACTTTGCACTTCTGGCTTCTCCATTCAGGTCCCACAATGTTTCCAGAAGCAGGAAATGGAAAATACTTTAGGTAAACTTTATGTAAAACATTCTCACGGGTACCTAAAGTCTCTTTCTAACCCATGGGTTGACAGCTTGAGTTTTGCCAACTAACTCACTCTTGATGTTAAGACATATCAAAACATAGCAAACCACTTTAAAGTTTTAGCTCTTTTAAGGGAATGTGGCTTAGGATGTGATTTCCCAGCAACCTGAGTTCCAAGGCTCAAATGCCTTCAGCTTAGATTTTCCTCATCCCATCAAACACTGCCCAGAAAGTAGCTCTATTACTGCTCTGCTTTGTATTTTACCTTAATTTCTTCCTCCCACTGCCCTAGGTTTACTCCTTTTTTAGTTTTTCCCAATATAAGTAACTCGTGCTCTAGCTGATGGATTGGGTGTGAGGTTTGAGAGAGAAGAATCATTATGAGTCCAATATTTTTAAGTTGAGAAGCTGAAATAATGGAGTTGCCATTTTATAAAGGGAGTGAGAGGCTACAGAAAGTAGGTTTAGGGAGTGGGGAATAAGGAGTTTGGATAGAGACATCTGAAATCTGAGATGTCTACTAGACACCCAAGTGGAGGGGCTCCACAAACAGCTGGATACACTGGACTAGAGATAGGAAAGATCTGGGATAGAGATAGAAGTTTGGGAGTCATTAGGGTTATAAAAAGTGATAGGATGAAACCACCTAGGCAGCATATAGAGAGGAGAAAACGGTCTAAGGACTTCCTGCAGCAAGGAGCATTCTGCCACCAGATATTGGCATGAATATTGTTTTCTCACTTCCTTCAGGTCTCTGCACATATATCATTATTGGAGACACCTTTTCTGGCTACCCTATTGAAAATATTAATACCAACTCACCAAAAGCAAGAGCATGCCATCCCAGCACTCCCTTTTTCATTCCCTAAGTTGCTTTCCTCAATAGCATTATCTTTATCAGATGTACTATACGGGTATTACTCATTTAGTTATACTTCTATCTCTCTGCTGCATCATAAGGTAAGCTCCCTAAGAAATGGGGACTTTGTTTTGTTCACTCCTGTCTCCCAGAGCCTAGAACAGTATCTGGCACATAAAAGGTACTCAATAAGTAATTGCTGAACCAATGAAATGAGAAATGAGCATCTACTTAACCTGAAATTCTTCCAGTTATTAAAATGAATAACAGAAATGTTTATGTGACTAACAGAAATTAGAGTAAGGTGCACTTGGTTTTGGGGAAGAGAACACCAGATTTCTTTTGTACTACTCTGCATTTTCTCATGATACCTGCACCCTGTTTAGGGGCAAAGAGGAAGCAAAGAAGTCAAAGAGGCCACCTGAGAGATCTGCATGGAGCTGGAAAAGGACAATTCTATCTTATTTAGAGAGTTGGGAGAAGGAACAAAGGAGAGGAGTGGGACAAGAACTGTCCTGGGCCTCATTTGTTTTGAATCATGGGCTTCTTTATATATATATATTTTTGTTAAAGTTCTAGTGTACATGTGCACAAGGTGCAGGTTTGTTACATATGTATACGTGTGCCATGTTGGTGTGCTGCACCCGTTAACTCGTCTCCTTTATATTATTAACAGTATCATGTTTTTTCCTCTACTCACATTGCCGGCCTCTGTCAACTTCCAGGGACCTACCATGGAATAAGGTAAAGACTGCAAGAAGGGAATGTACATGTTTATTAAGCAACAGCAGTGCAATAGCAATCATTGATCATTTGGGTCAAAATGCAGTCATATGTTGCTTAATAATGGGGATACGTTCTGAGAAACGCATCATTAGGCAATTTTGTCGTGTGGATGTCATAGAGTGTACTTATACAATCCTAGACGGTATAGCCTACTACGCACTTTGGCTATAGGGTTTGGCCTCTTGCTCCTAGGCTATAAATCTGTACAGCATTTTCCTGTACTGAATCCTGTAGGTAACTGCAACATAATAGTAAGTATTTGTGTATCGAAACATAGGAAAGGTAAAATAAAAATGTATAAAAGATTAAAAATAGTACACCTGTATAGGGTACTTACCATGAATGGAGTTTGCAGGACTGGAAGTTGCTCTGGATGGGTCAGCAAGTGAGTGATGAGTGAATGTGAGGGCCTAGGATGTTACTTTGCACTGCCGTAGACTTTATAATAAACACTGTACACCTAGGCTACACTAAATTTATAAAAAAAATTTTTCTTTCTTCAACAATAAGCTGTAGGTTACTGCAACTTTTTTGCTTTTTAAACTTTAAACATTCTTTATAACTTTTTGATGCTTTCATAATAACATTTGGCTTAAAACACAAACACATTTTATAGCTGCGCAAAAATATATTTTATTCCTTATTCAATAAGTTTTTTGCTATTAAATTATTATATTTTGCTTTTTAAATTTTTTAACTAAAAACGAAGACGCCAACATGTATATTAACCTAGGCCTACACATACACAAATCAATAAACATAATCCATCACATAAACAGAACCAATGACAAAAACCACATGATTATCTCAATAGATGCAGAAAAGGCCTTCAACAAAATTCAACACCCTTTCATGCTAAAAACTCTCAATAAACTAGGTATTAATGGAATGTATCTCAAAATAATAAGAGCTATTTATGACAAACCCACAGCCAATATCATAATGAACGGGCAAAAGCTGGAAGCATTCCCTTTGAAAACTGGCACAAGACAAGGATACCCTCTCTCACCACTCCTATTCAACGTAGTATCGGAAGTTCTGGCCAGGGCAATCAGGCAAGAGAAAGAAATAAAGGATATTCAAATAGGAAGAGAGGAAGTCAAATTGTCTCTGTTTGCAGATGACATGATTGTATATTTAGAAAACCCCATCATCATCTCCTTAAGCTGATAAGCAACTTCAGCAAAGTCTCAGGATACAAAATCAATGTGTAAAAATCACAAGCATTCCTATACAGCAATAATAGACAAACAGCCAAATCATGAGTGAAATCCCATTCACAATTACTACAAAGAGAATAAAATACCTAGGAACACAACTTGCAAGGGATGTGAAGGATCTCTTCAAGGAGAACTACAAACCACTGCTCAAGGAAATAAGAGAGAACACAAACAAATGGAAAAACATTCCATGCTCATGGATAGAAAGAATCAATATCGTGAAAATGGCCATACTGCCCAAAGTAATTTTATAGATTCAATGCTATCACTGTCAAGCTACCATTGACTTTCTTCACGTAATTAGAAAAAACTGCTTTAAATTTCATATGGAACCAAAAAAGAGCTCACATAGCCAAGACAATCCTTAGCAAAAAGAACAAAGCTGGAGGCATCACACTACCTGACTTCAAACTATACTACAAGGCTACAGTAATCAAAACAGCATGGTACTGGTACCAAAACACAAATATAGACCAATGGAACAGAATAGAGGCCTCAGAAATACCACCACACCTCTACAACCATCTGATCTTTGACAAACCTGACAAAAATAAGAAATGGGGAAAGGGTTCCCTATTTAGTAAATGATGTTGGGAAAACTGGCTAGCCGTATGCAGAAAACTGAAACTGCACCCCTTCCTTACACATTATACAAAAATTAACTCAAGATAGATTAAAGACTTAACTGTAAGACATAAAACCATAAAAACCCTAGAAGAAAATCTAGACAATACCATTCAGGACATAGGCATGGGCAAAGACTTCATGACTAAAACACCAAAAGCAATGGCAACAAAAGCCAAAATTGACAAATGGGATATAATTAAACTAAAGAGCTTTTGCACAGCAAAAAACAAACAAACAAACAAACAAAACTGTTATCAGGGTGAACAGGCAACCTACAGAATGGGAGAAATTTTTTGCAATCTATTCATCTGACAAAGGGCTAATATCCAGAATCTACAAAGAACTTAAACAAGTTTACAAGAAAAAAATCAACACCATCAAAAAGTGGGCAGAGGATATGAACAGACACTTCTTAAACGAAGACATTTATGCAGCCAACAAACATGAAAAAAAGCTCATCATCACTGGTCATCAGAGAAATGCAAATAAAAACCACAATGAGATACCATCTCACACCAGTTAGAATGGCGATCATTAAAAGTCAGGAAACAACAGATGCTGGAGAGGATGTGGAGAAACAGGAACGCTTTTACACTGTTGGTGGGAGTGTAAATTAGTTCAACCATTGTGGAAGACAGTGTGACAATTCCTCAAGGATCTGGAACTGGAAACACCATTTGACCCAGCAATCCCATTACTGGGTCTATGCCCAAAGGATTATAAATCATTCTACTATAAAGACACATGCACATGTATTTTTTTTTTTTTTTTTGAGACAGAGTCTCGCTCTGTCGCCCAGGCTGGAGTGCAGTGGCGCAATCTCGGCTCACTGCAAGCTCTGCCTCCCGGGTTCACACCATTCTCCTGCCTCAGCCTCCCGAGTAGCTAGGACTACAGGTGCTGGCCACCAAGCCCGGCTAATTTTTTGTATTTTTAGTAGAGGTGGGGTTTCACTGTGTTAGCCAGGATGGTCTCGATCTCCTGACCTCATGATCCGCCCGCCTCTGCCTCCCAAAGTGCTGGGATTACAGGCATGAGCCACCGCGTCCGGCCACATGTGTGTTTATTGCAGCACTCTTCACAATAGCAAAGACTTAGAACCAACCCAAATGCCCATCAATGATAGACTGGATAAAGAAAATGTGGCACATATACACCATGGAATACTATGTAGCCATAAAAAAGGCTGAGTTCATGTCCTTTGCAGGGACATGGATGAAGCTAGAAACCATAATTCTCAGCAAACTAACACAAGAACAGAAAACCAAACACTGCATGTTCTCACTCATAAGTGGGAGTTGAACAATGAGAACACATGGACACAGGGAGGGGAACATCACACACTGGGACCTGTCAGGGGATGGGAGGCTGGGGAAGGGATAGCATTAGGAGAAATACCCAATGTAGACGACGGGTTGATGGGCACAGCAAAGCACCATGGCACGTGTATACCTATGTAACAAACCTGCAGGTTCTGCACACGTATCCCAGAACTTAAAGTATAATAATTAAAAAAAAGAAACATAGGAAAATAATATCTACCCCATGGCGGGGGCTGAAAACACAATACTAAATTTGTGGTATTCAAGAGTCAGACAGTTAACCTTTTGCTATAACTAGCATTATTCAGGTCCCTTACTGGAGTTTAGGGCTCTATTTTAAGAGGAATATCAAAAAATATTACATAGACATAAGGGCAAAAAGTTTTACCTACAAAAATATATTCAGATTCCAACGATTTCTGACCCATCTTAGCTGCTACCCCGATCCAAGCCACCATCATCTCTCAATTAGATTATTGCAAGATTATTGCAATATCTTCCTGATTAGTCTCTCCACTTCTACCAATGACCCCTAGAGAGTCATCTCAAGTGAGCAACCAGAATGATCCTGGGTTTCTTCTCCATTCAAAATCCTCTAATAATTCTCCATCTCACTCTGTGAAAAAGCGAAAATCTTTACAAAAGTCCTAAAAGGCCCTCTGCAATCTCACTCCCACCCCACACCAGTCTCATAGCCCTCTCCTGCACACTCGCTTTGCTCCAGCCACACTGGGCCTTCTAGCACAAGCTTGTCCAATCTGTGGCCTGCAGACCACTTGTGGCCCAGGATGGCTTTGAATATGACCCAACAGAAATTTGCAAGCTTTCCTTTCCTAAAACATTATGAGATTTTGTGATTTTTTTTCTTTTAGCTCATCAGCTATCATTAATGTATTTTATGTGTGGCCCAAGACAATTCTTCTTCTTCAAGTGTGTCCCAGGGAGGCCAAAAGATCGGATGCCCCTGTTAGAGTGGTTTCTTGGCACCCCAGGTTCACTCCTGCTTTTGCATTTGCAACAGCTCTGTCTGGAATTCTCATCTTCCTGGTATCTGCAGGGCTCAATCCTTCACCTTCTTTAGGCCTTGCTGAAATTTACCCAGATTGCAACCACTTTTCACCATTTCTATCACTACTCCTCTGGTCCAAGCCTTCACCCTCCTCTTGTTTAGATAATACTGCAAAGCCAATTTAATATCACACCATATCTCAGCCATAGCACTCCCTTTCCTCCTGCCCTGCCTTATTTTTCTCCATAGCACTTAACACCTTTGAACATACTATATATATTTTAGCTAATTATGCATTTCCTTTTCTCTCTCCTCCCACTTGAATGCAAGTCCCAGGAGGGCAGAAATTTTTGCCCAATTTGCAAAATGTTTTGTCCCTAATGCCCAGAAGAGTGTCTGGCCCATATTTGTCATTCACCAGATATCTGTTAATTAGAAGAGTAAAGTGGTAGAAACAGAACCTATCAAGAAACACTATGGAGATACTACTTAGGCCAGAGCCTGGTGGCTAGGCTGGTTCTCTCCTTTCCAATCGGAGGCCTCTTCAGCAAACATGCTCCACCACATCATCACTCAGTCCAAGAAGCATCTAAGCTTGATCTCCCTCTTTGTATTCATTGGAGCTGGAGGTACTGGAGCAGCACTGTATCTCGTGTCTGGCATTGTTCAATCCAGATGTTAGTTGGGACAGAAAGAATAATCCAGAGCCCTGGAACAAACTGGCTCCCAATGATCAATACAAGTTCTACTCAGTAATTGTGGATTACAGCAAACTGAAGAAAGAAGGTCCAGATTTCTAACAAATGTTTCACTATAAAGCTGCTTTAGAATGAAGGTCTTCCAGAAGCCATCCACACAATTTTCCGCTTAACCAGGAAATACTTCTCCTCTAAATGCATGAAATCATGTTGATGTAATCTATTGGCGATTGCACTGATTAGTAAATAACTGAAACTTGGAAAACAAAACAAAACAAAAAGAAACACTATGTAAATTGAGACAAGCAAAGGAATACAAAAGGCTACCAGAGGAGTCCAGAGCCTGGATGTCCATGGATAGACTTCAGTGCCAAATACAAAATGTTTCAACTTTGCACATTACAGGCTTTAAACTGCTGCATGAGAGATTTAGGAAGAAACAACCCATTGTTAAATGACCAAATAAATGGTTACAGGACGAAATCTGAGGGTTGGTCATGCCAAGGAGATGTGAAAAATAGGACAGTGAATCATGTTTTGATGGTGAGCTTGCTGTCTGGAGGCAGGGTGCTGGATGAGAAAGGTTCTTTTGCTCCACTAGGAGCTTAAGATGAGTATTTCTCCAGGAGCCAACATTACTTACTGAAATGCAGAAAGTGCACATGTTTTCAAAGGGAAAACACATGGACTGGTATTAAATTAATAACTTCTGATTGGAAAACTTGTTGACAGAATTTGGCTGAGCTAGTCTCCTGAAATTTATTAGGGAACATCTGGGGGGAAATAAAACCTAGGATAGGGAGGAAGAGTGGCTCTCAACCTTGGCTGCACATTGGAATCATCTGGAGAGTTTTAAAAACACTGATGCCTGGGTGCAGTTAAATCAGAACCGCTGGGGTGGGGCCCAGGCATGAGGTTTTTGTTTTGTTTTGTTTTAGAGGTCCTCAAGTGATTCCAACATGTAGGTGAGGTTGAGACCTATTCTCCCCAAAACATCTGTTTCTTCTGTTTGTGATAAAAAGTACAGCTACGCACTAAGTGAGGTCTTAGGGAAAAACCAGAGCTTTATCTGGGCCTATCAAAGGCAGGGTTTACTCACTTAAAATGATTTCAGTACTCCATGAATTTATATTTTAATATCACATCTTTGGTTAATACTTACCTGGACACCACCCATTCCCAGATCACCACATCAGGACTGTCAGGCTTCCCCACACAGCCCACCCTCTCTCAAGAAGAGCACGCTGCTTGGATAATATTTGAAGGGGTCTCAGACCACAGCTGCAGTGTCCTATTTTGGAAGCCCGTGGCTGAGTATTTTCATAAGCAGTCCAAGATCAACACTTTCCTACTTGCTCTCTTCACCTCTTCACTCCCCTGGGTTATTTATATTCTCAACTATCTCCATTCCCACACTGTAAATTCTGTAAGGGCAGAGACCAGGTTGCTCATTTTGGCATGCCCAGCCCCTGACCTAGTTGTCTGAGCAGTAACACTTTTGCATGACACAGAGCTAGTCCACATGTACAGCAATGATTTACCTCTCAAAACAGTTTCTCAATGTAGATGATCCTTTGAACATTAAAACTGTAGTTCTGATGGGGTCCATATTTATAAGCATTTTATTTTAGAGTAACAGTTCATTACCATTTTATTGACAGTTTTATTAACAGTAACAATTAATTACTGTTACTGTAAAATGAAGTTCTCTTTATGTATAAAGGAAAACCCCACCTCCATCATAACACGAGCTAAGGTTTACTGTGTACTTAGAAGTGTCAGGAGCATCATACATATTACATTACTTAACGCCCAAATATCTCTGGGCTCCAGGTACTATAAGCCTACTCTTACTCAAGAAATGGAGGCTTAGGAAGGTCAATATCTTGCCTGGGGTTACAGAGCAGTAAGCAGAGGGGCCTGCATACAACCCAGGTAATCTGTTTTTAGAACTGGTTAATCTAAGTCACTAAACCTAACATTCCGTAACAGAACAAAACAATTGAAAACTGAGTTGAATTCCTTCTTGAATGAATATAGGAATTAGTTAGGAGGAAAGGGTATTTTCCTTTACAGAAGTGTTTCATAAAAACTGGGATAGCTGGGCTGACACAGTCTAGCTACTTGGGAGGCTAAAGCAGGAGGACTGCTTGAGCCCCAGAGTTTGAGACCAGACTGGGTAACATAGTAAGACTTCATCACAGACACACACACACACACACACACACACACACACACACACACACACACAAAAAAAAAAAAAACCTGGAGAAGACACAACCTAAAATTTCCTATTAACTCTCATTATAATATCAGAGACACTTTTAAATATATATCATACTTAGAGTGTAATATACACATACTCAGATACTTTTTTTAAAAATTTGTTTGCTTTTCCATTAGCAGTGGCTCCTAATTCTTTGGCTATAAATCTTTTAGCTCTATAGCCTCTTGGTCAGGCGCTTATAAACTTTAAAGAATTTAAACAGTGGAATCTACACTTCACCCAATAGCTAAATGAGAGTACAGGTAGTTCATTTCCCTGTCAGAAATGTGCCTGTTTTCAGCATATGGTACATACATATTTTCAAGAAACATTTTATAGTTTATCACTCAGAATGAAAAATAATGACACAAATGTTAAATTTTATATCAATTGTGTAGTTTTGGAAAGATAATGAGGATTTCCTAAATCCTGTTCATAGGTGATCCTGATATAAAAATAGAAATGGTATTTAGGTATAATCTTCCTTAAAATGAGGACATAGCTGCATATTTTTAAAATGTAGTGATTCTACCACCTGCCCCATTTCCACTACATAAAATGCCTTGGCGTCTGAGATGTTGAGATATGAATAATTACTATTTTAAAACTTTACTGAGCCTCAGAATTTTTAAAGCCTTTTTTAGATTATATTCTAAAAACAAATATATTTTCAAACAGTCTTCATTCCAGGTTTCCAAGCAAACACACCCGAATAAGTTAATATTTCAGACCCTTAGGCTGTTTTCAAATGCTATATTTAACATGCTTATATGATCACTCAAATAATTTTGATTCAGTTCAAATATGTCAACAGGAAGAGGTCGGGCAGAAATATAAAAATTCTAAGCAAAGTCATTCTGAGACTCAAACAACTCCAATACCAGAAACGCTAGTTAAACCAAACAGTAGTGTGGCCAAAGAACATCAAGGGAAACTGCTGTTTTCAAGATTTGTGGTTTCCTTATATAAAGAACCTATTCTGCTCTTGGATGTGGCACAAGGGGGCTTTTTGAAAGCATGGTATATTTCAATAAAAAAACAAATCATAGTCAAGCTGAGTAAATGTAAAGTTACACACAGTCATACACTTCATTCCTGAGATCCTCTGGAAGTAAATCTGCTGCTTAACATTAATGACACGTCTTATCAACTATGTTTTTGTTTATAAAATATTCTAATATGTACATGACTCCAGTTCAGGTTTAAAATTTTTCCCTTCTTTTGAAGAATAGGTCCCCTGAAAATTTTTCAGAAATTCTTAGTAACTTTTCATTATACTAAGCATCTTTTTTTTTTTTTTTTTTTTTGATACAGAGTCTCACTCTGTCACCCAGGCTGAAGTAAGTGGCGCAATCTGAGCTCACTGCAACCTCTGCCTCCCGGGTTCGAGCAATTCTCCTGCCTCAGTCTCCCAAGTAGCTGGGACTATAGGCGTGTGCTACCACGCCCAGATAATTTTTGTATTTTTAGTAGAGACGGGGTTTCACCATATTGGCCAGGCTGGTCTCGAACTCCTGACCTCATGATCTGCCTGCCTCGGCCTCCCAAAGTGTTGGGTATACAGGTGTGAGACACCATGCTCAGCCATACTAAGCATCTTCTAAACCACAATGGTCACTACTTCCTGGGCCCACTACCACGTTAGGCAAACCATTCATAAAGACAGGATATGTTGCTATTTAGGATACCAACAATATAGTAATAGCACTTTAATACAAAATTTTAATTTTGTACAAATTCTCTTCCTATGAACTGATTACAGTTTTGTACACTTAGGGTGATATGAAGTCCTTAGTCCAAGGCAATATATGTCAACAGTAAAACAAACAAAAAAGACTCCTGTTATTGCCTTAGATGTATATACTACTACCTCATTGGACATCTGCATTTTCAGAATTCTAAGTTTAGTCATAAGCGGTCACATTAATCTAAAAAATAAAAATAAAAGGAAGCCATCTCTACTCACCATTTTGTATAATATAATGAAATAGTTACAATGTATGTTTTATAGCCAGAAAGACGTAGGTTTGAAATCTAGCTCTATGGCTACTAGCTAGTGACTTTGGGCAGGTTATTTAACCCCTTTGAATCATGCACACTTGGATAAGTAGCCGGCAGTAAATGTGAAAATTGTCAACTACATTATTTAATTAAGAAAATATTTCCAGACTTCTTGCTTTTTAGAACAATGTTTGTATTGTTTAATAAACTTTGAATAAAAAAAATAGCTAGGCTTCTCTCTTGGGAATCTTCTGGATTCTAAAAAATCCAATTTACTGTATGTTCCACTATATCTGCTGTTCATGGAAAGTGCCGAACAGTACCCCCAAATTGTGGTGTCCTCTTGAAAACATTTGCTATTTTTTCCATTGCCTCAAGAATTGCCTCAAGGCCAATTCCTCCCAATCAATTATCTGTAACTCCATGTGTTACCTATGCTTGTTGCATGGATATATAGAAACCAAACTCTGTGAAATGCCAAACTGCCCCAATTCTTGAATTACATGCCTGGAAACCCAGAGGTCTCAAATGTGCATTTCTACTAGATTCCCCACTGACTATGTGACTCTTTGAGCTTACTCAGTACCTAGCATCTCTAGAGCATGACCTGAAGTTTTAAGAAAGCCTCGATAGCTAATACCAATAATGATAAAGTTAATGAACAGGTGCTTAAGAGCAAGGGCCCATCCCCACCCCACACCTGACAGGCAGTTAGACCCGATGATGTGGAGATTGCCAGCTTATGGAAGGGCTGTTCCTCTGACCACTGCGATCCAGAAACACAGCTGCCTTTATAGGGTCTACAGGATGGTTAGCAGCTGAGGCTGAGGAAACTAGCTGCAATCTGTGAGATAAACATGTCCCCTCAAGGGAGAGTTCTTGGAAGGTGAGTTATACAATCTTCAGGAAAGTTCACTGAAAGAGCCCTCATGTTGAATCTTTGTTGTGAGCTACTACAATGTCCCTGTGCTCTTTGTACCTCTCGCTGTAAGATGGCAGCATCACAGTCGAGACACAGCTGCTTGTTTTCCAGTATTTAGCCTCTCCTTTTTACGTAATAATAAAGTACATGTTCCAGCCCCCTTGAAGGCAGGTATGGTGTGGGACTTAGTCCTAGCCAATGGCATATAAACAGAAAAGATGAACTCAACTTGGAGTTGTGTCCTTAAAGGAGCCCTCCATATACCTTCCTCCCCACCTCTGAGATGGGATGCAGGCTTAGTATTAATCATCTTCAACAGACAAGTAAGGGATACATGTTAGCAAGGGTAGTAAGGAGATCTTTAAGAGTTGTTTAGGTCTTGAGGGTTCTGCCCTCATGCATGCATTAGTGTTATCTTGGGAGTCGATTTGCCCCCTCTGGCTCTTGCTCTCTCTAGCTCTTTGCCATTCCACCATGTGATGGCTTCTGCCATATGATAATGTTACAAGAAGGCCCTCACCAGATGCCTGCACCTTGATATTGGGATCCCAGCCTTCAGAACTGTAAGCCCAAAATTTTATATTCATTATGAATTATCCAGTCTTGGTATTCTGTTATAGCAGCACAAAACAAACTAAGACATTTGAAGACACAGATATAGATCATCAGTCATTTGAGGAATGCCTCCAACTGAAAGACAGATATAAATAAGACAAATACACAATCAAAGGAACAAATAAAGACACACTAAAACCGAAAGTAAAGCAGAGAGCAGGAGTTCACACTTAAAAACTTCCCAACTATAATTAATATTCTCAGAGAGCTAGCAAGAGATACTGTATTTATAAAATAAACACACCGAAAAGAACTTGGAAATTAAAAATAAGATAATGAAAAAATCAGCATAAGGTTAGATAATGTTGATGAAATTCATCTTAAAGTAGAAAAAAAACAGACGGGGAAAAATAATATACAGACACCAGATTCAATGTTTGAATAATGGAAATTAACTAAAGAGTGAAAGGAGAAAATGACACAGAGGTATCAAGAAGAGAGTGCAAGAAAAATTTCCCAAACTGTAGGACATGGGACTTCATATTAAAAAGGCTGCTGACTAGCTGGGCATGGTGGCTCATGCCTGTAATCCCAGCTACTCAAGAGGCTGAAGAAGGAGGATCACTTGGGCCTAGGAGTTCAAATCCAGTCTGGGCAACATAGCAAGACCTTGTCTCAAAAAAAAAAAAAAAAAGGCTTACTAAAGTGCTAGCACACAATGAATTAATAAAGACCCATACTGTCATGAACATTGGGGATAATGAGAAGATCCTAAAAGCTTGGAGGAGGCAGCAAATAGAGAGGGTAAAAGGGTGCATACAAAGAAACAAAAGTCAGATCAGTATTACACTTTTCACCAACAATATTGTATGCCAGAAAATAGTTGTAAAAAGCCTTCAAATTCTTAGTGAAAGTGGTTGTCAATGTAGAGTTTAGTACCCAACCAAACTAACTTTCAAATTTGAGAGTAGAATAAATAGTGTATTTCAGACATAGAAGGACACAGAAAATTTATTTTTATGTATTCTCTCCTTAAAAAGTATTGAGGAATATAAAGGGAGTAAGACACCCATCCCCTGAATTGAGACTTAAATATCCAGCTGCCAACTTGACATTTCCAACTGGAAGTTTAGTAGACATTTCTCTTTTTTTTGTATAAATTTAAAGGGTACACGTGCAATTTTGCTACATGGCTATACTGGGTAGTGGTGAAGTCTGGGATTTTAGTGTAACCATCACCTGAATAATGTTCATTGTACTTATTAAGCAATTTCTCATCCCTTAGCTGCCTCCTCACTTCTACCCTTCCAAGTCTCCAATGTCTATTATTCCACTCTATGTCCATGTGTTCACATTATTTAGCTCCTACTTCTCAATGAAAACATACACTATTTGTTTCTGAGTTGTTTCACTTAAGAAAATGGCCTCCAGTTCTATCCATGTTCTATCATGTCTATCCATCAAAAGACATGATTTCATCCTTTTCCATGGATGAATAATATTCCATTGTGTATATATATTGAATAATATTCCATTGTGTATATATACCACATTTTCTTTATCCAGTCATCCATTGATGGACACTTAGATTGATTCCATATCTTTGCTGTTACGAATGATGCTGCAATAAACATACAAGTGCGGGTAGCTTTTTGATATAATGATTTATTTTCCTTTGGGTAGATACCTAGCAGTGATACTGCTGGATTGAAATTAACGAGTCCAAAATAATTGTTAATTTCACTCCAAATCTGCTATTTCCACAACCATCCATATTTCAGTACATAGGAAATCCATCTTTGCAGGTCCTCTGGGTCAAAACCTTGGAGTCAATTTTTAATTTTTTTCTCTCACATTCAGGTCTATTCTGTTAGCAAAACCTGCAGGCTCAATCTTTAAAATCTATCTAGAATCTAACCAGTTCTCCCTACCTTTTCTGCTATAACCCAAGGCACCAGCATGTCTCATTTGTTTTATTATAATAGGTTCCATCCTTGTCTCTTACAGTTAGTCTACTCTTTACCATTGTTTCTCACAGTGTGCCTTTTTGGGGAATCAGTGAGGTCAAAACTATTTTCACAAGAATACTAAACATTATTGGCCTTTTAAATTCATTGTCTTGTGACTGCACAGTGAAGCTTTCTAGAGGCTACATGATACATGACAGTGAACAGACTGATTGCCAGACATTAAAGACATTTGCAAAAACTTAAACACTGACATCTTTTTGTTCTTTTGTTTTGGAAAATATAATTTCAAAACATATGTTACTTGTGTTAACATTCAGTGGCATTATTGTTATTTTAAAATTAATAAATAATCAGATTTACATTTCTGAGCTCTTAGGGGTTAGAGCTCTTTGGAATTTTCAATAATTTGAGTACAAATGCCCTGAGACCAAAAGGTTGGCTAATGATTGCTCTATACCACAGCCAGAGTGATCCTTTGAAAACGCAAGTCAGATTAAGAACTCTCTAATGGTTCCTCATCTCATTCAGAGTAGAGGTGGACAAGACACTTCATGAGCCTACAGCACCCTCTCTTAACGACCACTCTCCCTATTGTTCAGAGCTGTGCACCCACACTGGCCTTCTTGCTGTTCCTCCATAATGCCAGGGGAACATATTTATATTTGCTGTCCCCTATTCTCAGACCTCTCCTCCATAGATATCTGTGTCTCCCCACCTCCTCCAGATCTTTGCCTTATGAGCTGTATTTTTAATTGTGTCCCTTTTCAGATGTTTATATATTGCAACGATTCCCCCTTCTCCTGTGATACTGCGACCCCGTAACTTGCCACTTGTATATTTGTTTACCCTATCCTTCTGTCATAGAGTAAGTCCTCTGGGACAGTGGCTTTCTTTTTAATCCCCTAGAAAGCCAGTGGATCTGGTGATCTGCACCCAGTGTGGTCCTCTTTTATTTTCCCTTTGATCCACCGCTGAGAGCCTCGTACCTAGTGTGGTCTTAAATGATAATGCAAGACTGATCATAAGGGGTTATCTGATTAAACCTTCAGGCAAGACCACACTAAACCCATGACAGAGAGCCCCAACTCTGTTCTATTTTTAAGATATCCCAGAGACCCAGCCACTATGCAAATTTGTGAAAAGGTTGATTACTTGAAGCTTCAAAATTATTATTCTTAACCACCAAAATCTTTGTGCAGCAGGTTAAACTCTTATCTCTTTTCAGAAGAGATGCAAAATTGCTCCTCAGATTCAGAGACCTTTTCATACCCCTGGAAATAATTACTAACTTTTTCCTGGACCCCATCTTAGCAGCAATATCTCAATTCCTTTCATCTTTCCCACATAGATCCTGTTTTCAATGCTCTAACCCACTCTGTGATGGTCTTCTGATTCTTTTCCCATTGTTTTATCTTCATATTTCATTGTGTATCTAAATTCCAACAAGGTATGAGTTAGTGTGGCATCAAAAGATTCCTACAGTTTTACTTTTCTTTTACTGCACCCCAGCACTCCAGTGTATGCTTTTAAAAATATACTACATTGCCTTGAAAAAGAAAAATAGTCCCAAACCTGTTTGTGTGATATTACTTACAACCTCCTCTCAGAAAGAAATGAGTGTTCCTGACAAAATGCTTCTGTAATTGATTCTCATGAACTTTAATGACACTAGGACTTATTTTGGGAAATTAGATATGACCCATGCAGTTGACCAGCTGTCAACCAAGAATTTAGTGACCTTTAACAAAATATTGTTTTATTTTGATGTCAAATCTAGTAATTTTTCTAACAATTCTCTTTTGCTACAAAATGTCCCTATCAAGAGCAAATCTCTGAATTAGCCTACTAACAAACTCCTCCCTTACAGCAAGTTTATTACAAAGCTTTAACATACACTAACAAGTAAATTGTCAATCTTTTTTAAAATGCAAGGATCCATAAACTTTTTCCTATAAAGGGAGGGAAAGCAAATACTTAGGGTTTATAAATCATATGTGGTCTACGTTGCTTTTTTTTTTTTTTTTTTTTTTTGAGACAGAGTCTCGCTCTGTCACCGAGACTGGAGTGCAGTGGCGCGATCTCAGCTCACTGTAAGCTCCACCTCCCAGGTTCATGCCATTCTCCTGCCTCAGCCTCCCGAGTAGCTGGGAGTAGAGGCGCCCGCCACCATGCCCGGCTAATTTTTTGTACTTTCAGCAGAGACAGGGTTTCACCGTGTTAGCCAGGATGGTCTCGATCTCCTGACCTCGTGATCTGCCCACCTTGGCCTCCCAAAGTGTTGGGATTACAGGCGTGAGCCACTATGCCTGGCCTATGTTGCATATTCTTTTTAAAAAATTTAAACAATCCTTTAAAAATAGAAAAGCCAATCTCAGCAAGTGGGCCATACCAAAACAGTTTGCACTAACTCAAAATGCATGGGCCACAGCTTGTCAATTCCTGTTGCAATGGTTCTCAGAACTCCCTTGGAGACCTGCTCACCTCAAGAGAAACAGTTATTGTCAGCCTCTGGATCAAGGTACTTCATGGCATATATGCTATTGTTACCCACTGTGTTATGCTTCTTGATCACTGGATTATTTTTTTTCTGAGATATGGCAATTTGAGCACTTGAATGTCAATGTCTAATGGCCATCTGAAGGGACTCCCATTCTACTGGGCTTAAAATGACTTGCCATCTAAGTTGAGAGCTTGGAGAGCTGTTTGAGCTCTAAGAAGTGGTTGAACTTGGGGTTGGAGTTAAAACAGGACTCCTCCCCCAGGGTGAAATCAGAGCAGTATTTGATATTGGAGGGATGTAAGTGTGGAAGTGTAGAACCCAAAACTTCTGTTCCTAGAACCCATGTTCTAAGTTTGAAGATTTCCACCACCAGTGTTTTGTATTTGACACATTCTATGGCTTAAAGTTTACTATATTACTAAGAAACAACCAAAGCCCTTAAAAAGAACATTTAGGATAAGCAAGTGTACATTGTTTCAAAAAGTATTCAAAACTTGGAAGTGAGGGAAAGGTAGAGCAATATATCCTTTCAATGTAATACTGAATAATTATTTAATTGGCCCACCCATGGATTACTTGGGGAAATATACCTTTTTTTTTTTACTTCCTAATTTCTACTGATTAAATTCCAGTCTTGTAGATTTTTGGCTGGTAGAAAAGAAAACTAAAAACATTATGGGTTTTATTTTCCTGAAGGACATTACCTAGTTTTATATCTAGCAATGTTATTCTAACATTCCTTTCAAAAATAATTCCTTGAACACTCTTTGCACCAGTTTTGCCATCCTGCTGGCTCCCTCATTTATGAGTTAAATAAATCTTTGACTGTTCATTCTATATTTAAGAGTCATGTTTAACTTTTTGAAAATTATCCTATGACAACATTCACAGAAATCTTAAGTTATTTTGTGTTTTGCCTGCAGTGGGTTTGTGTATATATTTGTATCAGTATTTACATTTGTTGAACAGTTAAAATTGTATCCTATAGGAATGGGTTCAGAGGTTTCCTGTACAATTGTCTGTGTCTGTAAACAGTTACTTACAGTGTTCTATATTTTTGGTCAGTGAGTCCTTTGAATACCTAGGACTCAACTACTAGAATGAGAGCTTCTCATTTGCTTAGAATGCCTCTAAGAATGAAAGTTAAAGGGGTCACAAAAGTTTGTCCTGTGTTTTGAAGAACATCTCATTAAACAAATGAATTCACTTTGAAACAAAGAGAGGAGGGGAAATCTGCCTGGGTGATTTCACAGGTGTGTGATAAGAAAGAGTTAAAGGAAATTTCTGCCAAGTCTGGGTGACAGTGAATTAAAAGAGCATCTCTAAATAGACCAAAACAGATAGAATCTACAGCCTGTCAAGATAGTTCCTCCACCACCCTGGGCAAAGGAATAGTGCCTGAAAGAATGTTTCAAGGAAAGGTGTTTTATTTACCTCCAGGAGGTAAAATAACTTTACTTCCTTCCAGAGAGAAATTAGCATGACTGTGAAGTTTTTCAAATAGATGGAGTTCACATTTTCTAGACAGAAACTAATAGCAGTTATTTATATCTAGAATAAGAAAATCTTAAAAAAAATCTTTTCTGGACACACAACAAAAAGAGGGGAAAAATGCACAGAAGGAATGTTTGGAGTTAACAGATGACGTACAGATCACTAGGGATAAGGAACAAGAACAACAAAAATGCAACTAGCTACCCTGTCAGCTTTCAGCAGCTCTTTCCATATTTAACTAGAACTTTAAATCCAAAATGTAAAGAGCTTTACTAGTGCTTTAATAGTACTTTGCAAACAACTATGAATTAATTATATAAAATTTGAAGTTCAATTGATATTCCAGTAATGATTAATGCTTAGACAAATTAGTTTGTTAAACGTCATTAAAAAGACAGTTAAATGCCTTAGCATGGATTTTATTTTAGTTAGGGATAGGATGCAAAAATTATACCTCATTTACATCACAATGTCAAACACAGAGTTATCATATTACCCAGAAATTCTATTCCTAGGGGAATATCCACAGGAATTTAAAACAGGTACTCAAATACATATACATGAATGTTCATAAAAGAATGATTTACAAAAGCTAAAAGGTGAAAACAACCAAAATGCCCATTAACTGATGGATGGATAAACAAAATGTGGTATGTTGAGACTATGAAATATTATTTGACAAAGAAGTGGGGCATTGATATATGCCACAACATTAATGAACCTTAAATATATGCTAAGTGAAAGAAGTTAGTCACAAAAAACACGTATTTTTGATACCACTTACATGAGCTGTCCAGAATAGGCAAATCTATTGTGACAAAAATAGAGTAATGGCTGTGGGAGAAGTAGAGGATGGGGAGCAGGGGTAATAGCTAATGCATAGATGTTACTTTTTGGGGTGATAAAAATGTTTTAAAATTAGATTATGGTGATAGTTACACAATTCTATAATTATGATAAAAGCTATTGAATTGTATACTGTAAACAAATATGTGGTTTGTATATTATATCTCAATAAAGCTGTTAAAAATGTATTTTAGTTTGTGCAATTCATTCATGTGTTTTGGTTCACCCTGTCTGTTCTCTGATACAATGTGCATTAAACTAGAAGATATTAACTTCCTTATATTTGTCTCATAGGTCAGATGGTTGGTTATTATTTATACTAAAAATTTAAGACTGTAGATGTACCCAACAACAATGAATTATAACTAGTGTCTGTTCTTTAATGGTTGTAAATTTTAGGCAATGTTGCAGTAATGTTAAATCATGGGATGTTGTATTTCTCTTATAGGCTTTGAATACGAACAGTAATTATTTTAAATGGTAATTTAAATTGCAATTTTAGATAATTAATTTTAAGCAGGGGCTAATATTAAAATTAGGAATTCAATGAATAATCTTTGGCAAAATACTTATACAATAGTTTTAACCTATGTATTCGATTTATAAACATATTTTTTTCTTCATAATATTCAAATAAGACTATAATCTTATTTCATAACATGCTTTATAAAATTAATTTTATTTATTTTTGAGACAGGGTCTTGCTCTGTCACCCAGGTTGGAATGCAGTGTTGCAAACATAGTTCACTGCAGCCTCAGTCTCCTGGGCTCAAGCCATCCTCCCGCCTCAGCCTCCAGAGTAGCTGGAACCATAGGCATGAGCCACCATGCCCGGCTAATTTTTTTAATTTTTATTTTTTGTAGAGATGGCTCTCACCATGTTGCCCAGGCTGGTTTTGAACTCCTGCGCTCAAGTGATCCTCCCACTTTAGTAATTTTATTTTAAAAACTAACATTTAACACTAAAAATTGTCACACACCATTGTTTGGCCTGTGTGATTTGTATGAAAAATAACACATTTTGAGATAAAATTAAGTTTTTTGAAGTAGCTAAGTAGGATAGATAACTGGTAACTCAAAATGAAAAATTATTTTCGAGATGGCCTTTTCTAGAAATAAATCTGTAAAGTTATTTACTTACCGTATATTGTACCCAGAGAGTAAAAGTTATATATTTTTTCTCACCCAACCCAAATGTGTTCTTTCAGAAGCGGCAAGTCAATTTCATGCTTTTGTGCTGCTTTTTAGTATTTCAAAATACCGAAATGAAACAAGAATAATAAAGATTCCTGGCCTCTAGAGAAATTAAAATTCTAACATTTCTTATGTACTTTCTGATACAGTTATTAGTAAATAAGCTAGGCAATACTATGACCTTCTCAATTCCCTGGGCATCTGCATTCTTATCTGACAACATGTTAAAATGCTGCCTTCCTTTAAGATCATGTTCCTAATTTGGAGCTATATAAAAAGGAGGAGGCACTTTGATAACCCAATCCATGTTTGATACATAATAGCATCTAGGTAGCACCGAAGATTTGCTTTGTCTCCTATAATCCAGGATATGGTACTTACAAGAAAGAGAGGCTAGAAATAATTACTTTTAATTGATTTGTTCCTTAATCTTTAATTAGGTCAACAGTAGGCAATTCTGTTTATTGCACTCACATTATGGGGAAAGCTGTCAGGTAAAGATAAATTAACAGGTAAAATATTATTAATGTTATGTTATTAAATACCCTTTCAGAGTAAGTAAAATCATATTCATGTTCATATACAAGGGCTGATTGACATGGTGATTGTCAACAGATTTACTGGTAAGATTTTTTGGTAAATTTTACATATCTTCATGTCGATTACAAGTTAGTGTGGCACTTATTATTTTTCGTTGTTGCTTTGTAGATTCCTTAGAATATGGAATCCCAATTTCTAACCACAAAGCTTATAAAGAAAAGTAGTTCTACTTCTTTCTTTTAATCTTTAATTTTTTTCATCCTTATCACACTGGCCAGCCTCCTGTATAATGCTGAATGGAAGTGATGAGAGAAGATATAATTGCTTAGTTCTGATCTCAAGGGGAAGGCATTCAAAACTTCACCATTAAGTATGATGCTAGCTATAGGTTATTTTAAAATAAAATGTGTATGAGATTGATAGAAAATCTTTGAAAATCTTTATCATTACTAGATGCTGAAAATATTGAATGCATCTACTGAAATAATAAAGGAGAAAAACCATATGATCATTTAATATGATGAATTACAGTGATTGATTTTTGAATGTTAAACCAACCTTGCATTCTTGGGATTAAATCCCCTTTGAAGTTTTCCTTATGGGAAAGTTTTTGGTTATAAATAAAATTTCTGTCAGGCTTTGTAATTGTGCTTTTCAAGAAACTTTTTCCCATTTAAGTTGTCAAATGTATTGGCATATAGTTTTCACAATATTTCCTTGCTATCCTTTTAACGTCAGTAGGGTCTGTAGTGATACCCCTCTTCCATTCCTGATATTGGTAATTTGGGTTCTCCATCCCCTACTCCCCCTCACCTCTTTAATGGTTTGGCTAGATTCATTAATGTTTTCAAAGTACCAACATTTGTCTTATTTAATATTTTTCTGTCACTCATCTGATTTCGATTTCATTTATTCTGTTCTTAAATCTAGTATTTCTTTCTATGCTTTTGGGAATCTAATCCAGCTTCTTGTGGTGGAAATTAAGATGATTAATATTAAAAGTTTCATAATATAGAATATCAAGTTCTAAGTAACCATATCTATCTATCTATCTATCTATCTATCTGATCATCTTCCTACCAAACTACCTATGCCCTGCTTTAGCTATCTCATTATTTTTTCCCATTAATTTCAATGCTATATTTTTATCATTCAGTTTGAAATATTTTTAACCTTTTTGAATTTTTCTTTGGCCCATAAGATATGTAGAAGTTTCTTATTTTATTTACAAATATTTGAGGCTCTTCTAAACATCTTATTGTTCCTATTTTCTAATTTAATTCTATTGGGTTCAGAGAAAACACTCTAATATTTCAATAATAATGTTTTGTCCTTTTTTGAGAAAAAACTCACTCATCATCTATATTGTTATACTCTATGACATGTATTTTAATTTTCTCTAGCTGTTTCTATAGTTTTCTCCTTATCTTTGGTTTTCAGTAGTTAGACTGTGGTAATATACCCAGGAATGGTATTGTTGTACTTAACCTGCTTGTGGTATAATGTGCTTTTCAGATTGGTAAGTTGATGTGTTTTCACCATAATTGCGAAGTGTATGGCCATTCTTTCTTCACTTTTTTTCTCTCTTTTTTCCTCCATTTTTTCCTCTCTTCTCTTTCCAGGACATTCTTATCTTGACATTTTCCCACATGCCATTATGGCTCTGTGCAATTTTTTTTCAATCATTTTCTCTCTATTGTTCAGATTATATTATTTCTATCAATACATGTTCAAATTCTCTACTCTTTACTTTGCTACCTCCAATTGTTGTTAAGCTCATCCAGTGGATTTTTCATTCTGGAATTTCTATTTTACTGTTTTTTATAATTTCCATTTCTTTGCTGAGAGTTCTCATCTGTTAATTCATTATGACTATATTTTCTTTTCACAATACTATAATAGCAGTTTTAAAATTTATTATTTGCTAACTTTAACATTTGGATCATCTTGGAGTTAATTTCTATTGACTGTATTTTGTCTTGATAATGAGTTATATTTCCTGTGCATTTTCATGCCTACTAGTCTGATTTTATCCTGGATATTCTGGATGACATATTATGGAAGCTCTGTAGTCTATTATTTCCCTTTGGAAAATACTGATTTTTAGCTTTAGCAGGCCATTGACTCGGTTATACTGAAACTAAACTGTCTTCTCTAAGGTGGGCAGCAGCTAAAATGTCTGCTCAAGCATTTTAGGCTTCCTGCTGCTCAGGGGTTTAGGTTTACATGGAGCCTAACTCCTCTCATGAGCACTTCTGGGGTCAGGCAAAGATTTGGTAAGAGTTTATATGCGGATTTGAGGGCAATCTCTTTTATGTGACTTTTTTCCCCCTAGGATTTCCCCTTCACTTTCCAACCACAGAGCAAGGTTCAAACTCTACCTTTGGACTATGTATAACTGCAGTGTCAGGTATGAGAGTTAGTAGCTGTAGACCATATGGACTGGGTACTGGTTTCAGGAGAAAAGTCATAATTCAAATCTCATCCAGTGGAGTCTCTTTCTGTCAAGGATCAGTTCCCCTCCATTTCTACTTGCTTTGGTTGCATTCCCATGCCTTTAAATAGTGGGGTTTCGTCTGGGCACTGTGGCTCACGCCTGTAATCTCAGCACTTTGGGAGGCCACAGCGGGCAGCAAGTGTAGGCAACATGGTAAAACCCTGTCTCTACTAAATATACAAAACATTAGCCGGGTGCGGTGGCACGTGCCTGTAGTCCCAGCTGCTCAGGAAGCTGAGGTGGGAGAACTGCCTGAGCCTGGGAGGTGAAGGTTGCAGTGGGCCGAGATTGTGCCCCTGCACTCCAGCCTGGGCAATAGAGCGAGACCTTGTCTCAACTAAATAAATAAACTAAATAAAAAATAGTGGGGTTTTATATTTTGGTCAGTTTATAATTGTTATAAACTCAAGAGTTAATTGATAGAAAGCTATCCTACCATTGATGTTTTATTTTTTGAAAGGTATTTGATAAGCCCCTGCTTTTCTTCTTAGATTATTATCTCTAACCCTTAATTTAGTAGGTTATTTCAGTGCATTTGTAGGTTATCTTTTTTAAAAACTTGAAACAAAGAAATTGTAACTTAAACACCTCTGATTATTGGTTATGCCTATAACTATATCAAAATTCAAATGTTTGATTGTTATGTTATCAAATAGTACCGTGTATGTCAGAAGCCCGGTTTTAGAGGGTGAGGGACTATATTCTTCAGAATACTACACAGCATGAGCACATGCTTTAGAATTCTGGAACTCACAAAATGTCTAGTATTCTATCACTATGAAGGAAAACATCCTGTATGAAATAACAGGAAAAGCTGTGACAATAAACTAGTGAATACCCAGGAGAACCTAAAAATCCTTTCAAAATTGAATTTTAAAGAGGTAAACTTACAAAAACACAACTCATTTTTGTTAATGATCATTTACATAAACTTTACTTATTCTTATCATACTTAAAAGCAACACAACTTTTTGTATATAACTCCACTATCATGGAATCTACAATTCTCTATAAAATGTGACATAAATAGGTTTGCCTAGTCCACAAAACCATGCAGAATGGTAGTCATTACTATACACATTGAGACACTTTACTGCTCCTGGTAATGTAGCTATTTGTATAGGTTCATTAAGAATATGTCCTCCCAGCTGGACATGGTGGCTTATGCCTGTAACTTCAGCACTTTGTGAGGCAGGGCAGGTGGATCACTTGAGCTCTGGAGTTTGAGAACAGCTTGGGCAACATGATGAAACCCTGTCTCCACAAAAAATAGCTGGGTGTGGTGGCGTGTGCCTGTGCTTCCAGCTACTCTGGACGGTGAGGTAGAAGGATGGCTTGAGTCTCAGAGGTAGAGGTTGTAGTGAGCCAAGATTGTGCCATTGCACTCTGGCCAGGATGACAGAGCAAGGCCCTGTCTCAAAAACAAACAAACAACAAAAAAGAATAGAATATATCCTCCTTCCTACTGGTATATAATTGAATAAACCTATTTTTTTTTTTTTTTTTTTTTGAGACACAGTCTCACTCTCTTACCCAGGTTAGAGTGCAGTGGCGTGATCTCGGCTCACTGCAACCTCCACCTCCAAGGTTCAAGTGATTTTCATGTCTCAGCCTCCTGAGTAGCTGGGATTACAGGTGCGCACCAACACACCCAGTTAATTTTTGTATTTTTTTTTTTTTTGAGATGGAGTCTTGCTCTGTCGCCCAGGCTGGAGTGCAGTGGCATGATCTCAGCTCACTGCAACCTCCACCTCCCGGGTTTAAGCAATTCTCTGCCTCAGCCTCCCGCGTAGCCGGGATTACAGGTGCGTGCCACTATGCCTGGCTAATTTTTGTATTTTTAGTAGAGATGGAGTTTCACTATCTTGGGCAGGCTGGTCTTGAACTCCTGACCTCGTGATCCACCCACCTCGGCCTCTCAAAGTGCTGGGATTACAGGCGTGAGCCACTGTGCCTGGCCAATTTTTGTATTTTTAGTAGAGGTGGGATTTCACCATGTTGGCCAGGCTGGTCTCGAACTCCTGACCTCAGGTGATCCGCTTACCTAGGCCTCCCAAAGTGCTGGGATTACAGGCAGGAGCCACTGCACCCAGCCATGAATAAACCTAATTTCTAACATGCTGTGCCCAAAGTGTCACATTTAGAGATAAATTTAGTTTGACATGAAAATCCTATTAAGGTACTAATGCTACACTACATAAATTGTAGCAATGCACAGAACATCCTCCCTGGATACTAGTCTGGTATCTACTCTATGGTCAAAAGAATCTCAACTTTTTAGGCAGTACGGAATATAACTATCTAGCAGGATAAGAATCTGAGGAGGAAAAAAGCGTCCTCAAGAAAATAGGGTTACCACAGTTACAAGTACTAGAGGCAAAATCTGATGGAGATAAATTAGATACTCCCTGAGTTCTGGCCTTGGAGTAGACAAGCTGAGAGGAAAGTACTATAAAAATTACTTCTAGTGTGAAAGAAGCAATAAAAACATAACTTCAAGGATTTCACAAAGCTTCCACAAAGATGTTAACTCATTGGCCTTACTGGTTGTGCAATATCATATGGCAGCGAATGCCTTGATCACATAAAAAGATCGTTTAAACGGATTAATAAGCTCCTCTTGCGGTACCTTTTAAAACAAAGCATGCTAAGTAGAACAGAACACAGAAATATAGAAGCCCAGGACCATAAATTATATAAAGTAGATAACACTGAAACTATGTTAGTTTAGATTATGCTTTGAAAATCTTCCCTGGTATAGAAAACCAGTTCAAAGTATTATCAGTGTTTATATAAATAGTGCTTGTAACTGTGACTCTGGATGCAAAGTGTAAATAAAGAAACCTAAAAGTTAATGAGTAGGTAACAAATTCAATGACCCTAATGCAAAAATGTAATGAGATGGATAGACTTCCTTGACCAAGACAGACCTGCAAAGACTGTCTAAATTGAGAGACTATTAAAAAAAAAAGTTTCTAACTTGATCAGCAACAGAACCTATTTGTGAAGTAGAATTCACAATCTCCTTCTATGAAGAAACACATATTCCTAATAATTAAGCAATTTTCTGATTAAGTTTAATAGGGAAACACTTGTTCTTAGAAACCAGCTACCTAGCCATCCAGTTAAATTGTTAGGTGTCAGTGAAAAGTCTAGTGACCTTGAACCCACATTTTTTAAATCTAGGTTAGCTATATCTGACCATTCACTTTTCTTACCAAATGTCCCTAAGAATGAATTTTTGAATCCATCTACCAGAAACATTTTACACCTAAGACAAATAAAATTTTAACACATGCTCAGAAATTATTTGTCCAAAAAGTTTTTCTAACAGTTTAGTACTTACGCATTTCCATCCCCTTAGGAATAATCTTAATTTTGCTCTAATCACATGTTGTCTTCCTCCATCTTATATTTTATTCATATATTTATTCAGCAAATGTGTATTAAATGTTTGCTTCATGTCATATACTATTCTAAATACTGGAAACTACAGAAACAAATTTAACAAAACAAATACAAATGTAGTATATTTATGTCATTTGCTTGGTTTTATTCAATGTACCACCCTGTGCTTTCCTTAAATGAATTTAATTGCTTATCTTTGATTATTTCCTTTCACTTTAATTTTATATATTTTATTTTGCCAAACTCTTTTCAAATTCTTGCTTCAAAATCAAGGCACTCTATACACCACAAAGTCACTTATATAAATATCACCTGCATGTTTTCTATTATGCCATCCAGATCCTCAGATAAAATTCTAAAACACCCAACTCAGATCCAAACCCTGGACATACCTCCAGCTGCTACTTCCTCAGTTGATAATCACTTTCTGGTCACAGTTGTCCACATAGCAGTGCACTAACTAGAAAGTTATGTGTGCTGGACAGTATCTCCTAACTTTACTGATAAGCATATTATACTGAACCTTGCTAATATCAAGAGATAATATAAATTAGCCTGACAATGTTTTGCTAATGAAGCCATTCTCATAGTAATTTCTCTACAGTATTTTCCCAGAAGTTACATTTATAGGATATATCTTTCATATTAAAAAGATATTTGAGCCAGTTTCTAGTTTTCATAAATCTCTAAGATATTTGAAAAAGACTAGTTAGTAATTTTTGTTGATTTTGATAAGTTCTTAAAATACATAAGGAGAGGCTGGGTGCAGTGGCTCATGCCTGTAATCCCAGCACTTTGGGAAGCTGAGGTGGGTGGATCATGGGGTCAGGAGTTCAAGCTTAGCCTGGCCAAGATGGTGAAACCGTGTCTCTACTAAAAATACAAAAATTGGCTGGGTGCGGCGGCAGGCGCCTGTAATCCCAGCTACTTGGGAGGCTGAGGCAGGAGAATCACTTGAACCCAGGAGGCAGCGGTTGCAGTGAGCTAAGATTGTGCCACTGAACTCTAGCCTGGGCAACACAGCAAGATTCCATCTCAAAAAAGAAAAATACATAAGGAGAACTGACAAGATGTATGAGTTTTCACATTTTTAGTTTATTTAGTGACTGTTACCTAGGATTTACTTTGATGTCTTAACTCATGTTTTATATGCTTACTCCTAATTTATAATTATTTATATACTTTCTCCTGCTTTTCAATCACATATAGAAATATTTACATGTCTCTTAATGTCCCTATTAAGAAGTATGACTTCTAAGTATACTTTCAAATTTCATCATCAGAATCTAAAATAGTAGAAAAGACAATGGATATACTCCAAATAGGTAAGAAATGTTACTGTAAATTATGTCATTAAATATTTATAACATGATTATTTATTGAGCAGCTATGCCCCAGACACTTTGCAAGTGCTGTAGATATATGGCAGTGAACAAGACAGATATGGCCTCTGCCCTTGTGGCAGTTTCAGTGTAGCTCCAAAAATCAAACAGAGAAAATATGTGGAAAAACAAATATATTTCTGGAGGTTTGAGGGTAAAGGAAAAGAATATGGTTTAAATAAAAGCTGGAGGAGATGAGGGATGAGTTGTTGGGGGGGAAGGGAGCATGCCAGGCTCCAGATGCTGAAAGCAGCCAATATATAAAGGAGACAAGCTCCTCTAGTCCTCACAGCTGCCATGATAGGCTCATGCTACCTAAAGAACCCAAGCAAGGCACTAAACATGAGAAAGCCAAGAATTTCTTCAGAGGCCCTCTCCTCCTCCCAGATCTACTTGTTGTGAACTGAAATCTCTTAGTTATGGAACGCAGTGTTTCATAATTATAAATAAGTAGGCCAGGCGTGGTGGCTCACGCCTGTAATCCCAGTACTTGGGGAGGCTGAGGCAGGTGGATCATGACATCAAGAGATCGAGACCATCCTGGCCAACATGGTGAAACCCTATCTCTACTAAAAAGACAAAAAATTAGCCAGACGTGGTGGCTTGTGCCTGTAGTCCCAGCTACTCCAGAGGCTGAGGCAGGAGAATCGCCTGGACCCAGGAGGCAGAGGTTGCAGTGAGCCAAGATCGCGTCACTGCACTCCAGCCTGGAGACAGAGACAGAGTAAAACTCTGTCTCAAATAAAATAAAATAAAATAAAATAAAATAATAAGTAAAATAAAAAATTATAGTTTAAAACATAAATTCTCTAATAGAGACATACCAATTTATACTCATACAATTGATTAGTCAAAAGAATGAATAATACCACAGCATTCCAGCATAACAGAAATATATAAAGGATGTTGAATGTCTGAAGTTTGCGGAGGGCTTCCCTTCCAGGAAATAAAAGGATACAGGTAGGGGAGGCTTTTGAGAGACAACTTTATGAATTTAATAATTTTGTCAATGTAAAATTGGGACTAGAAACCTTACATTTTTACATGTAAGTTTCAGCTGAAGGGTCAATAAAGTATGTTTTATTTGCAAAAAAAGTAATTTAATTCCAGAGGATGTGTAAATTAAGGTATTGTATATATTCATACAAAAATTTATAGATATGTTGACTATTTTTCATGTCTTTAAGTTTTATATGGCACTTTTGTGATTTTAAACATGATATAGAATCATGCTACACCATGTGTTCTCAAGCGGGGGACAATCTTGCCCCTAGGAAAAATTGATTGAGGTGAAGGCGGGGTAACAAAACCTTAAATAATGGTTTGTGATCCACTGAAGAGTCACAGTACATAAACAGATACACAGTGTATCTGTGTTATTACAATTTATGGAAAAAAGGTTCACAGATTGAGGTTAATAATCAAAAAAAGGTTGAGAAATGAAATTAGCTCCACTGTGTTCTCTCTAGTGTTTCCGGCCCTTGGATGGATTTTTGTTTTAGACAAACTAATTTCCTTCTTGTTTTACCTTCACAACCTCTTCTGGTATGGAAAGAGCTTTTATTCTCCTGAGTCCTTAGAAAGGTTCTTTAAAGAACATATAGCTCTCCTGGATTTCTTTGACTCAAAATACTTTGGTCATCTGGAACATTTTCAGTTACTTCCCTAAGCTTTAACATTTTTCTTAAAATTGATTTCTGAATTTTGCCAATTCTTCCTTTTCTTTTCTGAATTCTATTTTCTGAACCCGTATCACCTTGTCTCCATCAATTAACATTCGGTTAGATACACCGAATGTTAGACTTAGACTTAGAACCGTATTTTAAAAGAACACCCATCGAATACCAGAAAATGATCCTAAATTCACTCCTCAAATTTGTGATGGTATGTTACACTCCTAAGTAGAGAGTCTAAGGTTTTGTTTGTCTTATGCCTGCTATTGGAAAAGAGCTTAGACATTTTCTATCTTGTAATCATTAGGAAATTTTCAATATATTCCTGCCAAACTATGTATTTCAAACAAAGTTCTGAGATTACACTCTTGTTGCTCTGTGCTGGCCCTGGACCAAGTGGAAGTCTATTGCTGTGCTAGATGTCCAAGGTGACATTAGTTTCTCTTTCTTGCCCATCTTGACCCCACAGTCTCTTTCCTACTTTTACAGTCCAAGAATGACCAATATCTAGCAGGCCTCAGTCATAAGGTATTATAGTTATGCTTCCTTTATTTTACCTCTTCCATTTTATTTTTCTACCCCTCATATTTATAGTGAGTCATATTTATAGTGGGTCTTCTGCTTGTGCTAATTCTCTCTCTGAAGTCCACTTCTGGTTGTAGCCTCCACACTGTGCCATGATGAGTTTTATTTTCAACGAAAGCAGTCTGAAATCCTCCTTGCTCATTATCTCAACCTCTTCTCTGAGGTAGGTGTTCCTTCCTCTCTAGTAAATTCTATTATTAAAGAATACATTTGAACCATTACCCATCTAAACTACCAAACTACTCAAATACGGTTGACATGCTCGGTATATTTGCAACCTAATGAGGTTACTATATCACCATGGAAGCAATTTATTAATGAAACATAGCTATCTTACATGGTACCTAATGTCCAAGGCTTTGTTTAAGAATGACAGCTTTCCAGCAAATGTAATACCAGTTAAACCAGTCGAGAAGCCTCGGTTGAACAAGTCTCAAGATAACAAAGAAGGTGCCACCAACAATTTGGGTGTCTTTCCTAATTATTGTAAGGATCTCAGAATATCCGATTTGTCTCTCATTCAGGAAATAGAAACCATCTGTGTATTATCCCAAGCAAAAATATAAAGAAATTTTTTAAAAATCCCTGACGTCAAAGAGTTTATAGTCTTTCAAATATATTACCTGGAAAAATAAGAATTTTAAAAAAATTTTAAAATAGCATTAGGAGTGGGCCGGGTGCTGTGCCTCATGCCTGTAATCTCAGCACTTTTGGAGGGGTACGTGTTGTCTGAATTATAAGTGAACTGACAAGGATCTGGAGGGAAACAGGCAGGCTCATGAAGGAGGTAGCTTTTATGCTGAGCCTTGTAGGAGATGCAGAATTTCAGCTGGTGGAGGCTTGGTCAAGGGTGAGGTGTGTGGTGGGGAGAGACTGGCATTGTCATGGTACCCTGAGTGATATACAAGGCTAAGAGATCAGGAGAGGCAGAAAAAAGGAAAGTATGTTTGCCAAAAAATACAAATTCCGATCCATCAACATATTGTTAGTAAAGTAAAAATAAAATAAAAGAGTAAGAGCAAAGGAAAAACTATAGAATGAGTACATGTTTCTGACTCAAGACAACAAAAAAGGATGTGATTCAAAAGTTAAAGATGCTAAGAATCAGATTAGACCTTTGTATAATTACATAAAGAGTGAATCACTGATAGCAATGACTAATCACTACGTGCATGTAAAATATACATAAAGTGAAATACAGCAGAAGTTTCTACCAGTGCTAGGATACACTGGTGTTAATCCTTACTGAGCACCTACTAGGTGACAAGAGCTGTCCTTTACATGCACTATTACAAGTAATCTGCACAGTGATCCAGCTAGGGAGGCTTTATTAATCCCATTATACAAGAGGAAACCAGGGTTCAAAGAAGTTGAATAATCTGACCTCATTTGCACTCCTACTGCACGGCAGAGTCCGAATTTGACAGCAGCTTTTTCTGGAGGCCATTCTCTTTACCCCATGCCAAACCAGAATGATTTATAGTTCAAAAGGAATCAAGTAGATTCAAGGATACCTCCATGGTTATGTAACCCTCATTAGTTGTAATATGCTTTTATGAGTGATCTGAAACTGGAGATACAGTCAACACTCCAGAAATGAAGTATAAAATCTTGGGAGTGTGTTACAGCCCATGAGACCATCATTGTCATGTCAGTGATAATAGCTGATGGGCAGGAGTAAATTGTCCATAAGGTTAAGCTCTGGATCAGTCATTTAAGAGAAATCAGTGGCAAGAACATGGGTTTTAGAAACAGATGGCCTTGATTCAAAATTGGAATTCTGTTATATGGAAAACGCTGGGCAGAAAACTTTACAATCTCTGTTTCCTCATATAGTCACTATGGTGAGTTAACAACAAATTTATATAGAAAAAATAAATAAGCAGCTTTGGATAATAAAAAAAAGTATATCATTAAGACTAAGGAGGCTTGGCTTCATTCAGGCACTAACTTAGCTGCATAGTCTTCAGCCAAATCAGAAACTCTGAACTTCCTTCTTATGTAAAATGTGGATGGCACCATTTACCTTAGGGGTTCATTGTAAGAACCTGAGATAATGTGTATTAGGTATCTAGCATGCAGCTAGATTATGTTATAGCAATGTACCATATTAAATCATTAACACAATTCTTGGCAAAATAAATATAGTTTCCACCTCATTTCATTTTAAACTTAGGCTCGCTCTATTATAATGTCATAGGTGACTATAACTTAATAATACTATAGAGTATTAAAAATCATAACAATTTGGTAAAAATTGAACACTTGGGAGTTAAACATATTTCTAACTTTGTATTGTTTTTTAAAAGATAAACTTCATGGAAATAAAGTGCAACATTTTCATTCATTTATCTTACAGCTCCTAATGCATTATTTTCACTAAAAGCATTCCCTTTTAAAAATACATTTCATTAAAGTGCTTAATCTGAGAAATAATAGATTAGTACTATTAATAAAGGCTTGATTTTATTAATAAGAAAATTGTTAAATATACTTGGTATCTCTGATACAATTGTTGGGTTGATGGGTCCTGTCTGTGCCCAATCTATTATGTGAACCATGGCAAATATCCATCTTTGCAAAACTGCCCTACATCCCCCTCAAAGGAAACAAACTGACCCCAAGACAGAACTTAATCACTCCAGAGTAAAGCAAACCAATTATAGCCTTGGCCTTCCCTGTTAAAGCAAGTCACAAGAAATGCAAATATCCTAGACTAGAGCTGTATACATTTAATGTTTGTTTACACACTCAACACATTGTTTATGAATTGAGCGAGTTTTATGCAGCTCAGATTACGTTTTGGGTTTTCAACAAATTATTTAAAAATAAACAGAATTTATAAATGTATAAAAATTATTGGCTCTGGCGATTTTGCAGCATTGTGCTAACCAAGAGGACTACTCCACTTTTACTCCTTTTTCGTCTAAATGGCATCTTAATGACCTGCCCACGCTGAAGCCTCATCGATGCTTTGGGAAACCATCACATACCTGTCGGGAAATGTGACTGTTGGTTAAGGCTACGTTTCTCACACTACCGCGAAAGAAGTATGTGACTTACAAACGGCTGCGATTTCCTTTACCTATTCCTTCCTTCAAAGGCTGCTTTAAATGGAGGTAATTCAAGCCTCCCCGTGCCAAACACCGGCACTCCAACAAAGATGGATTGGTTCTTATTTTTTACTTTGAGGATGGGAACCTGAAAATGTTTCCTAACGTTTGCTGAGGCTTTAACATGTTTAAGGAATTTGAAACCAAGGGAAGTTTAGCCGTAATACTCTGAAATATCCGCATTAGGATGCGGGCTAGGTGTCCGGCTGTTGCAAAACTACGGAGGATGCGAGGTTTGGAAGAAACTGTTTGGACTTTGCTGTATACCGGGCAGGCGTGGGGGTTGGGGAGGGAAGAACCGGCTGAGGGAGAAAAGAAAGGCATTCGTGTCCACAGAACACATCTAAGGCTCCTGAGTTGCTAACTCCATCCCTAATCATCTCATTGGTGGGAACCAGCTGGAAAGGGAAAGATCAGCGAGCCTAGGCGTGGGATGAAGGCAGCGGTTTTGGCCTCAACCGCTGGCCTAAACACCTGGCTTCTGGGGCCCGCCCGATCAAGCTGAACCCCTTCCCTCCTGTCCTGCAGGTGAGCACACGGTGCTCTCACGTTTCTTCGAGAAACCTTCCAATTCCTTTCCCTGCCCAAAAGTGCTAACTTCAAGGGTTCGGAGGTGGCAGGGGGGTGATAGACCGGAAAGGACTGGCCCCGGGGTCTCAGAGATTTTCGAGGTAGGAAAGAACAACGATCGCCCCGGCCACGGACGCATTTCCCCTCGCGGACCGCCCCCCCACCCCCGCGCCCAGTCTGCAGGACCTGCCGCTGCGGCGCGGCGTTGGGCGCCAGGCTGAGATCCTCGCGCGGCCGCTCGGGCTAGCGCGGATTGGGTGGGGTAGGGGTTGGCGGGCTCCTGAGCCGCAGTAGCGGAAGGTTCCCAGCACCACACGCCGGGCGGGCAACCACATTCTGCCTGTCTGAGAGCCGGGGGGAAGCAAGGACGCGAGTGAGGCGGGGCGAGTCCCGGTCCGGCGCGCACAGCGGACCGAGCGGGTGGCCCTCTGCGGGCTGCCCCTCTCCATCCCTCCGCGGATCCCCCGCCCTTACCTCCGGGCGCGAGAGTGTCGACTGGAGAAGGTGCTAGGGAGCGGCGAGCTGCCTGGGGGTCGGGCTCAGCGGCTGCCAGGGACGGCGGCGTCGCCCGCGGGGTCGCTGCTCATGGCTTGTCGCGCCCGAGCACTGCGGCCGCGGCCACGGCGGCGCCTTCCTCCTACTTCTCTTCGCGGGCTTCCAGCCGGGACGCAGCTAACGCCCCAGCCCCGCAAGCCCTCCTCCCCTCCGCCTCCCCGGCCGCGGACGGAGCCGCCTCCAGCGCCGCCCCGCACGCAGCCCGGCTAGCGGCAGCCAGCGCCGCCCAGCGCCCGGCCCCGGGGTCGCCACCGCCCGCCGAGTCGACTCCGCGGTGCCAGCCCCGCTGTGACGCAGGCCGCGCCGCCCGGGAACTTCCTCCCCTGCAGAGACCACCTCGCTCCCGGGACTCGCCAGCGAGGGATGCCGCCGGCCGCCGGGGGCCTTCTCCAGGACCAGGAGAGAAATCCTCTCTCCGCTTCACGACGCGGCCACTCCCACCCCTGAGACGCCCACCTGGCGGACTCTGAGGGAGGATTCGGCTGCGTCTAATACCACCTCCACCCCTCATCCCTCACAATGCGCGGAAAACCACAGGCGGCTGTGCGCGCAGCGTCGGCTCAGCCACCGCAGCTCCTCCCCTGGGTAAGTTAGAGGGGAGCAGCCACCACTAAAAATAGCCCTTCTGGGAACTCCTCCGAAGGCCAGGGTCAGGATGAAGATAACCCCTCCACAGGAGAAGCGAAGGCCTCCTAAGAGAAGGGTGGGGAGGGGACGGTGGGATAGAATGAGGAAGATGGAGAAGGAGAAAAGCAAAACCCAATATCCTTGGATCATGAAGCCCTTGAGCCCCTTGACAACCAAGTCTCCTTTCAGGCCGGAATCCCCAACTGCACCGCCCCTGCAATACGGGCTAAGGGGCAGATTCCAGGGAGACTCAGTTGGAATGCCCCGCCTACAGCTCCCGCATAAAGGAGTTGACGGTGCACAGCAAAACCACCTGTTGTTTAACGAGTATGGAGGGAGGGGTTCTCTCTCATTGATTGATCTGAACCGTGCTTTTCTTCTCCCCATTTTCCCACCCAATTTCAGGATGAAAAAGCACTCTGACGTCTTGAAAGCTGGCAGCTCTCTGTTTGGAAAATCTCTGCCCAGTGAAAAAATGTACCGACAAGATTACTAAGTAACACAGTCTTCTGGGAATGCCTTATCAATGCCAGCTATTTGAAGAGCACCCAAAGTCAAACTAGTGCTCCGCGCTGGCAGTCTGGAAAAGGCAGATGTATGTGAGTAGAGAAACTGATAGACAACTAGTTGCTGGCCAGTTGGCCTGTTTTCGTGCTACAAGCCTTCAGAAAACAGTCGCCTCCTTTTACCACGTTTCTATTTCTAAACCAAAATGAAAAGGACGTTTGTTCAAAAGATATTCTCTTGGGCTTTACATTGCTTTCCCCCTGCTCACTCAGCAAAATCCTACACTTTTTTTCCAATTCCAATGCTGCTGTTGGGTGTCCTTCCCAGAAGACAACCTTAAATTCTCTTAGGCCTTAGGAGCTGAATCTAACACCAGTCTTAATTAACCTACAACAAGACAAAAATTTAGGTCCGGGCTTACCTCCTAGTCAGCAGATGGGAAAAATTCCTAGAGAGTCTCTGGGAAAAAGGCAAAGGCTAACTTTAGCAGTTTGCTAGAAAAAAAAAAATTCAAGTACCTTGTAAGTCACCAGGGTAGATGCAGCAATACTCTCTAAGGTAGCTTTACCTCTTCAATTCTCTTACCTTACCTGAATTTAAACACAGTGAGGCAAGTACCAAGGTCACAACCCTCCTGTGGAGGGCCTTATTCTGCAAGGGCTCTCTGATATACTTCTATCTTTGTACCGTTGGCACCTGACCACAAGCTTAGGCATCCCTGAAATGCTCCCTTGCTACCCAGTGTCAAGGAATCATTGAACCTTAGACTTTGTACTCAGGTGAACCAGGATGAAATCCCTATTCTTCCAGTTTAAACTTAGGAAATTTACTGTTCTTTTTATCTGCCCCCTCCCCACCACCCACATCCCCTTATCATCCCTATAGGTATAGTACTACAGGGTGCTGTGAGAATTAGCTAATATGCTCAAAGCACCAAGAACAGTGCCAATCACTTTGTAAGTAGTCAGTAAATGAGAGCTACTATTGTACTTAACTACTCTTCACTGAAAGCAAAAGAACCAGGAATAGCAAAAAGGTTTGGAAACCTGGGATCTGAATCCCCTGCAAGTTGAGTCCACCCCAAGTTGCTTTATTGCAATACTTTTGGCTACTCTTGTGTCTGCCTTCTAATTGGATCAACTGGGTAGTTCTTCACGTGTAGGCAGGTGATTCACATGCACATTAATGCTTGAAAGCCACTAGTCTAAAAACTATGCTACACTGGTTAGTTCACCTCTTCTTATTTTGTAGCATGTAAACCTTAAATCTAGTGATCTTACCTCAGTCCACCTAATTCACATTAACATCCACACTTAGCAAGCTCTCTGTAAAGGACTGGTAGAATTAGCAATCAGTCAACTTGAGTGAGGGTCTTAAAGAAGTACAAGGCTTATTCTCCGACTTCAGGGTGTTCATAGTTCATGGGAATCATGCATACACACAAACCAGAATAAACCATTTTGAAGCAAATGTGCTTGAAGTTCAGCACATCTCCAGGAAGGAGAGGGTACTGTGAGCTAGATGAACTGGGTGCACAGACTCTGTCTTGACCTTTCACTTTATACCCAATTCTTTAGGCTAAATTTTGACATTCTAATTGGACTTCCAGAGTTAGTAGTTCTCACACTAAAGACTGTGTAATTACAAGTTAACCATGTACAGGTTGGTGATAGAAGCAGAAGTAGATATTTCTGGGCTATGCAGGGCTATGGTAAGGGATTTGGAATGAAATAGGTCTGGGCTTAAATCTTGTATCTCTAGCTATGAACTTCAGTTTCCTCATCAGTCTATTGGAATATAACTACCTTTTAGGGTTGTGGTGAGACTTAGAATATCTGTAACCCCTCTAGTGGGTTGTATGGTAACAGCAATTGTGTCACATTGTTGTTTTGTTGTTAGCTGTAAGAAAACTCAGGCTGGGCTGAGTTGTTCCTTGAAGGCGTAATTAATTAATTTTTTCTGAGACAGAGTCTCATGCTGTGTGATCTCGCTGACTGCAACTTCCGCCTTCCAGGTTCAAGCAATTCTCCTTGCCTCATCCTCCTGACTAGCTGGGATTACAGGTGCCCGCCACCACGCCCAGCTAATTTTTGTATTTATTTATTTTTTTTAGTAGAGATGGGTTTTCACCATGTTGGCCAGGCTGGTCTCAAACTCCTGACCTCAGGTGATCCACCCGCCTTGGCCTCCCAAAGTGCTGGGATTATAGGCATGAGCCACCACGCCTGGCCTGAAGGCATAATTTAAAAGTCACCTTCTCTATGAAGCCTCCACAGGTTCTAGGCAAGTATAACTCTTCCTTCCTTGTGTGACCACAGCACTTACCATGGCATGCTCTCATTTGTCTCTTTACATGCCTCTTCACTACAGAGTCTGGGAGCCTCTCCAGGGCAGGGCTGTATCTTGATTCACTTTTATGTCCATTATCAATACCCTGCACAGGACCTGATATTAAATATTGAAATAATGAGTTTTTAAGTGTTTCAGTTTCTTGTATTGGTTCTGACTTTCAGTATAACTCTTATTATACTACAGGCTCTAAAACCTGAACCCTTTAGCTCATAAATAATTCATACTAAATTTATGTATTATGTATATGTATCTGCTTAAACCTTGATGATGTCAATGCTGGGATTGTTCTTTCAGATCAACCTGCTATTCTTGTTTTGTTTTGCATTTGATTTCAGTTGATCCTACCTGGTAAGAGTGCAAGTAAAATCTACATTCTAAACCAAAACCACCAGCAGGATTTTACGCTGCATTCTCTATCCACCCTGTGCACATCTGCTCCCCATACCATTTCTGAGCTTTGTGGGAAGAGGCTGAGCTAAAAGAAAACGTTGTTGTTTTAAGTTTCAGTTGTTTAGACTGTTGCAACCATTAGCACTTTCTGAATTAATACCTGCAAGATAAATGCTACCTTTAGCAACAGTTTTGAAATCCTTGACTCTGTGCCATTAAAAATGCTAGACAGGGAAAAATAAAACCTTCCCTAGAAAATTCTTTTGCCCAGAAAGTTGCCTGAGAGGTAATGTCAAATGTGGACTTGATCCCAAAATGGCAGTTGAATTTGTACCAGAGGAGATGGTGGTCTATTGGGGCTAAAAATGATACCCCAAAATGAAGGAATAAAAAGCAGCCTCAGAAGCAAAGTCTCTGTCTAGCTTTCTCCTGCCCTCCTGTCTCTCACTCTCTTATTCTCCCTTGAAGCAAGCCATAGAAACTGGAATCCTTCTTCCCTGAGGTGGGTCATATAAACCAGAACCTTTTCCCCAAAACCAGCCTTAGAGCCTAAACATTTTACTCTAATCTTCTCCCTCCCTTCCCTTTCTCTTTCTTGCTAACTGCTGGCCATAAAGAAATTAAGACCCTCATTCCAGGGGGTCCTACCCCATACCTGGGAGGAAGGAATGTTATATCGAAAGGCCAAGAAGAAATCTGAACAGACAGGCCTTGCTGGATTTCCCCATTCCCCTTGCTGGATCATACCCCTTTTGTCCAATCATATTTCTACACAGCTTTCCATACTTCATTGAACCCAAGCATAAAAATGGGCCAAGAGAAGGTGGCTCATACCTATAACCCCAGCATTCTGGGAGGCCGAGGTGCAACATCACTTGGGCCCAGAAGTTACAGGTTACAGTGAGCTATGATCAGGACATTGCACTCCAGCCTGATCTACAGAGTGAGACCCTAAATCAAAAATAAAAATAATAATAAAGGAATAGTTGCCCCTATATCTTGGGGTCTTCATTCTGAAGGCTCCTGTGTCACACAAAACTACGATCAAATAAATTTGTTATGCTTTTCTCTTGTTAATTTGCCTTTGTTAGAGAGGTGTCAACTGTTATGATAGGAAGGAAAGGAATCACCCCTTTTTGCTCCCTACAGTACCAAGGACCTAAAAATAGGATTCTATAAAACTTTGAATCAGATTCTTCTAAAACAAACCTTATTTATTTTACCACCCCAAGACAGAATTGTTTGATCCCACTAACTTGTGAAATTTTCTTTGGAAATAGTAAAGAATAAACACTTATGAGGTACACATTATGTGCTAAATGCAGGTTGAATATCTGTTACCCAAATTCCTTGGGACCAGAAGTGTTCTGGATTTCAGATTTTGAATATTTGCACTATACTTACCAGTTGAGCATACCAAATTCAAAAGTCTAAAATGCTCCAATGAGAATTTCCTATAAGCCTTATGTCAGTGTTCAGAAAATTTGGAGCACCTCAGATTTGGGATGCTCAATGTGTGCTAGCTTTATATGCATTGTCTCATTTATTCACCATAGCTATCCATTACACAGGCAGTATTATTTTCTCATATTGACAGATGAGAAAACAGAGGCCCATTGTAATCCAGTAGCTAGCTGAAGGTCACATAATCAGTGAGTAGAAGAGTTGGGATTTGGGCCTAGGCAAGTCAATTTCAGGGTTCTCATGCTTACTCACTACTTAATCCTATAGGAAAGGAGTATTTATTTTTAAATGGAACCCATCAGTTATTTCAGTAAGGTTAATAATGTACTTTTTCAGTATTTCAAAATTGCATTGATTTGTGCTTTTTCCACTAGTGTACTCATATCCCATATGTGCCTTCATGAGCTGGTTTTACAGCTTACTCTTTAATTGAAAAGCACTTTACAACTGAAAGCAAACTTCTTAATCAAAGATCATAATGTGTCCGTAGCTCCGAGTTAAGGCAACATGAACTATAACCAGACAGAGAGTCTCATTCTTAGAATTATTGTTCAGATGGGTCGATAGATAAGTAACTTTCACATGAGAAATATTATTATATTATGATATAATAAGAAATATATATATATATTGGTCATTGTCTATGGTTCCTGGCTTACAGCTTCTAAAACTCTTGTAATTTCCTCAGTGATTAGAGCTATAGGATCATTTTTGATTATATTTGGGTTTTGTCTTTAGTTCCTGAAATAGCTCCAGATAAAGGTGAAAAAAGTGTCTTTTATTACTCATAAGATGTCTTCTTCAACCACACCTGGGTTTATGTTAATGAAGCAATTTTTGGAAAGCCCCTAGATAACTGCAGGATGGGAGCTGGTTGCTATGGAAACTTAAACGTGTGTGTGTGTGTGTGTGTGTGTGTGTGTGTGTGTGTGTGTGTGTGTCTAGACTAGAGGGTTGGAATTTTCAGCCCCACCTGGACCTTTGACCTTTTGGGAGTGTAGAGGAACTGGAAACTGACTTAATTACCAACGCTAATGATTTAATCAATCGGGCCTATGTAATGATGCCTTTATAGAAACCAAAAAGGATGGAGTTCAGAGACCTTCCATGTTGATGAACAAGAACACATTCACCTGCTGTAGGGGTAGGTGTACCCCAAAACTCCACTGATACAGAAGCTTCTATACTCAAGACCCTTCTATACTCAAGACCCTGGATCTTACCCTATATATCTCTTCATCTGGCTATTTATTTGCATCTTTTAATATATCCTTTGTAATAAACTAGTAATCTAGAAAGCAAACTTTTCCTAGCTCTGTAGGCCATTCTAGTAAATGATTAAACCTGAGGAGGAGTTATGGGAACCTTTGATTTGTAGACAAGTTGGACAAAAGTGGTATATATCCTAATATAACATGGGAACCTGCCACTTATGATTGGCGTGTGAAATTGGGGGATGGGGAAGCAGTCTTGTGGGACTGAGCCCTTAGCCTGTGGGGTCTAATGCTATCTTCAGGTAATATCAGAACTGAGTTAAATTATAGGATACCAGTCAGTGTCCATTGGAGAACTGAATTATTGTGAGGAGAAACCCACACATTTGGTGGCTAAAAGTATTGATGTGAGTAGTAGCATATAGGAGTTTTTTGCTATATACATATGTAGTGTAAGTTTAAAGTAAAAAGTTTTGTATTGTCAGGAGTGACTTCTTTGCACCTAAATATCACTGCTATAACTGCGTTACTAAGGAATAGTTGCTTGCTTTTATGTATTTGGCACCTGCAGCTACTGTTCTAAAAAGTTTGCATGTGTTAACCTATTAATTAAATCTACAAATGACTGGCTGTACCCATGAAGTGAGTTATTCTAAAGACAATGGAACATTTAAATGGTTTAGAAATTTTTTGATTAAAAATACATTAATAATATCTCCTAAAGAATGTGACTGATTTTTTTCCAGGGCTCAAATTTTTCAGTCTTTTCATAACACCATATTTTATTATGCATACACAATATGCCATAGAGCCTGTCAGATCACAACTTAACATTGAATTGCCTCAAATTTCAGTGGCATCAGCCCTGACGAAGCATCTAATTTTAAGCCTAAGCAATTGTTTCTTTGTTTTGAATGAGAAGCTGTCCTCTCTTTGAGGCATGAAGATCCATGGCTCAGGAAACCTTATCACGGTAGTGAAATTGAAGATGCTCTTGTTACTCACATAAACATGATTCTCTCTTTGGAAAATTATTGTAGACGGTGCTTTGTATGTTTAGGAAATGCCGTAGCCATGCGCACATGCTCTGTCCGTGAAAGCCACCACCCATCCTGAGGTATGATGCATTTTTTTTTAGCATTTTTGGAGCTTCTTAGTTTCCTGAATCCACTCATATTTTTGTCTCTTTAGGAAACAACATCAGCAACAACAAAGCCTGATTTCCCTTCTCAGTATCAGTGATGTATTAATGGCACTTTTGCTGTTAGTGAAAAGAACATAAGCTGGAATTGATGAGACCTGGATTCCAGTCATATTTCTTTCATTGACCAACTTTGTGACTTGGGAGAAATCTCTTAATATCTTTACATCCTCAGTCCTCATTTGAAAATGAGAGGATTGGGAAAGATGTCTTCTTAGGGCTTGTTTGGTGTGAGAATTTTATACATAGATATTAAAATTATACATGTTTATCCTCCTTAGATTTCAGTCAGTAATGGATATTACCACCAGCATTTAATCAAGGAAGCAGGAAGTGATCCATCACTGCTAGCTGCTATCTACAGGAATTCTGTCTACAGGCAGGGCAGACCAGTCAGCCAGTATCTTCCCGAAGTACCTTGGTCTTCCACCATCCATCCCACTGAGAGAGCCGTTCCTCTAATGAGGCATTTCTAAGCAGCTGTCCATTGAACTCTACCCCTTGAGATATCCTGAGAAATAGGAATCTATGGTTCCTATTGTTTGGAAAGTAGTATATCTTCCTTGAAGATTCACAATGCGTATTAATATGCTTAGGGCTCTGATAAGTCCTGTATTAAAAATGCTTGTTAAACTTTGCTGAACCTAGCATTTCTTTAACTTCACTTGGCCGTGGAGCTATTTCCTTTATTACACCTATCAACATTCCAAAAGAATAAAATTCCTTAGAATAGAATATTTTGTTATTTTTGAGTTAAAGACTGCAGAGCCTTCATAAGACTTTTCTTGTTGGAAAGAGAAGGGAATTGTGGGCTCTATAACTCATTTAATGAATATCTGTCAAGATAAGCCCTCTTGGTAGATGTTTTCTTCAGCTATTTTCCTTACAAACATCAGTCATAATAGAGTGCCTGACATCTTTAATAGGACAAAGAGTATCCATTCTCATTGGTAATAGTGCAGCTTTGTTCTGTTACACTGAGGAATAGTTCCCTGGCTGTTACATACTCTTGTTAGCCTCTGGGTTCCATGACATCCTTTCAGAAATAGCTGAAACTGATATAGAACACGCACATATTCTGAGCACAAAAAAGATGACATAGAATAGTCTATTATTGGTGACTATTGGAAGACAGTTCTCTATGGGTCTCTAGTGTTTTTGTACTCTTTCTTCCAAAATAAATGTTCAAGGATATTTGTACAGTGAACAGCCTTGAAAGATAGAGATAATGTCTTTCTCTGGAGCAAAAGCCAGACATGTTTACTGTCCAGTATAATAAAGATAATGTTTTTCTCCAAAGCAAACGGGAAGCATACTTACTGCTCATAAAAGGTTGATATTCCCTAGCTCAGGATTTCTCTCCTATAACACAATCCACTGTGGAGTTAGGTGCTTTCTCGCTCTCTTTGCATCTCCCTGTGGGAAGTGGGTCTCCAGGAACTGATATAAAAATGCTGATACTTTGGATACTGCTATTGAAGTGAGTAGTAAACTTTCTTTTGTCTCTGACCCAGGACTTTTCACGTCTTATACCACCATCCCAGAAAGTGTAGCAGGCTAGTATTTTAGTTTCCAAGGATAAGAAAATTTCAGACCCTCCACATTTCTTTACAACGACTAGCTTTTTCCTCTCTACTAGGTGGAAATTGATGGGATAACTTGATATACTTATCTACCCTCCCTCTCTGAATCATTCCTGGCCTAATGAATATTCTCTCCTATGAATGCTTTTCTAGGCCTGTTGTGGCATTTTTCTTTTTTTTTTGAGATGGAGTCTAGCTCTGTTGCCCAGGCTGGAGTGCAGTGGCACGATCTCGGCTCACTGTAACCTCTGCCTCCTAGGTTCAAGCAATTCTCTTGCCTCAGCCTTCCCAGTAGCTGGGACTACAGGCACATGCCACCATGCCCGGCTAATTTTTTGTATTTTTAGTAGAGACGGGATTTCACTGTGTTAGCCAGGATGGTCTTGATCTCCTGACCTTGTGATCTGCCCACTTCAGCCTCCCAAAGTGCTGGGATTACAGGCGTGAGCCACTGTGCCCAGCCTCTCTTGTGGCATTTATGATAGCCTTCCATCCTTGTTTCTGAGGAAGATTCAATAGAGAGCTATTAGAAGTGATGTACTCTGATTAAGGAATTTCAAAGAAAAGACACCATTAATTTAAAGTCCAGCATGATAACATTTCATTACAATGATGAGACAATATTTTATATTCTATTTTATTTTGAAAAATTATTTAAAAATCAATTCTCAGTGAAAAGGAATTACCATGTTACATTAAAGAATGTGTGTGTGTGTGCGCATGTGTGTGTGTGTGTGTGTGTGTGTGTGTGTCTGAGTTAGTTGCGTTGATAGCTTCCAAAATGAAAACACTAGGGTTCAGATAAGATGAACTGCTTCCAGTGACCAAAAGGAGGAGCATTTAACCACAACATGAAAACAGCTTATGGTCTCATTTAGGAGACTGAAAACATCTCTGATCTCTTAAGTGTCTCGAATATTCTTTAGCTTGTAAAATGCTCCAGATAATAGCTATTTATATCTGATCTGATACCATTTTATATTAATTGTTCATTTTATTGGCTTAACCAAAATTCAAAATTATACCTTCTATAATAATATATCTGATCATTTGCTTTGAAACAAACACTTTCTGATTGAAAAATTATCAGAGACTTTAAAGTATAACAGTATTGATTTAAGAGCAACCAGGTCTGCACATTTGTAAGATGACAAGCAAGTTGTAGGCTGACAACTTGCTGCAGTGATTTGAATGATACAGACAAGGTAGCTGATTAACATTTGCTGAGGATTTACTCTACGTCAGGCATGATGTTAAAGATTTCACATGTAGGCCAGGCGCGGTGGCTCACCCCTGTAATCCCAGCACTTTGGGAGGCCGAGGCGGGCGGATCGCAAGGTCAGGAGATCGAGACTATCCTGGCTAACACAGTGAAACCCCGTCTCTACTAAAAATACAAAAAAATTAGCCAGGAGTGTTGGCGGGCGCCTGTAGTCCCAGCTACTCGGGAGGCTGAGGCAGGAGAATGGCGTGAACCCAGGAGGCGGAGCTTGCAGTGAGCCGAGATCGCGCCACTGCACTCCAGCCTGGGCGACAGAGCGGGACTCCATCTCAAAAAAAAAAAAAAATTTTACATGTATGATTTCATTTCATCCATGTAACAACAGGATAACAGGTAATCTTACTATTCCCATTTCACAGATAGGGAGTCTGAGGCACATACAGCTAATGTCACTTGCCTAGCCTCATGCTGCTAGTAAGTGGCACAGCCAGGAGTATAACCCGGACAGCTTGACTTGAAAGCCCACACTCTTATCACGCCCTTTCTATCTTAAAACATCACAGTATTTTAAACTGCTGGAAAATGTCATTTTTTCCCCCTAGAGTGCTAAACAAAAATAAACAGTCTTGCTTATCTGGAGTTTCATACCTAATTATCTTCACATATACGATGTTTTTGATCTTCATTTCTCTACAGTGAATATATTTCAGGACCATTAAGGGTGAATTGGTATGCATCAGCCCATGTTGACTGAGAAAAAAAGATACCGTATAGCCCATTTTGAGTAGGGAGACATTCTAGTTATGCCACTTGGAAATGTTTCACATAAGGTTTTGCTGTATCCCAGACTCCTAACATAGATGCATTTGAAAAATCATTTAGTAACCTAAAACAAATACCAAGAGATGTTGAGTGTCTTTAAGTCTATATCCAAAGAGGGAGGAAAGAGCAACAATATTTTAAAAGTTACTAATTCTCTACCTGGAGATGTTTCCATTTTTCATGATTATAAAGACTATTACTGCCAGCCCCAAACTGCCCAATTTCCAGGTTCCCCAGGTGGGCACATTGTGATGCTGCCTAGGCTACAAGTCACATCACAATACTTTTCCTCAGATCAGACTGGCAGCTCAGCCTCTCCAGTTTCCCAAGGAGGGTGAGGTGAGGAGTGGTGCAAGACTTCTGAGTGCTTTAAGGGGAAAGGAATTTTTTTTTGAGATGGTGTCTCGCTCTGTCGCCCAGGCTGGAGTGCAGTGGCGATCTCGGCTCGCTGCAAGCTCCGCCTCCTGGGTTCACGCCATTCTCCTGCCTCAGCCTCCTGAGTAGCTGGGACTACAGGCGCCTGCCACCACGCCTGGCTAATTTTTTTTTTTTTTTTTTTTTTTAGTAGAGACGGGGTTTCACCATGTTAGCCAGGATGATCTCGATCTCCTGACCTCATGATCTGCCCGCCTTGGCCTCCCAAAGTGTTGGGATTACAGGCGTGAGCCACCGCGCCTGGCCAAAAGGAATTTTTAAACTCTTTTATGATTATTTCTTAGGATGATGAGGAAATCATTTAATAAGCAACCTTTATAGATTGCTGCCTAGCCTCTCAAAACTCCAAAATGATTTCTAAAAAATAGCAATAAAAAGGCTTCATGCAAAATTCTCTGCAACGTTACATCTACTCAGTGTCCTGGCTACCGAAGACAAATAGTATGATACACATTTCAGTTGCAAAAGCAAGTTTCACTTCTAGCATCCCATGCAACCATTTTCACAAGAAAATGAGGAGTCGTCATGGTCTTTGCTGAAAAACTTTTGTGAAGATTGGTGGATATTTTTCTGTCTTTCTGTTAAGACCCTGAAGAACAGAGTTGAGTGGAACTTACTTTCTGTTTCTGTTATCTAGAGTGAATTAAGAAGTTTAAGAGAAGCAAGTATGAATCTCCTGATCTTGTGAAATCTCAAGTAGCTAAAAGGAAGTATTGACATTTTTTAACTGGAAGTATTTGAATTTACCTGGATTTAAACCTGCATTGGCATTTTTTATAACATATATGATGACTGAATTTCTGTAGACCCAGTAGGAAATCGCCTATTTTTTTTTTTTTTTTTTTGAAAAATCATCTTCCCGAACTTTGCAGTTCTTTAATCAAATTTGCACATGGCTCTGATGGGTTTATAGTTCTTTACTGCCTCCCTGATTTTGCATGTGTCTTTATACCATCTTCTAATTTCTTACTTCCTTTTTGTCCTTATCACTATACTCTCTTTCTCTCCAAATTCCATCAGTCTTTAAATGTTCACTTCAAATTCTATCTTCATAAAGTTTTTCTCACACTTTCTTTTCTGTAAATGCTTTCCTATGGTTTGAATGTTTGTGTCCCCTCAAAATTCATATGTTGAAACCTAATTCCCAGTGTGATAGTATTAAGAAGTGGGGCCTTTGGGAAGTGATTAGGCTATGAGATTTCCAGCATCATGAATGGGATTAATGCCCTCATGATAGAGGCTTTAGGGAGCTTATCCCTTTTGCCATATGAAGATGCAGCAAAGAGACAGCAAAAAGGTACCATCTATGAAGCAGAGAAGCCCTTACCAGCCACCAAATCTGCTGGTGACTTGACCCGAACTTCTCAGCCTCCAAAACTAAGGCAATAAATGTTTATAAATTATTCAGTCTAAGGTATTTTTTCACAGCAGTCCAAAGGGACTAAACTACTCTATAGTCATTAATCATCACTCTTACCTTCCATACCTATGAGAACCTAAATAAGCTGCTTAACTTCTCTGAGCCTCAGTTTCCTGAGAAATAAATGGGGGTAATTATAGTGTCTACTTTATAGTCTGGTTGTGAGGGTTAGATTATTTAATACATATAAAATATTAGAACAGAGCCTGACATATTGTAAGCATGTGACAAACATTAATTTTTATTAATATTTAACAGCTAATTGCATCCTTATTTTAAAGTTTTCCATTTTTTTCTATTTTCCATATGGTAGAGGTTAAAATTTGTTGATTTGATTTAATTATGTATAGTATAATGCCAAAGGGAATCTTTCTTCAAATTTTTAATTATATTGTAAAGAGTTACTAATTGACAGTTTTCTTATAAGTTAGCTTAGTTATAATAAAATGTTTAAAAAGTGAACATAATGAATACTTATTACCTGAATTAATATTACATATAATATACATATAATTATGTATTTATTATATAAAAAGTTTATTTGATTATTTAAATTTGTATTCATTTATGTAAATAAATTGTTATTTTTATTAAAATTGATAAATTTTATATAAATATAAAACTAATATAACTTAAAATGTTTCTACATTTTTATTTCAATTTAATATATCACCCATGATACACTAAAATCATCATTTCTTTCCCCCACCCCAAATTTAAACACAGGAAATTGTATTTTTGAGAAATTCTTATCTAAAGTATCTGTCATATTGTAGAACTTCTGTGGATATGAATGAGTCAATGTCCTAGTTACTGATATAGAAAAATGGCTACACACCAATAATTTTGAAAAAAGACTTTCATTGTTTACTGAAATCGCATGCAGGAAGAAATAGCTAGTTTTAACACACCAGTGTTATGTGTTCTTTTTTACATGATCTATAAAGGGATACATCTCAAGATCTCTTCAAATCCCTCATAAATTTGTGATCTACAGAGTAGGGAGGACCTCGTACTCTAAAGCAAACCAACTTCAAAAGGCTGTTTGAAATGTAAAATTGGGCAATATTAATTTTAAAACAGAAACAGTTCAGCCATTTGAAAACAAGAGGTGTCAATATTTCTGTCCAGAAACCAATGGGAGTATGCCACCAAAAATTAAGACACAGGTCCTGAAGTTTGTTTGAGATAAAATACTAAGGTCTCGTAAATCAGAGGAGCCACTTTATCTATATTACTTGGCTATCTTTAGAAAGTACTTTTAACTCTTCAAGCAGTTTTAACTACTCTAACCATTGTGTAGTATTTTGTAATGGTGACAAAACTTTAGATAAGATGAAATCTTACTTCAAAATATCTCTCAACCCCTTCCTTTCCTCCCTTTGCATTTCCACGTCTCTCCTCTAGTTTTGCTCTCATCACTTTATGCCTACCTAGTGGCCACTGTCTCCTTCCCAGTCTTCCCATTTTAGTTTTATCCAGTTCAATCTCCATGAAATCATCTGATTTATCTTCCCAAAGTGCTGCTTTCAACACATATAAAATGAATGGCTGGCCCAGAGTAGCTGCTCAATAACAATTTCCCCTTGCTTTAAGTAACTCCCCACTGTCCAAAGGGAAAAACTTAAACTCGAATCCTGCATGGTTTGTAAATCTCAGTAGGAGACTGTGGTATAATAAAGAGTATATTGGTCTTTTTCCCTGGTTCCTACTCCAAAGCTTTTAAAACCCTCTGCATTCCCTAAGTGATAGAGGTCTCTTTGTTATGCAAATGACGTGTCTGACCATAGCCTCCTATGTAGTTTCAGGACAGAGGCTGGTTACCAGAAAGACCAACCATGGGATTAGCGTGCTCAAACTTTGGGCCAGCTTGACCTGAGTTAAAAACTCAACTAGTCAGGAGGGGAAGGGGGCTGGAGACTGAGTTTAATCATTTGACCAATAATTTAATCAGTCATATATATATAATGAAAGCCCAATAAAAACTGTGGACTCTAAGGCTCAGGGGAGCTTCCTGATTGGTGAACATATAGTTATACCAAGAGAGTGTGTGCGTTGGGTCCATGGGGTGAGAGTATGGAAGCTGTATGGTCTCTCCCTGACCTTGCCCTATGTATGTCTTCATTTGGCTCATCTTGAGATACAGTCTTTATAAAAAGTCTGTAATCAAATCTGTGCTTTCTTGAGTTCTGTGAGTTGTTCTAGTGAGTGACTGAACCTGAGAGGGTCATAGGAGTCATTAAATTTGAAGCCAGTTGGGCAGAAGTGTGAGTGGCCTTGGGACCTCCTGAGACTCATGACTGGCATCCTAAGTGAGGGCAGTCTCATGAAGGACACTGTCCCTTAATCTGTGCCAATTCTGGTAGTTAGTGTCAGAATTCAGTTGAGGTGGAAACAGAACACAGACAGTATTAAATAGCTATTACTGGAATCCATGGAAGTAGATCAAGCCACTGGAGCATGATTGTATAGCATAGCTGCAATGGAAAAACTGATTTACTAATGGCCTGCCCAGGACCACAAAATGATTAAACTGCTTCCTCTAATCTGGCTTACCTAGAACATGTTAGGATAGCCTCATGCTAAGGAATCATGCCCATGAATCATCTGAAGACAGGAGGAGTCAACATAGTTTTGACTAGCTTAGGGCAAGGCAATTGGACTGAATTGTGAACCGTGGTTTTAATTTCACAGGGTCCTGCTAATGGTTTATTTAGGCAGAAGACAACATGAGTGTCCTTCATCACTTAGTTTCTCTGAAAAATATTCTACCTAGGCAAAAAAACCCAAGCCTAGATGATAAGATATAAGTAAGTGGGTATGTTATGTGTGAAGATTTGGATTTCTCTGCTCTGTCTATATCCTAGATAGTAATTCTGAGAAAAATCAAGTTGCTGGTACTGGTGATAGTGGTGTATGGGAGAGGGAGGGCCCTGCCTATTTATTGCTCAGTAAGCTATCTGTTTCCAATTTTGGCAGTAAAACATAGCAACAGAGGGAAAGGAAAGAGAAGGCACAAGGCATTGAGTATCCACTGCCTAGCAGGCTCAGAACAAATGCTTTTACTTACGTTAGCTTATTTAACATAAGCTTATGAAGACACATATAGCATAAGTTATGAAGACATAACCTCCCTGAGGAGTAGGTATTCATATCCTCACTTTGTAGGCACTCATAGTGGCTCAGAATTCCCTGAGATCTCATAGTAAGTTAAAGAACAAGCATTAGCATTCAGGGTTGTCTGAGTCCAAATTTAAACTTTATGCTCTCCTTTACTGCCTAGTTTCCATCTATGAGCCTCCTTATGGCATGCCCAAGTCACACTCTGGTTTAATAAAGCCAAGAAAGGTTGTCTTTTCCCCCTAAATTTGCAAGAGGTGGGATGAGATTTATCGACACTCAAGTTAGACTAGAGTCAGCTCCTGAACCAATTTTCCCCAGACAAATCAGAGATTTTCACTGTCAAGACAATAATGAAATCTCTTTGCAACCTCCTTCTTCAATGTTATCTCTTTCAGGCAAATTGGAGCTAATTCTGGGGCAAGCAGGAACAAGTAATAATCACAGCCTCCTAGAGATATCCTTGGCACAGTTGCCTCGGGCACACTTGGCTGTGTTTTACAGAATGCTGTTCCCACGCCCCTGAATTAACTCTGTCTAGTTGTAGATGGCCAGAAGTGACCCTTCTAGCAAGAATCCTTGATAGTCCCCTGTCTTCCAGAAGACCTGCTAGTGGGCTCAAAATATGCTGAACTCACACTGGGTTGATGAGGCTAGGGCCCCTGCATTACTGTCTGTTTGTCATTAATAAATCTTCCTGGCACCATTGGCTGGGACCTAACATGAAGGACCTGGCATATAGTGCCCAGCCCCCTAGTGGTGGAGGCACAAGGGAGTAGGACAGGGCACAATGATCTCCATGGTCTCACTTGGCCACCAGCAGGGCCGGCAGCTTAGGATGGTGTCTCACCTGGGCCAAAATGTTGAACAGTCTGTGGACTGGTACCTGGGTTGCAAGCAGAGTGCATGTTCTCACTAGCAAACACCTTCAGCTGAACACATTCTTCCTCTCATTTCCTGAGGGCTCCCAGCAGTTGATTTCCCATGGAAACAAGCAGAAAACTGTTTTAATCATCTGGCATTTAGTTTCCTAATTTGTATGGGAACCTGGAGATAGAGACATATGGTACATTCATTATCTGAGAAAGCTACAGCTGAAAGAAAAATAATGAAAGCCAGTCTTAAAACTGGAAAGTTTCAGCAGATGCCCTCAAATTACTTTCCTTCATCTCAGGGACTGTCAACAATGCTGCCAAAATTGTTGTTCTGTTTTAGCTCAGTATTTCTAGCAGGATTTACACTTGAACCTTGGTGTGTGCTTCCCCCATGGCCCTTTACAGCCTGTCAGCTCTCATAGTTGGATATTGGAGCCCCCCTATTATCTCCTGAACCAGACAGAGAGTTGGAATGAGCACAGGCTCAGGAGTCAGTCAGACCTGAGTTCTAATCCTCAGGAGTCAACCTGACCTTACTAGTCCATTGGTGTTGGGCTAAAACTGAACTTCCCTACGTCATTTCTTTCCCCCCCTTTTTTTAGACAGGGTCTCACTCTGTCGCCCAGGCTGGAGTTCAGTGTCGTGATCTCAGCTCACTGCAACCTCCGCCTCCCGGGTTCAAACGATTCTCCTGCCTCAGCCTCCTGAGTAGCTGGGATTACAGGTGCATGCCATCATGCCTGGCTGATATTTGTATTTTTAGTAGAGATGGGGTTTTCCTGTGTTGGCCTGGCTGGTCTTGAACTCCTAATCTCAAGTGATCTGCCCGCCTTGGTCTCCCAAAGTGCTGGGATTACAGGCATAAGCCACCAGGCCCTGCCCATTTTTCCTCATCTGAAAATTTCATTCATTCATTTAACAAATATTTATTGAACATATATTTTGGGCCAGGTACTATTTTAGGAACTAGAAAGATAGCAATAAATAAATAAAATCCTCACCTTTGTGGGGATTATATTCTATTTCAGAGGACACAAATAATAAAAAATGAGTAGAAGACATAATATGTCAGCTGGTGATAAGTGCTATAAAGAATAATAATGCAGAGAAAGGGAGTATTTGGACAAGGCAATGACAAATTTTTAAAAGGCGGAGCAGGGAAGTGTCCTCGCTGTGAAGAGGCCGTCGAAAAAAGACCTGAAGGAGGTGTGAGGGTGGGCCTGTGGCTACTGGAGAAAGAACATTTTGGGAGAGGCCCTAAGGTTGGGAGACTCCCTGGTGTTTTGGAGGAACAGCAAGGAGTCCGGTATGGCTGGAGTCAATGAGTGCAGAGCTTTGGGCAACACCAAAGAGAATTTGGCTGCAGTCACTGTCACTCTCATACTGGAAAGTTTGGAGCAGAGGTGACATGATCTAAGTTGTGTCAGGGTTACTCTGGCTGCTGTGGTGAGAGCAGACTGCATGGGACAAAGTTAGGATGTTATAAGTCATCAAAGGGAGACTCCATAATGGTTTGCACCAGGGTAATCGATGTCAGGTGGTGAGAAGTGGCCGAATTCTGGTCAACATATTCTTTTGAAAGTAGAGCTTTAAGAATATGTGACAGATTGAATGTGGGTTAAGAGAGGGAGAGGAGTCAGAAATAACTCCAAAGCTTTTAGCCTGGTTACTAGGAAGAAAGGAATGCTAATTTTCTGAGATGTAAAATAGTTTAAGAGGAACAGGTGGAAGGGATGGAAAATCTGGAATTCTGCTTTGAACATGTTAAGTTTGAGGTGCCAATTAGAAGTCCAGACGGGGTGCAATGGCTCATGCCTGTGATCCCAACACTTTGGGAGGCCGAGGCAGGCGGAATGCTTGAGCTCAGGAGTTGGAGAGCAGCTGGGCAACGTGGCAAAACCCTGTCTTTCCTAAATATACGAAAAATTAGCCAGGTGTGGTGGCACATGCCCGTAGTCCCAGGGGCTGAGGTGGGAGAATCACCTGAGCCTGGGAAGCTGAGGCTGGAGTGAGCTGTGATCATGCCACTACAGCCTGGGTGACAGGAGTGAGACTCTGCTTTTGTCTTCGAGAAAAATAAGAGTAATCTCTCCTGATGCTTTATGGTGAGAAGCTGAGCTGATTGAGAAGTAAATAACTCAGTTTCTGTGCTTTTCTAGCATGGACACTATTATTTCCTTGCAGTCGATATAACGGAATTTCAAAGGTTCACAAATTTAAGATAAAAAAAGTCCTGGCACTGGAATAAATAATATAGAAAGTACACATCCCTCACCCCTCTTCCCACCTTTTTTTTTTTTTTTTTTTTTTTTTTTTTTTTTTTTTTAACAGTAGTTACAGGCTGGAGTTGGAAAACGGGTAATTATTAATCTTTGTACTCTTAGTAGGTACATAATAAATGTCCCTATTTCCAGACTTGAATTTAGTGACTTTATGTCTTCATGTTTCTAAGGTACTGAAGACTTAAGGGTCAGGTCAAGGTAAAGTTTAGACTTTCTTCTAGAGCAGTACTGCCTGGTAGAAATAAGATGCAAGCCATAGAGGTAATTTAAAATTTTCTAGCATCCACGTTTTAAAAAGTAAAAAGAAATCAATGAAATTAATTTTAATAATATATATTATTTAACCTAATATAGCCAAAATATCCTTTTAACATGTAATCAAAATAAAAATATTGATCTATTTTATTTTGTTTTTAACCAATTTTTGAAGTCTAGTGTGTATTTTATGCTTATAGAACATCTTCATTCAAACAAACCACATTCCAAGACCTGAATAGCCACATGTGGCTAGCGGTGATCACATTGCACAGGGCAGTCCTACAGGCAATTGGGGGGTATTTTTCTTCCTTGCTTTATATTTTTGAGTCTGATATTTGACTGCTGACACATGGTGTGTTTTCTGTCCATCAGGTTCAGATACTACTTGTTCTTTTGCTTTATATAGCAAGCCATTATGTGGCTACTAGTCCTGAACATGTTGGAGACAGAGGATCAAAAACTTCTTTAGTGCTCCACTTGCTCTTACCTCCCACAGGTAGAAACATCACTCAGTAAAAACCACCAATGAAAGATTCAATAATACCAACAATATTGTACCTACAAACGTTTGCTTGAATGGGTAGTCATTCTAATGGCTACATTTAAAAATGTCATTTTATTTTATTTTTTTTCCGAGACGGAGTTCTTGCTCTGTTGCCCAGGCTGGCTTGCAGTGGTGTGATCTTGGCTCACTGGAATTTCTGCTGCCCGGGTTCAAGTGATTCTCCTGCCTCAGCCTCCTGAGTAGCTGGGATTACAGGGGCTTGTCACCACACTCGGCTGATTTTTGTATTTTTAGTAGAGCTAGGGTTTCGGCATCTTGGCCAGGCTGGTTTTGAACTCCTGACCTCATGATCCACCTGTCTCGGCATCCCAAAGTGCTGGGATTACAGGCGTGAGCCACCGCGCCCGGCCAAAAATGTTATCTTATGTTAAAAATCTCTCTGTGATGAAAAAGCATAAAAATGCTGAGAGTAGGACACAGACAACTTGGAATTGGTGGCAGGATGTCTTCTAGGAAATGGCACACATAGAAAATAAAAACAAGGGGAAAACTATCTTGAAAAATGTCTAGGCCTTATTACAGAATACATGGAACCTTAATTTACATTTTAGTTGATTACAATTACCTCCTGGTACTTTCACTGACTCAATTATGTTTCTAATTTACAAAGTCCCTCCCTAACTCCAGAAATGTTAATGCTGGCCCTTAACAGGGAGGGCACCACAGCCAATGCTTTTCTAAGCACTTCATATGTATGAATTTATTTAGCTTTAATAACAGCCCATGTCTGTTATAACAAAACTATACAGTAACAGCTCTTAATCTCAGCTCTGTCACTTGCCAGTTAAGAGACTCTCTGAGACTCAATGTTTAAAAATATAAAATATAGAATAAAAATACAACTCACCTCACAAGGTTGGTGTGATAATTAACTTGAGGTAATTGAGAAGCTACACAGAACAGTGCTTGACACATAGTAAGCTCTCAGTATAGATCACTACTGTTACTGATGACAAATAACAAGATTTACTTAGCAAATCTTGAGGGAAGAGGTTACAAACCTTCTATGGCAAGGAAGCCACAAAGTAAGAACCTCCTCTCCTAGCTCAGACAGTGGTTTTCAGCTTGAAGGACTACAGTTTTTCTTCTCTGTACACTAAAAAGTTTTGGTGGCTATATTAACAGGCTCCAGGTCATTAGGGAGCTCCTACTACAATGCCTAGCAAAAACGTACTCCAACATCACTAGCATTTTTAAAGTAATTGAATTTTGAATAGGAATACATGCACATGGTACGAAATTCAAAAAAATACAAAAAGATATGCAGAGAAAATATACACGGTGTTACCAGGTGGGTTTTTTTTTTTTTTTTTTTGTGCATCTACTGGAGACTTTCTGTGACTATCCAAGCTCACATACACGCACCTTAAGATATTAAATTAGCAACTACATCTAGTAGGAGTCTATTGTTTTTACTGAAATATCCCAAAACCCCAAGTGTTTATAAGACCTGGAACAAGAATTTTAGTTTACAAATATTGTTTCCCCAGGGACACTTTCTTACAGGCTCCATTAGCCATTGATTCTGTTAGTGATCATCTCACCAAGGACCCCAGAGAGGGCTCAATAATCAGGCATAGGGAGTGAGAAGTGGGTAAGAAGAAGATTCAAGGGAAGGAAGATAAGGTGATAGGTACCTATTGGGTGTCAGATATGACTAAGAATTTTATATATGTTGTTTCAATTTTCTTAATCACCTTGAAACATGGTTATTATTCTTCCCCATTTTGCAGATGAGAAAACTGAGCTGTAGAAAGGTTGCCTGACTTGTCTAAGATAACACAGCTGGGAAGTTGAGGAGGCAGGTCTGACTGGTATAAAAAACTCCAGCCCAGTGACTTCCATACTACAAAATGGACAAAAGAGATCAGGTACGCAGAAGGGCAGAAAGTAGCTGAATTGCTAGTTGTTTTGAATACACTTGGAAGGGAAGGGAGATACAATCTGAAAAACTCACATTTACCACATCAAAACAACACCCAGCAGGCAAGTTGACAGCCCTTTTCTATCTTACTGCTGATGGCAGTGGTGGGCCATCCAGAGCAGCCGCTGCCATTGCACTGGCTGCAGCCAGGCGGGACCCACTCCCAGGCCCAGAGCCTCTGCCACTCTGTTACCCTGGCCCCGTGTCATCTCTCTTGCCTACCGCCTCTGTGGGGAGGTGTGGGGAGGAGGTGGATAGTCCCCGGAGGAGCCTGCCCCTGGGAGCCCCCTGGAGCCTGCTGCCCTGGGAGCCTCCACGATGAGGCCAGGCTGAATTGCCCCCTGGTGTGGGGGCAGCATGGTTGGGCACAGAAGGGCACGCAGAGAGGAGCCCCGAGGTGGAGCTGGGCCAGGAGTGGTGCAGCGTTCCACGGAGCCTGCAGGAGCGAGGAGCAGGCAGGAGCCCCACCCTCCCAGGCGCCTCTACGGCCGCCCAGGTTGCAGCTGCAGACCCGGGCATCTCTGCACTCTCAGGGGACCTGGGAATCCCCATTGTTAGCCCCCGTAGGCTTGAAGGTGTCTGCTTCCACTGCCTGGCCTCTCCCTGCTGTTGGCTCCAATCACAGGGTGGAGTTGAGGCCAAGTGTGGGCGATGTCACAGCCGGGCTGGGTGTACACACACACGAGGCAGTGCTGACATGCCAGGCCCCTGCCGCCTCAGCCCCCTCTGGACTTTGGGCACTGACAAGCACAGTGGGGAGGGATGCCGAGGCGGGTGCTGAGCACAGCCTGGTGCTGGCCTGCAGGTGTCCCTTGGCATGAACAGCCTGGGTGTCATGAACAGTAGCAGGAGGCCGACTGGCTCCTGGGTGGAAGGGGACTGGTGCCTAGTGAAGCCCCACCCTCAAACCAGGGAGGACTCGAAGCCTGAGGGCCAGGCTGCCAGTTCCAAGGACCGGAGGGAGGACTTGTAGTGCTTTTTCTGGGCCAGCCCATGGCCACCCATGGACCAATCAGCACACACTTCCTCCCCTCTGAGGCCCATAAAAACCCTGGATTCAGCCAGACTCCGGCAGAGGACAGAGAGAGGATAGAGAGAGGACGGGGAAATGGTGGGATGACCCGCTACAGAGAGGAACTACCCACCTCAGTGTCTCCCGTCTGCTGAGAGCTGAGAAGACAATGGGATGACCAGCTGCAGAGAGGAACTACCCTCTCTGCTGACAGCTAGACACTCATCAGGATGACCTGCCTAGCAGAGAGGAGCTACCCTCTCTGATGAGAGCTGAACACTGGCTGAGATACCCACTGCAGGTCTCCTCTGAGCTGTTCTATCGCTCAAAAAAGCTCCTCTTTGTCTTGCTCACCCTCCACTTGTCTGTGCACCTCATTCTTCCTGGTCGCAGGTCAAGAACTCAGGGCCTGCCCAATGGCGAAGCTAAAAGATCTATAACCCCAACAGGGCTGAAACATGCCCCTTGCTCGCCACGTTGTGGGTGAAAAGGAGAGAAGAGCTGTGACCCTTCGGGAAGCCCAGACCTGGGAGCTCCTAGAGCCAGGGCTTTGACTCCCTCTTTGGGGCTCTGCAGTTCCTGATGTTTCCAAGTTTCTGGGTGCCACTACATTCCCTGGTGCCAGCCAAGGAAGCTGCTCGTGGTGCACCTGGTCCAGCTGCAGCCTCACAGAGAACCAGTGCCTGTGCTGGCACGTGGAGCTGCCCGCCCTGTGGTAGCAGCCGGCATGTCTGACTGCGCAGTGGCCAGACCCCATGCTCGCTTACACATCCCTTGCCACTCCACGCCTGACTCGCAGTCTCCCTTAGGGGCATGGGATCCAGACCGGTATCGTGAGCTGAGTGCAGCCTGCCAGGCTGAGTGGGTGGAACAAGCCTAGCGGGCCGAGCAAAACTCAGACAAAGGCACCACCAGCCACAGAGGTTTCCGGCCAGAAAAGTGACACCCCAAAGATCCCGTAACACTACCTCTTCAGATACATTGGCAATAGACCAGGACACGTTTTTAAAATTTTTCTTAATTTCTTATTTTTTCCTGACCCATCACCAACAGAAAGGTCACATTTTAAACATTCACAGAGACCAGGTCTAAGGTGAGTACACAGTGATGACAAAGTTTTGTTGGGAAAGGCAGACGTTCTGCACCTGATGCTACCTTAGTCCCTGCAAAGAGTCCTCACTTCCGTGACTAAGTGGAAATCAGCTACAATTACTTAAGCACGTCACTAAGGTTTTTGTAAATAAAAATTTCTGAATAAGAAAATTTGATACATTCTTCAGTTCTGGTGTTGTTACTAACGGTCTTAGTCAGTTTGAGCTGTGATAACAAGTATCCTAGACTGGGTGGCTTAAGCAACAGACACTTTGTTTCTCACAGTTCCAGAGGCTAGGAAGTCCAAGATCAAGGTGTTGGCAGATTCAGTTCTTGGTGGGGGCCCTCTTCCTGGCTTGTAGGCGGCTGAGTTTTTGCTGTGTCCTCACATGACACACACAGACAAAGAGCGAGCTGTTAGTCACTTCTTGTAAGGATACTAATTCTAACACGGGGCTCCACCCTCGTGACCTCATCTAAACCTAACTACCCCTCAAAACCCCACCTCCTAATACCATCACATTGTGGGTTAGAGATTCAATGTATAAATTCTAGGGGAAGACACAAACATTCAGCCCATAACACTAACAATCACCAAGGAACTCATATGTACAGAGTTTAGAAGTTAGCAAAGGAAATTCACGTAAATCACCTTATCTGAACCTCACAGTTGTTATCTGTGAGATAGCTATTTTTATTTTCCCTGTTTTGCAGATGAAGAAGCTAAGTTGAGAAGCATTCAGTGATTTCCCCAGGGTCATCTGACTAGTCAGTGGCAATGGTAGAGTGCAAAATCAGGTTTTCTGATTCCAAATCCCGTGTTCATTCAGCTGCATCAGGAATCAGGCCATTCCGCTCCTAGTATTAGCAGCAATAACAAAACAGGAACAGCAGCTGATGTGTATTTGGTGCTGTACCATGTGCCAGTCTCTTTAAAAATATTATCTCTCAGGGTAGATGCTAGCATTCTATTTTACATCCCCGAGAAAACTTAAAATTATCAGGGTTAAATAACTTTCCAAGATCACACAGCCAGTATATCCACAAAGCAAGTATTTGAACCAGGTTTGGCTGAGTCTAGAGACGATGTTCTTAATATGCCACTTTGCTAGAGTGGCCTTTGAAGTGCTCTTTGAAAGACAGTTTGTAAGATGAAAATATTCTTTTAGATATATTTATTGAGATTTTAGTCAGAAATGGATTTCTTGCCCATTAAAAGCACTAGTGCCCTACAAAGTGCTCTATTGAAAGTCCTATTTTTCAGGCACAACAGATGGAGGACAGATGTTTCTTTATGCTCTGAAAGGTCCACTTTATGTAGCTGACTATAATAAGATTGTATCTGGTTCCGAATGTTTCAGAGAAATGGTATCAGGCAGATCATTGTAAATGAAAGCCAAATCAAAGGCATTATTGCACAGATTTGATAGAAAAAAAAAAGCCAAAACAACAGGATGTTATTCAATGGTATGGGCGGAAACTTTTTCAGAGTTCATTCTGAACCACACAGACATTTTCAGATGTGTTCCACCCTAAGATTCAGCCTAGTGTCAGAGAAGTGCATGTATGCTTGATTGAGACTTGTGTGATGGGGTGAGGTGGTGGGGGCCTGGGGGTTGGGTGCCATAGGTGTGGGTAATGCAATACTGAACTTTATTTCAGTGTGATTTGGAATAACATGGAAAGCCTGGAGAATGAGTGGAAACTTTGCTGTGACTTAAGTAGACTTCGGATAAACAGGAACTTTCTATGAGTTCAGAAAACTTAGATGCCTGAGTGTATTTGAATACTCATTTGGGACAAATGATTAGACCTCTAAGATAATAGTTCCCAGCTTTTTGTGTGTATTGGAATCATGACTGCAACACCTGAGAAGGATTTTCAGGCCCAATACACAAGTACGCTCATGTTTTGACCAAGCTGACTTCCAGGTTAGAAAGTCCATTTGTATTCTACAGAGAATCATAGCATCTCAGAGCCTAAAAGTGGCCTTAGAGTCACTTAGCCCAACTATCCTCATTTACTGAAGAGGAAACTGAGGCCCCATGAGGGCTAGTGATATTCTGCCATCAAACTTAACACAGTTGGGAGGGGAATACCCTGAAGATCTAAAGGACACTAGTTCAAGGTAGTGTATGCAGATGTGGTTGAGTTTTCACATACTGTTTAAGAACACAAACTTTGAAACCAGATCTAGATTCTAAACCAGTTTCCTTTGCTTACTAGCTGTGTGTCTTTTGGCAAATCACTTAACTTCCCCAAGCCTCAGTTCCCCCATCTATAGAATAAATGTCAGTTTTCTTCCTTTAACATCATTGTACCCATGCCCTCAAAGACTGTATCCAAAGTACTACTTCCTTATGCCATTTTCTTACCCACAAGGATTTAACAACTTCTCACTGTTTCAACAATTTGTCCACAAAAGTCTCCATTAGTGGTTTCTGGCATGTGCCTTTGCCCTTAGGCATCCTGGCTGACCCACTGGCCAGCACACACCTTGCAAATGCCCAGCTTTCAGCTATTTATTCATTATGCACCTACAGTGTAGAATACTGTAACAAATTATAGGTGCAGATACTATATTAGTGGAAGGGGACACAAATATGAACGAGATTTGGTTTCTGCCTTCAGATGACTGAGCGGGAAATCCATAACCTCACTACATTGGTATAAGGGTTCAGAATAACTAACTCCAATTTGGGGAAAGAGGGTGATTAGAGGAGTTATAGAGTGATATCATCTTAGTCTTGAAGAATGAATTGAGGTTTATTCATATGTGTATGTATGGAAAAAAGGAACTTCTGGTTGAGGGAACAGCCTGGACAAAGACATAGAGGTTAGAAAGGCTTGGCAGAGAGGACTGCCCTGTAGTTCCATATAGTGGGCTGGCAGGAATGCATGTGGGAAGTCCAGCACTGCCTGGAGGACTTGGATTCTGGCCAAAAGAAAACCACTGGGGTCAGGTCACATTGCTGCTTTGTTAAATCCCACAGGGCACAAAAGGGCAAGAACATTCACATTTCTGGTGAGTCACATGTAAACAGCTGTATTTTTGCCAAGGTCTCTTCCAAAAGGTACTGAGGCTGGGGGCATCTTTCACACAAGGTGACAGAGACGTTTCTGCGGCTGACACCATTCCAGTCTTATGACCTTAGATTTCATTTTATCAAGCTTCTACTATCTATAGTTACAAGAAACAAGACCTCCTTTAAGTCATGCTGCCTGGCTGTGGTGAGAACGGACAAGGGTGTGGCTGTGGCAGATGGTATCAAAGAAGACCCTTACTGCCCCATTCCCAGTAGGTCCTTGAATGGGTACTGGGTAAGTTCCTGTGAACAATGGGGAACCCAACTCTCCATCCTATGTTCCCTGACTACCTGCTACTTCTAAGAGATGTGGGTACAGCCCTGGGAATGGCCTTTCTTCAGCCATTTCTTGGCCGTCCCTCCTCTTCATGGTAGGAGAGAGAAAAGAGGGAAGAAAGGACCCATGTGCTCCTGGTGGGCCAGATTCTTCTTTTCTGGTCCAATGTAATTTTCTCATGTGAAAGGGAACATTCCCTTCAAATATCAGCAAGATGGTCAGATGTTTATGCAGAATCTCAAAGCTCAGCATCAAGATTTCTGGTGAACATGGATGCTGTTTACACTAGCTTTACAGTCTAGTCAGGGAAACAGACACTAAATAAGTCATAGTTATCAAGAGGATGGATACCTCAAAGTATAGTACCAGTTGCCCTGGGAACAAACAACAGGGGGATCTAAGGATGGACTGGTCAGAAAAATGCCACCTTGAAGAAGTGACCATTTATACTGAGAACTGGATGAACAGGAGTTAGCTAGGCATAGGAATTAAGGAAGAGCCTTTTTGGCAGAAATGCATGTGCACAGACCAAGGCAGGAAAGGACATACTTTGAAATATTTTCTATCATCTTTGGAGGAAAACTCATTAAAGCTAACGTAGAAAGCAACCACTAGGGTCAGACAAGATGCTAACATTTTACACATATTATCTCGTGGAATCCTCTTAAGATCTTATGAGGTTTGTTTCTATGAGGAGTGGGTCTTATTTGTCCCTGCTGTCCCCCACTGTATTCACAATACCTTAGGCAGCATCTGGGTAAGTAGCAGACACTCAATATTTATAAAATAAAGCTTACATTTTACAGACGAGGAAGCTGAGGCTCAGAGGTACAAGATGACTCAAGAGTTACTGGTGAAAATAGGGCTCTGATCCAGGTTGGAGATGAGTACCTTCTGGGCTGTCAGTCCAGGAAAATGCTCTTGTCTTCTTCCAGATAAAGCAGAGACTAGGCCGGGCCTTGGACAGTCTTAGACTGGGCATGAGGGCACAGAGCAAGTGAACAGCACATAGCTATGTCTGCCCACTGCATTATCAGATGAACCTGGTGAGCGCATAGTCTGCCCTTGGAGCTGGCACCCAGGTGGGGCTGTACCCTAAGACCAGGCAGAAGTTAACATCTCTCAGTGCACTGAAACCTAGAGTCATGTTTCTCCAACGGGGAGCCTGTTAGCTGACCTGACACTCAGGTCTCAGCTGAACAGAAACTGGAGAACTTAAAACTGTCAGGCATCTATTTGCCCTAGGTCAGACTCTGGGAGGAAAGCCAGTGATAAAGGGTCAGCCTCAGCTTTCAAATTTTGGTGTTAAAGCCCAAGACAGCCAAGTACCTCACAGGTCACCTTTATACCTGTGCAACCTCAGGACATTTCTCTTAACTGGGAATTGTAACCTGAGCATTGTGAAGGCCCTGCTGGGAATGTTTCTAACTGTACTGCCCTAAATAGCTTCTCTTCACTGTCTACTTGGCTCTCCTGACGGGGAGGCACTGCAGAACAGCCCTTTAAGATAATTCCATCCTCCTTCACTTGCTATTATGCTTGAGGTTCTTTAGTGAATAAAAGTCTTATTCATGTGTCATAAAAGTGAATCATTTCCAAAGCTGAAAAAAGAAATGTATGACATACTCAAGTTCTTAAGAAAATTACTCAGTATTAAACATGATCAACACTTCCCACTCACTCAGCATTTTATGTAGATCAGAATATTGGAGTTGGAAGGCCAGCTAGCGAGCATCCAAGCCCACCCACTCACAAGGCTCAGTTAGGCTGCTACCCTGTGCATGCAGATCACACTGCAGATCACACTGGAAATGGCAGGATCACGAGGGCTAGTGCTGAAGCCCAGAAGTCAAAAGAACCCTATTTTCTCTCCCTCTGTCAGACATCCTCCAGCATCCTCACCAACTTCCCCAAGCCACAGCTTACCCTGAGAAGCATGTTAATTTCTTCCAGGCCCTTCTAGTCATTAACTTAGCTGGGGCCTTTACTGATGATCTGAGACAACACCCAAGCCATCTGCCTTATTTCCAGCATGAAAAAATTCTCCATGGACACTCTGTTCATCAGGAGAAATTATTATACTCACTACCAGAGAGAAAGAAAAAGGGAGAAGAGCTAATTTCTTTCATCTTCTAGAAGAAAATTTAAAAATAGTGCAAAGTCCCAGTAAGGTCGTTTGGTAAGTCATCTTCCTTTCATAGAAGAGCTCAGTGGAGAGGGCCTGGGACCCCTTAGAGCCACAGTCCCACTGTGTAACGGGCCTTGGGGACACCTGAGCAGGTGACTCACGTGGACCTGACATGACAAACATTTCAAAGGGCTAGCGTTTTGAAGAACCTCAGGGGAAATGCCAAGTGAACCAGTGTTAAATGGCAGTGGATTGTTAGAGCTGGGGTTGAAGCTTTCTTCCTGCTTCGTAGTGCATTCAGCCAGAAGGCAAAGCCAGGGTCACAGCATCTTCCAGGGCAAGGAAGGCAGCTTCTTATCTGGAACGTGGCATGAATTCAATAAGGACAGCCTAACTTGTCCCTCCTCCTCACTCTTCTCACTCTCCAACATTCTAAATCAGCAGAAGAACAAATTTAGCCTGAACTGTGATTAGAAGTCATTTTGTAAGTCTAAAATGTTTGCCAGCATTTTCCTATAATAAATCAGCACTCTCAGGGAGTTAAACTGGAACTTCCATTCTCTAATAAAACCCAAACTGACGTGAGCCTCATTTGCAAACTGAAACAAAAAACACTAAATGTTAACAACTCTTTTTAAGAGGTTGGGGTCATTATCCAACATCACCCACAGGGTCAGAAATCCAGCATGACACTCCATTCTTCTAATGACAGCAAATGTAGATTTAGGTTAAAACATTAAAATATAAACTATGCACTTTCAAAATAATCAAAGTTTATAAATAAATGGGTTATTTGGAAGAAATTATACTAAAATGTTTAAAACTCTGTGTGTAGGCATGCACATGTCTACATGTGTATCAATCTTTTTCAACATTCAGAATATTCAGAGCCTGCACATTATAAAGAACAGAATACTGAATTAGATGTTAAAATCCTAGAGTGTGCTCACAACCCTACCACTTACTAGCCATATGACCATGGCAGTGCATAGTATACAAAAAGTAGAGTCTATGGTGCTATGGAGTCCCCAGTTTAAAACCTGACTCTTCCATGTGCTATGCTAGCTATATAATCTAGTATGTTAGTTAAGCTACCTGAACCTGTAAAATAGAGGTAATGCCTACTTGATATGCTTTAAGGATTAATGATATTTATAAAGCTCATGGCAGGTGCTTTAGTAGTTCCCAATAATGGTAACCACTGAAGGTGTCTCTTTCAGAGCCCAGTTTGCTTATATGTGAAATGGGAAAAATGGCCTAAAGTTCTCTGGTACAGTGATGCACTGTGCATGGGAAGGGATTATCATTAAGATGCAGATTACAACTAAAATGAATGCAGCTTATTAGAGAATACACAGATTCTAGAGTTAGGTGGGAGACATGGGTGCTGATCTGGCTCTTCCACTAGTCTTTGGTGAAATGCGGATTATCTGTGCTCTTCAGAGCCAGCACAGTAGGGTGAAAAGAGCACTCAACGGGGGCATGCACAGATCATGGTACCATCTTCCTAAATCACTGGGGCTGTGATCTCCAACAAGCCACTTAACCCTTCCTTCTCAGCAAATTCTCCATGGTTTCTTCTCATTGGGAAGATCTCTGAATCCAGAATTACATTAGAGGATGAGGAGGAAAATAAAACATACAGGAAGTGACTATGGCTGAGGAGATAGAAACTAGGATAGCTATAGAGCAGGAGGAAGCACTAGGATCAAAGCAGACTGGACGAGACCACTGAGCTCTGAAAACCAGAGTTTTCAAAACTCCAAGGTGGTTATGAGAGGATAAAGTTGATGTTTAATGTTCAGCTAATCTCTGTAGAAACAGGCTATGCAGACCTGTAGGTTGAATATGGTTCCTGTTCTCAGCAGTCATGAGACCTTGGGATGGTAATAATTTGAAAGTCTTCTTTCTCACCTGTAAAATCAGAACAACATACCAAATAGGGTTGTTGGCTGGATTGAGAGAGTACACATGGAAAACCTAGCAGACTGCCTGGCACACAGGAGGTGCAAAATAAAGTTATTGTCATATACCACCTCAATACTTCTTCCTACAGTGATGCTCTCCAAACTCAAGGATCAGGAACTAAATAGTTAGATTATTCTCTTTTCTCAATTTGAAGCCACCAGTGAGGTTCCCGACATGCATTGTGCTGCTCTGATATCACAAGCCAAGCAGATTTTCCTCAGGCCACTTAATGCGTGTTGCATCAATTCTTCACGTGGCTACTTCTTTAGGCTTTCCCTTTTCACAGAACAACTGCCAGAGAAAGGCTCAATCTATTATGAAAAGTGTGGTTTGATCCACTTGAAAAAGAGAACTGTTCTTTTCTCCCCTTGAGGATCTGAGAAGTTTCTCTATGCATTACTACAGACAAGGGTGTGAATCCAACCCAAGCTCAGGGAAAGACTAGAAGGAAACTCCCTTCACACAGGTGGTGTTTAGTCCCCCACTAGTGGTGCAGTTTCAGAAACTCCAGAAGGGAAACCTTCCCACCTACTCCTTAATGACTGAGAAGCATTTCAAGGGAGAAACAGTTTTTCACACCACAATGGTAACTCGTTCATTCCTGTTGAGAAGAAAATAGTCATGGCCATATCCAAGGTACTCACATGCTAGGCTGTGCTGAACTAAGGGTAAGTGCACTTAAACAGGTGCCTGGGGTATTAATTTACAAGGAGTAACTACATGTCATTGGAGTAATTGGAAATTTGGTGCCAGTTAACTCAGGTTTCCACATGTAATTCCTTATGTTAGCAGCCTAACAAATGAAACTTGGCCCTTTTCCCATTCAACATAAGGAATAAGTCTCTTATTTTAAATTTGAAACTGTGGCAAGAAACTACCTTCTAGAAACAGAGAATCTTGATAACTGGGAGACATGTATTTTGGTGAGAACAAGCTAAAGCATCATCCTTGGAATAATAGGTATTTCATATTCTTGAAGATGGGAGTTAGTAATAGGTGAGGATACGTAAGCTTGGAGTATGGTGGTTGGGGCAATGCCGAGCAGCACAATCCTAGAGCAAGCGAAAGAGAGCAAGAGCCCACAAAAGTGGTTGGAGGGAGTGAGATCTGGGAGGGATAAGGGTGCGGGACAAAGAGAGTAGGATGCTTTGAAAGGGAACAAGAAGGGAGACTTAGCAGCTGACAGGCCTGCTCACAAGGCCCGGGAGACTGATTGTCGATTGGGGATATTCGACAGAAATGCCGTGAGCTGTAAAACCTCATATTCCCTACAGCCCCTAGGCCCACTTGTCTTTCTGCTAAATTATCTTTAAACTCTTTCTCATTCTTGCTAGATAGAGTTTTAGTTTTGGAAAAAGGAATACAAAGATAGTTAAAATGTTCATGATTGTTTTTTCCAACAGAACGCCAGTTTTCCCATTTCTACCAAAAACATGTTGAATAAACATTCTAAGCATGTTCTTTTAAAGGGGTACCACACACTTACCTGCCCAGGGTGCCCACACGGTATGGTCTGATCTTGGTGCCAGGAACTGCATGGGGCTATGTGCATCTCATTTGAGGTACAGTTACTGATATTAAGTGAGGGCCAATGAATCCTCAAGATCTTACCGTGGGGGCTGCATTTGATAAAGGCAAGGGAAGGCAAGGAGAAACTGAGTATAGGAGCAAGAAACTGGATGCTGTGGTTTAAGGACCATATCAGGAAGGAGAGGCTAGGCTCCAAAACAGTAATTGCAGGGTCAGTGCTGATTCATAACTTTGTAAATCTTTTACACCTGCAATTGTGAGGCCCACGCTCCATGAGGAAGAAGGTTGGCCAAGATTTACAAATGTTGATAAACCTAAAAAAGCATTTCTACTCTACCTACAGAGGCTAGGACTGAGAAGTCACTGCTCTTGGCAAATAAGCGATTGGTAATCTGTGTAAGAGAAATTACCAGGAGGGGCAGAAACTGGGACATGTGGAGAGCTGGACAGAAGTGGGTTGAAAAGTGAATACTCAGTGAGGAAATAGGGCTGACCAGAAGGTTTGGTGTTAAAGGAAAGCAGAGAGAATCTGTGATGGCTTTGCAGGTAAGTAAGATAGGCATGAATCTTTTTTTCCAAAAGAAAGAATCTGGAGTTATATTAACCTACAGATGGGTGTTGGTGGCATGCTTCTATTTGACATTTTCTCCTCTCAGCAGCAGAGGGAGGTAGAGAGTAAAAAAAATGATGTGGATTGAGCCCTATAGGAATACAAAGGGCTCCAAAATGGAAGGTATTTATCATAAGGAAATAATTTGAAAATCTCAAGAGCTAACAGGCAGCTCTATAGAATCTCTGCTATTTAGGAGGCAGAAAGACATAACTCGAGTCTAGGGGAAGATGAGATAACATGGGATAAAGAAAGAGATTTGCATTTTAAAAAGACTACGCATATTAAAGTGGCCTTTTCTGATCCTTCTTTAGCATGTCGATGTAGGATCTTATGTAAATATGGGACTTGAGTTTGAGGTCTGGCTTTGTGCATTTTGGATAAACTGCTTTTCCCTAGACCTCAGGAATGAGGGTGACAAAACACCAGGTGGGAACAGAGAAGGAAACAAACCATAACAAAAGTTGCCGCTCCAGAGAATGGAACCTTGCCCTCAACAGCACCGGAGTCTCTCCCTTCCAGTTGAGCCCTTTACCACTTTTTCAAAAAGCCATTTTGAAATGTGGAAGTGAATGCTGAAGTACATGAAGCCACAGTTATTGCTGTGTTTAGGGGGCCATGTCACTGCTGGGCAGACTGTTAGCATATAACTTCAGCATCTCAAAGCACCTAGCAGTCCCTGAAAGGCTGCTAATGCCTGGAGGCAGGCACTCACTTCATTTCAATAGACTTCCCATTCCTGAACCACTTAGAGATGGGGGAAGCCTTTCTTGAATGACTTACTGCATTTTCAGAGAATATGGCCAGGGAACAACTAAGTTACTTTCCTTCATAATCTGATTCAGTCTATATATATTCCAGCAAAATTCTGGCTATCAGCCTTCTAATGTGGTCCTGAAACTGTGTGTGTGTGTGCATGTAAGAGACCGAGAGAGGCTGTTTTCTATCGAAAAGTTCAAACTATCATGTACTTATTTTATCCAGTAATTCAATTTTTTCACCTTTGACTAAACCATCTCAGAATTGCCTGTCTTGCAGTTCTTTAGCTTTTGCTTACCTGGTTCACAATTCAGTGTTAAACAGGAAATGGAGAAACAGGCACCAAGAAGAAAGGAGAGAGATGAGGCGTTCTATGAACATCTGTCCCTGATGAATTCCAAGGAAAGACGGGCCCACTCATGAGAGATCTACTACCCCCCGCAACCCATGTATTCTAGGATCCACGCAGCTCTTTTCAGGTGCTTGTTATTTTGTGGCCATGGTAGCATATTTTGAAAACTCATACCATTGTTGTAAGATTCACATGTAAATCTGAAATCTATTATTTGGTGAATAACAGTACGACAGTACAAGGAAGCATGAGAAGAGAGAGGGAATCACTTTTGGAACTTGGTTAAAATTAGTACAGTCAACTTCTTCCAGCATTTACTGTTTTTATTTGCCATTTGTTATAAAAATTGGATCTTTATTTTACACAAAAGGTACTTTAAAAACAGTGAAGTTTACCAAAAGCTACTGAATCTGTGGCAAAGGGATTTACCACCAAAAATGCAGATTTACACAGTAAACCTGAGGGCCAAAAACATTGAACAAAATCTTCCATTTTCTAATAATTCATTACCAGAAGCAAAAACAATTGTACACAGATAAATATGTGAAGGTTAACAAATGCTAGCTTTCACTCTTGCACTAACCAAATAAAATGTCTCTATTCCAGATTGGCCCATTATTTCACTAAGTGAAGTATTTGAAGAATTTAAAAAAAATCTTCTTGTAAACATTAATATTTAAATACAACATATATATGCACGAACACATCCATTCTAACTCTATACCCCTTTGTATTCTTAAAATTGCACCATCTCTGTTAGAGATAATGTACAACATGCAGAAGGCATTCATAATTGTTTTTCTCAGCAGTAGTGTATTATACAAGTTAAATGCAAAAGTTAAATATGAAATTAAACTCAACTGAAAGCCATCTCGACTCAGTACTTTGGCTCATTATTCTATGTTAATGCTTTAGTGCTGATGAAATTATTCATATAAAAAATCTGAAGAGAATGTAGCCTGTTACCAAAGGTATGTAGTAGATAGCTCCCTGTGGATACAGAAGTGATGGACAAGAAACAGAAGGAAACCAGTGAAATAAGACTGCAGGTTTTCACTGCTTCAGCTTTTCACATCCAGCTGAAAAGAAATAATTATATCGAGGGCATTCTGCAACAGTAATTAGCTTATACTATTTCAAATATATATATGATGACTTCATAATACAAACTAGGATGCAAAATAACTCCTTCCCTCCCCCACCATTCTGTCTGTTTCCAGATAGAAATAAACAGATTCTGATGCAATGTACAGTTACTGAAAACAAAGCAGATCTACAGTTACATTGTCCTGCTTTGGGTACAGATCAGCTCTAAATACTGCAGGATGGGCAAAGTAAAACTACTCAATGAGACATAATTACAGGCACTGGCTTCCTCCTAAATAAATACATGCTCAAATATCATTGCAAATCTTCTGGCACAAATATATTCTGTTACTGTACAATTGCTGATCAAATTTAGTGCGGTAGGTGAGTGGAGAAGGAAAACAACATACCTTATGTGCATAGGATGATGCTAAGAGAATGTGAAGATGGAAAGATGAAAAGAAAATTTTATTGAAAACACAAGAAAATAATGTTAAGGGCACAGAATAATTGTTTGATTATTTTAATGGTTTTTGAACCCATCAATATTATGCAATATTTTAATTAAACATAAAATTTTAATCACAAAACACTTGAACCGAAAAAAAATTTTTCACTATCAAACAATGTTATGCAAATACATCACTGCAGTGCACCACAGCACACCTATTGGAGCTATGCCACAGCACTGAGATACTGAGGATCTCTATTTACCCTGTTTAACACAATGTGAAGTGACATAAAATACAGTGACATACAGGGGAAAGAAATTAAGACTGGGAGTGAAGAATGAAAAGATAGTATCTGTGTGCCACACAGATGTACCCTGATGTAAGTTAGGAAAAGAACACTACTCCTTTACTGGAATGCTCAAAAACACTTAGGTTCTCAGATTAAGGTTGAGCATGTGATTTCTTCTAAATGTCATAACTTAGGGAACAGAGCACTTCATGATTAATGAATTAAAAAACGTGCTATCATACTTAATTTAATCTACAACCTCCTGCAATTTTGAAAAAAAAACCACTAGATATATCAAAAACTAATGCTATAATTTGCATATATGAAGTATGTGTGTCTGTGTGTGCATGCAAATAAAATTAATCCATGCCATTACTACCGTAAGCTATGAATTTTGTTCTGAATAACCTCCACATTTATTTTTTGGAAAATGCATATGTATTCTTGAAATCAAATGCCAACGAAAGTCTCATAATTATAATTTAACAAACTTAATTTTCTTCATTTAAAATTCTCTTATGTGAATATGAACACTTGTAAAATAAAGATCTGCTCCAACAGTACAGTAAAGGTGGTATTAACACCCTATTTTTTATGTGAAGTAGTAGCCTCATTTTTCCTTGCATCAGGGCTACCTTGTCTCAAAAGCGACCTAAACACTGGTGTATAAGGTTTAAATTAAAAGATGTAAAACCATGGCATCAAGAACAACATAGATTGCACCAATAATTATACCCTAGTGTGTGGAAAGCAGTTTATAATATTCATTATTAATCCTGCTAGTAAATTCTTCTAGAAATTTACGTAGGTGATAAGGAAAATTTAGCCAATGACTTCTGCAGTTGAACCAAACCAGTGACGAGCCATGGAGAAGTTCGTCAGGTGAATGGTAGCAAATCTGAATTTTGTTTTGAAATTCTAGCTAGTTATGTGGCCAAAAACATTTAAGCACTTTTGGCATATTCATGTCCAAAACTTAATCACATGCCACACTGGAATCAGTATACATGATAATTCTATTGTGAAACACTAAAATAAACATCAACTCACACTTTAAAAAATGAAAATAACAACGAAAAACATGGATATAATTAGAATCTGTTTTCTGAAGTCCTAGAAGTTTCATCAGTTATACCTGCTTCCCTGAGAGCTGAATGTTCTGACTAAAGGCAAGTTTTGGTAAGTAGTTTATTTTTACACTGTTCCTTTCCGTTCAGAATAAACAATAATGTGTGAGGCAGTGTGTTTGGTGTCCTATATTCCTGATAGCTAATATTATTCAAATTTCATTTGATTTGAATAATTCTTTTCTTTGAACTTTAGTGCAGGAGTGTGTGGCAGGTGAGGGGAAGCTCTATTTGCTATGCTTTAAAGACTCACTTTCATCTTTCTGGAACAAAGCAAGAGAAAACACATACCACGCACCACAATTCCATATACACAGTACTGTTTACCTATAGTGTTTTCCAGTTTTGTGTAGGTGCAGTTAATAGATTTCTTCATAGTTATATCCAAAATGAAGAGGTGGCATCATAATGCCTAGACCCTTAGGGAAAAACATATTAAAGATGTACATTTCCCAAAAATGAGTCAGTTGATTTTATTCATTAAAAATATGCATAATAAAAGGCCAAGCACAAAGCTCTTTATAAAAAGGAGCAAAATGTATTTTCCAGAAGAGTTAGATAAAGGCATGAGATGAATTTCAGTTAAATGGATCTATTTCTTTGTGGGTTTTGAGAACTCATTTTAGACACTGAATAGAGGCTGTTTTACATTATAATCATAGCTAGAGATTACATAGATGGAGGGAAAAAAAGTCTTTTGCTTTAACTCTTACTAAATTTCTATAAAGTATTTTAAAATCAATTTAAAAACCAAATCTGTACCTCTCCCCTCTATCACAGTTTTTGTAAGTAATTAAGAATTTTACCCGTACGATTGCACAGCAACTATGGAAGAGAGAGGTAGATGATTCGGCCACCCTCTCACAAGGAAACCCCCAAATACTTTAGGGCATTAAACACAAGGCTTTTGTTATCCAAAAGTAATTAGTTGCAGAGTACAAAAACATTTTGGAGCAGAATGTACATAAACATGAGTCATAAACAGCCGAAACCAAGAACACTAACAGTAAGTTCATAAAGAAATGCACAAATTCTATGTATCTTACAAAAATGATCCTCACAGATGTTGAATCCAAGATTATACAATAGAAAATATTTATATGTTTTACATTTAATATAAAAATTCTTAACAAATAAAAAAAGGCCTTGATGATAGACAAGAAGAAATTTTAGGGAATACATTAATTTTCAGGATGCCCCGAGGATAATACATCTTAAATACTCAGCTCCTGTTCTAGGCAAAGGCCAAATGCAGGCATTTTCTCAGGGTTCATCATTGGTGTTAAGAGAAAACCAGGTTAAGGAAGACTCAAGCAAGCTGGGAAAGGAAGTAAAAATTAAGCCAAAAAAGAATTCTGCCAAGCACAACATACCCTATCTAAAAAAATTTAGGAACATAAATCAAAGACAGTCGTGAGTATACATCAAGAAAATTCATATTGATGAGTTTATGGTCTTGGTGATAAATATCAAAACAGGAAGTCAGTTAAAACAAGTGTGCAAATAAGTAATGGGGACTGGGGGAAGAAGAGGAGAGAATACCTATACAATCTTGAAGGTAAACACTGCAAGGAGGAATTTAGTCATTTCATAGCTCCCAGTCCACCCTGGATGTGCATTTCTTGCAACATCTCAATAAGTTAAAGAACAGTTATTCACAAAACTTCAGGTTAGTGTTAACAGTTTTTACCTGGTTAATTTAGGGCTAGACACTCAGTTGCTTTAATAAGACATTTAGTTATGGTTCATCATAATAGTCACCCATTCTTCATCTTTATTAACTTAGAAAATTTTACTTCTCATTTAAAGCCCTGGAGCATTTTTTTTTTTTTTTTGAGATAAGAGTCTTGCTCTGTCACCCAGGCTGGTGTACAGTGGCACAATCTCGGCTCACTGCAACCTCCACCTCCCTGGTTCAAGCAATTCCCCTGCGTCAGCCTCCCAAGTAGCTGGGATTACAGGCGCACGCCACCACGCCTGGCTAATTTTTTTGTAGTTTTAGCAGAGATGGGGTTTCACCAGGTTGGCCAGACTGGTCTCGAACTCCTGACCTCAAGCAATCCGCCCATCTTGGCCTCCCAAAGTGCTGGGATTATAGGCATGAGCCACCACGCCCGGCCGAGCATACTTTTAAAAATGATTTTGAAACACGGGTCTCTTTTCTTTAAGTCAACATTTGTCTAAGCACGTCTGTAAACGTTCTGTTACAGGGAGAGGAAGAGTATTGAGCAAGTTCTCCTCAACAATCAGACAGTTCCGTTTTAGGGACTGACATCCTTCTAGTTCAGGAGGAAGTGTTTCCAGGTAATTACCAATGAGCTCCAGATGAGTAAGGTTTGACAGCTCACCCACATGAGGGGACAAATTCATCAAGCTATTTTTCCCCAAAAGTAAACACTGCAGCTTTTTGCACTGAAACAGCCCATCTGGTAGCATCTCAATCTGGAAAGGGAAGAAAAAAGAAGCTGGTAAAATAGGTTTTTGGTGGCTTATGATAAGACATTTACCTTTTTTCCAAAAAAAAAAAAACAAAACATTTCTGGAGGTTTATAAGTGATGCAGACTACAATGATGATAAATTTGAAGTAGATGAAAAGATAGAGGGAAAATGAAGACAGGAGTACAATGAGGAGTGAGGACTGTGGCTACCCTGGACACCTACATCCTTGCTGTATATGGGTGGGCAACGAATTTGGTTTTAAACACTCTAACAAGCAATTCTTAAATAAAATGTAGTTATACACACATTGTCGTTAAGATAAAAACAAACCAGTAAGAAAAATCATAATTACTCTTGAGTCCTTGATCAGAAATAAATTACCCTCAAGAGTCTTCATAAAAAGTTTACTGTGTAATGTAATGAATAATACCCTTAAAAACATCCTAAGAATCTGACAGCAGACTGAAAACCTTATTCTCTTTTTTAAAAAAGCCTACAGAAGCAGAGCAAAAAAATATGATTATATATACATGCACATTTCATTCCCCTCTACATACACATACACCTGAATATTTACTCTTGTTCCTTCCCTCTGGCATGGTTTCAACTAAATAATTTATAACACAGATACTTTTAAATATAATAAATATTATGCAAATTAGGTCAACTCCTAAAGCTGCTCCCGTTGACTGCTGCCCTATATGGTAGATAGGTTGCATGTCAATTTCTAAGGGCGCCACAGTACATAGAAGAAATAGGGTTTATTGAGGAAAGACCTCCAGAGAAGAAGTTGAGCACATACACAATCCCTTCAACTCATCACTTCACTGAGGGATAAGTCTGGCCTCAGCATAGATAGACTGCACATACCACCGCTCCCTACCCCCCATAATACTCTACATATTGGCTGGGGACAGGGGCCACCTACAAAAACTATGAAATAATGTAGGTTCCTTGGTTCCAAAACTGGCTTTGTTAGAAACAGGGATAAAAAGGGCACTCAGGGACTTGGCCTATATCCTCTGACGGGCTAATGCAGACCGGCTGGGAGACAAGTTTCTAGGGCCATCCAGAACTGTCTCTCCTCAAAAGGATAAATAGCTTTTATATAAACTAAAAAATGACCAAATTCCATTAAAAATGTTAATGATGTTGTAAACTCCATTCTCCTACATCACCCCTCCCTCTAACACACGTTCAGTGCTGTATATCCTTAAAAATAAATCTAATGATTGTCACTGCTAAGAACAACATTCCATATAGATCATCATTGTACACCAAAATATTAGATATAAACAAAGGGAAAAATATCTACCCTTTACTTTCATTTCCTTCCCAAGAGCAGATGCAAACCCTACATATGCAGACTTACATTGGGAGATGAGGCAGAGAGATGAGAAGAAATGCAACCTCTTTCTAAGGCAACCCCTTCTGCACAGAGATACCTGCAGCTCAGAAGTAGGATCAGTGATGTCCAAGTGAAGGAAAAAATCAGTCCTTTGCAGTGTGCATTATTAAGAGTGCTTGTTGGTGCCTATGAAATGACTCAGGCAAACTGGCTAAAAAAGAAATTAGGCTTGGCTCATTTATATTCAGTGAGCACGTGCTGAGTGCCTTCTAATGTGCCAGGCTCCCAGCTAGCTGCTGGGATCAAGTACTGAGTTAGAAAGACTGCCTTTGAAAACTTTAGCCTAATGCAGGTCACCATGGACATCTCAGCCTCAGCACTGTTGACATTGTGGGTGGAAAAATTCTTGCTGTGGGGCTGTCCTGTGCAGTGTAGGATGTTTAGCAGCATCCTCAGCCTCTACCCACCAGTTACCAGTGCCACTCCCCTTCCCAGTTGTGACAACCAAAAATGTTTCCAGACAAATGTCTCTTGGGAGGCAAAATCATTCCCAGTTGAGAAGCACAAGTCTCACGGAAGAGAGAAACATGAAACGATTACACAATTGTCTGTAATGAGTGGTATGAAGAAAAGTGCCCTAACCTGAGCTGCATTAGGCATTCCGTATTTCCCTTCTTCAGTCAGCTTCAGATTCCCAGCAAGTACCTCGTTTAACTGGACTGATTTCCTACTGGGTGATTACCCTGAAGCCACTGCCCTCACTCTCTTGTCTGGCTATCAGCACTACCACATTCCCACCAGTCTCCTTCCAAATCTCTACATCTGTGATTTTAGTGAACTTCTTAGGCTCCACTAGAAGAGAGGGATTTCCCAAGGTAGTGGGAGTGGGCCTCAGGGCCAGCCCCTTAGCATTGCTGCTGTGAAAGTGAGTCAAGGGCTGCGCTGGCTATGTGCGAGAGTCCATCTCTGGGGCTTTCTCTCCAGCTCTCTGCCCAGCTAAGGCACAGGATCTTACCTCACCTACTCTCATTCAATTTTTCTAAAGGAGCCTGGGGAGTTTTGTTAAAGACTCAAGACTTTCCTTCAATTCAGCAATTTTATCCTGAAAAATCTACTTACAGCTTTAAAAATAGTTTGCCTTGAAGCTTACAAGAACTCCAATTTTGCCTGGGTCAACAAATTCTATAAAAAATGTTAGAAAACAATTATTTAAAACTAATTTATTTAGCATGCCCTTTCTTAGACTGTATGACACATGAGCCAGAGAGCCAAAAATTACCTTAGTGGATCACTGATTTCTTCTAAAAAAACCAATGGGAAAGCTTACAGACTACTATGGGGATGACATACTTCAACAATAAAATAGTTTTATGGAATAAACTACAACATATAATACACACATACATAAGCTATATGATAAACTACAAAATAGATGACAACAACAAAAACTAATGGCTATATTATCTCTCTACATCCTAGAATTCTCTGACAACCAAATGTCTTCAGCAAAATGAATTGAAGTCCCCGAGAACAGGATGGTTTTCTTTTACATCTATGGCTGACATTGTTAATTAAATACCCCTGGCTTTTTCCCAGAGGCTGAGATCTTACTTTAGAATCCTTCTCAATACCAGATTTCCTTTTTTTTTTTTTTTTCTGGCCACTGACACATGCCATCTCAGGAAATGCTTACCAAACCCTAAAGTCCAATCATTTCAAGAAACACAGCTGAATATTTCTGTTTCTAAGTAGTGATGCCAAAAATAACAAAACCCAGTGTCACATAGATGATCTTCAGAAGGAATTTCTACATTATTCACCTTCTGGCTAGAAGTCTTCAAACTAATATAAGAAAAAAAAAAAAAAGCACAAATGTGGAAGTAAGAAGACCTAGGTGTAAATTGGACTGGTCTAAGATTTCAGCAAACCTAGCTCAATCCTTTCCCATGCCTTGTGCTTCTCTCCATTACAATCAATGCCACCATAATCCAATTACTCTTTGGCACTGTGATAGGGATGGATCTTGCCTCCATTTCTCCCACCTTCCATGTCCACCCACATATACCACTGTACCCCATGTGGAATCACTTGGATTGATGCATAGGAGACACAGTAGAAGAATAGTAGAGTAGAAATCAGAATGTTTGGGTTCCATCCTAGCCCCCTTGCCAGGAAACTTCAGACCTCAGGTGAATTGCTCTGAGCCTCAGTAAAATAAGGGCAGTGGACTAGAGTAGGGGCTGGTAAAGTTTTTCTCCAAAGGACCAGAAGAATAAGTATTTTAGGCTTTCTGGGCCAAGAGGCAAAAGTGAAAATATTATGTAGGTCCTTATATAATAGAAAAAATATTCCATATATTTTTAAGTAATGAAATTCAAAATATAACAATTGAATATAATTTTGTTGTAATACAGGCCCACTAATAAAAATGATGGAATCTATTTGTAGAAATTGAAATTTGAGTTTCATATAATTTTTACGGGTCACAAAACATTCTTTTGATCTTCTTCCCCCAACCATCTAAAAATGTAAAATCCTTTCCTAGCCTAGGCTGTATAAAAACAGGCAGTGGGTAGACTTGACCCCCAGGCTGCAGTCTGCGGACTCAGTGTTCCTTTCAGGTATGAGAGTCTTTGTCTCTTGTTTTAAATCTATACTCCTACCTCTAAATCATAACTGATTCAACCTTTCCATGGGGTTTTGTTTCTTGGCTGTCCTCTCCTAAGCCTTTTATATGCTACAATCAGAGCCTCCTTTGAAGGTACCAGTTCAGGCTAACTAGCACTTTCAAGCTCAAGTCTCACCCTAGTCACTATCCAATGAATCAAACATGAATTTGACTGGCAGACTTCCAGGCACTCTCCATTCTGACCCACCTTACTAAATGGTCTCATCTCTTATTATATTTGGTTATGTTTTTTTCAGTCCTCTGTGGATGACCTCTATTTTTTAACGCTTCCCTAATCCAGTGTTCTTAGGGTATGCTTCACAGAACACAAGAGTCACTCTATAAAAAAAGGTGTCTTGCTCAAACACATTTGATGAATATTGCATACCATCTCTCCTTGGAGAAGCACAATGCATATTCATATGTTAAAGGCTCTGAAGAATCCTGCAGCAAAAATATGATCAAAAGAAACATTTAATGTTTTTTGTGGTGACACCTATTACCGTCCTATGGAAGACACCCTGAAGTGCCTGCTCAGTGAATATCCGCCACCCAGGGACTGCCCAGCACGTTCCCATGTCGAGGGAATTCCCTACCTTATGAGTCTTGGTGGGTAGTAGAGCTCACTTTCTACTAGAGAAACTACTGACACCAGATTCTTGTGTTCTCAGCTCTCCTATAGCCACAATGTGGGCATTCATTAGCTATGCCAATCAGTTGCTCAGACTCGGACTTTGAACCGGGGCTAACATTACAAAGAAGTGGAAGCCATGAAGAATCTATTCTGTGGGAGGCCTAGGGTCACAACAGCAGCAACATCAAGTTTTCAAGAACAGAAGCAGTGCTCTGAGCTGGTAAGGTCCTCGTCAGTGTATCCTCACCATTGTGCTTTTCCGCTATGATTCTGGCTACAGTCCTCACTGCTGCCTGACTTACTTTGTGCCTGATTGTTTTCCAAGCTTGGTTTTGCAATCTTTTCAGTGGTAATATGAGATACCTAATATCCTTTCAACTAATGTCTTTTCTGCTTAAGAGGTAGTATTTGTTGACTCCATCTATAAACCTGATACGCTGCCCAAGTCTTGAGATCAGACTTTTAAAATGCCTCTTATAGGAATCTTTATTAACTGCCGTTCCACATGGATTAATTGGCTTGAATTTCTTTGTATATGCATGTCTAACTATGTATGCAGCCAATGTGGTATTTTCTTATTTTCCTTTTTTGAGATGGAGTCTTGCTCTGTCGCTCAGGCTAGAGTGCAGTGGCAAGATCTTGGCTCACTGCACCTCTGTCTCCCGGGTTCAAGCAATTCTTCTGCCTCAGCTTCCTAAGTAGCTGGGACTACAGGCGCGTGCCACCATGCCCGGCTAATTTTTTTATTATTAGTAGAGATGGGGTTTCACCATATTGGCCAGGCTGGTCTCAAACTCCTGACTTCGTGATTCAATATTTTGATCTAACTCAGAATCATGAGACTCTGAAGGTTGTAAATAATCTTAAAATTAGTTAAATCCCCACATGAAACATGAATTCCTGATGCCCTTTAACAGCCTTCCTACTGAGTATCTGGCAGTCCCTGTCTGGAGAGCTTTATTAATAAGAAAATGACTTTTCCCTCCTCAAGTGCTCATTCAATCTTTGAATGCTATATGGGAAAGATGAGAAATCTTCCCCTGATGGTCCTAGTTTTCTCCGCTTGCCCTAAGTTCTAACACTGTAGCTATTCCCAGCAAGTTTTGTTCTCCATGTAAATTTTTCAAATATCTGAAGACCAATATTGTAGACAATTCTCCCGTGCCACCTATAGTTCCCATCATGAGGCTAAAGTATTCCATCAGAGTTGTCATCTTCCTGGTGGCTGTCCTCTGATGAGTTTTAGTTTATTTATATTGTTGTTACATAGTCTCTGAACAGTGCTTCTTTGACCCTAAGTTCACCAATTCAAAGATGTCATGTTCATCATTTTGGCTCCAAAGATGATCAGCAACTACTTTTTCTCAGATTTCTGGGACAACCCACTCAAAAAGATACCATTCTATTTTGGTTATAAAGTATTTTCAGCGTAAGACTTTTCCTGTGCTACAAAGTATTCTTTCTTATTCAAGAAAGCATGTGCCTGATATTCACACTTATTATTTCAGATATGGTCCAGGATTCCATAAACTTGGTGTCAAAAGTACTAATGGTCTCAAGGTTTCTTCATTACATTAACTTGGTGGAAACATTCACCTGCTCATACATTTAAATAATGCATGGCCAGCTAACAATTGAATAAGCTCCGACTTTCAAAAATCCATTTTTGAAAGTGATTTAACTGTGTATAACTGCTTAGTGGAACCAATGCCTTTAAAAGTAATTATTGATATTTTTATTATAAATTTAACAATGGAAAAAATGTGATCAAAATATTAATATTAATCACCTGCATAATTAAATGGCACTGATACACTTCTAGACTTGTGATTTTTCAGAGTGCAGTCACTAGGCCAGCATCATCAGCTCCACCTGGGGACTTCTTAGAAATGCAAACTCTTGGGTCCTACGTCTGGCCTACTGAATCGGAAACCCTGGGAGCGGGGCTCAGCCATCTGTGTTTCAGCAAGCCTTTTGGGTAATTCTGATGCACACTGTTAGTCTAGGTCAATCCTAATGTAGTTTTAAAATCTCATAAACCTTTAAGATCTGAAGATGTCTCATTTATCTAACAATGGACTCTCTCCTTTTACATATGAATAAAGTCTGAGAGTTCTAAAAATCAGCATGAATTTTGCTCTCATCCCCCAATTTTCTGGTATTTATCTAACACCCATGTTTTTCAAAAATAATGTATGATTAATATGTTTATTAGCCAACACCATGCTCATAGCTATATTTACCATGACATATGAACTACAAAAAGTCTAAAAGATAATACATTTTCTTTCTTTCTTTCTTTCTTTTTTTTTTGAGACAGAGTCTCGCTCTGTTACCAGGCTTGAGTGCTTGAGTGGTGGAATCTCGGCTCACTGCAACTCCACCTCCCGGGTTCAAGCGATTCTCCTGCCTCAGGCTCCTGAGTAGCTGGGACTTCAGGTCCGTGCCACCACGCGCAGCTAATTTTTGGATAATATATTTTGAAGTGTGGTGGAATAGCTGTACCCATTTTCAAGTAGAGGAATGTCAGTTTCATCCCTTGGTAGATTTGATTTCTGACCAGGTTTTCCCTCTTTCTTCCCAAATGGACATTAGCCTCACTCTCTTGCCTTTAGACTACAGTGAATTTTTCCTTTTTCCTCCTCCTCCATATCTTAACCTAGGAAACTACTCATTTATTTTGTTTTTTCATGGTTTGGTAAAGTTAAGTTTTCTTTAATTTGGTTTTACTATTGCAAATTTGGTTCATTCTAAAGCATGGATCCTGGAAAAAGCTTCTAAGAAGCTGTAGTGTTGCATTATAGAGGCAGGCCTTTCATTTTGAATCATCTTTCTAGACATGCATGCAGATTTCAAATCTTTTTCACCACATCACAAAAAGGATTTATGAATAATTCATAATCCCAGCATTTTAGAACAAGAAGTTATTTTATTATGACAGATTTGGAAAGCTGAAAAGTTTTGCCAAACTCCCTAAATACCTAAAACCTTTATAAAACAAAAAGTAAGCTCTACCATAATGAATTAAATAGTTTAAAATACTTTGTGATGTTTATGTAGAAAACTGGGAAAAAAACAAAGAGAAAAACATTTGCTGAGCAACTATTATGTGCCAGGAACTGTGCCAAATGCTTTTATGTTTTTTCATAAAATCTCCACGATGACTTGTAATTTAGGTTAAAAATGGATGCTCAGTGTTTTGGTAATTTATGCAAGATCGGATTGGGCTTGGCTTGAGAACACACAGTATGATTTGAAGTGTGTTTTCTTTCCCTATGTAATGCACTATAAGTACGGCAGATACTGAATAAAAGAAAGAATGGATTTACTTACATTGTTGTTGGTCACAGCAAAGTACTGCAAATTACTCAGATACTGGATTTCTTCTGGAATGAAGGTCAAGTGGTTATAGCTTAGATCCAAATAATGTAGTTTAGTGCATAGGAAAAGCTGCAAGGGCAGATTCTCAATATTATTATGGTCCAAAGAGAGCTGCTCTAGGTTAGATAATGCCCCAATCTGTGCAGGAATATAAGCAATGTTATTGTGCCACAACTTTAAGCAGGAAAGATTCTGAAGATGCTGAAAGCTAATGATCTCTTCCACAGTTTTAAGGTTATTTTCCCTTAGGTCTAACTCATGCAAATTATTCAGGCTGAAAATGGAATGTGGGATGCGTTCCAGGTCACAGCTGATCAGTTCTAGGCTTTTCAGATTGACCATCTTTTTCAAGTTGTTCAACACAACCAGTTTGCTTCCCTCATTATCAAGGGACAGTTTCTGCAATGAAGGCAGGAGGTCTGTAACAACTTGTGGGATCCGGGAGAGGCTGCTCTTCAAGTACAGGGTCCTTAGATTTTTTAAGTCCTGAAAGCCCTCCAACTGCATAGTACTCAACTGTTCAGGGAGAACACAGCCCGAAAGATAAAGTTCCTTGAGATTCTTGAGGTGAAATACCCAGCGTGGGATTTTTCCCATTTCAGTAAATTTCAGGCGGAGGATTTTTAAATTCTCCTCTAGAAAGGCCAGTGCAGGATGGTCTACGACCAGAGATGAATGGTACACACGAAGCTCCTTGAGGTTGACCAGCTGTGAGACTGCAGAGGGCAGCTTCACCTCTGGGATAAGCTCCAGGCTTAGCACTTCCATTTCAGTTAACTCAAAGACATTGTCTGGAAGACCGTTGAGCATAAAAAGATGCAGTTCTATCTTGTCCTGGGCATTTTTCACAAGCTTACTTTTCAGTTTCTCAACTGTCCATTCATTATTGAGGTTGATCTGTTTCAGTTTGTTCTCACTGACCTCTGATAGGAATATGGAGAAGCGTTTGGAATAAAGAGGATCATACTGATCAGCCAGATGAAGGATGAAGGCAAAGTCATTCTTGACATCAGGGATGTCACTGTAGTTGCTTTTTTCTCTTAACGCCTCAAAGGAATATTGCTTCAGGGAACTCCTCAGCATCCACCACAGGCTGTAGGAAGAGGTCAGACCATAAAGTATAACCAAAATGACATAAAATGAAGCCAGGACCTTAAAGATTTCTGCCAAGGAATAGACACACTGGTAGCGCTTATATCCTGTAAAAGCCTGCACATCAACTGAACAGTCGATTTCAAGAGTGATGTGGGTTAAAAAATATGGAACATAAGTTATGATGAGCACAAACAAAATGACTTTGACTATTATCTGTTTCAGATATACTCTATAAATGATGTCCTTCTGCTCCACATGCATGCGGAATCTTTTCACTTTTTCAAAGATGGCTTTGGCCTGTTCACCCTCCTTCTTGTCCAGGACACTGGAAGTTGGGCTTTCTATGCCAGCTGACTCCAAACCTGGCTGTGGGTAGGGCAATGACTGTTTGCCGGAATCTATGTCAGCTGAACACCCTGAGGACGAAAGCAAAATCTTGGACTTGGAGAGTTTCAGAGGCCTCACTGACTGCTCAGCCACTGTTTCTGAAAGGGCGCGGGTGGTCCATGGAGAATCGAAGCACTTGTGAAGGATGGCCACAAAATGCTCGAGCCTGGAACTGGTACTGGGGTAGTGAAGCCAAAAGTTGCTGCAGGCTGCAAAGATGAGCGTGTGCAAGAGCACCAGATAGGGGAAAAACTTTGCAAACCAATGGAGCTGTTTCTCGTAACAGACGGCATCAATATAGGAGTACTGCTGTCGGTGGAGGTCATTCTGAATTCGGAGGGGGAGCGGAAGCGGTGTCCCAGGATTAGAGGATGTGTTCATGCTGGCTTTCAGGATGTCCCAAGGCACGGCACAGTGATTGTCAAATTCCACTTTGCATGGAAGACAGCACAGAACCCTGCTCTGCGTCAGCTGGAGAGCTCCGGCCAGCACGGCCACCAGCAGCATGATCAGTGTGATGTAATACCAGAAGACGTCCCACCATGGTTTTAAGATGTGATAAGATGACTGGGCATCTGCTAAGCATTTTAGCTCAGTTAGTGTAATCATGACTTTCCCTTGTAGGAGGACAGAAACTGGAAGAGGGAAATAAAAGAAACACTACTGAAGCAAGTACTCAAATAAGCATTTTACTCTAATATTCATACACACATGCCCTCCTTCCCAAGTAGGATTTAGCTCTGGGGTAAAACCTAAAAGGAAGAGCTGATTAAGGGGCACATAAGTCTTCTGGTTTCATTTGAAACTATAGGCCATCCAACTCTGAACCATAGTCTCTTAGATGGGGGACCATTTAGTGATACTGACTAGAAAGAAATTTAGGGGTAGCCCTTGAGGTAATTATCTCGTTACCTCTTGTATCTCAACTCCAGGCTAGGCTACTAAAAACCAGGAGCCAATTTTTCTTCAACTGACATTTGAAAAACTTGTTCCTATGCTACTAATATTTTTTTCTTTCTTTCTTTCTTTTTTTCTTCCTTTTTTTTTTGAGACAGGGTCTCACAGGCCTCAGACTCTTGGCCTCAAGTGATCCTCCCTGCTTGGCCTCTGAAAGTGCTGGAATTACAGCTATGAGTCACCACAGCCAGCCACCTAATTTCCAGTGGTCACATTTTACCTTCCAAAATGTCTGAGTAAGCTCCTTTCCACACCTTGTCCCATGTCTGAAGCATCACTTACAGCCCAAGAGTTGTTTTAGTCACCACAAGGAGCCTCTTTTAAGCAAGCTCTGCTTTGTGAAATTACCCCTTAGGCTTAGTGGGGTCTACAATTCTATGCCCAGAACAACCTGTCACTGAATGCATTATCTCCTTTCCACACAAGCTTTCGCTTTGTAATTTAAGTACATGAGTATGAAAAAACTTAGAGTATTTAAAAGTTGGGAAGTATTTAAAAGTTATGGCTTAAAAAAGAATAAGAAAGAAAAGCTCTGCTAGAATATTCTATCATGGGGACTCCCTCTCATGTTTAATGTTGTGATGGCAAAGTACTAAAAGGATAAACGATGGAGGCATATTCCATTATTAAATTACTTTTGCCTTCAGGAAAACAAGATTATCTTGTATTTTCATACTGAAAAGTATTCAGACAACATTCCTGAGAATTTCTATGTTGAGTCTTACATACATCAATTGTTTCAAAAATTGCTAATCAGTAAAATCCAGATGATCTATAAGATGGCACAGAGTAAAGTAAAAGGAAATATGTGGGTCTTAGAAAATATCTGATAAGAAAAAGAAGAAAAATAATAATGGTAGCATGGTGCCCCCTTGCTGGTAGTCCAGCTCTAATCTATTTTCAAGGGTTTCTCTTGGATTTTCTTGAGTCTGAAGTCTTATCATTTATTCTGGGCCAGAGTTACTCTCTAGACACTCTAGTATTAGTAGCATCCCCAAGGAAGCCTTTTTTTTTTTTTTTTTTTTTTTTGAGACGGAGTCTAGTGGCGTGATCTCAGCTCACTGAAACCTCCACCTCCTGGGTCCAAACAATCCTCCCGCCTCAGCCTCCCGAGCAGCTGGGACTACAGGCACATGGCATCACGCCCAGCTAATTTTTGTGTCTTTTTAGTAGAGACAGGAGATGGGGTTTCACCATGTTGGCCAGGCTGGTCTCGAACTCCTGACCTCATGATCTGCCCACCTTGGCCTCTCAAAGAGCTGAGATTATAGGCCTGAGCCACTGTGCCTGGCCAGGAAGACTTTTTTACTCTCATTTGCCCTCTTTCTGGGGTCTGGTATCCTGCCTTGAACCTTAGAGTCCCATTACAGAGTCCCTGCTCCCTGTTAATAAGTCTCATCCTCAGCATATTCCTGACCATCTGACCCTGAACCCTACAGCTTCATGCTCTTGTACCTGTTAAGGCATTTTACAATTTCTGAGCTTAACTGCTGGACTGGAGCACTACTTTCTGCTTGTGTCCTCTCTGGGTATCACATAATATTATATGGATTCACCTTCCTCCTAGGACCTACAGGTGGATTATATAGCTCTTCAGGGCTTCTCTCCTTCACTCCAGTTTAGTGGATCTATTTCTAACTCTCAACTCTTCTCATTCTGCCTCACCTCTCTGCCTTACATAATTGTGTGTCGAGGTAAGACAGAAACTAAAATGAGAGGAATACATGAAGCAAAGAGAAAGTCCTGGGCTTAGACCTCAAAATACTATAAATATGATGTGGCCAGGGGTGTGAGGGATGGTAGAAAACACTGCTGGATGAAAGAAAGAACATGTGAAAAACAGTTTAGGATTTTAGTTGACATGTATGCATACTTTCAGCTAGTCATGAGACAGCTGTTACGCTGAAATACTGATTATAACATCTGGCCATATTAATAGGTAAACCCAGATAAAGGAGCTGCAGTCCTTCTGTACCTGCCTCGTGAGATCACAATACTGAAACCCAATGCTCAGTTACAGGTTAAAGATAAAATGGGCAAAAAACCAACCAGGAGCTGTTGTTTCTAAACCGTTTCCTACAGAGGAACACGGGCAATCGATGATATTCAGCTGAAATAATAGATGACTAGGTGAGCCCGAGAATTTATCTTTACATTTTTGCGCAACAACCTCACAGGTGAAAGAATAGTGGATTTGTTCCCAAGGTAGAACCAGGTAGATGGAAGCTTTAGAAAATCACATTTTGATTCAATCTGTGGTGGAAAGTCATCGAACTAGCTGCTCTGTGAAACAGTTCAGCTCTATGTCCTGAGCAGAATCTTGATAAATAAAATGACCATCCATCAGGAGAGTTGCAAAGGAATTTCTTGTAATGGATAAAAAGAGTGAAGCAGATAATTTCAAAGGGTTCTTTCAGCTCTAAATTCATGTTTCATTTGTCCTCTCAAAGGTCCTGAGAATTAAATTCATTTAAGATATGCAACTGAAATTGTAGAAGAATGAAAACAACAATAGCTCTAACAATGATAAGGGTATTTGACAGAGTGAATATTTATTCAATAAAAATACAAGTCAACATTGACCAAAAAAAGTGTTTTAAATATTTATACTTACTACAGTGAAAAAAATTAAATAAATCCAATATGCTTCAGTCAGGAGGTCTACACCTTTTGAAGTTTCTTAGACACACCATCTCTGTGTTTGTCTTCATTCTATGAGAAAACATAGATATCTTGAAATAGCTACAGTCATTCAAACAAACAAACTGGAGATACTGTCTCCAGAAGCCCTCTCAGTCATAAGACATGACATGGCAAATAGATTTTCACACTCTGGGCCTCAAGCAATCCTTCCACCTTGGCCTCTCAAATGCTGGGATTACAGGTGTGAGCCACTGTGCCTGGCTTAGATTTTCATAGGTCAGTTTACTTTTCACACTGGGGCACATTCTGGCAAAGGTGTATCTACAGGGCCCCACTCACATTCATTAAACCATACTCACTCCCTGAACTTCCTTTCAATTACAGGTTAGTTCCCACAGCAATTTAAACACAACATATTTTAAAATTCTGTGTCTACAACACTTAGATGAACACAGCTTTTCTAAGTAGTCGACATATGTTAATTTCTCTCACTCATTCCTCAAACACAGTCGTTCTTATTTGCATTTTTCAGACAGCTTGTCACACCAAGTGATTTCTGTACCCATATTTAAAACCAAACATCTATCCAAATAAGTCTCAGTGCTCCTAAAATTTAGCCTACCAATCTCATTAGAAAAAGTGATAAGTTAATATACTTTTTCAGATACAGCTCAGAAATATGGCTGAAATTACTTGAAATTATGTTATTATTAAACATACTTAGGCTTTATATTAGATTTGTTTAATTTAGAGTTTAATAAAAGCCATTTGTAACATTTATAGTTCAATAATTTGTGATAGTTAAATTACATATATATTGATAATTTGAACTGTGAGAAAATTGTAAAATGCTAGAATTTGTTTTTAATTGAAAGTAAAAATTATATCTTTTAGTGCCTATGAAACCTCAAAAAAAAAGTTTCTAGGGAGATTTTGTATTATACAATCCTTTTTAAAAAGTACTTCAAATCTTCCTAAGAGTACTGACCCCAAATTGTATTTAAGATACTTTTAGCAATAATCTTTTAAGCTTGTCATTTCAAATATCAAAAATTTGGGCATGTCCAAAACTTACTTTGGGTTTACCAAGTCATGTGCAAAGCCTATTTTACAATTAGTCACCATCCAGCATCAAATTGTTTTGCAGGTTAGAAAGCACAGTTAGTATGTATAAGAACCTAGCTGTACACTAATTCATAACTACAGGGCACAACTGGAGTAAGATTTCTCATTCACAATTCACAAGCCTTTATAAAAGTCTTACAACATATATCACATGACTGCATTTATGTGCACTGAGCATGATAAAGACATCTGATGTGTGAAACATTTTACATATTCTTCCATAGCGGCTGCATTTGTAACATGCCAGAAAAGAATTTATTGCATAATTCAAAAATGTTACTCAGCCATGATTCTTCTTATACAGTTCTCCTTAAATATTAGAAATATACTTTCTACTTTATTAATAATTTAACATCTGTTTTTCTACCTTCAAAGCATGTCTCATTTACATTAATTTGTTTTATACTTAAAACAAGCCATTGAAATAAATAGTATTACTCTTTATGTTTATATGCATAGAAATTAAGGCAGTCCCAAAGAATTAACCTTGCCCAAGGTGACAAAACCTCTAAGAAATAAAGTTGCAACTGGAACTTAGGTCCTCATACTCAAATCCCAACCTCATGCACACCAGACCACATGGCCTCAGTCAATCCAATTAACTACGCCACAGTCTTAGGTCTCTCAAAAGCTGAAGAAAAAGCTAATTAGCGCTCTTTCCCAACTCATCCAATATCTGCATTATAACTGGGTTATAACTGCATTATAACTGGGTTTGAATAAGGATGCAAATGTAGTTTTCTGTAATGTCTTCCGTTACATATAATCTACTTTCTCAGCTAAACATTTTCCTACTAAATATTTTCTACTGAACTAAAACTTAATATTTAAATATATAGCATCTGGATTTAAGTATATATAAAACATCTCAGCATTCCTATGTATAAAATGATGATAATTTTCCTATTTGAAGTGCTTAACTAGAGAGTTTAAGCATAGCTATCTTTTGTCATTATGCCATTTAATACTGTCTGTCCAGGAAATTGTTTCCAGACCATATTTTAGTAAACAATGATGATTCAATCCAAATAAAATATCTATTTCTAATATACAAACACACTAAATCAATCCAAAGAAATGTTAAGAGTAATGGATTTTACGGTTCTAATCCCATTATTTCAGCTTTTAAACCTCATTAAGAAGTCATAAAAGCTTTTTCAAAACACATGAATTCACTTGACAATCTTACTCCAAAGTCTCTAAGACTGTAACATCAACATTCAAGTTAGGCATCTTTACTTCCCAGTAGTCCTTATTTTACTTTGAAAGCATTTCTAAAATAACAAGTGAAAAAATAAACAAATGATGATCAGATGGTATTTAGTGTCATTATATACTGAGAAGAGGACGCTACTTCAAAGATCTGTCTCTGACCCCAGGCAGGGATTATAGCCGAACAATTCCAAATAGCGGTTCTCTACACTACTCTCATTGAAAATTGATTTAAAAATCACCTTATATCCCTTCAAAATGTTTAGTGCTACTTCCCATTAAGATGTTTCTTGGGACTAACATATATCTAACTGAAATTTAAATTCGCCTTTTGTTGAGTTCTCTCTCTAGGAAACAATGCATCAGTATCTCTGATTAATATGCCCCTTTTCTTTATGCTAAGTAACTCATTTCACCATTCTTGAGAGATTTAATGACAAGCATTAAACATATTTCAAGTGCTTAAATGATCACCGGCAATAACATTTGATATACTAGTTTCCTTATGTCCCTTTGTAGTTCTTTCAAATCTTGTTAGTACAGTGATTTTCAAATAACAAACATGCTTCCCAAACTCAGTCGTAGTTTTGAGACCTAGAAAGAAAGATTTTTCTAATAGTGGTTCTCTAACATTAATGTACATAAAAATCACCAAGAGCTTATTAAAACATGAAGTGATTAGTCCATCCCTCAGAGTTGCCAATTTGTAAGGTAGGAAGTAGGTCTCAAGAATTGCATTGCTAACAAATTCCTAGTTCATGTTGATGCTGCTGGTCCAAGGACCACTTTTCAAGAATCACAAACCTAAGACAGTGATTCTCAATCTCAGCTTCACCTTAGAACCTCTTGGGGCACTTTTAAAAGAAACGTAAACCCAGGCCTTACTCCCAAAGAGCAAGTCAATTGGTCTAGGAGAGGCCAGATTTTTTTTTTCCCCCAAATCTCCCCAGGAGGAGAAAGCGTACAAGATAGACAATAAACTGTCTGAGAAAAGTGCCTGTCTTTTAAGTCTTCTTGGAAGTTGCACTAGACTTCTAGGATGCTCTCTCCCCTCTACAGACTACAAAGTAACAGCTACCATCTCCACATGAATCCTTTAGAGGCTCAGGAACGTGAAGCAGTAGAACAGTGAATCACTGAGCTATGGAGAGATGCAGGATGGATTATGGGAGAGGGATTAGAAACAAAGGGAGCAGCTGAAAGGCTATTTCAATAGTGCTGTCATCCAGCAAATGTTTTAAAGGTCTAGCATTTAAGAGAAGCAGTACGTTTTCTGTCCTACTGAGCACTGCATTTAGTAATTGAAAAGCAGTTTTCTTTTGTTTAATGTGTACTTTAAAACATGTCTTTGTCAGGCACGGGAATGGGAATACATTTTCTCTTAAACTCAATACTTTATAATAGAATAATAAGGCTAAAGTTTACAATATGTTTAAAAAGAAAGCAAAGAATAAAATAGTCAAGGGAAATTAAAATTCAGTACCACCTAGCAACATCAGATAAAGAGGTCCACGGAGAGGCAGGAGTCAAGTGGATTCAGATTTTGATCCTATGATATGATAGTATCTTACATAGTTTCCAGCACATGGGGCACAATAAATATTTATGTAATAATTAAATGTACAAAAATGAAAAAGATCCCCTAACCATTCAAACTTTTAGGGTGTATTCAGGGTGATAGAGCCTTTCCTAGGAAGAGGCAAGAACTCAGCAACAATAGAGATGGAAGAGTTTTTGCTAACTGTTCTGCATATTCCAAGCCTTAATGGCTTAAGAAAAGGTTTTATTTCTTGAGATTCTGTGGGAGGTTTTTTTACTTCATAGTGTTGGCTGGCACACCTTCCAGATGGTTGGAAGGTACAAAATGTCCTCATTCCTTAGGCTGGTAGTTGGTGCTAACTGCTGGCTGGTAACTCCTTCATGTGAGACTCCATGTGGCTCTTCGAGTGTCCTCACATAGCATGGTGGGTGGGTTCTAAGACAACATTCCAAGCATAAAAGTGAAAGCTACAGCTCTTTTAAGGCATAGGCTTGAAGCTACACAGTGACACATCCACCAAAATCTACTGGCCAAAGGAGTCACAAGGCCAGTCCAGATTCAAGGGGAAGGGAAGTGGACTCTATCTTTCAATAGGAGGAGTGGCAAAGAGTCTGCAGCCATGCTTAGTCCACCACAGTCTACTCTCTGGCCAGAAATGATTTACATTCCTCTTACATGGAAAGCACACTAAACCCTTTCCCAAGCCCCCCAAAAACTTCATCCCCTTATGGCATCAAATTCAGGCTTGAAGTCCAGGATCTTGTCATCTAAATCAGTTCCAGAATGCTGTGGGACAAGACCCTTGAAATTATTAGAAGCCCTTCCGTCTAGCTGAGAGGTTCTATGAGGCACTGCCTTCAATCTTTTTGACGTTTTAACGAAGGGTCTTACAGCTATGCCTTTGCTTTTATTTTCACTTTGAGCCCAAGTTTTACTGGCAGTAATGTTCTGGATCTGATCTTTGGACCTGAGGCCACTTCTTTCTTTGAGTATCTTTTGCTGGGTAGAGGAACTGGTCTTTTGCTGGGTAGAGGAGCTGGGGATGAGAAACAGTCGGATTTACAATCTGAGAAAATTCAGGATTGGAAATACTTCCTCTAAAGTCTGCTTAAAATTAAAATAGTTTCTTCTTTAATTAGTCTCTTTCTTGAAATACTTTGATCACAGTATCAAAAAAAAAGGGGAGTTAAAAAAGGAGTTAAAGGGGTCACTCAGAGCTTCTGATATTTTGCTGGAAAATCTCCTGAGCTAGATCCACAAGTTCATTAGGTTCATTTTCTATGTTCCATGTTACTGTAGGTCATGGTCTTGCTGACTTTTTTCTCAATATAAAACAAGGGTACCATTTGACATCCTCCAATAGCAATAGTATTCTAACTGCCCTTCAGGCCTTCACTGACACCTGGTCTCAAAGCCAAAATGCCAGATTTTTGTTATGCCAGCATCTCACTTCTAGGTACCAATTTTTGTTTTGATTCTTTATTCTGTGTAACAAGTCACATCAAAACTTAGTGGCTAAAGTAACAATTCATAATTTCTCATGATTCTATGGGATGATCTGGCAGTTCACATGGTGAGGGCTGGAATGCTAGAATACTCAGAAGGCCCAAAGTGCCTCAAGTCACAACACTGGTGCTTCTACTGATTGCTGGCTGGGAGCCCAGCTTCGGCTGTCGACCAGGGGCCTTGCCAGTCCTCTATATGGCTAATTGGGCTTCCTCATAGCAAGAGACTAAGATCTAAGAGGAATGTTTCAAGCACACAAAAGCAGATGCTACAAGTCTCTTAAGGCCCAGCCTTGGAAATTACTCCACACCATTTCTGCCACATTCTATTGATCAAAAAACCTACCACAGCCAGCCAGATTCCAAGGGTGGGGATATCAACTCCACCTCTTGATAGGCAGAGTTGCTAGGCCTTAGCAGCCATGTTTAGCCCACCGTAGGAAGTCATGAACACTTAAGTGGTGGTCAGTGCCACAGAAATGAATTATCTGAGAGAAAGAATTTAGTGAGTGAAGGACAGAATTGCTGTCCCCTCTATAAAATAGATAAGGAAGGTTTATTAGATAAGGAAGATTGAAAAAGGATAGAGAAGCAGGATCAGTGAGGTAAAGGAGAAGCACAGTATTTCTGGAACACAAAAATCAGAATTCAAGGAAAGAAGCTGACATCATCATAAAATAATACACAGAAACCAAAGGAGAAGAGAGACATACAACTGCCATTCCAGAGCTTCTGACCCAAAACTGTAGTAAGATAATGGGTCTGGGAAACAATTTGATGAATACTCTAAACATTAGGAAAATCACCCTAGTCATCAGAAGCCCTTGGAGAAAGTTATTGAATAAATGAAATAAAATAAATAATTATAAATAGTAAGTAATAAATTAAATAAAAAAGTTACTGAGTGAATTAAAACCATGGAAAAATTCTAGAAATCCTAATGACATCTGAGTTGTTCTTTTTTTTTTTTTCTTTTTTTGAGACGGAGTCTTGCTCTGTGCTCAGGCTGGAGTGCAGTGGCGCGATCTTGGTTCACTGCAAGCTCCGCCTCCCAGGTTCACACCCTTCTCCTGCCTCAGCCTCCTGAGTAGCTGGGACTACAGGTGCCTGCCACCACGCCCGGCTAATTTTTTGTATTTTTAGTAGAGATGGGTTTTCACCATGTTAGCTAGGATGGTCTCGATCTCCTGACCTCGTGATCCGCCCACCTCAGCCTCCCAAAGTGCTGGGATTACAGGCGTGAACCACCGTGCCTGGCCGACATTTGAGTTATCCTAAACTTTAAGGAATATTGCTTCATTTTTACTTATTTCTGGCAGTTATAGAATACATCATATATTTAATGTAGATAATATTTTTCTCTTTAGGAAAAGATCTCTCAATTCTTTGAAGTTTTTAGTAAGCTACCATATTTTCTAAAATCTATTTAAAATAAAAGAAGTTGCAGCCATATTCTTGTAATATTAACACAAGCATAAGCCACTAGTTGCTGGATAATTCTTACAGAGAAGGTGTAAATAGAAGGCAACCTCAAATCCTTCTCCATCACCTTTTGCTGTTTATAAGACTATTTTCCTGACCACCCCCCAACACCACAGTAAGCAAGCCATAATACGTAGAACAAAACCCACTCCCTATGTAGTCCCTTCTGAATCACACTCTCACCTTTCAAATGACAGGCAGACAGCAGAGACCAAGTGGACGAAAGAATCTCAAAGTTGGAAGATGGCCTTTCTGAATGAACAAAGCCTCCAAGAAATATGGGATTATATAAAAAGACTGAATCTATAGCTGATTGGTTTACCTGAAAGAGATGGGGAGAATGGAACCAACCTGGAAAACATATTTCAGGGTATCATCCATGAAAACTTCCCCAATCTAGCTAGAGAGGCCAACATTCAAATTCAGGAAGTGCAGAGAACCTCAGTAAGATACTTCACAAGGAGATCATCCCCAAGACACATAATCAACAGATTATCTAAGGTTGAAATGAAAGACAAAATGTTAAATAGGCAGCTAGACAGAAAGGTCAGGTCGCCTACAATGAAAAGCCCTTCAGACTAATAGCGAACCTCTCAGCTGAAACCCTACCAGCCAGAAGACATTAGGGGTCAATATTCAACATTCTTAAAGAAAAGAAATTTTAACCCAGAATTTCATATCTGGCCAAATGAAGCTTCATAAGCATAGGAACACCCAGATTCATAAAGCAAGTTCTTAGAGACCTTAAAGAGACTTAGACTCCCAATCAAAAATAGTAGGAGACTTTAACACCCCACTGACAATATTAGACAGATCATTGAGACAGAAAATTGACAAAGATATTCAGGACCTAAACTCAGCACTGAATCAAATGGACCTGATAGATATCTACAGAACTATCCAACCAAAACAACAGAATATACATTCTTCTCAATGCCATTGCCACATGGTACAAACTCTAAAATTGATCACATAATTGGAAGTAAAACATTCCTTAGCAAAAAAGAAAAAAAAAAGAAAGAAAGAAAACCAGCACACAACAATAATCCCCTCTCTCACCACTCCTGTTCAACATAGTATTGAAGTCTTTGCCGGGCAATCAGGCAAGAGAAAGAAAGTGCACCCAAATAGGAAAAGAGGAAATCAAAGTATCCCTGTTTGTGATGTCGTGGTTTTATATCTAGAAAACCCCACAGTCTCAGCCCAAAAGCTTCTTAAGCTGGTAACTTCAGCAAAGTCTCCAGATACGAAATCAATGTATGAAAATCACTAGCATTCCTATACACCAACAACAGTCACGTTGAGAGCCAAATCAGGGACAAACTCCCATTTACAACTGGCACAAAAAGAATAAAATACCTAGGAATACAGATAACTAGGGAGAACTACAAACCATTGCTCAAAGAAATTGGAGATGACACAAAAGAAATGGAAAAACATTCCATGGTCATGGATAAGAAGAATCTGTATCATTAAAAATGTCCATATTGCTCAAAGCAATATATGTATAGATTCAATGCTATTCCTATTAAACTACCATTGAAATTCTTCACAGAACTAGAAAAAACTATTTTAAAACTCACATGGAACCAAAAAAAGAACCTGCACAGCCAAGGCAATGCTAAGCAAAAGGAACAAAGCTGGAGGCATCACATTGCTAAACTTCAAACTATACTACAGGGCTACAATAACCAAAAATAGCATGGTACTGGTACAAAGCGGACACATAGACCAATGGCACAGAATAGAGAACCCAGAAATAAGACTGCATACCTACAACTATCTGATCTTCAACAACACAGAAACAAGCAATGGGAAAAGGATTCCCTATTTGATAAATGGTGCTCGGATAACTGGCTAGCCATATACAGAAGATTAAAACTGGACCCCTTCCTCACACCATATACAAAAACGAACTCAAAATGGATTAAAGGCCAAATTATAAAAACCCCAAATTATAAAAACCCTGGAAGACAACCTAGGCAATACCATTCAGGACAATAAGCATGGGCAAAGATTTCATAATGAAGATGCCAAAAGCAATTGGAACAAAAGCAAAAATTGACAAATGGATCTAATTAAACTAAAGAGCTTCTGCACAGCAAAAGAAGCTATCAACAGAGTAAACAGACAACCTACAGAATGCGAAAAAAATTTTGCAAACTATGCATCTGACTAAGGTCTAATATCCAGCATCTTAAGGAACTTAAACAAATTTACAAGAAAAAACAACCCCATAAAAAAGTGGGCAAAGGACATGAACAGACATTACTCAAAAGAAGACATACACATGGCCAAGAAGCATATGAAAAAATGATCAGCATCACTGATCATTAGAGAAATGCAAATCAAAACCACAATGAGACACCATCTCACACCAGCCAGAAAGGATACTATTAAAAAGTCAAAAAAGAGATGCTGGCGAGGTTGTGGAGAAAAAGGAATGCTTATACACTGTTGGTGAGAGTGTAAATTAGTTCAACCATTGTAGAAGACAATGTGGCAATACCTCAAAGACCTAAAGACAGAAACGCCATTCAACCCAGCCATCGCATTACTGGGCACATACCCAAAGGCATATAAATCATTTTATTATAAAGGCACATGCATGTGTATATTCATTGCAGCATTATTCACAATAGCAAAGACATGGAATCAACCTAAATGCCCATCAGTGATAGACTGGATAAAGAAAATGTGGTACATATACACCATGGAATACCATGCAGCCATAAAAAAGAATGGTATCATGTCCTTTGAAGGGACATGGATGGAGCTAGAGGCCATTATCCTTAGCAAACTAATGCAGGAACAGAAAACCAAATGTTCTGCAAGCCACATGTTCTTACTTATAAGTAGGGGCTAAATGATGAGAACACATGGACACATAGAGGGTAACAACACATACTGGGGCCTATCAAAGGGTGGAGGGTGGGAGAAGAAAGAGGACCAGGGAAAATAACTAATGGGAACTCAGCTTAATCCCTGGTTGATAAAATAATATGTACCACAAACCCCCATGACACAAATATACCTATGTAGCAAACTTGCACATGTACCTCCGAACTTAAAAGTTAAAAAAAAGATAAAGAAAAACATAGAAAATATGATACGTATACACCATGGAATACTACATAGCCATAAAAAATAATGAAATCATGTTCTTTGCAGCAACCTGGATGAAGCTGGAGGCCCTTAGCCTATGTGAGCTAAAGCGGAAACAGAAAACTAAATACATTTTTTCACTTATAAGTGGGAGCAAAGCATTGGGTACACATAGATATAAAGATGGGAACAACAGACACTGGGGACTCCAAAAGCAGAAAGGAAGGGAGGGAGGCAAGGGCTGAAAGTTTTCCTATTGTACACTATGCTCACTACCTGGGTGACAGGATCATCCTTACTCCCAACATCAGTGTCATGCAATATACCCTTATAACAAATCTGATCATGTATATCCAAATCTAAAATAAAAGTTGAAATTATAAAATTAAAAAAAATTTATAGTTAACTCAAAGAGTCAGAATGGAAATGTGAATATACCTAAGAAGTCAAAGGATCTTCACCTTCATCTGTAAAAAAAGGATGTTTAGAATGTAGTAGGTGACAGACCCCCTGTCTTCACCACTGATTCACCTAGACTATATGTTCAGAGCTGGGTGACACTTTTAAGCTGTATTCAGAACATCAGAGAGTTGTGCTATTTAATACAGTGTACAAATTCTTCATTCATTGTGTCAAAGCTAAAAGCACTGCTACAATCTAACTTAAAATTAATCTTCTGCAATTACAAAAGAAGAATGATGTTTGCAGAAAGCAACAGAGTATAGGGCTTGTTTATTTCTGGCTTGCCTACTCAAAGAAAGTATGGCCATCTTTTACTTAATAGAAGTATGCAAACCAAATCTATGGTAGCATTAAAACCAAATCCATGGTAGCATTAAAAATCCTACCTTAAACAAAAATCAGAAAAATACAGACATGGACTCCAAGTCTGCCATGGCCATTTATTATATTCCTTAGATTTTACTGTTAAAAAATGACAAATATCATATACACATATATTTTCCTGCATACAAAATCCACAAAAAGTAGGAAGATGACATTTTTACTAAAAGGTATACAGATGTAATTTTCTGTTTATTAACTAGTTTAAAAACCTCAGAAAGATTTTACTCAAAACATCTGTAAGAACAGTAATCTCTTTTACATACTAAGTATTCAGTATTTATTTGCCCCAAGCTACCAACTTAATTGTAATTATCTTTACCATGTGTTTACAATTCAGGATGTTAATCTTACCCTATGAATGCTGGTCAACTGGAACCTCTGCAATTAGTCTCAATTTGAAAAATTCCTAAGGAGAAATCACAAGCATATTATTATATTTTACGCATCATAGGACTGCAAGATAATTTATCCACTGATATGGTTCTAAAATTTCCAACATATGTAATAATTTTATGAAACATACAAAAGATAACTTACTTAAAAAGAAAGCATTAAAGAGATCACCTTCTGACTTCTCACAGAAGAGGTTAACTATTACCTAGGGAGAGAAACAAATCACTGTCACAAACTACACATTTTACTTCATCACAACAGTAGCTTATAAGGCACAAAACATAAACATTGAATTTTTAATGGAGAATAAGATAGCATTATATATGAGTACCACTGATTTTACAAATGTAAGACGGAAAAACAAACTGAAAGTATCTATGCTTCTTAAATAGGGGAAACGTGAAAGACTTAACATTTGGGACAGTTTTCTTTGTCCAGTTTTTAATTTTTGCTGACCTACTCGTTTTATACAATTATGCCATTGTAAAATTCAATGGCACAATACTGAGACCTTTTTTTGCCACTTATATATCACAGGCTTTTTTGATACTGCTATGAAGTTTCTTTAAGCATCATTTTTGATGGAAACATATAGTTCACACATGGATATGTCCTAGTTTATGAAGTCATTCCCCTACTAAATTTTCAATTTTCCTTTTTTTATTACTAATAATGTTGTAAACATCTCAGTACTCTTCATATGTTTTTTTTGCATATACTTCAAAAATGAAGGAATTAGGTCAAAAGAGCATAAACATTTTGAGCCCTCTGATATACAGCATCAAATTATTTCTCAGAAAGTTTATACCAATTTTCTTTCCTGTCAACAATGTATGAGTAGCACCTCACCAGATTTAAAAATCATTATTTAAAAAAATTGCTAATCCATATGTGAAAAATGATCTTATTGTTGCTTTATTTGGCATTTCTTTGAGTTGAATTGAACATTTTTCAGCATATTTACTAATGCATTTCATTCCTCTCTCCTATTTAACATTTACCTAAACCAGAGGAGTATTTTGCTGAGAAGATATAAATGACAGCTCTCTCATAATGACAATTTGTCATCTTAGGGTGAAGCCACTGCTGTCAAGTAAAGTAAATAACAAAATATAGCGGAGTTTCTTTATTCAGGATAAAACCAAATCATTCAAACCAATTTTAGAAACTGTAACTAAACTTATCACCTTTCTTCCTCCTTAGCAAAACATAAAAGTACCAAGTTGGAAGAATGAAATGAGAAATACTAAATGACAATGCTTCTTAGAATAGCATAAATAGTCCATATTAGGCAGGATAAAAAGAGGACAAAGATTGTTAAAGCAATTCTGACCGACCCAGCTGCTGAGGCAGGCGGCCTGCGTCAGCACGTCCACCAGTTTGCTATGCTAATGAGTGTTACACAACTAGCTAATCTACCCCTTCAAAAACATTCTCTCTCCAGAGGAAGGACACAAGACGGGTGTATTTTAACTTAAAAAGTCAATTCCAAGATAACCTAAAAATAAAAGGGTATTCTGGAAGATTTGGAGATAAGTGTAACACTGAGAATTCTCTTCTTTCTCAAATAAGAGCTTCCTCCTGAAAGGAAGGCTCCCAACCAAGGACATATAAGGAACGGCTCCCAAGTGACTGAGGATTAAGGAACAACACAGCAGCAATCAGCTTTCTGATAGAAAAACAAAAAGCCCCAAAGGATCTTACTCTTGATGTTCTTGTTTCTTTCTTGTCAGGAGAGATGGTGGATTTGACAAAACAAACTTTTTTGTAGTGCACAAAGAACTATTATACAATTTTGGAATTTGAGCCTGGTTTTCCATTTGGGTATATTTGTCTTGTAGGGATAGTTAAATCTTAGGAAAGATCTAGCAAGATATCAAGAATCTCTGGTCAAAGGACTTGAACTGGGTTAAAGGCATAGTCACTGGGATCTTGTTTGGCAGGACAGCTATGGCAGGAATCACTGGAATATCATACTCATTCACCCTGCCTCGGGCAATTGTATAAGTTTAAGGCTTTACTATGTAAAATTAAAGTCTCCCATTTCATCAGTTTGAAAAATTCAAAATCATAAATAACAGATGGATTTAAAAAAAGAACATCCCACTGCATCATCTGTCCCATTCTGGATCAAGTGGAATCACCTCTATGAGCCATCCAGACCAGCACAGGCTGAATTTGTTGCTCCTTCATCTGCGTTCCAGGAAGTCATTTACTAATATTTCTTTTACATTGTTTATTAATATATGTGAAGCTATTGCCTGCGATTCTTTGAGGGCTGGGGCAGTATCTCATTTATTGGCATCCCAGGATGTATCCCAATGTCTCTTTCATGGGTTAGCTTAAGGTCCTATATATTATAGCAGCTACTACGTATGGATTCATCAATGGGGTATTTAGATCTCTGGAAACTTAACTAGATTAAACAAAAATAGTACCTACTGAACCTTTCTCAAGGATGGTATTGAATGTGGATGGAAGAAAATATCATGAGTCTATTTCCTTCGGGTCAGAAACTGGCAAAAGGCGGACCCAGAGGGCTCTTTTGCTACTCTTTTTCGATACAGTGCTTCACTACTCCACTTAAAAACACGGCGAACAAATATTTAGTGAATACCAGTGTGAAGTGGCATCAAATCCTTAGCCTGCCCAGAGCTCAGAGTGATCGGTGATGAGCCCACTCCCGTGTCAGTCTTGTCCCTCTCTGTGCCATGAATATTTAGTAAATCATTGTTGAGTAAATGAAGGACAGCAGATCAGGTTTCACCACCCATTTAGGAACCAAGGGTACAGAGGAGAAGGCCTGGCTTTCAGAAAGATCTGTGAACACCACTGGTGCAAACACATGGTGGGTATGGAAGGGTGGCAAAGCAAATGACAGCGACAGAGCCTCAGGCATTTCCATCACCCCATGGCAGGGGCAGAAATTCAGAAGCAGAGGCTAAGTCTTCATCCTTCAGGGAGAAAGGAGAAAAATTTATATTTGCCAACTTACTCACCAAATGGGATGTTTTACAAATCTGAATGGGGAACTGCTGTCAAATTCAGCATGACTGGTGCATTATAATGACTGAGAGTCATTTTGAATCAGTGTTGGACACTGGATAAATGCCACAGCATTCCAAAATGACCTTAATATCTTATCAAATTATGATTTCACAATCATTCCCTTTTCCACAAGTTAACCTTAGTATAATGCAACAAGAACTATACTGGTACCAATGGGATTATCAAGGTATCATCCAAACAAGCATGCTGCACATCAAACCATTCTGTGCCCACTTGTCCTGAACTCTGGAGGGCAAAGACCTTTCTAGTCTCCTGAGAGCCTACCACATATTAGGTGCTTCATAAATGTTCTAATTCCACAATGCTGTGAGCTATGATTGAGCTGACAATATTGCACGTCCTTAGATAGCTTTAGTCTCATAAAACCAATAACGTCTGATAATGATCACCGTAAATAATGCTACATCTGCTATAACACACTCTTAACCCAAAGACAAAATCAAATTGTCATGCACTGCAAATCAGCCTAGTGCTTGAGCTAATTTCTGACCACCAAATACAAACATTTAATGTTCAGTATTTAAGTGACTATTAAACACAAAAGATGTTTAAAACAAACACTGCTACCCTACTTGTCCCCCTAAACAAGTAGTTAGTCCTTCATGCTTCTTTAGCATTTAGGGAATACTGATAGTTCTATTATGCTTCCATTAAACTGTATCACCAATATCTGATTTGATGCCTTCCTGCCTCAGCCTTTGAGCTCTCAGAAGAGTCGGGTGTGCAGGAAGAACCTGACACTAACAGTCTCAATAATTATCTGTTGAATGGAAAGGAGTGATAGAGTTAGGGGAAGGATAACACTTACTGTGTACCTGGTGAAGTAGATATTATTAGCCAACTCTAAACGTGAAAAAGTTGAGGTTCAGAGAAACAAACTTGCTCAAGTTCATAAGCAGACCCAGCATTCACAACAGAGCTGACTAAGAGCCATCTGCTACACAGCCTCTCCAAGGAGCTATATAAAAAGGAGTTTTATATAGAATGTGACAGCTCTCTCCTTTTTTCAAAGCTACAATCTATCTTTTAGAAAAACTAAAAGAGACAATTTAAAAATGAGATCTATTTTGTTTTCCTAGCTCATTGCTCAGTATTCCATCTAGTGAAACAGAACCAACAAGTGCTTCCTCCACCCTGGCTGCCTATTAAATAATTAAAGTCGACATGATAGATAGCCAGAGCAAGGGTACATCCTGCTTGCACAGCCTCTTATGAAGAAACATTTACCAACAATTTAATAACAAGATGAATAACTCAAGTTTAATCTGTAGTTAAATAACAGTGTTTTACATGGCTTTTCTTCCAGACATACCGATTACAATGTGGTTAAAATAAATCAAAACCATATTACCCATATATGACCTTCTTTTTGAAAGACTTTAAAAAGGAGTATCACATGTTTTCAATGTGTTACTTTGTTAGGCCTAGTTCTTATCCTAAAACTGATGAAAATGTGAGAGACTTGGAAGGGAAGGAAGCAGAATAGTTAAGATTGAGTTTTGACTTTGTTGTTTACCATCTGCTTGATCTTAGATAAGCTGAGTATCCCTTTTCTCATCTGTAAAATAGGGATAATAACCATAATAATGGTTTCAACCTAATGGAGTTGTTTTAAGAATTAATTGAGACAACTACAATTCAAATGCTTAGCACAGCAGCAGGTACAATGTAAGCACTAAACATGATTATTTATTAACATAGTAGTAACTTTATCTAAAATTAATCCTTTAAAGGTTGCCTTTAAAGTATGATCCTATAAACAAATACCAGATTACATATTAGGAGGTTTGGTTTTCCACCTAAGTTGTGATTTCCATGCCAGTTCTCACCATATATCACAAGACTCATTACTAGAAAGTGTCGTGAAAAGAAATGTAACTTTCCTTAATAATTTATTGTGTGGCCCATAAGGAAGGCAAAGTGTTGTGAAGCCTTTAATATACCTTGATGCAATGTTTTTAAAAAGTTAACCTGTGCCGGTAACCTCTACTTTTTGATGCAATGTCTATAATCCCAGTCAAGATTTATGCTGCAGACAGGTCTGATATGACTGTCACCCAAGCAGAGGGTCACGACTTAAAATCTATAATCATGGTTGTACAACAATATAAATGAACTTAATGCCACAGAATTAAAAATAGTTAAAATACTTAAAAAAGGAAAAATTACTTAAAATAGTTTAAAAAGTAAATTTTGTTACATATATATATATAAAACCACAAAAAATCTATACTCATGTAAAACAGGAAAACTGTTCTTATTGCTTTAAAATGAATATAAATGAGTTACACAAATTAAATATATTGTTGGTCTCAATATACTAGAAAACATACCAACACAAAAAATATAATTTTAATGTGTTGAATTTGCTTTGTTCATAATTCATAGGTTACCATAATAACTACTAAATATTTAATTATCAATTTTGTTTGTTACTTTGAATTCTTCCATCCTGCCTGCCTGCTAAATACTTAAGGTTGACATGCTAGATAGCCAGAGGAAGGGTACATCCTTCCCTGGGTGGGAAAACATCCTGATTTGGGTGGGAGAGAGAATGTGATCCCCCAAATTTGTCTAGAAAATGTTTAGGTCTTCTTTACTAAATAGCAATATGGTCAGGCAAGGTGGCTCATGCCTGTAATCCCAGCACTTTAGGAGCTCAAGATGGGAAGATACTTGAGCCCAGGAGTTTGAGACTAGCTTGGGCAACAAGGCAAGATCATGTCTCTACAACAAATTTAAAAATTAGCTGGGCATAGTGGCGCCTGCCTGTACTCCCAGCTACTCAGGGGGATGAGACAGGACTGCTTGAGTTCAGGAGGTCGAGGCTGCAGTGAGCCGAGACTGCACACCACTGAGCTCCAGCCTGGGTGACAGAGTGAGACCAAGTCTCGGAAAGAAAAAAAAAAGGATAAATAGCAATATATGAAGTTAAGAAATTTAAAAAATCTTCTGGTGACTATCAAGGTAACTGAATATGGGAGATTTTTTTTCCTAAAATAACAATTGAAGCTCCCACATGTTTACAAAATTCACTAATAATTTAATGGATATGCAAAGTATTTGATCCTCCTGTTAATCTTCTGTTAAGAGGTCAATCCACCAGAAGGCATCAAGGACGGCAATAATAGGGTAGGTAAAGGCAGGGAAGAAAAGGAAAAGATAAGAAAGTGGGAGGATGGGTGGTGGTAATGCAGAGGGTGTGTGTGTGTGTGTGTGTGTGTGTGTGTGTTTTGGGAGGTGGTTATAAGACAGTAATAGCAATCCTTGGCCTTAGTGATAGCAGACACACTTACTGGGTGCCTATGTGAAATAAATAGATCAATCCATCCATCCATCCACATATCCCTGAGACTTTCGTAATAAACTCATTTTTGCATGATTGCCTTGTTACTTCCATAGTCTCTGGATATGTGGGGTCGAACTGCTCACCTAAAGCACGAGTGGATAAAGGCATATAAAAGGAGACAAACATATTAAAAGATAAAGTTCATATGGAACCAAAAAAGAGCCCGCATTGCCAAGTCAATCCTAAGCCAAAAGAACAAAGCTGGAGGAATCACACTACCTGACTTCAAACTATACTACAAGGCTACAGTAACCAAAACAGCATGGTACTGGTACCAAAACAGAGATATAGATCAATGGAACAGAACAGAGCCCTCAGAAATAACGCCGCATACCTACAACTATCTGATCTTTGACAAACCTGAGAAAAACAAGCAATGGGGAAAGGATTCCCTATTTAATAAATGGTGCTGGGAAAACTGGCTAGCCATATGTAGGAAGCTGAAACTGGATCCCTTCCTTACACCTTATACAAAAATCAATTCAAGATGGATTAAAGATTTAAACGTTAGACCTAAAACCATAAAAACCCTAGAAGAAAACCTAGGCATTACCATTCAGGACATAGGCATGGGCAAGGACTTCATGTCTAAAACACCAAAAGCAATGGCAACAAAAGACAAAATTGACAAATGGGATCTAATTAAACTAAAGAGCTTCTGCACAGCAAAAGAAACTACCATCAGAGTGAACAGGCAACCTACAACATGGGAGAAAATTTTCGCAACCTACTCATCTGACAAAGGGCTAATATCCAGAATCTACAGTGAACTCAAACAAATTTACAAGAAAAAAACAAACAACCCCATCAAAAAGTGGGCGAAGGACATGAACAGACACTTCTCAAAAGAAGACCTTTATGCAGCCAAAAAACACATGAAAAAATGCTCATCATCACTGGCCATCAGAGAAATGCAAATCAAAACCACTATGAGATACCATCTCACACCAGTTAGAATGGCGATCATTAAAAAGTCAGGAAACAACAGGTGCTGGAGAGGATGTGGAGAAATAGGAACACTTTTACACTGTTGGTGGGACTGTAAACTAGTTCAACCATTGTGGAAGTCAGTGTGGCGATTCCTCAGGGATCTAGAACTAGAATTACCATTTGACCCAGCCATCCCATTACTGGGTATATACTCAAATGACTATAAATCATGCTGCTATAAAGACACATGCACACGTATGTTTATTGCGGCATTATTCACAATAGCAAAGACTTGGAACCAAGCCAAATGTCCAACAATGATAGACTGGATTAAGAAAATGTGGCACATATACACCATGGAATACTATGCAGCCATAAAAAATGATGAGTTCATGTCCTTTGTAGGGACATGGATGAAATTGGAAATCATCATTCTCAGTAAACTATCGCAAGATCAAAAAACCAAACACCACATATTCTCACTCATAGGTGGGAATTGAACAATGAGATCACATGGACACAGGAAGGGGAATATCACACTCTGGGGACTGTGGTGGGGTGGGGGAAGGGGGGAGGGATAGCATTGGGAGATATACCTAATGCTAGATGACGAGTTAGTGGGTGCAGCACACCAGCATGGCACATGTATACATATGTAACTAACCTGCACAATGTGCACATTTACCCTAAAACTTAAAGTATTAAAAAAAAAAAGATATACCAAATGAGATAGATATATTAAAGCCTTATATATGAGTTAATAATAGAGAAACAGCTGCTCTGCCTCTGCACAGAACTATATTGGTGGATGAGGGGAATGTAGTAATGTGATTAGATGTTCAAATCAAGGAAAGTAACCATTACTGAGATATAGGGAAGGATCAACACTACAAGGCAGCATGACCTGATCAAATGAATACCCAACTAGGTGTTAGGAAACCCACGTTCTACTCCTCACTTTACATCTTACTGACGGCATAATGTTGGCCTTGTCATCTCACGTAATCTAATTTTCCTTACATGTAATGTTAGAGAGAACAAATGATTGATAGAGTCTCTACTTCCAGTTTCCCACAATGCTATGAGTTTATTAACTGTGATTGGAGCTAGGGAATATCTAGTCTGAAAGACTCCTCTGGAGTGGTGAGGATTGAGAAGGGGTTTAAAAGTTAGAACACCAGGAAAAACAATGGTGTAGGTTTCCTTAGAAAAGGAGTACAATGTCTACAATTGTCAACTCATAAACTGGTCTCTTTGAAAAAGCGACTAAAAATTGGTTATAGCAAGAAAAGGTCATCAAGCCAAGCATATAATGGAAGTATTAATTTTTAAAATTTATTTATATGTTTACAAATAAGTAGGATGCTTCACCATGTGGCTTGCTATGGACACTCACTCTGCCTCACATATACACAAAAATGTGTGTGGGTGTGTGTATGTGTGTACATATATGTGTGTGTGTGTGTGTGTGTGTATATATATATATATTTTTTTTTTTTTGAGACAGGGTCTCACTCTGTCATTTAGCTGAGTGCAGTGTTGCGGTCATGGCTCAATGCACCCCACCTTAGCCTCCCGAGTAGCTGGGACTACAGGCACACGCCACCATACCCAGCTATTTTTTAATTTTTTTGTAGAGACAGAGTCTCACAATGTTGCTGAAACTCCTGGACACAAGCAATTGTCCCACCTCGGCCTCCCAAAGTGCTGGGATTACAGGCATGAGCCACCGCACCCGGCAGGAAGTACTAATTTTAACTGAAGATAAAAAGGTATTAGGACCATGGAAGGTTCCTAATACTAGCTTATCCCTTAAGCATTGGGGTTCAGTCTTGGGCCTGTAGCTTCTCTACTCACACATATGCTATGCTCGGGTGACATCCTGAGCATTATGCTTAAGGTTTCATCCGCCACCTCTGTGTATATGGTGAGCCCAGCTCCCTAACCCCAAGCTGCAGAATCATCTCCCCAACATCTTCCTGGCTATATACCGAGATGTGTGGAAGCAACTCAAACAGCATGTCCCAAACTGCATCTACCGTTTCCTCCCACACCTAGATATCATACCTGTCCTTCCTTGATCCCCGAATCTCAGGTTGATAGCAACATCAAGGGCTAAGGCATTGACTGCTATGGTTTGGATGTTTGTGTCCTCTTCAGAATTCATGTTGAAGCTTAATCCTCAGTGCAACAATATTAAGAAATGGAGCATTTAGGAGGTGATTAGGCTATGAGGACTCTGCCCTCAATGATGGGATTTAGTGCCTTATAAAAGGGCTTGAAGGGGTAAGTTCTCTCCTTCCGTCCCTGTTGCTTTTCTACTCCTACACCATGTTCAACGTCCAGAAATCAAATCTGTAGTATCTTGATCTTGGACCTTCCAGTCTCCAGAGCTGTGAGGAATACATTTACGTTACTTATAAATTACCCAGTTTTAGGTGTTTTGTTACAGCAGCACAAACAGACTAAGGCAGGCACCTAACCCAGAAACTTTCTCTTCCTCTATTCCCTCAAATCCAATGGTCTCTTAAACTAGCCCCTTCTACAATCTTGCTACCACTGTCTTGGATGGGGCCCATGTCATCTTTGGGCTGGACGACTCTGAAATTGCCTCCTTTCTTGCCCTCCTTAGTCCCATTTCCATACTGCAGTCAGAGAGCTCTTTCTAAAACATGTCACCTCTTGACTTGTTGCTTTGTTATTATAAAGACAAAGTGATGTCTCAGGGAGGGTTGGGGAGGCTTGCCAATGGGAAGTGAGGGGAAAGAGTGGTGATCTCCAGCTTCTCTTGCTTTCTGTTTTATTGGCTCTTGCTGTTTCCTTCCCAGGAGTGCTAAGTTTGACCCCAAAATGCAGGGCAGACTGGATTATGAATTCTGTGATCACAGTGATCACTGATCACTTGACAACAGTGCAAACATGACAACAGGATGCTTCACCCTGTGACTCGCTGTGGGCACTCACTCAGCCTCACAGTTAGCTATGGCCACCTCTTGCTTTATCATGCTGCCTGTCTCATGGATTCCAATCAGTTTGGAACCCTGCTGTGATGGCAAGGGATTTTTTTTTAAGTCTCTGGCTTTATTTCTATCTATACTTCACTGGTGTCTATGCTTACAGATACTAGGCATTTTTACAGAAGTTTTCTTGACTTACTGGTCAGCAGCAGTCACTGCTGTGAGAGTCAACCCTGCACATGTTAGAGTAATTGCTCTACTTGCTGATCTGTTACTGTGTAAATGTTCTAGAGCTGTTTTAGGTAAGTATAAATTTCCTAATTTCAATGTTCCCCAAGCCGTAGCAGGGGAACACACAACATAAAAACACATAAATAAAAATTAGGAAAAACATATAAATAAAAATTAGGAAACTTTTATGTATCTGCTGCTGACTGAGTACAGTCTCATTTTGTTTCTCCGCTCCTCGCACTAGTGAGAGTGAGAAGCAGGGGCTGGTTTTCCATGGCAGCAGTGTGGAAAATGAACACTGGACTGAGTCCCAGGCCTGCCTCCACCATCATCTGCATGGGCTTAAATCACTCACTAAATACAGGCCTCCATCTCCTCAGCTTTAAAATACAGATAATCACACTGGCTCAAGAATTGATATTAGTGGTAAAATAAATATCATGGAAGCACTCTGAAATCATTGCAGTAGCAAACAGATGCAAAAGAGAACTCTTATAAAGAAACCTAATTCTTTTACTAGCAAAGTGATTTAAAAAGAGGATGCTTTTGGCCTTGGGATGGTATCTTTGAAAAAAACAACCCAGGAAGTGAGCTTTATTTATGCCACTGTGGTTCCAGGGAAACAAAATAGCAAGTGTTGCAAAGACATTGACATTTCATCATATTTGGGTCCTACTGTGAAGTCAAAAAGAACGCTTCAAAAAAGGCATTGAGGCCCAGGGGTTCAGAAGAACTATGTGGCCCAAACATAGAATGTCACTCATTTGTTTCACTGTGACAAAACAACCATCTCAGTAGAAAATTCTTCTCCAAATCTGCCTTGCAATAATGGAATGATAATGGATCCCTTAATGTCTGTCAACTGGGGATTTGGAAAAAGACAAAAACAGAATGCGCACAATCTCTGGCTCACTGTGCCAATGGAGTGCACACGCCTAACTGCCCAACCCAGAGAAGGCTTTTTAAAAGATTCCAGTCAGCCAACACTGCTTATCTGTTCCAGCTCCTATTTTCCATGGAGGAAGGTGTGGGGAATGAAGCATTGGGCAAGAGCATTCAGAAAGAAACCAGTCTGTTTTGAAAGAGCAAGCTCTTATGTCACTTATGATTCAGGTAAAATGTCCATTTTTACCTTGGTGTTAAATTAATGCTTCATATTTGTAACTTGGTTAATGGCTGCTGGTAGTCAAAATCACTGGTTGCCATTTGCTCCTCAGCTGGAGAGGGAGAATGTCTGGTTTACATTTAGGGTAAATGCAGAGTGAGATGTCTTTTTTTCTGATATCACTCCCTGTAACACCAACTGGGTGTCCTAAAATTCAATCCTATTCTGACATTAACTACTCAGAGTTAGCATCAGACTCCACAGGTTTAAGGGCTCCATTCTACAAGACTGCCTCTGCTTCAAACTCAATCACAAGTCCCAGGAATCCAGGCTGCCTGTACTTCTGTTTGACTTGACTATAAATTTGGGGGTTCCCATAACGCTCTCTTCAAATTTGATAATTTACTAGAGTAACTCATAGAACTCAGGAAAACACTTTACTTACCTTTATTGATTTATTATAAAGGATACAACTCAGGAACAGCCAAATGGAAGAGATGTAAAAGGCAAGGTATTTGAGGGCAGTGGGAGGATGGAGCTTCTCTGCTCTTTCCAACCTCACCACCCTCCCAGCACTTCGATGTGTTCACCAACCTGGAAGCTACCTGAACTCCATTGTTTAGGGGTTTTTATGAAAATTTCATTATGTAGGCATCATTGATTAAATAACATTGGCCGTTAGTGACTGAAAATCTCCAGTCCCTCTCCCCTTTCCAGAAGTTGATGGTGGGCGTAAAAGTTCCAATGCTGGAATCACATGGTTAGATCCTCTGGTGACCAGGCCCCATCCTGAAGCTACCCAGGTGCCTACAGTGAGTTACCACATTAGAACAAACTTAGGTATGGTTAACAGGGGCTCGCTATGAATAACAAAGGACACTCTTATCAGGAATGGGGCTCTGTGATGTGACATGGGGGCAAAGGCCAAATATGACTTTATTACACACATAACATGATGCTGTATAAGAAAAGTCTCACAGGAGAGCGAATTCTTATTCCAACTGGCTGATGCAATTTCAAACAGTGCCAGATAGTTCACTTAAAAGGTCAAGCTTGCTTTCAAGGCCAAAACAAGGCAGTCGTTTAAGTCACTGATGCCCTGAGTCAATGACTAAGAAAGTTATTTCCTAAGGGACACCTCCTTGACATGATGACAGGTCACTTCACAACATGCTCCTGTAGTTCTCTATCCCTTCCATTCATAACATTTATCACAAACCTATAAGTAATTGTTTGATTAAAGGTTTATTTCTCTCTGAGGTCTGGTCTACATGTATCATGCTTATCAATGCACCCCAGGGCTTAGCTTGTAGAAGCTGCTACTAAATATTAATTGAACAGATACAAGAGTTTTAATTAGACCTCCTTGTTTGGAAGCAAAAACTGCAAAAATATCTTACAATCTTCATACCTTCTTACCTTCAATTTACATCCCAAATTCTACATGACATGAAAGGCTTCCTGAATCCTTTAGCAGAGACTAAAGACTCCATTTGAGCCCCATCAGCAGAGAAGACGAATTTAGCTCAGCCATAGCATTCAGAATAAGTTAGGGCAGCTCTGGGCACTCTGAAGTGATAGAGTAAGGTTCTTCTAAAATAACGCACAAATAACTAATATGAATCACATAGAATGCCTACATTCCAAAAAAGGTGACAGGTCATTTCTCCACATTAGGCTGGCTTCGGGCTTCATAACTCAGCAGGATTCTGCAGCTTCACTTGGTCTTAGCAAAGAGGAGAAACATGGGCCCTCTGGAAACAGAGTTTCAATGGTTTTCCAGGAGACAAAAGATATACTCCCCATCTGGAAGTTTGACACATGACTTCTAAATCAGGGTGGGGCTCTGTCATAGCTGAGTGACAAAATCAGCTGCACAACACACAGAGTCTCTAAGTTTCTCCTTTATACACAGCAGATGAATCTATGGTTATTTCTTAGCAACCAAATTTGAAGGGCAAAAAGACTGTGCCAAGAAAACTACAAGTGTAGTTTTTTTCCTGTCTTTTCTCTCTCATCCATGCACAAAAAATAATATTTACCTATTTATATTTGACAATACCATCTGTTTTTATTGTGTGGAGAGTCTTATCCATTTAAGGAAGGCAACAACTTTGTGACTCTCAGTTGAAGAAAGGTAGAAATGAAGAAGGCCTTATGTAACACCAACTTGTGTCACCAACAGCAAGTGGAAATATTACATCTTGCACATGCTCTGACACTAGGTGTACTCGACAATCATGATGAAGTTTCTGCTGGGTGCAAAGAACTGGCCCAGGTAATGAAGGCAATCGAAAGGTGTCACACTCAGACCTAAATCTCAAAAGGAGCTTATGCATTGGTGAAAGAAGGCATAAGTACAAGAAAGATCAAACAAATGAATTATACAGTTACATCTTAAAGTAATACATGCTAGAAGAACAATAGTCACTGTACAGGGTTTATGAGTTGGACCAAGAAAGATGCGTAAGATTTATATAGTTAGGGGGTGAAGGAATAAGGGGTAAAAGGGGTTGGTTAATAACAGGGCACATAATATTTTATGTGGAGGAATGGAACAACAAATAAAGAAGGCAAAAGAAAGCCAAGGTCAATTTAATGAATTAGTGAGCAGATGCATAGATGGAGTGGAATTTATGAGACAGAAATGATGGGGCTAAGAGTAGAAAGGTGATTAGGATCAAATGCTAATTAAGTCTCAAATTCCACACTAAAAAATTTTCAAGATTTAACTCAGGCCCAGAACATAACAGGCACCTGAGAAATTATTGCTTTAGGGGGTAAATATGTCACTTTTAGAATATTCAAATCTTTTTACAAGGAGAGAGGAATTTAGGCTTGATATAAGCAGTAGGAAGTCACTGGTGGTATCTGAGCAAGGGAATGACAGAAAAATACATTTAGGGACATACTATTATATATCAAGAAAATTAATTTGAAAGCATCAGAAAGAATTCATTGGAGAGAGTTCAAGA